>NC_000002.12:159989618-161239618 GCF_000001405.40 Homo sapiens | reverse complement strand
GAACTCTCGAGGCCCAGACGGCCCCTTAATCTAGTCTTGGGGTCAGGAGGTCAGGCCTTGGAAGCACAGCTAATGCTAAGGCCCTTTATGTATCTTCGCTGCGATCATTTAAACCGTGGACCGGTAGCTCTGGCAAAAAAGGGGCTCCAGGGGTCTAAGAGCCGCAGCGCGCGAGGCGTGGCGGGGGGCGCTGACCTCGCCGACTCGCCGCAGGCCAGCGGGGCGCGGCCACTGCAGGGCGGGTTGGGGGCGGCTGGAGGCCTCGGGGTGGCGGCCACGCTCGGGCAGGGCAGGAGATCTGCGCTCAGTCCTGGAGCCCTTCTTGGCCTTTGTGGCCCTGTCACTCTTTTCACCCCTGGCTGGCCCTAGCCCTTTCTGAATTCGCCTGGACTCCCAGTCGCGCTCGCTGGCCGACGCGGTCGATTCACCAGACAGCGAGTGGGCGTGAGAACGCAGGCTCTTCGGCCGCTTCCCCAGTACGTGGATCCCGGAGCGCGGGTCCTCGCCCCACCGCCCCGGGGAGTGGGCGCGCGGCGCAGGCCGAGCCCTCGGGCGAGCCCGCGCGGGGCTGCACTCCACCGGGCCGGCGCTGGGGGCCGCGCGGGGGCTCCTGGCCCGCTAGGGACTCGGTGGCGGTGGCTGGGTTCCACTCGCCAGCGGCGGGAAGGACGCGCGGGAAAGCGAGGGAGCAGGAAGCGGGTGGCGGCGGCGGCGCGGGGCCCGCTGGAAAGGAGGGAGCGCCGCAGGCGGGAGGAGGGAGCGCGGAGGAGGGAGGCCGGGAGGAAGGAGGGAGCGCGGCAGGCAGGCGGAGGGAGGGCTGATTAGCATGCAGCAGCGCTCGCGCGCCCGGCTCCATTGTTTTAACACCTCCCCTCTCCTCCGCGCCAATCTGTCACCGTTCAGCAGGCGAACGCTGCTGCCTCAAATGCTGCTCTTCTCAAATGAGACGGATAATTAGTTGCCCCGCACGAATGCCGCACTCTTCTCACCCCTGATTGCTATCACCTTCTTGCTCCTGGCAGTTTTGACACCTCGTAATCAGCCTGCTGCTTTTCTCTTTTCTTCCCGACTTCTGCTTCCCTCCCCCCGCTTTCCTTCCTAGTTTATTTATTTATTTATTATTATTATTTTAAATGCAATCCCGGTGCTTATTTGGGCGAGTCCTCCGCCGAGTTAACCTTTCGCGTATACATGTGTGCATTTATCTGTATATGGGAAATTGGGTGTCTGTGCGTGAGCGGGGGGCGGGCTGGCAGTTTTGCGGGAAACACTGCTTCCACGCCGAGAGAACTCGCTTCTCCTAAAGATATTTTTGGGAAGGGAGGAGTTGCAGAGAGGGACGGGAGGGGAGAGTTGGGGAGACCTCAATTAATGCTTTAAAGATCTCTTAGAAATTAACAAACTGGGGAGTCTTGGAATCTGCTGTCAGAAGCGTGTTTTCCCCTCTCTCCTCTAACAAGCACTGACAGTCTAATTACTGTAGCTACAAGCAGCTGTCGAGGCAGCAGCCCGGGAGAGGAGGCGCCACAGGCTGGGCGCGCCCGGCCGGCCCCTGCGCCCAGCCGAACCGCCGAAGCACGGCCCGACTCGGGGAAGGACTCAGGGAGGATGGAGAGGGGCAAGGCCCCGCGCCCGAGAACCCCGGCGGGCCTGCGAGCCAGCGGACACGCTTATTGTTTCCTTAAGTCTTTACCTTGAAGGTTAAAAGATGTGACGAAAGGAGGGGACGTGGGGGGAGTGGGAAGAAAATCTTCTAAGCTTCTATCCACCCCTTTTCTACCTCCTCGAGCTCTCCCTCCCCCCGTGTTGGTAAAATAACCACGCAACCCGGGGCTGAGGGGGCGGGGTGAGCCAGGCTGGAGTGTAAGAAAGCAGATGTCCCCGCTGGCAGCAGCCTCAGCCTCCGGGGAAAGCTGCACCGGGGGGGCCCTCCCGAGGACATTCACCTCCCACTTCTCAGGCATCCCGCTCACAACTGCCTCGCCTCGGCGGGGGTGGTTTTTTCAGACTCGGCGTTTCGCGTGTGCAGCTTTTTTACCTGGGAGCTGTTCTTACCCGGCCACGCTTAGCAGATGCCAAAAGCCAGACCCTGCACGACTCAGTCATGAGACAGAGGGAGAGACCTGGCGGGTGCCCACTCCACCTTTAGAGCGGTGACCCGCGCTCCCTCTGTAGAGCAGGGCAGGGGGCTGCTCTCCAGGCTGCCTTTCCTGTGGCCCCAAAGGGTCTATGTCCCTCACCACGTGGAGCTTAGGGTGCCGCTGGAATCCAGAAGAAAACCGAGTTTGCTAGTCCTGCTAAAAGTGGTGGGGGCGGGGAAAGGATGGGCTGGGGAGGAAGGTCAATGGTACACTTTAATTTGAGTCACCTTCTGGGACACGGAGTTTCCTCTGGTTGTCAGCAAGCTAGTAGATGTCAACTGTGTTGAGAGAAAGTCTTCCCATCTAGAAAAGGACAGGGGAAAAAAAGAATCCCCTTTCACCAGATAGGTACAGTGGTATATTCTGGCTGGTACACGCTGGGAAGTTTTTATTTTTAATTTTGTGTGTGTGTGTGTGTGTGTGTGTGTGTGTGTGTGTGTGTGTGCGCGCGCGCGGAGAAGGGAGGCTGGGTGGGCGGGAAGTGGGGGGAAGGGAAGAAACTTGGATAATTGTCTAGGCATTTCCATTCAGCCCTAGTGGCAATGAAAGAAAGATGTACATACCTCAGAACCCTTCGCAGTGAATACCTAATAATTACTGTCACCCTGGTGAGGAACATGTCAATATGATGTGCTTGGCACCAGGAGAAGTCGAGGCACCACTCTCATTCTTCCACAAGTTAAGGTTCTTCACTGTGGCACAGAGGCCTGCTCAAATTCCCCCATCCCACACCCTCTAGTTTAAAGCACTTGCTTCAAGAAGGCTTAAATTTCTGAGAGTTGCAAATCAATGCTTACTTCATAAAATGGAAGCCATGCCTTAAACACTTTTAAGAATCAGGGGAAAACAGAAACCTATAAGGCGAGAATCATAGGGAATAAAAATGAAAGGGAAGTCTCATTTTAAACAAATTTTGCAGCCGTCTGAATTTGGTATCCACTCTCTCAAATGTCTTCAGTGGCCATCAATCAGGCTGCTAACAATGAATAACAAATTTCTCAACAAGAATATGAACATTTCTAATCTAAGTTAACAAATATAGATAGTCCTTGCAGGGTTTTAGATTTTCTCCCGTTAAAAACAAATGTTTCTTTAGAAAGTTTAGTTTGAAGAATAATTCTAAAATTCAAAGTGATTCACTAATTGTAATAAATGCCACCAAATCTGGTCATCACCATTCTATTAGGTTACTGAAATGAAAACATGAATTTTATAAACTTCCCTAAAAATGTGATTCCTTCCTTCCCTTTTTTTTTTTTTTTTTTTACTCAGGAACAAAGGACATACAAATGATCACAACATAAGTACCTCTTAATATTTAATTAATTTCATCATGTAGCTATACACACAGTAAAAATTAAAGCCATGTATATTATTTAAAAATCTAAAGTGTTTAAATAATTCTACCAGTTGTTTTATCACTGGACAAGAAATGTATTAGGTTTGATATTTACAAAGATGTTTATGTTGTCTGCTATTTTCTATTATAGGTTTATTCAAAGAGAATATCACCTATAGCATAAATAATTAAATTTTTCAATAAAAACAAACTAAAAAAACCCTAGAAACATTTGACATCACCAAATTCAACAGCTCTCACTAGAAATCCAAGCAATAAACTTAGATATTTGAAATAAACATAAATTATGATTATATAACTCTAAGTCACATACATAATTTTGAATTATAGTAATAGCACTGTAAACATGAATACAAAGGATTACAGTTTTATACAGAATTTTTTTTGTTTTTCTTCTTTTAGGCTTATTTCTCCTTGAAAGAACAGAATGATCTTTTAAAAAATAAGAGTTATATAGTAAATCCAGAAAAAAATTCAAATAGCTGTGAAACTAGATTTTCCTATAAATGATCTTGAATTTAGTTTACAATCAAGTATTTATAGTATTAAAAACCCAAAATCATCACATAGAACTTGATATGTCTGTTTTCAAATGTGTCTTAAGTCTCTCCATTGAAGTGTGAATTAAGATGCCGAAGGAAATCCCCCCTGGATGTAATGGATGGTGGGAAAACTGCTTGACAGAATTCACATACTCGAGGTATATGCAGTTCTGAGTCTGTGCCACTTAGTACCACCGAGTCACTGTCTTGATTAGGAAAGGGCTTCCAAATGGGCTGCAGGAAACAAACAAAAATATCTGTTACTTATGTTTAAATTCAAATAGCACTGGACTTCAAATTTGAATTTCTGAATGAGTTACGCATGGGCATATATATTGAATTCCCTAATATAAAAGCAAATTACTTTTCCGTAAAGTTAGCATGACATGACTCAATTCGTGGTTTCATAAAGGGCACAACTAAACTTTGATTAAAAGTCACTTGGGACACACACAGTCATGCATTTTATCTTTATATATTTAAAAAGATTGCAGCTTTAGCATGCAATTTTTAATACTCGATCACAACAGCAGTAGTTTTGGAACAATAGCTAATACTCTGGTCTTTTAAATTAAATTCTATCTTTTGTTTTTTACAATAAAAACCTTAAATTATAGGGGCTTTATTAATTACATAGTACACAAGACATGATGTGTGTGTGCATTGCGTCTTAATCAAAATCAATTTCACTACTGTTTATAAGCAAATACAGTGAATACATCATACATGAATCAGCATTATTTTGATTTTTAAAAAGAAAATTTTCCTTTTAAACTACTGAACAAATTTCACTGATGTTATCTTTTGTTTTTAAAAACACAAATATTTAATCATTCAACAAAATCTAACACATGCAGTGTTTTGACTTCTTACTTTGCTTCTGTTATATAATAGGTAGTTTGGCCTTACTCATTCTTGTGGCTGAATAAAGTGAAACTCGTCAATAGTTGCCTGGTTAAAGAATTATGGAAAGTCATAATCTAACAGAACCACCTCCACTATAACCAGCACATAAATACCCTTTCATAACTGCATTTATTCTTTTTTTTAAATTTCTAGAAGGACAAGAAATAGCATTTAGCTTAATAATAGCTACACAATAGATGTCTGTTAACTGGAAAATATTTTCCTGAATTGTGTAAACCAAATTATTTTTTAAAATTTCTTATGTGGACACAGGTAAATTCCTCTGACACAGCTAAATTCTGATATTTTAAGAAGAATCATCTCATAAAGTCAAATTTAAAGAGACCCCTTATCCTCCTATTACTAATATGTTTTTAAAGTCACACATCCTAGTCTAGCACCTGACAAGTGTTACTGTTATTTCCCCTAACTTCTTTCATTCTGGTTAACCAATCATTTACATAAACAGTATATTACTAATGGAAGCACTTGGATTTCACGACATCACTGTCTTCTTATGAACAGTTTACTGGACAGCTGTGTACAATTGGTGTAAATATACAACGTCTGTCTAGGCACCCAGACACATTCAAATATCAGTATGGAGGACTTATAATAATGCTGACTCAATTCCTTTCATAAGAAATGTCAATTTTATTACAAAAATAGTAATATTTAAAATAAATGTTATAAAATTTAGGGTAAAATAACTCTCTGGAAAAACTTCTTTGATAAAAGTAGTAAAAATTGTGAGCATACAAACAAAAATCTAGTTAGAGTTAACTTGATTCTAATTTTAATGTTTTCAGTTTAAACAAAAAAGTACAAATCACTGTAATGGGAAATTGATATGGCCAAAAATAAAAGATTATTAAAGATAATTCTTATTTATATAAAATAGTAAGAAATTAAATCAGAAGCAATTTAGCTTCTAAATTTGGTAAGCCAATCTTCTACTCCCAATTTACCTATTAAATCCATATTCATTTTTCTCTATTAAGAACTTTTAGTTCAGATTTGATCTCTTCATAGAATTTAGTTGGGATCCCACTCACTGACTCAGCAAAGTAAAAAAGAAAATCACATAGAACAATAATAATCTGATATACTTTAGTCTTGGTTATGATAGCTGAATATATAAAATAGATGTTTAGTAGTAATGATTGATAGAAAGTAAAATTTTGAAATATGTAGCCAAAAATTTCACTTGTCTTTGCTACTATCTACAAACAACTCAGGATTTTTTTAAAAAAAAAATTATTATTATTATTTTGAGACAGGGTCTTGCTCTGTCACCCAGGCTGGAGTGTGATGGCACCATCACAGCTCACTGCAACCTCGAACTACCTAGCTCAAGCAATCCTCCCACCTCAGCTTCCCAAGTAGCTGGAGGCCACAGGCACAAGCCACCACACCCAGCTACATATATCTATATAACTATACGTATTTGTAGAGACAAGGTCTTACTATGTTGCCCAGGCTGGTCTCAAATTCCTAGGCTTAATCAATCCTCCTGCCTCAGCCTCCCAAAGTGCTGGGATTATAGGCATGAACCACCGTACCTGGCCCAACTCAGGAATTTTGTACTTATACTAGCTTTGTACTTATACTAGCTTGCATAATACTAGCTTTATTAATACTAATAAAATAGCTTAAAAGGTTTTTTTTAAAAAACTCATTTTAAGAAATATTCTTTCCATCCTAAACTGTAACATGGTCTTCAAAACAAACTAATTTCTTTGCTTTTTCTGCCAAAATATCAATTATCTAACCTTATGCCCCATGTCTTGTGACAACTCAACACTAATTCTCCTGAATTTTTTAAGCTGAATACTTTTCCATCAAGTTGTAATCACATACCAGCTGTTTCCCTTGCTGTAGTATAGAAAGCAAATGTACAATGCAGGGTGCCATCTACTGAAACATGAATGCACAGACTAGTAAAAGAACAAGCAAGACATATAATAGAGAAAAAAGTAACAAGCATTAGAACTGATGCACTTCACAGCTCCACAGGAATTCTACTTGCAATAAATGAAATTGTTTAATTTGTTTCATTTAGTAGCAACTATAACTGAGACTATGATGTGAAATAAAGTACAATGAACAAGAACATAAGTGAGGTTATAATTAAAACTTATTGTCAGCCATGCCTAGTTCTTCCCACTACTAAAATATACCACAGCTTGACAACTGCCTTCTTTGCGTGCTGATTTAAGTCTATAACCTATATGTGTACTTAAAGCAAAAGGGTATTAATAACTTTTTTAAAAAAATTAAATATCTCAAGGCAAAGAGAAATCAGACAAATGTTTGCAAGTTACATAGACATTTACATCAATCTGTATTTTCATAAGCTTCTGTTTTTTGTAAAAATTATATAGTTTTCATTTGCTTTCAGACATTAAACTTTTTTTTAACTAAAAGAATCATTCTGTGATAGAATTTGAATCTAAAAGGGAGGGCAGGAGTGGTTTGGGGGATATTAGTCTGTGAGCTTTAGAAACATTAAATAAAATATTTGATATCATACACATGCAGAGACTATTTAAAAAATATACTAGGCTACATGTTCATTTCCAGATTAGCAACCAAAACCAAACTAAACCCTACAGATCTGTGTACTATATAACTGAAGATGTAGTAGAAGTATTCACTGAAAGATAGTTCACTTATTTTGATAAATAGAAATGTAAGATGCAATTATTTACTTATGAAAGATCTTGAATTCTTATAAAGATGAATATGATATACACAAACTATTAAATAAAACAGCATTTGTTTCACACTATGAAATTTAATATTCTTATTAATCCTGAGTAAACAAGCTTTGAATAAGGAACTAAGAAAGTGACACCACGACAGATATGGATAAGGCTTAACATGTATTTTTAAATCTGACATAAATTCTAAGGTACTTTCCAATAAAGTTTTACCATATTCAGCTTTTCTAATTTCATGTCATTTATTATGGGACTTGTTTTTTTGAAAGCCTTAACTTTGGCTGTCAGTAGTTTAAAAAGGATGTTTGATAACGTAAAAGAGATGCATATCTGTGCATGTATGGCAAAATGTGTGTTCACACATAATAATATATTTGTTAATGCAAAACAGTTACCTGCTGTGGTCCTCGGATTGCTTTTCCCGGGGAATCGAGTGAGGGAAAAGGTGCATCAGATGGGTCCAGAAGTGGGAAGCTATTTACATATAATGCATTATGGTCTCCAGGTGGCAAACACGCAGCTCTATCCAGAGTTGTCCTGATACAAGTGTTTACGAGATTTGAGGGCTTTGTTTTGTCAGTTGTTTTAAGGTTTTGTATAGCTGAAGCTATGGGGTCAATTCCCTGAATTTCAAATAAAGTTTCTTCTGTTTTAACAAAGTTCCCTGGGTTGTCTCTGAACTCCATATTAAATTTCTCTTGGCACACTGCCTCAGACGTGGCAGGACTAAGGATGCCGGGTCTCTCTGGAGTGCTATGTAAGAAAGTTGAGTCATTGTCCATAGGTGGAAACTTGACATTGAATTTAGAAAGTGATTCAAAAGAGGTGTCTTCCTCATCTCTGCACAGTCCTCTTGGTGTGACAGATGTGATGGATGGTGCACCTCTATTTATATCATCTTTAGCCTGAGGCTTAAACAGCGCTTCTTGTTTATCTGTTTTATCCGTACACTGTATAGGCACAGAGCACTGTGTTTCTGGAGGGAGAAGAACACAAAAGAGAAACAGCCGCATTCAAATCATTAAAAAAATCTGTTCAATCAGCTTTGGAGAGATTATTATTATTTTTTCTATTGGTTTTTATAGCAAATGAAGACAACTGGGATTTTAAAATTTGCTACCATCTTACACAGAATATTAGCAGTCTCCAGCGGGTGAACTGAAACATAGCTTATTAGTCGCAATTTAACTACTTTGTCTTTTCCTAAGTCTTCTGCCGTAAGCTTTGCATCTTGTTCACAGTTACACTGCTCCACACTTGAAAAACATTTGCTTGTAGTGTATACATTTAAACATTTTGTCAGTAACGGAAGCTATAACTGTGAGTTTGCTTAGACAAATAAGTTGTTAAAAGGGAAAATCTTACTAGGTATATCTAAAATTAGGTCATTTATTATTAATGTCACTGTCTAACTAAGTATATCACTAATCAGTTTAGCCACTGTCTGCTCTCAATAATCCATGTGAGGGACTGGTGGTTGCAGGAGTTGGGAAAAAGAAGACAGTGAAGGCAAAGGAAGGATGAAATATTGTGATGCATGTTAAGAAAACTGTGGATGAATAGATTATTTTATCATCTTATATCTTTTTTTAAAAAAGACCTCTGTAAAAAACAGGTAAATATCTGGTAGACAAAAGGGCCTCTGTAGCTCATTTATCTAGAACCACTTATCCAACAAATTCAGCTTTGTAGGACACAGTCAAAAGCTAGAAAGAAAACAGAGCTTCTGAGGAGCCAGAATTAGAGCCACAAGGTTCATAGATAGATGAATTTTGTTCCTATTGTCATTTTAGATTTATTCTAACAAACTTGGTGGTATTTCCACAGCTCATAGCTGGTTTGAAACAGCAAATTAAAAGGGAGTATGAGTTGCTAAAGGCAGACATAGATATCAACAAGAGCTAAAAGCATAGGAAGAGATAAGAAAGACAAAGAAGCTGATATAAGAACTTAGAAAACACTACAGTCTAGTATAGGGCCAATGAGTGCTCAATACAAAAAAACAATCATCAAAGTACTCTCCATGTTGATGATTCTGAGACACTAGAAAAAGCCAAATTAAGCTCCACAATGTCCCTTAAAGAAGGCACTGAAGTTGGTAATGTATGTATTTTAAGGATTGTCATCAGCACTGTTGAACATTCACAAATGGAGACATTACCAATGATGCAAATCTAGGTAGACAGGGTATACAGAACACAAGGTATACAAAGTATCTGTACAGGTTAGTAGGCACTTAACAAATGTCAGTTCCTTTATATTCCTTTGGTCTTGGCAGTCTCATGACACCTCTCTGTCTTTTGCCACAGCACATTCCAATATATTTTTTTCTGTTTGGGTATGTGTAGTAAAATGCAACCAACTTCTTTGGTTCATTTTGTTATATACCTACTGCCTCTCTTTATACCTCTCTTCATACCATCCTTTCTTATTGGATTATTATAACAGCCTTTAAACTGCTTCCTTGCCTCTGAATTTGTCTCATATCCAATCTGTTCTCTTCACTGCAACTTCCCCTCCATCCCTTCATTCTCAGAGTAGTTTTTCTAAAATACTAATCTGACCAAGTTACCTTCCTAATAAAATCTTTTGATGGCTCTACAAGCCCCTCAGATCTCAGAAAAGGCTTATTAGACTGTTCATGACTGGCCCCTGGTCATCTCTCCATGCTCATCTTTCACTCCATACTCTGGCTATAATGAACTTTGTATAGTTCTCCAAAATAGCTACACTCTCTTGTCTTTGCACCTTTGCACCTGCTGTGCAGACTGCCTGAAGTGTCCCCTCCCATTACTCTTTGCCCAACTCTTATTTGTCCTTCATATCTTGGCTTGGACATAAGTTTCTCTGGATGACTCTCCCATGACTCTTGGATGCCCTGAGAACTGAAACACACTGTTATATAGTTATGTGTCACTTAACGACGGAACATTTTGAGAAATGCAGTCTTAGGCAATTTTGTCATTGTGCAAACATCATAGAGTGTACTTACAGAAAGCTAGACAGTATAGTCTACTACACACCTACATTATATGGTATAGCCTATTGTTCTTAGGCTACAAACCTATACAACATGTTACTGTACTGAATACTGCAGGTAACACAATGGTATGTGTGTATTTAAACACTGAAAAGGTACAGTAAAAATATGGCATAAAAGATAAAAAATGGGTATGCCTGTATAGAGCACTTACCGTGAATGGAATTTGCAGGACCGGAGGTTGCTCTGGGTGAGTCAGTGAGTTAATGGTGAGTGAATGTGAAGGCCTAGGATATTACTGTACATCACTGTAGACTTTATGAACACTATACACTTAGGTTACACTAAATTTACAAAAAAAACAAAATGTGCTACAATGTAACAACAGCTACCTACAATGTCACTAGGGTGATATTAACTTTTTTTTTTTTGAGACCGAGCTTCGCTCTTGTTGCCCAGGCTGGATAGAGTGCAATGGCATGATCTTGGCTCACCGCAACCTCTGCCTCCCAGGTTCAAGTGATTCTCCTGCCTCAGCCTCCCGAGTAGCTGGGATTACGGGCATGCGTCACCACGCCCGGCTAATTTTGTATTTTTAGTAGAGACGGGGTTTCTCCATGTTGGTCAGGGTGGTCTCGAACTCCCAACCTCAGGTGATCTGCCCAGCTCAGCCTCCCAAAGTGCTGGTATTACAGGCATGAGCCACTGTGCCTGGGCTGATATGAACTTTTAAGTACCATTATAATCTTATGGGGCCATCATTGTATATGCAATCTGTTGTTGACTGAAAATGTCATTTGGCACATGACTGTATTTCCAAGTATAACTCTGTTTCTTCCCACTAAAGTAGGTTTTTTGAGGTCTTAAACTGTTTTGTTTCCTTCTAACTCCAGACCCTTGCCCAGTGTCTGGCACATAGTATGCCCCTAACAAATGAATTCTGAATGAATCTGTAATCTCTCCCCTACAAAGCCTACTATAATAATCAACATTTACCAGATACTCTATGACTAGGAGTGCTATAGTAATTGTCACCAAGCTTAATTGTTTATCTGGATTTCTTTAGCCTCTGAGGTTCTTAAAGTCCATTAACTCTCGAGTAGTCATTTTCCCTGGCAGTAGACTTGAAAGTGGTAGGAAAGTCTAGGAAACAGTACTGTCTTTGTAGATGACATTTGCTACTTGCAAATAACAAATCAGGAAAACCAACTGTTGAGGTAATCAGATTCTGTAACACCCGAAGAGGAGAGACTTATCAAATGATCTTCACAAGGAGAACAAGGTGAATGCTGGAGAATCTGCTGCTGCTGCTGCTAATGGAAATGACTATTAACATTAATAGCACTTCCACATGGCATGTACTATTATAATAATTGTATGTACATTAATTCATATAATACTCAAAGTAATCCTGAGGCAGGCACTATTATTATCCCCACTTTACATGTGAAGAAACTGGTTGGAGAGGTTAATTCAAAGGCCACACAACTATTATAGTAAGTGGTAGATCTGCCACTGGAACCCAGGCAACCTAACTGTAGATTTGTGCTCTGAACCATTAGGCTAAATTGAACATGTTGGTTTCTATATATAGAGAGAAGTCCCCAAATTGACAGAAATGTGCTTTGAATTATTTTTCTAGCAGTTGATCTATCCCCGCTGTGAACAAAACGAGGAGAAATCAAACAGCTCTAAAAAAACAGATATTTTCTTTCAGCAAAGCTAGCTGGCATAAAACTCAGCCACATTAAAATAATCTGAGTTAATCTGCTCAAGCAGTGAGAGTTAATATCTATTAAAAAAATTTAAACCTTACATTCCTAATGCTACTAGAAATCTAAGCTGAGACAACTTAAAACTCAAATGAGATGCATGAAAGCACTTGTCATCCTGACACCATATTGAGAAACATGATCAGGTGAGCAAATAGCTTTTCTATTTTGTCTATTTTAAGACTACTTAGCTTTGCAAGGAAAAAGTAAAATGGGAAATATTTTTAGATTTCCCAGTTTTAAATACAGGCTATCCATTTAGTTACTTCTCAGTATAATCACGTTGTATATTGACAAAAGAAAAAGACCTCATGGTTGTTTATTACCCTTCTCATGGATGTTTGTTACCCTTAATCCTATATTCTTCCTTCCCAATCTCTACTGAAATTGGACACTCCTTTATGAACCAAACAGTACTTTATTTGAAGCTATGGATAAACATACATTTTATCTTTATCATTTCTTAAGTCTACTGCCATATGTAGATGAGTAGAAAAAACAAAGTAATAATAAATAGGAAATGTAGAATTCTACTAACTCAGTATTTTCAAATGAATCATATCTGGTTATTTAAAAGTAAAAATCAAATTTTAATACAAAATAACATAGGGACAATACACGTACTCTTCCCAGATATATTGTGCAAATCATATTCAAAATAGTTCTTCTATATTTTTATACAGTGTAGCATACATACTTGGAAACCCTGAATAGGCATCTTTTCAAAAAATATTTTTTCCTTTCTCCTTTTGATATACCACTGTCAGAGTATAATATTTATTTTGGTTTCTCTTTGGACCCCAGCAAAACTTCACTAGAGTCTGTAGCACAAAATATTTTGAGAATAATGTACTTATTATTTGTGACACTGTTAATATAAAGCATAAAAATAAGGCATCAGGAAGCAGTTTTAGTGGAGAAGAAATTGAAGTTAAATACTCAGTGTTCTAGCTGACAGACACATACTCAGATTTAGACCTGTGCAATTTAAAAATGGTCAAAGTATTAAGCCATTGATAATGAGATAAGTTTTCTGTGTAACAAAGAATATATCACCATTACAATGCCTTGAAAAGATGTTGATGTTCAAAAAAGCATGTTTATGAATTCTAGGTACTACATCTCCATAGCTAGCATATTTTAAACAGAAATAATTCATTTACTTCAGAGGTACCTAGTTATCTTTAGTCCATACAAAAGATCAATTTCTCATGAAAATGACAAAAATTAAGGTGAAGAAAAGAGTTGTTTTTGGGGAGGTGGGGGAAGGGAGAGAAAGAACCAAATTATGTCTGTCTACAAAGATTATTTTGTTTCTGTAATACCACATTGTGTAACTTTTCTGAAAATAAAATGGTAGTAGTAGCAAAAAGTGAATTTACACTATAAAATGATTTTAAATAGCCTAGATGTAAGAGCTGCAAGAAATGGAAAGTGATCTTTAATTAAAAGGGTGTTAGTCAGCAAGACTGCAACATCTCTCAGAGTGAAAACTGTAAATCACATCCTTTGGGAATTGTCTGCAGAATAGCTCAAATCACAAAGGTAAAGGAGAATTTATCATTATAAATGATCAGTTTACCTTCCTTTTGTTTGCAGAAGTGTTTGGTTGCCAGACCTAATCCCTTAGATTTTGCTATTCATATAGAACTACTGAAGCAAACACCAGGAAGCCAGTCTGGGGTTTTAGGAAAGGGTACAGCATTTACAAAACATACTATAACACATATGTAAAACAAATGTTCCTTCTAAATTATATTTTATACTAAATGTGTATTTTGTGCATTAAACACAACTAGCACTCAGGAAATTTGAGTGCCACGTTTTTATTCTTGAACCAAATGAGTTCAAAGAATTCTTGAGCCCAGGAGTTCAAGGCTGTAGTGCACCATCAGGCCTGTGAATAGCCACTGCACTCCAGTCTGGGCAACATAGCAAGATTCTGTATTGAATTAAAAAAAAAAGAACATTAAAAAAACATCTATCCATAGTGTATGTAATGCACTTTCAGGCAGAATTTACAAACAAACCTGATGTTATAATTTTACTTAGCTCATATAATATGGTAGTGTGGCTTCAAGGTCACTTATTAACATAAAAGTTAATGTTTAATAAGGTCCCCCAAAAAACAACTGAAAACTTTCAGGGATATAGTCTGTATTTATTTTGTATTTTTTTAAGGTGGGATGTCTCATTAAGATAATTAGTAATTATGTCTTTCAATTTAATCTATATAGTACCATATACAACAAAGAGAAAAAAACCAACAATTACACATGTAATACATTACAGAACTTACACAGCATGTACACATTCAAACATACGTGGATGAGGGGTAAATTACAGATGCTACACACTTAATAGGCATTCAGGAATATTTTCACATTCAAAAGGAAATCAATTTCAATCAAGCAAATCAATATTACTGTAAATTAAATTAAATCTTACCAGTTGCAGTGTCTGGTATATTAAGTTTGCTTAAGTGGTCTTTCTGTGCTTTTGCTAGCATGCATATTTTATGAAATTCTTCTTTCAGATCCCAGAAAGTCTTCTCTATATTACCCCTAAAAAAAAAAATCAACATTTTAAAATGTAAAGCTATAACTTCCAAGTTTTTTAAATAATCAAACTTATGTAGTACCATTTTATGTGCCACAAAATAATTATTTAAAAGTAAAAAAAAATTATTTTAAATTCCTAAACAATGTCCCCAAAATCAGCTTGTGTTTGTAGAGGGCCAGGCACAAAGTAAGTGATAAATTAAAAGTTTTAATACATAAATATAGTATAGTCTAGCATATCTACTTATTCATATATACACTAATGTTGGCTGTCTTATTCTCACATTAGAAATTTCAATGCATTGACTTTTGTTCTCTGCAAATATCTTAAATAGAATATTAAATATTCCTCATTTTGGTAAGGTTCACATTAGGAGCCATCCATATAAAGAAATACGACCTTAACACTTGGTCTATTGAAATAGTAGAGCTTTACAGAATTCAAGTTTTAGATTCAGCTCTGCTATTAACTGCATGACTTGTTTAGGTCATCTTTAACATGTAGGATTCTGGGGTTGGTCACTTCCACTTATTCTAAAAGGCTATTTTTTTTGCAATTGTTAAAGCTTAAAAAAAACAAATATAAAATATATTTCAGTATTGATAATTTTTAAGAGTTGAGAAAAAAGGATGTAGAACTACCTTTCATGGAGCAAAGGACTGCCAAGACTCCTTGCTGAAGTTTCTTTTCTAGGAGAAGAAACCTCTTGTCTTCTTACCTTAAACATACAAAATGATTACTATTACTACTTTAAATTGCTCCCAAATTCAAATGAGGTCGAGTAAAGAGAAAACACAAAGGAAATTTTATTTACCTTCCCTACTGAAAAATAACTTGAGACAGCTTATAGACCTATATGTAATATACAATTGATTTTTTTCTTTAAATGAGAAAAATCAAGGAAAAAGGAAAATGAAGAAGGAAAGTCTGAAGAGATGAAATATTTCTGGTAACTTCAATTACTATTTCCGGTACTGGTAATTCAAGAAATTTCTCAAATTCAACTATTGATCAAAATTGCTGCTCTGTTCACCAAGCACCTCATACGCTCAGAAACTTAGGGGGAAAAAAATCTATGTGTCTACTTCTTTTGATATTCAGTAAAAATGGCCTATATATTTAAATCAACGTGTTTGTCTTTTGTTATAGATTCTTTGCTGAAGAATGCAGCTGTATTAAAGGAAGAAAGAAAACCAAGCTACAGCTCCTTATAATTCAACAAGCATTTAAAAGATTTATAAAGATGGTGCAATTATGTATTTAAGCTGCTTCAACACAAGTTCTTGCCTTTCACTCCCACCCTGTGGCTTACACTGGTATTACATCTATTCTGACATTTAAAAATCAACATTAAAGAACATATTGTAATAATGTATTCTATGGTTTAAATATTTAAAAAATTTTACATCATACCTAGAAAGTGTTGTGTACTTTCTAAAGCTTATAAACTGAAAAGGATTTGAAGAATCCTAATACAGAATCATAAGTTATAATTCATCCAAAATTGTATAGTTCTTAAATTTCAAATCCAAACCAGTGGATATCTGTCTTTAGTGACATTTAGATTTTATTCAATTAAGGTCATTGTAGCTATTATAAATGGAAGATTTTACTTCATTGTGTCTTATCACTGAAGTACTTCACTCTTGCTTTTCAAAAGATTTCTTTCAATTTCTTCAGAGTCTTATTTGTTCTCTAAGACAAAGACTTGATTTCAGTTTGTTTTTCTTAAAATTAATATCTTCTCCAATTTATTTCCCAGTTTTTTCTAAATAAATACTTTAAATATATAGAGTATTATTTTTATAGTATCTCAGAATTAGTAAAATAAAATCTTGCCAATACAAACAATTTGTGATTTTATACATTATATTGTCAGACTGAAGTAAAATAAAGATTATTTTGTTGCTGCATATCATGTGTTTGACAAACATTCAGGTCATATATTCTTCTGGATTAAAACTGCTGTATTGAGCATTATAAGGCAGTCACATCAGAAGATATTTTCACATTCACAGTTTGTTTTTAAAAGTGGTAGACAAGGTTTTTCTATGGTGTTTTGTACAATTAGAACACTCAATGGATTTTAGTGTGGACTAGGAAGAAAGGCAACATTTTAAAGCTAGCCAGCCAGTCAGAACACTACAAATACGAAAACAAACTTTTAAAAGATTTTATTATTAAGTCTATATCAACAAAATCAGAGAAGAGGTATATTAAGAAAATACTTATATTTGATAATTTAATATGTCAAACAAATCATAAAATAAGTGATTATATATTAAATGGAATGACCTCCTTATAGTGAGCCAAGATTGTACCACTGCACTCCAGCCTGGGCGACAGAGCAAGACTGTCTCAAAACAACAAAAAACAAAACAAAAAAAAGAGTAATGCCCTGTAGTTTTAGCCTAAAACTGGAGATAGTTACAGAAAGTGGTAAAGATAGTGCTCCAAATTCCAAAGTCCTGACTTTGACATAAACTAGGAATGACTGCTTCTGAGATTAAAGAAGTATTAAAAAACTAATGGGGATGAAGAGGGCTGAAGGAAAAGATAGGAAAAAAATGACAAACCTTTGTCTCGCTTGGTAAATAATTGATGCTAACTTACTTCTGTGATGTTTGGATTTGATAACTAGTGTGGGTGAATTTATCAAGAAAAGATTCCTTTGGTGTATTGGCAGGAGGTAAAGGAGGACTCCTTAAGGAATTCCTATGACGTATCTAAACTAAGGTCTTCAGCTTCTTTGGGGTTAGAAACACAGCTCTGCTTACTATTATTTTTGTTTTTATTCTTATTGAAAAAAGTATTACTGGTTGTACTAGGCAATACACTGCACCTTTTATCATTCATGCCAAATAAAGCTGTTAGTATATTTCAAATGAAAATTCTGAGTTCCCGGTACCCAAGAAAAATCTTCAGAAAGGCACCTCTTAACATGTTACTTGGGGGAAAAAAAAAAAAAAAGTAAACGGTTTTCTGACAGACATTTTGAAGTCGGGTTTATTTAGAATGGGGCATAACATGTTAATGCTATTTTCCATTATAGCAGTCTGATACAACTTTCTGAAAACAATCATTAATTTTTCAAAGGATTTAGGATTAGTATAATCAATGGCAACTTCAACACTTTCCCAGAAACTCAGACTTTTTTGTCAATGCATTATCTTAATAAAGATTAATCAGTTTGTTGAGCATCTCAGAGAGTAAGATAACTTGTATTTTTCTTTCTATTCTCAAATATAATCCAAGTGGGCTCTGTACTGCAGGAAGATGAAGTTGTAACTTCAAATAAGAAAGCAAGGGAATTTTGAACATTATATTTTAGGAGATTTTAAGCATTAAATCATTCAAAAAATGAATTTATTTTGAGGTACTAAAACTTAAAATACTTAACATCATAAACTGTTCCAAGTACTAGTTTGGAAATGCTGAACTTGTGGAATGAATGCTGAAATAAGAGTTTTACACATCATACTTTTCATATACACTTCCAGTATGTCGCTGGGTAAGTCATTCAACTAAATCCATTAAGATAAACACATCTGAAACAGTTGGAAGATGTAAAATGTTTCCTTAAATTTCCTATGTGAATTGGGAGAATTTTGATTTAGTGTAAGTCAATTTAAGCTTCTCCCTAGATGGGTATTATATCAAAAATATATGTTCAAGGGACAGTTGAATATGCAGTGATATTTAAGGAGGAGAAAAAAAAGTGGTTAATATTTCATTAGTCCAAATCAGGCTTTATTATTGATGCAAAAATAATCAAAAATGTTTTTGTTTCCCATTCTAGGATATGTTAGATATCAACCTCTCAAAGAAAGAAATGTACATTTTCCTTAACACCTGCTTTTGTTATAGTTGATACTAAAAGTGAAATTATTTTATTCCTTTTATAAAAAATTGGAAAGATACAGAAAAGAAATAAAAATTGTCATTTGAAACCATATTTTTTCTTAAAAATTTTAAGCAATTAAAGTCAGCAAAATAAAATTGAGTTACAGAATTTTTTTTTCCTTTTTTGAGACAGAGTCTCGCTTTTGTTGTCCTGGCTGGAGTGCAGTGGCGTGATCTTGGCTCACTGCAACCTCCATCTCCTGGGTTCAAGCAATTCTCCTGCCTCAGCCTCCCAAGTAGCTGAGATTACAGGTGCTCGCCACCATGCCCGAGTAATTTTTGTATATTTAGTAGAGACAAGGTTTCAACATGTTGGTCAGGCTGGTTTCGAACTCCTGACCTCAGGCAATCTGCCCACCTCGGCCTCCGAAAGTGCTGGGATTACAGGCGTGAGCCACCGCGCCCAGCTGAGTTATGGAATTTTTAAAGATAATTCTGACTAAACTCTTTAACAAGATGTATATTCTCTCATATGTATGTAAGAAACCTAAACTTTAAAAGGCTTCTATTAAGTAAAGAAGGTTAGTTTTCAATGATACATATTTCACTTAACTCCAGTGTTCATATCAAAGACTCCCTTTAAACTTTAGTTACGATCCTTGCATGCAAAGGAATATTTATTTTTAGCTAGCTTAGGCAACTGAGTGTAGTCAATGTTTTATTTCGTTTCGGGATGAGGCTAAATAGAAATATGCTTTTAAAACAGAAACGAGAATCCTTACTTGGATCAATGTAAACCAAGAAGTAAGCCAAGGTGGGATGGGATGGATTGGTAGAGGGAATATAAACTATGGAATAGGTATAAATGTTAGCTTGATAAAATTCACTACAGAAAAAGGAAAAGTAAGTAGTAGGAAAAAAACTGAAAATAAAGATTCATTTGTCACTTAGATTTTTGAGAACTAAGAATGAAATGTTAAAGGAGGAACTGAGGTTGAATATTTCCTTACCAGTCTACATATACTGAGACAAAAGATGTTATAGTGAAGTCAAGCACTGGATACAGCTGAATCAGGGAGAAAGTGAAAAAAGGGCTGAGACAGAAAAAGATTAAGGTATAAAACAGGACCAAAAAAAAAATTACAAAAAGATATTTGATAAGAATAAACATAAAAGAATAGTACATAAAAGTTTGAGGATAAAAGATAAAAAAATAGAATATTGTATTTAATCTAAAAGAACTTACGGCCATATAAAATCTATGGTTCTCTCACCCTCATTAACATTCCTGAAAATCTAGCAAAGCAAGAGAAACACAAATCCTAGGAGCCTTGTCTGTTCTGTGTGATACAGTGTGCTAGGCAAACCCACTGCCAGTGTGGGAACAACTCCAGGGCAAAATGGGATCCATCCCAGAGTTCTGAAGGAAGTGGCAAGAAAATAAACAATATAAAAATAAAATTAAACACCCTAATTACTTCCAAGTTCTTTATTGGGTTGTGGTTTAACATAACCCATCCCCACAATCTCTACTGATTCAATGCTACAATAAAACATATTGTTCAGAAAAGGTAAAATCCTTTGCCAGTACTGCCACAATTACTGTAATTTCAATTCTATCAAAGTTAATTTGTAGAATGAGATGAATACTTTTCTACTATCTGTCTTCTAAGTCTTTCACTTTGTATTAGGTACCTTTTGCATATATCTTTCTGATTTCTTTAAAGGGAAGAAATATTTAATTGTGGACATGCTTTTTTAATGCAAAATAGAAACTGCATAACTTCAGTGAGCAATTTAATTAAGATTTCTCACACTCCTTTCACTCTTTCCCCAAACACTACATTTAAAATGAACTGATCTGTGCTGTGCATGGTGGTGTGCTCCTGTAATCCCAACTACTAGGGAGGCTGAGAGGGAGGAGTTTGAAACCAGCCTGGGCAACACAGCAAGAACTCATCTCAAAAAAGAAAAAATGAACTGATTTGGAAAAATCCTTTAACTACAAATTTAGTGTTATGCCACTACACCATGAAGAACAGAAGCTATCTTCTTGAAAATAGCTATTATTTAAGCAATTTGCATGTATTACTTATTTAACTGAAATCACAAAAGCTGCTTATTTTGAGATGGAGGTCTTGCAACGTTGAGCAGACTGGAGTCAAATTTCTGGACTCAAGCAGTCTTCCTGCTGCAGCCTCTGAAGTAGCTGGGACTACAGGTGCACGCCACTGCACCTGGCAAGCCACAAAATCTTCTGAATTACGTATTTAATTATGATTTTTAAATTTGCTTTGAAGAGATCAAATAATTTGTGTATAGTTTGGCAGGCGGAGTAGCTGTGATTGGAACACAAGCCTTTTTGCCCCAGTAGCTTTAACTACTTAGCCATAATGCTTGGCTGCTGGAGAAGCTAAGTGGTACAGTTATCCAGCATAGGGTTGGAGATAAAGAATGGTTACATTTACATATTGCACCAAGGCAAACTAATTTTAAGATTCTAAAATCTTCCTGTCATACAATAAAAAATATATTTATCACTGAGAAGCAGTTACAGGCCATGTTTTGATGCTTAAATATTGCCCAGGGTGGGAGGGGAAACCTTTGGTATAGCCTTTTTTTTGCTGCGTTCTCAAGGATGTATCGTACAAATAGAAATGTACATCCAAAAATAACTTAAGATAGATTTACTCAAGTTTTGCCAAACGAGTCACTTGTTAACATAGGCAATTTGGCAGTATTTTCTTTGACAAAATTTCATAGTATTTCTCAAACTTGGCATAGAAGTTAAGCATTTGACAAAGCATGACAATGGGTGGAGTACCCTACTGGTTAATTCTATCCTCTCTGGAAAGCTTAACTCCCTTCCTGCCTCCCCAGCTATCTTTTAATAAAAGACTGGGTATAGTTATAGCAGCTGATAAAGTCCTTGTCTGATAATTTCAGTGTCTGAATCATCTTAGGGTTGATGTCTGTTCTCTTATAACTGGGTCATATTTTCTGGGTTCTTTATATGTTGGGTGATTTTGGACCACATCCTGACCATACTCAGCCAGAAAAAAACCAAAAAACTAGACTTTAGGAGCTCAGATTCCATTGTGGAGGAGTGAGCACCTAACAAACCATTCTTCTGCAAATAACAGTTACAAACTTTGGACAACACACACACACACACACACACACACACACACACACACACACACAAACCAACTACCTGAAAACACTGAAGACTGAACTTTGCATATATTGGAGGAGAGTAAAAAATGTGTAGTAAGTAATTGGCTTAGAGTGCATTCCCAGTTTTCTATGGTTTTGTCCTGATGATGGCCACACTGCAGTAGAGGCACAGTAGTGGCTGAAATTCCAGTAACAAAGCCCACTAACATTCTGGCTGGAAGAACCAAGAAGGAGAATGAGATCATAACCATGGTCACCAGAGAGTGAAGGAAAGGAGCCCTAGAGAATTTGAGAACCTTAAATTCTGAGTTTAAATTCAGCCCAAGTCTCTGGCAGTCTCCAGGTTGTGCGAGGCTAAAAGCTTTGCAGCTAAAGCTCTAAGGATTGAATGGAGATTGGAGCTGCCCCTCTCCATAGGAGTGACACTTACCCTGAGCTAATCAAGTTCACTGCCTGTAAAAACAAAACTACCAATACCCTTCACCACTCTAGAAAACATTTTGTCTGTTTCTTAAAATAAACAAACAAAAAAACTCCAAACATGTAAGTACTATATGACCCAATGAATGCACTCCTGGGCACTTCAAAATTTATGTTCACACAGAAACCTGTATACAAATGTTTACAGCAGCATTCCGTCTATAAAGTAAGAAAAAGATAGGAAGCACTTTCTCCTCTGAAGCCATGATTATATCACCTAAAAACGGTTATGGTAAATGAAATGGCTCATTCAAAACTCTCAGTTTTAGCTTTCAGTTTACATAATGTTCTCCCAAGTGACCTAGAATAATTGTGGCTCTTGTCTAGAAATTATCCTTTTTCCATTAACATCTTGTAGAAAATTTAACTTTACGTATCTATGCACACATAACCAAGATAAAGGCAAATAAGAACTTGTCTTCTTTTCTGTTAGCATCAAAAAATCTTAGGGCAGGAGAAACCCTCAAGAAACTGAGGTTAGGCCTTTCCTGAGTAATAAAATTCCCAACTGGGGGCCTCACCAACTTTTTTTTTTTTTTTTTGGCCAAGAAAGAACTTAGTAAAAAATAAACTACCAAGACCTAGTATATTCTTCATGTCAAAGGGGAATGAACATTTATCAAAAAGAAAAAAAGTAGGAAGAAGAGTTTTAGATTCAGCTTTATCAAAAAATTATCACTTTATGCTTACGGCTCAGGATAAGATGAGAAGCAAGAGCTGAGGACAGAAGTGAGGAGTCTCAGGCTGCAGCACAGGTAAAAAAGAGAAAGCAGGAGAGAATGTTCAATTAGCAGAAGCAAGAAGGAAAGCAAGGAGATTCACTGTGGCCATTTGGCCGTCTAGCAGACATACGGTCCAGATGTAACTTCTAGAGAATACAGACAAGTCAGTGGCTCCCTATAATATTATTAAGATAAAATGTAGAGGGAAACATGCTGTCTTTAATGTTAAATAGTCAAGAGAAATTAGGAGCAGAAATAACAATGAGTAAATCCATTAAATATGGAATTACTTAGAGGAAACTAAGCTTAAATGCAAAAATCACACTACTATTGACAAACATAACAGGAAAGAGACAATAAAAGATGCTCGTCTTAGAATTATTTGTTTCCAAAAGGGACTTATCAGGGAGGGAGACAAAAACCACAGGTTAATGACAATGCAGAATGTGTGGAAACTGCTATACAATAGTTTTATTAGGATTCTAAGATATATAGCTTAGAGCATAAGTATATAGAAAGATGACTAACTGGCAAAGAAAAAAAATCTTTCAGGAAATAAATCAGCTTTCGTAACATAGCAAGACACTGCTTAACCAAGCAGCAGAGAAGCTCAGAGTGTATAGGTGCAAATGAAAAATTAGGTGACTCTTCCCCCTCCTCTACCCTCAAAATCTAGCAGTATCTTAGAAGGAACTAAGAATCCAGTTAGAGGATGTTAAAATACAATACTGGGAAGAGTGTTAGCTGAAGATCCTGTACTTAAACAAAGCTAAGTGGTTTTCTTAGTATTGATTTCAGATCCCAGATACAGTCTTGCGCCTTTAAAAATTAAAAAAACAGAGTACCTAGTATGCAGCACTTCATAGTCCTAGGGTTTTATGGAACATACTAGAAAATGCAGGTATCTACTATCAAACTATCTTTTAACAAATTAGAGTCAAAATTCAGAGTCTGCTCTAGACTTAATATAGATTAATTTACAAGCATCACGATTTAAAGTATGAAGATATAAGACAATTGATTATCCAATGTATGTGAAAAGAACTGATGAGGAAGCATTAGGACCTCCATGTACAAATAAAGGTTCCTGAGGAGATGCTGGAATATTCTTAGAACATGACATTTTTTCAGGAGGATGAAAAGTAACTTACTAAGAAAAAGGCAATATGATTTTTTTCTAACAGGAAATTATAATCTGGTTAAACCAGTGGTTCTCAAAATATGGTCCAGGATCCTTAAAGGTCCCAAGAGCCTTTCAAGGGATCCACTGTTGGGAGAGGTAATCTGCCATGGCCCCTGAGCATCCTGGCACATTTTTGCTGTTCATGTCAGGAATACAAGAATCTCACTGTTCTTTACCGGAGCCTTTTCTTAGGCTTGTGTTTGCAGAGCAAATTTGAAAGACTAGGTAATGTCTCCCTCTTGGACAAAGAGCAGGCATGCTTACTGCCTGCTATAAAATGGTGGGTTCCCCAAGCTCAATATGCCTCTCCTTTAATGTAACCATTGCATGTATAAGCATCATCTGTGTCTGTGTTACCTCCTAGGCAGGACCAATGAAAATAAGATGTTCTTCGCTACTAACTTTACTGTAAATAATAAAGTCCTTTTTCTCTGATTCACTTTTCTGTTTTCCTCCAGTACCCACCCATGAAACAGTAACTAACTTATTAGCTTGTAAGTAGAATAAAATGAAATCCCAGAGCCTGACATAATTGAAATCAACTATTGTCACAATTAAGATATTATTAATATTTGCATTTTTTACTGTGTTGGCATTTAGACTGATGATGCAAAAACAATGAATAAAACTGCTGGTGCCCGAGTATGACTAAGGCCATATCAAACTGTTGTCACTGTATTCTTTAATGTCACACACTCAGTTAAAAAAAAAAAACCAGCAAAAAAAGGCAGTTTCAACTAAGAATGTCCTTAATAAGGCAGTAAAAGTGATTACTTTTATTGAAACTTGATCTCAACATATTTTTAATATTTTGTGTGACAAAATGGGAAGTATACACAAAAGGACTTCTGCTGCATACTGAAGTACAATTATTGTCTTGGGGAAAAGTACTTGTGCAACTATTTGAGTTGCAAGTAAACTGGTTACTTTTCTAATGGAATGCCATTTTTGCTTGAAAGAATGACTGACACACAAGCTATGGTTATTCAGACATTTTCTCAAAAGCAAATGAAGTTAGCCTGTCATGTTAAGGAAAGCAACAGACAAGATTTGTTGCCAATGATAAAATTTGAGCTTTCAAGTGAAAATTAAAATTTTGGAAGACCTGTACCTGTCACAGTAAGCTTGACAGATGCCCAATACTTGAAAGATTTTTCTGATGCAATCAGTGATGATGTTAAATGTGATTTAAAAATATTATATAATAGGTCAACATTTGCAAGATCTACATAACTTAGTGAACCAATATTTTCCAAATGATTGATTCATGATGTTACAGAATCATACATTAGTAAAAGACATACTCAAAGTACAAGATAGACCAACAGCTTTTAATGTAGCAGAAAAGTTCATTGATACGCTTTCAGATTCCATATTGCAGCTAACATTTTAAGACACTACCAAGTTTTAGTGCAGTATCAAAGACTATCCACAATCGCTAAAAAAGCTATTAAAATACTCTTCCCCTTTTCAAATACAATATCTATTTGAGGCTGAATTTTCATCATACAATTCAACCAAAAAAAAAAAAAATAACAGCAGGTTGAATGTAGAAGCATTTCATAACACTGAAAAAAAAAAAAACCTTCAAAACAGATTTAGAGAAATTTTCTTTTTTTTTTTTTTTTGAGACAAAGTCTCACGCTTGCCCAGGCTGGAGTGCAGTGGTGTGATCTTGGCTCATGCAACCTCCATCTCCTAGGTTCAAGCGATTCTCCTGCCTCAGCCTCCAGAGTAGCTGGGATTACAAGCACCCACCATCATGCCTGGCTAATTTTTGTATTCTTAGTAGAGACAGGGTTTCATCACGTTGGCCAGGTTGGTCTCAAACTCCTGACCTCAAGTGATCCACCCACCTTGGCCTCCCAAAATGTTGAGATTACAGGCGTGAGCCACTGCGCCCAGCCAGATTTTGAGAACTTTTAGGATGACAGGTTATAATAATAAGATAAACTAGATGGTTTGTGGGTGCTATAGTTTGGATACTTGTCGCCTCCAACTCTGATTTTAAAATTTGATCCCCAATGTTGGAGGTGGGGCCTAATGGGAGGGGTCTGGGTCATGGGGGCAGATCCCTCATGAATAGAGAAATCCTGGGGGCTGTGGGGGTAAGGATGGCAGGTGAGTGAGTTCTTACTCTTTTAGCCCCTGAGAAAACTGGTTGTTAAAAAGAGTCTGCCACCTCCCCTCTCTCTCTTGCTTCCTCTCTCATCATGGGATCTTTGCAATGCTGGCTCCTCTTTGCCTTCGGCCATGAGTGGAAGCAGCCTGTGGCCCTTGCCAGATGTCAATGTCCAATCTTGAACTTTTACAGATATCAAAATCATGAGCCAAATAAACCTTTTTTCTTTATAAATCCCCAGCCTCAGGTATTCCTTTACAGCAATACAGACTAAGATGGAGGTGGACAGGGGGCTATTCCTTACCTATCAAGGTTTAGAGAACAGCCTTTCATTCCTTGGCCAAGAGAAATCAGGGCTGGATAGACTCTTATCGACTCTATTCTGTGTGCTTTGAAGACAAGTTTTAAATAAAGAGAAGTGTGAGAAAAGGGATGATAGGGGAAATAAGGAGAGAAAAGCCATACTAGAGACATTCGAATTTGCTTCTAAGTTAGGAAAGACAATTTAGAAGGTGACATATCACTTCTTATTTTCTTTTCTTCCTCAAAATTATTTCCAGTATTTTAACAAAAGCAAAAACTGTAAGATGATGTACTGAATTCAAAAACACAAACCCAGAGCAGGAAAGGGTTAGGATTAATTAATAATTTAGATTGGAAACACAGTTTCTGCAATAGAAAATTTCAATGTAATTATTAAAATGTTTTGGATATCAATATTTGTTTTCTTAAGAGTTTGTGTATCAGCCAGGCACAGTGGCACACACCTGTAATCCTAGCACTATGGGAGGCCGAGGCAGGTGGATCATTTCAGGTCAGGCATTTGAGACTAGCCTGGCCAACATAGTGAAACCCCGTCTCTACTAAAAATACAAAAATTAGCCAGGTGTGGTGGTGTGTGCATGTAATCCCAGCTATTCGGGAGGCTGAGGCAGGAGATTCACTTGAGCCTGGGAGGTGGAGGTTGCAGTGAGCCGAGATGGTGTCACTGCACCCCAGTATGGGTGACAGAATGAGACCCTGTCTCAAAAAAAAAAAAAAAGTTTATGTATTATGACTCTTTGGAAAAAACTGAACTTTTAATGAATAAATTGGTTGAAGATAGTTATTTTCCTTTCTAATTAACATTCTACCAGAAAGTCTATAAAAAAGGCTAGTCTCCAGAGGAGTAATACAGAAGCATTATATATAAAAATAGGGTATATATAATGCAGTTTCTAGAAAGAAAACCAGGAGAAGCGGTACATTTGCTTTGGACTGCAAGGCAAGGAGTACCTGAGGTACTACACACAAACACGTTTTTCTCCAGTTCTCTAAGCCCCAGCCTACATTGGCCTGTGCCATTGTACAGTGTGCATAATCACCATTTCTGTATGATAAAAGATAGAAAAGATTAAACATTAAAGGAATTCAGGGGCAAATTTTTAAAAAGTTGAGTAACAAACACATGCAATTACATTTATTTCAAGTTCCTCTTTTAGAAGAGGTGCTATGTGTTTAGATGATGTAAATGAGATTTGGCTTTTCCATAGAAATCACTTAGTAGCTAAATATGTTGACTAACGGCCTAATTTTTAGCTTTTGTTCAAATGATGAAAAACATATTTATCATTTACCTATAAACCATTTTAAAGCTTTTACAATGAATATAAAACCAGGTACCTGGACAACATACAGCAACTTAACAAACAAATGTGGATTAAGGGACTTGCAACAGAAAGTGTCTGGAGTGTTGAGAGAAGCTACAGGGGCCCAAAACTCAGACGAAGATCCCTAAGTGGGCACTGCACTTGAAGTCCAGTGTATATAAGATATGAACAGTGTAAGGATGGGAATGCCATCTAAGACCTAGACCTGTGAGATTAGGATTTTATTAGCTACAGAAGATCAGAAAGCAAAACAGAGTTCAAGTTCATGTACTGCCTGCCAAAACTGCTATACATAATTGAAGAAGCAGACCATGCGTAAATGCCGCTCACTGAAGGACTGTCTATAGAATAAAGTTAAGAAAAAGGTAGAAAGCACTTTCTCCTCTGAAGCCATGATTATGTCAACTAAAAATGGTTATGGTAAATGAAATGGCTCATTCAAAACCCTCAGTTTTAGCTTTCAGTTTACATACATAATATTCTCTCCCAAGTGACCTAGAATAATTCTGGCTCTTGTCTAGAAATTATCCTTTTTCCATCAAAGTCTTGTAGAAAATTTAACTTTACTTATCTATGCACACATAACCAAGATAAAGGCAAGTAAGAACTTGTCTTCTTTTCTGTATTTGAACTTAAACTTTGGGCCCTTGATCAAGCCTATCTTAAGCTCACTGAGAATTTTAATTTTTAAATTAAGGTCCTAAATGTTTTATCTGTGCCATAAAATTATAGTTAGAATTTCTTTTTTTTTTTTTTTTTTAGACGGAGTTTCACTCTTGTCACCTAGGCTGGAGTGCAGTGGCGTGATCTCAGCTCACTGCAACCTCCGCCTCCCGGGTTCAAGCAATTCTCCTGCTTCAGCCTCTCAAGTGGCTGGGATTACAGGTGCCTGCCACCACGCCCGGCTAATTTTTGTATTTTTAGTAGAGACGGGGTTTCATTTTGTTATATAATTAGGACTTTACATTATTTTATAATGCTTGCTAATTGCTGTAGGTCTCCATATTGTCATTTCCCCAACCAGACTATATCCTTAAAGGGGATAGATGTTGTCTATTACAATACTATTGCTATTGCTGTGTTTTGTTTTTTGTATTTCTGTTAATGACTAGCAAGGCTTGGCAAATAGGAGTTCAATAACTACTTCTTGTGTAAGTGATTGACAAATGACTTTTTAGACAACAGCTTTCTTCAAATATGTCAGAGCTTCTATATTTACTTGAAGTTGTCAGGTACAGCACATCTTACTGCTTGCAATTGCCAGCTCCACAGCTATATCACTGTTTATACTATTCTAAACCTAAAAAATCTTTCTTGTTCCTCAAAGCCACCATATCTGCTGATCTAATCACAATGATAGCTATATTCGAAATCTGCAAACTGTTTAACTGACATCTTTCAGTAACTGCACTCGTCATTTACTTGAGTTTTTGATTAACTCAGATGAAAAATAAAGACATGTTTAAAGAACAAATTAGAAATATATAGACATGAGAACACATAAACTCTATTTAATTAGTGAACTCATACCATGTTCACTTCATATTTTGGATCCTAGAATCTGAAATAACTTTTCAACATTCAATAATGTTAATTATTAAATCAAGACTTTAAGCCAGAAGACAGGGACAACATCTCTTTGCTCTCCAGTGGTTGGCAGTGTTAAGTATACATCATGAATTCAGAATTACTGGATAAATGAAGAAAAATAATTTACCAATATCACCAAATTTTTTGTCTTCTATATTATTGCTTTCTACATATTTTCTTGCATCAAACCACCGGAGAATTTTGTATAATTCTCCACAGGAACAAAAAGTAGCATAGAAAGATGAGGGCAAACAATTTCTGTCAAAACCTAGACACTCAAGATAGTATTTAGTTTGGCAACCAAACTATTTCCCAGAAGCAAATTATAAAAATCTCATTTCTGAGATTATATAAGTGACACAGTACATTACAATCCTGGTTTTTAAAAAAGTGAATTAAACTGACAATTTATAGTTTTGTATTTTTATAGAATGTCTTTATATTTGTTACACAAATACAAAACTTGTTATTTAAATAGTAACTGCTAACATGGACATAAGTTACTATGTCTGAAAATGGTGTTCTGTAAACAAGAGATGAATAGTCTTTGTCAAGAATAATTGTGTGCATTTTTGTTATCTGATTTCCTATCTGCATTTTCAGTTTTTAACATTATAAAAAAGAATTAGTAATATGCAACAATTTCTTAGTTCTCTAAGCATTGCTATTATTCTCCTCTGGAAAGTATATTCATATTAGAATTTTTGAAATTGTTCTTCAGATGACAGGCTATGATATTTTTTCCCTTTAGGATTAATAATCACATAATTCAGGAATTTAATTCACTATTAAGTGAATATTAAGTTCCCTTACGTTTCATCAATATTTGTCATAAGGTAAATTAAGTATCAGCCCCCTTGTCTCTTGATCTTTCACATCCTCTTCTGTACACCACAATCTACAATACCTGTGTTGCTTTTAAAATATATCTATGAAACTTAGATACTTTTCCCTTCAAGGGGTGCAGCTTAATTTCTTGCCCCACTACTTAGTGACTTGCTTCTAATGAACAAAATTAAGTGGAAGTGAAGGAATGTGACTTTGAGACTACGTCACAGAGGGCACCTTTCTCTCTCTCAGATCCCTTACTTTGAGTGAAGTTAGCTATCAGTTTGTGCAGAGAGGCTCATATGGAAAGGCCTCCTGCCAACAGTCATGTGAGTGACTCATCTTGGAAGTGGATCCTCCAACCAGTTAAGCCTTCGGATGACTGCAGTCCTTGTCCACATCCTGACTTCAACATAAGAGACCCTGAGTCAGGGCCACCCAGGTAAGTCACTGGGTGAATTTCTGACCCATAGAAACTCAGGTAAATTTGTCGTTCTAAGCCCTAAGTTTTGGGGTAAGTCTGGAATAATATGATAGATAATGCAAAGGACTGTGCAAATTACTGTGGTGTACAAAAGACAAAACTAAGGTTTTCCATTAAACTGAGTATTTCCTTCCCTACTGTCTCAAGCAGAGTACTAAGGGTCATCTAATGATAGAGGCTTTGTCTTTACCTCTTTCTGTCCCTTTAGAAGTCAAAGGATTTTTGCATTCTTTTTGTGTAGGAATAACATGAATAGAGACTGAACTATAAATTTCATGTTTCTTAAGTAAAATTTTCTAAAAGGGCCTCTTTCCCCTTCAAATATCCCTCTTGCCTCTACTTTGTGTCTCTTTTTTCCAAGGCAGCCAGAGTGGCTATTTGCCAAAATGTCCACAAGTCTTTCCCTTCTCAAACATCCTGACAAAACAAAATCCTAAACAAAACAAATTGTCTAAAGAAAACAAATCCTCAAACCACCCACCAAACAGAAGGAGGAAAGCACTGTGGGTGGCTCGTAGTGGCTTCCTTCTGTTACTGGTTCAAAGCATTTCTATTAACTTACTAATTCATTATAGAAGCTAGGCCAATTGATTGGGAATGTGATTTCTAGAAATAGGTTAGTTTTGCAGAAGACCATTAAAGTATATTAAAAATAGAATAAAAAAGAATCATACCATCACCTTAACCATTTCTCTATAATGCCTTCCAGTTCTCATCCATGTGGGTGCATACTTTTAAAAAACTGCAACAGACATGGATTTTTTTCATTGTGGAAGAAGCTTGAATATAACCATATATTCAGAGTTCTTTAGGAAAGGTTTCACCTGTATTAGCTAAAGGTGAATTATAACTCACTAAGTATAGATCAACACATAGGCCAATGGAACATATTTTAATTTCCATTGCTTGATGGGCCAGTATTTTTTCTAACATAGGCCTAATTTTTTACACTAAGCACACAGCCAACTCTCAAATATTCAATAAATCTAATTTATCCATTCTTTTACAATATATTTTCTCTTTTCTTTAATCCCTTATACGTTTAGTGCTCATTAGCACTTTGGCTAGAGATACATAAAAAAAGAGAAAGCTGAACTGCAAGACAGTTAATTTTTATTTTTATTAAATGGTTACAAAGAAAATTGAGTTGATGAACTATTCAAAGTATAAAAATGTGGCTAAAACATAAACCTTTCCCCTATTAGTAAAGATAATTAAGAGAACTCGCTGAAGTTAGGTTTATTCCTTACTTGGAGCTTTTCCTCTTACCGTCTGCCCAAAAATATAGTTATAATTGATGTAATATTATTCACTCTTTGCACACAGGCTATCTCTGAAATGATTTCTGTTACTTAAACTTAATTTCATCCCAGGTATCCAAATATATATTTCACAGATAAAATACTTAGCTTACAGAATTTAAACAAATATAATTTTTAAAAAGATTTCCATTGAAGGTCTGCTTTTGATACTTATTGACTGAAAATAAACTCTAAAACTTGCATAAATAACAAATTATCCAAATTAAAAAAAACAAAACTATTACTATATCTTAGAACTTTTCACATCATCCCTTTTGTTCTAACCAAGGTTTTATTTTCAAAACTACCTTCTACATACTTTAAACTGGAGATATTCTATTACTTTCAAAGGAATGCTATAAATTATTATTAAATTTGCAGTTAAGTAATGGCATTTGGAAGACATTGAAAGAGGAAGATTAGAAATATTGTTTATTTAAGCACTAAATTTATGTCAGTATAGTAATTCAACAATTTTATAATGTACTACAATAGGCCTAGTAAAAAAATTGCATTCCAAAAAGTCAGAATCATTGTTTCTCAATTTCCTCTTTTGCAAAATAAACCTAGTATATTTCATTGCCATGGTTTCTGTGTTTATCAGCATTTTTAGATAAATGAAAATTCGAATGGGGGTGAAGAAAACTGAATGACTCAAAGAATGGTTTAAAATAAAAATATATGTACTAAGGGGTACCAAGAGAACTTCTTATTCTAAAATTTTTATTTATAGAAAAAAGCTCTCAAAATTGGATTTCTCAGATTTGATGTTAAATAGTAAGATAGTCTTAGTTATGCAATCAGTAACTGAATAACCCTAACAAAGTGAAAATCTCCTACTTTATTTAGAAGGAAAGAAATAAATATAGCACTCTTGATTTAATTGTTCTTGTTGATGTTAAGAAACCTTATTTGCTAGGAGTTCGTATTTTATTCAAAATATGTATCGTCCCACTAAAAGCCAACTCATCTCATTAAAAATATCCTTTTCAAACTTATAAAATTTCAATGACTTATGAAAACATGGAGAACAATATAATATACATACATATACTACTGAGTTAACAAGTGTTAACATTTTGCATACTTGCTTGGCTCTCTTCTATTAAAAAAAAAAGTTGCAGATATAACTGCTGAAGCCCTCATTATTCCTTTTTCAGATATCACAGTCTCTTTTCTCCCCAATTCTAGAGGTGATCGTTTTTCTAAAGAAGATGTGTGCCCTTCCTGTACAGGTTTTTATACTTTTATTACATATTTGTGTTTTCACAAACATTAATGTTATGTTTTAAAAACTACATAAAGTATCCTAATTAGCCACGCATGGCAGCATGCGCCTGTAGAATTGCTTGAACCCAGGAGGTGGAGGTTGCAGTGAGCAGAGATTGCACCACTGCACTCCAGCCTGGGTGACAGAGCAAGACTTCATTTCCAAAAAAAATCCAAAAACAAAACAAAACAAAACCAACAACAACAACAAACTACATAAAGTATTCCCATTTTATCATTTTGTAATTTCCATCTTTACTCAACATTGCTATTGAAATTTAGGCAAATTAATATATATTTAGTATATTTTAATTTTTCTAAAGAGTTTCTAAAGATGGACTATTCTATTATTGGTGGATATTTAGGTTGTTTCTAACCCATGGCATGAACGTCCTTGTATATGTCTCCTTGCAGATATGTACTATTTCTTTCTGTATTACTTCAATAGAGTCTTGCTTAAGCTAGTTGGGTGTATTTTTCTTTTAAACTAAGCACAGACTATTGAAGAAAAAGCTAGAAAGCTATTATCTAATCTGTGTCTTATTATTTACCTGATTTTAATCTTTTATTTCATTGTTTATATATATACACACACACACCACACACACACATATATGTACATATGTATGTGGCATTCATTCATTAATTCATTTATTTATTTATTTAGAGATAGGGTCTCACTCTGTTACCCAAACTGGAATGCAGTGTCATGATCATGGGTCACTGCAGCAGCCTTGACTTCTTAGGCCCAAACAATCCTCCTACTGAGTAACTGGGACTGCAGGCGTGTGCCATTCTGCGTGGCTAATTTTTTCATTTTTTATAGAGATAGGGATCCCCCTATGTTGCCCAGGCTGGTCTCAAACTGCTGAGCTCAAGTGATCCTCCCTCCTTGGCCTCCCAAAGTGTTTGAATTACAGGAGTGAGTCAGTGTGTCCAGCCCTATTTCTTTGTTAAATGTTTTCTTTGTTGAAATGCTTGTGATGTAGAAAAACGGTCAGTAGGAAATACAAAACCTCAGCCTTTATTTTACTTGAAAATAGTTCTTCTATTTAGAAATATTTAAGCCACATATTTGTATATATGGAACTTCTGTTTGGAATTCCAGCAGATCACTTCAGAAAAATAAAATGAGGAAGCTATGTCACGCATCAGCATTTAAATGCTGCTTTCTGCAGAAGCAATGTCTACCTTTGGTAGTTTTTCTCTTGCTATTCCTGAAATCACTTTATCTTGTGGCTGATCAAGAGTCAAATTATTCTTTCTTGTTTCACTGTCTTCAAGCAGAGGAACACAGCCATAATTGTTATCTGCAAGACAAAAACCTCTTGGACATTAGCAGAAAACCCTTATTTTTGGTACCACCTGAAAAAGCAAAAAATAATACAAACTCAAAACCATAAAGAGAATACATTTTAAGGTAGGAGTTTTAGAAAATTCTTTAGGTAATAGTTACTTTGACAAGTTGTCCATTTATATTTTTTCCTTCCCACTAAACAAACACACAAAACCCCTGCTCTCCAAAAGCCAGCAGTATGTAAAATATGCAGAATTTAGAAAACTAGAAATATGCTCTTTGCATCTGTCAGCAACAATTCAACTTTTATATTCACATTTTCAGGTATGCGTTTCTTATTTAAGATAATTATTTGTATTATGACTCCATGCTTATTATGGGAAAATTAGAAAATGCAGACAGCCAAAAAGAATAAAAAGTAAATGCTACCCAAATTTTTATCACCTGTGAATTATTCCAGTTAATATTTTGGTTTATATATTCTATCAGAATTCTTCTTTTCCTATACATATAACTTCACACAAGAATCACCTTTTTCTGCATAAATGAAAAAAACACTTATTTATGTATCCTGCTTTGTTCATTTTGCTATATATCGTCCACATATTCTTACAAGTTAATACCTATTATCATCACTTTTCTTGGCTACATAGCTATTCATATAGATCAGTGTAACTACTGAATATTTGTTTCTAGCTTTCCATGATTAGACATTATACTGTGATACACATCCTCGCATATATATTTTTGAGTACCTGAACAAATATTTTCTTATGATATAGTCTTAGGACTTGAGTTTTTGGTTCAAAAGGCATAGATGTTTTCAAAAGCTTTTGCTGCTATTTACTGGCAAATTGCTTTTTAGGAAGTTTTATAAACTTAGAGTTCTACCATATAGTATAGTATATGTGAAAGTCCACTTTCCCATATCCTGCAAGTGTTCATTTAAATAAACATAACATATAACTGTACCACAGTTATAATATCAAAACTATTGAGAAACAACGAAGGAATAAAATAGAAAAACTCAACTTACACCTTTCTTTTCACCAAGAGGTTCTAGAAATACATAAAAAATTAACATGAACATACCTTGAGTGGAATTCACAAGAAGTAACTGAGATTTTAGCTTGTCAATAATAGTCTGTTGAAGTGACAGCTGTTCCTGTTGTTCACGTATTCTCTGCTCATAGTTCTCAGTCTGCTGACATAAAAACCAGTTAGCCTGATATTCACTGATAGACATGAACATATATTTACCATCCATTGATAATATAAATAGATATGAGTTGCCCACATTGTCATTTTGCAGGTATTGTGATTTATGAGATACAAACTGGCTCCAGGAATGTACTTGTAATTGTTACAAACATCAGTGATTCAAGACACTTAAAGCACCGCAGAAGTTTTAAAGATTAACTTATTTAAAGACATTTCAGTCAAGGATTCAATCTATGATTTCCTGATCCTTCAGTAAGGATCAAAACTGTAATTTAGCATTTATTCCTTAATGGAAAAAAAAAAGCACAAATGATACAACAGATGCTATATTAAAGTGATTCTTTAAAAATACATACTAACTTAAAAAATTAAGATTTTGTGTCTTTCAAATAAACACACTTCTAAATTTATTTTTAGAGTACACAAACACTAAGGAAGTGTTGATACAAATCAAAGGGACAAATGCAAATTATAAAATTATACTGACCAGAAACTTCTCCACTAAGTTTTAAGAAATTAAGAGAATATAGTTGACCTTTGGTGTCTTAAATGCCAGTTTCCCTTATATTGTTAATCCATTAATTTTGCTATGTTATTGCAGTGACTGTGAGAATAAAGCAATGAAAAAAGACACAAGTTTGTACTGAGGAATACAGATGCTGCAAACATTCAAGCAAATTTGAAACTGTTGTATCACAATTACCAAATTAGTACAGTCTTAAAAGCGTATCACCAAACAATAGCAGAGAACTCTTTTTTTAACCAATTTCTATCCCTGGAGGGATAAATAAATAATGACTAAGTTGCAAATTCCTTGAAATATAAAATGAAAATGAAGTTCTAATAATCTCAGAATGATCTTCAGTAGATACTAGATATTTCACTTTAAACTGATTCTTAAAGTTCAAAATTAGTGAAGCTCTATTATTTTCAGAGACCAATAAACTTAAAAATTTTAATAAATTACATAGCTGTTCATAGATTAGCAAATATAAATTAGCTTAAGAAATTAAAGCTTGGGAGGCTGAGGTAGGTGGATCACGAGGTCAGGAGATTGAGACCATCCTGGTTAACACAGTGAAACCCCATCTCCACTAAAAATACAAAAAATTAGCCAGGCGTGGTGGCAGGCACCTGTAGTCCCAGCTACTTGGGAGGCTGAGGCAGGAGAATGATGTGAACCCGGGAGGCGGAGCTTGCAGTGAGCCAAGATCACACCACTGCACTCCAGCCTGGGCAACAGATCCAGACTCTGTCTCAAAAAAAAAAAAAAAAAAAAAAAAAGAAATTAGAGCTAAATACTACATTTTCCCAAATGAAAGGTGAACTTTTATAAGTAATACACTCCAAATATGAATAACTGACAAAGCTGATAAGCAACCCATGTGGTACATTGTCTTTGCACATTGCCTAAAGGCAGTCTTACATAGTTTCACATTCCCCACAGAATTCATATGGATTAAGTAACTTATACATAGGAGATGTTCAGTATATGTTCACTGAAAAATTAAAAAAGGAAATACGGATTCCAATTACATTTTATTATTGTGAACAGAAGAATGAATCATGTAGGTCTACCTGAAGTGCATGTCCAATGAATACGTCTCAGAACTGATCACTGATACCCAAGTCTAGTCTAGGGCCTGGCTTCCCAGGATAAGACATCTTATTCCTGTATAAATTCACACCCAACCCCCTAGAAACAGTGTGGTAAGCTGACTGAATGAAGGATCCAAAAATCTACAGCAAATTCTAAATACCTTAGATTTACTTGGGCTACAGAGCACCACCAGGGCTGAAGAATCAGCAAACAAGTTACAGTCTTCTCTATATATTTCTGCGCTAATTAAAGCTTTCTCCAAGAACTCAAAGTTCTTCACAAACATCAATCAATAAGTACCTATTTTTTTCACTTTATTTTGATAGGTATATACATTATACTGTCCAGAGATTAAGTAACCAGTCCAAAAAACTTAGCAAGTTAGAGACAGGCGCAGAATAAATGCCTATGTTATTTAAGTCTCTATGTCTTTTTTTCCCACCTTAATGAAGAAACCATATATTTTCTTTTGAAACCAACTCAGAAAGCTTCTGCCAGTTAATTTTTATCTTCTATTCTCTGGCTTAAAAAACATACTTTAGCACATCTGCATATAAGATATTACAATAAATAAATAATCCTGAAAATGTATTCAATAGCTAAGAAAAATTAATGGATCAATGGCTATTTCAAATTGAAGTTTTAACTACTTCTTAAGCTACTTAATAAAGTATTATAAAGGTCGAGCAAAGTCTACAATAATTTTAAAAACCAACACTCTGGAAGTATAGTAAGGGAAACAGAACAGCAAGAGTCCATGTTTTCCTCCTACACTTTTCACATACTTGTATTTAGCAGTTATAATATTCTAGTCTAATTGTCTAATGTCTGATTTCCCTCTAGACTGAACTCCTCAAGGGTAGAGAGTATTTCCTCCTGATATCTCCAGAGTATTACAGAGTGCCTGGCACATATTAGGATGCTCAGTAAATATTAGTTGAATAAACAAACTAATTAACTTGTTAAAGAAATATCAGAGTTGAGCAACCCATGCTGCTGCTCTGCCTCTGGAGTAGCCATTCTTTTATTCCTTTACTTTCTTAATAAACTTGCTTTCACTTAAAAAAAAAAAAAGAAATATCAGAGGAACAGATATGCTTTCAGAAATGATCTGAAGGAATGGAGGAATGCTTTTGCTTATATTTCTCTAGAAACACTAAAAACAGAAACAAGGTCAGTAGGTAAATACGACAAAGGGAAACTAAGTTTGAGAAAACGGATGCAAAAGATAGGTAATGTTTGAAGATTCTTTTTTTTAAAAAGGGAAGCTTATACCGTTAGAAAAAAGGTAGTAATTTGAGAAAATGCATATTCAGAAAAAAGTACAAAGATTTTGACCACAGACTATGAGAGGGAAAGACCAAAAGGAAATATTACATCAAACTGGGAAATAACCAGTAGAACTTGGTTTATTTGCTATTTGGAAAGTAAATGAAACTAGTCTTTTTTTTTTCATTTGATTAAATGCTTTTGTTCACAGAACATATCTGCCTAAACTTAAAACCAGAAAAGTCCTTTTACAAGGTCAGATTATTGTTGCACAGTCATAGTATTTTTTTAAAATACAATTACAAAGCAAGTACATTCTAGCACTATCAAAGACCCCACGAAACAGAAAACTCACTAACAACCACATTGAAAATGTACAACAGCAATGTCTTGTCAACACTTCTGTACAGAGCACAGACATGACAGCTAAAACAGACAGAAAAGAAGATGCTTTTGACAGCCAGTGTGTGTGAATGATTCTTTGAGTCAGATGGCAGCAACAAGTTACCAACTAGGAGATCTGCATGACAACTAACCATCCATCTGTATCAAACACCATCTGGCCAAGATGACTCTGGCTTCTGTGTATTTGACACTCCTTCCAATTTCAAAGACTAGCAAAACAAGTGGTCTACCAGCATCTAAAGAGGTAAACAGGTACTTAGGTACTTGTGCTATAAGGTACTTTGTTTTTTATTTTATTATTATGTTATTTGTATAGAGACAGGGTCTTACTATGCTGCCCAGGCTGGTCTCAAACTCCTGGGCTCAAGTGATCCTCCCACCTTGGCCTCCCAAAGTGCTGGGATTACAGGCATGAGCCACCATGCCTGGCCCATAAGGTTAACTTTGTATTCTTTCTTAGTGTTCAAAAGTAAAACTTAAAACACTGGTGATCAAATATAGCACACATCCTAAATTTATCAAAAATGGTTGCCCATACTCTGGATTATGATAAGCAAAGCAAAAAGTTTATTTTAAAAATTGCCCTTTTATCCAGGCAAAATTTCAGTATTTCCTCTTCAAAACTAAGGCAGCATATTTCCTATAATTTTCTGTAGATAGATGTTTAAATTTCCATGAGTATCATAAATATTAAAATAGAGTTCCATAAATTGAATTGTTTCCTATTGCTGGTATTGAACATTTTTTTTTTGTATTTTCCAAGGCACTTATTTCTTACATAGGGGAAAAAAAGTTTAAGTGCCCTTAAGTTATCTATAATATCCTAAGTCAAACATTTCTTCTCATCCTCAATAATTAATTGCAATATTCTCAAAAATATCACTGCTTTCCTCCAATGATTTATTAAGGAATTTAATAAATGTTGAGTGGATTGAAAAAAAAAAGAAATAGTCCCAATTCAAAAACCTTTCAAATTATTCCAAGGTTAATAAAGAGAATGAAAGATTTACTAAAGGATTTGCGTGGCTACCACAAATGCTCTCCATAGGAAGCTCTACAGTTCATGAAGGAAGATAATTAAATATTAATTATCCTAATACATAGCACTTTAGATAGAAACTAATTAGACACAATCTAATTAAAATACATCTTGAAATTTTGGTAAGCTAAGAATCAACTTCAATTTTGAGTTTTCTTTAAATAGTACGAGATCAAACAGGATCAGCAACCCAGAGATCCTGGCTTACACAAGTCTTTCTTCAACCATTTTCTGCCTACTAGGTTATAAGCCCTGTACGTTCCCACCCTCCAGTACCAAGATTTATCTAGAAGATCTGCAATTTGACAGATCAGATTTCCAATCTAATTATCTACTTTTAGGTGACAGTGCTGCCACCAATTTCTCAGCATGCCAAATGGTAAACTATGACAAACTATTTTTATTTTACAATCCTGTGTTTCGGTCCTGATTAATTTACTTGCCTCTTTGAGCTTTTGGTTTCTTCCTCTGTAAATGAAAATTATACTTACCTGAAGGATTGAAAGACACAGAATATATAAAGTATTTGTCTCGCGATATGCTCATTGGAAATATTAGTTCCTGTTTTTAACAATGAGCAAGGTATCTAAATAATATCCACAGCCGTGGGAGTGAGGCCAATGCAGAGAGTCACCATCAGGGCAATTCCTAGTGGAGTTGCCCAGGCAGGGCCATCCCAAGACCCCAGACCAGTAGAGCCACCAGGGTGCAACTCCAGGCTGGGAGACCCAAAGGCATGCAACTCCAACACACAAGAAATGCAGCCAGCAATGTGATGAAGTAGGGTTGCCTGGAGCCTTGGGGGTCCAACTTCCACCCCAGTGTGTCCAGAAAATGAGAAATGGGAGTAAAAGACTACACCCAAGCTTCAGGGTTTAATGTTTGCCCTACTGAGTTTTTTGTTGTTTATCTGAGGTGTTTGGATTTGGTTAGAACCTGTTAGCCCTTTGTTCTTTCCTGTTGCTCCATTTTGGAGTGGGAATATCTATCCTGTTTGTCCCACTATTGTCTTTTGGAAGCATATAACTGTATAATTTCATAGGCTCACAGCTGAAGAGGAATTTGTCTCTGGATGAATTGTACTTTGAGTCTCATCTCCGTATCTGACTTAGATAGTGTTAAGATGAAACTTTAGATTTTAAAGTTGATGCTGGAACAAGGTAAGTCTTTTGGGGGCTTTTGGGATGGAATAAATGTGTATCACGTGCATTTATCTCATATATTTTGTATGTGTGCAGGATATAAATCTGGGGGAGCCAGGGGTGAAATGCTATGATCTGAATGTGTGTCCCCACCAAAATTCATGTTGAAACTTAATCCCCATTGTGATGGTATTAAGAAGTGGGGCCTTTTAGGAGGTATTAAGTTATAAGGGCTGCTCCCACATGAATAAGATTAAGGCCTTTATAAAAGGGGCTTCACACAGAGTTCAGTCCTTTTTGCCCTCCATCCTTTCTGCCATATGAGAACACAGTGTTCATCTCCACTAGATGATGCAGCAATGAGGTGCCATCTTGGAAACAGAGACTGGGCCCTCACCAGACACCAAGCCTGCTGGAGCCTCGATCTTGGACTTCTCAGCCTCTAAAACTGTGAGAAATAAATTTCTATTATTTACAAATTACCTTGTATAAGGTATTTTGTTATAGAGTGCAAATGGACTAAGACACAGAGCATGTAGCACATGTTTATGAACAAAAGCTCTGGTTATCACCGAAGCCAGATCTCTCAGTCATTTTTCTAGTTCGTTGTAACCTAGGATTCAGGTGTTTCTTCACGAGAAATCAGTATGGTATCTCCATTGAATCAAAAACATTCTGTCAAGCAAAGAAAACAAAACAAAAAACCAACACCTGATTGTTCGAAGTTTACAAAGAGACAAAATGGACTAAACGATTAAAGATTAATGGCTATAGTTATAAAAATCGCACATTTGTTGAAAAATTCAAATAACAAAATGACGACTACCACCAACAGAACAAAAATAATGTACAAGTACGTACAGATATGTACAAAGTAAAACATGGCAGTATCATCCCTTACTTTGCCTTCCATTTTTCCTCAAGGGTAACTGCTATTGACATTTTGGTATATACCCTTTCAGAACTCCTGTATACATGTGTGTATACGTATCACACTTTTTTACAAATGAGAACTATTCCGCAACCAAATTTTTCAACTCAGCAACACATTATCATCATGTGATAATTTCATTTAATACTATGTACCAAAATCAGTTTTATTTTCTTTATCTCATTTAATCCTTAAACCAACCTTCCCAGGAGACTATTTCCCACATTTTACAGATGAGGAAACTGAGTCTTAAAGAGGTACAAAATAATCTGCCTAGGCTCACTGCAACCTCCACCTCCCAGGTTCAAGTGATTCTCCTGCCTCAGTCTCCTGAGTAGCTGGGATTACAAGCGCTCCCGCATCACACCTGGCTAATTTTTATATTTTTAGAAGAGACAAGATTTCACCATGTTGGCCAGGCTGGTTTTGAACTCCTGACCTCAAGTGATCCGCCTGCCTCGGCCTGCCATAGTGCTGGGATTACAGGTGTGAGCCACCGCGCCTGGCCCCCAAGTATCAATTTTAATCTTAATTATTAAGATTTCCCAGTAGATAGTAGAGCTAAGATTTGAATCTAGGCTTGCCTGAATACAAAGCCCAAGCCCCTAACTAACCACTATGCCACATCGTATTAGTACCTCTAGCTCACCTGAGGCCCTCTCTTGCTATATATTCTCTTCCTAGGTAATCTCATCCATGCCAGTAGCTCAAATTTTTCTTCTAGCTTAGATCTCTCTTCTAAGCTATAGATCTATGTGGCCAACTGTTCCTGGGGAAGCACTTAGAATATTCAAAACTGATGATTTCCCCCAATTACCACTCCCTCTCATCTCTCCTCTCTACCCCGCCAAAAGTCTGGTTCTTTGCTAGTATTCCTTTTCTCAGTATATGGTGCTCTTATCTATACAGAAAGCTGTAACCATCTTTGACATCTATTTGTTGTACAGCCAATCCATTACCAAGTATCAATTTTATTTATCTTTTTGAGATGGAGTCTTGCTCTTTCGGAGCTCTGTCTTGCTCACTGGAGTGCAGCAGCGTGATCTAGGCTCACTGCAACCTCCACCTCCTGGGTTCAAGTGATTCTCCTGCCTCAGGCTCCTGAATAGCTGGGATTACAGGTGCCCGCCATCACGCCTGGCTAATTTTTGTATTTTTAGTACAGACAGGGTTTCACCATGTTGGCCAGGCTGGTCTTGAACTCCTGACCTCAAGTGATCTGCCTGCCTGGGCCTCCCAAAAAAAGTGCTAGTATTACAGGTATGAGCCACTGCGCCTGGCCCCAAGTATCAAGTTTAATCTCAACTATTAATATCTCTTAAATCTATTACCACATCCTTAATGGACTGCTGCAATAGCCTATTCTCTAGTAGCCACTGTGTTCTTTGCAAAATGCACATGTAATCATATTACTCCATACTTTTTCCCTACCCCTCACCCTTGTCCCCCAAAAAACCTTAAATGGCTCCTTACGCTCCTAGAATAAAGAACCGAAAGTCCTTAATATGGTCTCCAAGTCCCTACTAAGAGCCCCTGACTCTTCTCATTGCACTATTTCCCTTATACTTTAAGTTCTTTTAGGCCAATGGGTTTTACAATGCAGGTCCTTGAACTTAAAAAGCCCTCCAAACCTGCCCTTTCAAAAATCATTATATAATGATAATCTTCTCTGACCTGCTGGATTAGGTCAAGTCCCCAACAGACATTCTAATAGCAATTTACCTTTCTTCTTGATACTTTGATCAGAGTTTCAAGCTATATTTGTGAGATTGTTTGATTAGTCTCTGCTTTACTAGACTGTGCCACCATTCCATGAAGCAGGAAGCAAGCATGTCTGTTTGCTTATCATTGTAGATTTAGTACTTAGTGCAGTTCCGGATACATAGTAGCTGCTCAATATATTTTTGAATGAATATCATTAATTCTTTATTAACCAATCTCCTTGAACATATATCCTACATACCTGACTAAAAGTTTTAACACGACATATTTCTGGAAGTAAAACCTTGGAAGAAAGGATACAAATATCTTCCATTCTGATAACGTGGAAAATGAATCTACTGGCAAAGTACTGACAATGTACAACAAAGAAATAAAGCTTTGATCAGAAACTACCTGGAGCACTTTTATTCTAATACCAGTAGCTTCATTAGGAAAAAAAACCAGAATGAACTGCTTTACCCCATCAACACTTTGGATAGAGTATATATGTTGTTGGGGGAAAAAAAACATAAAAAAAAGAGTGGTAAACAATAATGAGGCCATTTACATTTTATGTGAAAATGAAGGATTTTTTTTAACACAGTACCTACAATAAAGGTATTTTATGCCGTTTGCAATCCTTTAAAATATGTTTTACAAGCTTTTAGAGGTAGCATAAGCCTTAGGCTAAAGGTTTACATTTCACATGGGTCAAGACTAGCTCTTGAGTAAAGCAATCTGACAACAAAACGGTCCTTATCGCTTAACATTTATTGTCAGAAAAACATTAGAGAAGATCTGTAACTTATGATAAAAAGACAAGGCACAGTCAAATTTACTCTTATTTTAGGCCTTCTCTTCAGCCTTACTGGCAAGTCAATAAGACTCTTTGCTTAGCAAATTGCATGGTTTTAAATATTATGTATCCTTCACTTTTCTTCTCGGTACAAAGAAAAAGCAGTTAATACATCATAGCATCTGAATAATTTTAGAATTAAGGAGAATGCTTCCTTTCTATGTAAGACTTTGTCAGTTTTTCTCTTTTAATCAAGAGGGGGCAAGAAGAGAAAAATTCCATTTCAAATTTCTCTTCTCAACAAAGAGATTTCTATTTTCTAATTACATAATACAAAGAATCTTGGGACAAGCAGGAGAGGCCAGCTGCAGGTTTTCTATAACCTAATCATTTACGATTATGGTAATCTGACTTGTAAATTGCTATCAGTTTTAACAGTTTCAGATGTTTTAATTATTTTATTACTGATTCTACTCTTGGAAAGATGGTCAAAGAAGCAATAGAAATTTCTCTCATGGAACAGTGGCAGAAATTGATGACAAGTAACTTGGTATGAGTAATAAACTGATTAAATATTTAATTCCATATTATGGAGTCTTGTGATACTTGAAACTCTCCAGGCAATTTTGGCGTAGTCAGCCAAAAGATGTGGCAAGGACTGCTAATTATTCCCCATATCCATTTTCTTTCTTTCTTAGAGTTTTAACACGGCACATGGTCACCCAGCTAGAGGATATATTTACCAGCCTTCTTCACTACTAGATGTGATCATGTGACTAAGTTCTGGCTAGAGGGTGTGAACAGAAATCATCTGCACAAATTCTGGACAACATCATTAAAAGAAAGCTGCCTGCTCTTCACTTCTCTTCCCCTTCTCACTGGCAAGGAAATGAGGAGAGCAGCCATTGTGATTTGGGAGAGGGAAACCATATTTTAAGAATGGTAGAGCTGCCTTACTAGCCCTGTTCTAGTCACCTGTGGACTGCTACAAAAGAGAGAACTTATTTATCTATTTATTTATTTTTAAATAAAGACAGGGTCTTGCTATGCTGCCCAGGCTGGTCTTGAACTCTTGGGCTCAAGCAATCCTCCTGCCTTAGCCTCTCAAAGCGCTGGGATTACTCACATGAATCTTTGTGCCAAGCACAGACAAAAGTCAACTTTTATATTTATGCACTGTATTTCTTAGTCTCTCTGTAATAGCGTATCCTATATAATAACCAATTCAGGGGCCAAACCAACTCTACCACCCTATACTCTCCATAATAATCTTTTGTCTTATTCTGTAAGCATAGTAAAAGTTGTCTGGTCAGAGGCTATTGTGATTAAAAGATTCCTCTACCTTGGAATGAACAGAAGACCTCTTAGTGTGGGTATGTATGAATGCTTACACATGCCAAGAAATGGAATAAGCAGTATTTGACTGTGAACCCTTTAAGTGAATGCTCTATCTTTTAATTGCTAGCATATATGATGTCCCTGGCACATGATAAATTGAAGGATGAGTAAAGGAAATATTCATAGCAAACTTTATGCTCTAGCCTCTCTTGCTAAAAAGAGATGTATAAATCACAAAGTAAGGATTCATCCAAGGAGAGAGGAGACTATATTAAGTTATTCATAGCAATGGGAAGAAAACAGTTTGAAAACCTGGAATGAGCTATGACTTAGCTAGGTTAGTATAACGAATATGGTCTTCGGTCTGATAAACCTAGTTTCAGTATAGATTCTGCAACTTAGATTGGAAAATCAACATTTCTGAGTCTAGGTTTCTTCATTTGAAAATAAAGCTAACAATGTCTACTTTTGTAGGGCTGTGACACCTGTAGAATACGCTCATTCATTAAATGTTAATTTTCCTTTCTTATTTATGAAGTAATATGAATTTAAATGTTGAAGGGAAGAAGACTGCTTCTGTGTATTTGAGATTAGTGCGCTACTTCCATGTATCTGAAATTGTCTGGTATTTTAGTATGGTCTAGAATGAGGGCTGTACCAGAGGATAAGCTAAAAAGAGCCATGTTTTAAGACTAGAGGTTCTAAAAAAAACAATTTAACAGCATGGTGGCAAGAGGGCCTAGGCATAACAATGGAAAATTTAGTCTAGAACTAAAAGAGAAAAACACAATTTAGAGGCCAGGTAAAATAAATATACTTCGTGATCAGTAGCAGGACACTAGTAGTGGTAAGAGGAGAGATTATCCTTTGAAATTTATGTGAAGTAAATTTAGGGAAAATAAAAGGTAGTATTATTCCACGCAGCAGCTTATTAAACTCATTACTCTCTTGCAATGGTACAGGTGAGAAAAAATGGTGAATATGTAAGTTCAGGTCTGGATATTCAGTTTAATATGCCTTCCAAGTAGCAGTGATACAAATGGGTATACAGTTCAGAGGGCAGGTCTGGACTAGGAATATAAATTTAGGAGTTAATTGTCACAGATATCTCAAGCCACAGGAAAAAATGAGAAGGTTCATGTAAGAATAGAAAGTAAGGGCTGGGCATGGTGGCTCACACCTGTAATCCCAGCACTTTGGGAGGCTGAGGTGGGCAGATCACTTGAGGTCAGGAGCTCGAGACCAGCCTGGCCAACAAGGTGAAACCCCATCTCTATTAAAAATAAAAAAATTAGCTGGGCGTGGTGGTGGGCGCCTGTAATCCCAGCTACTCAGGAGGCTTAGGCAGGAGTATCATTTGAACCCAAGAGGCAGAGGTGAGCCAAGTGAGCGCCACTGCACTCCAGCCTGGGCAACAGAGTGAGATTCCATCTCAAAAAAAAGAAAAATAGTGTTTTAAGAAGGAAGGGTAGTACAAGGTATTGTCAGGTATTCATGATATGAGGTAGGTTTATATGTACAAACCTGAAAGACTATTGACAATTTTTGGCAGAGAAGTTATAGACAAGAAGTTTGTGGTCAAACATTTTTTGCAAATTCTAGCTCTACTAATTCTACTAACTTAGTAGCTATGTGGTTGTGGGCAAGTTACTTCATCTCTCTCACTTCATTTTCCTCATCCAAAAAATGAAAATAATACTTCCTCATAAGATTTATACAAGGATTAAATAACTGTAAAGCTCTCTGGCAAACAAACCTCAACAAATCTTAGTGATGAAGATGATGACATTAAAACATTTAAAACCTTTTTCAGATTAGCATGCTTGCATTTTTGAAAAAATATGATTCTCATACTCTGAAAGGATATATACCCAATTACTAACAATGGATAGCCCTGGGGAGTGAGGGAGAGGACTATCACTTTATATCCTGTACATCTTGAATTGTTTACTTTAAAAAAAATAAGCATGTGGTGCTTTCGTAATTTAAGCCAATAATATTTTAAAAATCACTTATCTGTTTTGTCTTTACCTCCCTTATCAATTTGGAATACTTAGATGTCTTTCCTGAACAGAATGTTCCTTAATGGATACAGCATACTGACTTCTCAAAGAAAAACTTCTGAGTCTCAAATTGCAGTGAACTGGAAGAAACACTGAGAGAAGAACTGATGTGGAGTATAGACAGCTAAGTGGTAAAAGGCTGGTGAGTTTATATAAATTGATGAGTGACAAGTTGAATAGCAATAAAACATGGCTACTAAGATTATCTAGGCTAGACCAATTCTTTTTTTTGTAATAGAGTTTTTAAAAATATGGTAAAATATATATCAAATAAAAAATTCACATTGTTGTGCAGCCATCACCACCATCTACCTCCAGAAACTTTTTTCATCCTTCCTAACTGAAACTCTGTATCCATTACGCAGTAATTCCTCATTCCTTCCTCCCTCTCAACCTCTGGCAACTACCCTTCTACTTTCTGTCTTTATCAATTTGACTATTCTTAGTGTCTCACATAAATTTAATCATACAATATTTCTGCTTTTGTGACTGATTTAACTTAGCATAACATCTCCAAGGTTCTACTCTGTAGCACGTGTACAATTTTCTTTCCATTTTAAGGCTAAATACTACTATGTTGTGTGTATATACCACCTTACAGTTATCCATTCATCTGCTTATGAACACTTGGGTTGTTTCCACCTTTTGCCTAATGTGAAAAATGCTTTTCTGAACCTGAATGTGCAAATATCCAATTGAGTCCTTGCTATCACTTCTTCTGGGTATGTAACCAAGAGTAGTAGGATTGCTGAATCATATGGTAATTCTATGTTTAATTTTTTTAAGAATTGCCATACCATTTTCCACAATGGCTGCATTATTTTACATTCCTACTAGCAATGCATAAGGGTTCTAATTTCTACACATCCTTGCCAACACTTATTTTGCTTTTTTGAATAACAGCCACACCAATGGGTGTGAAGTAGCATCTCACTGTGGTTTTACTAATGAATAGGGATGCTGAGCATCTTTTCATATGCTTATTGGCCATCTGTATAACTTCTTGGAGAAATCTCTAAAGCCCCTTGCCCATTTTAAATCCAGGTTTTGTTGTTGTTGAGCTGTAGTTCTTTATATATTCTAGATATCAATTTCTTACCAAATATGACTTGCAAATATTTTCTTTTATTCTGTGGGTTGCCTTTTCACTCTGTTGATAGTGCCCTTTGACGCACAAAAGTTTTAATTTTGACGAAGTCCAACTTAACTATTTTTTCCTTAGTTGCCTGTTTTCAGTGTCATACGCAAAAAGTCACTGCCAAATCCAATGTCATAAACCTTTCCCCCTAAGATTTCTTCTAAGTCTTTCATGGTTTTTACCTCTTGCATTTGGTCTTTGATCTGTTTTAATTTTTGTATATGGAGAAAGGCAAGGGTCCAATTAATGAAAATGTGATTTCTTTCCATATATTTGTGTCTTCTTTAAATGGTTTGTTGTTAATGTATAGAAACACAACTGATTTTTGCATGCTGATTTTGTAACTTTACTGAATTTGTTTATTAGTTCTAACAGGTGGGTTTTTTTTGGGTGTGGAATCTTTAGGGCTTTCTATACTTAAGATCATGTTGTTTACAAACAGAGATAATTTTATTTCTTCGTATCCAATTTGATGGCTTTTATTTCTTTTTCTTCCTTAACTGCTCTGTCTAGGACTTTCAGTACTATGGTGAATAGAAGTATATCCTTGACTTATTTCAATGGTAGACAAAAAGCTTTCAGTCTTTCACTCTGGAGTATGATGCTAGTTGTGGGTTTTTCCTATGTTGGATGATCTTTATTTTGTTGAGTTCGTTTCCTTCTATTCTTAGTTTGTTGAGTGTTTCTTAAAATCCTAAAACAGTGTTGAATTTTATCAAATGCTTTTTCTGAATCAGTTGAGAGGATCATGTTTTTTCTTTTTAATCCTGTTAACGTGGTATATTACATGGTATATCATGACTAGTTTTGTATGCTGAACCATTACTGCATTATAGGAATAAGTCTCACTTTGTCATGATATGTAATTCTTTTAATATGCTGTTGGATTTGATTTGCTAGTGTTTTGTTGAGGATTTTTTGCATCAATATTGTCTTAGTCTGTTTTGTGCTGCTATAGCAGAATACCTGAGGTTGGATAAATTATAAAGAACAGAAATTTATTTCTTCACAGTTCTGGATGCTGGGAAATCCAAAACTAAGACACCAGTATCTGGCAAGTCCAAAACCAAGACACTAGCATCTTCCATATAGTGGAAGGTATCATGTGACTGAAGAGCAAAGAGAAAGGGCAGCAGCAGCCAAACTGACAGTTTTGGAGCAGCATTAATTATGCCCATGGGGGGCAGAGACCTCATGGCCTAATCATCTCTTAAAGGTCCCACTTCTTAATATTGTTATACTGGCAATTAAATTTCAACATGAGTTTTGGAGGCGACAAACATTCAAACCATAGCAAATATTCATAAGTGATACTAGTCTGTAGTTTTCTTTTCTAATAGTGTCTTTGGTATCAGGGTAATGCTGGCCTCATAGAATGGGTAAGGAAGTGTTACATACTGTTCAAGTTTTTGGAAGAGACTGAGAGGATTGGTATTAATTCTGCTTTAAATGTTTGGCAGAATTCACTGGTGAAGCTATCTCATCCTAGGCTTTTCGTTGTTGGGAAGTTTTTGATTACTGATTCAATCTCCTTACTAGGTAAAGGTCTATTCAGATTTTCATTTTCTTCATGATTCATTCTTAGTAGTTAGTGTGTTTCTAGGATGTTTTACTAGCTTATCCAATCTGTTGGCATACAATTGTTCATAGCACTCTTTTATGATATTTTTAACTTTTGTAAAGTAGGTAATAATGTCCTCATTTTCTTATTTTAGTTATTTGTCTTCCCTCTTTTTTTAGTCAAGCTAACTAAAGGTTTGTCACATTTCTTGATCTTTTCAAATAGTCAACACTTGTTTTCGTTGTTTTTCTCTATTGTTTTTCTATTTTTTATTTATATTTGTTTCCATTTTTATTATTTTCTTCTTTATGCTAGTTTTGGGTTTAGTTCTTTCTCTAGTTTCTTCAGGCATAAAGTTAAGTTACTGATTTGAGATCTCTCTTCTTCAATACATGCATTTACAGCTAAACATTTCTCTATTCACTGCTTTTACTGCATCCTAGAAGTTTTGGTACTTTGTATTTACATTTTCATTTGTCACAATATATATTCATTCTAATTTCCCTTGTGATTTCTTTTTTGACCCACTGGTTGTTTAAGAGTGTTATTTAATTTGTACATAGTTGTGAATTTCCCACTTTTTCTTTTGCTGACTTCTAGTTTCATTTCATTGTGATTAGAAAATATACTTAGCATGATTTTAATCTTTTTAAATTTATTAAGTCATTTTTAATGGCCTCTCCCAGAGAATGCTCCATATGCCCTTGAGCAAATGTGTATTCTGTTGTTGCTGGGGTTTTTACATATGTCTGTTAGGTCCAACTGCTCTACAATGTGGTTCAAATCCTCTATTTCCATACAGATCTTTTGTCTAGTTGTTCTATCCATTATTTAAAGTGTTTAAAGTATAATACTTTAATTCTCCTACTATTATCATAGAGCTGTAATGTTTCTTCCTTCAATAGTGTCAATGCTTGCTTCATATACTTTGGAGCTCTGGCATATGATGCATATATAACTGTTAATATTTGCTTGATAAACTGACCCATTATCATTATATAATGTCCCTTTCCTGTCTCTTGTAGTAGTTTTTGTTGTTTTGTTCTTTTATTTTTGAGACAGGCTCTTGCTCTGTCATCTAGGCTGGAGTGCAGTGGTGCAAACATGGCTCACTGCAGCCTCCACTTCTAGGGCTCAACCAATCCACCTGCCTGTCTCCTGAGTAGCTGGGACTACAGGAGCACACCACCATACCTGGTGTTTTTTGTTTTTGTTTTTTTGTACAGATGGGATTTTGTCATGTTGGCCCAGGCTGGTCTTAAACTCCTGTGCTCAAACGACCCACCTGCCTCAGCCTCCCAAAGTGATGGGATTACAGGTGTGAGCCACCATACCCAGTTTGGAACAATTTTTGATTTAAAGTCTGTTGTCTCTGATTTAATATATTCACTCTTGCTCTCTTTTGGTTATTAACAACTGTATGAGTGTTCTCCCTTTTCCACCTCTTTGCCAGCATCTGTTATTTTTTTGTCAAATATTTTAATCAAGAAAACTATTTTAACTCAGGTGAGATGATATCAAATTGTGGTTTTGATTTCCATTTTCCTAATGATTAGTATGGTAAGCATTTTTTAAAATGCCTGTTGGCCATTTGCATGTCTTCTTTTGAGAAATGTCTATTCAGATCTTTTGCCCATTTCAAAATTGATTTGTTTTTGTTGTTTTGCTATTGAATTTTCTTTATACAGTCTGCTTATTAATCCCTTGTCAGTTTGCAAATATTTTCTCCCATTCTGTAGGTTGTCTCTGTACTTTGTTGATTGTTTCTTTTGTTGTGTAATTTTACTTGATGTAATCCCATTTGTCTAATTTTGTTGCCTGTGCCTTTGAGATCTTACCCAAAATATCTTTGCCCAGACAGATGTCCTAAAGCATTTCCCCAATGTTTTCTTCTAGTAGTTTCATAGTTTCAGGTCTTATATATAATCTTTAATCCATTTTGATTTGATTTTTATACATGGTGAGAAATGAGGGTCTACTTTCATTCTTCTGTATCTGGTTATCTAGTTTTCCTAGCACTGTTTATTGAAGAGACTGCCCTTGAAAGCAATAAAGGAGGAAAACAATAAGGGAGAAAACCATGAAAATATCCAAAGAAAAACCACTCCAACCAAATGGGATAGTAAATGCAAAGGTTCTGAAATAGGAATATATTTGAAAAACAACAGGAAGCCCATGTGGTAGAAAGGCTGTGAGAGAATAGAGTGGTAGGAGATAAATGGACTGTCTGGTAAGGGCCAGATTAGGCTCTGCCTTAGTAGGCCATGGGAAGGACTTTCGTTGTTTTACTTTTTTTGAGCCAGGGTCTCGCTCTGTCACCAGGGTGGAGTGCAGTTGTGTGATCTCAGCTCACTGCAGCCTCAAACTCCCTCAATCTCCCAGGATCACTGGGCTCAAGCAATCCTCCCACCTCAGCCTCCTGGGTAGCTGGGACTACAGGCACATACCACCATGTCCAGCTAATTTTGTTCATAATTTTGGCTTTTATTTTATAGAAATCACTGAAAAATTTTGAGTAGGAGACTGATATAATTAACATTTAAATATTTCTTTTTAAAAGGATCACTCTGGCTGTTGTGTAATGTGATTGTAAAAAGGCATGAATTATTATTATTTTTTTTATTATACTTTAAGTTTTAGGGTACATGTGCACATTGTGCAGGTTAGTTACATATGTATACATGTGCCATGCTGGTGCGCTACACCCACTAACTCGTCATCTGGCATTAGGTATATCTCCCAATGCTATCCCTCCCCCCTCCCCCCACCCCACCACAGTCCCCAGAGTGTGATATTCCCCTTCCTGTGTCCATGTGATCTCATTGTTCAATTCCCACCTATGAGTGAGAATATGCGGTGTTTGGTTTTTTGTTCTTGCAATAGTTTACTGAGAATGATGAATTATTTTTTCACTCTATGTTCAGGCTTTCTCCTCTCTCTCTGCTATGTTATATATTCTTCCACATTGTTTCATTCATCCAAAAAAAGAAAAAAAAAACAAAAAACCAAAAACCTCACTAGTTATCACTCTATTTATCTTCTGCACAGTCAAGCTTTTAACCACGTGGTTTATATTGTCTTTACTTCTTCATTCCCTAATTCTCCTCAGCCTACTACAATCTGCCCTTCCCACTCAACTTAACTGCCTTCATAAATGTCAGTAACCTCCACATAGCCAAATGCAATTGGCTTCTCAGTTGTCATCTTACTAGATTTCTTGGATATCTGGTACTGCTAACCAGTGCTTCCTTCTTGAAGCTCTTTTCTAATGCCTTCTATGATACTACATTCTTTTTCTATAATTTGTTTCTTACCTTGTAGAGTAGTTTTTATTAGTTTCCTTAATGATTTTTCCCTCTCTATGCCTATTCTGTAAAATATTGGTATTCTCCAAGTTCTCTTCCTATGCGTCTCAAATTGCTTAACCTATGTTCTGAATCTCCAGAGGCCAAGTGACTGATCTTCTTCCCTTCCTTCTCCATCTCCCACTTCTGTCCTTCAAATATTCTTTCAACCTATACACTCTTAACTGGGAGATGTTATCCACATTTAAGGATACAATAAAATCCATTACTTCCATATCTACACTTTCCAATTCAGAACTTCTTCTAGGCCTAGATCCAAATTTACAACCATCCATTGGCATTTTCACCTATAAGCCTCACAGGTAACTACAACTATTAACTAAAACCTAATTATAGATCTTATTTCCCTACCCCAAATTTGTACCCTCTTATCCATCCTTGGTTTCAGTCATCAGCACCACCATTAATCCAGTAATTTATTCCAGATACCAGGACACCATCTGAGAGGGTACCAGGCCTCAGATGTGGCCTGCATTCAGGCACCCCTGCTTTCCATTTTATCTCCTAAATAAACCTTAAATCTTTTCCCCAACTCATCTCTAATGCTTAATTTATGTCCTCATTTTGATTGCTTGAAATGACTGCCATTCACTTTTTTAAAAAATTGAGGTATAATATATATGTGCATACATTTAGTATGTATATTAATAGATATTTTATGTATCATATAACTACATAATTTTATATCAATACATATATTAAAGTGCATAAAGTGCAACTGGATAGTTGCCAGTTATTTTATATTGCTTGCTCTTAGAACATTGCTTAGTATGAAATAGGTTCTTAATATATATTTGTTGAGCTCAATTTCACATTGTTCTGTATCCTATCTATCTCTATCCCACTGTCAGGAAGACTGTTCCAAAGCACAAATAATCCTTCAATAACTTTTGATTGAAAAGGATATAGTACAAACTACTTAGCCATACTAATCTACCTTTACAGGTTCTTTTCCTGGAATGTCCCATCATTCTCTTTGAAGCTATATGATTCCTTGTGGTACATGAAATGTATCATATACTCTCTCACTTCTGAGTTTTTTTTAATATATAGTGCTCCTCCTGCTTCTTCCTAACCTTAGCTCAAGTATCGACTCACATTGAGCTTATTAACTGATTCTCATAGACCAAGTGTCTCTTCTCTGTGCTCATGTATTATCCTATACTGATCTCTATTATAGTACAAAATACACTATAGTAATAACTACTTTTTTTATTCTACTATATAGTAAAATATCTATTTTATTTATGATTTATTTGAACTTTTTAAAGTTCCTTAATGATATAAATGATATTTTATTTATTTCAGTATTCTCAAAACTTCATGAAGGGCCCAGTACTTAGGAGGTACTCAATAAATGTTTCTTAAATAAATCTACCAGAATATTTTGATTTTAACATACAAGAATATATATTATACATTTTTTCTTCATCCATTCTTGAGTACTTAACAAATATTAGCTTTGAAAACTAAATGTAAAAAAATTTTCCTTTTTCCTTCTTTGGAATATATGCTAATGTGAGCAAAGGCTTCTTCCACAGCAGATAAGGGGTTAAACTCCCAATTGCTTACCAATGGCTAGTGCAAAAAATATAGGAGTTAACAGGAATTCCTGTTTCTGTCTTATCCAAAAGATATCTTAATACTCCTCTAGAAGAAATATAGAATTGTCACGGTTTCTTAATGAACCTAAGAAGAACGTTGAGTTTTTTGCTTTCTACAAAAGTAGTTATGTCTTAAACCTGAACTGAAAAAAAAAATAAATTCAAATTCTAAACTTCATTTCAATAATCTTAGAAAGCCCTCTCTCATACTGTGCGCTCTTTCCTCCTATCCACCCCTAATGAAGACTTACAGTCCATAAGTATTCATAGGTATTCCATAATGGAGTATTCTTTTGTAAACCAAGAGGAGACTCACAAAGAATAACAATGATTTCTGAAGAATGGAGGGAGTTATGAATGACAGCTAGTTTTATAGATTTATCAATTAGAAAGGAGAAGGAAATTGTGTAGCTCCTGTATTTAAGGAAGAAGCTAATAATTGCATGGCTAGCTGTGGCATTATGATTAGGTTTTTGTCCATGGTTCCTAGCTCGTAACTCTCACAACTCTTGTTATAGTCTTTTGTTACAATACTGAGGTGCTTCAGGCCTTGGAAGCACGCCTCAGGAAACAGTCTCTCTAACCTTCTCCTGCCCTCCTCTCACTTGCTGAAGACAGGACTCTAATATGACTATGGGTTATCAGACCTTCATTCCAGAGAGGGTCTTGCTGCATACTCTGGAGGAAGGAATGCTGCACAGAATGACCAAGAAGAATCTGAATAGACAGGAACTGCTGGGTTTAGATCACACCCTTTTTGTGCAATCACATTTTGAACTGGTTGTCCCTTCTTCAATCATGGACAATCAATGAAGTCTCCATAGAAGCCCCAAAGGACAGGGTTCAGGGAACTTCTGGGGAGCTGAACATATGAAGGTTGACAGAAAGATGAAGAACTCATCCACGTGCTGGGAGGGTAGTGCACCCCAACTCCCCAAAGACAGAAGCTCCTGTATTTGGGACCCTTTCAGACCTCACCTTATATGTCTCTTCATTTGGATGTTAATATCCTGTAAAATATCCTTCAAAATAAACTGGTACAAGTAAGTATTGGTTCCCCTGAGTTCTGTGAGCCACTCTAGCAAATTAATCAAACCCAAAGAGGGGATTGTGGGAACTCCAACTGGAAACTAGTTGGTTAGAAGTTCTGGAGGCTGGGACTTGCAACTTGGGGAGGGGAGAGGGTGGTCTTGTGGGACTGAGCCCTTTACTTGTCGGATCTGATGTTATCTCTGAGTAGATGGTGTTGGAACTGAATTGGAAGACATCTAGCTGGTGTCCACTGCTTAATATGTGGGGAGAAACCCACACACATTTGGTCACAATTGTCAAGTCTTCTTAATGAACCTAATCACAAAATAAGAATAAACTCTGAGATTTTTTTTTTTAATAAAAATGGTTATGCCTTAAACCTGAATGGAAAAAAAAAATCCAAATTCTAAACTTCAATTCTGTGACGTTCTCCTGTTCTCCTCTTCTATGTTGTTGATTATTGTTGTTGTGTGAGATTAGAGGAAAAACAAGGTTCGAGAATTTTTCCAAAATATTAGCATATTAGACTTCAGAGTTTCACAGGCTAGTAATTTTTTTTTTTAATTGGGAAAACCAACATAAGATCTCTCACTTTCAACTGCCTGTGCAGAAGTAATTTAACACAGCAGGCCTGAGGCTGTTATCTTCAGAAAGGTTTAGGTGCAAGTTTTCCCTTGGCTAGTGATGTGGTTTGCCTCTGTGTACCCACCCAAATCTCATGCTGAATTTTAATTCCCAATATTGGGGGAGGGACCTGGTGGGAAGTGACTGGATCATGGAGGCGGATTTTCCCCATGCTATTCTTGTGATAGTGAATGAGTTCTCATGAGATTTGATGCTAAAAGTGTGTGGCACATCCCCCCCTCCTTGCTCTCTCTCTCTCCTGCCACCTTTGAAGAAGGTACTTGGTTCTGCTTTGCCTTCTGCCATGATTGTAAGTTTCCTGAGGCCTCCCAGTCATGCTGCCTGTTAAGCTTGTGGAACTGTAAGTCAATTAAACCTCTTTTCTTCACAAATTACCCAGTCTCAGGTAGTTTTTTTTTGTTGTTGTTGTTGTTTTTTGAGATGGAGTTTCGTTCTTATTACCCAGGCTGGTGTGCAATGGTGCAATCTCAGCTCACTGCAACTTCCGCCTCCTAGGTTCAAGTGATTCTCTTGCCTTAGCTTCCCAAGTAGCTGGGATTAAAGGCATGTGCCACCATGCCTGGCTAATTTTGTATTTTCAGTAGAGACGGGGTTTCACCATGTTGGTCAGGCTGGTCTCAAACCCCTGATCTCAGGTGATCCACCTACCTCAGCCTCCCAAAGTGCTGGGATTACAGGCGCAAGCCACCATGCATGGCCGTCAAGTAGTTCTTTATAGCAGTGTATAGCAGTGTGAGAACAGACTAATACAGCTGGCATTTGGGAACCTGGCTTTTGAAAACCTTTCCTAAATGATAATGTTGTGCCTGCTGTGCCAGCCCACTTAAGACTATACAATGAGATTTACAATGAACACCTTTCCTTTTGAGAGAATCTGGAATTTTGGTTGACAAGAGGGTGCCTATGTGATCAATCCTCAAAAAAAAAAAAAAAAACCCTGAACTCTGAAACTAAAATGGAGTTCCTGATATACTGCACACGTTACTGAATTTTAAAGTTGAAGGAAAGGTGTATAGGAAGGCTGAACAACATGGATTCCTCTAGACTCCTCCTGATGTCTTTTTCCATTAATAATCTGGCTATATATCTTTACTATGTCACTGTAATAAATCTTAACTATGAGTATGATCCAATGTTGAGTTGCATGAATCCTTCTGGGGAATCACAGAACGTGTAGGTGAAATTGGAGACTTCTGAAACACTACTATGTAAACATAATAAAAAGGAGAGAATCCTATCATCATCATTTCACAAAAGTATATGTTAATAAAATTCTGCTCTTTACTTTGATCGTATGGAAACATGGAACATAACATCAGAATAGAAGGCAGAATTTTAGATGAAATAAATGTAGCATTATGAGAAGTTTAATAATTAGCCTTATTTTTCTCATTTTGCTGCAGATCAGTGAAAATCTCATCATGAACCAGTAACAGACATGTGCTTAAGAACTATGAGGTTAAGTAATTTTTGCCTGGATATGCCTTTCCTCCAATTTACTTTCTTCTGAAACTAAAAGTACTAAAAATAAATGTTATGTGTACAGGGATAATTGTAAAAGCTGAAACTTTAGTAAGTCATTAAAGATTTCACTGAAATAGTCTACTTTGAATTGTTATAAAGAATGGAAGAGTATTATAAATTAATACCAAATTTAGTTCTTAAATATTTTAAGATTTGAAAAGTTTTCCTGTCAGCCAAATAACAACATAAAAAACACCAAAACCAAACAAATGGAGACAGTGATACTTCTGTGTCATAAAACTGTTTTTATAGTTATTTCCTCCTTATTTATAAATACTGATATTTTAAAATTATTTATGGAAGACAACATTCACAATCTTTCACAATCACCTGAAAAGGAGCCCATCAAATCAACTCTTCCTATGGGTTGCAATATTTTTAAAAAAAACAACAAACAAAAACTTCAAATTTAATCCATTAATATATACCTGCATTTCTGTAATTATAGTTCTTCAGGGCAATTTCTAACAATATAACATTTTTCAGATGCAAAAGGCTCTAAAATTCCATGTACCAAGATAAAGAATAACTTTCAAAACCAGAACCACACACCTTTTGCTGTAATTCTTTTACTGCAGAATCTCTATCCATGCATGCCTGCCGGAAGGCTTCATACGCTTTATTGAGTTGCTCGCCAATGTTTTTATCCATTCCTCTTCGTCCTGTAGCATCACTATAAAGGATGGAGTAAATGACAGGTCTGCAAAATAATGAGATCAATTTAGATAATTACTAAGTTACATAAACCTCATTTTAAAAATGCATCTTAAAGATAGTTCTATAAGGTTTACCACAAACATTATACCACCAAGTACTATAAACATAAGTCTCATCTAAAATCCTGACTAGAAATTGTATGAAACCTTAAGTTCCACAATTTTAAAATATTCTTATTCTAATGTTCAAGGAGCAAGTGGGGTTCCGGTTCAGGAAGATGCTACTTTGAGAATACTAATCTATAAACTTAACCTAAAAATGAGAAAATATAAAAGGCCATTTTAAATTCTTTATTATGGAAATGTACAATAGGATCAGCAATGTGGGAAGGGATTTCATTTTATTAAATGGACTCTTACTCCCACTTATGAGGTGAATTCTTGCTACACTGAAATTAGAGCAAAATTAAATAGATAATAAATGTTTGTGGATGGAGTTCGCACTGTTGTTACCACAGAGCAATTAAAATGTGTGAAAATGTTCTTATTTTAGCACAAAATCTAGGGAGAGCCACTGTTGCATTGTACGTTAAAAAAGAAAAATCACATCCCTTCAGTCCTACCCCCACTACCGACTAGTTTTCCAACTTCCCTGCTGTTTCTGAATACAGGTGATTTGCTCAGTGGAGGTAATTTGGTTTTATAACCTCAGTCTGCATAACATCTCTTAACGACATTCCTTGGCTCTGAGCAGAAGGCTAACTAATGACTCTGATTCTTCCTGTCCAACTGTAAAAATCACAACACAGGACCTTTCTCTTAATTCTCTAAAAGTCACAGACTAGACAAAGTTCTCTATCAGTTATATTGGGTACCGAGTTATTTCATGTTTGTGAAAATTCTTTAAAATTTCAGTCTCTAATCTGTCATAACATCTTTTGTTATATCTTCAGGCACACTTTTTAAATTTTCACATTTTCAATTGAGATACAATTCATATAGTATAAAATCCACTATTTTAAAGTGTACACTTTGGTATTTTTTAGAATATTCATTATGTTGTGCAAGCATCACCATCAAGATAATTCTGGAACATTTTAATCACCCTCCCTAAAACAGTCCATACCTATTAAGTTAGTCCCAATCCTCCTCTTCCCCCATCTCCTGGTAAGCATTAATCTTTTTTTTTTTTTGTCTCTACGAATTTGTCTATTTTTGACACTGCATATAAATGGAATAATACAATACATGGTTTTTGTGTCTGGCTTCTTTCAGAAAGATATTTCTGAGGTTCATCCATGATGTAGCATGTAACAGTACTTGACTCCTTTTTATGGCTAAATAATATTCCATTGTAAGATATGCAACATGTTGTTTATTCCTCAGTTAATGGACATTTGAGTTGTTTCCACCTTTTGGCTGTTATGAATAAAGCTACTGTGCACATTTGTGTATACATTTTTGTGTGAACACGTTTTCAATATTTTCAGATATATACCTAGAAGTGGAACTGCTGAGTCATATGGTAATTCTATCTTTAACTTTTTGAGGAACTGCCAGTTTCCACAGAAGCTGTACCATTCTACATTTCCACTAGCATTGTATAAGGGTTCCAATTTCTCCACATCCACACCAATACTTCTTATAGTCCACTTAAAAAATTACAGCCATCCTAGTGGGTGTGAAAGGATACCCTATCAAGGTTTTGATTTGCAGTTCCCTAATGACGAGCATCTTTCCATGAGCTTATTGGCCATCTGTGTAACTCTGGCAATTTATCCATTCAAATCCTGTGTCCACTTGTAATAAATGGGTTATTTCTCTTTTTATTGTTAAATTTTAAAAGTTCTTTATATATTCTAGAAACTAGACTCTTATCCAATATATGATTTGTAAGTATTTTCTCCCATTCTGTAGATGCCTTTTCACTTCTTGATAGTGTCCTCTGACACACAATGTCTTTAATTTTAATACAGTCCAATTTACCTATTTTTTCTTTTGTTGTTTGTACTATTGCTGTCATATCTAAGGAACTGTTGCCTAATCCAGGGTCATGAAGATTTTCAATTGTTTCTTTTTAAGTAGTTTATAATTTATATTAAAGTCTTTGATCCATACTGAGTTAATGTTGTATAAGGTGTGAGGTAGGGGTCCAGATTCATTCTTTTGCATGAGGTTAGCCAATTGTCCTGGCATTATTTGTTGAAAGGGCTATTCTTTTCCCATGAATAGCCCTGGCACCCTTGCCAAAAATCAACTGATCATAAATCACAACTTTTTTTTAATACCCACATGCAAGTAATCTTTCAGCCAAAGTCTTTCATTTTAAGATACTAAATACATTTTAAGTAATTTACCAGGCTCAATAAAAACAATTCCAGGGTTTTGGATAACAATGTCATTACTTTCTGAAAAACTGAAGAAATGGCAATTCTTTATGCATTCCACTTAGGAAGTTAGTTTCTACTGCTACCTCTGATAGATGAAAAAGTTGAAATCCTGTTACGATAATTAATGTTGCTAGGATCTTGGCCCAGACATAGACACTATGGAAACATAAGCAGTTAGCATTAATAAAAAGCATCATTTTGAGTATTTTAGACACTGCTTCATTCGAAAACATACTAAGGCTACTTACAAAAAATACATGAGATTAAAAATAAATATGCAAAGAGGAAAGAAAAAGTAAGTATAGGTAGTCACAGGGACTATAATATACTATAATAAACTAATACAGAAGTTAGAGGTTTTAAGTAGCTAAGCGGCTAAGCTATCTATCACTGCCTTAAAAAGCTGCATGTCATGAAAAATTGTCAATATAAACCACACCTGTACCTTTAGATCTGAGACAAATAAGAGCCTCGAACTGGAAATCCATCTAGTCCCTTGCTTTGTTCTATTACTGACTGACCCTTAGTTAAGGGCCACTAAATCTTTTGGGACCAAAGTTTCTTTTTCTTCAGTACAAAAAGGTGTTTGGACCCAATTTCTAAGAAACTTCCTTTTTCTACAGTTCTTGAGTTTGTGAGTTAAAAATGCATGTCTGTTCTATCGAGAAGGTGCATTCTTGTTTTTAAAAATGTAAATGCAGCACTAAAAACAGCTGCATCATATGCAAGTAAATCATGTGGAGCCATCCCTTCAGGTCCTTGAATTAGATCACACAAATGTCACTGAGAGAGGAGCTACTGAGTAAATTCCACACGGATGCATCCTATTTCCTGAAATAAGAATGTATGCTAAAGAAATAAGTTCCAGGTTGATACAAATAAGTAAATGATACTTTTAATTCCTATTTCACAACCAAGAAGATAATTAGGTGTTAGATCAGCAACACTGACCAGAGAAAAAGGAAAGTCTCTGGGACTCAGCTAATTAAACTGGACAGATTTCAAATATTAACACCCTGAACTTTAAAGTCACTTGTTTATTTATTTATTTTTGGCATTTGTTAAGTATAAAATTAAGAGGCAGCTACATTTCAATTACATTTCAGTACATCTTCCACAATATTTGCCAGACTCCAGGAAAATGCTTTTTACTTATAGTAAACATGCTCAAACCTAAATCTCATGGTTAAGCTCATTCTCCAAACCCAAGAGGCTGATGCTATAGCAATCTCTCCCTTGAAAACACTCTCCTAGTTAGGGTTTTGCTTTATTTCTGGATTTGGTTTGCTGGTTTCCTTCCATTACATGAGAAAAAAATTCTGAAATCCCTGAAGGTAGCAGGGCTAGCTCAATGCAAATCACCAACCCAATCTTGTCCCCTGCAGTTCTTCTGGAGCCTGGATACTCTCATCTACCCACTGTTGTCAATCTAGCAGTAATTCCTTTTTTCCTACCCAGACCAGTGGTTCAGACAAGCAAAACTGAGGGCAGTCGGTTCTTGTCCCACCTCTCCAGCCCAGTGATTGCCCATGGTGTGCCTGTCCATGAAGAAACACCAAGAAAATCCCTGCTTCCTCTTTCATTGATCCCTTGGTTCAATAATGAAACTGTCCTGGAGTAAGAGAGGTAGCATGAGCAAGAAAGATAATTTTCTCTTCCTTTGGTAAAGCTTCCCAGCCCTAGCAAAACTTTGATTTTAATAAAATATATCCCATTACCATTCAATCAGAACAAGGTATTTGCTGGCTTATGATGTGTAAGGCACCATATGGGGAACAGCAAGGGATTCAGATATAGTACTATCTTAAAGTTATGTTTCTTTCACAAAGTATTTTCACCAATTCTTCATTTCCTATTACATATTAACATTCCTCTTTGACTGATAAGGCTCAGAAGGCTTAAATGACTTATCTATAGCTATAAAGCTGTGTTATGAACTAGATTAAATCTTTAAAATTCTTGGTTCAAGGATTGTTCATTAGAGTCAGCTGCAAAGTGCTCTCCCAGGGTGTTATGGTCAATATGCTTATTTGATAAAATATTTAGTGCCAACTATGAGCAGAAGTGTGCTGGGTACCACTGATACAGTAAGAATGAATCAGACATGGCATCTCCTCCCATGAAGGTACCATTAACTGTAACTTGAAGCATATAGTATATGAGCATCCTAAGATATCCAAAAGGCTAGAGTTTGGAGAGGAAAGTTAATCTATTTATGAAGTTTAGGAAAGGCTTTGAGAGGTAGGTGGCATTTGAATAGAGTGTTGAGATATAGGTGGGAATGATCTTACCCATTCCTTTTATTTAATTATCAAACGGCAGTCATCCTTTTTCAAACAGGTTTCCCACTGTGATAAGGATGTTTTTAATATTAAATAATATCAATTCTTTACTAAAACAGGCAAGGATTATATGCATTTCTTATGCACTGCTCAGTTTGATTTTCCTGATCAGGACAACCATGCAAACCTGAGACAATTCTTAAGCATAACAATGATGGTTACTATAAACATGACGGATTACGCTAAAGCTTTCCCCATGATGCCTGAAAGCAAGTAGAGGTGGAAATGAAAGAAAAGGCAAGTTCTGCAGCCTTGATTTTCTTTGTTATTAAGACAAAGAGTTTGGATAATAGAATCTCCTTTAACTTTATAATTGTATAACATTACCAAACTATACACAACATAAAAACTTTTGCTCAGCAAATATGGTGACTTATTTTTCCTCATAAATGATATCATATATTTAAAAACAGTAGCTGCTTTGTCTTAATTTATGTTACAAATTAAGCCTTGATTGCAAACCAGTTGCTAGGGCATTTCATTTCACAATGGTGAGAAGCAAGGAGTAAACTTTATATATAGAGTGTCCTGGAAGTAAAGAGATGATATGATACTGTAAAAATATGTGATATGAAAAATATGTGATTACAAGTAATACTGTGAAAATTACTGTGACTTTTGTTTATTCAATAACATTTATATATTCCCTCCTAAACACTTTACTAAATAGACTGAAAAAAAATACAGCCTTTAAATTCAGACCCCAGATCTGCAATTTCCTAGCCATTTACTGAACTCTGAACATCACTTTTCACATCATACATAGTTGTAGGGTTACAATAAAAATTGAGACCATATATACAGTAAAAATTAAGTAAAACTTCAGTGAGACCATATATATAAGATATGTTATTTGTTCCTCAATATCTATTCTCTCCTTCTCTTATAGTACTAATACTTCTGATTTTTAGCTGGTGTGGTCATGTGACTACGTGCTAGTCATTGGCAAATGGGTGTAACTTCCATAACAAGTTTTCCCTTTCACCTTTTTTCCCAGCTGGTTGGAATGTTACAGTGACAAGCCACCTAGAACACTGTGATGCAGGCAACCCTTGTTTAACCACTGTTTTGTGGGTCTCTAAAGGAGGAACTGAGCTGTATCCTGATTGGTACAATGTTCAAGACTGGTTCAGTGTTGAACACACAATAGGCACTCCTTTTCTCCCTGGGAAAGTGAAAAACAGTCATGGTCTTTGCCTTTTTCTCCAATTAGAGCTTATAATTGAGTGAGGCAGACACACATGAAAATAATTAGCCAAAAGGTCAATTATAAATGTTTAAAAAAAAAAGGTCTGGGCACATCTTCACAGAGGTCTGTGTAGCACAGGTATAAGCATTTGTAGACCTCAACCAATGGTTCACTAGAGATTTACGCATTTCATTCACAGTTCTACCTAAAAAGAAGAAGAAAACTGTTAAGTAAAAGGTATAAACAAGATAAAGGCTCAATAGAAGGAACAATCAAAATAAGGATTGTGGAAGGCTTCACAGAGGATCTGACACTTAAACAGAGTCCCGAAAGATGAGAAGAGTTTCAACAAGTAGAGAATGAGTGGGCAAAGTACATTCATTCTGAAAGAGCAGAGGCCCTGAAAAGTCATTAATATGGTGCATTTTAGTGAAGGGAGTATTCTGTTTATGCAAGTCTAGCATGTGTGCAGAGATGATAGCGAGGTGAGGGTGCCATGATAAGCTATGGTCAGGGTCAGCATGTATGACTGTGCTGTACTACAAAAATTCTAGGGAAGACCATACATAAAGACCATGATTGGAATGGCATCCTATAGAGCTGTAGAGTACACTGGCTGCATAAACCACATGCAGCAGACTCAGTTATGGCTAGACTATAGTAGACCTCGAATGTCACTCTAAGAAATTTAGACTTTAACATGTTGACACAAGGAGTAATGAGAGATTTTCAAGGAGATGATGGACATATTTTAGACAGAACAGATAACAGCATGGACTACAAACTAGCGAGGGAGACAAAGTGAGGCTATACCACAGGCAACTAATGCTGTATTCTAGGTAAAAGATGAGGGCTTGAACTAGAGCAGGGGAAATAAAGATGAGTGGATTCAAGAGGCATTTCAAGAGTAGAATCAACAGGATTTGGTGGCCGACTGGATGTGCACAATAGACAAGAGGGCAGCAATTCAGGTACCTGTGACTGCAAATCAGTTGGCCTGAAATGGGACCTCAGAATCTACATTCTAGTTAGCAAAGCGCCTCAGGTGATTTTGTTGCAGATGGTTCACCAGCCACTGGTTTTCAAAACACCCAGTAGAAAGTGGTGATAGCCAGACATAAAGTGACAGAAAGAAAATTTTCAGGAGGAGAGGGAAGATACTGAATCTAATTTTGGACAACAGTGCTAGAAAAGACATCATAATAAAGAGGAAGAAAGCATCACCTGCATAATTATCTATAGGAAAAAAATGAAGATAACTATGCCTTCACTATTGTTTGTATTCTTGAAGTCCTGTTTTTAATGTCTCCTGATACTAGTACATCCTTGGATGGCCAATTAGGCCAAAATCGTTTTACCCCCAAAAAAAAAAAAAAAAAAAGCCGAAAAAAACTACATTTTTGAAAAGAAAACAATAGAGAAAAGCAATACGCATTATTGTACCACCTTATAGCACAAGATGTACATGTTTTTCCTACCAAATATAAACCAAAAAAGAGGACAGGCCCACTTATTATTTCTTTGAAGGAGGCCAGAAGGAAAACTAGGAAATGCATAAAATAGTGTATGACATTTTGTGTCTGTTATTTTATGTAAAAAGACTATTAATCCAATATGTAGAAATGTTATCTAATGCTCTGCTTTGTTAACCTTTCTATGCTGTTAAATAACAGGAAAAACAACTCTGGCAGAGTATTTGAATGCAAGATTTTCCTTAAGTATCTTCTACTCTACCAGATTTATAAATAAATAATAAGGTAGTACTAATGATTTTTCAAAAGAGTGGTACAGTTTGTATCTATCCTCTGGTCTTAACCAGAAAAGTTTGAAAAAAAATATTTTCAGTAATCTCAAAAAGGTCCCCCAAAACACAAGACAATAACAGAAGTCACAGGCTACACAAGATTCATAAATGGTAAAGTTGTTTCGAAAGAGAAGTAGTTAAAATCTTATGAGTTAACGAGTTGGCTGCCCCTCGAGTATCCCTGAGTCATTTACTGTATCAGAAAAAACCACTATGGAGGAAGAGAGCTCTTCTATGAAAAAAGAGTTGAAATTTCAAGAGATAGAGGACCTTTTCACAAAAGGGCCTAATTTCTCTTTAAATCACAATTTAAAATAGCTGAGCAGCCATTTAGCCTTGAGAACATTACCAATGATAAATAGGAACAGGCAAAAACCTACATAATTATAAAGCTTTACTCTGTGCTCTTAACCACTGGCACAGGACTCTACAGCTCTTCATATCCCTTGTTTTTAATTTCCCTGAGGACATCCATAGGCTGCTGGATTTGCAAGTCACAACTTGTTTTATTAGAAGTAATTGTGAGAACTCTAATGAAAAAATAAATAAGGTTTCAGAGATTTCCGGATCTCCATTTTCAGCCATTCTGAAGATGTTTAGGGTATGACTTTAACATATTAGCTTAAAACCAGATCTAATATTTTTAATCCAGTACCATGCAACAAGTTCTCTCCTTCAGACTGTTGAATATTCCTAAAGAGAAGGCTACAAAAATCCCTGGGCAGCCCAACAGATCAACATTCCAAACTTGCATCTGTGCCAAAATTACCCAACTTTCTACCCTTTTCAAGGCCACACCAGTTTACCTCAAATATGAATATTCAGACCTAGTAAATCTTAACACTTGCTGTGCCACCCTACTGTGGGGAAGTAATAGTTGATTAGAAACTCAGATTTGCTGTTTCACTTCCTTTTGCCTCTGGAAAAAAATAAAAAGACACTATAAAATAAAGATTGCAAATGATATTTTTAACTATACCACATCTTGTGTAAAATGTACTAATTTCTCTGCTAAGGCAATTTAGATCAGATACTCTAAATTAAAAAGCCTAGTCAACTGAAGATAAAATCAGAGTTGAAGTATACAATACATGTCCAGTCTAGACAGGCTTGGTGATGGGTGAGAGTAAACAAGTCATTTAACCTTTCTATGGACCTCTGTTCCCCCATTTCTCCCAATTCAGAATCTTGGCGTAGAGTCAGGCTGTAGGACATTGGTTCGCAACCTGTCAGTAAATTAGAATCATCCACGGTGGTTTTAAAAAATACATTACCAAACCCTGTCCAAGACTCCTGGATCTAATTTTGTACAGTGGGGAGATGTAAGATGGATTTAAAATTACTGCCATAGGGGGTCGAGTCATAGCTTGGAAAGCACTATAAAATGCTATACAAATATGCACCAACGCAGGGAAACAGGCTTTCATAAAGTTGCCTTTTTTCCCATAGTGATCTGCTTTTTAATTATTCTACAAGAAGTATATAGAATTTCGGAACAAAAATAGCAGTTGCTAAGGTAGAAGACTTTCTCAAATAAATAAATAAAGGTATTTTGATACTTTGGCAGATGGCCCAGAGCAACAGCACTTTGTTCATCTTGCTTCCATAAAACTTCCACAACTCATCAACTTAATTAATAGAGAAAACAAATGTTTTCTCTATTAATGGCATTTGTTGAAGTTCTTGTTGAGAAATTTGACTGACCATAGCCCATCTCCCACTAAGTAGCAATGACACTTTTAACTTGATGTTCCTCCTATCAATACTCTAATCATCTTAATTCTATTTCAATTCTCAAACTATCTACAGATAGTTGAGAGACAAGATAGATCTCAAAGACATGCCTTTAATTCAAAGAGGCACAAAGAGTCATGGATAAGAAGGACAATCTCAGTCTTCTGTTTGGATGGCAATCATCCCAACAATGAAGAAGGTGGTTCCCTATTTGATCATGGGAAGCACTGGGGTTAGGGTCGGAACAAAGATCTATTTGCAGGTGCTTTACATAAACTACCTCATTTTTAATCTTCCCTCTGCAGAAGCATATATTGTCTTCCCTTTACAGAGGAGGAAACTGAACTTCAAAACTGAGCTTCAAAAGGGTAAATAAGTTGCATAAGGCACAGAATTAGAAAATGGAAGAACCAGATAAACCTAGGTCTCTGTTGCTAAAGCACAATCTCTAGCTCTCTCCCCTCTAATTTTTTATTTTAATCAGAGCTATACGTACCTATATCTTAATGAGTTGTGTAGTTCTACAAAATAAGAAAAACAGTAGTCCTCTGCTTTCCCCTTCCTATTTCCTGCTTCACCTTCGCAACAAATTTTGACTAATTCTTTTTTGTATTTATCTCTGTATCCCTAAATAACATGTAATACTGCCACTACTGATTTTTCAGTTTTTGTCTCTTCATTATGGAAAATTAGGATTCAGCTCTCTTTAAATATCCCCTACCTCCTATTCTCCCCCATTTCCCCAATACAGTTATATCTAATTTTTCATTAGATTAGCATTCAGCTTTTACTTTCTTATTACTATGTAATGCTATTCACTGTTGAACAATACCATGGATACTTTTCCTTTTCTGAAAACTTTTTTCCCTGAAAATTCTTGTTTGCTTTGTTTCCTATTATCACTAATACAACTCCTCAATATATTCAGACACGTCAGGTATTCTATCTCTTTAGAAGAATCACTCTGTAAGCTTTCTGGCTTGCTCCAATCTAGACTAGTTGCTCTCTATGCCTGATGGAAAGCCTTCATCTTGGGACCTTCTTTACCTTGAATTTGGGGATACCCTTTGTCCATCTCTTTCTTTAATTGAATCCCTCATTTTCAGTCTCCTGAATCTTGTTTTATATCCCCACGTGGTGACGCAAATCTTGTAGCAGCTTCCTAAGAAAGTGTTTGGGAAGTAAATTTTTTGAGGCTTTGCATAACTAAAAATATCTTTACCCTCTGACTTAACGGATCCTTTGGCTAGATTAAGAGTTCTAGGTTGGAAGTAATTTTTCCTCAGAATTCTGAAAGCTTTGCTATGCTATCTTCTAGCTTCTGTTTATTTTTTTTGAGGATCAGATCCATTTTGATTCCTGATCTTGTACAATTCTCACTCTGTTGCTCGAGGCTGGAGTGCAATGGTGTGATCTCAGCTCATTGCAACCTCCACCTCCGGGATTCAAGCGATTCTTGTGCCTCAGCCTCCCCAGTAGCTGGGATTACAGGCGCACGCCACCACACCCAGCTAATTTTTGTATTTTTAGTAGAGACGGGGTTTCACCATGTTAGCCAGGATGGTCTTGAACTCCCAGCCTCAGGTGATCTGCCTGCCTCGGCCTCCCAAAGTGCTTGGATTATAGGCATAAGCCACTGTGCCTGGCCTTAAACCGATTTTTTTCTCTTTGAAAACAATTAGGATTTTTTTTCTTTTTGTCCCTAGGATTCTGAAATTTCAGGACCATACTTGGCCATGGACTATATCATAGCAATAGGTGTTTGGTGGGCCCTTTCAATCTGGAAATTCCTCCTTCAGTTCTTGGAAATTTTCTTGAAAATTTTTTGGGGCAATTTCTTTCCTTTTGTATTCCTTTCTGGGACTTCTACTATCTGGGTTTTGAATCTTCTGTACTGGTTCTCCAATTCTCCTTATTCTGCCACTCCTTTTAAAATGAACTTCCCTCCTTATTTCATAGTGAGAAATAAAAACTTTTAATGTGAGGAGTGCAAACCCATTTTAATTATCAGGCCCAGAGAGGCACTGAAATGTAAGTGTGTGACAGCAGTCACACCTCACTCTCCCGTGAACTAAATGACCCTCTTGAAGCTACCTACTATGTGATGCCAAGTAGCCATAAAATGCCATACGTTAGATACCAAAACTCATGCCCTATAGTTCAACAATGTATAATCACTAATCAATGTTATTTCTGTAAACCAGTGAGAATTCCTATCAAATAACTTAGTATCAGCCCATTCTTTGCTCTCTTTTGCCTTTAAAAACCTGGTTGCGGCCAGGCACGGTGGCTCACACTTGTAATCCCAGCACTCTGGGAGGCCGAGGCGAGCGTATCACAAGGTCAGGAGATCGAGACCATCCTGGCTAACACGGTGAAACCCTGTCTCTACTAAAAAATACAAAAAAATTAGCCGGTCGTGGTGGCGGGCATTTGTAGTCCCAGCTACTTGGGAGGCTGAGGCAGAAGAATGGAGTGAACCCAGGAAGCGGAGCTTGCAGTGAGACAAGATCGCGCCACTGCACTCCAGCCTGGGTGACAGAGAGAGACTCCATCTCAAAAAACAAAAACAAACAAACAAACAAACAAAAACCTGGTTGCAACAAAGGCCGAATGGAGCAACCCCCCAAGGCAACCTGGAAGTGTGTCCAAGGCAGCTGTCGTCAACCTTTACCCAAATAAATTCCCCATATTAATTTTGCCTCCATTTCTTTAGGTTGACAATAGATACAATATCTTAAGTCTGTTGTCTTTGGCAGCCATTATCCTGCCAAATGACAGCCAACCAATCCTGGATAAAGAAAGTAGTAATCAAGGGTAAGTAGTGGTGCCTCTGGAGCTGCACTGAGGCTGACAGTGTATGAGCCAAATCATGTTCCACCTCTAACTGCCTGTTCAACCAGAACATCTGAGCTTTGATCAGTTATGTATATATACATTGGAATTCCACGTTTGAAGAGAATCAAAGGCTTAAAGGTAGGATTTTCGCCATCTTGACCCCAGGATGATTAGTCATTCTTTAGTAAGGTCTACTTTTTTGTAGGTGGTTGAGACAAGTGTGAGTAATTTGGGAGGCAGGCAAGGCCCCTCTGCTGGGTTTCCCCAACTGCTGAGCCTATTCTGTTTCTGGGTAAATGTTCTGCCAGAGTTCACACTTGTGGTGAGAGACCAACTCAAATCTAAAGCAGTTTCAGGATGGGGAAAGGAAACCACCTTGAATAACTGCTACTCCTTCCACTTTGCCCTAGAAAAGAAAGCCACCAGCCTTTCCCAACCCCTTGGGCTATGAATAAGAGGAGTTCATATTCTATTTCAGAAAAGTTGCCACTGTAGTACATAAAGAGGTGAATCAGTGAATGAAAGACAAATTCTGTGTTTTTGTTTTGTTTTTTGTTTTTTTTTTGAGACAGAGCTTCACTCTGTCCCCCAAGGGTAGAGTGCAGCAAGTGTGGCGGTGCAATCATAGCCCACTGCAGCCTGGACTCCTCGCCTCAAGCAATCCTTCCACCTCAGCCTTCTGAGTAGTTGAGATTATAGGCGTCAAGCCACTGTGCCCCACTACATCTTGGTCTTTTCTGTATCTTAGTTACATGCTTGCCTTCTCACCCACAAAACACATCAGGAGTAAAAAGCAAAAAAATCAGTCAACAACACGACATATACACATAAATAAGACATCTTCTCTTTTGGATGGTTAGGAAGATCTTTAAAGACACTCAAAAATATTAAGTGTGTTTTCCTTACCTGAAGAAAGGAAATGGAAGAGAACTGTCACTACTCACATTTACTTGTGATCATTTTCCACTTTTAAGGAGTTATATAACACAAGCAGCTAATTCCCCAACTGACCTCTTGCATTTCTATTCTCCTTCCACATTGTAAACTTTGGTCATGAATATACCCATAGCATATTGTACTACGCTGTTTCTGTGCTCCATCCAGGCAGCTGATATAATAGAAACCTTAAATATCATAAATCCAGCAGTGTTAGAATTTGAATTTTGTATTTTTCCATAAGCTGGAAGGCTAAATGCAACAGGATAAACAAGACAGTCTCACTGGTTAAACCCAAAGGTCCCCAGTACATGTTCTCCATTTTGCTGGATGTTAGAACTTGGTGAAATTTTCTATGTGATCTTGCAAGAGCTAAAAGATTTCACTGTCAAAGACCACACCCATGAGTCTCAGTTTTGCCTTACTTCCTTTTTTTCTCCAGTAATACTTCTTTCTCTGAGACTATTTATCAAATGTTATGGGTTTAAGTGCACAACTAAACAGTATAACACCAAAAGGGAAAGCAGGCATGTGATGTTCTACTCCTCTGAGGTGAACGTAAACATGGCACTGCTCAGTTGGCTGTGCTGAACTGAGTAATCTTTAAGGGGTATCCTCTCCTCTGACTAGGGGCAATGTTAGAATCTGAAGATGGGGGAGGAAGGATATACAATTTTGAAATAGTTAATATTAAAAATCTATTACATAAATCATATAAAGAAGGACTTTGCATAATATTCACAGATGAGGGAACTAGAAGAGAAAGTCTGTAGTCAGTATGGTGAGGTGTAGAGGAGGAGTAGGACTGTATGGGAAGGAACATGTATTACAATCCTCTAGGATTTGTGAGATTTTAATGTTTATCAGAAAGGAAATATGGATTTTTAAAGGTTGAGAAACAACAATCTCAAGGGAAAGGCATTTCTACTTTTGGGATTCCAAATACTTGAGGTTATGAAACCACATTCCAGTAAATGCCACATAATAAATGGTTGTGAATAGTAAAACCACTTAAATCTCTCACAATAACAGTTGATTTGCTGATTCCAAAAATCCTTCTTCAAGCAATTAAAAAAAATCCTTTATTTTGAAAGAATCTAAGTCTCTAACTTCTGTCCCTTATAGCAAGTCACTCTCTGGAAAAACTATTACCTGATTGGGTTGTTTCGCTGTTCAATAGAACAATTCTCATACTGCAACTATTTCAAAGACTCTCATAAGTTCAACTTGCTAAGTAACCATCAAAATGGAACTCATATTAATTTTCTTTGTCTACTCAATTTCCAGTAATTCCTTACTGCAATGACTTAAAATACTTTGTTGTCAATGTTAGCAACCTATTTTCAGTAGACCCTTCCTTTTGCAAAAAAAAAAAAAAAAAAAAAGTATTGGTGTTAAGTAAAAGCTATTATAGATCACTAGTACTCAAAATGTTTACTCTCATAACTTACTACTGATAATTACCATTTATAGAGAATATATCTCTGAAGGTAAAAAGTTACTGTCCAGGAAATTTTCCATGAGACAAACAATTGCCATCATTTACTTCCCAAACTCTTTTCCTTAAGAAAAATACGTCCCTTTAAAAATGTTTTTCTTGGTTGCATAGCAATGTGAATGCACTTAACATTATTGAACCATATACTTTAAAAAAAGGTTAAGATGGTAAATTTTATGTTATGTGAATTTTACCACAATTTAAAAAGCTTTTATAGATTAGGAATTGGAAAATGTGACACATGTACTACATAAGTCCCAAAGCCTGTTTTCAGTTGCATAGGGCTTGGTACCAGTTACCCTCAACTTATTTGAACAGTGACCAAATACTGCACTTAGTTCAAAAGACTTTGAAAATTAATTAACAACTCACTGAAAAGGTAGTTCATTTCATATTCTGTTATCCCTTCCTGAAGATAATCATAATCTTGGTTCCGAACTATAAAGCGATTTTTGTTACATATCTAAATAATAGCCTCCTCTTTCCCTGTATTTATGATTCAAAACCATGGCAGCAAGCATAGGAGATAACAGGTGGGAAATGGCAGCCACAGCATAAATCCTACAGGAAATAGAAACTAAAACTAGGCTTTACGTAACTGAACACAAACGAACTGCAATTAAACAGTAATATTTTATGCTTATAAGGTGTTAGAAAACAAAAAGGATAAACAGTAACAGTCAATCAGCTAATGCATAGCATCGAAATAGCGAAGCTTTATGTCAACAGTCTATTTTTATTTACCATTTGCTTTTGGACAAAGGTATGGTTTTAAAAAACATGCAGTCTTCTTTCATCATAGGGCAACTCCCCAATTATTTTTGCTATAGTAGCCCATAAATGGAAATAAAATACCCACGCATTCACATAATGCCTGCATCCTACTGTTAGTAACGCTTCAGTGTCTGTAGGTATCCTCCACAGTTCATAGATGCAAACTGCTAAATTACATTACCTGTCTCAGGTCATATTCTTGAAGGTGATCAAAAAGCATTTGAAATAATCATTTATAAAAGTCTATCAAAGATTACACTATTATCGAGGTATTAACAGTAAACCATTAGTCAAGTAAAAAGGTGGGCTTCTGTTAGATGACAGCACTGCCCCATGTGCGTGCACATACCATGCACATACCTGAACTATGCTAATGATTTTCACTTCATGTTAAATAAGTATAAGCATGTTAAGCTTGTATATTTTTTCACCCACTCATTTTGAAACCCTCTGTAGGATTTGGCTACAGTAAAATGTCAGCTTGGTTATTACCTTTAAATTAAGAAATTTCCCGGCAAAATTGGGAAGCTAGTGACAATAAAGTGAAACTGATGCTTTCCCAGTTGAGTTTCACTCTTGGTTTCTTTCAGGGCATAGACAAATTTGCCCATGTAGAAGCAATACCCTTGCTTCTGTAACATAACTGAAGAAGAGAAGAGAAAGAATAGCAAGACATTTTACTTAACAGCCTCAGCCTACCTACAGCATTTTTCCTTGTCCATGAAAAAAAAGTTGTGTGTAGGGGGGAAATAACCAGCATCAGTACAGCAGCTGTTCTTAGTTCTTGACATTACCGTGTCCCAGACTCTTTCATTCAATTGTATTTACTCCAAGGAGTTTTTGTTTGTTCTGAACCATTTTGCTGAGTATTGTTGCTGTCTTAAGAACAATGAACTCCCAGACCCACATGGTTTCATGAGTGAATTCTTTCAGATCTTCAAAGAGCAGAGTTCTTAGGCTATTTAAACTACATCAGAGCGGAGGAAGAGGAACTCTGCCCAGTTCTTTTTAGGAACCAGCATAACCTTGATACCAAAACCTAGCAAAAATAACAGAAAAAGGTGAGTATAAAATGAATCTCAATCATTGATTTTAAATAAAAATGCTACCAAAGGAACCAATATATACTTAAATATTACACCATGACCAAGCGTAAGATTGGTTCACAAACTGCAAATATACTAAAGTAATTCACTATCCTGTTAGGTCAAAGATGAAAAGTACCTATGAAAGGTTATGATAGATGTCAAAAAGCCATTTGACAAAATCCAACTTCCATTCCTGATAAAAATGTTAAGAAGTAATGAATATACACACCAAATGAACATCCAATATCTATTATTTAAAATTGTTCTCAAAGTGCTATCTAATACAATAGACACTCCCCATCCCCAGTTGCAAAAATGACTTTGGATGCAATCCAAACAGTTCTCTGCAAAAATCACAATGAGCTAGAAATATTAAAGGAAACTTCCCTGATAAATATAATTTATTAGATATTAATAGTAACTTCATATTTAATGATGACATAATAAAAACATCCCCAAACTAAGAAACAAGATAAAGGATGGCCAGAATCACTGTTTTATTTACCACTATTCTGGGGAAGCCAGCAATTCACTAAAGCAAAGAAAGAAAGAGATAAGATGAATTATAATTAGATGATTGTTTTCCTAGAAAATTCAAGTGAAACAATTTATTAAAATTAATAAATTTAGAAAGTTGGCCAGATACATAAACACTCATCTACATACCAGTCACAAAATATAAGAAAATATAATGGTTAAATCCCAAAAAGAGTATTTTAATGAAGCATGAACAGTTTATGTTAAATTTTATCTCAAAGATAATGCAATTATATTCAAGAAAATTTTGAAAAGGAAAAATGAAGAGGGACTTGTCCTATGAATTACTAGAAAACGTAATATCAAAGCAGATTGGTATTTTTAAAGGAAGAGACAAAAAGATCAAAGCAACAGATGAGTCTAAAGAAAAGATGCATGTACACTTGAGAATTTACTATATTAAGGAGGTATTTCTAGTCAGTTGGGAGAGAAATGATTTCAACAAATGATTTCAGGAAAAAATGGCTGCCTAGTCATAAAAACAAAGAAAAAAATTAAATCCTTATCTTAGCATACAAAAATCATTTTCAGATGTTTTAATGAGTAAATCATAAAAAGAGAATTAACAGGCAATATAGGAGAAGATTTTAAGAATTTTTGAGTGGGGACTACCTTCTTACCTGAGATAAAAAGCCTGGGCATTTTAAACCAAAGCATTGATAATTCTTGAAAATATTTGCCATATATTTCACAAAGGATTAATGAAATCTGTAGTCTAATGAGAAACAGATAATTTTGAAGAATACTGGGCAATATATACGGACAGGACATAGTAAGTGACAGTTAACTATAATTTGGTACATCTACACAATGCAGTACCACGCCAACATTACAATAAAATAGAGCTACATATGGCAAGACTTTCACCATATATATATATTTAATCTGAAACAGATTATCGAACAGTATGCATAATCTCATTTTCATAAGAAAGCAAAATAACATGGTTATGCACATACAGGAAAGATGTGGAAGGCTTGGATTACAACTGGGGAGAGGACTGAGAAGGATTTCACTTCCTGCTTTGCACATAGTTGTATTATTTGAGGATCCCTCCTCTCTCAAATGAGGACACAATAATTTTTAACAGAATGCACTGCTTGCTTCTCTGCTACCTCTCGTTTGGGTGTGTATTCCAACCGCGGTAAGAAGGCAGGTCATTTTCTTTTCCTTCAATTTCACGTCGCTTCTTCACTTCCTTTACTACCATCTCTCCCTTATTATAACTTGTCAAAAGCATCTCCTGTGAGGTGAGATAAACACCACTTTACATAGCAAGGCTGCTTTACTTTTGCTCGTTATAGCATAACAATAAAGGCACAGCTCTTCTTTGATTATCCTCCCCCTTTCTACTTCTAGAAAAGCACAGCTTTTTTGCCTGTAACTCGTTGCTAGTCAGTTTACACCGGCGTGAGGACTCTACCTAACGCCTGGGTTCCCACTGTGGGCGGGGTTGGCTTCTGTTCTTCCTGCCTTGGCCACCCACTCCCTCCGTGACCCTCTGGGAAGTTACCCAACTTCTCATTGACCAGGCTATGATGACACCCCACAGGAAGGCAGAGGGGAATTGTGCAACCACCTTGGGAAAACAACAGAAAGAACCAATTAAGTTTTCGAAAGAGTAACCACGATACTACTTGATTCTAGGAGGCAGTCTCTCTCCCGAAGGGAAGTCGGGAATGTTCCTGGAGGGTCCACTGCTCACCTCGACACCGCAGGCCCTTCCACCCCCATTTCCCGGGCAAAGCAGCCGGGACGAGTCCCTCCCTTGAAGCCGTTGGGGCAGAGGCCGACGATGCTATGCTGACATCGCGGGCCCGGAAACCAACCCACAAGGAGTCCGCTCCGGGGGAAGGACTCGCGTGGTTTCTCCCGCACAAAATCCCTCCCCAAACTGCAAATTGGTTGTCTCCGCTGCTCCTCGGCTTCTCTCCCTGCGGCGCCCCTACTGTCAGCGCGTCCCTCTCGCTCACGCATACAAATTCTCCGACGTCGTGCTTGACGGATTCGGACACACCAATTCACAAAGTTTCTTACTCACACAGTTCACGCTTTCAGCTGCGTTCCCTCTCCCCTCAGGTCGCCGGCGCCTGGCCGAGTGACTCCAACCGGAAGTTGCATTTTGTTCCAGTTCAGAGGGCAGTGCCTGCGCGCGGAGCCATTAACTCTTCACCTCCACCCAACAAGGCCAGGGCCCTTCCGCCCTGCCCCACCCAGCCCAGGGCTCTTCTGCCCCGCCCCTGCCCGCCCCGCCTAGCGCCCTCCCCCAGCCCTGCCCAGCCAAGTCCCCGCCTCTTAGAAAAAAAAAGCGTCAGCAGCGGAAGAGAATCCTATGTCAAGTGTAAAGGTCACTTGTGAGTCTTTGCTGGATTTTTTTGCCAAACGATAAATAACCGGTAAATAAATAACCAGTAAATAAATAACATCACCCTATATATGAGTTAGAGTACACAAGAATCACCTGAGAAACAAAATGTAGTTTCACCAACCGACTCCTACAGCTTTCATTTCAGAGCAACTGGAGTGAAGCCCAGGAACCTGCATTTTCAACAGATCCTCGTAAATTTATGTAATTAAACGTGGTTAAAGTCCACACTCTGAGAAACACTACATATACACATACCCATTTGGTTTCTCCCCAACTGGTAGTATTTTTCACTAAATGTATTTGTTAAAGAGGAATGGCTGGAAATGGAGGTGGAACTTTATTAGAAAATTTCCCATGAATTAAGACTTTCCCATTATTCCAATTCCTAGCCATGCATGAATATTATCTAAGATTCATATCTTAGATACCGCAAGAAAGATATCTTTTCCCTTTAGGGCAAGAGGATGAGGTCTGGCTGCCCCAATTTCTCCCTGTATTTCTGAATCATGGATGTTTACACATCTTTCCTTAGGCCAGTAAGTCCAAGGATTTAAAAACCTGCCAAGTTGCAGTGCATTCTGTCTAGTTATCTTGAATGTTGCTGTATACTTTTAAAAGTCAAAGCCTAAATATATTTGAAACAATGTTTTTAACAAACAGAAACTTCTTATATATAACGTTTTGACCAGTTGAATAGTTTTCTTGTAATAAGTAATTGAGTTAAACATCACAATACAGTACTGCTTTAAAAAAATTATTTAAACTTTTTTTGAGGGCAGTTTTAGATTCACAGCAAAATGGAAAGGAATGTCCAGAGATTTTCCATATACTTTCTGCCCCGACACAAGCATAGCCCTTCCCCATTATCAACATCCCTCACCCCAGTGTGATGAAAAAAAGCTGTTATAAATATCTGTGTGCAGGTTTTTTTGTGCGGACATAAGTTTTCATCTCCTTTGGATAAATACCAAGTAGTATGATTGCTGGATCATAAGGTAAGAGAATGTTTAGTTTTGTAAGCAATTGCCAAATTGTCTTCCAAAGTGGCTACCATTTTGCATTCCCACCAGGAATGAATAAGAGTTCCTGTTGCTCCAAATCCTTGCCAGCATTTGGTGTTGTAAGTGTTCTGGATTTTGGCCATTCTAATAGATGTGTGTCATATTTTATTGTTGTTTTAATTTGCATTTCCCTGATGACATATGACGTGGAGGATCTTTTCATATGGCTATTTATTTACCATCTGGTTAACTTCTTTGGGGAGGTAAAGGCCTTTGGCCCATTTTTTAATCAGGTTGTTTTCCAAATGTTGAGTTTTAAGTGTTCTTTGTATTTTTGATAAGTCCTTTATCAGATATGTCTTTTGCAAAAAATTTTCTCCTTGTCTGTGGCTTGTCTTTTTACTCTCTTGACAATATCTATTGCAAAGCAGAAATTCTTAATTTTGATGAAGTCCAGTTTATTCAGCACTGCTTGAGCAAATTAAATAAGCTGATTTGAAGATTTCTGATTGAAATAGTGGAATTTAGTAATATACTCAGAGTCTAAAGCTGAATGCATAGGCATTTTGAAATATGGAGGTGCTAAAAACTTTGAATAAGGAAATAGCTAGATATACACATTTCTTAAATGCGTATTTTTCTCTTTCCACTTCCATGATGTTGTAGTCTTGAAGAGAAGTGGCTGCATAATTCCCCTGTATGTGAAATATGCATAAATGCTGGTAGAATTATTTTGTAATCAATGCTAAAATGGCATCAAACATTTTCCTTTTCCTATAATGATGATTTTTTAAGAATTCACATACAGTATGTTTTACAAAGGTTAGAAATTGAGTTGACATTTATTTGAGGAATAATCTTTTAAAATAATGACATAATTTTATTCCAATTTTCCTTCACTCATATTATTATATACCTCAAGTTAGTGAGCAGTGATGTGGCTTTGGAGGTTGGGTATGGTGGCATGAAAATGGGGAACTGACCAGGTGTGGTGCTCACACATATAATCCTAACACTTTGGGAGGCCAAGGGCAGAGGATCACTTGAGCACAGGAGTTTCAGACCAGCCTGGGCAACATAGTGAGACCACGTCTCTATTTAATAATATTAATTAATGAATTATTATTAAAAGAAAATGAGGGAATTGCAGGCCTTTAAAAGATATTTTGGAACCTGGACGGGTGCAGTGGCTCACGCCTGTAATCCCAGCACTTCGGGAGGCCAAGGCGGGCTGATCACTTGAGGTCAGGAGTTTGAGACCAGCCTGGCCAACATGGTGAAAACCCGTTTCTGCTGAAAATACAAAAATTAGCCAGGTTTGGTGGTGCACACCTGTAATCCCAGCTATATGGGAGGCTGAGGCAGGAGGATCACTTGAACCCGGAAGGCAGAAATTTCAGTGAGCCAAGATCACGCCACTGCACTCCAGCCTGGGCAACAGAGAGAGACTCTGTCTCAAAAATATTTTGAATCCTAGTTTTAAAACTGCTTAATAATTTATTGAGACTTCTGAATATAAACCTAAGGACAAGGAAACCTGGCAATATAAACAGTTACTATGACTTGGAATGTCAGTTATGTTCTCAGTCAAATCTTTGATGTGCAATATCACTATTAATGGAATCTGGTTGACTTCTGATTTACGATGACATCTGGACTGGCTGATTATATTGCAGACTCTCCAACTAAAATGGCTATGAAAAATCAGAAAAACATGAGAACTCACAATGGCCTTGGAAGGCAGACTGACAACCAGGGCCACTGTGTATGGTTGAGCAGGCTGTGCTCAGTTGCAAAGCCTTGCCTCCTTCAGCCTGTGTCTTCTCAGAGAGGTGCTTTTTCTAACTCACAGAAAAGTACCATAAGAGCAGCTATAACCCTGTTGACAAGCACCCTAGTTCCAGAATTTGATAGGATACTGGACTTATTGCAAGAACTGTGAAGCTGAAATGGACATGTACTTTTTTGTTGGAAGGCAATCAAAGGTGTTGGTATGGAAGGATAGTAAGGAAGCTACCTGCCTCACGGCCCCTACTAGTAATTCCACTACTATGTGTGATGGCTAAGAAGTATTTTACACCTCTTTGCCCTAATCTCTCCCATTAGTTTCTCCACTCTATGACCCATTTTGGAGCTACGGCCTAGAGAATACCAGCAATAACCCAAAGGGAGTGGATAGGTGTAATGCTCTGTGTCCAAGCTTAGGAAACTAATAATGAAAGGGGTTGGGCAGACAGAACTGGGTGTTTGTTTCTCTGGGGGTTTACTTTTTCATATATGGTTCTTATCAAGAAAAAGACAAATCATTGTTTCTGATTAACCAGGAATTCTTCTCTTTATAGTAAAATAACTAGCTATTAAAGGTAAGGAATCTCACCTCAGCCCAACACCCGCAGTGACAAAGTTGATAAATGTCAGCTTCAAACCAAAAAGTTAGCTGTTGACTGTGCATGTCTATATGTCTTCCAGTTCAACATCTATGCTGAAGAACTTAATAGCATCAGACAGATAATGAGAAGAGCCAAGAACCAAAATCCACACATTCAGGTAGTAAGGTTGACACAAGGCTTGGAACGAGTAATTCAAGAGAAAGCATCCCTTTGAAAAGATTATGCTGTCTGAAAGAGAGTCTTCAAAATACAAAGAAAGTGAATACTTTGGAAAATTATTTACCAGAAGCAGAAGTATATGGAGAGAATCTGCTTTGTATTTTCTATGCAAAAAGAGATGAAATACATGATAAGCTATTAGACTAAGATAAGGAGGGAACTAGAGACAAGGTGAAATAAAACCAAAGTTGGATAAGTTAAGTCTGTAAGGACACAGAACAACATGCAATGGCAAAATTCACATATAATTTGGACATAATCAAAGATGGAATCAGTATTGCAGAATAATAAATCAATGATTAGAGTAAAAGCTTGAAAAACTCTTCCAAAATATGACTGGAAAGTACAAATAGGTGACAACCATTAAAGGAAATGGTAGAAAGATTATGCCCCAACTTCTTCCTGAAGAAGAAATTGGGGTAAATAGAACAGAGACGGCAACCACAGATATATCAGAAGCTATCTGAAGTAATACTTTGAACCAATACAATACTTTGTAAAAATGAAAAGGACTCAATGTGTTTTGAAATATATTAATGACCTATCTTGTTAAAAATTTCAATATTAAATGCCCTATCAAGTCATTAATTTAATCAGTGAATATTTTGGGAATATTTGCTATGTGCTAAGAATTAGGGATAGAAAGATCACTAAGACACTGTCCTACCTTTAAAGAACTTGGTGTCTATACTGGGTGACATACATACAAGAATCAGGCAATTACTATACAATGTGGTATTATGATTTTTACATTAGGGGTAATATATGGTACTCTGAAAACACATTGGAAAGTCCATCATCCAGCCTTGAGAGGGTGAAGGAAGGCTTCTGGTATCTAAGTTATGGAAAAAGTTCGACAAGAATCCAGGTGGAAAAAAAATTAATTGCAAAGGAAGAAAAACTTGTCTTCAGCAGTAAACTTCAAAAGCTGAATAGAATAACATCTACAGTTGCCTGGGAAAGATTTGACCTATAGTGTCTGCCTACTCAAGTTATCATTTATTCAAGAAAAGGAAAACAAAGACATTCTCAGATACCTCAAGGTTCAAACATCATACCACCCATTTTCTGAAACAATTGAAGATATGCTTCCCTTATTCGAGAAGGAGTCAAAATTAAAAACTCAAGAAAGGTGAAATTTTGATATAAAATAAATATTAGGAAACATTTGAAATAATTTAAACATAAATTAAAAACATGTTGCAACTACAAAGCAATGGAAAAATGTAATTTTTGACACATAAGATATAAATTATTACCTAATAAATAATTTAATAATAATAATATGGTCACAACTTTCTGATTACAGCAACAAATATGCAAGTGGGTGGGAGAGAGGTGGCAGGAAGTAAATGTGTTCTGCTATTTTACTCATTTTCTAATCTATATATAGAAATAAGAAAATTACAGGATCTCATTCTAATAATTGAAGATGTATCATTTTAGTTTTTTTAATATGAAGATAAATAACTACAAGTAGAATTTAAAAGTGTACGCTTGTTTTTGGCTGCACATTGTAGCTCACACCTGTAATCCCATCACTTTGAGAGGCCAAGGCAGGCAGATCACTTGAGGCCAGGAGTTCGAGACCAGCCTGGCCAACATGGAGAAAATTCATCTCTACTAAAAGTACAAAAATTAGCCAGGTGTTGTGGTACACGTCTGTAATCCCAGCTACTCAGGAAGCTGAGGCACAAGAATCATTTGCACCTGGGAGGCGGAGGTTGCAGTGACCTGAGATGGCACCACTGTACTCCAGCCTGGGCAACAGAGTGAGACTCTGTCTCAAAAAAAAAAAAAAAGTGTATGCTTAATTTTTATGTTAATAGAGGAAGAAAGAAATTAAAACATTGTCCACATAATAAAGATTTAAATATCTTAATTCCCAACATTCAATCAGTCACCCAATCAGGTACATCATGTGAGTACTCCTCTGCAGTATTTCTTGCATGCTTACACTCTATGTCCCCATTGCTACTATCTATCTCCATTCCTACCCGTTGTTCAAGCCACCATCAACTCATAGTTTCAATGCTAACCTCCTAATTGTTTGCCTCACTTTCTCCCTTGTCAGATTCTATGTTGTTATGTTTCTTTACCACCTACAACTATTAAATGTCTTCCCCTCACCTTTAGAATAAAATCCAAAATCTTAATCCTGGAATAAGGCATCTTCCTAACTCTCCAGACTTATGTCCTGCTGCTTCTTCCTGGTGATTTTGGGCTTCTTTTAATACCTTAAGTGATCACTCTTTTGTCCTTTTCAGGTATTTGCTGCTTTCCTCAGCCTAGAACATGTTTTCCTCATATTTTACCTGGTCTGTTGAGTCCTCTACTGAATGATCTGATTCTAAGCTAGGCCACACTTGATTTCCTTTCTAGGTTAAGACTGTGGGCTTAGCTGTGGGCTCCTATTTTACCCTGTCCTTTCCTCTTTATGACATGCATTATGCTTGAAATTTCAAGATACATATTTGAATGTTTTTAAGCTTAGGATGGCCATTATGACTGATATTAGAGAAACTTATACTCACTAGGCAGAGTCCTAGGTTATCATTGCCCCCACGAAGGCAAACTACAGCTGAGAGAAGCTAAAGCATGATGATTGTAAGTGAGAGTTCTGTGTTAAAGTTGCCTCGTTCATATGTTGGTATTGCCATTTACTAATCATATGACTTTACTAATCCTGTGCCTCAGTTTCTTTTCCTGTCAAAGGTCGAGTGTACTTGTCCAACAAAATAATGTATGAACAAGATCTGGCCTACAGGAGGACTGCAGTAAATATTGGGTAATATAGAAAATTCCTGTAACTTAGTAGGTGGTTCTACATGCAGTTGATTTTTTTTTTTTTTTTTTTTTTTTGAGACAGGGCCTCACTGTTGTCACCCAGGCTGGAGTGCAGGGCAGGATCTTGGCTCATTGCAGCCTTGACTTCCTGGGCTCATGTGATTCTACCACCTTATGCTCCTGAGTAGCTGGGACTACAGACGTGCACCATCATGCCTGGCTAATTTTTGTATTTTTTGTAGAGACAGGGTTTCACCATGTTGCCCAGGCTGGTATTAAACTCCTGAGCTCAAGAGATCCATCTGCCTCTGCTTCCCAAAGTGCTGGGATTACAGGTGTGAATAGGGATCACACCCAGCCTGATTTTTAATTTAAATAAAAAGTCATAATTATCACTTAAAATGTCTTTAAAAGTTCATACTGAGAAGGCCTCTATATTGGACTTAATAGAAAAAGACTTTCAATCAGTTGCCTTAAATATGCCCGAAGAACTAAAGAAAACCATGGACAAAGAACTAAAAGAAATCAGGAAAATGATTTATGAACAAAAGGAGAATATAAAAACATGATATAAATTATAAAACAGAACCAAATAGTAATTCTGGAGCTGAATGGCACAATAACAAATGGAAAATTAATTATAGGGGTTCAATAGCAGATTTCAGCAAGCAGAAGAAAGAGTCAGAGAATGTGATAAGATAGTTAACATCAAGCTTACCTTCTATGCATTGTGGGAGTCTTGAAGGAGAAATGAGAGAAATGAAGCAGAAAAAATATTTCAAGAAATAATGGCTGAAAACTTCCCAATTTGCTAAAAGTCTGAACCAGCTTATTCAAGTTGCTCAATGAACTCTAAGTAGAATAGACTCAAAAAAATCCACACTGAGGCATTATAATCAAATTATCCTTTAGCTCTTTGGGCATATTTAAGACAATTGACTGAAAGTCTTTTTCTAGTAAGTCCAATATCTAGACCTTCTCAGTGTGAATTTTTAGACATTTTAAGTTATAATTATGGCTAATTATTTAAATTAAAAATCAAATGCATGTAGAATCACCCACTAAATAACAGGAATCATTTATATTACCCAGTATTTATTGAGTTCCTTCTGTAGGCCAGGTCCTGTTCATATATTATTTCATTGTACAGATACTCTCAATTTTTGAGGCAATTTTTGAACTGAGGACAAAGAGAGAATATTGAAAGCAGCAAGAAAGAAGTGACACATTATGTGCAAGGGATCATCAATAAGATTAACAGCCAATTTTGCTTTGAAACTATGAAGGCCAGAAAATAGTAGAATGACATATATAAAGTGCTAGAAAAAAGTGTAAACCAACAATTCTATAAATGGCAAGACTATCCTTCAAAAATAAAGAAGAAATTAAGACATTTTGAGATAAATGAAAGCAGAAGGAGCTTGGTGTTAGTAGACTTACCCTAAAGAAATGATAAAGGGAGTACTTCAGGCTGACTACTAGGAGATAATTTGAGGCCATACAAAGAAATAAAGAACTTCAGTAAAGACAACTACATAGGTAAATATATTAAAGCTAGGATAATTGTATTTTGGTTTGTAACTCCTCTTTTTATTTCCTATATGATTTAAAAGACAAATCCTTAAAAATAATTATCAATCTGGCACACAACTTATAAAGATATAATTTGTGACAACAACACGTAAGGGGTGATTAAGCTGCTTAGTAGTGGAGTGTTTGTATGTTACTGAAACTAAGTTGGTATAAGTTAAAATTAGGTTGTTATAAATTTAGGTTGTTAATTGTAACTCACATGGTAATGACTAAGAAAATATTTTTTAAAAATCACAAAAGAAAATGAGAAGGGAATAAAATGGTATACCACTAAGAATAAGCTAAAATACAAAATAAGACAGTATTGGAAGAAGTGAGAAATAGAAAAATGGTATAGAACATACAGAAATCAAATAGCAAAATGGCAGCCGTAAGACCTTCCTTATCAATAATTACTTTAAATGTAGATGGATTAACCTCTTCAATCAAGAGGCAGAGCTTGGCAGAATGGATAATACAACATGATCAAATGATCAAATCATATGTTATCTGCAAAGGACTTAATTTAGATGCAAAGACCAATAGATTAAAGTGAAATTATGGAAGAAGATTTTTCATGCAAACAGTAACCAAAAGAGAGATGGCGTGGCTAAACTAATATTAGATAAATAGACTTTTAGTAAAAAACTGTTACAGGAGACAAAGAAGGATATTATGTATTGACAAAAAGATAATTCATCAAGAAGATATAGCAATTATACACATATATCCATCAAATAACAGGGCCCAAAAATATATGAACGAGACATTGGCAGACTTGAAGGGAAAAATAGACAGTACTACAATAGTCACTGGAGACTACATTATGTCACTTTTAATAATAAATAGAAAAACAGAAGATCCAAAAGAAAATAGACAACTTGAAAAATAGTATAAACCAACTAGACCTAGCAGACATGTAGAGCATTCCACCCCAAAAAAGCTGAATATACATTCTTCTCAAGTGGATATGAAATCTTCTCCAGGATAGATCAAATGTTAGGCCACAAAAAGTCTTAATATATTTAAAAAGATTGAAATCATACAAAGTATCTTCTCCAACCAAAATGGAATGAAACTAGAAGTTAATACAAGGAAAACTAAAAAATTTACAAATATGTGCAAATTAAGCAACACATTCTTAACCAATGAGTCACAAGGATAAATCACAGGAAAATTAGATTTACTTGGAGAAGAATAAAAACAAAATTGCAATGTATCAAAATATATGGGATGCAGTAAAAACAGTGCTCAGAGGAAAATTAATAGCAGTAAATGTTCATATTAAAAAAGATGTGAGAGTTGGGCATGCTGGCTCACGCCTGTAATCCCAGGACTTTGGGAGGTTGAGACAAGCAGATCACTTGAGGTCAGGAGTTTGAGACCAGCCTGGCCAACATGGTGAAACCTTGGCTCTACTAAAAATACAAAAATTAGCTCGGTGTGGTGGTATGCGTGTGCCTGTAATCCCGGCTATTTGGGAGGCTGAGGCAGGAGAATCGCTTGAACCTGGCAGGCAGAGATTGCAGTGAGCCAAGATTGCACCAGCCTGGGAGACAGAGTAAGACTCCATCTCAAAAGAAAAAAAAAAAAAAAAAAAAGAAGAAGAAGATTTGAAATCAATAATCTAACTTTATACCTCAAGGAACTGGAAAAGGAAGAGCAAACTAAATTGAAAGCTAGCAAGGATGAAACTAATAAAGATTAGAGAAGAGATAAATGAAACAGAGAGTAGAAACACAGTTGAGAGAATCAATGAAACTAGAAGTTGGTTCTTGGAAAAGATCAAGAAAATTGACAAAACTTTAAATCGATAAGAAAAAGAGGAAGAAGAAATAAATAACTAAAATCAAAAATGAAAGTGAGGACATTACCACCAACCAAATAGAAATACAAAGTATTATAAATATTATGTTATGGAACAGTTGTAGATCAACCAATTAGATAACCTAGATGAACTGTACAAATTCCTAAAAACACATAGACTACTAAATCTAAGTAAAGAGGAAATAGGAAATCTGAACAGACTGATAATAATACAGAGATTGAATCAATAACCAAAAATCTCCCCACAAAGAAGCCATCAGGACCAGATAGCTTCACTGGTGAATTCTACCATGCACTTAAATAACACCAAATTTTCAAACTGCTAGAAAAAAAATGGGTGGAAAGGATGCTTACTAACTCGTTCTATGGGGCTAGCCTTGACTTTATACTGAAGCCAGACAGAGACGTGATAAAAAAGAAAGCTAAAAACCAATATTCCTTGTGAATATAGATGCAAAAATTCTCCACAAAATACTAGCAAACTAAATCCAACAGCCTATTAAGTGTATTATACATCATGATCAAGTGTGATTTATCCCTGTAACGCAAGGGTGGTTCAACATAAGAAAATCACTTCGGGCAATGCACCACATCATAGAAAAATGGAAAAAAAAAAAAACCCACATGATTATCTCCACTGACGCAAAAAGGCATTTGAAAAAAACCAACACCCTTCCATGATTCCTCAGAAAACTAGGATTAGAAGGGAACTTCCTTAACATAATAAAGAGCATTTATGAAAAACCCTCAGGTAACAACATATCAAATGGTGAAATACTAAAAGCTTTCTCCCTAGGATTAGGAACAAGACAAGGACACTTTCTTTCACCACTGCTATTTAACACTGTCCAGGAAACAGTAGCCAGTGCAATTAGACAAGAAAAAGAAATAAAAGCCATCCAAATTGGAAAGGAAGAGGTAAAACTATTTCTATCCTTAGATGATATTATCCTATATATGAAAACTCCCAAAGTATTCACAAGAAAGCTACTAGAGCTAATAAATGAATTTAGCAAAGTTACAGGGTATGATATAAACACTCAAAAATCAGTTTTTTCTATACATTGCCAATGAACCCTCTTAAAAGGAAATTAAGAAAATTCTATTTACAGTGGCATCCAAAAAAGAAAATGCCTAGGAATAAACTTAACCAAAGAGGTAAAATAGTTATAGACTGAAAACTACAAAACATTTCTGAAAGAAATTATAGAATACCTAAGTAAGTAGAAAGACATCCTATGTCCATGGATTGGAAGACTTAATATTATTAAGATGGCAGTACTCCACAAATTGATCTCCAGATTCAATGCAATTGCTATTGAAATTTCAATAGCCTATTTTTTTTTGTAGAAATTGAAAAGCTGATTCTGAAATTCATATTAAATTGCAAGTGTAGCCAGAAGAATATTGCAAAGGAAAAACAAAGTTGGAAGACTCACGCTTCCCAATTTCAACACTGACTACAAAGCTACAGTAATCAAAACAGCATGGCACTAGCATAAAGATACACATATGGACCAAAGGAATAGAACTGAGAGTACAAAAATAAACACTTATAAGGGTGCCAAGACCATTTAATGGAGAAAAAATAGTCTCTTCAACAAATGATGCTGGGACAAGTGATAACCACATGCAAAAGAAAGAAGGTGGACCCCTACCTCACACCACATACAAAAATTAACTCCCAATCGATCAATTACCTAAATATAAGAGATAAAACCATAATAGCACACTTAGACAAACACAAGTGGGTAAGTCATCATGACATTGGATTTGGCAATGGATTTTAGATATGATACCAAAATAACAAACAAGAAAACAAACCAATTTGACTTAATAATTTTTTAAAACTTTAAACATTGAAAGATGTCAAGACACTGAAAAGACAGTCTATAGAAAAGGAGAAAATATTTGCAAATCACATATCTGATAAGGGGCTAGAATCTAGAATATATAAAAAACTCATGACTCAACAACAAAAAGACAAACAATCCAATTAAAACGTGGGTAACTGACTTGAATAGACATTTATCTAAAGAGGATCTACACATGGTCAACAAACACATGAAAAAATGCTTGACATTATTAGTCTTCAGGGAAATGCAAATCAGGACTACAATGAATTACCACTTCACATTCACTAGGATGGCTGTAATAAGAACCCAAATAGAAAATAACAAGTGTGGAGGAGGATGTGGAAAAATTGGAAGCCTTATATAGTGCTGGTTGGAGTGTAAAATAGTTCAACCACTGTGGAAAATAATTTGCCAGTTCCTTAAAATGCTAAACATAGAATTACCAAATGACCCCAGAATTCTACTGATAGGTATATACCCAAAAGAACTGAAAACAGGTACTGAAACAAATACATGTAAATACATGTTCATAACAGCATGATTTACAATAGTCCAAAAGTGAAGACAGACCAAATACCCTATCCATCAACAGACGAATGGATAAATAATTAGTGGTATATACATATAATAGAATATTATTCAGCCACAAAAAGAAATGAAGTACTGATACATGCTACAACATGGATGAAACTCAAAACCATTGTGCTAAGTAAAAAAAGACAGTTTAAGAAAGTCACAGGTGAGGACATGATGGCCGACTAGAAGGAGCAGCGATTGGAGGCTCCCATCAAAAAGGACTATAACAGCACGCAAATCCTTCACTGGCAACGGAGGTATCCAGGTTCTGTCATCAGAACTGACCAGGCAGCTGGCGTGACCCTCGGAGAGGAAGGAAGACCATTATGGTGCGGTGGCCCACCTGAGAGCCACATGGGGCAGGGAAGCCCCCAGCCCACAGCCAAGGGAGGCAGTGAGTGAGTGTGCTACCCAGCCTGGGAAACCATGCTTTTTTCATGGAACTGTGCAACCCACAGGTCAGAAGATCCCACTAGTGAGCCCACACCACCAGGCCTAGCCTCCCAAGCACGGAGTTGCACTGATTCTCAACAGCCACTCAGCTAGAATCTGCTTAAGCCTGCTAAGTTCCCAGGGGCAGGGGCAGTCAGCACCACAGCTGCAGCTCTCTGCTGTCCAAGCTGTTTGAGCTCCTTGGGGGGAGAGATGGTAGCCAACACTGGGACTGATAGCCACCTAACACACTAAGTTCCCAGGGTGGGGGAAGGGAACAGCCATCTCTATAGCTCCAGGCTGCGCTTTTTCCCTGCTGGAGCCAGGGAGGCTGGATGGCTTGGTCCCAAGCAGTAACTCCCACACCCCCACCCCAACACACCAGCTGTGGCAAACTGCGGCCAGACCCTCTTCAAGCCTGACCCTGACTCATCCCTCCTTATTGGGCGGGGCCTCCCTGCAGGAACTCCAACAACTCCAGCCAGGGACTCAGGGACAGAACTCTGATCCCCCTGGGGCTGAGCCCCTAGGGGGAGGGGTGCTGCGGTCTCCATGGACCAGCAGACTTAGTCTTTCCTTCTGCTAGTTCTGAGGAATCTAGGCAGCCCAGATGAGTGGGTTCCCCCCAGCAAAGCACACCCCCTCCACCAAGGGATAGTCAAAGTGTTTCATTAAACAAGTCTTGCTCCCCATGCCACCCAACTGGGTGAGACCCTCCAACAGGGGTCATCAGACACCCTATATAGGAGCATTCCTACTGCCATCTGGTTGGTGCCCCTCAAGGTCAGAGATCCCAGAGGAAGGAGCAGGCATCCATCTTTTCTGTTCTCCAGCCTCCTTGAGTGATGTCTCCAGGTGCAAGAGCAAACACCAGATGAATAAGGCCTGTAGTGAATCCCTAGCAAACCTCAGCAGTCCTACAGAAGAGAGACCTGACCTTTGAAAGAAAAACAAACAAACAGACAGCAACAACAACAGCATCAACAAAAAAATTCCCCACAAAAACCCCATCCAAGGGTCAGCAACCTCAAAGATCAAAACTAGACAAACTTGTGAAGATGAGAAAGAACAAAAAAACTCTGAAAACCCAAAAGGTCAGAGTGTCTCTTCTCCAAATGATCACAATGCCTTTCCAGCAAGGATGCAGAACTGAATGGAGGATGAGATGGACAAATTGACAGAAGTAGGCTTCAGAAGGTGGGTAATAAACTCCACTGAGCTAAAGGAGCATGTTCTAACCCAATGCAAAGAAGCTAAGAAGCTTGATAAAAGGCTATAGGAGCTACTAAATGGAATAACCAGTTTAGAGAGGAACAAAAATTACCTGATGGAGCTGAAAAACACAGCACGAGAACTTCGTGAAGCATACACAAGTATCAATAGCCGAATTGACCAAGCAGAATAAAGTATATCAGAGTTTGAAGATCATCTTGCTGAAATCAGGCATGAAGACAAGATTAGAGAACAAAGAATGAAAAGGAATGAACAACACCTCTGAGAAATATGGGACTATGTAAAAAGACCTAACCTACGATTGATTGGAGTACCTGAAAAAGACAGGGAGAATGGAACCAAGTTGGAAAACACACTTCAGGATATTATCCAGGAGAACTTCCCCAACCTAGCAAGACAGGCCAACATTCAAATTCAGGAAATACAGAGAACACCACTAAGATACTCCACTAGAAGATCAAACCCAAGACACATAATCATCAGATTCTCCAAGGTTGAAATGAAGGAAAAAATGTTAAGGGCAGCTGGGGAGTAAGGCCAGGTAAACTACAAAGGGAAGCCCATCAGACTAACAGTGAACCTCTCAGCAGAAACTCTACAAGCCAGAAGAGAGTGGGGGCCAATATTTTAAAGAAAATAATTTTCAACCCAAAATTTCATATCCAGCCAAACTACATAAGAGAAGGAGAAATAAAATCCTTTCCAGACAACCAAATGCTGAGGGATTTCATCACTACCTGGCCTGTCTTGCAAGAGTTCCTGAAGGAAGCACTAACTATGGAAAGGAAAAACTGGTACCAGCCACTGCAAAAACACACCAAAATATCAACATCAACAAAGACCAATGACACTATGAAAAAACTGCATCAACTAGTGTGCAAAATAACCAGATAGCATCACGATGACAGGATCAAATTCACATATAACATTATTAACCTTAAATGTAAATGGGCTAAATGCCCCAACTAAAAGACACAGACTGGCAAATTGGATAAAGAGTCAAGACTCATCAGTGTGCTGTATTTGGGAGACCTATCTCACATGCAAAGACACACATAGGCTCAAAATAAAGGGATGGAGGAACATTTACCAAGCAAATGGAAAGCAAAAAAAAAAAAAAAAAAAAAAAAAAAGCAGGGGTTGCAGTCCTAGTCTCCTAGTCTTTAACAAAACAGACATTAAACCAACAAAGATCAAAAAAGACAAAGAAGAGCATTACATAATGGTAAAGGGATCAATGCAACAAGAAGAGCTAACCATCCTAAATATATATGCACCCAATACAGGAGCACCCAGATTCATAAAGCAAGTTCTTAGAGACCTACAAAGTGACTTAGACTCCCACACAATAATAGTGGGAGACTTTAACACCCTACTGTCAATATTAGACAGATCAACGAGATAGAAAATTAACAAGGATATTCAGGATTTGAACTCAGCTCTGGATCAAGTGGACCTAATAGAAATCTACAAAACTGTCCACCCCAAATCAACAGAATATACATTCTTCTTAGTACCACATGGCACTTACTCTAAAATAGACCACATAATTGGAAGTAAAACACTCCTCAGCAAATGCAAAAGAACTGAAATTATAACAGTCTCTCAGACCAGAGTGCAATCAAATTAGAAATCAGGATTAAGAAACTCACTCAAAATGACACAACTACATGGAAATTGAACAATGTGCTCCTGAATGACTCCTAGGTAAATAATGAAATTAAGGCAGAAATCAAGAAGTTCTTTGAAACTAATGAAAACGAGATGATGTACCAGAATCTCTGGGACACAGCTAAAGCAGTGTTAAGAGGGAAGTTTATAGCACTAAATGCCCACATCAGAAAGCTAGAACTGAAATTGACAACCTAACATCACAATTAAAAGAGCTAGAGAAGCAAGAGCAAACAAATCCAAAACCTAGCAGAAGACAAGAAATAACTAAGTTCAGAACAGAACTGAAGGAGATAGAGACACCAAAAAACCCTTCAAAAACTCAATGAATCCAGGAGCTGTTTTTTTGAAAAAGTTTACAAAATAGATGACTACCTAGACTAATAAAAAAGAAACGAGAGAAGACTCAAATAGACACAATAAAAATGATAAAGGGAATATCACCTCTGACCTCACAGAAATACAAACTACTATCAGCAAATACTATAAACACCTCTATGCAAATAAGCTAGAAAATCTAGAAGAAATGGTTAAATTCCTGGACACATACACCCTCCCAAGACTAAACCAGAAAGAAGTGATACTTGAATAGACCAATAACAAGTTCTGAAATTGGGGCAGTAATTAATACCCTACCAACCAACAAAAGCCCAGGACCAGATGGATTCATGGATGAATTCTACCAGAGGTACAAAGAGGAGCTTGTACCATTCCTTCTGAAACTATTCAAACAATTGAAAAGGAGGGACTCCTCCCTAACTCATTTTATGAGGCCAGCATCATCCTGATACCAAAACCTGGCAGAGACACAACAAAAAAAGAAACTTCAGGCCAATATCTGTGATGAACATCAGTGCAAAAATCCTCAATAAAGTACTGGCAAACCGAATCCAAAAGCACATCAAAAAGCTTATCCACCAAGATCAAGTCAGCTTCATCCCTGGGACGCAAGGTTGGTTCAACATACACAAATCAATAAACATAATCCATCACATAAACAGAACCAATGACAAAAACCACATGGTTATCTCAATAGAAGCAGAATAGGCCTTCAATAAAATTCAACATCCCTTCATGTTAAAATCTCTCAATAAACTAGGCATTGATGGAACATATCTCAAAATAAAAAGAGCTATTTATGACAGCTAATATCATACTAAATGGGCAAAAGCTGTAAGCATTTCCTTTGAAAACCATCACAAGACAAGGATGCCCTCTCTCACCACTCCTATTCAACATAGTATTGGAAGTTCTGGCCAGGGCAATCAGGCAAGAGAAAGAAATAAAGCGTATTCAGATAGGAAGAGAAGAAGTCAAATTGTCTCTGTTTGCAGATGATATGAGTCTATATTTAGAAAACCCCATAATCTCAGCCCCAAACCTCCTTAAGCTAATAAGCAACTTCAGCAAAGTCTCAGGATACAAAATCAGTGTGCAAAAATCACAAGCATTCCTATACACCAATAATAGACAAGCAGAGAGCCAAAGCATGAATGAAGTCTCATTCACAATTGCTACAAAGAGAATAAAATACCTAGGAATACAGTTAACTAGGGATGTGAAGGACCTCTTCAGAGAACTATAAACTACTGCTCAAGGAAATAAGAGAGGATCCAAACAAATGGAAAAACATTCCATGCTCATGGATAGGAAGAATCAACATCATGAAAATGGCCATACCGCCTAAAGTAATTTATAGACTCAATGCTATTTCCATCAAACTACCACTGACATTTTTCACAGAATTAGAAAAAAAACTACTTTATATTTCATATGGAAACCCCAAAAGAGTCCATATAGCCAAGACAATCCTAAGCAAAAAGAACAACCTGGAGGCATCACGCTACCTGACTTCAAAATATACTATAAGGCTACAGTAACCAAAAGAGCATGGTACTGGTACCAAAACAGACATATAGACCAATGGAGCAGAACAGAGACCTCAGAAATAACACCACACATCTACAACCATCTGATCTTTGACAAATGGGACAAAAACAAGCAATGGGGAAAGGATTCCCCATTTAATAAATGGTGTCGGGAAAAGTGGCTAGCCATATGCAGAAAACTGAAACTGCACCCCTTCCTTACACCTTATACAAAAATTAACTCAAGATGGATTAAAGACTTAAACATAAGACCTAAAACCATAAAATCCTTGGAAGAAAACCTAGGTAAGACCATTCAGGACATAGGCATGGGCAAAGATTTCATGACGAAAATGCCAAAAGCAATGCAACAAAAGCCAAAATTGACAAATCAGATCTAATTAAACTAGAGTTTCTGCACAGCAAAAGAAATTATCATTAGAGTGAGCATCAGCCTACAGAATGGGAGAAAATTTTTGCAATCTACCCATCTGAAAAAGGTCTAATATCCAGAATCTACAAGGAACTTAAACAAATTTACAAGAAAAAAACAACCCCATCAAAGAGTGGGCACAGGATATGAATAGACACTTCTCAAAAGAAGACATTTATGCAGCCAACAAACATATGGAAAAAAGCTCAACATCATTGATCATTAGAGAAATGCAAATCAAACCCACAATGAGATACCATCTCATGCCAGTCAGAAAGGTGATTATTACAAACAAGAAGCAATAGATGCTGACGAGGCTTTGGAGAAATAGGAATGCTTTTACACTGTTGGTGGAAATGTAAATTCGTTCAACTATTGTGGAAGACAGTGTGGCAATTCCTCAAGGATCTAGAACCAGAAATACCATTTGACCCAGCAATCCTATTAATGGGTATATACCCAAAGGAATATACATCATTATACTATAAAGACACATGCACACATATGTTTCGTGCAGCACTATTTACAATAGCAAAGACATGGAACCAATCCAAATGCCCATCAGTGATAGACAGGATAAAGAAAATGTGTACTTATACACCTGGAATACTATGCAGCCATAAAAAAGAATGAGATCATGTCCTTTGCAGTGTCATGGATGAAGCTGGAAGCCATCATCCTCAGCAAACTAACACAGGAACAGAAAACCAAACATCGCATGTTCTAACTCATAAGTGTGAGTTGAACAATGAGAACACATGGACACAGGGAGGGGAACAACATACATTGGGGCCAGTCAGGGTTGAGGGGCAAGAGGAAGGAGGGATAAATAGCTAATGCATGCAGCACTTAAAACCTAGATGACAGGTTGATAGGTGCAACAAAACACCATGGCACACGTATATGTATGTAACAAACCTACATGTTCTGCACTTGTATCCCAGAACTTAAAGTAAAATAATAATAAAAAAGAAAGTCACACTGTCTGGTTTCACTTATATGAAACATTCAGAATATATGCATCCAGAGACAGAATGCGGATTTGTGGTTGCCAGGGGCTGAGGGGAGTCAGAAATGCAGAACAACTGCTTAATAGTACACTGTTTCCTTTTGAGGTGGTAAAAATGTTTTGAAACTAGATAGAGGTGGTGCTTACACAACATTGTCAGTGTACTGAATGCCACTGAATTGTTCATTTTAAAATGATTAGTTTTGTGTTATATGAATTTCACCTCAATTTTAAAAAGGGAAAAAATAAGAAAACCCGAATAAACTATGGACTTGAGTTAATAATAATGTACCCATATTGGTTCATAAATTGTTACAAATGTGCCATACTAATGCAAGTTGTTAATAATAGGGGATGCTGTGAGTGGTGGGGGTAGGAAGGGTGGTATATGTGAATTCTCTGCAGTGTTCGCTGAATTTTTCTCTAAATCTAAAATGGTTTTAAAAAAGACAGACTATTCATTAAAAAAAAACCCTTACTATCCTAAATAAATCTGATCAAAGAGGAAATAAAACTTCAATTAAAAACTTTAAGACAGTGAAATGTGAAAGCAATGTATCAGAAGTTGTAAGATGTTAAAATAGTACTAAAAAACTCCTAGCCTTAAATATTTTCATTATAAAAGAAGAAAGAATAACAATACATGAACTAATAATTCAACTCACAAACTTAGAAAACTAAAATAGTCTAAAAAAGGCATTGAGAAAATATTAACAAAGATAAAGCAAAAACAATTTTACAAAGAGCTAACTATAGAAGAAATAGATCCAAGAAATTAGTTCTGTGACATCCAATCAGAAAAAAAAAGAAAAGACAAATGGACAAAATGCATCATGAAAAAGGGTTATCCACATAGTTATGGAGATGATTTTAAAAAGTTCAAGGGAATACCATGTATGCCAATATATTTGAAAAATTTTTAAAAAGAGTAATTTCTAAGCAAAAGCAAGTAAACTAAGCTGCATGAAAAATAGCATAAACCCCAAATAGATCAATAACAATGGAAGACATTGTAAGCATTTAAAGAATTATTTTCAAAAGGGGATGCCAAGGCCCAACAGTATTATGGATTCTTCTTTAAACATTTCAAGGAACAGATAACTCCTATTGAATTTTCTTTAGAACTTGGAACATTTTGGTATTTTTATCATTTTACTTTATTAAGCTAGTCTCATTTTAAAACTGAAACCTATCAGTGATATGTTCTAGAAAATAAAAATATAGACTAATTTTTACAGACTTATGAATATAAAAACAAAAATACTAACCTTCTAGTTTTGAATATGAATATTAAAAATTCTTAGCAAATTTCAAACATTTCTCTTTAGCATACATTTTCTTAATATAAGTTGGATATAAGATTAATCAATTTGGACACACATTTTGCTTACCACAGTTGTAACTAAATTGCGGTCTGCAGCTAGCACTGTCATAATAGGAAGAAGGCTTTTTGCACAAAGCGTAGGAATAGCTGCTTTGTTTATTTGGCTGCTATGCCTGGATAGGGTTACTTGGCTTATGTCACATTGTTTTCATTCTTTTTCTGTTAGTTTGAGTTGGGAACAGAATTATGAAGCCAAAATAATAGAGAAGAGGTGTCTAAGCATGTGGATTGGAGAGAAAAAGAGGAAACGTGTAGGTTTGGTTGGTTTATTTTGAACTACCAATTTATTATTTTAATTGGAGCAACAATAAATCATAGCTCATAACTATAAATCTACCTTTATTACCAAAGCAATCATTTTCATATCACAATATTTGATGACATGGACTTTTTAAAAATGCAATGACTCTCTTGTGTAACAGCAGACCACTACACAGTTTGAAGTAGAAAAACCATACAGTTGTCTCTAATGATATCAAAAAGACATTGAGTACAGTTTAACATGAAGTCTCTATTTTGTTTTTATTTAAATAAGCCTCTAGTAAACAAGGTACTTGGCAATTATTTGGTTTTTATGATAAATGTACTTATCTCAAACCAACAGCCAACCTCATTCTTAATGTTAACCACTAGGGAAATTCCCACTGAGATCAGAAACAAGACAAGGTTGACTGCTCTCTTCTCTGTTATTAAACACTGTTCCAGAAATTCTGGCCAATGTGGTGAGGAAAAAAAGGGATAATACATAATTGTATTTTTTTCTGTCTAGGCATCACATGTTAATTACCTAAAGTAATTTAGAAAAAATGAGGGATCAATAAAATTGCTAGATGAAAGATAAATTTGTGAAATTAAGAAGCCAGCAATAATTAGTTAGAAAATATAGTGGAAAGAATATCCCTATCAAGTACCTTTACTACACACACAAGAAGACAAAACAAAATATATTGGAATACATTTAATGATAAATAAAGAACTTCTATGTCTACTGAGGCCTTAATACATTAAAGACATATTAATAGAATATTCAGGCAGGAAGTTTCTATGCTATAAGGATGATCACTTTCCTCAAATTAGTGCATAAGTTTCATGAAATTCTAATCAGAACTTTTTCAGGGGAGCTTTATTTATTTTTAATCATCTAGTTAGTTATCTCTATGACTCAATGTCATAAGTGTTTAAAAGAAGTAACTAGACATTGCTCTAGGTCCCCAGTTGGCTGCTGGGCAGAACCTGAAGGCAGGTTAGACTGGGTATACAACCCCACATCTTCTTCCGGCTCTGAAGCTAACTGCTTGGAGGCACACTAGTGTGCCCACCTGTATGCATGTGGAAGTGTATCCTGGAGGGAGTGAAGAGATGGGAGTGGGTGAGTGAGAAGAAAGACCTAGCTTCTAAAAATGACTTGGTTGCTGCGTGAACATGGCCAAGTCATCTTCCTTTTTCTATCATAAGAATCTCCATCTTTTGGGATATGACATCTCTCAAATATTATTTTAACATTATAAGAATGCAGGGCAGTAGTAACAGAAAGCCCTGGATAAAGAGGTGATATGAATTTATGTTTAAGCCCTGGTTCTGCCACTTACAAGCTTGAATATGACAGCTATTATAATAATGTAACAATAGTGATAATAATTCTTGACTTTTAATCTTTTTGAGCTGTCATTTTTCCTATGATTATTCTTAAGAAAATAACTTAATGAAATATTACATGGTATTTAATGTTCATTTTTGGTTGTGAAAATATGAGGGCTAATTGATAATAGAATAAGACTAGTTTACTATAACTGTGTAAGTTTAAATGGTCCAAGGAGATGCAGCATTGTCTATAAGATTAACACTTTAGTGTAATGAAATATTCACTATCATGTGCTTTTTATGAGATGAGAAAAATACTAAACTTGAGTTAATCATTATTATTATTTTTTTTTTGAGACGGAGTTTTGCTCTTGTTGCCTAGGCAATAGTGCTGTCTTGGCTCATTGCAACCTCTGCCTCCTGGGTTCAAGTGATTCTCCTGCCTCAGCCTCCTAAGTAGCTGGGATTACAGACATGTACCACCATGCCCGGCTAATTTTTGTATTTTTAGTAGAGACGGGGTTTCATCATGTTGGTCAGGCTGGTCTCCAACTACTGATCTCAGGTGATCTGCCGGCCTCAGCCTCCCAAAGTGCTGGGATTACAGGAGTGAGCCACCATGCCCAGCCTTGAGTTAATGTTTGTATAGACACACTGGATCAGGCCAGGATCGATTTTTAAAAATATAACCAAAAAAGTATGAATACATTTTTACTTTAATTTACTTTTCAGCCTAGTAAGTTATGAACAACTTAAGCCAAATATCTTTCAGCATAATGTCAACATTATGTTATAAAAATCATTCATTGGAGAAGGCTCTCATTCCAGATATAAACTTAAAAAAATCATTGAGGTAGAGACATAAATTCTATCTTAAAAGTTAGAAAGAAAATTAAAAAAAATTTAAAATTTTCCTTGGTCTTGGCTAGGGACCCCATTATTTACTTATTTATTTATTAAATAGAGATGGGGTCTCACTATGTTGCCCAGGCTGGCCTCAAACTCCTGGGCTCAAGTGATCCTCTTACCTTGGCCTCCCAAAGTGCTAGGATTATAGGCATGACCCACCACGTCCAGCCATTTTTTAAAGGCCAAATTTCTAACTATGACGTTAACTACAAAGGCATTATTGAATCATGTCATAAATTACTCACATAGCAAGAGTAAGAGGGTAACACATCTGCAACACTTCAGTTTAAGACATCCAGGCCCCTTTCCTAGGTTAAGAATCAGTAGGAACTATTGAAATTAGATTACCTCTTCTCCAGGTTACAAGTCTTCCTTTGTAGACTATTCCTCTGTAAAGATGAAGACAGTTACACAGTTGTAAAGTGTTTTCCACAGGCTCTAACAATGCTGCTCAAACTGTCCAGAGCTCTCCCTTATGTTGAAGTGGGAACTTCCACTGAGAAATCCCCCAACTTGAAGACTTCCTTATTTGTAGCTAGCAACAGCCAATCATGGCACGATACTGAAATGAAGCAAAGACTATCAGAAAATATTCTGTAAACCACTCGTGACTGTAGCTCTGACTTCCTTTTGAAGCAAGATACTTTATGTGAATAGTTAAGGCATTTTAACAACAACAACAACAACAAAAACCCCAGGAATTGTAAACACAAAAATACTTTTGGATTAAGCATTTTATGTAAGAAAATTTAAAAGTTCAGTTTATTTGATAAGTGGCTTTTTAACCTTTAAGAAGTCGCTTTTTGACCTAAGAAGCATGTTTATAAACAGGAGGTAAAAACCAAATTTGATTATAGTTGTCTTTATGGCCTACAGAAGTCACTTGGAAGAAGCTTTGTAGTAATAAGGTTTAAGCTCAATTGCAGAGCCTGAGCTTAGGTACTCAGAAGAGAGGTGAAGCAAACAAGGCTCTTAAGACAGCTTTTCTGCCTTGAGAACTTAAGGTTCACTGTTCGTGGGATAAAAGTGTGTTCCAGCAAACTCGGGAAATGCTTTACAAATACATGTATTTCTCTTAGGTTGCTTAGAGCAAAACATCACATTTTACATGCAAACGGAAGACAGCATGTGCACCACAGACATTTTTCTTTGATATAAAATTTTAGAGCTGGAAATGTCCTTAGACAACATCTGTTCCATTTCCTTTTTATTACAGATGAGGGAAACAGGAGAAGGTAAATGCTCAATGTCACAAGTAAAGTTAGAAGCAGCGCTTAGATTAAAATGTGAGTCTTTTGAATCCAAGTGCATTTCTTTTTTTTACTGCACTACACTCTTGGCATATAAAGTTACTGAGCTGGATAAAAACTGAATTAAGCAGTCTCCTTTTTCAGCTCCTGCATTTTACAGATGAGAAGTCTGAGGCTTTACCTAAACTTCAACAGTTATTAAAAGGTCTAGAATTTAGAACTTCTGATTCTTAGTCTAGTTTGTTTTCCACTTTGAAACACTGCCCTCTCTTAAATTATATGTTAAATAAATCTGAGATATTGCTACTTATGATGAAATTATTCTATAAAAAATAATTTCAAAAGTATCTAAAATGCTGAATAAACTTATGATTAAAGGCTTCTACGTACTCATCTAACATACAATGAAGCATTACATTTCTTTTGGAACTATGGGTTTTATAACTATCTTACTGATGAAATGCTAAATATTAAATGCTATTGTGTGCAATGGAAAAATAAAACCAACCTATCCCGTGCTGTAAATATAGCAAAACAAACCAACAAAAAAGTGAGATAGCCACTAGTGAAAGGAAAACTTACTTCTTAAGAATTTACAGTTTTGAATGAGCAGAGTTTTAAAAACACAGCTTTTAAAAAAAGCAGCGCTCCTGTCTAGACTGGGAAATGCCCCTTTCTTTGGTCTCTTCATCCTGTGCCCCCTCCCTCCTCTATTTACTTTGGCATTTGAGCTTGGCTGACACCCAGGATCCTGCAGAACTGGCTACTCCAGGGTATGCTGGCCTCAATCTGGTGGGGCATTGTTTGAGAGAGGGTCCTACAGCCAAAACAGAGAAGCTACAGTTAGAGAAGCTTTTTGAAGAAATTCTGAGTACATGAAATTTAAAACCTATGCCACTAACCAGTTCTAGACTAGGCAAAATATGTGAGGCAGATGGAAGTTTTAATTTTTGTCGTCTCTAGTAGTTCCTTTTCCTATTTCCCTACTCCCCACCTTTTTCCTTCTCTTGGAGTCGTAAATCAAGTGACTAGGGCTGACAAAAATGCAGAAATTCCTTCAGAGGAGGAAGCAAACTGGTACTAAGCCAGGATTGGCAAGGGTTAGGGTATAATGACCAGGGCAGGAGTGGGATGAGCAGCTCCAAGCCCAAGTTAGAGGGTGGGAGGCAAAACTCAGGTTCCTATTCAGGGAGAGAAGAATGGCTGAGGGGAGTTACTAGTCAAAGAATGCGGACATCACTGCCCGGGGGCAGCAGGATTCTCAGGGCAGGTCTGGTCGAAAGGCCTCCCTAAGAAGAATCCTGGAAATTTTTTTTTTAGTGAAAGTGGAGAGCAAGAAAGCCAGGTCTCTTAATTGCTAACTAGGATTTAGAAATAGGTTCCCTCCTTCGGAGGGAGACCCAGGTGCCTGCGACTCTGGCCAAGTAGCTAGTTAGGTAGCCAGGCTGCATGGGGTGGGTGTTTGATTGAGAAACTTGGTTCAGATGATCACATGGACACCTACAGGACGAATTCATGCTCTAGGCACAGTATTTGTGAAAACAGCATGTTTTCCAGGCTCTACTTGCTGGTGGGCTGATGCTTCAGGATTTTATTGGCCTGTGGCCACAGCAGGGCTGATGCTAAGGGGAATTGAGACCTGCAGGGATGATAGATGCTCTTTTTCCACGACCACCCCAGCCTCTATAAATGGTGCACTGGGCAGAGTAACCTATATGACTTATTTGCAACTCAACAAAAATTTATGCCAAAGTTTTGCTTCTCCAGAGGGGATATTTGCATTTTAGTTCGAGTGGTGGAATTAAAGGTATCCCCATTTAATGAAACTTCTGGTCACACTGAATGGATGAAAGGGATATAGTGGATGTAGGGAGAGGGGTAGTGTAGGGAAAATGTCCTTACTCTTTACAATTCATATACTTAAGCTGTTACCTAAGTTAATGATTGGCCTTATACCTGTAGGGACATTTAGTTAGCATGCTTGGTCAGTTACAGTTGCATCAACCCCCCTCGTATAACTTTTGACTCCTCCAAAACTTAACTACTAATACATCTTACCTATAATATAAAATCGATTAATGAATATTTTGTATATATGTTATATACTATATTCTAACAATAAACTAGAGGAAAGAAAATGTATTTAAAAATCATAAGGAAGATAAAATATATTTGCTATTCATTAAGTGTAAGTGGATCATCATGAAGGTCTTCATCCTTGTTGTCTTCACATTGAGTAGGCTGAGGAGAAGGAGGAAGATGAGAAGGTCTTGCTGTATCAGTGGTTTGAGGAGTCAAAGAGAAGGAGAAGGTGAAAGGGGAGGCAGGGGAGGTGGGCCCACTTGGTCTAACTTTTACTGAAATATATTCACATGTAAGTGGACCCACACAATTCAAACTCATGTTGTTCAAGGATCAACTGTATTTATTCAATAAACATTTATTATCTACCATGTGTTAGGCTCCATGCTGGGTGCAGAAGTTCTTAAAATGGTTTTTTTGCTCTTGAGGAGCTCATGTTCTTAAGCAAGAGATAGACGTGCAAACGTTTAACTCTGCTCATTGACAAAGTTAAGAGTGGTGATGCATACAAAGTTCTGGCTGTGTGGGCAGAGAGGCAGTTCTCAGAGCTCGAGCTACGCATGAAGAGATGCCTAGATACCCACGGATTAAACAAGTGAAAGGATCAAGGGTTAAAAATTTATTTTATACCCTTCTCCGTATTCTCAATAAATCCACTCTGATTTTTTTTAGACTAAGCTTGTGGTTTTCTGCTTGTTTCCATAGCTTTATTAGTAAAATAATTGTAAAAATCTTATCTTTTTAACATTGTAGGGGATTATTTATAATCTTTACTTTTTCTTTTTTCTTTTCTTTTCTTTTTTTTTTTTTTTGAGACAGGGTCTCACTCTGTTGCTCCTGGCTGGAGTGCAGTGTTACAATCATAGCCCGCTGCAGCCTTGAAATTCTGGGCTCAAGCAATCCTCCCACCTCAGCCTCCTGAGTAGCTGGGACTACAGGTGGGCACCACCACTCCCAGCTAATTTTCTTTTTAAATTTTTTTGTAGAGTTGAGATCTCATCATGCTGCCCAGACTGGTCTTGAACTTCTGGGCTCAAGCAATCAACCTTGGCCTCCCAAAAGGTTGAGATTACAGGTGTAAGTCACTGTACCCAGCATATAGTCTTGATGATAGTTAGACACAATTTGAGTGTTCTTAGCATCTAGCCTTAAAAAATAAATCTGTGAGGTACACAGACTAAGTAGTTAAGAAGTAGCTTGAGCATATTCTTTTTAATTTTTTTAACTTTTAAGTTCAGGGTAAACTTGTGTAATGCAGGCTTGTCAAATAGATTATTTTTTCACCCAGGTATTAAGCCTAGTATCCATTAGTTATTTTTCCTCATCTTCTCCCTCCAGTGTGTGTTGTTCCCCTCTATATGTCCACGTGTTATCATTTAGCTCCCACTTATAAGTGAGAACATGTGGTATTTGCTTTTCTGTTTCTGCGTTAGTTTGCTAAGGATAATGGCCTCTAGCTCCATCCATGTTCCTGCAAATACATGATCTCATTCTTTTTCATGGTTGCGTAATATTCCATGGTGTATATGTGCCACATTTTCTTTATCCAGTCTACCATTCATGGGCATTTAGGTTGATTCCATGTCTTTACTATGTGAACAGTACTGCAGTGAACATACACGTGCATGTATCTTTATTGATAGAGCAATTTATATTCCTTTGCGTACACACCTAGTGTTGGGATTGCTGGGTCAAATGGCAGTTCCATTTTTAGGTCTTTGAGGAATCGTCACACTGCTTTCCACGATGGATGAACTAATTTACACTCCCACCAACAGTGTATAAGTGTTTCTTTTTCTCTGCAACTTAGGCACATTATTTTTGAGAACAAGAATAAAAGTGGGACCCTGGATTCCCCAGCACCTTGTCCTCCCCTTTATATGATAGGTATGTATTTTTGGCTATCAAAAGAAAGAGGAAACTTAGTAATATGTGATAAAACAAAGATTGATAGACTAAAAATTTAAAAAACTCTTGACAAACTCAAGTAATAGGCTGATGCCAAAATGAAATTCAATAGGAATAATTATGAAATTGTCAGTTACTACTCCCCTCCCTACCACCATCCCACAAATGAACAAAAACCAGAAAGGAATTGCATAATCACAGAAAGGGTTGATGAGATGCAAGTTAGTAGCAGTCACACAAAACTGACTTGAGTTTTATTTGAGGTGATAATATGGGGATTCTAAAAATATCCCCAAAGTAATAGGACCTTAGAATTCCCTCTAGAATGAGGGACGCATTAGTCCTGCTTTCTGACCTATCTTTCAGGGTACCACTCTTTAAGACCACAGACAAACTAGTTATCAAATACTCATCCATATTACATGTGTATGATTGCAGGAATGGAGAATGTTTAGCTTAGAGAAACTGGGAAGGAGAGAACTGTATTCAAATATCAAATTCATTTATGCAGCTCCAAGAAAGGCCTCAGACAGTGAGCCAGAACTATAAGGAAAAAAAAATTCGCTTGTTACAGGAAGATCAGCGTTCCAATAGTCAGAAAATGAGATAGGCCACTTTAAGAGGTAATGAGTTCCTTCTTCCCTGGGAGAAAGGAAACATATGATGAATGACCATTGTTTGGGAATGTAGAAGAGATTAAAATCTCAGATGGATTAATAATGACAAATACCTGTATATAATTTACTATGGTCCTGGCACAGTTCTAAGTACGTTACATGTATCACTTTATTTAATCCTTATAATACCCTATAAAGGAGGTACTCTTTTATAGATTCAAAACTGAGGCATAAGGAAGTAAAGTGGCTTGACCAAGTAAACATAGCCATTAAATGTAAGTGGAAACTGAAGTGTCTGTCTCCAAAGTCCATCCTCTTAACAACTTTTAAAGCACCTGGGATTGCCCAATACACTGCACTTTATCTAGTGAAGATTCTCTCATTCATTGATACATGAAATTTTAACGGAGGTGGAAAAAAATTCAGATGCATTCTCTACCACTTTCAATTTCTTTCTTTTTTTTTTTTTTTTTTTAGATGGAGTCTCGCTCTGTCACCAGGCTGAAGTGCAATGGCGAGATCTCGGCTTACTGCAACTCCACCTCCCAGGTTCAAGTGATCCTCCTGCCTCAGCCACCATGCCCGTCTAATTTTTTGTATTTTTAGTAGAGACGGGGTTTTACCGTGTTAGCCAGGATGGTCTCAATCTCCTAATCTCATGATCCGCCCGCCTCGGCCTCCCAAAGTGCTGGGATTACAGCCGTGAGCCACTGCGCCCGGGCTGATTTCTTCTTATGCCTAGTTGTGGAAGCTTCCAGGCTGACAAGAACGTAACGAACTGAGAATATGCCACCTTCAATTCCTGCTTAATACCTACCTTGGTCTTGGGATGGGCATGTTAAGAATAGCATAATTGAAGATGGCAGGAGGATGGGAAGGGAAAAGGAGGGTGATGCAGAAGAGGTGCTGATATGATTGGCTTTGTGTCCCCATAATCCCCACGTGTCAAGGAAGAGACCAGATGGAGGTAGTTGAATCATGGTGGGTGGGGGTTTCCCCCATGCTGTTCTCGTGATAGTCAGTTCTCACGAGATCTAATGGTTTTATAAGGGACTCTTCCCTCTTCGCTTGGCACGCCACCTTCCTGCCCCCTGGCGAAGAAGGCGCTTTGTTTTCCCCTTCACCTTCTACCATGACTGTACATTTTATGAGGCTTCCCCAACCATACTGAACCGTAAGTCAATTAAACCTCTTTCCTTTATAAATTACCCAGTCTTGGGCAGTTGTTCATGCAGTACGCAAACGGACTAACACAGGTGCTCTTGTTGAGAAGTGGAGGAGCAAATTAGACATGCTGTCTCTTTTCAAATGCCAATTTAGAAAAATAGGGCAACCTGGGAGCAGATTCAATACAATTAGTCAAGGAAGATGATAATGCACATTTGTTTCTGCAGTTTTACTCATCCTTCCATTTTTCCTTTCTAATCTGTTATGTATAGCTTAATATGTCTCATAAAAAATACATGATACTTTCTACAGGGTACAAGGTGAACTATTTAAGTTTCCATAAAAAGTCTCTGTAAGCTGACAGAATTTAATCAGAAAATGAGACATCTCACCATTGAAGAATTTGTTTTAGATATTATACATTCTACTTTCTGTTTTATTGGCCAAGATAGCAATACATTTAGTTTATTACCAATTAACCTTTCTATTTTGATCTATGCACTGGGATTTCTCTTTTCTAAAGTTGATGAGAAACACCAGCCAAAAGAATGAGCCTCACAGGCATTTTCTTTCTAAACTGAGAAACCTAGAAAAGTGGTTTTGATATTAGGATAAAATAGAAATTACTGAACTCCCCTCAAAGAGGTAAGGAATATATAAATTGTAGAAAACAAATTTGCATTACCTGAAATATATTTCTTTTGGAATTATAAATTCATGAAATTGAAATTGCTATGAGATGCCTGTCATCAATAATTTTCTATGTGAGAACACAGTAATTTAGTACTGATACAATTACTAATATTAGTAGGATTAATAATAATAGTTCATACTTGTAATTATCTATAAATGAGAAAGATAAAAAATGTCAGCCTGTCTGTAACCTCTAAGACACAATGGTGGTGAGAAAGAAATCAAAGAGGAGAAGAGAATAGAGGGAGAGATGGAAAGAATAATCCATAAACTCTGGGTTTTTCTATTACTTCAATAAAATAAGTCAAATTCTCAATGAGATCTGACCTTTGAAAACTGTTTAGCATGACTCCAGGGGGATGTTGGGAGGATTAACTAGCTGAAGCTTGCAGAGAGATTTCAAAGTTCCTTGTGTGTTATTTATTCCTTGCTTTACCAGTTCAGTTCCTTTTTAATTTGATCATATTTGGTGGGATGCCAGAGCCATGATAAAATATCCAATAAACACGGGTTTCAAGTAAAATCACAAGCTATTGTTTGAGGAGGAAAGATTGAGGTAGTTCTAAAAGTGTAGAGGTAATTCTGTGCGTAGACATGCTATTTTTAAAAGATTTTTTTAAGTTAAATCACTTCAAAGAGCAGGAAACGGACCCAAAGAGATTAATTGATTTTCTAAATATCAAACAGCTGACTCATAATTTTGACAGTTTTTCACTGGCATTAGAGATCCTGGCTTCAAAGTACTTGATCACCTTTGGCATTATAATTTGAAGATGCTGTTATGGTTTGGAAGCTGAGTGGGATGGAATTGGTGAACTTTTTCTAATTATTCAATTGGTGAAAGAACTGTGTGTTTTATTCTTCTCTTATCATTGGGTTTCAGATTTTAAAATATTGTTTGGATGGAAAAAAACTTTGTAGAAACACCTCTTTCTCATGTCTCATTTATTTATTCTTTAACCCTTCATTCATCAATTGCAATATGCTGATCAGCTCTTGGGAGAGGGAGCCATAGAACCAAGCCCAGCGGCACTTTCTGGAGCACGTCAGAAGTAACATCCATCTCTCTGCAGAGGAGTTAGGCAAATAGGTGCTGGAGCCATAATGCCTACATTCCAAATCCTGACTTCACCTTTGACAAATGTCTTGCCTAAAACTTATGGTAGTTTTGAGAATTGAATGAATTAGTATGTGTAAAGGATTTAAAACCCTGAGCACATGGTAAGACTATGTAAGAGAGTTTCTTTGTTGTTTTTTATTCATTGATGTATTTTTCTTCACTGTCTCTGTAAAATTAAAATGTGAATTGGCTGGGTATGGTTGCTCATGCCTGTAATCCCACCACTTTGGGAGGTCGAGGTAGGTGGATCACCTGAGGTCAGGAGTTCGAGACCAGCCTGACCAACATGGTGAAACCCTGTCTCTACTAAAAAATACAAAAATTAGCCGAGCATGCTGGCAGGCACCTGTAATCCCAGCTACTCTGGAGGCTGAGGCAGGAGAATTGCTTGAACCCGGAGGGTGGAGGTTGCAGTGAGCCAAGATCACACCATTGCACTCCAGCCTAGGTGACAGAGCAAGACTCTGTCTCAAAAAAAAAAAAAAAAAAATTGTGAATTCATACAAGTTTTGCAGGAAAACTAGATGGCGAGAAATTAAATTATTTAAGCAAGATCATTTTTGTTTGTCTATGCAACTTCTATATTGCCTTTTCCTTTTTCCCCTTGTAGCCTATGTACTGTTTGGGAAGCAAACTCCAACCACTGTCCATGAGTAGGCTAGGACTGGCTCAAACCAGTCAGTACATTATATTTCTCCTACTTTTGTTATTGGCTGAGGGTGGAGTGCATGACACGAGCCAGTCTAACCTTGGTGAATACCAGGACTCTTGCTTGGATTACAGAGCTGAAAGTAAAAGTGAAGCACAGCCTTCATTATTTAGGCTGACAAACAGCCTAAAGCTGTAAGGGTCTTCAACTACAGAATAAAACCATCATCACGAGATGGCCAAAAAGAGAGATGGGGAAAAAATTGGTGTTTTAAAAATTTTAATTAATTTATTTACTTTGAGATGTAGTCTTGCTCTGTCACCCAGGCTGGAGGGCAGTGGCATGATCTCAGCTCACTGCAACCTCTGCCTCCTGGGTCCAAGCAATTCTCATGCCTCCACCTCCTGAGTAACTGGGATACAGTAACTGGGCACAGGCGCATGCCACTGTGCCCGGCTAATGTTTGTATTTTTAGTAGAGATGGGGTTTCACCATGTTGCCCAGGCTGGTCTTGAACTCCTGGCCTCAAATGATCCATCTACCTCGGCCTCCCAAAGTGCTGGGATTACAGGTGTGAGGCACTGTGCCTGGTCAAAACATGGGTCTTTAATAATATTGCTGAACCACTAACTCAAACAACTTTAAAGCTCCCTCTACCTCTTGACTTTTGAATTATGTAATCCCCAAGGTTCCCTCGTATTGTTTAAGCCAGTTTGAGTTGGATTTTCTGTTACTAGCAATTGAAATCTTCTTGCTGTAATACTCTATATGGTCAAAAAGGAGTCGTGAATACAACAATAACCACAACAAATAGCCTTTATGGAGATTTGCTCTACGTCAAACACTGCTCTCAGTATTAATCTTTACAACAAGCCTGTGAGACAGGTATCATGACTCTCAATCATTAGCACTCTAAGTGTGGGACTCTGCATAACATATGCAAAGTATCATGGCTGCAGATCTTGCATTTCCAACATGACCTGTTTTGGCCTATTTTGTGATTACGTGTGTGTGTGTGTGTGTGTGTGTGTGTGTGTGTGTGTGTGTGGCTTTTTGAGATGGAGGTCTCTCTATTAGTACTGATACAATTTCTAATAGCAGGATTAATAGTTCATACTTGTAATTCTCTATAAATGAGGAAGATAACAAATGTTAACCTATCTAACGTCTAAGACCCAATGACAGTGAGAAAGAAATAAGAGAGGAGAAAGGAATAGAGGGAGAGATGGAAAGGATAATCTATAAACTCTGGGCTGCTGTGCAGTGACCATTATCAAGTATGATCATAGCTTACTGCAGCCTTGAACTCCTGGACTCAAGCAATCCCCTATTTAGCCTCCTGGGTAGATGGGACTACAGGCATGCATCACTGCACCTGGCTTAGTTTGAGATAATATTTTTGCAGAGAACAGATGTATAAAGTCTAGCTAGTCAGGCTCCTTTTCCCTGCTTCCTCCAGATAATTTTTAAACTGAACACAGAACATATTCATTTGGGTACCATACTGCAGATTAACAGTTGATTAAGTCCCTTGTATATTTCAGTTTGAATTTTTAGTTTAAGGGTTTTGTTTTATTTGATTTTTTGGTTGAGGGTTTAATATGAGAAACTATCTTTCTTGGATTTGAATGCTCACTGGTTTTTTTCTATGTCATTTGTTATAGTCAGGATATTAGAGTCATTTGAAATAGACTACTCTGGCAGAAGGGCAAACTATCTTCTGGTTCTTTGCATACTTTGGGTTTTTTAAATAAGTGCTTGGAAAGTTTATTCCTTAGGAATGAAGGCCTTTTTCCCCAACCCCTCTTATACCAGTCAAGGTTCAATCAGGAGACAAAATCAGATAGTAATTAGAACAGGGAAAGTTTAGTATAAATAACTATTAACTATACCAGGTGCTGATCTATAAAGGAGTAAAGATACTCAAAAGGATATCTGGGGCTCAGGGAGGGTATCTAAAGAAGGAACAAATGTGGGAAAGAGAACCTCTTTCCTAAGGCCGGAATTCAGACCACAGTGGAAAAGGTGTGGTTGTAGACCAGGAGATTCCAGAGAAGTGTGCTTGGTTGCCCAGGCCAGAACTGGTCCACAGATGCTGGGCAATGAGTAAACCACCCCTCCAAAGTGCACGTGGGCCAAGGCTGGGAAGCTGACTTTCGGGACACCTGTGAGATTCATCGGGAAGCTGTCAATAGGAATGCCACTGCAACTCGATGAGGAGCCATCAGTATGTATGCCACTGCAACTTGATGGGGTGTCACTAGAGCAACCTTACATGCACAGTTGGTAGCCATGAGATAGGAACAAGAAGAAAATAGAAAACACCAGAACCAGGAAGAGGAGCCCTATTCCTCTTGTAGTGTTTCTCCACCTCCGTATACAGACAAAGCTTGACACTGTTGTCACTGCAAAGAAGAAATATTTCAACATTCCAGCTTCATTTTTGCCAAGCAGCCAATAAAAGGTGGCTTTGAAGCTGGGATGCAATACATACTTAGCTGGCACACTTTTGAATGCAGGGGATAAGTTTTCATTATACCCTGTTATGTCAACATTCAGCAGTAGCTTTGTTTAAGTATATTACTTACATTATATGAAGGTCAGTGAAGCAGATGTTAACTATAAAATGTCTTTACAGGTGTAGTCCCCACCAACATCTTGGGGCTCCTCAAATCTTCCTTGAATGATGTCTGAAATAGGTTAGATCTTTATTTGTAATATAATGCTTTGACCCCAGTTAAAATATAACTACCTCATGAATGAGAACTATTATACTGTTATTGGCTATTAAACTTTAAGATGATTGAAGGTGATAAATTACCCCAAGAGGCTGAGGAGAGGACTTTAACTGACTCCCTGTATTTTAATCAACATTCTCTCTTGAAACTTTCGACAAATAGTATCAAACCATCTTAATGAGCTCTCAGAGTATTCTCTTATTTTCTATCCACTGAAACATGGTAAAACCCTGAATATGCTCTTGTCTGAACATATGTTTATGTTAATGAGGAAAGTTTACTTTATGTAGGAAGAAAAATTGTTTCTATTTCTGACATGATAAGATGTAGGAACAGGCTACAAACTTCAGACTTTATGTGAAAGAACATTTGAAGATAATGAAAGTTTATTTCCTCTTCTTGAAAGATGTTAAAACTTTATAAAAGACACAGAATTCTAAATTGACTTTTTAGGTTAATTTAAAATTTGTTAGGGGTATGGTTCAGAAAGTTTGTGCAGCTATAAGATATAGAGCACTTAAACTTATAAGTAGCAGAATTTTTTTCCCCTTCCATTAACCAGTTTATTTGATGTGCTATCTGCTAGAGCTGCCATAACAAAATGCCACTGATCAGCGGGCCTAAACAACAGAAATTTATTTTCTCACAGTTCTAGAGGCTGGAGGTTCAAAATTAAATTGCTGGCAAGGTTGATTCCCTCTAAAGGCCTTGAGGAACAAACCCATTCCAGGCCTGTCTCCTTGGCCTGCAGTTAGCTATTCTCTTCTTCTCCTTCACAGGGTGGTTCCCCTGTACAGGCAGGTCCCTTGTGACTGTGTGTGGCTAAATTTCCTCTTATAAGCACACCAGTCTGATTAGATTATAGCCTATCCTAGTGGCCCCATTTTAACTTGATCATCTCTTTAAAAGTTCTATCTCCCAAAACATTTTCTGAGGTTAGGGGGGTTAGGGCTTGAACACACGAATTTGGTGGGACTCACTTTAGCCCATAGCATTGGATGAACTAAGCATGATATATGCAGAAAGCACTTAATTTCTTTTCTCACCACTGCCTTTTATCTGTGCTATTTGAATTTCTAGATCAGCTGTTTGGGTGGCTTCTTAAATTCATAATGTGTGTTCTTAATCTTCTCTGTTCTAGGGTTTCTGATGAAAATCAGAAGCAACAGAAAAAAGCCTGTATATACTGCTATATGCATCAGTAATTTTACTACTGAGACAATTTAAACTCAAAGTTTAGATTCAGGTTATATCTATAGACAGAACAAGAAGGTTTGATTTGTGGACTTGTTTTCTCAAACTATTGCTTCAGTCAATGTGGTTGGACCAGTTTGGTGTGTAGAATTAGTCTCAGAGACATTCATCATTCTTTCAGGGTGGCTCCCAGACAGGCGAGTGGATAGACTGGGTAAATGGGAGTAATTTTGTAGGTAGGGCTGACAAAGATTTCCAAGAGATCTACTTAAGGTCTCTTAGGCCTTCTTTCCCAGGAAGCCTGAATCAAGGGGCTTCACTTAGCATCCATCTATCTCTGGTCTGTGTTCCCGATCCTCAAATAATGACCTAATTCTGTTCTACCATTTTCCTAATTTTGGCATGTCCACCAGACTCAAACAGCCTGTGTTCCTGTGATATTTCTGCTTTACTCCTGATTTCAATTATGTTTCCAATCCTGGATTTACAATCTGGGCTTGATTCCTGCTACTCCCTTGCTTGAGTTCTGTTGTCTGTGGCCTTGAATTGCTTGACTATGAATCATTCCATTTCATGACTCAGCAGGAAGCACCCTGCCACTGCTTTCACAGCTTGCCTACTCGTAAAGATTTCAGAAGTTTTTATTTCTCTAATTTCAAAAGCATTTTCTTTGGTTTCTTCTTTATTGTCATTGAAGCCAGTTTCAAAGCATAGGAAAACAGAGTTTTGCCTTCTCTACAAATCCAACACAACTTCTTAAAAGTGATTACAGAATTAAATCCTGACAGCGACTCAGGAACTTGTTTCTTTTCTGGATACTTATCCTGTGTGGGCTGCTCATAAATGCAGCCCATACCATGTAAAGTAATCAGTGGCAACTTGGTGGGAATCAAACATTCATATTCTGGAAAAACTGATAAAACAAAGTTCTCTTGTTTAGGGCTGGCATTTCCTCAATACAGAGGAAAGAGGATTGTCATAACTAGGATATCATAGAACCTATCAATATGGACCAACAGGTAGGAGAAGGAAGCTGGGATGGGGCAAATAGAAATCAGCCTTCTAGGAACAGCTCGTGTCTACTGCAGAGAGCATGGAAAGGATGATAAACCTGGAAGTGGTTTAGGTTGGTACTGATTTTCAAACCAGATTCATTCCCTGCACAAAGACCCTAGTCTTAGTTATTGATGAAGAAAATATTACTTGCTATCAAAAGTTCCTCCTGTTACTTAAGCCTACAGTAGTACCTAAAGTGGAGTGTATGGACTATTGTTTATGATGAAGTTTTTATCAGACTAGGTGAAATGAGAAGGATAAGGCTAGTGTAGTGATTTTTCCTATAAAGCTAAATTTATTCACTTTTAAGGAACTGCTTTTTATTATGAGATTAGTTCCCTCCTAGTTATGTTTTGGTATTAACATGTGCTTTTAAAAAATAAAACAACACTGTTAATGGATGGTAGTTATTTGTTTTTATATCTTTGCTTAGCTAATTAAAGATTAGCAATCTTATATCAGTCCCCAAATTGTTTTTGAAAATATTACCTAGTTCATAAAATCCAAATATTTTGGAAGTTCTGATTGAAGCCACACACTATCCGGCGATATAACAATGGGGAAAGGAAAAGGAAACCTAATTGGCAAGAGACCATGTTCTTTGAATGATGGCAAATAGAGGGTGGGACAAAAATGGCATCAAACCCCAGACTCAGTTTATCCAGAAAGTCTCTCTCTTCACCGTGGTGCTTCCTATGCACTGAATATAAAAGTGGGTTATCATAAGTGGATTGTGTTTTTCCATAGGAGCAATGCTTTAATTATGGGACATACTTTTATCCAAAGACTCAACATCAAATATATCAGAAATGGTAAACAATGTCTCACAAAAGAAAAAAGAACTTCAAACAGTTGAATTATGTTCTGCCCACAATTAGAGGTGAAAAAGACCATGGATATCCTTGCTATTTAAGTGTGGTCAGCTGGTTGGCGACATCAGCATCATCTGGGCAATTGTTAGAAATGCAGACTCTCAGGGCCCTGCCCCTGCATTTCTGAATCAGAACCTACATTTTAGCAAGATCCTCAGGTGATTCTTATGGACATCTGTTTGTTTTGTGGAGGAAAACCAGGACCAAAAGGACTAGCAAACAGAACAAAGTCTATTATGACCCCACAATGGGAATAATGTAAGGGCAAGATTAGGAGATGAGCCCAGGGCAGGTAGGGCACACAGGGCCAGGTTAAGACATCAGGAAGGTTGAAAGGAACAGCTGCTTAATAGGAAATGCTGCTGGGATGTGCCTGGAAAGTCATGGCAAACTCACAGCGCTCCTTCTTGGGAAGAGATGATGTGGTTCTTCCATAATCCCATCCAGTGTTTTGGCTGGAGTTGGGACTCAGAATAATCAGTGGGGAGCACAATGGGAAACTCTGACATACAGTAAATAAGAGGGGAAAATGTAGTCAAATCTCCCTCCTCCTACATCCCTCAGGCTGTTCATTAAAATCACCCAGAGAGCTTTACAAATGCCCCAACCCCCAGTGCCTGGGTGCTACCCATGGAGATTCTGATTTAATTGGACTGAGGTCTGTCCCAAGCATCAGTAATTTAAAAATGTCCTCGGTTGATGGTTATATGTGGTCTGCATTGTAAACTCTGAAACATTATTGCTTTAAAGACCTGAAAGGGAAAAATAGTAAGTATTTACAATCCATAAAAAAGCAGCTCTGCTATAGCATAAATATATGCCATATAAATTAGTATAAAAATTGGAGTAAGCATTTAATTAGAAATTTTATTTAATCATGTTAGAATCTGGAATGATGAGGGGGAGCATGGATTTGAAGGTATTTTAAACCACAAATAAAGTATTGTGTTTTCATCTTATTTAAATTTCCTGTTGCAAACAGATACTCAAAAGTATAAATTGGGATTAAGACTCGGGAGGCCTGGATCTGCTCTGCGACCTCTTGCTAGTGATCAACCGTTGTTGAAACTGATGAATGCGTGGGTGAAGGTGAAGAGTGAGTGTTAATTAGACTGCCTTGAAGTGGAGCAGCTCCACAAAAGGCTAATCTTGGAAGCACGGAGTTTCTTTTTTATTACCTTGACACCTAGTTTGCAAATTCCTATGAAGGAAAGTAGCAAGAAGCTAACTTTTATTGGGCGCCTATTCTGGGCCAGGCTAGGTTTTCTCATGTCATTTTCCCAACTACCCTTTAGATATTTTTCAGAAGATCAAGCAGGCTCAGAGACTGAGTAACTTGGACATAGGTAGTAAATGACAGATACAGTTTTTGAACTCAGGTGTGCCTGTCTTCAGAGCCTATGGTCTTTCTATGGCACACATGCTGTGCTCTCCAGAGAACAGAGGAGCCTGCTATAGCATCTTTCTTTCTCTCCTTCTTCTTATTTTTTTCTTTTTTTGAGCAGGATCTCACTCTGTCACCCAGGCTGGAATGCAGTGGCATGATCATGGCTCACTGCAGCCTTGAACTCCGGGGCTCAAGCCATCCTCCTGTCTCAGCTTTCCAGGCAAGTGGGACTACAAGTGTGCACCACCATGCACAGCTATTTTAAACAACATTTTGTTGACATAGAGTCTTGCTATGTTGCTCAGGCTGGTTTCAAACTCCTGCACTTGAACAATCTTTCCATCTTGGATTCCTAAAGCAGTGGGATTATAGGCATGAACCACCATGCCTTGCCTAGCATGTTTATATCCATAAAGATGTGTCTCACACAAAATAGATGGCTGCTAATTATTTAAGAAGGAACAACTTACTTATGAAACATATATTAGCTGAAGGTCTACAGCTGTGCCTTACATCATGACAGTGGGCCATGGCCATGAACTCTATTTCCCTTTACTTCTCCTCATCTCCTATCATTCTCTTTTTGGTAATTCTTCAACTATTCCCACCCTGTGATATGCTTCTTCTCTCCCTGTGGAGCTGAAGAGCCAAATGCTGACCCAGCTCCCAGATTCCCTTTAGCTGCGGGTCCTGGCCTGGCAGTCTTTGGAAGTATAGTAGAAAGGTCAGACTGACCCAGGTCTGGAGGTACCCAAGAAAAGCCACAGATGCATGGTGCTTGAACCTTGATATGAATTAGACTCAGGTACAGAAATGGAATAAAATTGCAGGCTCTGTTGGGGGTCAGAACACATACTCCAAAGTATAGTACCTTGGGAATTGAGAAAACAGCTGAAGCAATAAGGTAGTTCTCTGACTTCCTTCCACATTTCTCCCCTGAGAGCTAGCCATCAAAGAAGTCTGACCTCCTTCTCCTGAAAGTAGGTCATAAGATCCTCATGTGACAGGTGTCCTGACCTATACCCCAAGGGAAGGAATGTCACACAGAAAGGTCAAGAAGAATCTGAACAAGTAGGCCTTGTGGAGATTCCCCCAGTTTGTTACCATTAGCTCATACCCTTTTGTCCTACAATCATTTCTGCATGACTGTCCACAAAAATACACAGTTTTCCCTAGGTCTTTGGTTCTTCATTTCTGAAACCTCTGGTGTCACATAAACCTTTTATAAAATAAATTGTATGCTTTTCTCTTGTTAAACTGTCTTTTGTTATAGAAGTGTTAGCCATGAACCTTGCAATGGGCAAGGAAAGAAATCTTCCCACCCACACAGCTACTACATTCTAATTTAGAGATTAGTTAAGTCTTCAATAGTTAACATGATGGATTCCTAAGACCCTGTATATTTCTGAATTATTGATGGGACTGAATAAAACAGACTGTTCTCAAAAATTTATTCTGGGGCTTCCTCTTCCATATGATTTGGTGTATTCAAGACTACTTGAGTCACTAAGGCTGAGCTCAGGAGAATTTTTTTTTTTTGATGGTATCTCCACAAAATGGGTGCTAAATATTGAATAACCAAAATGAAAGCTGTAGTTTTGCTGGATCTGAACTAGACAATGTCCTAGAAATGAGTAATTCTATTAAAAAATCAGTGAATTGATAATAGCTGTAAGACAGATTCCACAACAGAAGCAGTCCTGTGTTGGTTTGGGACAGCTGTATGGGCAAATGATTGTCACAAGTTATGGTTTCAATACTAAGCATAGTGTGAGCACTCATTAATCTGGTGAGGATTAGCTAAGCAGAAAATACAGTTTTATAACTAGTTGGAAACTTAGTGCATTACTTTGAGTTCTTACTACCTCCAACTTAATGTTTGACTGATTTCCTCTTTACTCAGAATTTATATGACAGTAATGAGAATGATGATAATATTTATGATTTGTTAGATACACAACTGTCCTAGATACCTGTATATATTAGTTTTGAAGTTAAAAGCTCATAAATAGAACTTATTGTAGCTAAATAGTGTCAACTGACATCTTTTATTCCAACGCTGTGCCATTTCCCGAGACACCAGCATCACTGTTACTGAGCTTCCCTGGAGCTGTGCTTGGGTAGGGCAGATGTTAGAGCTGAAGATTGTTCTCTGTAAGTCACAGAAATACAAGCTATACTCTTTTCAGCTGTCTGTGTGCACTGAAGAAACTGAATACTAGCAGTGGTCTTGGCAGGGTCTTGGCAGGGAACCTTTGTTTCTTAGTACAGTCAAAAAAGCACAAGAAAAGGGAACAATTCTGTATCCACAAATCATCTGTTATATTGAAGCATCTCCTGGCGGGCATTTTTGATGAGGTGAAAATCATGCAATGAAGGAGCTTTAAAATAGGCAAACTTATAGCTGATTTGTTCTCCCTTCTAGCTTTTACATTAACAAAAGAACAGATCTGGGTGAGGAGAGTTTGGGCTGAACGTTGGCTGGTCCTCAACCTCTTGCCTGAGCTGCTGTGTAGTGCACCTCCTGAACATTTCATGATGTTCCTGACACAAGATATGGTGCTGTTTATAAAATAAAGGTGTGGTTTAAGAAGAGTATTTCATCTTGAGAGCCTCTATATCATATGTTTACAAGGTAGAAGGAAAAAATTATCTCTTCCTAACTTGAAACCCTAAGAATAACAACTACAATAAACAAATATATTCAATTCCAATAGGCCAGTTGGTAACTTTTGCACTCAAAGCAAAATGTATTGTGAATTCTAAGTTTGGCCAGGTAACCCATGGATTTCCAGAGAGGGAAAATGAGGGTACCTGAGGCCATAAGAGAAGAGAGAGAGAACGTGATTTCTAGACTGAGAAGTGAATTAAGAAGTCTTGATGAAAAGAGGTTACATATTAGTGGGAAGATGATGGGAAACAAAAAGATCATAATGTATTAAAGTGAAATCTAAGCCCCATGAGAAATCAAGGTAAACAGAATGAGTCGCCTTCACCTATTCTCTTGTTTCATAATACTTGCAAAATAGGTGTTGTTAATTTAATTAGTAGAACTGTTAGGCAGAGCCTGCAATTAGGATTTCCAAGCTCTGTCACAGTCTATCTATTTAGCTTAATTGTAGAAAAAATACAATGTTGAATATATTTCTTTAAAAAAATTGAGGGAGAGGACTTTCCCATAATCTGACAACTCTGACATTTTCTCTTGTAGTTTTTTTTTCAAATACAGAAGATATTTAGTTGCAATCATGTACATGCAATTTTGTGCTGTACATTTTTTTCTATTTTCTAATGCATATTTTTGTATTGCTTAATTTTTTTTAGTGATAATTTATAAAAGCTGAAAAATATTCCATTGAGTTGATGTATTGTACTTTAACTGTTTTTCTATTGTTGGATATTTAATTCAACAATTCTTTTAGACTTCTTGCCTTTTAATAAAGGAAATTAAACTATGTGTATCATTAAGATATACTTGTTCTTTAGAAATTATCCTATTTAACTAAAAGTATATATTATATCTCTTGCTTGTTTGCCTTTTAATAAATGGCTTATGCTTGTGTCTTGTATTTTATGGGACAATTTGTAAAATAACATAATTATTGAAATTCTATTGGTGATAATTTCAAAGGAGCTGTTCTCAAACCTTAGTGGCTAACAAGAATCACCTGTGGTACTTGTTAAAATGCGTATTTCTGAGCTCTATCTTCAGATGCTCTGATTAACTAGATCTTGGGTACTGGCTGAGGCATTCTCATGTAGGGGGTTATATAGCACAGGTAGGTAAGCACTGTCTTTACGGAAATTTAGGATATCATTTAGCACAACGTTAGTCAAATTAACCACAGAATGCTGGAAAATCTTTAATTGCATTTAGGAGTACTTTTTAAGGCAGCTTGTAAAATCTAATGATTCTTGTGCCTACAAGCAGAAAGTCTAGTTTGACTTTATGTAAAAACTCACCAGGCAGCAAAGAGGAAGTTAAGGCCAGGAGAACGAAGAAGAGAGCTCCTACCCCTGAGGTGGAAGACAGAAAGGGTAGAAGACTTGCCAGCTGCATGTTTGAGATGATGAGAGGTCTGGAGAAGATGTGAGGACTCACGAATCATAGATCCGTACTGTTCTCCAGCTACAAAGTGATGTGATAAAGAGACAGCAAACCTATTTGATTTCTTAAGAAATCTAAACAGCAGTTTCAATAAAAATAGTGTTTAAACATATTTAGTCAGCTTTATAGTTTGACAAAACTAAGGGCTTAAACTCATGTTCAGCACTTACAAAAAAAAAACCACAGTATTTCCACCTTATCAGAATAAAATATATGTAAATTTGTCATACTTTCCCCAAAGTCATTGGAGAATAAAAGTGTGATTAGGACCCAGTATGTCTTTATATGATGTTCTCCTATTTTAGTGTCCATCATGAAACTCAAAGCATTTGTCAGACTGTTCTTTTTCCTTTATTTCTCAAAATAAGCAGTGAGTGGGCAGATATCATTCCTATTTTGTAATCACAGAAAGAAAAGCACTGAAAAGTGAAATGTTTTGCTTGTAGTTCCACATCAGCTAGTTGATCTTCCACTGAATTCTGGAGGGCTGAGGTCTTACTTCTTTAGCTTTTTAAAGTGCTACAGCAGGCTTAGCACTGCTGGGAGAACTTTTCCACGCATCTGTCACATTTCTGCATATCTTAGGAGCAGAGACATCGACTATCTGTTGCCCAAGAATGTCTTTGATGAAGTTTGTACAGCAAACAGTCTTTGAAGACAGAGATAGTGTCTCCCTTTGGTGCAAAGGCAGGGCATGCTGGCTGTCCAGTATAAAAGATTCAAGTTCCCTAAATTCAAAGTCCTTTTCCTGAAATGCAAACCACTGCTCGTGCAGGCCTTCATCTCAATCTGCATTGCTTCTGTAGGACCTGGGGACAAGGGAAAAATATGGTACTCATGCTGCTTGCTGTGCCATCAGTAATAAAGTCCATTGTCTTTGACCCAAGAGTCTTATGTCATCAGCCAGCTTCCATGAATCTATGGCAGGCTAACTTGTTAGCTAATCAATGGGGTAAAATCTCACAGCCTTCACAGTTCTTGACAATCACAAAATGGTATTCAATTAAAGACTGTAAAAATGAACAAGACCCAAATAATAGAGTCTGAGTCTTCTGGCTGTAAATTCAGGGTGCTTGGAGAAATCTGTACTACCCTATAAAGTGCAGCCAGAGAAGTAGTAACAACCACACACGCCCTGGGGAGAAACAGATAACCCATTTTGAGTAGAATAACTGCTGACAAAGGTGGTTCATCTAATTGTATTTGAAACTATTGAACTTGGTGTTACAAACTTGTGTGGATAAGGAATGTTCTTAAAGTTACTGAGCTCACAGGAAACCTAATTTTTGTCCTTGTTCTCCTTTTCCTTCAATCTAGAGGTTTGCATTTTGCCCCGAAAATGAGGGCAGAGCCAGTGTGGTCCATTATGGTCACTTCTGATCTGCTCTTTAAGCTAGTGTGGTGCCTTGAAGCAGCTGATTCTGTGCTTCTGTGCTGATTTGGCACGGGCATCTCTACTGAGGCTGCACCCAGAGAGGGAAGTGAGTTCCCAGGCTCCTTGCTCTCTTTCCAGTTGAGGGGAAACCCTCTCTCTCTGTTAGGACAAATTCTCATTATACACATAACATAATACCTTCAAGGAGCTTATACTTTTTGAAAAACAAAATCAGGAAGGAAACACATCCTGGAGCAAAGGAGTCCAAAGGGTTTTGGCTCTTTTTCTGGAAAGTGTCTGAAGAGGAAAAATAATTTGAGAATAAAGCACAGTTAAATATTTCAATAAATCATCCAGCTAAACTGTTTTTTTTTATCTTTTCCTTCTTTATATTCTTCTTGAATCCTTTTCCAAATAAAAATGGGTGACCATTTTTGGAGCGTTACATGGATTGTTTTAAGGGTACAAGTTCTAGGACAGTAGCCTGGGAGTTAGAGGGGAGTTAAGGAAAGAGGTGGTACATGCAGAGGGTGAGCAATACAAATAGAAAACCTTTAAATTGGTCTCTTAGGCTTTAGCCCTCTTAGTTCTCTTCAACTAGTAACCCTTCCTCCCCGTATCAGGCTCTCAAGGTAAAACCAAGCAGCAAAATGCCTGCTTAACCAACACTTTTACAATTGAAGACTATGTAAATGACAATAAAACACTGGCAGTATGTGCAGATTCTCTTGCATACTAGATTCAGAACAGAAAATATGGTCTGTCTTGACTCTCACTGCTGTCAAGTGTTTAAATTGTCCTTCCAGCATATATTTAAAACACATTGTCATTGCAATGTTACCAAACAGTGAGCAAGTCAATGTATCTGAGACCACACAATGATTGACATTTTATAAGTCAAACAGAGAGACATGGAACCTCATTCTGTGACTGCTGTTTCCAGCTCTGAGGACTGCTGATACAGTTTCTGACAGTATGGGGAGATGTGTAATGTTGGTTCACAACCACAAGCTGTAGAGTCAGAAGGTAGCCTCAACTCTTCGGTCGCTTGGCACGTGCTCCTTTCTGGAATGAGAGAGAACCAACTCAAAGGACAGTAATGTCACTAACACATTTTCAAGCAGTTGTTCTCTTTTGTGTGAATGTTGGGGTATTCTGATTTTGTTATTTTCCATCTTTTACTTCTTTTGGGTTTGGGAAAGATGAGCTTATCTGGGTTATATGTAGGGCCACTTATACGATCACAGAGCAAGGCAAGGGGAGACACAGACCTTCTGGGACATGACACATGGTCATACATGGGTGAGCAAGGTTCTTGTCCTCAATTCAAATCATTTACCAAGTTTCTCACATACCATCAGAAAAATTTAACTAAGATTCAACTTTTAAAAATTTAATTTGCACCTGAAATGAAAGGACAGATTAAGCTTTTTAGTTAGAATAAAGTTCTATCCAAGCAGCTGCCCCAACTGAGTTAGGGTGAGATATTTTTCGCCCCTAGATTGTGAGCCATTGCAGAAGGCAGAAACTGCATTTTTAATTTTTGTATTCTAAAAACGTAGCTCAGTGCCTGGCACAAAATACATGCTTGATAAATTTTTGTCAAATAAGAGAATGAATACCAACAATTGAATAACAACAAATATAAAAGACTTTCAGACTTCCTGGGTTTTGTTTTCAGAGGTTACTCTTTCTATTGACATATTTTTTTTTCAGCTTGAATAACTACATCTCATTTTATTACATCTTTTATCTTTTTTCTAATTAAAGTTACCATGGTTCACAAACCCTGAGAAAATAGCAAGCTTATCCACTAGAGAGAATTTCTTGACCCTCATTCCCTTAATAAGCGTCCCTGGCAATGTTTTTGACTTCCCAAAAGAGTTGTTACACAGATTTCATATTATTTAGATGGAGAAAGAAGAGAACAACATGATCAATGAAATTAAGGCTTTTGCATAATTAGGGGAAAAAACACCCTTTGCCTGGCACAACTTCAATCTTCCTTTCCACCAGCTGCTAAGTCATTTTCATATCCCTTGCTGCTTTCTCCAAGCACAAACACACCTGTTCTCCCAGCTCAGTACCCATTTTATGCTGGCTCCTGTGAGCAGGAGATGTGAGTGTGTTTTGACTTGCGTCAGAGAGCTGAATAATCATCTCTTTATTCTGAAATGATAATAGCCCTCTTTGGCAGAGGTAGGTAGCTAAATACTGTTCAACCTTAGAATTTTTCTCCTGAGACCATGAGCAGGACAGTTCACTTAGCAAACCATTTGTAAGACAATTTCAAGCTCGAATTTCTCTGGTCAACTTGTTGTATCAATCTGTGAAAACTCCTCTGGTCTTTTATACTTTATGCAGTGGCTAGAGATGTGTGTTTGGTGACCTCACCAGAAACAAATATTCTTACGCTTCCAGTCTGCTGTAGATGAAGTTGCCACCAGATTGGGTGACTGGCAGCCAGCATGGCATCTCTTCCTTTGACACTCAAGAAAGGAACGTGATCTATTGCATAAAGGCTGCACAGTTTATGTATAAATGGAAGAAAGCAAGAGCAAGCATCGGGGCACGAGATTAAGAGGCCAATGGTAGAGCAATTGGTGTGCTGATAGACAATGATATTTGGCAAAAGTAGAGGCTATTCACATCTCTGCTATTCTTTTCTTTTATTTATTTATTTATTTCTTTTTTTTTTTTTTTTGAGACAGAGTTTCGCTGTTGTTGCCCAGGCTGGAGTGCAATGGCACAATCTTGGCTCACCAAAACTTCTGCCTCTCGGGTTCAAGCGATTCTCTTGCCTCAGCCTCCTGAGTAGCTAGCATTACAGGCATGCACAACCACACCCGGCTAATTTTGTATGTTAGTAGAGATGGGGTTTGTCCATGTTGGTAAGGCTGTCTCGAACTCCCAACCTCAGGTGATCCACCTGCCTTGGTCTCCCAAAGTGCTGGGATTACAGGTGTGAGCCACCGTGCCCGGCCCCATCTCTGCTATTCTTTTATATTTCCATTCCATGTGGATGAACTATATGGAATTCAGGCATTTTGGCTCAGAGCATTTTTAGTGCTTCTTATCACAGAATATTCAGGAGTGACTGACTCATTTTTTACTGGGAGTTGATTATAGGACCCCAACCCCAGCTGATTTATAACAGTTTCCAAAATAATGGTGTCATTCTGAGGATTTCGCTCCATTGTTCCACTCTGTATTTTCCCATCTGGTTAATACACCACTCATCTTAATTAGTAAAATGCCATCCTGTCTGGTTCTCCCTTGCCCAGAAAGTCATTCAGTTCCCAAATCACTTCTTCACCTCCATCATATAGTTTAGTATTTTGCAACAGGAAAACTGTAACATAGCACATTCTTCCTCTCACAGGGAAAAGTGAAACCCGCTACAGCAATGCTAATTAAGCAGAGTTTAACATTAGCTTTAATTTAAAGCGGCTCTCCTGAGACTTCTTAGCATATACCCAGGGTGTCATAAAATATGAAGCCACACTCCCTCTCAATTAGCATCCATTTATTTGGGAACAACACCAAGCAGCAATAAACAGGCACAACCTGTTCCTTTCTTTCATATTCTGCCTAGGAGCAGATAGCTTATTGGATGGTTGCTTCATAAGAAGTGGCATCTTCTAGGTGACTGGATTAAACCAAATTTGAGCCAGGAAAAATACCTTGCTAGGCATTCCTCTCAAATCTTAGGTATATTTTTTCAGTTTTAAGCTGCATCATGGCAGTGAGTTAACTGTTGAAATAGCTTGCATTAAAAGGAAGATGATTAAATCACATTCAAAATGGAATTGGCTTGGCCAGAGGTGATTGTAAGCAGAAAGCAAGCAGGTGGAGGCTACCGGGCCCGAGACTGTCAATGTGTTAGGTCTATGAATCAGGCTTTTAGAAACTTTTCCTATCCCTGCTGTAACACCTTCACCTTCCAGATCTAACCCTCCATCAGTTTTCTGTCTCTTGGCAGCTAGTGCCTGCCTTATTGAGCCTTTCTGATTTCCCTCTGTCAAACTGTAAATGACTAGTATATCTCTGGTCAGTAGTTAATGCTACTCTGCTAGTTTAGTCTATAGTGTTGATGCTAGACCTCCCAGATAAACATTTTTAGTATAGATGAGGCTGTCAAATTGTTTTCTTTCCATTTTAGTTCATGAACACCAAAAAAGAGGACATTTTTAGAAGAAAGGAAAGGAAAGGAACTTAGAATTAATCTATTAGCCTGCATCAAATCCTGGCACATTGGGTAACTGTTCAGTCCAACTGTGTCAGTTGTTCCTACTGGGAAGACCTCAATGCATTTACAAATGCATAGAAGTAATAATTTAAAAATTGTCTGGATAAGGTGATCTTGGCAAATTCAACCCAAACACAGAAGGCTTCTGCTTTTTCTTGTTATGTAGATCAGAGCTAGAATTTTAATAAATAATAAATAAGAGAGGTGGGAAAAAGAAAAAAAAATTACAGAAAATATCAATAATATCAAACATCTTCTAGGGCCCATCTGTTGCATAATCCATTAGCTGAGAAATTGCAGAGAGCCCTAATAATAGTACCTGAGATTTAAATAGTACATTTCAAACAAAGAGCTTTGCCATCACTAATCTCATCTGTTCTCACGACATCCTTTTAGGGTGAGCGCCTGGGATAGGTATTATTATCTATGTTTTACAAATAGAAACACCATGATACAGAATTTAGTGATTTAAGCGAGGTTATACACTGTTAGCCAGGGGAAATATAAGATGTATACCAAGTGCTATAACTATAGCACATCATTATAGCAGCTACATTATTCAGCTCTATGCAGACATGGTCCCAGATGTAATTTAATGACCTAAACAGCACTGTCCATAAGGTACTTGTGGGAAAAGATTAGATCCTCTTTTTAAGGGAATGCTGGTTGCATATATGATAATATATGTTCTTTATAAATGCATAACAAATGTCCTTTGCCTGGATGAAACACTTAAAAGTCCTTTCCCCAGCATGCATTTGTCCTTCCCCCCCCAACCCCCCGCAGATGGAGTCTCACTCTGTTGCCCAGGCTGGAGTGCAGTGGCCTGATGCCAGCTCACTGCAACCTCCGCCTCCGGGTTCAAGTAATTCTCCTGCCTCAGCCTGCCAAATAGCTGGAACTACAGGCATGTGCCACCACATCTGGCTAATTTTTGTATTTTTTAGTAGAGATGTGAGTTTCACCATGTTGGCCAGGCTGGTCTTGAACTCCTGATCTCATGATCTGCCTGCCAAGGCCTCCCAAAGTGCTGGGATTACAGGCGTGAGCCACTGCACCTGGCCGCATTTGTCCTTTTGATTGAAATATATGTTTATCACAGTCAGTGTCAATCATAAATATATGTGTGTGTGTGCGCGCGTGTGTGTGTATTTGTATATATATGTATGTGTGTGTGTGTGCATGTGTGTGAGGAGATATGTATGTGTTTATGTGTGAAACTTTTTGATATGCTGGCCAAATCTGAGGCTGAGCTACTGTCATTAGAACAAATTTAGATAAAAAGCAGCAGGAAATCTGGTCAGAGACAAATATGTAACAAAGTTCTGTCAGTCTCAGATGCACTCCAGCAGGTTTCCTTAGAGTTTGTAGTTGGGTGTTATCTTCCACTAATGGAAATATTCCTAGTTGGGGGTCCAAATAGAATTGGCTGTGGGTAAGACCATGGTGTTCCGCAAGAAAAATCACAGGGAGAACAGTGGGTCTTTTCATATTTGAGAAACGTTTAGCATGTCAGAAAAGAAGGGCAAATATCACATTTTAAAGTATTTTCTAGATTTCTCAGTTTTGCTTATCGTTATAACCTTGGAAACAAGTATTTAATAGAATTAGTTCATTCAGTCGACAAATATCAATTAAGCTCTTACTATGTGTGAGATCTTTATCTGGGAGCTGGGGACAGATCATTTAACAAGACATCCTAGGTCCCTGTCTGCATTGAACCGATATTCAAGGGGAGAGAGAGATAATAAGCAAGAAAAGAATGGGACTACAGAAAATAAACACATAAAAAAAAGAAGATAATTAGGGATTTTTAAAAAATCTCTTAAGGAAATAGGGTTAGGGAGGAGAGAGAGAGAGAGGAACTGAAAAAGGTCCTTTTGGACAAGGTGATTAGAGAAGACTTTTGAGAGGGTGACTTTGAAGCTGGGGCCTAAAGTTGTTGATAAAATGATATTTGTGATATTTATGTGTTTCTTAATCTGTACTGGGTCTCACATGCTGCAAAAGTAGAACAATATTTAATTATTAATTCCTTTGGAATAAAGCTTGCTATTCAACACACACCTTGGTTCTTATAGAGCCATGGTTCTCAAACTTTCTAGTCTCAGGATACCTTTACACTCTTAACAGTTGTTTATGTGGATTATATTAAGATATACTGTATTTGAAATTAGAGACATTTTAACATATTAATTTATTGAAAAATGTGATGTTTTATTACTGTTAACATAAGCAACATAACTATATATTTACATATTATAGATTTATATTTAATTATTTTTTAAAACAGAACCAACTAGTGAGGAGAGTGACATTGTTTTACACTTTTGCAAATCTCTTTACTGTCTGGCTTAATAGGAGACAGCTGGATTTGGATGTCTGCTCCTGCATTCAATCTGTCATGAAACGTTGTTTTGGTTGAAGTGTATATTTTTAAAAAATCCATCCTCACACAGCTATATAGTTGGAAAAGGGAGGATCTCATGTTCCTCTGGGAACCCACTGTCATAGAGTAGCTTTTAACTCAGTGTATGTAAAGCAATTCCAGGACAAGTGAAAAATCTCCATGGGAAGCCAGATATCTGGTGATCCTAATCATCTTCACATTTATTACTTTTCAGCGGTTTACCTCCCTGTTGTTATGGGCATGCATCAGGTTAAACTCACGTAGTAATAAAACTCAAATTTGACTTCCAGCAGCTTGTTCCTTTTTGAGCAATTTGCAAAGTGACTTTTAAATCTCTGAACATAGAAAATGTAGCAGGTGGTAGGAATTTACACACTATGACTCCTATTTTCACTTTATTTTCTACGACCAATGTCATTGTACTCTGGAGACTTCATTCCCACTGATGGCAGTATGCACTGGCTATGACGCACACCCTCACCTCTGCAGGTTCAAACAGTCTCTTTTCAGTAATTACTCAGTTTTCCAGGGTCTCTTCTCAGAGGCAAGTTTATGGGAATCTTATACTTCAGGGCCCCTCATTTGCCCAGGACCCTTTCAAGGCCTGGGAGGGACCCCAGCAATTTTCTATTTATAATTTTGTATTCTTTTTCCTAAAGAGGGTTCTATAAATTGTATAAACTTCAGGCAAAGCAAAACCTGGATTCTCCCCCTTTCCCCTTCTCTGTGTCTTCCTTTCCCCCTCCTTCTCAAGGTGGCAGCTAGAGGTGAGAGGGGATACTAACTAGCCTTTTGGCAATGGGAGAGGGATGTCTGCTCTTGTGAGGGATGCCTGGGTTCTTGCTGAATGAGCTTCTGAAGTGCCCTTGGTCCTGGGAACTATGATGGAAACTATTCTTGTTTCCTAGCTTGGCCCTCGCTTTAGTAGTTGCAGTGAGATAAATCTTCTGGGGTCTGGCTGTGATCCCTGACTTAGCTTTTGCTTTGTGGTCCTCTGCTGAAGAGTTATGTCATCCATGATCTTGGTAAACCTCTTATGAGCTTCACAGTCAACACCCTGAGCTATCTTCTGTGACTACCCAAGTAGTCACAATGATATCTCATTGTGCTTTTGATTTGCATTTCTCTGTTGAGTAGTAATGTTGAACATCTTTCCATATGCTTGTTAGCTATTTGTATGTCTTCTTTGGAGTAATTTCTATTCAAATTCTTTGACTGTTTTTCTTTTCTTCTTTTGCTGACATCTCCTGCCACCTTGTGAAAAAGTCTTCCTTTCTTGGGTCAGGAAATTCCTATAGCTAATAGTCTTATCTCTCCTGCACCGTAGTTCCTTGTAAAGCTCTCTGCTTCAGTTTTCTCTACCTAGTTCATGAAAAGTAAAGTTTCGCTTCACAAGTAAAGCCTGGAATTTGCAAATCAAAATAACTTGTTTAGACTATTGTCCTACTAACTCAAAAGGTGATTAATTCCCTAGTTTAGGATTTATTATATAGAGAGATTCTCCCAAAGCAGTATATGAATCCACTCAATCCTGCTCTCCACTCCAACCCCACTTAACTTCCATTTTTCTTGCTGCAGTTCTAGTTTAAGCCCTGATCATTTTTCATGTGAACTCTCTCAATAGGCTTCTGTTTTGTTTCCCCATGTCTGATCTTGATCCTTTCAAGCTATCTTGTTCCTTATTGCTAGAGTGCTGCTATTTACAAAATATGATTTTGATAGTTACTCAACGCTTAAAACTTTTCAATGGCTCCTGTGGCCTACAATAAAAAGTCCAGATTTCTTAGTGCAGTGTATAAGGCTAATTATCATATGAGTTTTGACTACTAGCTTGTGTCTCTACCATACTCTGAATACCTTTTTTTCCTCATAGTACTTAAGCCTTCTTCCTCCTCTCATAGTCAGCCTCTTGAGGGAAGGGCTCTGTAACATCTTCGCATCCTTTTATCTCACATAGTTTCCGACACAAGATAGGTACATGATAAATATTTGCTAAATTAATAAAGGTAAATAATTATGCCTAATTGTTCATTTTATTATTTTGAACTTTATTATATTGGCTTTTCCTTAAGCTGGAATATATATGTATATAATTAAATTAGGTTTTCCTGAAGCCACATATATATGGCTTTAGAAAGTATATAGGATAATATAGGATATGTATGTGTATCTATATATGGACACACATTAATATCCTATCATATTATCCTATATATTTTTATCCTATATTATTTTATATATTATATTATCCTATATATTTTCTAAGGCCATATATATATGTGACTTTAGGAAAAGCAAATTTATTATATACATATATATTTCAGCTTACGCATATATATGTCCTATTAAGACATATAAGTACAGGGATACATAATATTTTGGGTCAAATTCCATCATCCTTAAAATCTACATTGATAAACTAATAAAATTTAGAGACTGAAAAGAAATGAAATTATGCGATTCATGCCCCAAAAAGATTTACAATCTGCTAATGATGTCATAGCAGAGTTTTAATAAAATGTCCTAAATAAGCAAGGAATTACGCAGGAAGAGGGAGTCATTCCACTTTTAATTTTATCCTTCTATATTTTAATGGAAAAGGCACTGTTGTTTTCACTGTCCATTTCTTCTTGTTTCAGACTCATGGTTCAGGGGTTTACTTATTTAAGGCATGAAGATCTTCCTGATATTTAAGAGATATTCTTCCTCATTTTACCATGATTTAACTTTGCATGCTGAACCAAATATGGCAGAATCAAATAATGCATTTTGCACTATGTTTTCAAAGTTATTATTATTATTATTATTATTTTACTGAGTAGAATACCTATTTTGAACCTCTCGGTTCCATCCCCTATCATGATTGACTGTCAGGAAGCACCGTGGGGGCTGATGTTCAGAAAGCCCTTTCAGCTACATTTCATATGTTCCTTCTCAAAATATTCCTGTGCCTCAGTGTTCCTTAGCCAATATTTATGTGGCAGGGAAATGTGTCTTATCTCTTTTGTGTAGATGATTAAAGTGCTGCACAACCATAAGGTGGTTTCATTCTGCTGTTTTCTACCCTACACCTGTGACTTTGATAGGGAGCTGTTGATGGGCCTGGGAATAGCTTGCAGATGTGTATGTACCAGCAGTATGTTAGGATTCAGTCTGAAAACTAGCAAGTCTGCAGCCTTGGCATCCAGGGCTAGATGTTTCTCACATTTTTCTTTCCTACATTTCTTCCTGTTCAGCCCCTGGTTTTCCAGAATCGTGGTTAGGTTTATATTGGTTAAGGTTTCTGTTTGTTTGTTTCTTAAAGCTTCCTCTTGTAGTTTAAAATCCTGAAGATCCTCAGAGCTTGAGCCTTGACCTTAGGTTTGGAGAATGTGGGGTCTGTGCAGCTGTGATCCTACTTGAATAAGTTTGGGCAAGTCATGGGACAGGAGTCTCTGTTTCTTCATTTGTTATATGGGTTTATTATCACCTGACAAAAGGGTTTCTTTAAAGTTTCCATGAGATTATTTGTGAGCGAGTGCTTTGAAAGGTGTAAACTGTTGTACAATTTTGACCTGGTATAATAATGATTTTTTTTTGAGACAGAGTCTTGCTCTGTCGCCCAGGCTGGAGTGCAGTGGCATGATCTTGACTCACTTCAACCTCTGCCTCCCGGGTGCAAGTGATTCTTCTGCCTCAGCCTCCCGAGTAGCTGGGATTACAGGTGTGTGCCACCATGACCAGCTAATTTTTGTATTTTTAGTAGAGATGGGGTTTCAGCATCTTGGCCAGGCTGGTCTTGAACTCCTGACCTCATGATCCACCCGTCTCGGCCTCCCAAAGTGCTGGGATTACAGGCATGAGCCACTGCGCCCGGCCCGATAATGATGTATTTTTTAACCTATGGCTATTAAATTCCTGTGGGCAATTATGTGGGATGAATCTTTGCTATATTATAATAACCAGTGATTTCAGCTAATGCAGCCAAACATCTGGTCAAATCCACTGTAAAGCTATTTCAACTGAATTGGTTAATAGACCTGTATATAGAGAGAGTCCAAAATAGCCTCAAAATTTAACTTTGCTTTTAATAAAGAAGCTTCCTGTTTGTCTCATTAATGGCACCTGTCTGACTCACTTCTGAGCCAGATGTTATACTTCATCGTTTCATAATGTGTCATTTCTGCACACCGACTTTCTTTTCATAGTTTCTGAAGCAAAATCTATTTCATCCCATCACCAGGATATTGTTGGTGACAGCTGCAACACCCGAATAGGTAGCTTTAGCTTTCACATGGACATAGATATGGAAAATGTTCTCAGAATCGAGCCAGCAGGGAATGAAACATATGGCAGGCAGTGAAAGAAGTGAAGGCTCGTTTCTATAACAAACCCCTCTGAGTTTTGACAAGGCTCTCTGATATACTGTCAAACCACCCCAGGGCTGAGAGGCAGGTAACTCTTCTCTATCTCTAGTCTGAGCACTAAGACTTGCCTGAGGAAAGAACTTTCTTACATTGTTATCTAAAAACTGTGAGTTCTTCATGATTAGATATAATAAATAGTTTGTAACCCCTAGCTGCTCATCAGATTCACCTGCATAGATACTTAGAACTCTCCCCAACCCCCTCCCCCTGCATCCTTCAATATTTTAATTCAGTAGGTCAGGGATGGGGCTCAGGCATTTTTTTTTATTTTTTTATTTTATTATTATTTTTAGTTCTTCTGGTGTTTCTGACGTGCAAAAAGCTAGCCAGAAATGTATTAGAGAATCTAATTATCAAATGGACGGTTGTTCTAGAAGATGGACTTTAAAGACCTCTGCCAAAGCTGAGTGTGTAAAAGTAGATGAAGATAAATCTTCACTTGCAGGGGTCAAAGTCTGCAATGCATACAGGAACTAATAGGTAAGGTGAATGTGAAGTGTGAAGCGGCTTATACAATATAAGTAGTGATGGGGATTGTGGCAAACTGGAGAATGAAACTCTGTTGAAAGGCACGCCAGCTAACAAAATGTCACTGTGGACAGATTTGGCCTTTGTTCTCCTCTTTTACTTGAGTATAAAGTCTTCATGCCTGGAGTTTTCTTCAGTTTCTCCTGTGTGAAATACTCAGTGTTATTTTCCTTTTGAGATTTTAAAAATAATGTTAAAACATTAAATGTAAGAGGGGTATCTTGTAGACTGCTTTTCACAAAGGTAGAGGAGAGGAATATGATTAAAATGGATCCATTTCTATTTCTCATTTTATCCCCCAGCTTACCCCATCTGACTACATGGATAGCAAGTTTGAGTTGGATGAGGCTAAGCAGGGCATAGTGAACCTGACATTCAGTTTTTCTCAATTTCTTCTGCTCCTGGATTCACTCCTAATCCTGTAGGACAGTGGTAAGAAAGACATCAATAAAATAAGAGAACTATAAATGAATAGGAAGCACTTCAAGAAGATTTGAAGAACTATTTTAAAGTTAGAAGTATTTTAGGGGCATCTGCTGAAAATGTTGCCTAACTGTGATATTTCTTTTTTTCACTCTGGGGCAATGAAATTTTATGAGTCACTAAATACATATTTTGACATCTGGCTTCACTGCTTTTTTTTTTTTTTTCTGGAATGCTGTAAATTCTCATCATGAGAGTTTACTTCTTGTCAGTCTTTTGATACTATACTCTCAATCATTTTCTGGGTGATTTACAGATGGTGGTACCTAATTGCCTTAGGCCTTAGTTTCCTGTTAATTCCCTAGGCTATGGTAAGGCATAAGGCAAGGAATGAAAATGTTAAACTTTATGTGAAGGCAGGCTTAAATTTTGACCTTCCCTAACTATGCAACTTTTATCTTTGTGCTTGTTTCATTTGTTAATGTAAATTCTTATATTTAGCATTATTTAGACATGATTTCATACAGATTTGAAGATTCTCTTGACTTAAAATTTTGTTCTGACACCTCTAGTCTTAACTACAGCTACCAGTTTTGGAACTCTGATCCATGTGAGATCCTGAGATGTTTTAATTTAGAGTTTGTTGATTTTATTTTGTAGAGAAATTAATTTTACATAGACATAAGGTAACAACTGCTCTTTTTTTATAAGTAAATTTTTAAAAATTTCAACTGAATATTTATGAGCATCAAAGAGAGTTTTAGTTTCCCTGTATGTCTATGCTGTTTGATACATGGAAAATGTGGATGAGCAATAGGTACTAGCCATTTTCATGTGTATGAAATAAAAATTTCTTCTATGATTGTGCATTTTAGGCTATTGGCTCAAGGGTAAGGAAGGGACTAGATTATAGTTCTAAGCTTCTGATCATAGTGTTTTTTTCCTCCCTATGGCTATATTGCCTGATTGTCTTCTGATTTTTATTTTTTATTGGGGTCCTGGTTCTGTATTTGTGAACTTATGTTTTGACTTATGAAGTTTTATATTAAGAGCTAGGTAATGAATAGAAAATGACTATCAATGATACCACATCAAAACTGGCTGCCTAGAGTATGTATAATTTTCTCTCTTATCTCCCTCTTCTCCAATTTTATGGATTCTTCTAGAGTATTTTAAGAGTTTCATTGAAACCTGATTACCATCATAGTGAGAAACGTCTATCAGTAACACTCACCATTAGGCAACCTTGTGGGAGGTATACAAGGAAATTTCTGGAGTGAGTTTGCAATTACATGTTCCAGGAAATTAAGGATAATATGAAGTCCAGCTCTTTAATAACCATCTTAATTAGTGAAAATGTGATGGAGAAAATGGATGGAATCCTGCATATGTATGTAAACTTTTAGAAAATTAGCCCTCATGCATACCTAACATCTCAGATGTCAACATTGAGTTCTAGCCTGTCGCATTAGTTCCTTAAATGGTACTGCCTAACCTTAGGTATTGCTGCCAGAGTGTGAAAGAATGTGTTTTGGGTAAGTTACTCTTTACATTTACCAGGAAAACTCCTTGGGGTGTCTAAAGGCACAGAGTTAATTGCTGAAGCAAACTACAGGAACTCTTAGGACCACAGCATTCTTAGGATGGCAGTGAGAATCTTGGAATGGGAGATCATCTTGAGTTGCCAACATTTCCCAGCAATTGGTTTCTAGTTGAGAACAAATAGGCATTTATTTTAGAATCTGTGGAGGCGCTTTCACTTTTTTTGTTTTGTTTTGTTTCCACTTCTGACATTGGAATTAGTGAGGAAGGTTTTGCCAGCAAAGGATAAGATCCTAACATGCTGGAATCCTAATTAATTGCTTCAGGAAAGATATTCAATCTACTTGCCTGAGGGTTAATGACCAGTTTTGTTTTCCTGACTTTCCTGAAGAGAACTGCTTCATATGCAGCCTGGATTTGGGCAGGGCGTAGAAGTTAAAAACAGGCCCAGCTTTGAGGGGCAATGCTTGAGTGACTCAAAGTAAGGTTGTTTTGTTTTTGTTTTTGTTTTCCCCCTCACAGGGTGCCTCTATGCTACTCACTGATTTTTGTTCTCCCAAATATCACATATATCAATCCTATAATATTTGATTAAAATATTAGAATAGTTTTGAATTTTATTGCCTCTTGCATCAGAGCATAGCTTACCCAGACAGCCACATCACAATGAGCACATTATTGATTATTCATGAAGACACCCTAGGCATTGTACTTATTAGCTCTTCTTTAAATTGAATAGGCCTACTCATGTAATTGAAAAGATTAATAGGAGCCGGGGCTGCAAGTGAAGAAATGGAAGGCCAACTTGCAAATCTGATTAAAATGTCTAGTATATTGAAATAGAGGAGATGTAAAATTAAGAAAGTTACAAGCAGGAAATGGCAAACACCAGCTGAGGCGATAGGGAATGCCATATGTTATATGTTCTTCATGCTTTTTTTTTTCCTCTTGCTTTTTTCAAGAAAGACTATATATAAAATACACACATTATATATATACATGCATACATTACCCTGGCACATGTATCATTAAGGATCTCCTTGGAAAGACAAGTTGATATATTTATTTTTTGGAAACAAAAATTCAAAGTTATTTTCTGCAACATCAGGTTTGCATTTATACCAGTAATCCCACGACTCTATTCATTGTTGAAGATTTAAAATTCTAGTCAGTTTACTTTTGGTTTTCCTGTTAGATTTTATCTGTCCAAGTTCTGAGCTCTGCTGTCTCTCTGTGTTTCTGTTGATGAGCATCCAAGGAATAGTTTTGAAGCCTGTTCCAATCTATTCTTCCCACAATATTTGTTTAACACAGGATAAACAACTGATCACAAAGGATAAACAATGATAGAATATTCTTAATCTTATTGTATTAGGGCCATGCAAATCTGGGAAGCATTTATTACGTGAAGGCAAATGCAAATTTTATGTTATTTCATAATGTGAAACTACTTTTGGATGTCAAAATGAATTATCCCATTTATATTCCCTGTTTAGATTTACTTTAAAAATTTGACATTTCCTTCTGAAATTCACTGTTCAAAACCTGTCTGCATATTTATGTTTTTTCATCATATACTGCTCTAAACAATAATCAATAAAGCATGCAATAAAAAGTCTAGAATTACTAGTTGTTAAGAAAATCAACAACTTTTGAAAAAGGAGCAGCTATTCATCCTATCAGCTCATCTACATCTCTCCAGGCCTTAGATGTCTTTGACCTCCCTAGTTTGCCTTCCAGATGGCAGTAGCAACTAAATGTCCTCTACATGTTCTGTATTCTGATTTCATAGAGCTCATTTAAAAGGAAACATCTCAGCCTTGATGAACAATTTATCATTGTTTAATAGATTTACAAAATTACATCAAGAATGCTCTCTGAGAGGAAGTCAAATTGTCTCTGTTTGCAGATGACATGATTGTATATTTAGAAAACCCTGTCGTCTCAGCCTCAAATCTCCTTAAGCTGATAAGCAACTTCAGCAAAGTCTCAGGATACAAAATCAATGTGCAAAAGTCACAAGCATTCCTATACACCAATAATAGAGAGCCAAATCATGAGTGAACACCCATTCACAGTTACTACAAAGAGAATAAAATACCTAAGATACAATTTACAGGGGATATGAAGGACCTCTTCAAGGAGAACTGCAAACCACTGCTCAAGGAAACCAGAGAGGACATAAACAAATGGAAAAACAGTCTATGCTTCATGGACAGGAAGAGTCAATATCGTGAAAATGGCCATACTGCCCAAAATAATTTATAGATTCAATGCTATCCCCATCAAGCTACCATTGACATTTTTCACAGAATTAGCAAAAACTACTTTAAATTTCATATGGAACCAAAAAAGAGCCCATATAGCCAAGACAATCCTAAGCAAAAAGAACAAAGCTGGAGGCATCATGCTACCTGACTTCAAACTATACTAAAAGGCTACAGTAACCAAAACAGCATGGTACTGGTACCAAAACAGATATATAGACCAGTGGAACAGAACAGAGGCCTCAGAAATAATGCCACACATGCACAACCATCTGATCTTTGACAAACCTGACAAAAGCAAATGGGGAAAGGATTCCCTATTTAATAAATGGTGTTGGGAAAACTGACTAGCCATATGCAGAAAACTGAAACTGGACTCCTTGCTTACACCTTATCCAAAAATTAACTCAAGATGGATTAAAGACTTAAATGTAACACCTAAAACCATAAAAACCCTTGAAGAAAACCTAGGCAGTACCATTCAGGACATAGGCATGAGCAAAGACTTCATGACTAAACCACCAAAAGCAATGGCAACAAAAGCCAAAATCGACAAATGGGATCTAATTAAACTAAAGAGTTTCTGCACAGCAAAAGAAACTATCATCAGAGTGAAGAGGCAACCTACAGAATGGGAGAAAATTTTTGCAACCTATCCATCTGACAAAGGGCTAATATGGAGAATCTACAAAGAACTTAAACAACTTTACAAGGAAAAAAACCACCAAAAAGTGGGCAAAGGATATGAACAGACACTTCTCAAAAGAAGACATTTATGTGGCCAAACATAGGAAAAAAAGCTAATCATTACTGGTCATTAGAGAAATGCAAATCAAAACCACAAAGAGATACCATCTCATACCAGTTAGATTGGAGATCATTAAAAAAATCAGGAAACAACAGATGCTGGAGAGGATGTGGAGCAATAGGGATGCTTTTACACTGTTGGTGGGAGTGTAAATTAGTTCAACCATTGTGGAAGACAGTGTGGTGATTCCTCAAGGATCTAGAACCAGAAATACCATTTGACCCAGCAATCCCATTACTGGGTATATACTCAAATGATTATAAATCATTCTATAAAGACATGTGCACATGTATGTTTATTGCAGGACTGTTCACAATAGCAAAGACTTGGAACCAACCCAAATGCCCATCAATGATAGACTGGATAAAGAAAATGTGGTACGTATGCACCATGGAATACTATGCAGCTATAAAAAAGGATGAGTTCATGTCCTTTGCAGGGACATGGATGATACTGGAAGCCATCATTCTCAGCAAACTAACACAGAAACAGAAAACCAAACATCACATGTTCTCACTCATAATTGGGAGTTGAACAATGAGAACGCGTGGACACAGGGAGGAGAACATCACACACCAGGGCCTGTCGGGGAGTGAGGGGCTAGGTGAGGGATAGCATTAGGAGAAATACCTAATGTAGGTGACGGGTTGATGGGTGCAGCAAACCACCATGGCACATGTATACCCATGTAACAAACCTGCACGTTCTGTACATGTATCCCAGAACTTAAAGTATAATGATAATTTTTAAAAAATGCTCTTCCTCTCCATGACAAAACAAATAGCAGTGATATTTTCATTTTAGAAAGGAGCACACCGCTTAAATGGCTGATTTGTTCCGTGGCTTAATTCTCTGCCGTTTTGCAGTCTTGGAACCGGTAGGGACAGTTGTCTTTTTGGTAGACAATAAAAGTTGGCTCTACTAAAACAAAGAAATATGCTTTATAACCATCAGATACTTCATTCTGGATGTGACATTATCTTCTGGAAGACCCATTTGTAGAAGGAAAGGTTGCCTAGTTGTCAAGAATTGGCAGTGACCTGGTATGTCAGTTTAAGCTACACATAGACTGCAACAAAAGCTCTTTGAATATTTACTTTTTTGTTTGTTTTGTTGTTGCTGTCGTTTTTTGAGACAGGGTTTCATTCTGCTATCCAGGCTGGAATGCAGTGGCGCTATCAGGGCTCACTGCAGCTTTGACCTCCTGGGCTTAAGCAATCCTCCCACCCCAGCCTCCTGAGTAGCTGGGTTTACAAGTGTGTGCCACCATGTCTGGCAATTTTTTTTTTTTTTTTTTTTGTAGAGACAGGGTCTCCCTTAAGTTGCCCAGGCTGATCTTGAACTTCTGGGCTGAAGTGATCCTACTGTGTAGGCCTCCCAAACTGCTGGGATTACAGGTGTGAGCCACCACATCTGGCTGAATTTTTACTTTTATTTTTAACAGGCAAATCTCACTATGTCACCTAGGCTGGAGTGCAGTGGCTACTCACAGGCCTTGAAGTCCTGGGCTCAAGCAATCCTCCCACCTCAGGCTCCTGAATAGCTGAGAACACTACATGTAGTCTTACATAGACCAGCATTACTGGTATGGATAAAAGCATTATAAAAATTATTAATTCAGAATGCCAAAAAGGTTTAGGGTCTGGGGATTATAAAGGGTTGGGGATTATATATATAAAAAAAGCTATGTCCAGAAAGACATTGATAATCTTTGGATTATTCTACAAATCCCTGAGTTACTACATGTTTCAGAAAAGTGCCTCCTCCACCTCCTCTTCCTCCTCTTTTTCTTAAACAAGTGAATTATCTACCTATGTTTTGATTGTCTATTGTATTTCATAAATGATAGTCTATGTCAGGAAAATGGAAGCTCAAAGTAAGGAAATGAAAGCTTTCTCTTTTTAAATTATAAGTAAAATAGTGGTTATAAATACAAAATCCCAGGGTAATTTGACTGACAAATGTAATCAGACCAAGCTCATTCTTTGTTTCAGTCTTCACAATGGGAGATGCAGAACAGCTGGCAGGAATCAATGTACTCTGTGTTTCTCATGGGAGAAAGAAAGAACACTGAAGGAAACAAGGACTGTGCCAGGAGAGGTGATTAAGCAATTAGAATATTTTGAAGTCTAAAATAACTGTAGTATCAGGAGAACAACTGAACGAGAAAATAAATTACTGAGAGTAAAGCAGTCTGTAGATTTTGGGAAGATTCGTAGGTGTGTGAGAAACAAGACATTTTGGAATCTTAATGTAATCTGAGAAGTAAAATAGACCTGTATTCCTGTCATTCTCTTTCTCATTTTCTTCCTCCTCACCAAATCATGATGTTGAAGGTCAGTGAGAAGAGTCAATTCGGGCTGTTTCTCACGAAGGTGTACACCAGTCATCCGGAATGTCAGTATCCCTTATTCAGAGTGATTTTGATAAATGTGCTTAAATAAATAAACACTCTCATTTCAACTAAATAATTTGGTGGGAATCATAGGTAAAATGCCATAGTATGAACTAAGTCATATCACTGGTCCCCTGAAAAAGTGAAGGTGGAGTTTTTGTGCTTGTAAATACTGAAAAATGATGTTTCTATATTACTTATTTTTATAATGCTATTTTCATTCTGTGTGATGTTCAGGTTCTGAATATCACAGGGGTGGAAAGATAGACAAAAAGACAGGTAAGAAAAGGGAAAGATAGGAAAAGCATTTAAACATTTTGTAGCATTTCCAGAGTACTGGTGCCTATTTTTTTTTTTTTTTTAAACTTGCTTTAATTGATTTCTCTCTGTGCTTCTCAACAGAGCTTTCCTTAAGAGTGAGGTGTTATATTTATGGTAGGATTAACATGTTATTGGGAGAGTTCTGTTTCTTCCAAGATATTTTAGTTTCTCACTCTTTTAGTTTCTATAGTTTAACCATTCAGAATTGATTTCTTCAGGTCTTCAAAAATGGCCCAGTGAAATGTAAATATACCAGGAAAGTTAATACTTTGAGCTTCCGTTGGCTGAAACCAGGGTGGGGGTAGGCTCACTTCAGTAAGATAAACCCTGAATGTAATATAGGCTAAATGTGAGGATGGGAGGACAGTCGTGTTCCCAGAGGACAGCTCAGCAGTAAGGTGAGAAACTTTTGTGGAGCCAGGGAGTGCTGTAACTTGCTAGGAGAACTAGTTAGCAGCTGATTACAGCTTCCATTCTTAAGTTGAACAGATGAGTTACTTAAAATGGTTGCGTTGGGGGGCAGGTTGAAGAATTTTGTGTCGTTCATCATCTTACTGAGAGTCATAAATAAACAGGCTTACATTCTATTTTAAAACAAAGAAAACAGAGGGCTCTGACAGAAGTACACTGTAATTGTGACCATGTGTGAAACCCAAATATAGGCCATAACAATATTTCTACCTGTCCCTGCAGGAACTAAGACATTTGGTGAACTACTTTCTAAAATTTCAAATAAATTATAAAAATTCAGCAAATATAAGAAAACAAAAAAAAGTTACATGGAGTCTTATCTTCCAAAGATAACTGCTGATAACATTTTAGAGTATTTATTTCCAGTCTTTAAAAAAATTAATAATGTTTCAACTTACCTGGTTATGAAAGAAATAGATGATCACTGCACAAAGTTTAGGTAATTCAGAAAGTGTAGAGGAAACAGTCTTTACAAACCGTATTAACTTAGAGATAGCCACAGTATTTCCTTCCTGCATTAAAAAAAAAAAAATCTGTCCAAATGAGATGTGACAGACTACTGGTTGTCCCCAAAATTCATTCTGCTTTTCTTCCTGGACACATGGCAATTCAACTGAAAACTAAATTTCCCAGGTTCCCTTGAGGTTTGCTGTGGTTACGTGACAAAGTTCTCACCAATGAAACATAAACAGAAGTCATGTGTACAATTTCTGCCCATTTTCTGTAAGGTGATTGTCCTGGCCTGTTCCTCTGTTTCCTTCCCACCCACAGGGCCTGATTCTTTGGACGGGAGCAGGAGTTCCAGGCTGATCACAGGGGTAAGGTATGATAGCACATACCCTTACCCCAGTCTGGGATTTGCCTATATTTTTCATCTTAGAGAACCCATGTACCTTTTGGGGACTTCCAAAGGGATACTCAAGCAGAAGGAAGTTCGAGTTTGTAACCTTTTAGTTAACAGCTAATGATACAATGATCCCTTGGATTTAGTGGCCTTCCTTACAAACAAGCCAATGGGACCTAGGGGAAATTTGAATTTGTATGTTGGTATTTTTAATATTCTATACATTTATAAATACTCTGTAAATATTTAAATAAATACCATACATTTATTTTGGCACATATTCCTATATCATTAACTGTTCTTTGAAAACATGATCTTCAATAGTTGTATAATTACATGGATAAATTATTTTTTATTGGACATTTAAATTGTTTTCAGTTTTTATTAGAATTGATATATGTATGTATATATTACTTTGACTTACTAATTTTGTACTTTGGATAAAATGCTGAAAGTAAAATTAATGGGTCATAGGTCGTGTACATTTTAAAGACTGTTGGCATATTTTGGGCTTAATAAACTGTCACCATAACTGTGAGGTACCAGGGATGTATCTGTAAGTCTCTTTCCCAAAGACAAATTACACATATGACAGCAATGGAAGGAATCACAGAATGCTTACAAAAGGATCATGAAAAGTCCCTCATTATCAAGAAATTATGCTGGTTAACTCTCTAATGATTCTGTTAGAGAATAGAGAGAAAGTTGATTTTTAGTGCATTGAATAAGTCAAGAAATTTGAGATTGGATATTACCGTGCATCTTGGTGTTATTATTATTTTTTTAGAGATGGAGGTGTCACTGTGTTTCCCAGGCTGGAATGCAGTGGTGCAATCATAGCTCATTGCACTCTAGAACTAACTCCTGGGCTCAACCGATCCCCCTGCCTTAGCTCCCCAGTGACTGGGACTACAGATGTGAACCACCACACCCAGGTATCTTGGCTTAAATAATGTGAGACCTCTGCAATCTCCTGATTTCTGCTTCAGAGAAGGTGACTAAAGGGGATGGAATCTTTCTCCATTTGAAGCAGTTTCCCACTTGCTACCTTAAAGCTTGCTGTATCCTGGGAGCAAATGCTTCCTCAAGTAGGAAGAGTAAACCAAGAACGTCAGTCCAGAAGATCATAGACAGCAAAGAATCTCATCTTTGACAGAGGTCTGGAACTTAATGAGGTTTCATTGGAATACTGCTTAGCACTATCTGTGTTGGGAAATTAAGGCAGAATAGAAGCATTTAGCTTAAAACTTCTGTTTCACTGTGATGACAAAACTGAAGTAAAACAGCTCAGTATGGGGGAGGCAATCCTGGTTCGTTGTGATAGCTCCTAACAACATTAGTGACTCTTGAAGGCTTAAATTTCACATACAAAATCTATAGTATGGAGAAGCCATTACTGCCTCCATCACATAAATGTGCTACTTGCTCCAATTCTGAATTTTTTTTCATAGCACTTTCATTTAAAATAGTTAAAAACTGGAATGAAGCCAAATGTTCATCAGCAGGTGAATGAGTAAACATATGGTGGTATATTCATACAAAGGAATACTACTCAGCAATAAAAATAGGAACATATTTCTGTTATGTGCAATATCATGTCTTAAATTTTATACAAATGAAATAATACAAGGTGTACTCTGGTTTCTTTTGCTCAGCATAATGATTTTGAGCCCCATCCAGCTAGAGTCCATTTGCAATAGTTCACACCAGCTGATTGCACATATCTCTTTCCAACTCTGCATTTAGTGACATCACAGTAGCAGTTTGAAATAAAGCATGATGGGAGTATTTGTATCATGGAAATTGGCAAATGCTACATAAACCTGGACTTTAATAAAATTACTGTGAACATTTTTGCACAAAAACAGCTATGGACGTTCTTGCAGAAGTCTTTTTTTGTGGACATGTATTTTCATTTTGCTTGGGCAAATACTTAGGAGAGGAATTACTGGGCCATAATGTAGATATATATTTTACTTGACAAAAAAACTATACCTCATTTTTGAGGCATTAGGTATTCAAACTGGAAAAAGAAATGTGGAACCAGGATGTCCAGCATCCTTTCCTTAGACTCTTGTTTCAATGCTACTAGTATCCCACTCCACCACCACTCCTCCAGATTAGAAGAGAGAAACTCATGTGCTATGGTCTGAATGTTTATGTCCCTTCAAAATTTATACATTGAAACCTAATCCCCAAGTGACAATATTAAGAGGTGGGACCTTTGGGAAGTGATCAGGTCCTAAGGATACAGCCCTCATAATAGGATTAGTGGCCTTATAAAAGGGGCCCCAGAGAATTGCCTTGCTCTTCCTCCATGTGAGGATGAATCAAGAAGGTGCCATCTTTGAGGAACAGCCCTCACCAGACACTGAACCTGTTGGTGCCTTAATCTTGGGCTTCCATCCTCCAGGACTGGGAGGAATAAATATTTGTTGTTTATAAGCCACCTAGTATTTTGTTACAGCATCCTGAACAGACTATGACACTATGACAGCTTGTGCATTTAATCATTAGTTAATTAGTTCATTCAACAATACTTATTGAACATCTACTATGTGCCAGGCACTGTGGTATGCACAGGAAATACAGTGGTAAATAGCACAAGTAAGCACAACTTACAGTCTCGTGAATATCCAGCCTCTTTTGGACCTCTTCATTTCTGCCACATTTTTCATATGTAGAAGGGACAATTATAGAGCCACTCTCTTAGTCACCAGGATGGAGAGTTTCATGGAGAGTGACACCTTGGTTCCACATTTCTTTTTTGTTTGAATACCTAATGCCTCAAAAGTGATGTATAATTTCTTGTCAATCCGACCACAAAATCCAGGCAGATTTGAGGCTTGTCATGAATGATAAGTTGAACTTGTTTAAGGTCACTTTTGCTTTGTTTTACTATCTAACCAGAGAATAGAGGTGTGCCTGAAGCTTGGGGGTGTCACCGTCTGGGCAGAGTAAGGACCCCACAAGGTCAAAGTAGCCCAGAGCTGTGAATTATCTGTCCTAACGTCAGATAGCATTGAGGGATGGCCTTATGGCAGCCTTTAAGGCTTCACTCTATTGTCATAGAAAACTGAGTCTTGTTCTGCCACAGTTATCTACTTCTGTGTTTTTTGTTTGTTTGTTTGTTTGTTTTTACTGTGTCACTGAGCCCACCAAAATTTTTAGTGCCGGAGACCCCGTATGCTCATGTTGAATTTGCCAACATAATGACAGTATTTGTTCTTTCCAACACTCACCATCTGGGAAGGAGAGAGCTTAGTGAGTGTTATGTCCTCTCTCTGGGCAGAGGTAAATAAATGATAAGAAAATATCCCCCAAATAATTATGCTGCTGTTGGAAAATGATCATCTCCATTTTAAAGACAAAGAAACTGAGGCTGGGACTTATATGTGCTATGTAACTAATAGGATTTGAACTATGTGGTTCCAAAGTTGTACATCTTCCTGAGTCCTTGGTAGATAAATTATGGAGATCTAAGGTGATTGGGAGAGCTCTCTGTCTCCTGGGGTACCCCATGGCTAAATGTCAAGTGTTTGCCCCTTTGGAGTTCTTGTAATGTTGGACTAAAATGACTAGAGGTGGAGTTGGCTCCCAAACGTTTTGACCTCATCAAAGGGCCATTTGCTAAAGGCTAGCCTATCTCTTCCTTATTTTAGTTCTGTCAAGAAAACAGAGGCAAAATTGACTTGCCTACTTTACAATGTTGCTGTGGCTGGCCCTTGTTATAGATTGCCAGTACAGATCCTAACTTGTGGGGATATCAATTTATAAATGGGTAATTAGACATCCTGCCTGAGTTCTCTTCTTGAGGAAGTTCCATGTGGATGCCTGTGTTTGAAAAGCGGGGATCCGCGGGTAGCGTGTTTGGTGTGGAGGAAGCTGTCTTGGTATGCAAGCTCTGCTTAGAGGCACCACTCACCGAGCCAGCATTTCCTGGCAATGTGTTGTTGGGTGAAAAAGCTGTATAGTTTCTTTTTTATTTTTTTCTCTTTCCTTAAAGCTTTATCTATATTCACACACCAGCTAGAGGGAAGAAAAAACCCTCAAGAGCTGAGTTCAAACACCTGCAGTTATTTTGAAGACAAATGATTGAATGAACTTAACATTTCCCCCCAGCAACAAGTGCTGGTGTGAAGATGAAACCTGGGAGAAGAGCAGCAAGTTCAAGAACCATAAAGTAAAGCAGAAAAAAACCTACTTTGGGTAGTTGTAATTACTCAGTTCAGGTTGTTATTGTATACAGCTTTAAACATTTAATATCTTGCTTTATAACCTTATAAATAAACAAGGACCCACATAAGGCTTTGGGCCAGTTTGAACCTCAAATATGAAATATGTCAATCTACACATATAATACATAACTATGAGAAAATGCCTTTTCTTGCTCTTCAACATTTTCTGTGTAGAGTCAGCTGAACATAAAAACACAGGGGATGGATTCACCACATTTATTTCCATTGCACAGAAAGTATCTTGCTTGTTTACTTAGTAGGTCTGCAGCAATTGCACATGTTCTTACCTCATTTCTTCCTTGGTAATTAGCATATTTTTTCTTAGAGGAGCATATGGCATCCTCACTTGTAAACAAACCCTGCAAACCTCTTTCCATGTTGTTGAGATCTGAACTGAGCTGTAATTTTATCAAGTCATAATCATGGAAGCTCATGGATTCCCTAAGATAATAAAATTCAGCACACAGGCATAATAGGTAAATTGTCAGGAACTGGACCAATGTGGTCTTATATTGCTAGATGATTCAGGATATATACAGTATACAGAACTAAGGGATGAAGTGAGAAGACCCAATTGCAGCAACTTTAGCCTGTAAACAAAGCTAGAGAATGAAAGACCAGACAGAAATAGAAAGCTGCTGAGTTTGAGTTACCAATCTGGGTTCAGTGACTCTCTGAGAAAACTGAAGTTGTTCTTTAAACAAAATAGATTTTTTTACTAAGATTCCTATTGTCTGAGATAGGAATAAAACATGATTTTCAACTACCTGTTTTGTCATAATGTAGTAGAAAAGGGGTGATTATATATGGTCACATTTTGGAGTCTGTTGTCTGAAATTGCACATGGAAATTTTGCTTGACAATCATTGTATTCAATATGCTTATCACAATTGCAGCACACAAATAACATTTATCTTCTTCCTAAATATGTAGGTGTAGCTGTAGTCATTCTAACTTTAAAAACAACCCGCAACATTTAAGAAATTCTGGCTTTGAATTTGGGAGGCCAGTTGTGCCGAAATCATACTGAATGTTTATAAATTGGTCATGAAAAAAATCCTAACAAGACAATTCAAGTGTGTTATTTTTCAATTGTGACACCTATCTACACCCAAGGAGAAAGGTGTAGGTGACTAAGTGGGGAGGTTAGAGTGGGTGCTTGCCTTTTTGCCCAGGAAATCATTTTAGCATTTTGAAACTGTTTTTATGGCACCTTGTGTAAGATATATAAAACAGAAAGTGTTAATTATACATATTAAAGAATAGGGGAAGGAGAGGAGCTAAAAACTGAGGGAGTTCTAGAGATTCTTCCCATTCCCCCCACCTCATAGCCATGCCTTGATGCTGCCAGGCCCTAGACTTTCCTAAATGCCTTGTAAAACCAAAACTACTCAGAAGATTCACATCAACGTACATGCATCAACCTTAGCTGACTTTAGTGTTTCAGAGGGAAGTGAGAGTTTTGGGGCCTCTGGGAATTCTGAGCTAAGTGGTTTGACAGTAGACTGAGAAAAAACAAGAGATGTTATGAGGTGCATCAGAACCCTTGGGGTAGCCTCAGGACTGTCAAGCAGGGAGTTGCGGATTCAGGTTGGGATATGACAAACACCATGCCTGATAGCCTAGGAAGAAAGTGAGAGCCAAAAGAGTTAGGTGTCTCTGGGGGGAGTCATTTCGTCAATGGTTTCTATAAGTTCTGGCTCTATATTGGTCAGATAAACACAATGAGCCCCAGTGTTGGTCAAATAAGCACAATAAGCCCAAAGGTATATTACCTGAGTTAAATCTTACATCGGTGAATCTCAGTCTTGGCTATATATTGGAATCTCCTGGGGAGCGTTAAAAAATACTGATGCCTGGTTCCTATGCTTAGAAATACTGATTTAATTGGTTAGGAATGCTGCGTAGGCTTTGGGAGTTTTAAAAGCTCTCCAGGTGATTCTAATGGACAGCCAAGGCTGTGAACCACTGCGTATGACCTAAATTGAGTCTGTTTGGGTAAATATGTTGCAATTCACCTTCTCTAAAATAGTAAAAATACTTGGTTTTAACCTTGCACTAATATTTCAAATATTTCAACAACCTTTCAAGGTTTAAGAGTTGAGTAGTATACATTTGAGATGTAGTAATATCCCAGGGTGAGGTTCCCCTGGGACCTACCCTGGCTAGCCTCAGCATGATGGCGCTTGCCTGCCCTTCACCTCAAATCCTTGCTGCAGTGCTGTGTTCTGTCATGAGAGTCACAAGATACTTGGTGATTGCAAATCTGCTGGCTTATAATAAGTAAATAGTGGGCAAAGCAAAGGTCCTTAGGAATCGAAGATACCTATGGCACCCTATTATCTGTAAGATAATTTTGGACTTCATTGAATCATTTGTGTGTGTGTTATTAATACTTTGCTTTGCTTTTTCCAGATGAAAAAGATGTCTTATACAAAATTTGTCAATCAAACATAGCTGAGGTATTTTGCTCAACAGATATATTGCCTCTTATGATTTAAATGGGGGATTAACGAAAGGTTTTGAAAATTTGGCATTAAGAAAAATGGCTAAAACTCACTTTTGATTGCCCCTGAGTGATGGTGAAGGAAAGGGGGAATAAATGAAGTCAAGTGACTTATGGTTGTACCATCTAATTTTCTTGCATCTTGACAGACCTTGTCTTGTGACAATTTCCAAGGGGTTCTTGCCTTTTTATATCCAGAGTAGTATATGTGGACCCAGGATTCCTACTCCAACTAGAGGACTAACGTCTTGAAGGCTGTGATTATGATTTTTCTTCTGGAATTATTAGCAAGTCAAGATGTAAGCAATAAAGCTATAATGGTGGAATAAATGAGGTGGAGGTAGAGAATTAGGGGTCTATTTATACCTGATCACCTAGGTAGCTCACCACCCCACTACCTCCAGGGTCCACCTCACCACCCTACTACCTCCAGGGTCCACCCTGTCTAAGCCTCAGAATCTATCTACATGGATGGGAAGGATGCTAGCTTGTCAAAGAAAGCAAGCTTTGAGAAGACCACCAAGACATATTCTGAGATCAGATTTTACAACCTTATTTACTGAGATCATTAGACTGTTTGCAAAATGTTTGTTGTTGCTGTTCTACTTAGTAAATGGGCCTATAGAGATCTATTTAGTAAAACCTTGTTATTTGGACAGAGAAAACCAAGGGCTAGGGAAGTTAAATTGGCCATAATCAATACCGTGAGTTTTTTTTCTTTTTTTTTTTTTTTTAAAAAAAAAGCTAAGACTAGAACCTGGTTCTCTAGTACCAAATCCAAGGCTGTTTCCTCTGAGATGGTTGCAGTTTCAGAATAAGAGAAAGAACCTCTTAGTCAATCCCACAGTTTAACAAAGCTGATTGGGAAAAATGAAAATATTAAAGAAAACATGTTTGTATAGTATTTATGTTTAGTGATGTTCAATCAGCATTTATTTATATTATAAAAAATTAGAAATTGCCTGAACTGTCACAGAAAGGAAGGTTGCTTGGTAAAATACCATTTCCATTATACAATATGAAAGAAAATAATTCAGCCATTAAAAACCATGTTCTTGAAGCCTATTTAAAGATATTGAAAGATGGTCATAATAAATGGCAATTCATGACAGAAAGCAAAGTTGAAAAAGCATGGGTTAGATGCTAAGCATTACTTCTAAACTACTAGGCTTTGTGTCTAAGGCTACACATTTCTGAAGTTTATGGAGAGCCTTTAAATGTCAGCATCAGTTTTAACCAAGAGCTCTTTTCTTACACAACATCTAAAAATATCTATTAGTTTAACTTGTCAGCATGTAAAACATTTGCTATGATTTTTCTCATCGTATCACTCAAATCATGTCAGCTAGAAAGAAAAAACTGCTTGGATAATCTGGCAATGACTAATGTTATTTGCTGAGATTTTCTGGAGGCTATTTAGCAGCAATTTAATAATTGTTATAATCATAAGAAGCCTAATCAAAGAGTTCTATTTACTGCATATTTCCACTTAGGTATCCCATAAGCAATTCAAACTCACAATGTCCCAAACTAAACTTTGTGTATAGTACCAGTATCCATTTAGTTGCCTAAGTCATGAACTTTGAATCATCTTCTAATTTGTGTATTTTTAGCCTGGATTACTGTGAAAACATCTAAGTCTTCTCTCTAAATCTAGGCTTGAACCCCTCCAATCCATTCTCCACTCTGAAGATAGAAGAAATGCTCTAAAAAGGAAATCAGATTATGTTACTTCCTTGTTTATAAACCTTTATTGGAGTCCCATTGCCTTCGGGATAATATAAGCTCCTTGGCATGGCCTTCAGGGCCCTATATGATCTCTATCCTGTTTTCACCTCCAGACTGAAAGCTTGCTGGTTCTCCAGATATGCTCGCCTCTCAATTGCTGACTCCTCATCTTTCTGGGCCCCAGTTGTATGTTGCCTCCTTTGGGAATCAAGGCCAATTAAGTGCCCCATTCAAGGAACTTCCCTGGGACCAGGATGTAACATTTTATGTTGTAGTTGCATGTTTACTTGTGTATCTTCTCTCTTAAAACTGTTAGCTCCTGGAGGACAGAGATTTAGTTCTGTCCACTCTGATATCATTAGCATCTATCACAGTGTGTTACTACTTTAAAAAGAATCTTTCCTCTTTCCATATCATTAACAACATGGAGGACTGGAACAGAAAGGATTGCTTACCCAACATTCACGCCATATGTATTGCCCCACCCCACCCCAGCCTGCCAGTCCTTTTTCACAGCAGAACCAGATTGTGTGCATATATCCATCCTCCAAGTGTTTCAGGGGAAGCTGACCACAAGGCTGATTTGTCTATGACAATTATGTTAATCTCCTCCCCCTTGCCTGCAGTTGGTTTAAGAAGGGTCACATGACTCAGCTCTGGCCAAGGAGGTTTGAGGAGTAGTCTGATGGGGGTTTCTGTGAAAGGTTTCCTTGCTTCTAAGAAAGAGACACAGGAAGAGACGGTTTGTTTTCTCTTGGCATTTTTATGACAAAAACCACTATAGAATTTTTGTTCCCATGAAGGGAACCAGCCTGGGAATAAAGCCAACACATGAACAATGGCTGAATGGAGAGGTAGAAAGGACTTGGGCCCCTTTCGGCATAAACATTGATTATACTTCTTGGAGCCCACCCAAGCTCCAGACTTCTTATGTAGGATAATCAATTTTCCCATTGTTGAAGTAAATTTGAGTTGGGGATCTCCGTTAATTGTAGCCAAATACCTATAAAATGATAAAAATATATATTAGAAATAGGCCTTGTTCTACTGATAATTATTCTCCTGGTATAAGAAAGTAGGCTTTCTTCCACTGGGAAGTATAACACTAGGCATAATATAATTGTACAACAGACCTGAACAATTGAGGTTCCAATAACTTGGAACAGCAAGTTATTCTTGCCTTACATTCATATATAACTTATTTATATGCTCTCGTTGGGTTGTTTGGTGGCTTATACAGTACCCAAAGAAAAATGACATTTGATATTTTGGAATTTGAGGCAACAGAGAAACCTCACTGCATTTTAAGTTGCTGAAGTCAGTATCAACAAAGTTAGATAACCCATAAATTAACTACGAAAAAAAAAACCAGCTTTAAATTTTTTAAAATATTTTTTAAAAAAATAATTAATTTTTTTAAAATAATTTTTTAAAAAAATAATTAATTTTTTTAAAATAATTTTTTAAAAAAATAATTTTTTAAAAATAATTTTTTAAATTATTTTTTTAAAAAAATTATTGAGGTATGGGTAGACATAAAGTCTCTCAGATGCTAACAATTATAAAAAAATTAGAAAATACAAACAAATGTAAAAAATGTAAAAAGTAATGCATAGTTTTATTATACACTGATAACTAATTTTAATACTTTGATGTATTTCCTTTCAATCTTTTAAAAATAAAAATATAAAGATACACATTATAAAAATATGTAAGTATATGCATAGCTTTGACTCATGTGTTTTCCACTTAATATTTTTTCATAAACATATTTCCATGCAATTATTTTTCCAAACTGTGCTTTTAAATAGTTGTATAATATTCCATCCCCTACATAGATGTGTCATCGTTTAACCACTCACCTTGGTTGACTCTTTTAGGAGTTTCTTAACATTTTTATCATAAGGCAATATTAAGAAGAATATTTCTGGGTACAAAACTTGGATTGTATCCTTAGGGTAAATTTTAATTTACGCTGGTCTTTGGGCTATCTATTCTGTTTCATCTTTCTGCCTATTCTTACATTGGTATCACTTTTTGAAAACTATAATAGCTTTATAATATGTCAATTTCTAATACAGCAAGTTGTTCCACATAAATTTTCTTTTGAATAATTTTCTTGTCCTCATGTTTTTTCCCTAGATAATTTCTTTAAAAATTGTCCCAAACGCCAAAAAAACTAATTGAGCTTTTGATTCAATTGTATTAAACATATATATTGACTTGGTAATAATTCACAATTGTATAATATTGAATCTTCTTATGTTTATTTATATATCACTCCATTTATTAAGGCTTCTTTTATGTCGCTCAAAAATATTTTTAGTTTTTCCCAATTTCTTTTTAAGATTTTTTTCTCTGCTTTTCTTTAAATTTTTTTTTGTTGTTGCTATTGTAAATGTTTGGGCAAAACTATTAAAAGTATCTTATTGAAAGCCTGACCTTTTAGCATCAGGCTATTTTTTTTTGAAGATGTTCACATTGGCATCTTCTGGCAACAAAATATGACTTTCATGAAGTATGAGGCAGGAATAGTCACATGCTCTGAGTCCCAGTTCTGTCACTAATGGTAACAATTTATAAAAAGCAAACCTCTTCTTATCTCATTTTATAAATCTAAGAATAAATATTTAATATGACTTGAACATATGCCGTTTAAATCTTTCAATCATTGCTTTAAAAAATTAAACCTGTAAAAAATTATACCCTGGAAGAGGTAAATTTTAAAACAAAATTTTTCCTTTTCTTCTTTATATATAAAGCAATATAAGACCAAGTACATTTGGTTTCAAAGACTTGATGGCTCACATAATTATGTAGAACTAATTAATTCAAAATCTGTTTATCAACAGTAGTCTGTAGCTACAGCATTTTCTCTCAGAGGCATTAACAAAGGCTTATCACCTGCTTTCTTGTTGCAGTTTGTCTCAAAGGCAAATCAATACAAAAAATGTAAAAATGCTATTCCCAGAACTAACACTTTCAGCAACTTACAAGAACTTTTAGTATCTGATACCAATTAGTTTTCTTAGCTTAAATTAAAACAGTTTTATTTTAGCAATGAAATGTGTCAAAATACTAAGGATTTTAAAGGGCATAATAAAGTTTTACCAATGATTTTTTAAATTTAGGTTATAGATTTGTTTATTTATATATGTGCATACATTTTTAATTAATATAAAATAAAGCTATTACATACTTTATAGATTGTACAACATAATGTACATTGCACATACCCACATTACATGCATATGGAAATAAAAGAATCCATATCATGGGCAATATCTTCCTTTGTATAGTATCAATGAAATAGCAGAAATGAGTTATCAATGAATGTATGTATCTGATTTTTGATAGGTTTCCTGGATCAATTAGATCCCCCAAACATTATTCAAATTATTACATTTCTGTAAGTTCACTGGATAGAACAGTAGGTAAAATGCAACAGTGTTTTGAGTTAGAGAGAAATACTTATTTGCTTTTACAGAAAAGAAAATGAAATTTCAGGAATTGAAATTCCCCTTTCCTCCTGTTTTTAAAAAAGGTCACCTGTCTTTTGAAAAATTAAAAGTGCTCCTTGTAAATTAAATGAACTTATTCCTTTTTTTAGTTCATTTTTATAGTTGGCTTTGCAGGATGAAAGAAAGGGTTAAAATCTGCTTCTTTTGCCTCAGGATGCCTGAGGGTTTGGCCCTTGTTCTTATGCTGCTTACAACACAACTCAAGGAACTATTAAAAGTTTCCCTATGAAAACCTACAGAATGTGAGAAAATTTTTGCACTCTATCCATCTGACAAGGGGCTAATATCCAGAATCTACAAGGAACTTAAACAAATTTACAAGAAAAAAACAACCCCATCAAAAAGTGGGCAAAGGATATGAACAGACACTTCTCAAAAGAAGACATTTATGCAGCCAACAAACAGGAAAAAGCTCATCATCACTGGCCATTAGAGAAATGCAAATCAAAACCATGATGAGCTACTATCTCATACCAGTTAGAATGGCAATCATTAAAAAGTCAGGAAACAACAGATGCTGGAGAGGATGTGGAGAAATAGGAACACTTTTACAGTGTTGGTGGTAGTGTAAATTAGTTCAACCACTGTGGAAGACAGTGTGATGATTCCTCAAGGATCTAGAGCTAGAAATACCATTTGACCCAGCCATCCCATTACTGAGTATATACCCAAAGGATTATAAATCATTCTACTATGAAGACACATGCACACATATGTTTATTGCAGCACTCTTCACAATAGCAAAGACTTGGAACCAACCCAAATGTCCATTAATGATGGGCTGGATAAAGAAAATGTGGCACATATACACCATGGAATACTATGCAGTCATAAAAAACGATGAGTTCATGTCCTTTGCAAGGGTATGGATGAAGCTGGAAACCATCATTCTCAGCAAACTATCACAAGAACAGAAAACCAAACACTGCATGTTCTCACTCATAAGTGGGAGCTGAACAATGAGAACACATGGACACAGGGAGGGGAACATCACACACTGAGGCCTGTCGGGGGTGGGGGTGGCTAGGGGAGAGATAGCATTAGGAGAAATACCTAAGGTAGATGATGGGTTGATGGGTGCAGCAAACCACCATGGCATGTGTATACCTATGTAACAAACCTGCATGTTCTGCACATGTATCCCAGAACTTAAAGTGTAATTAAAAAAAAATCTAAGAAAAAGTCAGGAAACAATAGATGCTGGTAAGGGTGTGGAGAAATAGGAACGTTTTTACACTGTTGGTGGGAATGTAAATTAGTTCAACTATTGTGGAAGACGGTGTGGAGAGCATTAGGACAAATACCTAATGCATGCGGGATTTAAAACCTAGATGACGGTTGATAGGTGCAGCAAATCACCATGGCACATGTGTACCTATGTAACAAACCTGCACGTTCTGCACATGTATCCCAGAACTTAAAGTAAAATTAAAAAGAAAACAACAAAAAAAATCTTATCCAATTCCCTACATGTTAAAGCATTATAAATAAAAATATATTTTTCATCAGAAAAAAGTTTCCCTATGCCAGATCTAAAATAAATGCAAGTTCTATTGTCTATGAAACCTAGCACCTGTACCTTACTGTTAACATTGTCTATCAAGTAGCGAGTAACCAGTATTGATGAGATGCAGCTGCACAGCTAGCGAGGTATGAAAGGTGAAGATATGCCAGAACTGATGGTGCTATGGTTTGAATGTCCCCTCTAAAACTAATACTGATATTCAGTTGTCATTGTGATGGTGTTAAGAGGTGATTAGGGCCGAGTGTGGTGGCTGACATCTATATTGCCAGCACTTTGGGAAGCTTAGGAGAGCGGATCAGGAATTTGAGGTCAGGAGTTCAAGACATGGTGAAACCCTGTCTCTACTAAAAATACAAAAAAATTAACAGGGCATGGTGGCATGCACCTATAATCCCAGCTACTTGGGACGTTGAGTCATGATAATTGCTTGAACTCGGGAGGTGGAGGTTACAGTGAGCTGAGATCGTGCCACTGCACTCCAGCCTGGGTGAGGGAATGAGACTGTGTCTCAAAAGAAAAAAAAAAGAGGTGATTAGGTCGTGGGGCTCTGCCCTCATGAATGGATTAACAACATTATTTCAGGAATAGGTTTGTGATTGTGAGAGTCTGTCCCCCTTTTTCTCTGTCTTGAGTGCTGTCACTCTTCTCACTATATGATGCTTTCTGCTGTTATAATGCAGCAAGAAGACCTTCACCAGATATGGCTCCTCAGTCTTGGACTTCCTGGTCTCCAGAACCATGAACCAAGGAAACTTCTTTTTAAATTACCCAGTTTGTGGTATAACAGCAGCAAAAAACAGACTGAGACATATGGCTTCCTTGAGCTTAGAGATGCTGTGTCTACTCAGCTTCATCTGTCATTATGACCATACATTTCCCAAGTGTGTGGGATTTGGACATTGGAAGCTGTGCCTAGGAGTTGCGAGACCTCTACTACACTGTTACTTTACATACTGTGCTGTTACTTTTTGATTCTTTCTAAAAACAAAGTAAATTTGGAGTTAAGTGAAGTCTTTTGTGTCTCATGAGTTGATTATTAATCTGAACCCAAGTTGAGCAGAGTTGGAAAATTTTCATAGCAATAAATTATCCTCTGTATTCTAACTTAATCCTTCTAGTCTCAACCGCCAAAGCCCAAAGGGTCTACAAAGAGGAAAAACCTACTTGATAAATGGGTAGGTAGATTCTCATTATGACTTGACGTTAATGTCCCTCTCAGCTCAGCAACTTCAAACACTAAATTGTCAATGACCCTAATGGTTTTCTGAGATAATAGAAAGTACCATCATGAGAGAAAGAGGTATAAAAAACACAAAGGGAGAAAATCCTATAATAAAATGGCATGCAATTGGCAGCCACTGATTCAATTTCTCCCACTCGCCCACTAAATGTTTATGAAATACTGGTAAAAGGCAAACCTCACATTACCTCATGCTAAAACTAAAACTGACAGATAATCTATTGCTAAAACCTATAAAAATTTGTATCCATTTCCACAAGGAAATAAAAGCAGATTGAGGAAAAACAATTTTTAAGTTAGCTAATAATTGCCTCCTGAAATATAACAGGACAGCTAAGCTGAAAGAAGGTAAAAAGCCAAGTATTTCTCCATGAGCCCTGCTGATTGGTCCAGGGTTTAGAACAATCAAGAAAAAAAATGGATGACAAAAGAAGTACTTTTTGAGGTATACTGTTCTTCACTCCCACTTTCCACATCAATTCATAAACACCCTGGAAGGGAATGGGATTGGTGGCATGCCATTGCATCTGGGGAGATTTGGTCCCCACAAATAAAGCACTGTAGTTGAATGTAGTACTTGAAGAGTCAGACAGACTTGCCACTTACTAGCTAGGTGACTCTAAGTGGGTTATTTAACCTCTCTCTACTCAATTTCCTCATCTAGGGTTGCTGTTAGTATTAAATGAGATAGTGAATGTACAGCACAAAGCATAGTACCTTGTACAATGCTTTGTTCAATAAATGGTAGGCATTTTTATTATGACAAGGGTAGAAAATGGGAAAGTTCTAAGAGTTCTAGGAGTATGTGTGTGCATTGTAGGTTGAGGCTTTGTTTTATGCTCTATGTTCAGTGTGTCAGAGAATCTAGCCATGGAGTGAGAGTGGGGTGGAGTGAGAGTGGATTCTCTGTTAGTCTTATGCTGTCATATATGACGAATGTTTGTCCAGGTACTTGTCATTTTAGCCAGATTTCCAGCTACACAGTCAATGAGGGGCTCACACTTAGCTGAATGGATAGGGTTGTACAAGCCACAATCCCTGTCTTTGGTAAAAGACAAAAATTGACACTACAACAAAAAAACTGACATGGGTTATGGGTCTATGAAAAAAATACTGCACAAAAAAATGGCTTGGAATCCTAAATAATATGGAGGAATACACAAACTCTATGAAACAGCAACAAGCTAATTAGCCACCTTAAACACTGAAGAGTTGGGTACCTCATTTCCCCTCATCATCTCTACCCATTTTACCACCATTCTGGGTGCCCTCTGTCTCTTCCTGAATGACCATTCTGTTGTGGGCTAAATTGTGTTTTCAGCTCCATCCCCATTCATATGTTGAAGTCCTAAGTTCTATTGCCCCAGGATATGACTATATTTGGAAATGGGGTCTTTAAAGAGTTAATGAAGGTTAAATGAAGTCTTTGGAGATTGGTCTCAATCCAATATGACCCATGTCCTTGTAAGGGAAGATTAGTTCACAGACAGAGAAGAAAGAACACTTAAAGGCACAGGGAGAATACGGCTACCGACAAGCCAAGACAAGCCTCTGAAGAAAGACCTTGCTCACGCCTTGATCTCAGAGTGCCAGCCTCCACAACTGTGAGGAAATGAATTTCTGTGGTTTAAGCCACCCAGTCTGTGGCACTTGGGAAGCCCTAGCAAACTAATATACCATCCAATTGCTTGGCCTCTCAGTTTCTTTATTTTCTCATCTCTAGGGACTTTTACTGTGTTTCTCTTCAGCCCCTCCTCCCAGGGCAGCACCCTGATGCTGTCATGATCCAGAACCTTCTGAAATATTACATTCAAATCTGTACTGTTGGGAAATCTCTGACCATAGTTATACTGCCTTGTGACCTTCACATTTGGCTACTGCCACCCAATCCTTCAATGTCACCTGTGTCCCCAAATAAACCCCACTTCTTGCTCCCAACTCCCCCGTCATCTTCCTTGTCAACTGAATCTAGACATTGTGGTTTATCACTTCATCCTTTGTTTTGTCAGTATCTTTAAACCTGTATTTCCTTCCATAGTGACAGCCTCGCAAAACCCCAACCCAGCTGTTTTCCCTGAACTCATACAGTATTTCTGAGCAGTGTTAAAGGAAACCGCACAGCCACATCATGTGTTCTGAACCATTGTAAAGTCATTTAGGTCTTCAAGCCTGTCCCATTATCTCTTCCCTTCTCTGCAGCTACTATTTCAAACTTCCTCTATTCTCTCTTCAAAATTTGGCTCTCACTATGTCCAACAGATGACTTCACTTCCTATTTTATAGGGAAAATTGAGGTCACCAGAGAGAAATTTCCCCCAGTTCTGCCAACTAATCTGTAAACATCTTCATTCTCACTAGTCATTCTTTGTTACCCTGTATTACACACGAATATGTGCTCCTTTTCCTTCCTGAGGTTAATTCCTTAATAACCCTTTGAATTCCATTTCTCACAGTTCTTCCAAGGCCTCACACTTTTCATTGTTCTTTTGTTCTCTCTCATGTTTAATTCTCTACTTTCTCCCCTTATCTGTTCCTTCTGCTCACTATTTAAATACTCTCAAAATATCCCAGTAGCCCCTGCTACTTCTGGAAGCGTGCCTCACGCCTCAGTGTGCTGGGGCAAAATGTTGGAATGAGCCCCACTGACACACGGACATACAAAGTTTGTTTGTTTGTTTTGAGATGGAGCTCTGTCACCCAGGCTGGAGTGTAGTGGCGCGATCTTGGCTCACTGCAACCTCTGCCTCCCGAGTTAAAGCGACTCTCCTGCCTCAGCCTCCCGAGTACCTGGGATTACAGACGGCTGCCACCATGCCCAGCTAATTTTTGTATTTTTAGTAGAGATGGGATTTTGCCATGTTGCCCAGGCTGGACTCAAACTCCTGACTTCAGGTGATCGCCTCAGCCTCCTAAAGTGCTGGGATTACAGGCAGGAACGACCACGCCTGGCCTGGCATTGTTTTAAGTGTCTTTCATATTTTAACTCAACTACCACACAACAGAGCTCTAAGAAAGTCACGATTTTTTCCATATTGGGCAGCTTAGAAAATAAACCATACATAATAACAGAACAATAACAAAAGCAAACATTTACATGGCACCTAATATTAAAAATGCTGTACATTATTACATGATTTATTTCTCACATTAACACTATGAGATTGGTACTATGACCGTTTCTGCTTTACAGAGTGTGACTTCTAAGGATACCCAGTTGGCAAGTGGTAGAGTCAGGATTAGAACCCAAGCAGTTTTAACACATTGTTAAATGTGTTAGCACTGTTTTGAGAAAATCTTTAATCAAAAAGCAAATCAAAAGTAAGACCTGAAGAAGGAAGAAGTCACGGAATAAAAGAATCATTGACTAATTTCTGTCCTACCAGCTCCACTGCTTCCCAGCTCTGTGACCTGAGGCAAGTTGTGTAACCTTTGTGTCTCAATTTTCTCATTAAAAAAAAGGAATAATAAGATTATTTATTTCTTTGGTTGTGAAGATAAAAATATGTTAAAGCACATAAAGTGCTTATATCAATGCTTAAGAATGTAAGATGTACTAAATCAGGGGTGTCCAATATTTTGGCTTTCCTGGGTCACATTGGAAGAATTGTCTTGGGCCATACAAAAAATACGCTAATAGTAATGATAGCTGAGAACAACAACAACAAAAATCCCCCAAAATCACATTATGTTTTAAGAAAGTATGAATTTGTGTTGGGCCACATTCAAAGCCGTCCTGGGCTGCACGTGGGATCAAGGCTGCGGGTTGGACAAGCTTGTGCTAAATCATACTATTTTGTTTTTCTTACATCTTCTCAACCATGCATAATTAATGATGAACAGGAGGTAAGGTGAAAAGGAGGCTGGCAAAATCTCTCCTGAAGGATTTACATAAGTGACTTAATTCCTTTTGGAATGTCCCTCTGCATTGCTGCAATGAGTACAGCTCTTAGCCCAGGAAAGAGGAGTCTCTGTCCAGGTCCTACAATTTAGAGGGCCCCTTGTATCACACATAAAATGAATTCATTAAAGAATGCATGGGTGCCTCTGTCACTTGGTAATCCTAAAAATTCAGTCTCAGGACAAACACCATTCAGGCCACAGAGAAATCCTTCTTCAAATCTGCTTGATGGCCTCAAAACAAAAGTCACCCGTTCAAATGGCATGGAAGTGTATGGGTTGAAATACTATTGGTATGGAAGACACACACTACTTGGAATCCAGGAGCAGTGGAAACACTGAGCTACATGAAAATATAAATGTCTAACTTGTTAAATTCTCCCTCTTAATTAACATGCATGAAATAGATTCTTGTTATGGTGAAGTATCCCAGTGCTGAATGTCTATTTTCTCGCTTCACTTCTTGTTCCAATTTGTGGTTCTAGAGGTACTCATAAATTAGTGCAATATTTGAAACAGTTGCACAAAGCTGTAGAAATTCTGTAGGATTAGTTTATATTACTCGGATTTGTGTATATATATAGGTTTTAGCTTAAAATTTTTGAAGCATGTAAAAGATATTGATTTTTTACATTATGAGTAGATCTACATATTGCTTTAAGAGATGATAAAAGTTGCAATATAGGCAATAGCTATACATATGGTGAAGTTAAAAATATTTTGCAATATTTTCTGTAATAATTTATCAATATATCACTTTTACAATATCTGAGCAAGACATGTATATCTTACTCATTTCTAAATCTAACTATTGAATTAATAACTTGACAATTCCTGCCCCTATTGCCTCAGCAGAGCCAAGTTTCTTTAAACAGGAATTAATAAAAATTTATTTAAAAACAACAGTGACTCAAGAAAGTTTGTCTAATTTGGCATTACTATCAATAAAGCACAAATAATGTGAAAATCTTGATTATAACAACATTTGTGATGCTATGGAAATTAAAGCAAGACAGAAACATTTTATGGAATAATATATAATAAATTATGAATTATATGTATTGTACTTGTCATAAAAACATTACTAACCTATGAACATACATACATGATGAAATTCAATTTATTCCTTTTTGATATTTTGCTTAATTTCAATTACTATATATAAAAATCATAGCTTTTCACACACTTTAATTTTTTATCATTATAAAGATGTGTTTGTCAAGGCAGGAGAATAGAATATCTTTTATCTAATCACCAGCAGCTTGCTTTCTACTTTTGAAACAATTGGACATATGGTATGTGGACTCCTATTTGTACTGTTGCCCTGGGTCCTGCAAATGTCAGAGGTCAAGACCTGGGATTGTGAGTTTGGGAATTTAATGTGCGTTCTCTTGAGAATGAAAGTTCAATATACAGTCAGCCCCCTGTGTGTGTGTTGGTTCCACATCCATGGATTCAACCAGCCACAGGTTGAAAATATGTTAAAAAAATAATAAAACAAATTAAAAGAGAATACAGTGTAACTATTTATAATGCATTTACATTGTATTATGTATTACAAGTAATCTGGAGATGATTTAAAGTATACAGAGGGATGTAGGTAGGTTATATGCAAATACTACACTCTGTTATATAAGGAACTTCAGCATCTGTGGATTTTGGTATCCTGGGGAGGGGGTGGGAGTGGGCATAGAACCAATCTCCTGCAGATAACAAGGATGACTGCATATCTAAAAATATCATCTTGTAGGTGTGTGGTGTTATTTCTGAGGTCTCTGTTCTGTTCCATTGGTCTATATGTCTATTTAGGTACTAGTACCATTCTGTTTTGGTTACTGTATCCTCATAGTATAGTTTGAAGTCAGGTAGTGTGATGCCTCCAGCTTTGTTTTTTTTGCTTAGGGTTGTCTTGGCTATACGCGCTCTTTTTTGGTTCCATATGAAATTTAAAGTAGTTTTTCTAATTCTGTGAAGAATTTCAATAGTGGTTTGATGGGAATAGCACTGAATCTATAAATTACTTTGGGCAGTATGGCCATTTTCACAATATTGATTCTTCCTATCCATGAGCATGGAATTTTTCTCATTTGTTGGGGCCTCTCTCATTTCCTTGAGCAGTGGTTTGTAGTTCTTCTTAAAAAGGTCCTTCACATCCCTTGTTAACTGTATTCCTAGGTATTTTATTCTCTTTCTAGCAATTGTGAATGGGAGTTCATTCATGATTTCACTCCCTGCTTGTCTATTGTTGGTATACAGGAATGCTTGTGATTTTTGCACATTGATTTTGTGCAAACCTTTGACAAACCTGACAAAAACAAGCACTGGGGAAAGGACTCCCTACTTAATAAATGGTGCTGGGAAAACTGGCTAGCTATATGTGGAAAGCTGAAACTGGACCCCTTCCCTATACCTTATACAAAAATTAACTCAAGATGGATTAAAGACTTAAATGTAAAACCAAAACCATAAAAACCCTAGAAGAAAACTTAGGCAATACCATTCAGGACATAGGCATGGGCAAGGACTTCATGATGAAAATGTCAAGAGCAATTGCAACAAAAGCCAAAATTGACAAATAGGATCTAATTAAACTAAAGAGCTTCTGCACAGCAAAAGAAACTATCATCAGAGTGAAAAGGCAACCGACAGAATGGGAGAAAATTTTTGCAATCTACCCATCTGACAAAGGGCTAATATCCAGAATCTACAAGTAATTTAAACAAGTTTACAAGGAAAAAACAAACAACCCCATCAAAAAGTGGGCAAAGGATATGAACAGACACTTCTCAAACGAAGACATTTATGTAGCCAAGAAACGTGAAAAAAAGCTCAACATCACTGATCATTAGAGAAATGCAAATCAAAACCACAATGAGATACCATCTCCTGCCAGTCAGAATGGTGATTACTAAAATGTCAAGAAACAATAGATGCTGGCGAGGCTGTGGAGAAATAGGAATGCTTTTACACTGTTGGTGGGAATGTAAATTAGTTCAACCATTGTTGAAGAGAGTGTGGCGATTCCTCAAGGATCTAGAACCAGAAATACCATTTGACCCAGCAATCCCATTACTGGGTATATACCCAAAGAAATATAAATCATACTACTATAAAGACACTTGCACACGTATGTTTACTGCAGCACTATTTTCAATAGCAAAGACTTGGAACCAACCCAAATGCCCATCAATGATAGACTGGATAAAGAAAATGTGGTACATATACACCATGGAATACTATGCAGCCGTAAAAAGGAATGAGATCATGTCTTTTGCAGGGACATGTATGAAGCTGGAAGCTGTAATCCTCAGCAAACTAACACAGGAACAGAAAACCAAACACTGTATGTTCTCACTCATAAGTGGGAGTTGAACAATGAAAACACATGGACACAGGGAAAGGAACAACAACTGAGGTCTGTTGGGGACTGGGGGGTAAGGGGAGGGAGAACATTTAGGACAAATACCTAATGCATGTGGGGCTTAAAGCCTAGATGATGGATTGATAGGTGCAGCAAACCACCATGACACACATGTACCTATGTAACAAATCTGCACGTTCTGCACATGTATCCCCGAACTTAAATAAAAACATTAAAATGACATCTTTACTCATTCAATACATTTGCTCATTCATTCAACATGCGTTGAGCACCACACTGAAGATACAAAGATAATCACTGACTAGTACAAAGACATACACCTGGCAGGGCAGTGACAGGCTTGTACACAGGTATCACTTTTTCCCAGAAGCTTTCCCTGACCATAGGCTGATACTCTTCTGGGTCTTTTCCTTCAATGGTTTCTATTTCCGTGGAACAGTGAGTGAATTCCCTGAACTTAGTAAGAAAATCTGATTGTGAATCTTGACCTTTTCACTTATTGATCATAAGGTCTTGGGTTAGTTAATCACTTGGACTTACTGAACTTCAGTTTTCATTCCAGTAGTATGGAGGTAAGAGAACTTGTCCCAGAAAATGTAGAGTGTTGTTGTATGGGTATATACACATGAAGAGGAGCCACATGCCAGATAAACAATGAGCCTGGGAAAGGTGATATTCAAGAAAGTACTCTTCAAATTCGAAAGTGCTATTGAAATATGGGATGGTGATATTCTAAGAATCAAGTTCGGTTTTTCTGAGATTTTCTCCGACTATAACAATTTACTATGTGACCTCCTCTGTAGCGTCAATGTGACAAACTGAGGAATTTAAAGTGTCTTGGAATTATATAAACTTTTCTCATGAATAGACTGTTTTCTATATAGCAGTTTAATAAAATATCTTGTGCTAAGTTGTTTAGATATCCACTTTTCAGGGTTTTTTTTCTTATTGATAATTCCTCATCAAACTGTAAGAGGGAGGGAGGGAGAAAGAGAAAGAAAGAGAGACATTGCGTCTCATTTCCTCAGTCTCCAAATTGTGTAATTTACCACCTTCCAGGCAGGTACTCAAAATTTGTACTTGGGAAAAGGCCTTAATGAGCAAGTGGAAAATGTTTTTATAAAATTAAGGTCAAACTTACAGTTGTGATAACTTAGCAGTCATTACTACCTTTGTAACCCTGAAGGCTGTTCTTAGTCACTTGTGCATGTATACTGTATCTCCCATATGTATCAGTAAGGAGAGGCTGGTTTATATTGTGGCAACAAATAACCCCCAAGTGTTAATAACTTAAAAAAAACAAAGATTTATTTCTTGCTCACATAGGTTTATTTCCTCCTCCAGGATGCTCTCAACAGAGCACCTGCTATGGACTCTTGCTGGTCTTCATGGCAGAGGAAAGATAGCTCTGCAGGCTCTCACCCTGGCCTAGAGTAAGTAAATGCTCTGGCTCAGAAGTGTCGTACACCACCCATTTCCCCAAACACTGGCTGAGATAGTCATGTGGCCCCACCTGACAAAGGAGCCAGGAAATAGAACCCTATCATGGTCCAGAAAGGGGAGAACTAGAAGTATATGGTAAGCATTACTAATGACTGGCATGCCATTACTGCTTGCACAAAGCAGTAATGTGGGTTTCTAAAGTGAATCCAGCATTGCCCAAGAAGGCCAGCAGGCTGATGTGGTGTGATTGTTGGTCTCAGTCTGCCTCAGTGTCAATCTCCCTCATCCACTCTCCACAATATTTCCTACTGAAGCCTGTTATTTCTTTGTCAGAATTTACTCCTTATGTGAATTCTAGGCATAATTTTGTTCTCTTTTAAAATGCATATAAACATTAAGTATAGCATAATTTAGTCTGTTCATCTGATGGTTTTGGGGAGCTGGCTGATGCAGAGTTCTTGAGGATGGAAAAGTTATTTTTGAAAGACTAGAATCTCCTCTGAAGAAGGGGAGAAGGGATGTCTGAAAGTAAGTTATCTGCTTCAAATTATTTCCCAGAATAGGTCCTGACCACCAGGGTGAGGATTTATAGGGCTATGCACCATATATTGTTCCTCAGTTGCAAGCCCTGGAGCAGTCACATAATCGATTCTTGTCCATTTTAGGAAATAGGCCCCAGGAATATCAGGTTTGGGATGCTTGCAGCACAAAATGACAAGGTACATACTGAACTATACATTCTCTGGTGCCCAACACAAATAGAATTTCCATTCTTATAAATGTACAGGAATTAAAACATCATTTCTCTTGAACATTTAAAAATGCTTCCCATTATCTTTAAAAACATCTTAAAATATATTGCAGTTTGTTTTCTAATTATGCAATAAAATCACTCCCAGTTCTGGTATGTTGGTTAAAAGTCAAAACAGCTTGTATTTGAATACAGATATACACATTCAACATTTAAAAGCTGTTTTCATCATGATAATTAGACATTAAATTGTGATTTATATTGTTAAATACTGATTTAGAGTTAACCAAGTAACAGTCTGGAAATTTTGAAGTACTTTTAGAATATTATGTTATATTACGCCCATAATACATCGCATTTTTTTCTTTCCTCCCAAATTTAATGCATTATTATAATTCACATCTTAAAATATTTTGGGTAGGTAATATGTATACATAATACAAATGGCTAAAGTTACAAAATAGTTTTTCAGTGAAAAACAGGTATTTTTTCCTATCCCTGTCCCCTAATCCTCAAATTTCCCCTTCAGATATAACCACTGTTATCAATTTATTGTGTTTCCTTCCAAAGATAGTCAATGTTGCTATAATTTTCTTTTCTTTTCTGTTTTTTTGTTTTTTGTTTTTTTGTTTTTTTTTTTTTTTTTTTTGCTGTTGTTGTTGTTTTTGAGACAGAGTCTCACTCTGTCACCTAGGCTAGAGTGCAGTGGCGCAATCTTTGTTCACTGCAACTTCCGCCTCCCGGGTTCAAGAAGTTCTCCTGCCTCAGCCCCTGGAGTAGCTGGGACTACAGGTGCACCCAACCATGCCTGGCTAATTTTTGTATTTTTAGTAGAGACGGGGTTTCGCCATGTTGGCCAAGATGGTCTTGAACTCCTGACCTCAAGTGATCCACCCACCTCGACCTCCCAAAGTGCTGGGATTACATACATGAGCCACTGTGCCTGGCCGCTATAATTTTCAAGTGTGTGTGTGTGTTTGGTTTGGTTATTTGTTTGCTCTTATACTTTATGTTTTTCATTTAACAGTATGTCTTGGAGATTGTTTCATGTCACTATATACAAAGCTGCTTTATTCACCTAACAACAACATATATTCTATTATTTTAATCTATTATAATTTATTTACCCAGGTCCCTATCAATAGATATTTATGTTGTTTCAAATCTTTTTCTATGTAGACAATCCTGAAAATTATATTCTTACATTTATTTCTATATATATGTGACTTTACAGTAGACATAATCCTAGATTTGGAATGGCTAGATCAAAGGCAGATTTTGTTATAGAAATGTCATTAGCATAAATTAAATTTTATACTGTGACAATAAAATTAAAGACTTTTTTTTTAACCAAGGTGAAGTATTTGTGAAATATTTGTTCCCTTAATTGTACAACTTTGGGCTAACACAGTCAAATGAGTCATCATTTCAGACCTCAAGGGACTGAAATACTACGGGTAAAATGGCAGCTGTTTAGAAAGTACATATCTTGAAAACCATTTTATTGTCATTCTTAAAAGACTTGTTTATTAACCATATAATTGAATCTAAAAGAGATATTCAAATGTTCCTACTTATATATCTGGACTCTGAAAACTCCTAACTATAGAACATTATAATAATAGTTCTTCAAAAGTGAATGCATTTTCGAGTAAAGTTCTGTTAAAAACATCACCAGGATTAATCACATCAAACCTGTCTGGGGGTTTCATAAACAGTTGACAAAGTCAAAACAGTGATGTGCTTTGTTAAAGGGCTCACTGAAAAGCTAATTTGTAAATTGGCCATCACTTAAATGCATGTATCTAAGTTAGCTCACTGAGAACTTCTTTAGACTAGAAAATCCCCTGCTTTAAGCTTCCAAGAAGATACTTGTACTCTTTAGAAAACCTTGCATAATTACAGATGATTAGAGAAGCCATAGTAACTTCATGGGACAAAATTAGACATCCATTTCCTTCTAGAGAAGAAAGGGTGTGGTTTCCCAGAGCAGCACAGGAGGGGTTAAACTATCATTCCTTCCTGATAATTTCATATCTCTTGTATAAGATTGCTAAATGTCAAAAAGTGTTTATTTTTTTGCTAACAGTATAAAACTGAACATACTGTGAGACATAAGGTAGCAGGTGTCTTGGCTCTAAACTATCAAGTCTGTGGGCATTCTGTTATAACAGGTGCTCCAAAAAATTTGAACAGATTTTAACAAGAGCTGTATGGGCTTTTTAATTAGCCTGGTTATTCAGCATGTGTAAAAAGCATTAGGTATATGCTTAAAACATCATAGAGTCTAAAAAACAAATGCTTCACATAGTTACTCCCTCCGGCTTCTCTTTGCTTTCTGCTGTTACATTTGACGTATGTGTTTCTCTTATCACAGAATTTCCCCAGCTGAGACAAGAGCATGACAAAACATGACCAGCGGTAACAGTGATAGAGCAGAGATCCAGAATACTCTTCTGGCTGATACACAGACACGCTGTACACTTTTCATAGAACTCAAGTTTGATATGTATTAGGGGCATCCTTACCTTCCCTGGAATAGCCTCTTAAAAATTTTATATGTCTCATAAATTGACTATTATCAGAAGGATTTTACATCAACCTCTACAATATGGGAAGATGAGCTTTTACTAGGGATTCATGTTCAGGATTTAAAATTAAAAAACTTCTACCTATATTTTAATTTCTCTTACAGGTCATTATGTTAACACAGATGTTAATTTAAGACTATCTTTTTCCTTTTGTTGTTAATGTACTAATGTGACATTTGATCTTTGGGATCCAACTTTGCAGCACTAATTCATTGGTCTAGCAAACATTTTCTGAAAATCTATTATGTTGAGTTTGTGTGTGTGTGTATGTATGTGTGTGCATGTGTGCAGCAAAGAGGAGTAAAACAGATTTCCTATCTTTAAGGCACTTAAGATCAATATAAATTATAAAGTGGAATATGTTTGACTCCCTAGTGATGTAAACAGAGTATACCATGGGAGCTGAAAGGATGGGGAGATCTACATTTAATGAAACTGAGGAAAGATTCATTGAAGCAGGTGACATTTAATTTCGGTCTTGAAAGTTGAATAGAATTTTGAAGTCATGATAGAAGCTGACATTTGGGGCTACATTACAGGCACAAATGAAAGTACATTATAGGTTGTTGACTTATTGATTATAGTTATTGCATATATTGTGATCAGTGCTTAACTTTTTAGATATACAGATGTAAGGTACAGATTTATTTTAAATAAACCAAGTGAAAAGTTACCAATTACTGATTGCTTAGTGTGCCAGGTTCAGTTGCCAGGCTTTACCCACTTTGCCTCAGTTGATGTTTATGACAACCCTCTGTGAAAGGTATCATTCCACCAGTTTTACACATGAAGATACTTAGTATCAGAGAAGTTAAATAGCATATTCAAGGTCATGTGATAAGCAAGAGGTGGAGTTAGGATTTGAACTTAAATCCATCTGTTACCAAAGTACATACAGTTATTCTCCACAACACTGCACCATCCTCCTGGTTTTAAAGTAAGAAGGAATCTTGGAGATCCTTCTTGTGGATATAATTCATGCATTCTCTTGGGAGGTAAAAAAATACTCTTTATGTATAAAGTGCAGACATACATACAGTGCATATTCAGTTGTACAGTTTAACTGTGGCATTGATATTTTATGATGGAGGGTGACATGGGAAAAGAGTCTAAAAAGGCTCTGTAGGGGTGTGATCACGGAAAAAGGTTGGGAAGCATTGATCTAACTCAAGCTCTTTCACTTTTTAGGGAACAGATGTGGAATGTTGGAGAGTGAAATGACTGCCCCAGTCACACGTCTAGTCAGTGATGTATATGCATGTGTGTACTTAAAAATAAATCCACTGTTTTTAGGGGCAAAAGGCTCATGCACCACTTATCACTTTGCCAAGCTCAACAATCTTGTCCTCTCCTTTAACTCGATTTCTTTCTGGGTTTGTGCGTGGGCTTATTTATGCTCTCCCCCTTAAGCTGTGAATCACTAAATTTCAACTTCCTGGAGGTCAACAACAAGGAGTGAAATAGTCCCACCGCTAAGTCTTGACCCTGGAATATGTCATTTAAGCTGCGGTGTTTTGGGGGCACTCTTGAGCGGTCCACCTGGTGCTTCTAGAGCAGCAAGCAATGTATAGTAGGTGCTCAGAGTTATGAATTAATGCGTGAATATTGACAGTAGCAGAAAGAAAAGGGCTCAGAAGGACTGAGAACTGCTTGTCTTTTAAATTATTAAGTATTAGTTAAATTTATTTCACATGGAAACAAGCAACACTGGCTCATTTGCTGGCTGTCGGACATCTGCTGTTGAGCTAAAAGTGGCCTGAGGTCTTGAAGAAAAGTTGGGCACCAAGCAGAGCTCTTATCTTGGGGTCAGGTACTCCACTAGGTCTTGAATTCTGTTACTGCTAGTGAGCTGAGAAGGGACACCCTTAGCTTGTTTGGGGCCAGACAAGATTTCATCATGAAGGAATAATGTTAAGGAAGCCCTTAAACAGTTTTACTTACACTTTTCCTACGCATCAACACACAATCATTAAATCTGTTGAAGATAGAAGAGGGATTTTTTTTTAACCTACTGACATAAATGATTCTATTACATTTAATGTATATGTGCTATTTCCATGTATTTCCCCCCTTCTCCAGCCCCACATAAGAATGCAGTAATATGTTTTCTTTCCACAATCTGCCTAGTCTATTTCCATGGACCAATGTTATTACTTTCATGGGCATTTTTCTAAAGTTTCTTTATGTTTATAAAGCATATTATGTTATTTTTAGATAATAGGTATATTACTATTAGATAATAGATAGTAATAGATATATTAGGCTGGGTTTGGTGGCTCATGCCTGTAATCCCAGCACTTTGGGAGGCCGAGGCAGGCAGATCACCTGAGGTCAGGAGTTCGAGAGCAGCCTGGCCAACTTGGTGAAACCCCGTCTCTACTAAAAAATACGAAAATTAGCTGAGTGTGGTGGTGCGTGCGTATAATCCTAGCTTTTAGGGAGGCTGAGGCACAAGAATCGCTTGAACCTAGGAGGTGGATGTTGCAGTGAGCCGAGATTGCACAACTGCACTCCAGCCTGGGCGACAGAATGAGACTCTGTCAAAAAAAAAAAAAAATGTTATCCTCTCTCCGCTGTAACTAAAAAGTACCATATTATGCATATGGTTCCATACCTTTATTTTTTTCTCCAAATAATTTATCTTGGAAATGCTCTGCATTGGTAGTATATGTATTTGTGATGTGGTTAATTTGTTAAATTGTACTTTCTAGGAAGTGTGTCAATTTATACTTAGAGTAGAAATGTTATGAGTGCCTGTTTCTTCATAACTTTGCCAAGAGGGTGTGAACAAAGTTTTAAATTTTGCCAGGCTGAAAGGTAAATATAATATTTTGATGTCAGTTTAGTTTTCATAGCTCTAATTTTGGGTGAAGTCAACCATCTTTCCTGTGTTTAAAACCATTTTTTAAAAAATGTGTGAATCATCTAATAACATTCTTTGCAATACTGAGTTGTTGATTTTTCTTATTGATTTCTAGGAACTATTTATTTATTATAAAGAGTCTCTGATATGAGGTTACAGATGTTCCCATTTGACATCAGTGATATTAAATATTACATAATTAAAATTTTATTTTTAGAATTTGCTAGCATGATGAATTGACATTGCTGAAAAAGATTACTTGACATAATCACACTATTTATTGTCTCATATTAAAAACAAATAGGATACTTACAAAATAATTACATCTACAGATGGAACTACAGCACCCCATTTTACATTTATTTGCATTGAGACCAGTAAACTGTTCAGAGAACTAGCTGCTTGTGCTGGGGTAGAAATAATTTTGCCATTTATTTTACCAATGGTCCCTAATAAACAAATGACAAATCTAGAACGTCCAAATTTCTAAGTTTGCCCTTATGATCAACTGCCAATTGAACAAGAAACTTAACAAGGTTATGTTCATAACTTGGCAAAGTGTCTAGCATATAGGGCTTGAAAAACGTTTATTTATTATAGAGATAATATACTGAACTGCCTTTCTACCTTATTGTGCCTCAATGTAGTTACTAGAGTAGAAAAGATTTCCACTCTTGGCTGCCATTCACAGGGCTCAGCTAAGAAGTTCCCTCCCTAGCTTACATTGAACTATATGAAATTGCTGCTTTATTGGTCAAAAATGGTTGACTGTTGGCACTTTCATACGGTTCAATCTATATCTGAAAGCCTGATGCAGTTAGAGAGGATTCAGCTGTCACAGCAAAAAGCTAAAAATTTTCAATACTGGGTGGACTGGAGTTCCTAGTCTCCTCACATGTCTATGTGGGAAGTGGGGTGTCACAGCTCTCTTGCTGGAAGCGAGGACTGCAGTATTCAGCAAACACCACAAGAGGGGGCATTTCTCTTGGAAATGTGAAGACTGATGAATGCTTTTCAGACTAAGAACCGGTACAGTCAGTCTGGGGGGTGTGCCAACAGGCTAGCAATAAACATCGAGTTGGGAAGAAGAGGGGCCAGTGATTACATGTTAAGCCATTGTCTGTCTCAGAGGGAAAGTCAACAGCTTTCTGTCTGGCAGCCTTAAAGCTAGTAATGCTGAGAACAGGCAAGCCAAAGTGAAGGGAGATCATAGCAATTGTGATTTTTGCAGCCAGAATCAAAACATCAAAAGTGACAAGTAGAAAGGGCTGAAGGTGCGCCTCTTACATATTTGAAAATGTCAGCTTCTTGGGAAAATTCGAGATGATGTAAGAGCTCTGCTGCATTTGCCGGTTGAATGGCATATTCCTGTTGGAAGTTCTGGCTGCCTTGCTAAAAATGCAGTGCACTCTAGCAATCGGCCCTGTGCACAGATGTTACACAGCCTTTACATTAAGCAGATAATGCAGAAAATATTTTCCTTTGTATTGGCACAGCTGTTACCATCTTCAACTCAAAGACTGTGCAGCTCTTGATTAATAGGAGATTTGTCTTTTGTTTGGCTATGAAAGTTAGCTCTAAATGAGAGACTTGGCTGCTCTTTCGCTTGTGTAACACCACATGGTAAATGAGTGCAGAGCAAGGGAGGTCCAGACTTCTGGGGCTGGCTTGTACAATCAGTCTCCCATTGACCAAGAAACTCTGCAACAGCCAAGCCCCCTATATGAGAACATTAAGTGGCCCTAAAGAAATTGCTCAACTAGAGGGGTTCTTATTAGAAAATTAAGGAAGAAAAAGGACAATATGACAAATTACGATATACTCTCATAACATTGAATTTAGCAGTCCCAGCCTTTTTTCATTGCCCAGCATCCTAGGTCAATTAGAATTCAGTGATTCTTGGATTCAGTTAGTGAATTGTTATAATTTGACTCTGAGATAATAAACAGGTAATTATTTCTCTTCTGTACTCCCCTCTCCCCACCCCAAATCCTCCAAAACATTTAAGCTAACTGGGGTGTTTTGCTATGGTGGTTTGTTGGAATTCTTTCTCCTCCACATCCAAAATAAACCATCATGTTTTTACTTGTTTTTCTGAGAAAGCAACACAGATGTTACGTTAAAAAATGTGAGCTTTAGCTTGTTATTGTGTATAAGCATGAAAATGGCTGTCTTATACATTGTAGCAAGTGTAAGCTGTCCTATCTCATGCTGAAAGGAAGCAACTTACCAGTAATGCTGGTGCCAGATTAAGATTCTCAGTGCATCACAAATGAATTACCATGTCTGTTATTTTAAAGGAGAAAAGAAAATGGCAAAAAAAAAAAAAAAAAAAAAAACCCACAAGAAACAAACAAAACCAACCAAAGCCAAGAAATATAAGAAGGGGGACATTGGGCCAGACTTTGCTAAAAGGTACATAACTCACTTTAGATTATCAGCTGGATAGATTATCCTGTTTCATTTCTAAAACAGATTTTGCAAGTGAGTAGTGAACAAGGAATCGTTGATTGCTCTTTTGGCTGTTTGAGTTCTTATGGCCCAGAGATGAGAATATTCAGATAACAGGTCTTTCATATTTTGTGTGTGTTCCACAAAACCACATGTGAAGAGAAACATTTTAATATATTGATTTGTCATAATAAGTGCTCAATAAATGTGTTATTGAAACAATGAATTAAAGGGAATCTTAGGGAACTCTACTACATATAGTGTGTGAAGTGCATCACAGATAATAAATACAATAAATAGGGTCTGGGAGGTGGATAGAGATGGTTTCTGCTGGGGAAAAGGGTGGAAAACAGTGGATGTCTTCTTCCAGCTGCAAGTCCTTGAAATATGAGCCGTAGCTTCCTCTTCCCCACAAGTTTCACTTTAATTCCTAGATAAAATAAGAGAAAAACAGATACGTGTTGAGGGCTGAGTTACAGAGGTCTTGTATGTTCAAGATCTGTGTCTTTTTCAAACATTCCCCGTATTTATCCTGACCATCGGCTTGCATCAATAAGCCAGAGATAAGCTTTGCAAGAAGTGGAAAGGAGAATTTATCAGGGAACAGAGATGGTGGAATATCAGAGAGACATTGTATTAGTGAGGGTTCTCTAGAGGGACAGAACTAATAAGATAGATGTATATATGAGAGGGAGTTTATTAAGGAGAATTGACTCACACGATCACAAGGTGAAGTCACACAATAGGCCATCTGCAAGTTGAGGAGCAAGGAAGCCAGTGGTTGATCAATCCAAATCCCAAAACCTTAAAAGTAGGGAAGCTGACAGTGCAGCCTTCAGTCTGTGGCCAAAGGTCCAAGAGCCCCTGGCAAACACTGGTCCAAGTCCAAGAGTCCAAAAGCTGAAGAACTTGGAGTCTGATGACTGAGGGCAGGAAGCATCCAGCATGGGAGAAAGATGAAGGCCGGAAGACACAGCAAATCTGGTCCTTCCATGTTCTCTGGTCTGCTTTATTCTGGCTGCTCTGGCAGCTGATTAGATGATGCCCTCCCAGAATGAAGGTGGGTCTCCTTCTAGTCCACTGACTCCAATGTTAATCTCCTTTGCAATACCCTCACAGACACAATGAGGAACAATACTTTGCATCCTTCAATCCAATCAAGTTGACACTCAATATTAACTATTACAGACACCCTTGGAATAGTCCAGAGGCTTTAATTGTAATCCTTTCTTGGAGATTACTCTGACCATATCTGTTCATGATGCTCTTCTATTAGCAAAGAAGAAGAGCCAGTGCTTTGTGATAAAGGCCCACCTGGGGCCAGTGTGTCAAAATTAGAGTAGAGGAGGTTTGAGTCAACAGGTGTTTTCCATTATTATAATTCGGCTCTCACCTGCACTCAGGATTAGCAAGACCTGCTTCAGGCATTCACAGCTGAGAGGAAAATGGAACATCTGGGTTGCAATTTTTCTTAGGTCTACATTTCAGAGTGATATTTTGTGTCAGTTTCCTTGAAATGGAAATAAAGTTTTGGTTCAGGGCATGTCTGTGTAGCTATTTGTATTTCACAGGAATGTGGGCTTTCTTACAAGGAACTAAAGAGTTTTAGAAATTCTCAGGTCTTGTTTATGAGGTTGTTAAGCCATCTGTGACATTATATGCATTTTCCACAAGGATTTCAAGAAAAGGAGATACGAGTGTGTTCTGCCCCATCGTATAACTCATTGTTGGGTCAACATAGGACTTAAATTCTTGTTAGTTTTCTAGATAAAAGTGGAGAGTGAGAGGAGGCTTAGAATGTTTAGTGTAATTGTTGTTCATTGGTTTTGTGCAGGAGATAGGGACTTCTGTGGATGCTTATGAAGAGTACTGAAGCACTGAGTAGAAATGGGATACAGTTCCTAGATGATTGTAAATATATATTTTTGTCTCTAAGTGAATTCCAAGGCCTGAAAGTGACATGATTTACTTTACTACAATAGAGCTGTCCTTAGTGAAACTCATGAGAACACTACGTTTTATCCTCAAGGATCAAGAGAGTGGACAGTAGAATTTCTCCCCTGCATCCACACCACTGACATTGTGCTTATTTGTCAAGGCCAGATCCTAAAATCTGAACATGCCATTGAGGCATGTGTGTCATGGCCACAGATACGTGTTGAGGGCTGAGTTACAGAGGTCTTGTATGTTCAAGACCTGTATCTTTTTCAAACATTCCCCGTATTTATCCTGACCATGTGTTTGCATCAATAATCCAGTTTGCAGCACCCTTCTAATAGCCTATTCTCTAAATATTTTAGGATTTTAGCCTGATGCTAACTTCCTGCCTTAGAAGAGGAGAAAGGGGAAAAGAATAGAAGGGGAAAATTTGAATTCTCTTAAATTTTCTAAGGATAATGAGGTTATGATTTCATGAAGATACAGTGTTTCTCTGGGGGCATCAGTCAGGCTAGACAATTGTTCTTCCTACTAAATGGAACCAGATATTCATAGGGGCATAAGGATGCTTTCCAATTTCATGAGTTCTACAGCTGGCATACAAAGACTATGGTTTCTCTAGAATCTAGAGATTCTCCTCCAAGAGGAGTCTGAGGTAATGCTGGAATTATAAAGCTCTGAAGTTAGAAGTCTAGAAGTTACAAGCTTCTAGGTCAATTTCACTAATAAAAATCTAGAACACAAACAGGACTGTCTCTGCCTGGAGCTCTCCCTCCTTGATGAACCAGTGCCTGATCCCTGGCCTCTGTCTGCTCTGGTGTCAGGCCATTCTAACTTGGCTTGACTACAAGGCAACTTCTTGTTCCACGCTGTGTCCAACCTTCTCTGACCTATGCCAAACCCCTGTGCCACTCATTGCCAACACTGACTATGTCTGTCCCCATTGCCTGCCTCAGATGAGGCTAGCAGTTTGCTTTTCCAGAACACACTCATATTTCTTTTGCTATAGTACAAACACATGTTGTTCAATGTTAAGAAAGATGATATTTGAAAATCAAACCCTCACATCTGATGGACTAGGCAGCATTCCTTGTTCTAGATGGGAACAATAAGCTTAGCTGACCAGGTGAGGATGCAAGGCCTGTGGCAGTAGCCTGGCGCTGGAGGTTGGGATGGTAGATGGAGTCAGGGTGGGTCACAGTTCAGTGCCAGCTGGAGCCCAGGTCATAATAGCCTCATGGAAAATTCCTTGGAGTTAGGGTTTTATCTGGAGACTGATGTAGTAGCTGCTTCTTTATTCCTGGTCACCCAAGTGTTCTCTGATTTATCCTTAATACCTAAAAGAGCCACCAAGATAAGTGTTGTTCCCTGGGAGAAGGATTCCTAGAGCTAAGTGTTCTTGGTTTCTGTGTCTAAACCAGAGTCAAGTCTGCCCTTGGCATGTTGAACGTCTGTGGAATCTGATTCCTCTTAGGAGAATGCACACCCTGACCCCTTCCTGAAGGAGTCAGTAACATTTTTTAAGCCTTTACTATGATCTAGGCACTCTTAAGTATTTTCTATAGGCCTAGAATTCTATGACATTCTGTATATATTGTTGCCATTTTACTGTTATGGAAATTGAGGCTCATCAAGGTAAAGTAACTCCCCCAAAGTCACATAATCAATATGAAGCAGAGCTTGGCTTGAACCTAGGTCTGCTGGACTGCAAAGTCTGCAACTACTCCATGGAACAGAAAGAGAAATTCCTGCAACGGGATCATGATTAGATAGATTATTTATACCATAAAGGACCTTTTTTTCATATATACACACAGAATGCCTCTAAATAGTGAAATCTATTAGTAAGTTTCAAATGTCTGATTTTGAAAAGATCAAGGTATGCTACTTTACAGCAAAGTGCATTATTGCATAAAGCAAGCTACAACTTGCAACTTTTGTATGTCTGTTTTCTTGGCAATGTTCAATAATGTTGTATTCTTCACTTAATTACTTCCTGTTTTTTTTAGGTTGCTTTATCCTTAATTTCTCCACATTATCATATTAATTACGCTTTTCAAATGTGATAATACCTTTTCATATATTCTCAAGGAAATGCTCTTTTTACCACTGGGCTATTTTGCTCTAGAAACAGAGATAACAAGCTGGGCACAGTGGTTCACGCCTGTAATCCCAGCACTTTGGGAGGCTGAGGCAGGTGAATTACCTGAGGTTAGGAGTTTGAGACCAGCCTAACCAACATGGAGAAACCTTGTTTCTATTAAAAATACAAAATCAGCTGGGAGTGGTGGTGCATGCCTGTAATTCCAGCTACTCGGGAGGCAGAGACAGGAGAATCGCTTGAACCCAGGATGCGGAGGTTGTGGTGAGCCGAGATCGCACCATTGCACTCCAGCCTGGGCAACAAGAGTGAAACTCCATCTCAAAAAAAAAAAAAAAACCCCACAAAAATAGAGATAACACAACTAATCTTCAATTCAAGAAGAGGCTTTGGATACTGGGAAGAAAAAGCAGCAACTCCAAAATAATGTTACCACCAACTCTTGCCCTCCTCCTCTACTTCACAGCAGCCTCCTCTGCTGGTGGCATTGCTGGCAAGAGCTTCTGCTGGCCCCCGCCCCACTGTGAAGCCTAATTGTGTTAAGCCCATTAATGATCCATTTGTTTCTTCTCCTCCTGCTTCCACAAAAGGAAATGTATTATTCATGGATAACCTTTCTCCCCTCTCCCTTTGTGTTTTAGCAATACTCTAGACCATCTGAATTTCATATTGTTGCACAGACTGTGATATTGGCTGTTTCAGTGTCTCTGTTGTGAAATTACTCCATTGTCATCAGACATTAACAGGGTTCAAGTAAACATTTGGGTAGCAGCTCCTTGTTTCACTTAGAACTCCAGCCATCCTTCCTAATGGCTCTCAACTGGCCCACTTCAGCAGAAAGTTGGTCGAATCTCCATTCTATTCTCTTGGGGAGACGCCACTTGCTTCTTGTGTATCTAACAAATATCCTACCAGCTACTGAAACCTCCTCTGGAGGTACAGGAGTTGTGATCACATTTTTTCTCCATGTTATCTTTGATCATCAACACCAACAAAATAAAGCTGTGTCCTAAGAGCTATAGCTCTATCTTTAATTGGTTGGGCCTATTCTACAGCACTTCAGGACCAGGGTCTTTGGGGGATAGGACTCTGTGCTTTTGTATACCAATAAAACCCTGTTTAAAGTGGTTGCTCTGACAAACATATGAAAAGAGCTCAACATCACTGATCATTAGAGAAATGCAAATCAAAACTATAGTGAGATACCATCTCATGCCAGTGGAACGGAAATTATTAAAAAGTCAAGAAACAGATGCTGGTGAGACTGTGAAGTAATAGGAATGCTTTCACACTGTTGGTGGGAGTTTAAATTAGTTCAACCATTGTGAAAGACAGTGTGGCAATTCCTCAAGGATCTAGAACCAGAAATACCATTTGACCCAGCAATCCCATTATTGGGTATATACCCAAAGGAATATAAATCATTCTATTATAAAGATACATGGACACATATGTTCATTGCAGTACTATTCACAATAGCAAAGACATGGAATCAACCCAAATGCCCATCAGTGATAGACTGGATAAAGAAAATGTGTTACTTATTCACCATGGAATACTATGCAGCCACAAAAAGGAATGAGATCATGTCTTTTGCAGAAACATGGATGTTAGAAGCAGATAATCGGTGTCACCAAGAAAAGTCAGCATGGAGACAAAGGATCTCTCAGCAAGGCAACCTTTACTTTCTGCAGAAAGGGTGCTGCTTGCCAGCAGTCTTGCCACGAGAGCACACTGAACAAAGAGGATAAAAATATTTATATCTGACACATCCGTACCCTACTGCTGTGTCCTGATTCCATTGGCTGGAATTGGACCTCACAGTCTAGGCTGCTCCCGATTGGCTAAAGGTTTAAAACTTTTCCTAAAGAGATAATGGCAGAGAAGAACAAAGGAAAGGAGGAAGTTTCTTATGAAAAGACTTAGAAAAGTAATAACATTCCCAAATAAGGAAGGGGCATAGGCTGCGAGCTGGGACATGCTTGTGAGCACATCTAGCACAGATATCTTGGTTAAAGTACAAGGTCATAGAATGTACTATGTGCCTGTGAGCATGTCTAGCATAAAGTTAGTCTTTAAAAGAAACTATTATTTCTAACACTTATGACTTATTCTTTAACAAGAAGAGAAACAGTAAAAAGGAACTTTTACTTTCTGCAAAGAAGAAGCTGGAAGCCATTATCCTCAGCAAACTAATACAGGGACAGAACACCAAAACCGCACATTCTCACTTATAAGCAGGAGCTGAACAATGAGAACGCATAGACACAGGGAGGGGAAAAATACACACTGGGGCCTGTTGTAGGGGCTGGGGGGAGAGGAAGAGTATTACAATAAATAGCTAATTCATGCAGGGCTTAATACCTAGGTGATGGGTTGATAGGTGCAGCAAGCCACCATGGCACATGTTTACCTCTGTAACAAACCTGCACGTCCTGCACTTGTATCCTGGAACTTAAAAGAAAAAATGGTTGCTCTGTCTTCTGCCCAGCTGTATATGGCTTTTTGAATTTAAATGAATAAAAATGAAAATTTCAGTTACGCTAACCACAGTTCCTGTGCTCCATAGCCACATGTGACTAGTGACTGCTGTATTAGACAACACAGTAGAATGTCCATCATCTCAGAAAGTTCTAATGGCCAGCAGTGGTCTAGTAATGCTAAGAGCTAAAGCTTTTTGTGTACCTCTTATGTGCTGGGCACTGTTTGCAGCATTCTACATGTATGAATTCTCTTATTCCTTATAGCAAACCTAGGAGTTAGATACTATTTGTCTGATTTATAGATGAGCAGACACAGGCACAGAGAGCTTATTTACATCATAAAACCACTTGCATCACATCCTTAATATGTGACACAGACAAGACAGTCACAGGCAATCTGTCTCCAGAGCCCAAGCTCTGCACCTCCTGGCTCTCACACTGGATACATTAGAAAGAGATGGAGCCCCAGACTAACTATGATTTAAATAAATGCTTCTATTTTCAAAGAATGAAAGACTGTTAATCTAGTAATCATTGCTTCCCTGCCCTTCCTGGCCCTGACTCTGCTCTGAGCAGATGGTTGACCTTCCATTTTATAAAAAGGAAAGAGGCAAAACACCTTTTTCCTTCAACCATTTTCTTTGCTACTTGACTACTGCCCTGTTTCTTCAATTTTTGTCTCCTCTCTTGTATCCTCCTAAAAACGGCTAATACCTTTACCGGCCTGTCTGATTTCATCCTTTCCCACCTCACTCAGAAACAAGCTGCCATTGCTTACTTTCTCTCTAATCAATGTTTTCCCTCGGTAAGATTCTTTATCTTTGCAGAAAACACGTGTGGTACTTTTCTTCCCTATGCCTTTGTTTAAATATGCCAGCCCAGCTTCTAGTTCTCCCTTCAGAGTTAACAGGTATCATCTGTTTAGGAGGCCCTTCAGCCCCATCACCTCCCCTTTCCTCAGACCAGGCCACCAGGCTAATAAATGCTCTTGTTCAGTGCTTCCGTAGCCTGCTGGTTACCTGGCTTCAGGTTGAACAATGTAGTTACATTTCTGTTTTCTCCTCTAAATTGTATACTGCTTGAGAGTAAGGATCAAGTTCTAATCATCTCTGGATCTTGCCAGCCGCACAATGTAGGCACTAAATAAATGTTGATTGGAATATAACCATTTATTCTGAAAAGAAAACCGCACCAAACACCTAAACATGTCATCTTTCTTTTGACTCTGTTTCCTCCTCTGATATTGGCTTCTGGCTTTTATCCTCAGACTTCTTGAAACATTTGTATTTACTACCAATTACTCTTTTTGTCTTTTTGAGACAGCTGTTGCCCAGGCTGGAGTGCAGTGGCACGATCTCAGCTTACTGCAACCTCTGCCTCCCGGGAGTGATTCTCCCACCTCAGCCTCCTGAGTAGCTGGTATTACAGGCATGTGCCACCACGCCTGGCTAATTTTTTTATTTTTAGTAGAGATGGGGTTTCACCTTGTTGGCCAGGCTGGTCTCGAAATCCTGACCTCAAATTATCCTCCCACCTCAGCTTCCCAAAGTGCTGGGATTACAGGTGTGAGCCACCACACCCAGCCTACTATGAATTACTCTTTATCTCCTGGCAATTTGGTCTCTGCATGCAACGCGGCCTTTGTGTATAAGCACTGTGTGTGTGTAAAAACATTGAAACTTCCTTAATAAATGAAGAGATGTCCTTTTTGTACATCTGGATTTGTGAAAGGCATAATTTCTTGAGATCTTAGCTGCTTGGGCAACTGCTTGTGCAGTGTGACCCATTACAGTTTTTGATTGATCTAGTTGAAAGACTTCATCACAGTTGTCATCACAGTATTTCAGATGACTGTAGTTATAAACCTGAGTGCACACAATTACTAACCAAGTTACCATGTGTTTATATGTTTCCCTTTTTATACATTTCCTTTTTTATTCTATTTCTTTATGCATATCATTTGCTTATAACTGTTATACCTGTGTAACTGTTGTCAGTATATGAGAGCATTTGCTTGCAACAATATGTATGTTATTATTGCCTATATTATTATGTGAAGTAGCCTATGAAATGTTCTGTTGTGATATGTTTCTCAAATAAACCCCCCTTTTAAAGTGTGAAATGTCTTTTAAAGAACTTTTAACATTTTTTTTTCCCAAATTACATTTCTGGGACTTTAGGGATTTTGATCTTTCAGGATTTCATCATTTAGGATTATGTTGTACAAGACTGTGTCAACATTATAATCAGCTCCCCCTTGATAATACATTTTTGGAATTTAAACTACTTGATATTAGTGACCCCACCTTGAAGTTCTCCTCTCTCTTAAATTCTGTTCACTTCAGCATTTGGATTCCTGTTTCTTCTTTGGTCAAATCACTTCTTGCTCTTGATGTTCTTGGCTAGCTTCTGTTCTTCTACCATTCATTAATTATGATGGACATTCCTTAAGCTTTAGGAATTCTTCCCCTTTCTTTGTGATGGTATAAATTTCTGTGACTTCAATTATTTTCTCCATGGGAATGATTCTTACGTTCATGTCCTTCTTAGTATCTGTATCCTGCTGGTTCTTGAAACTTAACATTTGTAAACTAGGTTAATCATTTTTGCTGTTAAACGTGTCCATTCTCCTGACTTTCCAGATTCTTCCAAAGTCATCACTATTTTGCATTACTATATTTCAGTCTCAAACTCATCTCTGATGTCTCCTATGTCTTCAATCCCATATCTCCAATAAGCCATTATATCCTATTGAATTTTCTTTGAAATTGCTCTCACTTCTTTTTTCACATGCCTTTCACATGGCGGCCTCCCTAATCAAGACCTTTATTTAGCTCTCGTCTGTTCTATTGCAATAATTTTCCAGCATCTAGCCTCTTCTGCCTTCTAATATATCTTTCACACCACTGCCAGAGTGATCTTCTCAAACAACTCTGATTATATCTGATTATGTCTTTTCTTTATTCAAAATATCTTTAATGACAGTTTCATGCCTAGTTAAGAAAGTCCGTATCATTTGCTTGACAGTCAAGAACCAGATATAACAATTTTTCTTTTCATTTTTATCTCCCATGGTTCTATGCATATACCCTGAATGTCTCATTTCCCAACACACTTTCCATTCTTTCATCTCCACACTTAAAAAAAAAATTCTCCATCCTGCTTGAGTTGCCCTAGATCACTCCTCTGTCTTCTTCACCTCCAGTTCTACTTATTAAAGTGCTTTCCATTCAATGCCCTGTTCTGATGCCATCTGCTCCATGAAGACTTTCCTGATGACTGCAGCCAGGAATGGTCTCTCTCTCTCTAAACTCCCACAGTCTTCTATCTGGGCCATGAGAATTACTGCCTTCTGCTTGTTACCTGACCACATGTATTCTATGAGATGGTAGCTCCTTGAGCATGAATACATGTCTAATTATTCTTCACATTCCTCACAATATTTTGCTAAGGGCAGATGCTGAGTCAGTATTTGTTGACTGTGGGACGCCCCCAGCTTTGATACTGCACTTCTTTTGTCCAGAGTATTGCATTAACATCTCTGCTATGAGAACTTCAGCAGGAATAAAGAAGAAGCTGAAAATCTGCCATTTAAATAATAGGTGGCAGCTCTGTGATGTGTCTGCCATTTATCTGTCTTTCTTTTGGATGGTAAAAGAGTATAGGCAATAAATCAAGGATTGAAGAGAAGAGAGTTAAATCCCAATTTTGGCCTCATCACTAGTCTTTCTGCAATATGCACACATCCTTTCTTTCTTCACTTTCTTCTTCAAGGAAATTGGCATCACTGGGCTACTTCAAAGGAGCCATGGTGATAACTACCAATTACATTGACACTTCAAAGTGTTAAGACCATGTGGCTGTCACTTTGGCACATTGTGCTTTCTTCCTTCTGAATTCTCATGACTTTTCCTGGATTCCTTACTAACTTACACATACTACAGTGTATTGGATGGTGGTCCTGAAAACATATGTACACATCCTAATCGCTGGAACCTGTGAATATTACCCTATGTGGTAAAAGAGCAAATATTACCTTATATTGCAAAAGATGTGATTAAGTTAAGAATCTTGAGAGGAGGGGTTTATCCTGAATTATCTGAATGGGCACTAAATGCCATCACATATATCTTTATAAGACAGACAACACAGAAGAGAAGGCAATGCAAAGAAAGAGATAGAGATTGGAATGCTGAAGCTACAAACCAAGCAACACTGGGGTTGGCAGCCACCCTTAGAAACTAGGAAGGAGTCATTGAAAGAAATCTACCCTAGAACCCTTGGAAAGAGTGTGGTCCTCTCAGCATCTTGGTTTTGGACTTCTGACCTCCAGAATTGTGAGAGAATACATTTCTGTTTTAAGCCACCACATTTGTGGTAGTTTGTACAGCAGCTCCAGGAAAAAAAATATACCTATTCCATCCTGTGATACATCTTATGCTGATATTTAATATTTGCATCCATGTTTTGACTTTCTTACAAGCTACTTAACAACCACTATGCTTAAAACTTTCCCTTTCGACAGGTATTGATTGAGATTCTACTACGTGCCAGGTACAATTTTAGGTCCCAAGGTTACAAAACCAAAAAAGATCTCATTCCTGCCCTCAAAAAAGTCATAATCTTTAGGGGATAAGGTAGTCTAAGTGAAGCAGGGGCAGGTAAGGAAGCTTCCTGGATGAGGTGACATTAAACTGAGTTCCAAAGATTGAATTGGGATTAACTAGGCTGGGGGAGTTAGGAGATAGAACAATTTTAGGCAACGAAGACATCATGAAGAAGGTCACAGAACCCAGACCTCATGGTGTGTATCTTGTGTGGACAGGGATTGGTGGGAATTGCAGCTGGAAAGTTAGGGAATAGCCAGATCACTGAGGCTTTATGTTCTTAGAAGAAGGGGAGAAACCAAGTTTTAATCTCAGTTAAACTACTCATAGCAAGTGGAAAGTTTTAACCATATAGTCAGTACTCAGTAGATGTTCCCTGAATGACTCTGTATTAAAATAGATGCAATTTGTAATAAAAGTTGGTAGCAATTGGTATAAAAAAACCCAATGTTTTCTTACTGAATAGTGTCTAAATCTGTTGGTTATCTGTAAGAGTGCAATGAGGATAATTATGGGATAAATAAAATTCACAGACATGTTTTTAAATACTGAACAATATAATGGATATTTTACAACTTGCTACCTTTCAGATTGGTTATATGAGGTCCATAAAGCAAGTTTGTTCAGTGCCATGCATATTAATGAAAAGCCATTTGGAGAGTGGAGGACCCATACAGTGGTGCTGCTGTGAAGATGTGAAGGCGTCTCCCCAAGAACACATCTTACCTACGGATGACACTCCTGTGCAAGAAGATGGAGAGGCAGAATTTCAAATGGTGGCAGTGAAACCTAAAGCCACCGGGGGCTTTGGATGTGAGCCTATCAGAGGCTCAAAATGGAAATGTGTCAGAAGAAACAGTGGGGCATGGAAAAGTTAAAAAAATCCCTAAAACATGTTATGATTGTGGGCTTGTCAGAAGCCCCAAATGGAGACATGTCTAAAGAAATAGTAGAAAATGTAAAAGTTAAAGAAAACTAGAAATCTATCATACTAACCAGTGCAGAAGCAGCAATTCAGTCTCTAGATTCGAAATCAAAAAAGAAAAGAAGAACAAGAGAAAAATAGTGACTAATGCTGGGCGTGATACAAAAAAAGCAAAAACTGAAAACAAAGGGGAATCCGAAGAAGATGGTATCGAGGCTCCTGAAGAAACAGAAAACTGGGGGGAAGCCAGACAATGAGAGAGATGAGAATACTTCATTTCTTCTCTAATTTTGTCAGTGAAAACACTTTGAAGGCAATAAAAGAAATGGGCTTTACCAACATGACTGAAATTTAGCATAAAAATGATGGGCCACTTATGGAAGGCAGGATCTTCCAGCAGCTACACAAACCAGCAGTGGCAAAAACCCTGGCATTTCTCATCCCTGCATTTGAACTAATTGTTAAGTTAAAATTCATGTCCAGAAATGGAACAGGAGTCTTTATTCTCTCACTAATTAAACAGCTTGTCCTGAGACTCTTGGTGTTCTTAAGGAGCTAATGACTCACCATATGCACATGCATGGGTTGATAATGGGTGGCAGTAACAGATCTGCTGAAGTACAGAAGCTTGCAAATGGGATCAGCACTGGTGGTCACACCAGGCCATCTCCTGGGCTGTATGCAGAATTCTGCAGGATTTAAGTATAAAAACCTATGGCGTCTGGTTATGGATGAGGCTAATGATATCTTGGATGCTGGGTTTGAAGAGAAATTAAAGCAAATTATTAAACTTCTTTGAACATGGAGACTATGCCCTTTTCCGCCACACAAACTCAAAAACTTGAAGACCTGGCAAGGATTTCTCCAAAAAAAAAAAAAAAGGAACAAATGTATGCTGGTGTTGATAATGATAAAGCTACTGCAACAGTGGATAGTCTCAAGCGGGGATATGTTGTTCGTCCCTCTGAAAAAGGATTCCTTTTGCTCTTTATATTCCTTAAGAACTGAAAGAAGAAACTGATGGTCTTCTTTTCATCCTGTAGGTCCATAAAATACCACTATGAGTTGCGGAACTACATTGACTTGCCTACCTCAGCCATTCATTTCCAGAAGCAAAATTACGTGTAGAATTACATTTTTTCCAGTTCTGTAATGCAGATTCAGGGATATTGTGTACAGATGAGGCAGGGAGAGAGCTAGATATTCCTGGCTGGATTGTTCAGTATTATCCTCCAGATGACCCTAAGGAATATGTTCATCGTCGGGGGACAATAGCCAGGGACCTAAACGAAAGAGGGCATGCCTTGCTCAGTTTTTGCCCAGAAGAATTGGGTTTTGTTTGTTACCTGAAGCAACCCAAGGTTCCATTAAGTGAATTTGACTTTTCCTGGCCTAAAATTTCTGACATTCAGTCTTGGTTTGTAAAATTAATGAAAAAGAACTACTTTCTTCATAAGTCAGCCCAGGAAGCATATAAGTCATACATACGAGTAAATGATTCTCATTCTCTGAGACAGATTTTTAATGTTAATAACTTAAATTTGCCTCAAGTTGCTCTGTCATTCGGTTTCAAGGTGCCTCCTTCTGTTGATGTGAATGTGAACAGCAATGAAGGCAAGCATAAAAAGAGAGGAGGCGAGAGTAGATTCAGCTACCAGAAAACCAAGAAAGTTAAGTCCATAATCTTTAAAAACATTAGCACGAAATCATCTGATAGCAGGCAGTTCTGTCACTGAAGATACACCTTTCTTTCATCTTGAATAAGTGTCCTGAGGTGGAGTTTTTCCCCTTTGCTCTAACAAAGGCATTTTTGTAGGCTTTAGAATTTGAATGGATATAACAACAGTGTAGACTGACTTGGGTTGCGAGCACTGAGCATTGTTATTTCCAGCAAGTCTCTTTTGTATTTTTGGGATTTAAAACAGATTTTAACTGTTCTTGGTTGCTCAAGGGCAAAGCAAGGAGTCTTCTTCATCTTTCTTGTGATGAGATGATATTTTAATTTTAAATACACCCCAAATTTATGTAATTGTTTTAATATAATTTTGTACCTTAAAAAGAACAAAAGCCTCTTAGAATCAAGATGAAAACTTCAAATTTTCTGTATTTTTTCTTTTTCTATTTTTTCCTTTTTTTTTTTTAGAGATGGTTTCGTTCTGTCACCCAGGCTACAGTGCAGTAGAATAATCAGAGCTCACTGCAGCCCGGACCTGGCAGGCTCAAGTGATCCTCCCACCTCAGCCAACCAAATAGCTAGGACTACGGGCATGCACCACCTTGCCCGGCTAATTTTTATATTTTAATTTTTTGTAGAGATGGAGTTTCACTATGTTTTCCAGGCTAGTCTTGAACTCATTGATTCTCATACCAAAGTGTGAGGATTACAGGCATGAGCCACAGCACTCAGCCCAGCTTCTCTTTATTATGAAAAATGAGAGCTTATTCTTGAGAGGACAACAGGTTTCATTGTTTATCTGGTCTGTCTACTGTAATGAAAGCTGGAGATGTTATTTAGGCAATGAGGCACAATACTGCTGTCACTAGCATTGGTGAGCTGTCCCCACATGGTATGATTATGATTTTCATGTCGTTAGCACTGAAGTCCTCAGAAATAGGATAAAGTGGGAAAGCAGGTGTCAGGTGAGAACTCTGTCCTTGTAAGGAACATCCAGTTGATAGATATGAATGCAATTAAGTACTTCCTGTCACTGGATCATATCATTAGGACTCTGCTCACCTGATCTGTGATACAAGCTGAAATCAACTATGCTGTGAAAACTTTTTCAAATTTTGTCATTTTAGCAAATTACAAAATATTCTCTATATGTAAAAATCTCCAGGTGGGCATTTAAAGTGAAGTGAGCAAGTTCCTAAGAAATATTTCCTGTGTATCTGTTGTTTTATGTTTTGCTAGAAACAAAGGAGATGTAGTTTCAGCTCACAAAGGGCTTAAAGTTTTGTTGGAAGAGAAAATGATAAAGACACTTGACAAAAGCATGTACTTTTTTTTTTTTCTTCAGAGACAGGGCCTTGCTCTGTTGCCCAGGCTGGAGCACAGTGCTATGATTATTGTTCACTGCAGCCTTGAACTCCTAGGCTCATGCTATCCTCCCACCTCAGCTCCCCAAAGCACTGAGATTACAGGTGAAAACCACTGTGCCCGGCCCACAAATATATAATTTTTGGAAGCATGTTGTGACACTTGGAAGTCCCTAAGTGGAAAGTCATATTGAGCAACCAATTAAAAGGTGAAAGAGTTGAGACTTGCATCTGACTCAGCCTTAGAGCACCAGATTTGAATTGGTATGGCAGGAAAAATGGTTTGAGTGGAGAAACAGTGTGGGATTAAAAACAAATGAGCATGTTTAGGGACTGAAAGGAGACCCACTTGACTGCAGCAGTGGATTCCTGTTTCAGAGCACTGGGATGTTTTGGATACATAAGTTGGATCCAAATCGCTAAAGGTTTAGCTTTAGATTTTGATTGCTGCCATAACAAATAATCACAAATGTAGTAGTTTAAGATGACACAAATCTATTATCTTATAGTTCTCTGGGCCTGAAGTCTAGTGGGCTCAACTGGTTTCCCTGCTTGGAATTCATAAGACGAACGTGAAAGTGTTGGTGCAGTTGTGCTCTGGAGAAGAATCTGCATCTGTGCTCATTTAGGTTGTTGGCAGAATTCACTTCTATGTAGTTGTAGGACTGAGGTCTCTGTTTTCTTGCTGGCTGTTGGATGGTGGTTGTTTTTAGCTTTTGGAGGCCACTTGCCTTCTTTGCTCATGGATCCCTTGCTCCATTTTCAAAGCTGGCAAAGGCAGTTTGAGACTATCTCATACTTTAAATCACTCCAGTGCCTCACTCATCTGCTGTATCACCCTGATTCTTCTGCATCACCCTGATTCTTCTGCCTTTCTCTTCCACTGTTAAGGGCCGTTGTGATTACATTGGTCCCAACTAGAGAATAAAGGATAATCTCCTAATCTCCCTGTTTTAAGGTTCAGAACCTTCTATCTGCAAAGTTCCTTTTGCCATGTCACGTAACATATTCATGGGTTCCAGGGACTAAGGGCCAAGCTGAGGAGTTTGAATGTGAGACAGAAGATAATAGAGAAGCACTGTAGATTATTGAACAGAGGAAATGTACGTAGGTACACAGGACAGGCTGATGATATGACATTCCTTCAAACCAGTATTATTTAACTATTCGTGTAACATTTATGTAGAGGAGAGACTGAGCAAGACATAGGGAACAGATGAGGAGAACTACTGGTGGCTGTTTTTGACCTCTCTTTATTAGACCCAAGCAAATTGACTCAATCTTGAAAACTCCACTCAGTAGAAGAAGATTCCTATAGTTGATTGTACTCACCCTCCTTCAGGGCAGTTTAGCCAACACCCTTGTGGGAGGGTGGCTCATCCTCCCCCTGACTTATGTGGTTTATCCAAGTATTCCCTCTATAAACATTTGCGGAGGAATTCTAAAATAAATATCCTTTATCTCACTATCTTTTCAGTGAAGCTTCAGCCCCCTTTTATAGATGGGCATCTTAGGCCACCACCCCACTGTGCCCCCCAGCCCTAAGCTGGTTCTGAGGATATTCATCATTTTATTCATTCATGAGCATTTGCTATATGCAAGTAATGATCCAGGTGCTGGGGTTACTGCAGTGAACAAAGTCCCTTTGCTCCTGGAACTTAACCTTCAAGTGGGAGAAGAAAGTCAGGAATCAAACAAATATACATCAGATGATGCAAATGTGAAGAAACTAAGTAGGTTAGAAGGATAGAGAGTGGTGGGTGAAGATGGAAGGTAACATTGGAAGAGACACTTAAAAGAAGTGAAGGGTTAAGCCATGTGGCCGTCTAGTGTAAGAGTGTTTAAGGCAGAGGAAATAGCAAATGCGATGACTGTGAGAAGGGGGCATGCTTGGGACATTCATGGAAAATAAATGGGTCTAAAAGACTACATATTGGGTACACTGCTTAGGTGATGGTTGCACCAAAATCTCAGAAATGACCACTAGAGAACTTATTCATGTAACCAAACACCACCTGTTCCCCAAAAACCTATTGAAATAAAAATTAAATAAAAATAAATTGGTCTATGGCTGGAGCAGAGTGAGTGAAGGGGGAGGAGTGTTTGGAAAGGAGGTCAGAGAGGTGGCAGGCAGTGCTGTAGTAAAGTCATCTGTCATTGGTCTACATTAAGCAACATTCTAATCTTGGGTCTGCATGTTCTCACACACTGTTTACTCCAAAACTTTAGTCTGATTACCACACAGAAGGATTTATTTGTCTCAAGAAATTTGGACCAAAGAGCAAAATAGCATATCCAAGTTCTGGGTATAGACTGCTGTGAAAAATTAACTTATATGCATTTATTGACTATTGTTTATGACGTAAACAAAGCTGCTCTTCTTCTATAATAAGAAGAGTTGGTAATATTGTACCTTTATTTTCCACCGTCAATATTATTATAAAATAAAAGAGCTGAATATATAATATACTGCCGAGAGGGTAATGAGCAGGATTCAATCACACATTTAAATAAATTTTTAAGAAATCTGAACCATGTCCAAGTTCTTCCATCTAAGCATCACTTAAGAATCTGTTTGTTCAGTTGAGTTTCATCTCTGCAGCTGCCAAGACACTTCAGTTCTGCCAGCTCGACTCTCTGATTGCAAAATAAAGGGTGGTCAGTTAACAGTGGATGTGAAGAATAAGAATGTTCTGTGAAAAGAATGACATTATGAGAAACCCTGATAATGGAAAACTGGAGGCTTCCCTCTTGTGCCCCCCTTAGCCTGAAGGCAGTTAAATGGGAGGGTATTCTCACCTTCCCCGAATCTCAGCAGCCTTTGACGGGGTATGTGTGCTTTTGGAAGATGGATGCACTTTGCTGCAGCTTACATTCATAAATATTTTTGTAGTATAATAGGTTGTCAAAACAAATCTGTGTTTTCCATTTGTGTGTGCGTGAGTGTGTCAGTATGCCTCTTCATCTTTTTGTCCATCTAGAGGTAGAGCACAAATAGTTTACTTTCCTCATTGTGGATTTTTCATTACAGTATAGAGTTTTGCAGAAGTGAGTCATGAGGAATAGGTAAATAAATGACCATATAATCGGTGGGAACAGTTTGTGTATCTTTGTTTTAGCAGTTCCATGTCTTTGCTGGAAATCTGTGGTTCTTTTTAAGCATTATTTGATGGAAAATCTTATCTGAAGCTTGGCAGTAACTATATCATTGAGCTGGGGAGGGAAGGCAAGGTGGTCTTGTTGACAACACAGTCGTGCCTGTGGAAATGCAGCATTGTGTTCAGAGGACAGGCACCAAGTTTCATACAACTTCATCACTTGTTAGCTGTGTGACCTTAAGTGATCTGCTTAACTTCTCTGAGACTCCATTTTTTATTTTGTAAAATGAGGAAAACAATGCTTACATCCTGGAGTGGTTGTGAGAATTACATGAGGTAATATAAGTATAGTGCTTAGTGTAGTGCCTGCACCTGCTAAATGCTCTATAAATGGTATCCATTTTTACTATCATTTTTCTTTGGCTTATTTCATTCTGATGGCACAGCATGTAGACTTGGCATAAAGCAGCAGTCTTTCCGGTGCATGGAAATGTAGTTCCTTAGAGGCTAGCACATCAAACCCTGAAACTCAGTGTATATCCTCCTTCAAATTTTTCACAATATTTTTCTCTCTTCAAGGAAACCTGGACAAAACATTTTGCTGCTTGCTGCCTGAATTGACCAGCAATTCTAGTTTCCAAGGAGATTGTAAATGGATGTATTTGTGTATGCTGATTTGCCTCAACTTTAGAAGAAATCCTCAGGGTATTCTTCAAAAGAGACAGAACATAATGGAAATGCTTTTATTTTTTCATAAGCCGTGGAAAATTGTGTGTGTATGTGTGTGAATCCTTAGTGATCTAAAAGTTACTTAGAAGTGGTCAGGCAAATGGAAAGATTTGCTAATGAAAGATTTATCTCCCCATGACTGCAATTTTATATGTCCTTTCAGATTAATTTATCTGGGTCTTTTTCTATTTAGAAAGGCATTTAGTGTAATTTGGAATTGTAATTAGGATATTCTATACCATCTGCAGTGCTCGATGTAATTCTCTAGCTTCACTATGGTTACATCACAAAGGAGGCTGGAGCTGAAGTCTGCTTTTTTACTCTAGAAAACCCAACAGCACTCACACAATGTCTATCCTTGATAGGTATTCAATACTGGTTAACTGATAATAAAGTTTTACTCCTGGTACAGGTTCCATTAGGGCTTGTGGTGAAAAATTGCACATTAATATCTTAAAAATTATGGATTGATGGACAGAGGATGCCACTTTCAAAGGCTCTTGGTTCTAATTCTAGATAGCCCATATGACATTGACCCAGGCCTCTCTTAGTCTCTCTGTTTTCATTCAGTCAATTGTCAGATGGGATAATAAAACTGATGTAGCTTCTAGTATTTTAAGGAGAGTTATTGCTGTTATTTTTTTGCATATCTAAATGTTGAAAATTTTGATTTAGAGGTCAATATCATTCTTTTCACAGAACACTTTTATTTTTCACATCCACTATTAAATGGCCACCCTTTATTTTGCAATCAGAAAGTTGAACTGGCAGAATTTAAGTGCCTTGGGTCCAGGCTTGTTTGATGGATTGATTCATTCATTCATCACTCATCATGTATTCGTGCAGCACTGAGTGGCACAGTGTGGTGTAAAGGACACAAGCTTTAGAGTCAAGACTTGGGTTTGCATCCAAGCTCTCTTACTAGTTTTATGATCTTGGTAAAATTACTTCACCTTTATGAGCTTCCATACTGACATCTGTGAACATAGGTGGTTGCAATGATTACAGAAGAATGAAGAGGTGAAATGCCTGCACAGTGCATATTCCTTTTAGATAGGAGGTGCTCTACTTCCCTCCTACTTTGCACACTGGCATCCCATGGAACAGACTGACAGTCTTTACTCTTTAGAGAGTTTGCAATCTAAATGAGGAATATGTAAAAAGGAATAATTATAACATTACGATTTGGCAAGAGCCATCCTGGTCTTATTAAAAAATGAGTCTGTGGATAGTTTGAGTGAAAACAGTGAGTAAAAACCAGGGTTCAAGAAGAGATTCTAAACAAAACATGATTGGCAGCCAACCTTAACTTCTGATACTGGAGCTGCCTTTGCCAGTGCTTTCTTCATCAATGCCTAAGTTGTAGTGAGACCACAAAAGCGAAATCTCTCATACCTGCTTGCTGATCAAGGGGATTATGTTCAGTTATATGTGAGTTGTACTAGATTAAGTATTAGTAAAGAGTTTCTTTTCTCAACTTCTCCTAAATAGATTAAGTGGTTTATTAATGTGCTTTTAATTCCATTATCTTTAACATTTTTCATTCAAAATGTATGTAATAGATTGGGAGTGCTGGGGGATGTACCCAGCCCCCACAGGCAGATTTGTTACCACCCCATCTGCCATCCCAAATGCTAAATCCCAGGAACACCACTGCTTTGCAGTATGTTCTATTTTATAAGACTTTGAGGAAAGAGAAACACAGAAAGACAGTGACAATCACTGCAGGGTTAGAGAGACAGAGAGCATAAGGTTAGAGCTAAAACTTCTAAAAAGCAAATGGAGTGTTGGAAAAAAGGAACAGAGGGAAGAATTGAATACATTTACCAGGGAATTAATGAATAGGCTAAAGGTATTTATGCAGGCAGAGAGCATATGGAAAAGGGGGAAATGAATCATGGAAGAAGGCAGCAAGTCTTATCACACGAGTTTTTTCATCTTGAGAAGTGTGTGTGTGTGTGTGTGTCTGTACACAAGCTAACGTGTGTGTGTGATTGGAAGGAGAAACAGTTACTAAGTCCAGTCCATACCACAGGAGAGAGGAAAAAAGTATCTACCATGAGGTTGTCATGATGGTTAATGTGTTCTGAAGTGTTACATCTGAGCTATACCTTGTAGAGGACTTCTGTAGTAACTATAAAGAGAAAGCCATAGAGCAAGGGGAAGGGCTGTGGAGAGCTGAGATCTGGATGAATACGGTAAGCTTCTCCACTTGCTGGCACTTTTATTGCCCCCTCCTCCTTCCTGGTTTCAAGACTTGCTGTCATACCAAGTGATTGGTTTTGCCAGGGCCCTTACAGGTATTGGTGTCTCCTGTAAGAATGACTGTAGAGAAATGGGAGGCTTGGAGAGATTGGGGGATTTTGAAAGACTATGGGTTTGAAAACTTCTGCAACTTGGGGCTGTAGAAATAGGGAGGGGAAGACAAACTTATTCCTAAGTGTTTCTGATGAAGAATATCTTGGCCGGATGTGGTGTCTCATGCCTATAATCCTAACCCTTTGGGAGGCTGAGGAGGGTGAACACCTTCACCTCAGGTGTTTGAGACCAGTCTGGGCAGCATAGCAAAACCGCATCTACAAAAAGTACAAAAATCAGCTAGGTGTGGTGGTGCATGCCTGTAGTGTCAGCAACTCGGGAGGCTGAGGCAGGAGGATCGCTTGAGCTCAGGAGGTTAAGCTTTCAGTGAGCCAAGATTGCACCACTGCACTCCAGCCTGGGCAACAGAGCGAGACCCTGCCCCCCTACCCCTCCAAACACACACACACACAGAATATCTTGCCTCATTAAATATAATTGTAACATTGGGGACAGGGTTCAGGAGAGTATGTGGTACAAGTGAGCGTGGGAAGCAATTAAGCACATGGGAGGAGCCTGAGAATAATGCAGACAAAAAAATGTCAAATAGGACTCAGAGCAGTTGAAAAAAATGGCTGAACCTGGATGATATAAGAAAAGGCTCTAAGAAGGTGGGTGTTTCTGAGGCCAGAGGATGGCCAGCAATGGAACTGCCCTGCCAGTCTACAGTGGAGCCACCTGAAGTGAGAGCTGAGCGGCCAGCACAAGGCCAGGAGTCATGGCAGTGACATCTGTCCTAAACCCATGGGCTAGGCTTGGGTTGTGCCTGCAGGGACAGGGCCTGGAATTGAGTTCTCCCGCAGGGTGATCTCTATACAGATGTCTGACTGAGGCCTGTGTACTGGCACTATGCTCCCTGCTCAAAGCTCGTATGTGGAAATTATAATCCAGCAGATTATTTTTGAAATCTTGAAAAATCTCCTGATCATAATAAGTTCCTAGCTAAAAACCTCCAGATAGACAGGAAAGCACAATTTCAAAAAAGAGCTTACATCTAAGGAAGTAAAAAAAGGTAATTTTATAAAATCAAAAATGTAAATGCATTTAATAACCTCAAAGAGATAAAGAGGTGAAAGTATCTATACATAGACATATAGATAGCTATATAGATATATAAAAATATGATGTTATAAATCAAGAATGGGTTATTATGAAAAAGAACCACTTAGAAATAATGGCAATAAAAAATAAGGTTGTTGATATAACAAGACTCGACATAGTGAACTAGACATAACTTAGACATAACTGAAGAGTCAATTAGTGAATCATAAAATTGTGTTGAAATATTAATTTTATCTGATATTAATTGAGTAATTATTTTGTGCCCAACATTATTCTAAGCATTTAATATGTATAATTTCATTTAATCCTTGCAAGAATGATATAAAGTAGGTTCTCTTTTCATTCCCAATTTATTGATTAGGAAATTAAGGCCAAGAGGATAAGTAATTTGCCAAAAGTCACACAACTAGTCTTAAATCTAAAAAGAGCCCTTGTGTTTAACCATCGCACTATAACACTAACTCCCAAGATTTCTCAAGATGCAGCACAAATAATTAAAGAGATAGAAACTAAAGGAGGAAAAGTTAAGAGGGGATAAATTCCAGAGATAATGAATAAAAATCTGTATTTTAACAAATCCACGGGTGATTTATAAGCATTTTAAAGATCGAGAGCTTTGTTCATTCCCAAGTGTGTTTTCTTAAGATAGTAATGAACAAAGCTCTTCTCTCATCCTCTATTGGATGCTTCTCTGAACAGTGACTCGGATTCTGGGAGAATTCGACAAGGGAAGCTCACTATTCAGCAGTCCCTAGGGCGATTTGGCAGCATAGATCTTCTGAATGCCAGTTCCAAATGATTGCTAGTGGTCATCTGAAGCTATGTTGAGAAGGATTCTGAGGCTACATCTGGCCGTAACAGGAAAGAGTACTGTAATTAGTGATATGTGTCATGGGCAAGGGAAGGAGTAACATGGGGGAGGGTTAGCAGTATGTGGCCATATATATGGCCTGGAGAGAATCCCATCTGCTAACCATCTTTGGAGGCCAATGAAGGACAGGATTAGGAGAGCAATGAGCAGGTAGTGAGGACCACTTCTTTTATAGAGACCTCAAATTCTGGGTTACCGAATTTTCTGAAGACTACCTTTGTTTTGAGGTGACATAAGTAAATTATTTTTGTACAAACATGGGCTTGAGACCTTCTCAAACTGACCCATATATTTCAAATTCTAGTACTGAAGAGAACCCAATAGGACCAGCTGATTGGGGAACATCTACACCAGCTTATGTGAACTTGGTTTCTAATACCCTAAAATCTCTATTGACAAAACAGGATTTCTGAGAATTTGTCACCATTCATATTAGTGTGTAGAATTGAATACTCCTATCAATTTGTCAGGACTTTCATATTCCTGCTCGGCTCCTCATTTCTATCCTACTCATCTCAAGCTGACCTAGGTTAAAGGGCTGAAGCAGCTTTCAGCAGACGACACTTATGGCCCACCACGCTTGTCAGGCCATAGGATGTTGCGCCGTTAAAGATTTTACTCAGGCAGTGTTTTTTGTTTGTTTGTTTGTTTGTTTTTCTAAAGTGTTTCAATTTCCTAAGATATTTTAGGATCTTTAATATTTTTCAAGAAGGCAAAGTCTTCTAGAAGCAAATAGTTTATTAACAAAGAATAAAAAGGTCTAATAGTGCTAGACAAGGGGCTTTAAGAATGGAATTGAGAAGTCAGGGATCTATAATAAAATGATAATATGACTGCCTTTGGATGAATTGCTGCGTTGGAAAAATCAGGAAATTTGATATCTGACAGGTCTAGGTAGAATTTTGACTATTCTAAAATGTACAAATTTGAGAAGGTCTCTGTTTCCTCAGTTGTAAAATGGGTAAAATAATACCTCCCACACAGTGCCATGTGTATAAATGTGTGACACATTAATAACATCTAAACAAAAAATGAGAGTTTCCCTTTCTTCTGTTATCTGGTTTCATTGCACATGACATGTTGTTATCAACCTCAATTTTAAGAGTTCAGAGGAACATGATGCCAATATTTTAGTGTTCCAACTTCCAATTAGGAAAGTAACATGTTATCTAATCCAAATCTCTCATGTTTTAATTTATTCTGCAAATTATGAAAATAGCAAATTCTTATGCTGATCAAGCTGCCCCTGAAGACATGGATGTAGGGTCTAAGTACCTTAAAGCTCACAGAGCGAGTGGAGCTGAGTTGGTGCACTTCCTTTGCCAGCAGGATAAGCTGCACTCACCTGCCAGGCTGCAGCAGGGAGATGAAGTACCCTGATCACTCATGTCTTGATTCTGAGTCCAGCCAACACTGCCTTTGAAAGTGATGAGGATATGCATTCATTGCCATAGACTAAAGGAGAAATGTCCCGTAAAAATAATTCTTGCACTTGCAGACATTCTAAAGCCTCTATGGTAAGATCTTTTCCAGTCTATTTGCACTGTGAGGAGGAGACTGAAGAGGAAACTGAGACACACTCAGCTGTCAGACATGGAGCTAAGAATACACATAGCCTCCTGATTCTAAGTCATGCTAACCAGTTTGCCTCTTGATTGCCCCCAAGGTACAAGTACAAAGGATTTATGGACAAAATCATCTCTTTATGTGGTGCTCCTAAGGTATCTAGCATAGTCCTGGCATCTAGAAAGTGCCATGATGTCTGACTATTGTTGCAGAAAGTGACTTTTTTTTTTTCTTTTTAACTACAGTAGCCATGACAATCTAGGGATGTTTGGGATTCAGATAGACTGTTTTCCCTTCTTCCTTGAGCTCAATCTGGTCAGTAGGAAAGGAAATTTGACCATGATGCATCCTTAAGGAAATCTTCCATAAAAAGACATGCCATAAAGACTTAAGCACATGGCAGAAATTATTACAGAGTCATCTTCAGAAAGTTTATGACAGTTAAGGACGTGGGAACTGGAGGACTCAGGATAATTGGATCAGGCTGTGATGTACTGAGAATCATTTGTGGTTTTGGTGGCAGTAAATGTGCTAGTAAGACCAAACCAGTCAAAACTAACTGCAATGGGCCTATTATTTGCAGGAAATATGTTCCCATAAGAAGCCCTTGATGAACAAGTAGCTTAATGATAACATAAAAACCTAGAGACTTTAGCCTGAGGTCAAAGATACTTAGTAATAGCCAGTTCTTGGTCTTGACATTAAAGGAAAGAAAATATCTGAAAATCAAAAAAGGAATTCACTAGATTAATGAAGGAGGCCAATTAACCCACTTTGCAACCAAAACTAAACAAAACCAAACAAGAACAAAAACACCATGCCCAGAAAGTTGAGAAAAAAGAAAATTAACATAAGTGTATCAGGCTTTGTGAAACTTTGGAGCATCCTAGGAAGGAAATGATATGGACTATCACCAGCTAATTATTAGACAGAATCTGCTGCCAGCGTCGGGGAAACAGAACCAAGGAGGAATCAATCTCCGCTCCGTGAAGTGCTAATTTCAAAGCCCAGTTAGGTTTCCACGGCCCTGATTTCTTGGCTATGGACAAAGTGTGTGGCGTTCTCACCCTTTTCCATGCTGCTGCCAAGCTTGTCCTGCACTGTGTCCTTAGGTGCCCACTGATGATATCCTGAACCTGAGTCACCTGAGGTCATCCCTGCTCAGACAGAGCTCCAGCCAAATTGTATCGGATTCAGATTCAATTTTCAATACTTACTTCCAAGAGAGACTCAGTCCCTGGTTCAGATACTGGCAATCCTTGGCCTTTTCTCGACCATCTCCACCCACCTATGTGCTGAGGGCCTTTCTTAGAACAGGGGTTTGGTCAGCATTTCAGCTAAGCTAAGCAGCTGTCTCTGGAGGATATCAGGACAGACCCTCAGAGTCTCTGTGTCCCTGTGACCACCCTCCTCCCCAACATATGTACTTCACTGCCACACTGCCAAGTGACAAGATCAAATAGCCTTTCTCCATAAATGGGACATAAGGAGAGAAGTGGCATTTAAGGCACAGGAAAGGATGGGAAATTTTTCTTTTCCTTAAGTGTCTCTTGACTCTAAGGGATTATATAGGTGTAGGAGTCAGAAAACCTGGACTCTAATTCTGGCTCTGCTAGCCACTTCACTTGAGAGCGTCATGTTAGGTGCAAAAAAGAGGTAGTTGCATTATGGAAAGCAGTATGGCAATTCCTCAAAGAGCTAAAAGCAGAACTATCATTCCATCCAGCAATCCCATTACTAGGTATAGCCAGAAAAATATAAGGCATTCTACCCTAAAGACACATGCACGCAAATGTTCATTGCAGCACTGTTTGCTATAGCAAAGACATGGCATCAACCTAAATGCCTGTCAATGACAGATTGGATAAAGAAACTATGGTACATATACACCACGGAATACTATGCAGCCATAAAAAAGAACGAGATCTTGTCTTTTGTGGGAACATGGACGGAACAGGAGGCTATTATCCTTAGCACACTAATGCAGGAATGGAAAGCCAAATACTGCACGTTTTCACTTACAAGCTAAATGATGAGACCTTTTGAACACAAAAAAGGGAATAACAGACACTAGCGTCTACTTGAGGATAGAGGGTGGGAGAAAGGAGAGGAGCATAAAAAAATAATTATTGGGTACTGAGCTTAATACCTGGGTGATGAAACTATCTGTACAACAAACCCCCGTGACACAAGTTTGCCTGTGTCACGGCAAACTTTGTATGTTATCTACATAACAAACCTTCACATGTACCCCTGAACCTAAAATAAAAGTTTTTAAAAAGAGGGGGTTGTGTTAGATAATCTGTAGAAGGATCCGTTTCAGCCCTAACTGTCTTTCATAATCTGTGAAAATGGCTTGCAGTCAAGGAGGTTTCAGGCATTCATTGCATTCTCTTCCTATCATTTGCCTTTCTTGACTTCCATGTTCTTTCCCTCCATTGAATCCATATGCACTTTGTACCACCTTTAGGGCATTTGCCATGTTCTGCCTTATAGCCATTTGAATTCTTGACTTCTTACCTCCTACAGATGATAAATTTGGGAGTATCAGGGATGGCAATTTATATACCTTGGTTTTGCATCAAAGTACCAAGTGAAGTGCCTGGCACATAAATATTTGGGAAGTTAGATTGTCAGTGTCTAGCATGGGAACCATGATAAGTCAACAGTCTCTGCCTTATGGCAGGTGCCTGGTGTCTGGGAACAATTCTCAACTTGCTGTTAAGTTGTCATATCCCAATCAATATTGTGGCCATGGTTTGTCTGATGAGTGGTAGTTGGAACCTTTTATTTCAGGTTGTTTGGGGTCAACTTGTATGTTTTGTGCTCTTTGGTAGCTTCTTTAGATTATGGCCCTTGGGCTTTTTAATTCTCATTTCTCTTGGGTGTTTTTTTTGCTCAGTGCTATGGTGCTAAAGATGCTCTACATCCACTGTTGTAATCTCAGTTGTCTTGAAATCATCAGGCTTTGGTAGGAAAGATTTGCGACTTAATTGAACAGTGACTATGAAGGAGTTAAGTGTTATATTGTAAAGCAGCCACTTGATTAATGGATGCAAAATGCCTTTCCCTTCCTTTATTGTTTTTCTTCCTGCTTTGCCTTAAAGTTGAGAGATCAAAGGAACTTATAGTAGTTATAGTCATCTATAAATTATTTGGTTCTCAGTTTCTCAGTGAATTTGTAGACTACTTTGAACCTCTGTACTACCAACGAGATTGAATAGAAAGGGATTCTGTGATGCTTATATTCGGATATGCCAATGAGAAAATAGCTACATTACCATTTTTCACTGTTGTCTGAAGTGCCGCTTTTAAAATTAATCTCCACAGCATCACTTGGATAATTTGTGATGTCGGCAGAAAGCAAGTCTTCAGGGTTCAATGGTGCTCAGTTCTGAGAGTGACACTAAAGAACAGCAAGTCATGGATGCAGGAGACATTTGTCTTGAGTTTTGACTGCCTAGTTCTTGAGCACCCTCCCTAGGCTTGTAGGAATTTTCCTCATACAATGCAATGTTTCTCATGACCAAAGAAGCTGAAAATACCAAATACTCGCTTTCTTGCAGCTGGAGGATGGGCACGTGACTGGGTTCTACCAATTGGGTGCACTCACCTGTTTTTTGGAAACTGATGAAACAAAAAACCTCAGAACACTTGAATTTTTATCTTAGGGAGGTTGATGGTCACAGCAGCAACCTAGAGGTTTCTGAAGTGGTTGTGACAACAGTTTATCTGCAGTGTCCAGCAATGTGGCTGTTGGGAGGGCTGTGTCCAGTGATGCTGTTTGTTTTCACAGGACCAACCAGTTCTGTGGTGGATCTGGGACCTTGTTCTGGGCTGCAGAGCCTCTAAGCCTGGTTCTCCAGCCCTTCTGTAGATTCTGTGAGCTATGTAATATATTTTAATAAAATCCTGTTTCTGCTTTAATTAGCCAGAGTTGGTTCCTGTTGCTTGCATCTAAAAACTGTGATTGATACATTGGTCCATGCTCCCAAGAGATTTCTAATCTTGGGGTGGAGGTGACTAACATAAACATCTGGAATATATAAGATAGTATGTCAGATTATATCCAGTGGATAGTGCTTCATACTAAAACAACTACAGGAATAGAGAATAGGAAGAGAAAGCACAGTGTAGTGATTCAGACTCCAGACTAAATCCAGGGATTACCCACTCAGATGCCTTGAAGGGCCATGCAGATAGAAGTAAAAGAATGCAGCAGTTGGGCTTTGGGGAAAATTAAACAAGACAGTAGTTATAAAGCTCAGTGAACTGTTTATAATAAATGAACAAAACTGGTACCATGGTAATAGCAACAACAATAATGAAGGCTAAACCAATAAAAATCGCTAGTCTTTACCTATTCCTTACTGAGAGCCAGACCTTGTTCTAGAGCTTTATTCTTAGGGTACATAAATTACCTATTCAGCTTGCCTGGGAATGTCCTGCTGTATCCTGTTTAGTTTAGCTTTTATCCTGGATTTTCCTTCCCCTTCCCCTTCCCCTTCCCGTTTTCCTTTCCCTTTCCCTTTCCTTTGACAGAGTCTCATTCTGTTGCCCAGGCTGGAGTGCAGTGGCATGATCTCTGCTCACTGCAACCTCTGTCTCCCGGACTCAAGTGATTGTCCTGCCTCAGGCTCCCTAGTAGCTGGGATTACAGGTGTGCGCCACCATGCCTGGCTAATTTTTGTATTTTCAGAAGAGACGGGGTTTCACCATGTTAGCCAGGCTGGTCTCGAACTCCTAGCTTCAAATGATCCACACACCTGGGCCTCCCAAAGTGCTGGGGTTACAGGTATGAGCCGCTGTGCCCGGCCTCCACAGTGCGGTTCTTGATGGCCACTCAGTGGACCAACTAGATGTGCCAAGGCCCATGAGACATAGCCTGCAAGGAAAGGGCCAAATAAAGCTAAGCAACTGATTAAAGAATGTGAATATGCCCCAACATGAATATTCTGCTTATATATATTTTTTAATATTCAGAAAGCCAAAAAATTTAGGCTTAATGTATACTGATATGTATTGTTTTTGGGAAAAAATTATTTCTGAAATAGTGTTTGAATAGAACTATTTTATAGATCCATCAATAAGCTTAAAATATTTTCTGGGGTCAGTAAATAAGTTTAATTGAACTGCGCATCATTATTTCAAAAGTAATATGCATTTTACTCATTTTTAGTACCTCTTTTCACACTCAGAAATATAATGTTTTGGGCAATAAATTATAAGATCATCTTATATGTTTGTATTTACTTGCTTAATCCTCTCAACAACCTTCTGAGGTAGATTTTTTAAAAAATTCTATTCACAATTGAGAAAACTGAGGGTCAGCAAATTATAGGAATCTGTTGCTTAAAATACTTAGCTAATCTGCAGCAAGCTGAGATTTTAAATTTGGCAATCTGGCTCCAGAGTCTTTGCTCACAACCATTACTCAAAGGTAGATCTAATGGGAGAAGTAAGATTTTAATACAAAGACTTGCTCTACTCTTCCACCGAGCCTCTTCCTAGAGTGGAGCCTGGGGCAATTTACTTCCCCTCTTTGAGCCTCTTATCTTTATCTACAAAATGGGAGTACTACTCTCCATGTCATAGAGTTGCTGGGAGGAATCAATGAATTAATGTGTAAGAAAAGTGCTTTTGTAGGCTTAAAATGCTGTACATGTTTAAGATAATCATGTGTGGCCTTTTCCATACATCTAAGGCAGCATTTCGTGGGATGATGCCGTAAACCAGAAGTCAGGGTGCATTCTGGGTGATGGGCAATGACTCTCAGTTTCTCCAAGTTCTATCTCCAGTTGAATAAAGTCAAAGATAACACTTCAGATGTGTGTAGAGAAACACATTATGATGTTAGATACCAAGAATCCTCACACTGGTGGCATGAAGCATATGCATATGTGGTTGAATTCTTCTGGGTTTACGTAGAGTCATAGGGCCTAAGAGATCAGAAGGATTTAAAATCTGTTCTATTCTTTTAGAAGTGGCTGCCAGCAAAGAGAAACCATTTCTGCCTTGTTTCTCTGATTTCTGCCTAAAATCTAGGTGGAAAGTGGGAATAAAAACTGGGTCATTGTGGCTAACTGATGGATTTTTTTTAATAATCCCATGAAGGGAACTAGGTAATTTCCCATCCTCATGGCCATTGTTCAGGCTCTGATCTCTATCCTCTCAACAATGGCAGGAGTTGGAATTACCTCAAGTCTGAACTCCTCTGACCCACTTGCTTTGCTGCTACTGCACAGATTTTTCTAAAGTGCAAATCTGATCACTCCACTTCCCTGCTTACAATCTTTCAGTGACTTCCTTTATCCTTAGGATAAAGTTTAAAGCTCTTTGCATGGTGGGGTGGACATCCACTATTTTCCCTTGCTCCGCTATCACTCCATATGGGATGGATTTGACTGAATTACCTGGAACTAACTATGGGCACGTGACCCAGGCCTGGCTAATTAGAGTATTAGAGATTCATTTAGGGATGGGCATAAGATCCAGTTCAGGCCACTGCAAAGTTAAGCCTGAGTTGAAGGAAGACTCCTGATCCATTATTTTTCCCTGCCCCACTCTTCACTCCACATTGGATGGATTTGACTGAACTGCCTGGAACTAACTGTGGGCACATGACCCAGGCTTGGCTAACTAGAGTATTAGAGATTCATTCAGGGATGGGCACAAGATCCAATTCAGGCCACTGCAAGTTAGGCCTGAGTTGAAGAAAGATTCCTGATGATCAGCCAAGTACTGTAACCAGCCATACTGGAAAACTCATTTACCTCCTAAACTCTCTAGTATCTGAGTCACTGCATTCCACATTTTGTTATTTAAGCTATTTGTATCGTGTTTCTGTGACTTGAAACCAAAAAGTTCTTGCCTAACACACCAGTATACAACGTTCTTCATGCTCTGGCCCAGGTTACCTCATCTGACTCATCCCCTTGCACTTTGGATATACAGTGTTGAATTGCTCAATGCAGCGTGCTATTTTATGCCTCTGAGCTTTCTGCCTAGAATGCCTTTCACTATTCTACTCTGCTTCTTCATCCTCCTATCTTATTCTATTCATCATTCAAAATGCCACTCAACAATGGTATCTTCTCAAAAGCCTCCATTGAAACACCAGTCTAGGTTGCTCCTTCCTTGTGTTTGCTCTTATCACTCCACACTGTAGCCATGGGTCTACTTCTCTGACATCCTTTCTAGATCAAAAATTTCTCAGGGAAAGGAGTCCCATGTCTTATGTCTTATGTCTCAGGGAAAGGGATCCCATGTGTTACAAAGTTCAATATGTGTTTGTTTAATGAATAGAGGCAATTCACATTTGGCTGAAATTTTCTCTAGTCTAGATAATTTTTGGCATACTAAGATAATTTATCTGATTGACAATTTTTGGGTGGGGGGCTTCTGTGCACTTTCTAGCCAGATTCTATTCAGACTAAATTAATATTTGGACCAAATGACCCTTCATACTTTAATATCCTAAAATTACTTCCTCCCCAGGACATAGGGAATCTTCCGCTTTATGAGTCTGGGTGTGGGCTTCTCCACCAGCCTGAGACAGGCCTAGGCTAGGCTGGACTTTGAGTGGGTTGCTGGCAGAAAGATCTCAGAATGAACCCTGACAAGTTGGCTTGGGAGTGATTGAGTTTGACGAACTCAGGAAGATAATGCCATAACTAACACAGCACAGTAGTCCCCCTTAATTTGTCGGGGGTACGTTCCAAGACTCCCAGTTGGATACCTGAAACCATGGATACGGTGGTACTGAACTCTATGTACTATATATTTTTCTTATATATACATAGCTATGATAAAGTTTAACTTATAAATTAGGAACAGTAAGAGATTAACAACAACAATAATAAAGTTTACCAATATACTACAATAAAAATTATGCGAATGTGGTCCCTTTCTCTCTCATTCTCAAAATATCTTATTGTATGTCATATTTTCAAATCGTGGTTGACTGAAATCATGAAAAAGGGCAACTGTGGATAAGGAAGACTACTGTCCTAGAGAGTTAGTTACTGACCTTCCACTCACTTCTAAATCCCCTCCAGTCTGGTTCCTGACTCTTCCCCAGAAACAACTTTTGCCGACGTCATCAATAATTGATTGTCACAAATCCGTAGACATATTTGGTTCCACAAGTCTGAGTCCTGGCTTTCTTCTGTTGATATTCTACATTCTTTTCCTATAGGGCCTAATCCACACCCTTGACTTCAATTATTTCCACCATGTATGTCACTCACAAATTTTTATGTCTAACCCAACATTTTATCTAAGCATCGGACTTGTAGTTACAGTTGTTACTCACTATCTTTAATTAGGTGACATGTCAAACTCAACAGGTCTAAAGCCAAATTCCAGACTTGTCCCAAACTTAGTCCTCAGTGTACGTTCTCAGTTTCAATGAGGGACATCATCTTGCATCCATTTACTCAAACCAGAAACCGAGGTGTCATCTTTGGTATCTTGTTCTGACTTTTATTTGATACGTTTTCAAGACAAATTGATTTTATGGAGATAGCTTTTGAATTTTCTCATCCTTTTATATTTACTACTACTACTATATCAAAGTGTTTTCTCCTACTAAAATAACCTCCTGAATGATTTCTCAACTTATACTCTTTTCCTTCTCCAATTCTGTATTAGAGTGATCTTTTCAAGACATAAATTTGTTTTGTTACACACTGCCTAAAAACCTTTAATGATAACCCATTGTATCCCATTGCTCTTGAGTAGAGGTATAATACCTTAACTTGGCCTTCAAGGCCTTGGCCTCTACATGTATTTCCTGGCCTCTACATGTATTTCCTGTCTCATCTTGTGTCTGTATTTCTTAGTTTCTCTTTGTTGGGTCACTGTGACCTCATTCAACTCTTCCTGTTTTTCATCTTACCTTCCAGCATAGGCATTTTTACATACTCACTTTACCCTCCTCTTGATCGGGTTAAATCCTACTCATCCTTAGATCTTAGATCAGTGGTAATTCCTTCAGGGGAGCCTTCCCTAACATCCCAAATTAGGTCTGTTGTGTGCTCCCATAGCACTGAAGATCTCTCCTTCATAGCACCAACCACAGTTCTAACTTAACTTTTATTTGTATATTATTAGATGATAGTCTTTCATTTAGACTACACTGTTAGTCTGATGAGGACAGGGCCATTTAATTTTGCTAACTTTTCTTGTCAATTAGATAATGCTACATAATAAATGACTCAAAAATTTAGTGACTTGAAACATTAACCATTGCATGATAAGATTTGCTCGTATCATTAGTTGTTAGGAATGTGCAAATGAAAACCGCAATGAAGTACCACCTCATACCCAATAACATGGCTATAATTAAAAAGAAAAAAACAAGTGTTGGTGAAGATGTGGAGAAATTGGAACCTTCATACATTGCTCATGGGAATATGACATGGTCCAGCTGCTGTGGAAAGAGTTTGACATTTCTTTAAAAAGTTAAACATAAAATTATCATATGACACCATAATTTCACTTCTAGGTTTATACCCAAAGGAACTGAAAACAGGTATTCAAACAAGTACATGTATACATTATAGCTGCATTATTCACAAAAATCAAAAGATAGAAACAGCCCAAATGTCTTTCAATGGATGAACTGGATAAACAAATTATGGCAGACAGGCATACCTTAGATATATTGTGGCTTCAGTTCCAGACCACAACAATAAAGCACAACACACAATTTTTTTGTTTCCCCGTGGATATACAAATTATGTTTATTTAACTTTAAGGTTCAGGGGTACATGTGTAGATTTGTTAGACAGGTAAATTGTGTATCATGGGAGTTTGGTATATAGATTATTTCATCACCCAGGCAACAAGCATATTACCTAATAGGTAGTTTTTCAGTCTTCACCCCCCTCCTCCCCTCTACCTTCTAATAGGCCCTGGTTTCTGTTGTTCCCTTCTTTGTGTCCATATGTAATCATTGTCTAGCTCCCACTTATAAGTAAGAACATGTGGTATTTGGTTTTCTGTTCCTGCATTAGTTTGCTTAGGATAATGATCTCCAGCTCCAGCCATGTTCCTGCAAAGAACACGATCTCATTGTTTTTTTAATGGCTGCATAATATTCTGTAGTGTATATGTACCACATTTTCTTTATCTAGTCTACTGTTAATGGGCATTTAGGCTGGGCATAGTGGCTCATGCCTGTAATCCCAGCACTTTGGTATGCTGAGGTGGGAAAATCACGAGGTCAGGAGTTTGAGACCAGCCTGGCCAACATGGTGAAACCCCTTCTCTACTAAAAATACAAAAATCAGCTGGGCGTGGCTGAGGCAGGAGAATTGCTTGAAACCGGAGGTAGAGGTTGCAGTGAGCTGAGATTGCGCCACTGCACTCCAGCCTGGGTGACATCTCAAAAAAAAAATGGGGGGCTTTTAGGTTGATTTCATGTCTTTGCTATTGTGAATAGTGCAGTGATAAACATATGTGTGCATATGTGTGCATGTGTCTTTATGGTAGAATGATTTATATTCCTTTGAGTATATATACCCAATAATGGGATTGCAGGGTTGAATGGTAGCTCTATTTTAAGCTCTTCGAGAAATCTCCAAACTGCTTTCCACAATGGCTGAACTAATTTACATTCCCACATGTAGTACATAAGCATTCCCTTTTCTCCACAACCTTTGCCAGCATCTTTTATTTTTTTTACCTTTGAATAATGGCCATTTCAACTTGTATGAGACAATATCTCATTGTCATTTTGATTTGTGTTTCTCTAATAATTAGTGATGCTGAGCATTTTTTCATATGCTTGTTGGCTGTGTATGTGTCTTCTTTTGAAAAGTGTCTGTTCTTGTCCTTTGCCTACTTTCCTTATTTTTTTTTACTTGTTGAATTAAGTTCCTTTTAGATGCTGGCTATTAGACCTTTGTCAGATACATAGTTTGCAAATATTTTCTCCCATTCTGTAGGCTGTCTGTTTACTCTGTTGATAGTTTCTTTTGCTGTGCAGAAGCTCTTTAGTTTAATTAGGTCCCATTTGTCAAATTTGATTTTTGTTATAATTGCTTTTGGTGTCTTTGCCATGAAATCTTTGCCAAAGCCTATGTCCAGAATGGTATTTCCTGGGCAATCTTCTAGAGTTTTTTATAGTTTTAGGTTTTACATTTAAGCCTTTAATCCATCTAGACTTTATTTTTGTATATAGCGTATGGAAGGGGTCCAGTTTCAATCTTCTGCATATGGTTAGCCAGTTATCCCAGCACCATTTATTGAACAGAGAATCCTTTCCCCATTGCTTGTTTTTGTTGAATTCATGAAAGATCAGATGGTTGTAGGTGTGCAGCTTTATTTGTGGGCTCTTCATTCTGTTCCATTGGTCTATGTGTTTTCTTTTGTACCAGTACCATGCTGTTTTGGTACTGTAGCATTGTATAGTCTGAAGTTGCGGTGATACCTCCAGTTTTGTACTTTTTGCTTAGAATTGCTTTGGCTATTTGGGTTCTTTTTTGATTCCATATGAATTTTAAAATAGTTTTTCTTTTAATTCTGTGAAGGATGCCATTGGTAGTTTAATAGGAATAACATTGAATCTATAAATTGCTTTCGGCAGTATGGCTGTTTTGACAACACTGATTCTTTCTATCCATGTGCATGAAATGTTTTTCCATTTGTTTGTGTCACCTCTGATTTCTTTCAGCAGTGTTTTGTGATTCTCATTGTAGAGACCGTTCACCTCCCTGGTTAAGCTGTATTCCTAGTTATTTTATTCTTTTTGTGGCTATTGTGAATGGGATTGCATTCTTGATTTGGCTGTCAGCTTGCACGTTGGTGTATAGAAATGCTACTGATTTTTGTATATTGATTTTGTATCTTGAAACTTTGCTGAAGTTGTTATCTGATCAAGGACCTTTTGGGCAGAGACTATGGGATTTTCATTTGCAAACACAGATAGTTTGACTCCCTCTCTTCTATTTGAATGCATTTTATTTCTTTCTCTTGCTTGGTTGCTCTGGCCAGGACTTCCAGTACTATGTTGAATAGGAGTGGTGAGAGTGGGCATCCGTGTCTTGTTCTGGTTCTTAAGAGGAATGCTTCCAGCTTTTGCCCAGTTAGTATGATGCTGGCTGTGGGTTTGTCATAGATGGCTCTTTTTATTTTGAGGTATGTTTCTTCAGTGCCTACTTTGTTGGGGGTTTTTAACATGAAACAGTGTTAAATTTCATTGAAAGCTTTTTCTGCATCTATGGAGATGATCATGTGGTTTTTGTCTTTAGCTCTGTTTATGTGATGAATCACATTTATTGATTTGTGTATGTAAAACCAACCTTACATCCCAGGGATAAAATCTACTTGATTGTGGTGGATTAGCTTTTTGATGTCCTGCTGGATTCAGTTTGCTAGTATTTTATTGAGGATTTTTGCATCTATGTTTATCAAGGATGTTGGCCTGAAGTTTTCTTTCTTTGTTGTGCCTCTGCCAGGTTTTGGTATCAGAATGATGCTGGCCTCATAGAATGAGTTAGGGAGGAGTCACCCCTCCTCTTTTTTTCTTTTTTTGATAGTTTCACTAGGAATGGTACCAACTCTTCTTTACACAGCTGGTAAAATTTGGCTATGAATCCAACTGGTCCTGGGCTTTTTCTGGTTGGTAGGTTTTCTATTACTGATTCAATTTTGGAGCTTGTCATTGGTCTGTTCAGGGTTTCAATTTCTTACTGGCTCGATCTTGGAAGGTTTAAAAGTTATATTTAAATTATACTGTAGTCTATTGAGTGTAGAAGAGAGTTATGCCTGAAAAATGTACATACCTTAATTAAAAAGTACTTCATTGCTAAAAAATGCTAACAGTTATCTGAGCCTTCAGTAACTCATAATCTTTTTGCTGATGGAGGGTCTTACTTCTATGATGGTGGCTGCTAGTTGATCAGGGTGATGGTTGCTGAAGGTTGGGGTAGCTGTGGCAATTTCTTGAAAAGTAAGACAACAATGAAGTTTGCTGCATCAATAGACTCTTTTTCACAAAAGATTTTTCTGTTGCATGTGATGTTGTTTGATAGCATTTTGCCCACATCAGAACTTCTTTCAAAATTGCAGTCAGTCCTCTAAAACCCTGCCACTGCTTTATCAACTAAGTTTATATAATATTCTAAATCCTTTGTTGTCATTTTAACAATGTTCACGGCATCTTCATCTGGAGTAGATTCCATCTCAAAACACCACTTTATTTGCTCATCCTTAAGAAGCAACTCTTCATCTGCCCAAGTTTTATCATGAGAGTGCAGCAATTCAGTCACATATTCAGGCTACTCTTCCAATTCTAGTTCTCTTTGCTATTTCTACGCATCCACAGGGACTTCCTTCACTGAAGTCTTGAACTTCTCAAATTTATCCATGAGGGCTGGAATCAACTTCCAACTCCTGTTAATGTTGACATCCTGACCTCCTGTTATGAATCACAAATGTTATTAATGACATCTAGAATGGTGAATCCTTCCCAGAGGTTTTCAATTTACCAGATTCATCAGAAGAATCACTATTTATGGTAGCTATAGCCTTATGAAATGTATTTTTTTTTTTGAAACAGGGTCTCACTCTGTAGCTCAGGTTGGAGTGCAAAGGCATGATCATAGCTCACTGTAGCTTTGAACTCCTGGGCTCAAGTTATCCTCCTGCCTCTCACCCGCCGGAGTAGCTGGGACTATAGGCGTGCACCACCGCACCCAGCTATTTTTTTCTATTTGTTAAAAAATAGAGATTGGGTCTCCCTAGGTTGCCCAGGTTGGTCCTAAACTCCTGGCCTCAAGCAGTCCTCCCACCTTGGCTTCCCAAAGTCTTGAGATTACAGATGTGAGCCACTTGCTTGGCCAACACAATGTATTTCTTAATAAGTCTTGAAAGTTAAAATTACTTCTTGATCCATGGGCTCCAGAAAAGATGTTATGTTAGCAGGTCTCAAAGGAACGTTAATTTCCTTGTACCTCCTCATTGGAGCTTTTAGGTGACCAGGTGCATTGTCAATGAGCAGTAATCTTTTGAAAGGAATCTTTTTTTCTGAGCAATAGGTCTAAACACTAGGCTTAAAATATTCAGTAAATCCTGCTGTAAACAGATGTGCTGTCATCCAGGTTTTGTTGTTCCATTTATAAAGCACAGAGTAGACTTAGCATAATTCTTAAGGGCCCTAGGATTTTCAGAATGGTAAATGCACATTGACTTCAAATTTAAGTCACCAGCTGCATTAGTGCCTAGTAAGAGAGTCACCCTGTCCCTTGAAGCATTGACTTCTCTAGCTCTGAAAGTCCTAGATGACATCTTCTTTGAATATAAGGCTATTTTATCTATGTTGAAAATCTGTTGTTTAGCGTAGCCACCTTCATCAATGGTCTTAGCTGTATCTTCTGGATAACTTGCTGCAGCCTCTCCATCAGCAATTGCTGCTTCAGCTTGAATTTTTATGTTATGGAGATGGCTTCTTTTCTTAAACCTCATTAACCAACCTCTGCTAGCTTCAAACTTTTCTTCTGCAACTTCCTCACCTCTCTCAGAGGGTCTTTGATATGGTTTGACTTTGTGTCCTCACCCAAATCTCATCTTGAATTGTAATCCCCATGTGTCATGGGAAGGACCAGTAATCCCTACATATCCAGGGAAGGAGGTGATTGGATCATGGGGCGGTTTCCCCCATGCTGTTCTCATAATAGTGAGTGCACTCTAATAATAATAGTGAGTGAGATCTGATGGTTTTATAAGGAGCTTCCCCCTTTGCTCACTTCTCTTTCTTCTGCCACCTTGTGAAGAAGGTGCCTGCTTCCCCTTCTGCCATGATTGTAAGTTTCCTGAGGCCTCTCCAGCCATGTGGAACTGTGAGTCAATTAAACCTCTTTCCTTTATAAATCACCCAGTCTCAGATAGTTCTTTATAGCACTGTGAGAATGGACTAACACAGCCTTCATAGAATCAAAGAGGTTTAGAGCCTTCCTCTGAATTAGGCTTTGATTTAAGGAATATGTCTGGTTTGATCTTCTATCCAGACCACTCAAACTTTCTCCGTATCAGCAATAAGGTTGTTTTGCTTTCATGTCATTCATGTGTTCACTGGAGTAGCACTTTTTGTTTCCTTCAAGAACTTTTCCTTTGCATTCACAACATGGCTAACTAACTGTTTGGCACACTGTGCCTAAGCTTAGGCCTGTCTTGTCTTTTTGCATGCATTCTTCCTAACTAAGCTTGATCATCTCTAGCTTTAGGTTTAAAGCAAGAAATGTGCAACTCCTCTTTTCACTTCAGCACTTAGAGACCAACGTAGAGATAGTAATTGGCCTTGTTTCAGTATTGTTGTGTCTCAGGGAATAGGGAGGCCTGAGGAGGGGGAGAGAAATAAGGGCATGGCTGGTCAGCGGAGCAGTCAGAACACACACAACATTTATTGATTAAGTCTGCCATCTTTTATGGGCATGGTGTGTGGCACCCAAAACAATTATAATATTAACATCAAAGATCCCTGATCACAGATCACCAAAACGGTATGAAAATAATAAAAAAGTTTCGGCTGTTCACCGCGGCTTATGCCTATAATTCCAACACTTTGAAAGACTGAGGTGGGAGGATTGCTTGAGGCCAGGAGTTCAAGACCAGTCAGGGCAATATAGCGAGACCTCGTTTCTACCAAAAAAAAAAAAAAAAAATTATCTGGACATGGTGGTGTGCACCTGTGGTCATAGCTACTTCGGAAGCTGAGATGGGAGGATTGCTTGAGCACAGGGGATCGGAGCTGCAATGAGTCGTGATCGTGCCACTGCACTCCAGCCTGAGTGACAGAGTAAGACTCTGTCTCCAAAAAAAAAAAAAAAAAGAGAGAAAAAGAAAAAAAAGTTTGAAATATTGTGAGAATTACCAAAATGTGACACAGAGACACAAAGTGGGCACACACTGTTGGAAAAAACAGTGCCAATAGACTTCTTGATGTAGGGTTGCCACAAACCTTCAATTTGAAAAAAATGCAGCATCTGCAAAGTGTAATAATGTGAAGCACAAGAAAATGAAGTGTGCCTGTATATATACACATTATTAAACCACAAAGAGGAATGAAGTATGCCTATATATATATATATATATATATATATATATATATATATATACACACATTATTAAGCCACAAAGAGGAATGAAGTATGCCTGTGTATATACACATTATTAAGCCACAAAGAGGAATGAAGGACTCATACATGCTACAATATGGATGAACCTCAGAAACGTTATGCTAATGAAAGAAGCCAGATACAAAAGGTCATCTATTTTATTTTTCCATTTGTATGAAATATCTAAAATAGATAAATCTGTAGAGACAGAACACAGATTGGTGTTTGCCAGAGGCTAAAGGGATTGGGAAATGGAGAGAAATTTGCTTAGTGGAGTGTTTCTTTTTGGCATAAAATATTTTGGAGCTCAATAGAGATGATGCTCACACAACATTGTGAATGTACTAAATGCCACTGAAATGTTCACTTTAAAATGGTTCATTTTACATCAGTAAATTTCCTTTTTTTCTTTTTTTCTTTTTTTTGAGACAGAGTCTCTCTCTGTTGCCCAAAATGAAGTGCAGTGGCATGATCTTGGTTCACTGGAATCTCTGCCTCCCCAGCTCAAGTGATCCTCCCACCTTAGCCTCCAGAGTAGCTGGGACTACCGGTGTGTGCCACCACACCTGGCTAATTTTTGTATTTTGTTGTAGAGGCTGGGTTTCACCATGTTGCCCAGGCTGGTCTCTAATTCCTGGGCTCAAGTGATCTACCTGGCTCGGCCTTTCAAAGTGGTGGATTATAGGTGTGAGGCACTGTGCCTGGCCTTAGTAAGTTTCTTAAATAAACCTTAGCCATTTGTTATTTTACAAGAATCTGCACAGTTGGCTAGACTCAGTTCTGTTGATCTGGGTGAGGTTCAATGATCTCAAGTGGGCTCATTCATGCATTTGCAGTTAGCTGTGGCATTGATTGGCGGTTGGAAGATCTAGGGTGACTTTGACTTGGATGACTTGGCTCTATTCCACATACTCTCTCATTCTCCATAGGGGACACTGGCTTATTTTCAAGGCAGAGGCAGAGGTTACAACAGCAAGGCCTCTTGAGATGTATGTTCAGAATTGGCATCCGTATTCCCCTCCATTTAGTTGGTCAAAGCAAATTGCAAGACCAGCTTAGATTCAAGGGTTGAGAAAATAAACTTTATTCCTTAATGGGGAAGCTAAAATGTTACTTTACAAAAGAGGTAGATACAGGGAAGGGTGGGGGGAATTTGAAACTGATCTATCATAGTTTTTTTTTTATCCCTAGTGCATGGTGTGCACTCAGTAAGTGTATGTTCAATTAATGAGTGTCATTGAATTTAGGCCAGAAGGGGATCTAGGGTCCCAATTCAACATTTGAAATTATGAGTTCCCATGAGCTGGAAAGAAAAAACAAAAATAGAATTCTTGGAGGTATTGATATACCTTCTCAGATTAGCCTAACTTTTCCAATCATAAATCAGAAGCTCTTTCACTATCTTGTAAGGAGGATGGAATACCCCATCATCATCCTCTCCGGCCCAGCTCTCTCCTTCTCCTCCCTGTTTTGGTTAGGATTTTGAGGACTTCCTGGTGTTAAATTCTGGGTAAAACAAGTTTGGTAGCTATGCTAGTGGTGTAGCTCTCTTAAAAAAACAAATAAACTGGATCTCTAAAAAAAAGTCTGATTTATGGTGTTTGCCGATTTCTATGGTGTAAATAGTCCCGCGATGGCCAATTTCAAGCTACCAGCTTAAAGTGACTGAATGCAGAGCTGGGAAAAGATGTACATTTTTGACTCCTGAGAGTCAACAAGAGCCAACTCCAGCTTACCACTGGATGGCTGTGTGGGGCCCAGCTCAGCAGCACCTTGGCTGCCTTACCCCCTGCTCTTCCAGGACCATCAGAGCCAACGATCTGCTCTGATTTGTTCTTCTGACATTTGAAGTTTTTCTTTCATTTACTCAATGATAATTATTGAGTAACTCTCATATACAATTATGTTAGGCCGTGGAGGTGAAATGATGAACAATGAGAACATGGTGTTCACTCTTATGGAACTCGCATTCTCCGTAACTGAATCAGTACTTCCAGATGCTCCTGAGGGAGTCCTGTATCTCTAAAATTGTTTTCACTGATGCTCTCTCATTGATGGTATCTCATTGTGGTTTTGATTTACATTTCTCTAATGACTGGTGATGATGACCTTTTTTTCATGTTTGTTGGCTGCATAAATATCTTCTTTTGAAAAGTGTCTGTTCATATCCTTCGACCAGTTTTTTATGGGGTTGTTTGTTTTCTTGTAAATTTGTTTAAGTTCTTTGTAGATTCTGGATATTAGCCCTTTGTTATTAGAAGGTGTTAGTATGGTGGGATTTCAACCCAGAAGAAGAATATCCCTATTTTTTAAAAAGTATTCCATCCATAGGATGAGGATGTGGTCACTCACAGAATTGGTATTTACCACAGTCTTTTTGGACTGCTTCTTTCTGGATTGGAACCTAATATTCAATTATAGACCAGCTATATAATTCAATTTAAGGCATTGCTTCATCACAATCTGAAAAATTAGAATTTGTTGAAGCACCACACAGAACGCAAAGAAATCAGAAGGCATGTAACAGCTTTACTGCGTCACATAATATTCAATGTAGTGTAATCAATACATAGCACTCTGTAGAAATAAACCATTCAGATTCTCACACATCTGAAGGAAGAGGAGATCATTCTCAGAAGTGCTTTCTTTTCACTGACTGAATGATAATGACACCCTGGGGGAATCAAATATTCATTTAAAGACAAATACTAAGGCATATATTATCTTTTCTTTTCAGTTGTATATAATGCTTTTTTGGTATATTATTAACCATGGACATATGTTTTCTATTTCACTTTGTTCCCAACACACAGTGTGGTTTTTTCCTTTTTCCACAGGGGATGGCAAGTGGGGGTAGCAGTGGGGAGTGGGCAGGTGGGGTGAATCAACATATAAAATATAACTATATATACATATATTTCATATTCTGTTATATTTTATATGTTGATAATATAAAATATGTCTTTATAGATATATATTTCAGATGACTGACTGAAGTTCCTAACACAAATTATGCTTTAGCGAACAAAAAAAATTTGTGATTTATTTACTGTGTCCAGGACCCAAATATAAAGCTTAATACAATCAGTCATCTATGGCACTCACAGCTTTAATATTAATTGCATTTGGAAAAGCAGCATAATAGCAATCTTTGTGTGGGACAAGCAGCTGGAAGGCATATTTTCAGAATACAAAGCAGCTGGTTACCCTTGGTAAGTGTAAGGAGATTGACTTGGGAAACAGTAACTCATTCCAGAAAAAGAATGCACTCTGCTCAGCAGTCAAGGTCATAGAGCCTGGAGTCGTCCTAGAAAATAGACTTACTGCTGGGGCAATTTGGTCTAACAAACTGTTATTTCCCCATGCAAAATACATTGCCCTCCTGCCAAGTCTCATGAGCATGTAAAGAAAAATAACCACTTGTACCAATTGCTTTGGGAACCAATGTTATCGTGGGCTGTGAGTGATGGGTTGCAGTGAAGTTCTGTGGAGGGCCCCTCAGGGACACAGAATAGAAAGATCTGTGTTCTGCTAAATTTCATGAGGACTTGTGTGAGTCTTAAAACCAACTCAGTGGCCAGCCTTACCATTGGAAGGAGGCTTACCGAGCAGTGATCACATGTTTCTATTTGATTCAGAACTGCATGTTGGGAGACTTGGCTGGGGAGAGCTTATGTGGGACTCTTAATGTCAAAATTAATTTCTCTTTGCTCCATGTTCCTACAGCACATTATTCCACCTCTAGTGGAGCATACTCTCCATTCAACCTGAACTGAACATCTCTAGAGAGTGGAGACTATCCTGGTTTATCTTAATATTCTCTCTGTTCTTGATAGGTATAGAGTGAACATTTGTTCAGCTGAAGTGAGAGGAAATTTAATTATTTCACAGGCTTTGCAGTCCCCAGCTGATCACACATTTTCTGTTTAATTAATGGGGCCTTTAGTGGATCTGCCTTGGCTACCTCTGGTACACTTGTGCCTCTTGGGTCTTGCCTCTCTCTCTTTCTGTGGGAATAATCCTATCTGTCTTATCTATTTGACAGGATTTTTGGTAAAATCAAATAACAGCATATATAGAATTCTGAAAATTTCGGAAAGGACTTTGAATACTTGTAGTCTTAAATTCCCTCAAGCAGGGAGCTCCTGTATCATCGCTCCCCAGTAGTCATTTGGCTTCTGCTTGAGAGCTGCTAGTGATTCTAGTGGGCAAAATGGTTCAAAGCTATAAAGTGAGATCTGCTAACAACATCCCTTTCTTTGTTTCTCAATAATTAGACAGGAGTGTCTCTCCTATGTCCTCATTCTGCCTAGTGACAGAAAAATGAGTCCAGGTTTCTTAGTCATTTTAAGCTCAGCCATTTCAGCCAAATTCATCTCTCTGGTGGCAGACTTCAGTGCCGTGTATGCTTATAAAGTATTGGGCTTCTGGGAGGCGCCTGGTCCTGAAGAAATGCACTACACTGGTACCACTGTGAGACACAGTCCTGCTTGATTCCTGGGCACAGCACCTTTTCACATTGGTACCCACTAGAGTGCTCAAGTTCCATTTATCTCAGATCATCAGCCTAGACCAGCAATTCTTAAACTTTTTGGTCTCAAGACTTGTTTACACTCTTAAAAATTATTGAAACCCCAATAATTTGTTTTTATGTGTTATATCTATCAATATTTATCATGTTGGAAGTTAAAACAGAGAATTTTAAAATATTTATTACTTTAAATACAAAAACTATTATGTGCTAACATAAATCACATATTGTTTATGAAAATATATTTTGCAAAATAAAAATTAATGTTGAGTAGATTTAAAAATTTCTCCCAGTGTCTTTCTATTAAGCCAATATTTGGCTTAATAGAAAATAGATTATCATATCTGTTTCTGCATTCAAACTCTTGTGATATGCTGTTTCGGTTGAAGCATATAAAGATAGTCTGGCCTCATACAGATGTGCAGTTGGAAAATAGAAAAATATTTAATAGCATTTTCAGATACTGTCCATATTCTCCTCAATACTATCCCAAAACTCAACAAGTGGTAGTTTCTTTTTTTTTTTTTTAATTACACTTTAAGTTCTGGGATACATGTGCAGAACTTGCAGGTTTTTTACATAGGTATACACGTGCCATGGTGGTTTGCTGCACCCATCAACCCATCATCTACATTAGGTATTTCTCCTAATGCTATCCTTCCCCTAGCTCCTCATCCCCCAACAGGGCCTGGTACATGATGTTCCTCTCCCTGTGCCCATGTGTTCTCATAGTTCAACTCCCACTTATGAGTGAGAACATGAGATGTTTGGTTTTCTGTTCTTGTGTTAGTTTGCTGAGAATGATGGTTTCCAGCATCATCCATGTCCTTGCAAAGGACATGAACTCATCCTTTTTTATAGCTGCATAGTATTCCATGGTTTATACGTGCCACATTTTTTTTAATCCAGTCTATCATTGATGGCATTTGGGTTCGTTCCAAGTCTTTGCTATTGTGAAGAGTGCTGCAATAAACATACGTGTGCATGTGTCTTTATACTAGAATGATTTATAATCCTTTCAGTATATAACCAGTTGTGGGATTGCTGGGTCAAATGGTATTTCTAGCTCTAGATCCTTGAGGAATCACCACACTGTTTTCCACAATGGTTGAACTAATTTACACTCCCACCAACAGTGTAAAACTGTTTCTATTTTTCCACATCCTCTCCATCATCTGTTGCTTCCTGACTTTTCAATGATCGCCATTCTAACTAGTGTGAGATGGTATCTCATTGTGGTTTTGATTTGCATTTCTCTAATGACCAGTGATGATGAGCTTTTTTTCATGTTTGTTGGCTGCATAAATGTCTTCTTTTGAAAAATGTCTGTTCATATCTTTCGACCAGTTTTTGATGGGGTCGTTTGTTTTTTTTCTTGTAAATTTCTTTAAGTTCTTTGTAGACTCTCGATATTAGCCGTTTGTCAGATGGATAGATTGCAAAAATTTTTTCCGATTCTGTAGGTTGCCTTTTCACACGGATGATAGTTTCTTTTGCTGCGCAGCTCTTTAGTTTAATTAGATCTTATTTGTCAATTTTGGTTTTTGTTGCCATTGCTTTTGGTGTTTTAGTCATGAAGTCTTTGCCCATGCCTATGTCCTGAATGGTATCGCCTAGGTTTTCTTTTAGGGTTTTTATGGTTTCAGGTGTTAAGTTTAAGTCTTTAATCCATCTTGAGTTAATTTTTGTAGAAGGTGTAAGGAAGGGATCTAGTTTCAGCTTTCTGCATATGGCTAGTGAGTTTTCCCAGCACCATTTATTAAATAGGGAATCCTTTCCCTGTTCCTTGTTTTTCTCAGGTTTGTCAAAGATCAGATGGTTGTAGATGTGTGGCATTATTTCTGAGGCCTCTGTTCTGTTCCGTTGGTCTATATCTCTGTTTTGGTACCAGTACCATGCTGTTTTGGTTACTGTAGCTTTGTAGTATGGTTTGAAGTCAGATAGCATGATGCCTCCAGCTTTGTTCTTTTTGCTTAGGAATGTCTTGGCTATGTGAGCTCTATTTTGGTTCCATATGAAATTTAAAGTAGTTTTTCCAATTCTGTGAAGAAAGTCAATGGTAGCTTGATGGGAATAGCATTGAACCTATAAATTACTTTGGGCAGTATCACCATTTTCCCAATATTGATTCTTCCTATCTATGAGCATGGAATGTTTTTCCACTTGTTTGTGTCCCTCTCTTATTTCCTTAAGCAGTGGTTTGTAGTTCTCCTTAAAGAGGTCCTTCACATCGCTTGTAAGTTGGATTCCTAGGTATTTTATTCTCTTTGTAGCAGTTGTGAATGGGAGTTCACTCATGATTTGGCTTTCTGTTTGTCTGTTATTGGTGTATAGGGATGCTTGTGATTTTTGCACATTGATTTTATATCCTGAGACTTTGCTGAAGTTGCTTATCAGCTGAAGGAGATTTTGGGCTGAGACGATGGGGTTTTCTAAATATACAATCTGTCATCTGCAAACAGAGTCAATTTGACTTCCTCTTTTCCTAATTGAGTACCCTTTATTTCTTTCTCTTGCCTGATTGCCCTGGCCAGAACTTCCAATACTATGTTGAATAGGAGTGGTGAGAAAAGACATCTTGTCTTGTGCCTGTTTTCAAAGGGAATACTTCCAGCTTTTGCCCATTCAGTATGATATTGGAGATGGGTTTGTCATAAATGGCTCTTATTATTTTGAGATATGTACCATCAATACCTAGTTTATTGAGAGTTTTTAACAGGAAGGGCTGTTGAATTTTGTCAAATGCCTTTTTCTGCATCTGTTGAGATAATCATGTGGTTTTTATTGTTGGTTCTGTTTATGTGATGGATTACATTTATTGATTTGTGTATATTGGACCAGCCTTGCATCCCAGGGATGAAGCCAACTTGATCGTGGTGGATAAACTTTTTGATGTGCTGGTGGATTTGGTTTGCCAGTATTTTATTGAGGATTTTTGCATCGATGTCCATCAGGGATATTGGCTGAAATTTTTTTTTTGTTGTGTCTCTGCCAGGCTTTGGTATCAGGATGATGCTGGCCTTTTAAAATGAGTTAGGGAAGAGTCCCTCTCTTTCTATTGTTTGGAATAGTTTCAGAAGGAATGGTACCAGCTCCTCTTTGTACCTCTGGTAGAATTCGGCTGTGAATCCGTCTGGTCCCGGACTTTTTTTGATTGGTAGGCTATTAATTGCTTCCTCAATTTCAGAACTTGTTATTGTTCTATTCAGAGATTCAACTTCTTCATGATTTAGTCTTGGGAGGGTGTATGTATCCAGGAATTTATCCATTTCTTGCAGATTTTCTAGTTTATTTGTGTAGAGGTGTTTATAGTATTCTCTGATGATAGTTTGTATTTCTGTGGGATCAGTGGTGACATCCCCTTTATCTTTTTTTATTGCATCTATTTGATTCTTCTCTCTTTTCTTCCTTATTAGTCTTGCTAGTGGTCTATCAATTTTGTTGATCTTTTCAAAAAACCAGCTCCTGGATTCATTGATTTTTTTGAAGGTTTTTTTGTGTCTCTGTCTCCTTCAGTTCTGCTCTGATCTTAGTTATTTCTTGTCTTCTGCTAGCTTTTGAATGTGTTTGCTCTTGCTTCTCTGTTTCTTTTAATTGTGATGTTAGGGTGACAATTTTAGATCTGTCTTGCTTTCTCTTGTGGGCATTTAGTGCTATAAATTTCCCTCTACACACTGCTTTAAATGTGTCCCAGAGATTCTGGTATGTTGTGTCTTTGTTCTCACTGGTTTCAATGAACATCTTTATTTCTGACTTCGCTTTGTCATGTACCCAGTAGTCATTCAGGAGCAGGTTGTTCAGTTTCCATGTAGTTGTGTGGTTTTGAGTGAGTTTCTTAATCCTGAGTTCTAATTTGATTGCACTGTGGTCTGAGAGACTGTTCGTTATGATTTCCATTCTTTTGCATTTGCTGAGGAAGTGTTTTACTTCCAATTTTGTGGTCAGTTTTAGAATAAGTGTGATGTGGTGCTGAGAAAAATGTATATTCTGTTGATTTGGGGTGGAGAGTTCTGTAGATGTCTATTAGGTCCACGTGGTCTAGAGCTGAGTTCAAGTCCTGGATATCCTTGTTAACCTGCTGTCTCGTTGAGCTGTCTAATATTGACAATGAGGTGTTAAAGTCTCCCACTGTTATTGTGTGGGAGTCTAAGTTTCTTTATAGGTCTCTAAGAACTTGCTTTATGAATCTGGGTGCTCCTGTATTGGGTGCATATATATTTAGGATAGTTAGCTCATCTTGTTGCATTGATCCCCTTACCATTATGTAGTGCCCTTCTTTGTGTCTTTTGATCTTTGTTGGTTTAAAGTCTGTTTTATCAGAGACTAGGATTGCATCCCCTGCTTTTTTTGCTTTCCATTTGCTTAGTAAATATTCCTCCATCCCTTTATTTTGAGCCTATGTGTGTCTTTGCACATGAGATGGGTCTCCTGAATATAGAACACCAATGGGTCTTGACTCTATCCAATTTGCCAGTCTGTGTCTTTTAATTGGGGCATTTAGCCCATTTACATTTAAGGTTAATATGTTATATGTGAATTTGATCCTGCCGTTATGATGCTAGTTGGTTATTTTGCCTGTTAATTGATGCAGTTTCTTCATAGCATTGATGGTCTCCACAATTTGGTATGTTTTTGCAGTGGCTGGTACCAGTTGTTCCTTTCCATGTTTAGTGCATCCTTCAGGAGCTCTTGTAAGGCAGGCCTGATGGTGACAATATGTCTCAGCATTTGCTTGTCTGTAAAGGATTTTATTTCTCCTTCACTTATGAAGCTTAGTTTGGCTGGTTATGAAATTCTGGGTTGAAAATTCTTTCCTTTAAGAATGTTGAATATTGGCCCCCACTCTCTTCTGGCTTGTAGGGTTTCTGCTGAGAGATCCGCTATTAGTTTTATGGGCTTCCCTTTGTGGGTAACCCGACCTTTCTCTCTGGGTGCCCTTAACATTTTTTTCCTTCATTTCAACCTTGGTGAATCTGACGATTATATGTCTTGGGGTTGCTCTTCTCTAGGAATAACTTTGTGGTGGTGTCTGTATTTCCTGAATTTGAATGTTGGCCTGCCTTGCTAGGTTAGGGAAGTTCTCCTGGATAATATGCTGAAGAGTGTTTTCCAACTTGGTTCCATTCTCCCTGTCACTTTCAGGTACACCAATCAAACATAGATTTGGTCTTTTCACATAGTCCCATATTTCTTGGAGGCCTTGTTCATTTCTTTTCAGTCTTTTCTCTAATCTTGTCTTCTCACTTTATTTCATTGAGTTGATCTTCAGTCTCTGATATCCCTTCTTCTGCTTGATCAATTCAGCTATTGATACTTGTTTATGCTTCATGATGTTCTCGTGCTGTGTTTTTCAGCTCCATGAGGTCATTTATGTTCTTCTCTAAACTGGTTATTCTAGTTAGCAATTCATCTAACCTTTTCTCCAGGTTCTTAGCTTCCTTGCATTGGGTTAGAACATGCTCCTTTAGCTCAGAGGAGTTTGTTATTACCCACCTTCTGAAGCCTACTTCTGTCAATTCATCAAACTCTTTCTCCATCCAGTTTTGTTCCCTTGCTGGTGAGGAGTTGTGATCCTTTGGAGGAGAAGAGATGTTCTGGTGTTTGGAATTTTCATTGTTTTCTCCCCATCTTCATGGCTTTACCTACCTTTGGTCTTTGAAGTTGGTGACCTTCGGATGGGGTCTCTGAGTAAATATCCTTTTTGTTGATGTTGATACTATTCCTTTCTGTTTGTTAGTTTTCCTTCTAATAGTCCCCTCTACTGCAGGTCTGCTGGAGTTGGCTGGAGGTCCACTCCAGACCCTGTTTGCCTGGGTATCGCCAGCGGAGGCTGCAGAACAGCAAAGATTGCTGCCTGTTCCTTCCTCTGGAAGCTTTGTCCCAGAGGGGCACCCGCCAGATGTCAGCCAGAGCTCTCCTGTATGAGGTGTCTGTCAACCCCTACTGGGAGGTGTCTCCCCATCAGGAGGCACAGGGGTCAAGGACCAACTTGAGGAGGCAGACTGTCCCTTATCAGAGCTCAAATGCTGTTCTGGGAGATCCACTGCTCTCTTCAGAGCTGCCAGGCAGGGATGTTTTAAGTCTGCTGAAACTGCACCCACAACCGCCCCTTCCCCCAAGTGCTCTGTCTCTGGGAGGTGGGGGTTTTATCTATAAGTCCCTGACTGGGGTTGCTGCCTTTTTTTCAGAGATGCCCTGCCCCAAGAGGAGGTAATCTAGAAAGGCAGTCTGTCCGCAGAGGCATTGCTGAACTGTGTTGGGCTCCACCCAGTTCGAACTTCCTGGTGGCTTTGTTTACACTGTCAGGGTAAAACTGCCTTCGAGCCTCAGCAATGGTGGACCCCCACCCCCCTCACCCCCCACCGCCCCACCAAACGCGAGTGTCCCAGGTCAAGCTCAGACTGCTGTGCTAGCAGTCAGAATTTCAAGCCAGTGGATCTCAGCTTGCTAGGCCCCATGAGGGTGGGACCCGTGAGCCAAACCACTTGGCTCCCTGGCTTCAGCCCCTTTTCCAGGGGAGTGAACAGTTCTGTCTCCTTGGCATTCCAGGTGCCACTGGGGTATGAAAAAAAACTCCTGTGGCTAGCTCAGTGTCTGCCCAAATAGCCACCCAGTTTGGTGCTGGAAACCCAGGGCCCTGGTGGCGTAGGCACCGGAGGGAATCTCCTGATCTGTGGGTTGCAAAGACCATGGGAAAAGCGCAGTATCTTGGCCAGAGTGCATGGTACAGTCCCTAATGGTGTTCCTTAGCTAGGAGAGGGAGTTCCCAGACTCCTTGCGCTTCCCAGGTGAGACAGCGCCACACCCTGCTTTGACTTGCCCTCCTTGGGCTGCACCCACTGTGCAACCAGTCCCAATGAGATGAACCAGGTACCTCAGCTGGAAATGCAGAAATCACCTGCCTTCTGTGTTGATCTTGCTGGGAGCTGCAGACTGGAGATGTTCCTATTCAGCCATTTTGCCAGTAATCCCCCGTGGTTTCTTAAAGGGTAGTTGCAATGTGGAAGCTGAAACCATAGCAATAAATGTTTTCTATTCTGTCACATTAAAATCTATTTGTTTATCTTGTACTTAGGATAGATCTTTTACTCATACATAATTTCATAATATCATGCCCTGGTCTTTTGGAAAATTGGTTTGCTCAGTCATGTAGATCTTCTAAGTGCTGACACATTTCATTATATAACATCCAAACTCATAGTCATTAACATCATCAATTCATTAACATCATCTATTTCATGAGAAAGGTCATTAAGTACCAGGATGCTATCAAGCTCACAGTGGTGGATACAAGTTTTCAAAAATTTTTTGCTTCAAAGCAAAAACTGAGTTATGGGCAACAAATTCTGTTAATTGTTTTCTTTGATATGCCAGACTCAGTTGATTCATTTTCAAGAAAATACTCAAAAATACTCAAGTCTGCCAATACTGAAATCTGAATAGTCATAATCTTTCAGTCTTTTATGGGAATAAAAATGCCGTTCCATGAAAAAAACACCTAGTTCAGACTGCAACTCAGTTGCACTCCTACTTTACCATTTTTTTTTTTTGAGACAGGGTCTTGCTCTGTCACTTGGACTGGAGTGCAGTGGTGCAAAAATAGTTCACTGCAGCCTCAAGCTCCTGAGCTCAAGCATTCCTCCTGCTTTACCTTCCCGATTAGTTAGAACTATAGGCATGCACTACCATGCCTGGCTATTTTGTTTGTTTTTAGAAATGAGGTCTTGCTACATTGCCCAGGCTGGTCTCAAACTCCTGGCCTCAAGTGATCTTCCCACCTTGGCCTCCCAAAGTGTTGGGATTACAGCTCTGAGCCACTGGGCCCAATCCTCTGCATTTCCTCTACACAACCATTGCACTTCGAAATGCAGCAGAAGTGCTTTATACATACTATCTGTTTTAGTCTGTTTTCATGCTGCTGACAAAGACATAGAGACTGGGTAGAAAAAGAGGTTTAATGGGACTTACAGTTCCAAATGGCTAGGGAGGCATCAGAATCATGGCGGGAGGTGAAAGGCACTTCTTACAATGGCAGCGGCAAGAGAATAATGAGGAAGAAGCAAAAGTGGAAACCCCTGATAAACCCATCAGATCTCATGAGACTTAATTCACATCACCAGACTAGCACAGGAAAGACCGGCCCCCATGATTCGATTACCTCCCCGTGGGTCCTTCCGCAATATGTGGGAAGTCTGGGAGATACAATTCAAGTTGAGATTTGGGTGGGGACACAGCCAAACCAGATCACTATCCATTTCCTCCCATGGGATATTAAAAATACTCATGCTCAAGAGATTTAATAAAATTTTAATTTGTACTGTGTTATCAAAGACATTCTTAAGTGAAACTGGCTTTTTTTTTTTTAAATTAAACGTGCATGTGTGGTGATAAAGGATACGATGACAACTAGTACAGTTTCGTGCCATTGCCTTGACTCATGCTAAGGTACCAGCAGCTTAACTCACTGTTCCTTTTGCATCATCAGTGCAAATATCAGCACCATGAAAAAGGCAAGCAGCATCTTAGTATTAATATGAGAATAATTTCAACCCCATGGATGTCCCAAGAGGATCTCAGTGACCCTTGAGAGTCTGTGAACCACACTGATTACTGCTAGCCTAGACACACAGAGCCCTCTTCATTCTAACTGGGAGGTTCCCAGTCTTTCCAGCCCTCGCATGTTCAAACACATGGCCTTGGGGAAGGACATTGGTTTGTTCCCCATGTTTTTAGGGGGGCATGATGAATTTGCAAGGCTCCCTCAGGCCCCTTGTGCCCAGCATCATGGTGCAATCCTGTTATTCCTTCTGTTATGCTGTGGTGCAGGCGTCCTGAGAAGGTTCTCATTGTAAGGGAGTCCTGTCAGCTCTCAGGCCCCCAGCTTTGTGTATGAGTAGGTTTGTTTTCATTAATATCAGAGCTTGGTGGGCATTTACCCTCTCAGGCACACTCATCAACATTCTAATATTGAACCCAAATCTGCCTCCTATTATATTCATGCATTGACATAAATCCCATCTTTTGGACTTACAAAGAGCAATTCAAATCCCTTTACAAAAATCGTCCTTTTGCACATGCACACGTATGTTTATTGCGGCACTATTCACAATAGCGAAGACTTGGAACCAACCCAAATGTCCAACAATGATAGACTGGATTAAGAAAATGTGGCACATATACACCATGGAATACTATGCAGCCATAAAAAATGATGAGTTCATGTCCTTTGTAGGGACATGGATGAAATTGGAAATCATCATTCTCAGTAAACTATTGCAAGAACAAAAAACCAAACACCGCATATTCTCACTCATAGGTGGGAACTGAACAATGAGTACACATGGACACAAGAAGGGGAACATCACACTCTGGGGACTGTTGTGGGGTGGGGGGAGGGGGGAGGGATAGCTTTAGGAGATATACCTAATGCTAAATGACGAGTTAATGGGTGCAGCACACCAGCATGGCACATGTATACATGTGTAACTAACCTGCACATTGTGCACATGTACCCTAAAACTTAAAGTATAATAATAATTAAAAAAAAAATCGTCCTTTTGATTTTTTCAAAAAGGCTATCACAAACCTCCCTGTCACTTCTATTCTCAAAAAATAAATGATGTAACAGGAATGAGAGGGACATGGGTTTAAGTTTCCCACAGTCACTTAAAGTGTGACCTTGGGCAAGTCACTTCATTTCTTTCATTTCCGGTTCATTATCTGTAAAGCAGGGATAATAATTCTTAACTCAGAAGGCACTATGGGGATTTCAGTGTTTTAAGGCGAGGTCCCCAGCTCCAGGGCTGCAGACTGGTACCAGTCCGTGGCCTGTTAGGAACTGAGCAGCACAGCAGGAGGTGAGCTGCATTGCCACCTGAGCTCTGCCTCCTGTCAAATCAGTGGAAGCATTCGATTCTCATAGGAGCGCAAACCCTATTGTGGACTGGCATGAGAGGGATCTAGGTTGCATGGTCCTTATGAGAATCTAACTAATGCCTGGTGATCTGAGGTGGAACAGTTTCATCCCGAAACTCTCTCCCCTCCCTTCCCCCCAAGTCCGTGGAAAAATTGTCTTCCAAAAAACCAGTCCCGGGTGCTAAAAAGATTGAGGACCACTGTTTTAAGGGATCAAATTTAATGCGGAGTGCATAGTAGACATATAACAAATGTTATTTCTCTTTGCTTTTGGAAAAATGTCCTACTCATAATTTATCTTAAAATACAAAAGTATTTTGAGAATTTAGTAATAAGGTATTAGTACTAGTGGTAATGGCACCATATCAGTAATTTTATTAAGAATAGTTGCCCTTATCCCATGTTGGTCTTCCAAATCTATAAATTTGATCCTAGGGTCTACCAGTTGACTGTCAGTTTGGGGCTTTTTTTCTTCTTTTTGGATGAAAGAATAAGGTGTAGAAATAAATGTTCAGGAATCTGAGATGAAAAACTTAAAACTATTCATACATTAGGAGTCTCCATAAGCAAAAGCAAGATGGATGCCTCATATTTCACAGAGGGAATTAAAGTATGACAATAAATAAATAAATTTCTTATTTTATCAGCAAAAAGAAGAAAATGGCTCCAATGGCTTGGCTTTCATTTTTCTAACAAACAATGAACCAGTGACACGGAAGCTAATATTACAACAGTATAGAAGAATGATCGAATTATGAAGCTCTCATAAACTCGAAGTTCATAAGAACAAAGTTGAGAGATGTGGAAATGTACCATTAAAAGATATCATGGAGTATTTGGAGATGTAAAGATTATTAATCTCTCCAGGGCCAGGCTAGCCAGTAATGGGGTGGCGATTAGGAAACGCCTCTTACAGCTTTATTAATTTTGGGACACCTCATCTATCTGTAATCATGTTTCACAGGAATAAGCTGTTTCATAAAAATAAAAAAATTCAGATAATTAAATTATATACCTCCTGAAACTAAGACTATTTTTATTTTAAATTCGTGGTTTATAACCCAGGGTTTATGAATCAGTTCTAGGGAGTTTCTGAACTGCCTACAATTATATGGAAGATTTTGTGGGGTTTTTCTCACATATAAGTTTCTGAAGAGAGAATCCATTATTTTTAGAAGTTTTTCAAAATGAACTATAATCCATAAACACCAAGAACTACTGTTTTAATCAATTCTTGAAGTAATTTTTTCCAATTGATTATTAACTTCCCTATCTTATTTGCTACTGGTTGGAAAACTGACACATTCAGGGAAATTGATTTTAAATTCTTACGATTTAAAATTCTTGTGTTGTCTTTTTGTGTTTTTTTTGTCTCCTCTCTCACAGGTACAGTTATTTTTCCCTTGTTATCAGTAAGTTTGCTTCTAGCAATTTCTCCCTGCCTACTATAAAGTGGCTGCAAAATTACATAACAAAGCTTGTTAGAATAATGGTAAATAGACTCTTTGTGAAAGTGTCTCCTATGAATCAAGTGTGCAGGTGTTCCTGTGCAGACCATAGGGTATCTCTTTTGGCAAGTCAGGGACCAGTCTTGCTTACTTCTCATTCTTCACTGTGGTCTTCATGACCAAGCTGACCACATATCTATGATTTCCTGAGACTTGAGAGGTAGATGTGTTGTTTACACAATGTAGACTAGGATGTAAATTTCACTCTGTGTTATTAGTCTTTGTATTAGTCAACTATTGCCACAGTAATGCTGCATTCCAAACCACCCCAAAACTAAGTGGTGCAAGCATTTATTCCTCTGCTTGTCAGCTGGAGCTTCGCTAGTCTAACTGTGTTTAGTTGGGCTTCACTGAAAACTGTGGATTGGATGCAGAACTACCATAGCACTTCTTGGGTCAGTAGCTATTTGAGGCAAAGATGGGGTAAAAGAGAGGTGAGCAGAGACATATGACACTGCTTAAGGCCTAGGCTTGGGACTGGGACACTTGCTTCCACCCACCTTACACCGGCCATAGCAAACCACATGGTTAAACTCAACAACGGGGAAGGGAAGAATATTCCTCCAAAAAGGGCAAGTGAATATTAGCTGAATAATTACTTAATTGACCACAAGCTGCTGCTTTTTATAAGTAAATTTAGATTTTTTTAATGGAAAAATAACTACAGATCACCTTGGCATGATTTTTTAAAGGCAGATTACACATTCTATTAAAGATCTCAAAACTTCCAAAAGAAAGAACTTTTTATTGTCATTCATCCTAAGAGTGTAAGTAATGGGCCAAAAAACAAACAAGGCAAAAACAAAACAAAACAAAACAAAACAACCTCACTCAGCTTAAAATATGAAGGAGAAAATATTGCTAATATTACCTTAGCCATAACATTTCAAACCCAATTCTGAATCACAGTTTATAGAAATTGTCATTTGAGTGGCTTTCTTGAGCTCCCACGATACAGTAATTCCACAAGGGGGCAGTTTGTTGTTTCTGATAATGTAGTGTCTGTCTGAATTCTCTTTCTTTTTCCTTTATTACAAAGTCTCCGGGTAAGTAGAGAAATTTTACCTTCATAACTTATTTATGGCTGGGAAGAAGAGTACAACCTTAGAGAGAATCACTGAAGAGAGGCATTGCCAGTCCTCACTGACTCAGGGATAGCTCTCATTCATGCTTCCAAGGATCAATGAGAATAGCTTTCCTTAATTTAGAACAGGGAGATGCTGACCTTTATATGTACTTCCTGGCTTTTTCTTTCTTGATGTAAGATTCTCCCTTAAAACGGGAATGACACAGCCTATGTCTCTAAGACTTAATGAACAACACGCCACAGGCAGGTCGTGGGGCCATCTTGATGGGAAAGAGCACGGGACTTTGTCTCAGTTGGCCACAGTTTGAATTCTGATGGCTATTAATGAGCTGTCTGCCCTTGGGAAAGTGATCTGACTTCTCTGAGCCAAGTCACCTTATCACTAAAGAGAGTATACTCATGTCTATCTCACAGCACTGTGTGTTTCACACAAATTAGCCCTCAGAATTAGCTACCTACAAAATGGAGGGTATTCATCAGTGTACTTGAGTAGGAGAAACTAAGAGAACTCTGGTTCTAGAAAGTTTTCAGTCCATGGAAGAACCACCAAAATAAAGTGAAGAGCACCCTTTGATTTTAATCTTGGATGGCATCTGTACAAAATTAAATAGAAGAGAAGCAGAGAGGAGTGAGTTTCCAAACACTCAGATGTTATAAGAATTGTTCACAGTCATTGATTTTATACCTTGAAATCCTACAAGTTTCGAAAAGGCTAATTCAGACAATATGCTATTCCTTCCACTGATGTTAGATGGATGGGAGTGGTACAGGATGGAGAAATAAAAAACAAATACACCAATCAGATGCAGATTTGGTCTTTTCACATAGTCCCATATTTCTTGGAGGCTTTGTTCATTTCTTTTTATTCTTTTTTCTCTAAACTTCCCTTCTCGCTTCATTTCATCTTCCATCATGGATACCCTGTCTTCCAGTTGATCGCATCGGCTCCTGAGGCTTATGCATTCTTCATGTAGTTCTCGAGCCTTGGCTTTCAGCTCCATCAGCCCCTTTAAGCACTTCTCTTTATTGGTTATTCTAGTTATACATTCGTCTAAATTTTTTTCAAAGTTTTCAACTTCTTTGCCTTTGGTTTGAATTTCCTCCTGTTTGATCATCTGAAGCCTTCTTCTCTCAACTAGTCAAAATCATTCTCCGTCCAGCTTTCTTCTGTTGCTGGTGAGGAACTGCATTCCTTTGGAGGAGGAGAAGCGCTCTGCTTTTTAGAGTTTCCAGTTTTTCTGCTCTGTGTTTTCCCCATCTTTGTGGTTTTATCTACTTTTCGTCTTTGATGATGGTGATGTACAGATGGGTTTTTGGTGTGGATGTCCTTTCTGTTTGTTAGTTTTCCTTTTAACAGACAGGACCCTCAGCTGCAGGTCTGTTGGAGTTTGCTAGAGGTCCACTCCAGACCCTGTTTGCCTGGGTATCAGTAGCGGTGTCTGCAGAACCGCGGATTTTCATGAACCGCGAATGCTGCTGTCTGATCGTTCCTCTGGAAGTTTTGTCTCAGAGGAGTACCCGGCCGTGTGAGGTGTCAGTCGGCCCGTACTGGGGGGTGCCTCCCAGATAGGCTGCTCGGGGGTCAGGGGTCAGGGACCCACTTGAGGAGGCAGTCTGCTCGTTCTCAGATCTCCAGCTGCGTGCTGGGAGAAACACTGCTCTCTTCAAAGCTGTCAGACAGGGACATTTAAGTCTGCAGAGGTTACTGCTGTCTTTTTGTTTGTCTGTGCCCTGCCCCCAGAGATGGAGCCTACGGAGGCAGGCAGGCCTCCTTGAGCTGTGGTGGGCTCCACCCAGTTCAAGCTTCCAGGCTGCTTTGTTTACCTAAGCGAGCCTGGGCAATGGCGGGCGACCCTCCCCCAGCCTTGCTGCCGCCTTGCAGTTTGATCTCAGACTGTTGTGCTAGCAATCAGTGAGACTCTGTGGGTGTAGGACCCTCCGAGCCAGGTGTGGGATATAATTCTCCTGGTGCGCCCTTTCCTAAGCCTGTCGGAAAAGCGCAGTATTCGGGTGGGAGTGACCCAATTTTCCAGGTGACGTCTGTCACCCCTTTCCTTGAGCAGGAAAGGGAACTCCCTGACCCCTTGTGCTTCCCGAGTGAGGCAATGCCTCGCCCTGCTTTGGCTTGCGCATGGCACGCTGCACCCACTGTCCTGCGCCCACTGTCTGGCACTCCCTAGTGAGATGAACCCGGTACCTCAGATGGAAATGCAGAAATTACCCGTCTTCTGCGTCGCTCAGGCTGGGAGCTGCAGACTGGAACTGTTCCTATTCGGCCATCTTGACTATGTGAAAAGACCAAATCTGCATCTGATTGGTGTACCTGAAAGTGACAGGGAGAATGGAACCAAGTTGGAAAACACTCTGCAGGATATTATCCAGGAGAACTTCCCCAATCTAGCAAGGCAGGCCGACATTCAGATTCAGGAAATACAGAGAACACCACAAAGATACTCCTCGAGAAGAGCAACTCCAAGACACATAATTGTCAGATTCACCACAGTTGAAAGGAAGGAAAAAATGTTAAGGGCAGCCAGAGAGAAAGGTCAGGTTACCCACAAAGGGAAGCCCATCAGACTAACAGCGGATCTCTTGGCAGAAACTCTACAAGCCAGAAGAGAGTGGGGGCCAATATTCAAATTCTTAAAGAAAAGAATTTTCAACCAGAATTTCATATCCAGCCAAACTAAGCTTCATAAGTGAAGGAGAAATAAAATCCTTTACAGACTAGCAAATGCTGAGAGATTTTTGTCACCACCAGGCCTGCCCTAAAAGAGCTCCTGAAGGAAGCACTAAACATGGAAAGGAACAACTGGTACCAGCCGCTGCAAATTCATGCCAAAATGTAAAGATCATCGAGACTAGGAAGAAACTGCATCAACTAACGAGCAAAATAACCAGCTAACATCATAATGACAGGATCAAATTCGCACATAACAATATTAACTTTAAATATTAATGGACTAAATGCTCCAATTAAAAGACACAGACTGGCAAATTGGATAAAAAGTCAAGAACTATCAGTGTGCTGTATTCAGGAAACCCATCGCACGTGCAGAGACACACATAGGCTCAAAATAAAAGGATGGAGGAAGATCTACCAAGCAAATGGAAAACAAAAAAAGGCAGGGGTTGCAATCCTAGTCTCTGATAAAACAGACTTTAAACCAACAAAGATCAAAAGACACAAAGAAGGACATTACATAATGGTAAAGGGATCAATTCAACAAGAAGAGCTAACTATCCTAAATATATATTCACCCAATACAGGAGCACCCAGATTCATAAAGCAAGTCCTGAGTGACCTACAAAGAGACTTAAGACTCCCAGACAATAATAATGGGAGACTTTAACACCCCACTGTCAACATTAGACAAATCAACGAGACAGAAAGTTAACAAGGATACCCAGGAACTGAACTTAACTCTGCACCAAGCAGACCTAATAGACATCTACAGAACTCTCCACCCCAAATCAATAGGATATACATTTTTTTCAGCACCACGCCACACCTATTCCAAAATTGACCACATAGTTGGAAGTAAAGCTCTCCTCAGCAAATGTAAAAGAACAGAAATTATAACAAACTGTCTCTCAGACCACAGTACAATCAAACTAGAACTCAGGATTAAGAAACTCACTCAAAACCGCTCAACTACATGGAAACTGAACAACCTGCTCCTGAATGACTACTGGGTACATAACGAAATGAAGGCAGAAATAAAGATGTTCTTTGAAACCAACGAGAACAAAGACACAACATACCAGAATCTCTGGGACACATTCAAAGCAGTGTGTAGAGGGAAGTTTATAGCACTAAATGCCCACAAGAGAAAGCAGGAAAGATCCAAAACTGATACCCTAACATCACAATTAAAAGAACTAGAAAAGCAAGAGCAAACACATTCAAAAGCTAGCAGAGGGCAAGAAATAACTAAAATCAGAGCAGAACTGAAGGAAATAGAGACAAAAACAAAAAAAAAACCTCAAAAAATTAATGAATCCAGGAGCTGGTTTTTTGAAAGGATCAACAAAATTGATAGACCGCTAGCAAGACTAATAAAGAAAAAAAGAAGAATCAAATAGACGCAATAAAAAATGATAAAGGGGATATCACCCGATCCCACAGAAATACAAACTACCATCAGAGAATACTACAAACACCTCTACGCAAATGAACTAGAAAATCTAGAAGAAATGGATAAATTCCTGGACACATACACTCTCCCAAGACTAAACCAGGAAGAAGTTGAATCTCTGAATAGACCAATAGCAGGCTCTGAAATTGTGGCAATAATCAATAGCTTACCAACCAAAAAGAATCCAGGACCAGATGGATTCACAGCCGAATTCTACCAGAGGTACAAGGAGGAACTGGTATCATTCCTTCTGAAACTATTCCAATCAATAGAAAAAGAGGGAATCCTCCCTAACTCATTTTATGAGGCCAGCATTCATCCTGATACCAAAGCCTGGCAGAGACACAACCAAAAAAGAGAATTTTATACCAATATCCTTGATGAACATTGATGAACAAAAATCCTCAATAAAATACTGGCAAACCGAATCCAGCAGCACATCAAAAAGCTTATCCACCATGATCAAGTGGGCTTCATCCCTGGGATGCAAGGCTGGTTCAATATATGCAAATCAATAAATGTAATCCAGCATATAAACAGAACCAAAGACAAAAACCACATGATTATCTCAGTAGATGCAGAAAAGGCCTTTGACAAAATTCAACAACCTTCATGCTAAAAACTCTCAATAAATTAGGTATTGATGGGATGTATCTCAAAATAATAAGAGCTATCTATGACAAACCCACAGCCAATATCATACTGAATGGGCAAAAACTGGAAGCATTCCCTTTGAAAACTGGCACAAGACAGAGATGCCCTCTCTCACCACTCCTATTCAACATAGTGTTGGAAGTTCTGGCCAGGGCAATTAGGCAGGAGAAGGAAATAAAGGGTATTCAATTAGGAAAAGAGAAAGTCAAATTGTCCCTGTTTGCAGACGACATGATTGTATATCTAGAAAACCCCATTGTCTCAGCCCAAAATCTCCTTAAGCTGATAAGCAACTTCAGCAAAGTCTCAGGATACAAAATCAATGTGCAAAAATCACAAGCATTCTTATACACCAATAACAGACAAACAGAGAGCCAAATCATGAGTGAACTCCCATTCACAGTTGCTTCAAAGAGAATAAAATACCTAGGAATCCAACTTACAAGGGATATGAAGGACCTCTTCAAGGAGAACTACAAACCGCTGCTCAATGAAATAAAAGAGGATACAAACAAATGGAAGAACATTCCATGCTCATGGGTAGGAAGAATCAATATCATGAAAATGGCCATACGGCCCAAGGTAATTTATAGATTCAATGCCATCCCCATCAAGCTACCAATGACTTTCTTCACAGAATTGGAAAAAACTACTTTAAAGTTCATATGGAACCAAAAAGGAGCCCGCATCGCCAAGTCAATCCTAAGCCAAAAGAACAAAGCTGGAGGCATCACCCTACCTGACTTCAAACTATACTACAAGGCTATAGTAACCAAAAGAGCATGGTACTGGTACCAAAACAGAGATATAGATCAATGGAACAGAACAGAGCCCTCAGAAATAACGCTGCATATCTACAACTATCTGATCTTTGACAAACCTGAGAAAAACAAGCAATGGGGAAAGGATTCCCTATTTAATAAATGGTGCTGGGAAAACTGGCTAGCCATATGTAGAAAGCTGAAACTGGATCCCTTCCTTACACCTTATACAAAAATTAATTCAAGATGGATTAAAGACTTAAATGTTAGACCTAAAACCATAAAAACCATAGAAGAAAACCTAGGCAATACCATTCAGGACCTAGGCATGGGCAAGGACTTCATGTCTAAAACACCAAAAGCAATGGCAACAAAAGCCAAAATTGACAAATGGGATCTAATTAAACTAAAGAGCTTCTGCGCAGCAAAAGAAACTACCATCAGAGTGAACAGACACCTACAAAATGGGAGAAAATTTTCGCAACCTGCTCATCTGACAAAGGGCTAATATCCAGAATCTACAATGAACTCAAACAAATTTACAAGAAAAAAACAAAAAACCCCATCAAAAAGTGGGCAAAGGATATGAACAGACACTTCTCAAAAGAAGACATTTATGCAGCCAAAAGACACATGAAAAGATGGTCATCATCACTGGCCATCAGAGAAATGCAAATCAAAACCACAATGATATACCATCTCACACCAGTTAGAATGGCAATCATTAAAAAGTCAGAAAACAACAGGTGCTGGAGAGGATGTGGAGAAATAGGAACACTTTTACACTGTTGGTGGGACTGTAAACTAGTTCAACCATTGTGGAAATCAGTGTGGCGATTTCTCAGGGATCTAGAACTAGAAATACCATTTGACCCAGCCATCCCATTACTGGGTATATACCCAAAGGACCATAAATCATGCTGCTATAAAGACACATGCACACATATGTTTATTGCGGCACTATTCACAATAGCAAAGACTTGGAACCAACTCAAATGTCCAACAATGATAGATTTGATTAAGAAAATGTGGCACATATACACCATGGAATACTATGCAGCCATAAAAAATGATGAGTTCATGTCCTTTGTAGGGACATGGATGAAATTGGAAATCATCATTCTCAGTAAACTATTGCAAGGGCGAAAAACCAAACACCGCATGTTCTCACTCATAGATGGGAATTGAACAATGAGAACACATGGACACAGGAAGGGGAACATCACACTCTGGGGACTGTTTTGGGGTGGGGGGAGGGGGGAGGGATAGCATTAGGAGATATACCTAATGCTAAATGACAAGTTAATGGATGCAGCACACCAGCATGGCACATGTATACATATGTAACTAACCTGCACATTGTGCACATGTACCCTAAAACTTAAAGTATAATAATAATAAAAATATTAAAAAAGACAAATAATTAAATAATTTAAATATTTTTTAAAAAACAGAAATAGACAAATTTGCCACTGTTTTCAAGTTTTCTTTTCTTTTTTCTTCCTTTTTTTTTTTTTGAGATGGAGTCTCACTCTGTCACCCAGGCTGGAGTGCAGTGGCACAGTCTCTGCTCACTGCAACCTCCACCTCCCAGGTTCAAAAGATTGTATATGCCTCAGCCACCTGAGTAGCTGGCATTACAGATGCATGCCACCACGCCTGGCTAATTTTTGTGTTTTTAGTAGAGACAGGGTTTCACCATGTTGGCCAGGCTGGTCTTGAACCCCTGGCTTCAAGTCATCTGCCTGTCTCAGCCTCCCAAAGTGCTGGAATTACAAGCATGAGCCACTGCCCCTGGCTTTTTTCAAGTTTCTAAATATTAACTTTTTATGGAGAGACTGTTTAACTCTGTCATGAAAACTATTTCACCTCTGTACAATGTAGAAGTAACCTGTAAACAAATCACTAATGGTATTCTTGTTTAACATTTAAAATAAGTTTTCTCTAAAATGGATAATCCTATAACAATAGTATCAATGACTATTTCTAAGCCTTCCCATGCAAGGTGCTATGCAAAATGCTTCATATGAATTATCTAATAGATCTGCATGAGGACAAATATTGAACTTCTATTAAAAATAAAGACATTGAAAACCAAAGTGTTTAGAATGCTGATAAGGCAAAATGATTTACTTTGTGCAGTTACCTTAGATAGAAAAAAATACCACAAAATAGCCAAATAAAATAAATGCAAATGGAAAGACACACACAGCTCACTACAGAGAGCACTGGTTATCAGCATCTTTCACTTAGTTCCATGAAGATATTTTTATTGACTGTCACGCATGGCTTAATGACAGGGATGGGTTCTAAGAGATGTGTTGTTTGGCAATTTCGTCATTGTGTGAACATCATAGAGTGTGCTTAACACAAGCATAGATGGTGTAGTCTGTTACACACCTAGGCTATATGGCACAACCTATTGCTCCTAGGCCACAAACCAGTCCAGCATGTTACTGTACTGAATACTGTAGGCAATTGTTACACAATTTGTATATTAAGTGTTTGTGTGTCTAAACATACCTAAACCTAGAAAATGTACAGTAAAAATATGGTGTAAAAGATAAAAAGTGGTATACCTGTATAAGGCATGTACCATAAATGAAGCTTGCAGGACTGGAAGTTGCTCTGGGTGAGTGAGTAGTGAGTGAGTGGCGAGTGAATGTGAAGGCCTAGGACATTACTGTCTACTACTGTAGACTTTATGTGTGCTGAATAGTATATGTAGGGATACTAGATTTATAACAAAATAGTTTTCTTTTTTCAATAATAAATTAACCTTAGCTTACTATAACTCTTTTCCTTTATAAACTGTTTAATTTTTTAAACTTTTTGACTTTTTTGTAATAATGCTTAGCTTGAAACACAAGCACATTCTACAGCTATATAAAAATTCCTTTCTCTCTCTTTTTTTTTTTTTTTTTTTTTTTAAGATGGAGTCTCGCTCTGTCTCCCAGACTGGAGTGCAGTGGTGCAATCTCGGCTCACTGCAAGCTCTGCCTCCCGGGTTCATGCCATTCTGCTGTCTTGGCTTCCCAAGTAGCTGTGACTACAGGTGCCCGCCACAACACCCAGCTAATTTTTTTTTTTTTTGTATTTTTAGTACAGACAGGGTTTTACCATGTTAGCCAGGATGGTCTCGATCTCCTGACCTCGTTATCTGCCTGCCTCAGCCTCCCAAAGTGCTGGGATTATAGGCAAAAATTCCTTTCTTTATATCTTTCTAAACTTTTTTTCTATTTTAAGAATATTTTATTTTTTACTTTTTAAACTTTTGTGTTAAAAACTAAGACATAAACACACATTAGTCTAGGGCTATACAAGGTCAGGATCATCAATATCACTGTCTTCCACCTCCATATCTTGGCCCATTGGAAGGTCTTCAGGGGCAATAACAAGCATCTCCTATGATAAAATGCCTTTTTCTGGAATCCCTCCTGAAAGGACTAGAAGGTTATTTTACAGTTAACTTGTTTTATGAGTAGAAGGAGAACACTCTATTATATTGATAAATGGTGACTCACACCGGTAATCCCAGCATTTTGGGAAACAGAGGAGAGAGGATCCCTTGAGCCCAGAAGTTCAAGACCAGCCTGGGCAACATAGCAAGACTTGTCTCTACACACACAAAAAAAGCCAGTCATGGTGGTGTGCCTGTAGTCTTAGCTACTTGGGAGGCTGAGGCAGGTGTATAGTTTGAGCCTAGGATTTCGAGGTTGCAGTGAGCTATGATTATGCCACTGCGCTCCAGCCTAGGTGACAAAGCAAGACCCTGTCTCTAATAAAAATAATAAAAATTTTAAAAAGTTAAAAAATAATGATAGAGTATAGTATATCAAATACATAAACCAATGATATAGTTGTATCAAGTATCATGTTTGTATAATTATATGTGCACTTTTATATGACTGGCGGCAAAGTAGGTTTGTTTACACCAGCACCACCACAAATACGTGAATAGTGCATTGTGCTATGAAGTTATGATGGCTACAATGCCACTAGATGATAGGAATTTTTCAGCTCCATTGTAATTGTATGAGACCATCTTTGTATTAAATATATGTGATCCGTCGTTGACTGAAACGTCACTATGCAGCATATGACTGTATTTTGAAAACAGAGATATATTGAGTTATCGCAGAAAACTTTAATAACACTGAAATGTATAGAAAATAGGCTGGGGATTAAATTACACTATTATTTTACATCCTCTGCAACGGAGGATGTTTCTCCTTTGTGTCAAGAAACCTCTGCGGTATTTGCAGCAGTAAATTTGTAGGTTGACTGTGTAGCTGAAAATTGTCACTAGGGGGCAGCCTATCACTGAAATGTGGATGATACTTCCTGCGTCATCTGATTTCAATGAGAAACTGGCCCAGGGAGTCACACGTTCTCGGCACAGCTTCTAAAGGAAAATTGATGCATCTATAAAATGTTGAATCAGCACAGTCACTCGGTGGTGAGTAAAGGAAGGAAAAAGTCTTGCATAATATTAAAAGCCCAGCATAAATCAATGGTTAGACATACAAATGTTGTGTGCTTTGATCACAAAACCTTTATGTGTGTGTGCTGAGCAGGAGAATATGGGCTACTGTCTTTTAAAACAGAGTCATAGTTTAACTTTTGTTATACACACACACACATACACACACACACTCTCTCTCTCTGTCTTGCTCACTCTCTTTCTCTTTCTCGCTCGCTCGCTCTCTCTCTTTCTCTCTGAATTAAAAGCCACCGTGCAGGTAAACATTTTACAATTGGGAAGGAAATTGAAACAAGTAGAAATTGATTAATTCCTTTAGCTCTTAAACCCTAGGTTTAAGCTGAGCGGAACGATGTGGTCTGGCAATTCCTCCCCTGCTTGGTGACTTTTGCTTGACCCTATATTTTCATCTATTGTTTTTCCTCTTTGCTACTCTTTCTCTTGCATTTTATATTCCTCAAGTGATCTCACCTAACAAAATCAACAGCCCCAGCTCTGAGGAGAGTCGTCGCTGTGTTTTCTTAACCGGGCTCTGAATGGTCTCAGAACATTACACAGAGGCAATATTTGAAATGTGATCCTGCCCAGTTCTCCTTTGAGCAGCAGAGCTGTCGGGTGCTATCGTATCTATGATCATTAAAGGCCTCTGAGAGCCCTAACGTCCCTGAGCGACTGGTGTGACCTTGTGTAGTCTGGGAACTGGAACAGAGCTAAGGTTGGCCTGACACACTGTCACCCAGGGCATGTGTGCAGCATAAGGTGGCCATGGAGATGCATGTAGAAACTTAGGAGCCATGCCCAAAAGCCCTTGATGCAAATGGAGCTTCAAAATGAAGAAAGATATAACTAATGCTAAATGACGAGTTAATGGGTGCAGCACACCAGCATGGCACATGTATACATGTGTAACTAACCTGCACATTGTACGCATGTACCCTAAAACTTAAAGTATAATAATAAAAAAATGAAGAAAGAAATCTATTAGACTGGAGGTAGGAATCCCCAGAAACTTAGGCCTACAGAATTAGCAGTCCAGTAAGGTAGAGGCTAGAACTTGCGGCAGTAGTAGGCATGGCTGGGTGTGGACTCTCTAACCAGACTAGGGTTTGAATCCTAGCTCTGTCTCCTGCTACCTGGATGACATTGGATAAGTTACTTAACGTCTCTGTGCTTTAGGTTTCTCCTCTGTAAAATGAGTGCTTGAAATACTGCCTGGCACATAATGCATTCAATGAAGGTTAGCTGTTATTATTAATGATACAGAGATGAGAGAAGGAAACTTAATGGAAATCTTAGTTTCCTCATCTGTGAAATGGGAGTAATAGTAGAATCCACTTTATAGATTATAGAAATATGGGAAGAATTATAGAGGTATCATAAGAATTATGGAGATGTTGGCCAGGCACAGTGGCTCATGCCTGTAATCCCAGCACTTTGGGAGGCCAAGGCGGGTGGATCACCTGAGGTCAGGAGTTCAAGACAAGCCTATAGAGAAACCCCATCTCTACTAAAAATACAAAAATTTGCTGGGCGTGGTGGTGCGCACCTGTAATCCCAGCTACTCGGGAGGCTGAGGCAGGAGAATCACTTGAACCCGGGAGGCAGATGTTGCAGTGAGCTGAGATTGCGCCATTACACTCCAGCCTGGGTGACAAGAGTGAAACTCCATCTAAAAAAAAAAAAAGAAAAGAATTATAGAGATGTTAATAAGAATTACTTGAGCTGTTATATAGGAAGTACTTGGACTAGTACCTGCCTATGGTAAGTGCTCAGTAAATGTTAACTATTATTGTTATTGTTATTAGAAACCTGAATGGAGATAATGCTACTTTCCACTGTAAAGGACTAAAAAGAGTTGTGAGGAATGAATGTTTTCAGTGCCTCATAAACACCCAGGATGCTCCATAAATGTCTATTTGTTTAATTACTTAGCTTGAGAATTCTGTTGCTGAGGTTGCTTAGTATCCATGAAACCTAATTTCAGCAACGGGAGCCTAGAGTTTAATAGCATTAGTCCCACAAAGCAGTGGGTCAACTGTTCTATGTCCTGAAACCTCTTGGATAATCTGAAGATATCTATGGATTCTTACCCCAGAGAAAACATACACCTGTTCACCATTTTGCATACACATTCAGGAGTCTTTAAGCACATCTTGAAGCCCATCCAGGGATTCTGTAGAAATCCATGGGTCCAGAGCTCAGAATTAAGAATTTCTATAATAGAAGAATGTAACTAAAAGAATTTTTTTTTTTTTTCTGAGGCAAGGTCTTACTCTGTCACCCAAGCTGGAGGGTGGTGGCATGATCTTGGCTTACTGCAACCTCTGCCTTCTGGGCTCAAGTGATCCTCCCACCTCAGCCTCCAGAGTAGCTGGGACTACAGGTGCACACCACCACATCTGGTTATTTTTGTGCTTTTATTTATAGTACAGACAGGATTTCACCATGTTGGCCAGGTTTGTCTTGAACTCCTGGCGTCAAGTGATCTGCCTACCTTGGCCTCCCAAAGTGGTGGGATTACAGGCGTGAGCCACTGCACCTGGCTGAAGGGATGATTCTTTACAGATTTTGTTATCAAGAATAGGGTTAGGAGGATGCCCCAAAGTCAGCAAAGCCCTTAAACCAGTGGTTCTCAAACTACTGGTGGTGGAAATTCAATAATAACCTGAGATACTCATTAAAATTAAGATCCTTGGGCTGTTTCACCAGATATTTTAGGTCAGTAGGTCTTCAGAATGTCATAGCCCAGAAAATCAAATTTTAGCATGCATCCTATTAATTTTTATGTAGGAGGCCCTTGAAGCACGCTTTGAAAACTGTTACCTTAGCTTTGGAAAAACTTAAATCAGGTCTTATAGCCATTGGGTTCTTAGTAACATAGAATTACAAAAGAAAAATTGACAGAAGTCACGTCCCTCTTAAAGCTCAGTATACCATTCATCTAAACAAAGTACCCAACAAACATGAAGAAGAGGAGTAAAACTGCAGCTCTCTGGAAGGGCCTGGTAGGACTGGGGAATAATTTTCTCAATGATAATTTTTCCTGAGAGACATAAGTTATACTACCAAAAAATTAGATGACAGGAGGCATTTTGATCTCAATCTCAATCATATTACAAACATAGTTGTCTACCTTCACTCCAAAGGAGTCAACATGTACTGTGTTATTTCGTATTTGGGGGCATGTACTCATTTATTCCCCCAGCCCCTATCAGCTAGTTATGATTGCTTTTCTCAGCCAGATGGCAAACTTGAGGGCAGGAACTATATTTGGTTATTTATTTCTATTCTTGGTGTAGGGCTTAGTAGATGTTGTTTCATGGACTCAATAAGTATTTAATTAACTTAAAATATAGGATGGAGAAAGGCAATAATATGAACCCTGTGGTTGTAAATCAACATGCTTCTAGCCTCGGCAATGTTGAAGGGCTTTTTGGTAAAGCGAACAACTTGAACTCATTTTGATTACATCCTTTATCAGAGATTTCCTCTCCCAGACACACAATGTGGAGGATGAAATAAACCACTTGAGGCTTCATTCTCATTTGGCCATTCTACATAGTGTTGGGAAACATTCTCCTTACACGGACATGGCTTTTGTGGGCTCACTTTCTCTGGAGTTCTCCTGACTTCTTAAATGTTCCCAAGGTCAGGGTGGTGCTGCTGCTTTCCCTCTTGTTACACAAATGACATCGTGAATGGTGAACTCCAGATAGATCAAGGGCTAAGGAAATAGTGTCTTCTGACCGTCTGAAGCAGGTGTGGGACAGTGGCCTCCAGGGTTGCTACAGAAACCCAGACAGTGCCTGCTGACTCAAAACCATCAGCCTCCAGAAAAATGAGGTTTTCAGGGGATCAGAGTTATGAACAGCTATTTACCTCAATAAACCAGAGTATGTGGCTCTGAAAACAATGGATATTGTAGATGTCATTTATATCTAAACGGTTATTTTAATACAAGAAGGCCATTTGTAAATGATTCTCACGCATGTAGTACTGGGCCATGTTTGCAATTCCCATCAGCCTCATTACTTCTGAGCTTCAAATTAAATTATTTGCTCCTACCTGAATGCAGTTGCCTAAGGGCTTTTTAAAAAAAATCTTTCTATTCTTGGTGGCTATTTTTTAAATGGGCTTTAAAAAGTCTGGAGTCTTAGGAATGTTGCATAGAAATGTAGGCAAACTGAAAGGCAGAGTAACATAAGGCAGTGTTTTAGGCAAATATATGGTAACATAAGGAAAGCTTAAAAATGAACATTGGTGCTACCTGGCAGTGCACATCCTGTGTTTCATTAAACCCCAAACATCTGAAAAACATTTTCTGGAATTCATTGCCTTTAACTCCCAGAAGAATCTGCCTTTCTCTAAGTGACAGACAACATTATCCCCACGCCTGTGGAATCTGCTATGAGCATTCAGCAACAAGAAGGGGAGGGATGAGATGGTGCCAGTAATGAGGAAACTCAAGCCATTTTTGAAAACTGAGCAGAGATCAGATGAGCTTTTACTGGCAAGAATTGAGGAATCTTTTTGAAAATATGGCTCTGCATCATAATAATCTCAAGGGAATCCAAAGTGTTTTTAAACAAAAGAACACAAGTAAAATCTTGCAAAGATAACACAAGCCTCCCTAGATATTCACCAGTATTTTTTGACAGTAACGAACCATTGAAGATGCTTGAAGCAGGCTAATTGAATGGAATGGAAGGATGCCACAGTTGCACAGCATTTTTCTGAGGTCAGCTGGAGGGAGGAGAGGTGAGGCTCCAGCTAGGTGCCCTTGGTGAGGTCTAATTGCCAGTGTTCAAAACTATCACCAGGAGGAACTGCCTATTGTCCCATCAAAGCTGTGATCCTGAAATGGGCAAAAATCAATGGGCTTATAACTGAAATTTCTATCTATTGCTCTTTTCAACCCTTACAATCTCCCCTCTGTATTATAGTTTTAGTGGACAGACTGCTCAGTGGAAGACAATAGCGTAAGAAATAAAAGCACCCAGCCGCATTCATTTATTCACATACTTTTCCAGTTGTGGGCCGGTGACCATTCTATCAGTCAGGTTCCTTCTAGGAAACAGGCACAATCAGCTGGGAACAGGATTCCCCAAGTCTGGGGAGAGCTGGGGCCCTGGAAAAGGGCCCCTATGGAATGCCGCTATTGTCAGAACTCCAAGTGGGGAGGGCAGGGGGGAAATAGATCAGTTTCTCCCCATGCCCTCTGATGTTGGCCAATGAATCCTGTGGGACAAACCCACTTGGAAGCCAGAGGGCAAGGCAGCCCTGTGATATACTAAATTCAAATTAGCCTTCTGGGGCAGAGAGCAAAGCGGAGCAGAAAATGGATGAGGGGTGGCAAGCAAAAACAAACAAATGCAATCAAGCTTCCGGGACAGACCAGACAGTGCAGCATAGTGTTTATGTGCTATTTTTAAAAAAGCAATTTATAACAAATCAGATATGTATCCCCTCCCTTCTCTATAAACCATCATGGTACACCTTCACTAAAAATTCTGCTGAAGAATGTTAAATCATGTGGGGTAGTATTTTATTTATTCTAGTTGCTTTACGCTTCTCCCACCCATGAGTAGGGCACAACATATATGAATATATTTTCAGACTCCTCTGTCTACTTTTAGATGTCCTTTAATATTAATGCACCGGCAGCAAAGACTGCAAAGTTGTACAATTTGGACTTTTGCTAGGCAATTAGCATGTTCTCTGTAACCAAAGTTAATGATGCTGGTAAGATCTTGCAACCCAAATTACTCACTCATCCCCTATGTTAGTATCTCAAAGAGGTTTACAATACTGGACTTTGTGTAGGATATAGGAACTGGGATTTCAAGGCTGTTGTGGAAGTAGAAAGCTGGCTGGCTAGAAGAGAAATGAGAGATTCACTCATCTCTTCAACAAACATTTGTGAACCCCTACTTAATGCGGGGCAGTTTGCTAAGTCCAAGGAACATAAAGATAGAAAAAACTTGTGAAGCAGACCGGTACTCCAAGGAATTGCAGCTTAACATGATATGTGCTTTAATAGAGAAGCAAATATAGCTCTGTGATGCCATGAAGCAGAGTGTCTGGGAAATGAAAGGATTCACAGAAGAGACGACAAGTGAATTGGATCATGAAGAAAGAGTAGGGATCTGCTAACAGTTAAGGCCTGGATAGAAGCATCTTCTGGGGCAGCGTGGGTGTGATTGTTTGAAGTAGGTGCTAGGAGAGAAGGTCAGAGACAAAACAATTAGGACTAGATGGAAAAACCTTCATTATCTCCCATATTTTAGAGTTTCTTGAACATTTAATTTAAACATAATACATGGCACTGTTTTTCCCCACATGGAACATTTTTGATGTTAACTTTTAATCTCTCCTCATTCAGGAAATAATCATCTTCATCTTCTTTGGTCATTACAATTCATCTTCTTTCCTGCTCCATATAAGTTTCCAAAACAATTTAGTATTAATTTTTTTTTTTTTTGAGATGGAGTCTTGCTCTGTCGCCAAGGCTGGAGTGCAGTGGTGCGATCTCCGCCCACTGCAACCTCTGCCTCCTGGGTTGAAGCAATTCTCCCACCTCAGTCTCCTGAGTAGCTGGGACTACAGGTGCGTGCCACCATGCCTGGCTAATTTGTTTTTTTTTTTTTTTTTTTTTGAGATGGAGTCTCACTCTCTCGTCCAGGCTAGAGTGCAGTGGTGCGATCTCAGCTCACTGCAAGCTCCACCTCCTGGGTTCACGCCATTCTCCTGCCTCAGCCTTCTGAGTAGCTGGGACTACAGGCACGTGCCACCATGCCCGGCTAATTTTTTGTATTTTTAGTAGGGACAGGTGTTGCAGGAAGTCAGGGACCCCGAACGGAGGGACCGGCTGGAGCCGTGGCAGAGGAACATGAATTGTGAAGATTTCATGGACATTTATCAGTTCCCAGATAATACTTTTATAATTTCTTATGCCTGTCTTTACTTTAATCTCTTAATACTGTTATCTTTGTAAGCTGAGGATGTACGTCACCTCAGGACCACTATGATAATTGTGTTAACTGTACAAATTGATTGTAAAACATGTGTGTTTGAACAATATGAAATCAGTGAACCTTGAAAAAGAGCAGAATAACAGCAATTTTTAGGGAACAAGGGAAGACAACCATAAGGTCTGACTGCCTGCGGGGTCAGGCAAAAAGAGCCATATTTTTCTTCTTGCAGAGAGCCTATAAATGGACGTGCAAGTAGGAGAGATATCACTAAATTCTTTTCCTAGCAAGGAATATTAATATTAATAACCTGGGAAAGGAATGCATTCCTAGGGGGAGATCTATAAACGGCCGCTCTGGGAATGTCTGTCCTATGTGGTTGAGATAAGGACTGAGATACGCCCTGGTCTCCTGCAGTACCCTCAGGCTTACTAGGATTGGGAAACTCCATCCTGGTAAATTTTTGGTCAGACCGGTTCTCTGCTCTTGAACCCTGTTTACTGTTGTTTAAGATCTTTATCAAGACAATACGTGCACTGCTGAACATAGACCCTTATCGGGAGTTCTGCCTTTTGCCCTTTGTCCTGTTTCCTCAGAAGCATGTGATCTTCGTTCTGCTTTTTGCCCTTTGAAGCATGTGATCTTTGTGACCTACTCCCTGTTCGTACACCCCCTCCCCTTTTGAAATCCTTAATAAAAACCTGCTGGTTTTGAGGCTCCGGTGGGCATCATGGTCCTACCGATATGTGATGTCACCCCCTGCGGCCCAGCGGTAAAATTCCTCTCTTTATACTCTTTCTCTTTATTTCTCAGCTGGCCGACACTTATGGAAAATAGAAAGAACCTACGTTGAAATATTGGGGGTGGGTTCCCCTGATAGATGAGGTTTCACTGTGTTAGTCAGGATAGTCTCTATCTCCTGACCTCGTGATCTGCCTGCCTTGGCCTCCAAAAATGCTGGGATTACAGGCATGAGCCACTGTGCCCGGCCTACTATTAATTTTACAGAGAGTTAGTAACTGCTCAATGTTTAGACTTGAGTCTAAACTTAGATTTAGATAAGGCTTATGCATTATTTTTCCATTGCTTAAGCTATTACTGTCACCAATTTACTATTGCACGTATTCAGGCAAAGCCAGAATGTAAAGTTTGCTTTCCTTTAGAACATTCTTTGCAAATTGTAAGCTGATATTGGAAAACCAGGCGAGGTTTGCTTCTAGGTCTCTTTGACTTTCTTCTCTCTTTAGGGAAGAGGGAAGTTATAAAAGCAACCATTAATTTTGATGGAAAAGAGAACAGCTTTCAGATTGGTACCTGAAAGGAGGAGGCAATATTTCTTCTTCTTTGTAGAAGTAGTTTCCCCTTTACTTTGGCAAGCTTTCCTGATGTGCGTGGCTGGAACTTTTTCTGAGATTATTTCATGCTCCTACAATAGGTTATGACAAGAATCATTTAATTTAAACTGGATTCAATTTTTATTTACAACAAGCAAATATAAAAAGAGCCTAAATGAACCACCTAATTATTTTCCTTATTTATTCACTTTACAATAGTGATAAGCTAGCCATTCACAGGGTAAAAAAATTACCAACTGTAGCTGGGAAAGGTAGTCAAACTTGGTTGACTCTAGGTTTTTATGATGAAGGGACAGGTTAAAGTGTCCCTTAAGTTATCATTAGTGAGAGTCACAAAATGGAAATTATAACATATTTCAATGCAAAAATAAAGTAAAAACTTATTGGAAAAGTGTAAAACAATATTTCTTTAACATAATAAAACCAAGAAACTGTATTCTCTAAAGATTTTCAAGCTAGGGAGACATTTATTGGGGATTTTTTGGTAAAAGATCATCTCATCTAGGCAAGAGTTTAAGCAGCTTTTATCACATGATGAGAGTGGGCATAGCTTAGCTTTTCCACACCAGAACATTTCCCAACAATAAAGTCATTGATCAGGTACCAGGATAACAGGATTAACCAAACTCTCCAGCTTGCCTCAGTTATTCATGTATTAATATATAGGACAGAAACTCCCAAGAATGCTACTATTTCTCAGATGAAGTCTCAATAATGCTGCCTTAAGGAGATGATGAAGATGAATACATAATAATCATTCACATTTACATGCCATGTTAGAATTTTTATTTACTTCTTTGTGTTATATAGAAAATTACCAACCATGACTGAGAAGGTGGTCAATCTGGGTTGCCTATATTATGAAGTTTGTATTATGAATGAGTTTGAAAAGATTTGAGGCCTGTAATATTTAAACATTTAAAAACACAATAGATGTGAATACATTGTTTTATTTCATTGTAATCTTCAAGTGATTCCATGAATAAGAAGAGTAATTATTTTTATTCTCATTTTATAGATGAGGAAAATGAATTCCACAGGGCATAGGTGATTTGGCAAATGCTGTATAAGTGAATGAGGCAATAGGAAACTGAACTTTCCTTTGTTGACCCCAAGGCCTTAAGTTATTCTTTTGTAAACCTTTGATTGAAGGTGACATTCCCGATCCACCAGGAAATGGGCATGAATGCTGAGCTGTTCCTGCAGAGGTCACGTGTTTGCTGGGGTCTAGTCATACACTCTCCCAGTTCTCCTGGTAACCATTTGCCTATAATGGTGAGGGGACTGAATATGTTAGATTGTGGTCTAAGGTAAAGAAACAGAGAAAGCCTGATGCTCAAACAAGGGAGTAAGCACATGAGCAAAAATCATGCTGGAGAAAGTTGTGATCCAGTTTAACAATTCAACACTTCACAAGCATGTGCTGTGTGCCAGGACCACTGCCAGGAGCTATTAATAGAGATGAAAGGCACAATTTCTGCTCTGGAGAAACTCACAGTTTGGAGGGGTAGATAATTAGAAGACAGCGTGACAAATGCAGTATGCAAAGGGTGTTATGGGAGCCCACAGTTAGAAATCTATACTCCAGCTGGAGCTAGGAAATAAGACTGGGGGAGGGAACTAGGAAATGCTTTCCAAAGAGTCAATCTGAGAAGAATCTTAAAGAAGTAGAAGTTAGCCTGGCAGAGGAGGAAAGGGAAAGAATGGACAATTCATGTACAAAGGTGTGGGGGCAAGTGAGAGCACAGAAGATTCAAGCAGGTACCAGTCGTATTAGTCTGTTTTTACACTGCTGATGAAGACATATCTGAGACTGGGTAATTTGTAAAGAAAAAGAGGTTTAATGGACTCACAGTTCCTTGTGGCTGGGAAGGTCTCACAATCATGGTGGAAGGTGAAAGTCACCTCTTACCTGGAGGCAGACAAGAGAAAATGAGAACCAAGTGAAAGAGGTTTCCCCTTATCCAACCATCAGATCTCATGAGACTCATTCACTATCACAAGAACAGTATGGGGGAAACTGTTCCTGTGATTCAGTTATCTCCCAACAGGTCCCTACCACAACACATGGGAATAATGGGAGCTACAATTCAAGATGAAATTTGGGTGGGCACAGAGCCAAACCCTATCACCAATGCATCCCTGGTGGGCTTGGGATATAGAAGGAGATGAGGTTGGAAAGAGACAGAACCAGATTAAAAATGGTAAATGCCAGATTAAGTCAGGAGTTTGTGCTTTATTCAGCAGACAAGGGAGAGCAACTCCAAGTGTTTTTTTTTATATGGGTAAAATTCACATACCATAAAATGAATTATTTAAAAGTGTACATACAATTCAGTGGCTTTTTGTACATTCACGTGTTGTGCAACTACCATCTCTATCTAGTTCCAAAACATTTAATCACCTGAAAGGAAACCCATTAAAGAGTCACTCCCATTCTCATTTTTCCTCAGCCCCTGGCAACTGCTAATTTATCTGTCTCCAAGGATTTACTATTCTGGATATTTCATATAGATGGAATCATGCAATCTGTGACCTTATGTATCTGCTTCTTTCACTTAGTATAATGTTTTTGAGGCTTATCCATGTTGTACCATATATCAATACTTCATTCCTTTTATGGCTGAGTGATATGCCATTGTATGTACCACATTTTGTTTATCCGTTCAAGAGGTCATGGACATTTAGGTAGTTTCTACCTTTTCACTACTATGAATAGTGCTGCTATGAACATTTGTATACAAAATCTTGTTTGAATACCTGCTTTCAATTCTTTGGGTATATAATTAGGAGTAGAGTTGGGTCATGTAGTAATTCAATGCTTAACTTTTTGAGGAACTGCCAAACTGTTTTCCACAATGACAAGGGTGATTGTAAATTCCTATCAGCAATGAACAAGCATTATCCATAGCCCTGTCAATGTGTGTCATTTTCCATTTTAAGAAATTATAGCCATCCCAGTGGGTATGAAGTGCTATCTTACTGTGGTTTTGGTTTTACATATCTCTAATGATTGCTGATGTTGAATAACTTTTTATATACTTGTTGTCCATTTTTATGCCTTCTTTGAAGAAATATCTATTCAAATTATTTACCTATTCTTAAATTGAATTGTCTATTTGTTGTTGAGTTGTAGAAGTTCTTTGTTAGCCTCTTATCACATGTGGGAATTGTAAATATTTCCTCCCATTCTGTGGGTTATCTTTTCACTCTCTTGATAGTGTCCTTTGATGCACAAATGTTAGTGTTAATAAAGTCCAGCTTATCTACTTTTGTTGTTGCTTGTGCTTTTGGTGTCATATCTAAGATCCTTGCCAAATCCATGTTTATTTAGATTTATCCCTATATTTTCTTCTAAAAATTTTATAGTTTTACCTCATACATTTAGGTCTTTAACCCATTTTCAGTTAATTTTTATATATGGTGTGAGGCAAGAGTCTAACTTCATTGTTTTGCATATGGATATCTAGTTCTCTAGTCTCATATCTTTAAGAGATTATTATTTCTCCATTGAATGTCTTGTTATCCTTTTTGAAATCAATTGACTATATATGTATGAGTTTATTCTTCATTCTCAATTCTATTCCATTGATTGATATGCTGTTTTGATTACTGAAGTTTTGTAGTAGTTTTGAAATTGGGAAGTGTGAGTCCTCCAACTTTGTTTTTCTGTTTGAAGATTGTTTTGGCTATTGGAATTCCATTGGAATTTTAGGACCTTTTCCATATCTGCAAAAAAAAGACTGCTGGGACTTTGATAGGGATTGCATTGAATCTATAGATTACGTTGGGGAGACATTGTTTTCCTGGTTTTCTTTAGTTCTTTGTTATCTTTTTGGTGTTATCTTTTATAAACATATTTAAGACAGTTGGCTTATAGTCTTTGTTTAGTAAGTCCAATGCCTATGCCTTCTTCCTCAAGAACAGTTTCTATTAATGTCTTTTTTCCTGTGAATAAACCGTACTTTTTTGTCTCTTCGTGTGTCTAGTAATTTTTTTTTTTTGAAAACTCAACATTGTGAGTATTACAGTGTGGCAGCTCTGAAAATCAGATTCTCCCTATTCCCTGGGTTTTGGTGTTGCTGCCTGTTTGGGGTTATTTTTGTTTGCTTGTTCAGTGACTTTTCTAAATTATCTGTACTAGTCTGTTCTTGCACTGCTATGAAAAAATACCTCATTTTACTTCATACATTTGTATGCATAATTTATAAAGAAAAGAAGTTTAATTGGCTCCCAGTTGCACAGGCTCTACAGGAAGCATAGTGGCTTCTGCTTCTAGGAGGCCCCAGGAAACTTACAATCATGGCAGAAGGCAAAGGGGAAGCAGGTATGTCTTACATGGCCAAAGAAGGAGCGAGAGAGAGGGGAGGTGCACACTACACGCTTTTAAACAACCAGATCTCATGATAACTCACTCACTATCACAAAAACAGCACCAAGGGGATGGCACTAAGCCATTCATGAAGGACCACCCCCATGATCCAGTCACCTCCCACCAGGCCCCACCTTTAACACTGGGGATTACAATTCAACATAAGATTTGGTGGGGACACAGAACCAAAGTATATCACTATTTTTATAAATTCTGTATTCTTTGTCATGTTTGGCTACTGAAATCTGTGTTCTATTAACTTAGTGGCCATCTAGTGTTTTGACAGAGTTTTCCTAAATGCCTGGAGCCAACAAAAGAATATAAAATACTTTCCCAATCTTTGCAGATTGGCTGTCTGTGAGAGCATGGTATCAGTGCTTAGCTAGACCACTGTGTGTGTGTGTGTGTGTGTGTGTGTGTGTGTGTGTGTGTGTGTGTGTGTGTATAGATAGAGTTTCACTATGTTGCCCATACCAGACTGAAACTCCTAGGTTCAAGCAATTCTCCCACCTCAGCCTCTCAAGTAGCTGGGACCATATGCATACATTGTCATACCAGCTCAGGCCATTTTTTCAACTCTGTCTTAGCCTTCAGTTCCTGCTTGTTCAGAATCTGAAGGTCAGTGAGAGGTGAAAGCTTAGGGTCTTCTCAAGACTTTTCTGAACCTTCAGCCAGCTCTAGGTATGTGTGTAGTCTTTTCAATTCCCCTATATATAGGAAATGTTAAAAAGTCTTTATCTTCTCCCGTATCTCTTTTCCCTATGCATTTCTTCCAAGTTTTTTAGTCTGTCTGTTGCTTGTCCTGACTCCTTGCTCCAGGCTCCTGTGGTGAATAGCTTTGTTTTTGGAAACATTGCCCAAGAAGCCTCCTCAGCCCTGGGGATGCTCTGCATCAAGCAAAACAAAGGCAAACCTTGTACCTTCAGAGAGTCATCAAAGAGGTCGAAACAGACAACCACAATTATTTGACAATAATATCCAAATTGCCCCCTTTTGCAGTAGCAACCTGTACCTGGAGTATGTGCTACCATCTTCATGGCTGCTGCTGACTGGGGAGGAGGGGATGGTAGATGAACAATCCAAAATGCCATAGTACTCTCTTACCACGGTGCAGCAACTTCTTTCATCAAGTTTGCCCTGGTGGTTGTAAACTTTTAATTAAATTCCGGAGTTCTGCGAAGGTTGATTCTGACAGTTTTTATTAGCTTATTGGTTTCATTTTTTAAATTAAAAATTTTTAAAAATGTATTGTGTTTTTATACATGTATATATATAAAATTAGATTTTCCATTTTAATCATTTTAAAGTATAAAATTCAGTTGTTTAATTGCATTCATATTGTCGAGCAAATACTACTGTCTGTTAGTTGCTTTTATAAAGGGATGGAGCCCTAAAATTCCCTATCTGCCATTTTTTTGGCAATGTCACTTTCTACTTTAGGTCTTCAAGGAAATAAATAGTGTGGAGTGACATGTGTTAGAAAAATTAGAGGGGCCGGGTGCAGTGGCTCACGCCTGTAATCCCAGCACTTTGGGAGGCTGAGACAGGTGGATCACCTAAGGTCAGGAGTTTGAGACCAGCCTGACCCACATGGAGAAACCCTGTCTCTACTAAAAATACAAAATAAGCCAGGCATGGTGGCGCATGCCTGTAATCCCAACTACTCAGGAGGCTGAGGCAGGAGAATCTCTTGAATCTGGGAGGCGGAGGTTGCGGTGAGCCGACATCACGCCATTGCACTCCAGCCTGGGCAACAAGAGCAAAACTATCTCAAAAAAAAAAAAAAAAGAAAAAAAGAAAAGAAAAGAAAAAGAAAAATTAGAATTCGTAACTAAATATTCATTAAAATACAGAGTGCATTGGACCTGTCAGTACTATTTTTTTAACTTCCTGTGAATCTATAAGTATTTCAAAATAAAATGTTAAAAACATATAATAATGTATTTCAGGTTCATATATTATATTTATATCTGTATATATACGTACATACATACATACATTCAGCTATTTGAAGGGGGAAAAGCCTAACCTCAAAATAGCAGATGAAACCAGTGACAAAAGAATACGGGAATAGTATACATAGTTTCCAAAGAAAATCTTGGAGTCATGCATGCCAAAAGAGTAGTCAGGAGATAATCACACTGAGTACTGAACAAACCTGGAAGAACGTTTGGTTTGACTGGAAATTTTTTAAAAAGATAGAGTTGGAATGGGTTTTAAAAGATGCTCCTGCAAGACTGAGTTGATTATATTTTCACCGTTAAAGCAAATTTGGCATCAAGTAAATAAATATACTTGGACACACACATACACACAAACTTAGCAAGAACTAAGAAAGAAGATGCTAGAACTCTAAAATAAATATAGGCTACCAGAGAGGGATCAAATAGCACTCTAGGGATTGTAAAGGAGAAAAGCAATTATTCTTTACTCTCTTAAGCTTAGTGACTATGGCACTGCAAATTAAACTGGCAAAAGACAGATTAATAGAAAAAAGGCATACGTGTTTTATTTAATGTTAATGTTTTATTTTTGTGTGTACACAGAAGTCTTACAGAAAAGAAAGTAAAAATCCCAAGAAGCAGTTAGGCCTGACAGCTTATATACCATTTTAACAAAGAGAAATAAATTTGTGAAGAAGTGACAAGACAAAGAAAAAGGATTTGGCATTTCCATGCCATTGTTTCCCAATAGCAACTGAAAAAACAAAAGGCACCAAGATCATTATTGCTTTGTTTCCATCTTTAAAATCACATGCAAGTACTTTAATTATGGAACTTAGTTTGCATCCAGAACCTGACCTGGAAGAGACCAAGGAATGTGATTTTTAGCTTTGCAGCCCCTGGAGATGGAAACACACATGAGAAGAAATGGGGATGGATAGTAAGGGCCAATTGATCCTATTCAGGCCTGCTGTAGTTGAGACATGTCTTCTGTTTTCATTTGTTCTTTTGATTAGCAGTTTTATTACACCAAGGTCAGAAATAGAAAGGCAAAAACCTTACAGATCATTCCATGCCAACCCTTTAATTTTGCAGATGAGGAAACTGAGACCTAGAATATTTAAGTGACCTGCTCCAGATCCCACAGATAATTAATGGCAAATCTTAATTCCTTGTCAAGAGCCTTTTCATTTAACTAATTTGTGTACGTTCTCCTATGTTTCAAAGATAATCTAAAGTGGCTTACAGATATAAAAAACAATACAGGAGAATAATATTAGAAAAAAAATATAAAACATGAGACACACAGGAGGGAAGGGAGCATCACACCAAGGAGCCAGGACTTTATCCACATAAAAGTGGATAATTTAGACTCCTGAAGAGAAAGCAAAGACCCATTCTGGGATTGAATCTAATTTTAAGGTGTTTGGTTAATGAATTTAACCTCAATTTTTGTATGTTAAAAAGAGTGTCTTTCTATTTTAGCACAATAATAGTAATTCCTTAGTTTAAAAAAATACTTAATAGTGATTTTAAAAGCTAGTTTTTTTTTGTTTTTGTTTTTTGTTGTTGTTGTTTGTTTTTTTAACACAGAGAAACCAAAAGGCTAAAGGGACCCCACAGAAAGGTTAGGTGGCTGAGGCAGTAGTGATTTGTTCCATGGCAGGGGTAACATTACCCTTAAAGGGTTGGAAGAGGAGATGCCAATATCTGGAATTAACATAGGTCAGCATTTCACAGTCAAGGACTATCTGTGCGCCTGTCAAAACTGCCAGCTGAAGGCTGCGGAGATGATTTGGGAGGAAGTGACATGCCAAACAGCAGTTTGATTTCATGATTAATTTAAAATTGGCAAATAAAGTTGCCCATCAATAGCCAAATAACAAAAATAGAAGGAACACCAAGTGTAAATTACTAGCTTTGTGTTTATCTACAATGTATTTTGGAAAATTAATATATTAAAATGAAAATTACAATGTATTTTATATTTTGGAAGTTAATAACTTCTTTTCTTCTTACCACCTAGCTCCCTTCCTCCACATTAATTTTTTTTCCCTAGAATGCAATTTGATGTTCTCTCCAACCTGCTCTAATTGCGATTAAACCCTGGGGAAGTTATCTTTTCAAATGCCAGAAAATAAGTTAGTGCCCAAGGGAATGGTAAAGCTGGAAACGTGATGTGACTAATCACCAGACCAGCTTTTTCTCCTCCAGAACAAAAGAAGGTCTGGGAAGATGGTATCACTCATATCAAATCTCACATAGGAAGCCCTGGTGTTCACTTTCCCAAAAAAATAATTGTTTTGCATTCTTTGGATCATCTGACAAACTGCTTTCTGGTGTATTAATTTGCTGCCACACTAAAAAAGTAATAAATCAATAGCCAGCTTTGTTTAGAAAGCAGGGAAAAGTAGTGCTCACTTGAGGAACCACATAAGACTTTAGAAAAGGGATTAAGCTCTTGAAATAAAGAAAAATAATAATAATAATGCATTTGGGAGGACCTTTAATGACCCAAGAAGAAGGCCAAATAGTAAGAATTGGAGAGAAACTTACATATAATTAGTCCCAGACAAGTCTCATTTTGCACAGGTTGGTATTGCAGGCAAGATGCTAAGAATCCTTAGCTGTACTGGAGTAGTGGTCCATGAACCAGATAAGATGGTCAGACATGGCCACTTGGGTGAGAATGGTAAGTTCATGAAAGCTCATGGCATAAAGAAAGAAGTAGCTTTGCCATCAGAGAGGCGTGATTCTGAATTCCAGCTTTGTTACATACTAACTGAGCTTGCCTGAGCAAGTAACTTCAACTCCCTGAGTGTCAGTTTCCTCATCTATAAATCTGAAATAATTGCCCTCCCCATGCTCTTACAAACATAATGCAATGTTTCGAAAGTGACTGGTACATGATAGTTGATAAATATTGGTGATTATTGTTAACAAGGAGACTTTTTGAGGCATGTGACTAATTAGGAAAGAAGAATAGGAAGCAGGTTGAAATTATTATTATTATCTTTTTTTTGGTCAATTGAGCAATTTCTGGATTACAGAGAAACTCTTAACTCAAGATGGATTAAAGACCATAAAAACCCTAGAAGAAAACCTGGGCAATACCATTCAGGACATAGGCATGGGCAAAGACTTCATGACTAAAACACCAAAAGCAATGGGAACAAAAGCCAAAATTGGCAATTGGGATCTAATTAAACTAAAGAGCTTCTGCACAGCAAAAGAAACTATCATCAGAATGAACAGGCAACCTACAGAATGGGAGAAAATTTTTGCCATCTATCAATCTGACAAAGGGCTAATATCCAGAATCTACAAAGAACTTAAACAAATTTACAAGAAAAAAACAAACAACCCCATCAAAAAGTGGGCGAAGGATATGAACAGACACTTCTCAAAAGAAGACATTTATGTGGCCAATAAACATAGGAAAAAAAGCTCATCCTCACTGGTCATTAGAGAAATGCAAATCAAAACCACAATGAGATACCATCTTACGCCAGTTAGAATGGCAATCATTAAAAAGTCAAAAAGCAACAGATGCTGGAGAGGATGTGGAAAAATAGGAACGCCTTTACACTGTTGGTGGGAGTGTAAATTAGTTCAACCATTGTGGAAGACAGTGTGGCGATTCCTCAAGGTTCTAGAACCAGAAATATCATTTGATGCAGCAATCCCATTACTGGATATATACCCAAAGGATTATAAATCATTCTACTATAAAGACGCATGCACATGTATGTTTATTGTAGCACTATTCACAATTGCAAAGACTTGGAATGAACCCAAATGCCCACCAATGATAGACTGGATAAAGAAAATGTGGCACCTACACACCATGGAATACTATGCAGCCATAAAAAAAGATGAGTTTATGTCCTTTGCAGGGACATGGATGAAGCTGGAAACCATCATTCTCAGCAAACTAACACAGGAACAGAAACCAAACACCACATGTTCTCACTCGTAAGTGGGAGTTGAACAATGAGAACACATGGACACAGGGAGGGGAACAACACTCACTGGGACCTGTCGGGGGGGTGGGGGGCTAGGGGAGGGATAGCATTAGGAGAAATACTTAATGTAGATGACGGGTTGATGGGTGCAGCAAACCGCCACGGCATGTGTATACCTATGTAACAAACCTGTACGTTCTGCACATGTATCCCAGAACTTAAAGTATTAAAAAAAAAAAAAAAAAGAAAAGCACATGGTAAGTTGCTAGAGTCACTGGAGGGAAGTCAATTATTTATTTGAGGAAAATAGTGTCCAATTTGTCAGGAGAAAACAATTTGACATTTTTGGGAAATGTGAGAAAAGTTAGGTCAAAATATAAAAATGTGGAAATTATTAAATGGATGAGATAGGGTGCTTGGTGGTATGTGGGAGAGTGTGAAATAAGTTGTCCTTACATAATTGGAGATAGGTGGGTAAGAAATGTTATATCTAGGCTGGATTTCAGGGATTTGTATCATTCTTTGTGAGGGAAATTACCATTCAAAATGACATTAAACATTTTTGTAAGCAAGTATTCTTTCTGAATAAAGCATAAAGGAAAAAAAAGGATATTGACAATCAGTTTACCAAGGAAACTGGGGAAGCTGAAAAGTTAGGCCAGGTAAGAAATTAAAAACTTCCATTATCTACTTGCCAGTTACCAGGCTGCCTAATTCAGGAGGAAATGCATCAGTGAGGTTTTAGGATGAGACAAATGACTAATTCTAACAAAGGGGAATAACCCCTCATGGCATAAAGTGTTTGTGTCATGAACAAGAACTGGTTTAGTCAGGAATACATGCGTGATCCTTTAGGTAATCATAGCACCATTACGTCCAACATTTTAGCAAGGTGAGGTAAAGCAAAAGACACCGATTTAAATACAACTCAAGAACAGATCAGAAATCTTGGCTGAAATGGATTTTAAAATAACTTCTAAAAAAGCCTAGAGGCTAACTAAAAACGTTAATGCAAACACATGAAAATTGTTTGCCAAAAATAAAATGTCCAGGTATTAGGGATGAATTAAAGATTAGGTAATTAAATAAATAATTTTAGAAGCACATTGCAAAGTTTTCTGAAATCAGTAATAACAAGATTATTTTTAAATATATCAGATCACAAGCTATGTAGATACAGAAAAGTTATATTGTGGATAAAAAAGAAATAATGTAGAGCCAATGAATTCACTTATTCTTTTTTTCCTGATAAGAAAAGTGATCACCATATAAAAAAGAATTCAGAAAAGACAGATTTTTCTCCCTTTTTCTGACTTTTTATTACCTGAAAAATTTGAAAACATTTCAAATTTGTAATGAAACCCAGTTTTAAGGAAAACTGCTTGAAAAAAGTTCCATAGCTTTTTTATTTTTTATTTCAAAGGAAGATGTTAGAGAAAGATGTTAAGGCTGAACTCCATTTCCAAATTAATATTGGAAGCAGATAGTTGTGAGGTATGAAGGAAAAAGTCAGGGCACAGCAAGATCACTGGAAGTGGCTGATAACCACCCAAGATCTTCTAATGGACTCCAAACAGGGCTATTGTTCAAGACATAACAGCTGTGCATTGGGCCACTGTGGCAGTGGCTGCCATGTGACTCCAAATGCTCTAGGGGTAGTGGTTAGAACCTGCTGGTAAGCCTATAAAGTCTGTGATGAAAGGTAAGATTCCAAATAAGCAACAGGTGAAATATTTTTGGGGGTTCTGGCAACAATGCTAGTACAGAGAAAACTGTGTCTGATTAATCTGCTAGTTATTTCTAGAAACAGTTTAATTAAAATTTTTTTCAATCGTGAAAGCAATGTATCCTCATTGGGAAGAAAAGGAAATACAGAAAAGTATAAAGAAGAAAATAAAAATCCGTTATCATCATCCCACTACTCAGCAATACCCATAATAATGTCTTGAAGTGTATGCTTACAGTTTTCCCCCATACATATGTTTTCTGTCTTTTGTAAATTTTGTATAAAAATAAGATAGTACTATTTTGTGGTACGCATCTTTCACATAAAAACATACAAAATGCAAATCTATGTCAAAAAATATATAGATTTTTTCTAATAGTGGTATTGCTTGGATATTACGTAGTTTATGTAACTAATCTTCTATCTTTTAAATATGTAAATTATTTCAAGTTGCATAATTTAAATAAATTACTTTTAAAATCAGATATTTGGCATTCAGTATATTCTTTATGTGTATTAATCCATACATATTTCTGAATCACATTATACCCTCAGAGTATAATATTATGCTCTGTGCAGCATCTAGCATATCAGACAATGATAGTATCTTTATCCATACTCTGGAAGGGATTTTAAAGCCCTGGCATGCAATATTTCACTGTTGAAAACAATGCAAAGCCAAACATCCTTGCTTGCTTATTTCTTAGGATGAATTTCTAGAAGTTGAATTCCAAGGCAAAAGGGGATGCACATTTTTAAGGCTTTTGCTATATACTGTGAAACTGGCCTCTTGAAAGGTAAGCCAGTTCAGCCCCATACGCCATTTCCCCACACTCTTCTCAACACTGTATATATTTACCTACCATTCTGTTTAATCTTTATGAAGCTGATGGGTTAAAAAATGCATCTCATTCTAATTTGCAGCCCTTCAATTACTAATGAGGTTGACTATTTTCTTACAGCAATTTGTCTATCTTTTTCTTAGGAATTGTTAATACATATTCTTTCTGTGAAATTTCTGGGGGAGTATTATGTGGTGCAAACAATGGGAGAATCCACTGATTTAATTTATTTTTATAAGAATGTTAAGTTTCTGGGAGGCAAGGCCATGTCAGCAATGAGTTGGACTCCTGGACTCACTGCTGATTTGTGTTAATGATAGGGCCTTAACTTGTAGGGAAAGACTGATCTGACATCTTAAAATATGATCAGAAAAGGAAAGGGTGTCATGGGCTTAATAATACACTGTTGGGAGCAGAATACGGGAACATCTCCTGAGACTGTGTGAAGAGATAGAAAATGGTAGCTAAGACTAAAATGTTGCTGGTAAAGTATTATAGTGGTGGTAGGAAACACTTACTTCAAATACTTTCAAAAACATTTCATTTCCACTCAAAGTCTTTAAAAGCCAACTGTTCAATGTTTTCCAGATCACTGTTTTTTAAAAAATTAACATACAGTAAAATAGACTTTTTCATGGTGTTAATTCTATGAATTTTAACACGTGTAGATTTAACCACCACCACAGTTAGGATGTGGAACACTTACATCTCCCCCCAAAACTTCTTTGTGCTACCCTTTCGTACCCACACCTGTCCTCTTGGCAACCACTGGTCTGTTTTCTGTCACTTCAGTTTTGTCTTTTCAAGAGTGTCATATAATTTTACATTCCCATCAGCAATATATGAGTGATCCAGTTTTCCATATCCTCACCAGCACTTGGTATTGTCAATATTTTTTATGTTAGCCATTGGGATAGGTGTATGGTGGTATGTCATCATGGTTTTAATGTGAGTTTCCCTAGTAGCTAGTGATGTTGAGCGTCTTTAATTTGGCACCCATATCTCTCCTCTGGATAAGTCTCTGTTCAAGTCTTTTGCCTGTTGTTAAATTGGGATATTTCCTTACTGTTGAGTTTTGAGAATTCTTTATACATTCTGGATATAAGTGCTTTGTAGGATATGCAATTTGCAAATATTTCCTCTCAGTTCTTCTATTATTATTATTATTTTTAGACAGTCTCGATCTTGTTGCCCAGGCTGGAGTGCAATGGCACGATCTCAACTCACTGCAACCTCTGCCTCCTAGGTTCAAGTGATTCTCCTGCCTCAGCCTCCTGAGTAGCTGGGATTACAGGTGCCTGCCACCACGCCTGGCTAATTTTTGTACTTTTAGTAGAGACAGGGTTTTGCCATGTTGGCCAGGCTGGTCTCCAACTCCTGACCTCAAGTGATCCGCCTGCCTCAGCCTCCTAAAGTGCTGGGATTACAGGTGTGAGTCACTGTGCCCGGCCTTTCTATTTTCTTAACAGTGCCCTTCATATAGTAAAAGTGTCAGATTCTGGTGAAGTCTCAGGATCTGTCTTGAATATGCTGTGTGGATGCTGGTGGGTGATTCAAGCTCCCAATCTCAATCTCCCCCTCATCTCATCCCCATATAGTATGTGGTCTCCACACCCAATTCCCAGGACTTCCCCTTCACCTCTCCTGCTCACAAAAGTCAATTCCATTGTTAATTACATAATGCAAATAAATACTTGATTTGCTTTCAAAATTAATTCAGCATGAGGCATGTTTATTACATGTTTATACATATATATGTTTACCCATTTCAAAGTCATATACCTTTTGGAGGTAGACACTTGGTCTTCTATTCTTGCCTGAGCAACACCTGGAATATCAGAAGATGATAGAGTATCATCACTGGAAGGACTTAGAACCCTGGTCCTAAACATGTAGCCTGTGGATCAGCAGCATCAGCATTGCCTGGGGGCCAGTAGAAAGTCAAACTGTGACCCTACCCCAGGCCTATGAGTTAGAATTTGTATTTTAATGAGATCCCCAGGTGCACATTAAAGTTTTTGAAGCAAGCTGTACAGCTCATCTGGTTCTCACTCTTACTTTCCAAAGAAAGATACTGAGGTCCAGAGAGAACAAGGCTAGCCTTCCAGGCCAGTGGTAACTGGGGCTACAACCAGGGTGAGAACCCAGCCCTCTTTCTCCATGGCTTGTGTGTTCTGCACAGCACCACCTGCCTCCAGCGTTTTGGATGACTGTACACCTCAGCCTGTATGGGGAGCATCTGCATTTGTCCTAATGTGGTCTTTCTCCAAAAAGACTCCTGTCACTTCTTATTTCCAATATCCCCTAGGGATATCCAACTTTCAAAATGTAGACTTCTAAATTTTCATAGAGAAATGAACTAAACACTCTTTGGGGGAATAAAGTGATTCTTTTCCCCTTGCATTTGTTTACTTCTCTGTAAGCTCCTGAGATGGCTAACACACTAGTTGTTAATCACACCATCTGTTCAAACAGCATTTCTAAATCATTCGATTCATACTTTTCTTTTTAAGGAATTTTTTTTTTCTGAACAATATGTTTGTGCCTGTGTTCCTCCCATCATTTGGCAATGCAGTTTGAGCTATTTAAACTTTCCTATTTATTGTAAATGGCTTTTCAATCAGCAAATATTTTTTTAAATGTTCATACACCACAAAAAGCTGTGTCTACTGACTTTTCAAACATTGGAAACAGTAGAAAAATCTGTTCCAGTCTGTCTGCTGTCAAATTTTTAACCATCTGATTATATTTCAATGAAGTGTTTAGGAAGATGATTTATCTGGCTGACCCTGGGAAATTTTCCTCATTGGCCCTGAAGATGGCAGTGCTCTGCAATTTAGTACAACTCTTCACTTTTTTTTTCCCCCTCCTCTAAAAGGAATTTCTGGAATGGCAGAAAGTGGGGGAGGATTCACTAAATCTGAACCTTCTAACGCTTAGCATAAACCTCTTCTGAACCCTGGGACAATTTGGTTTATCTTTTGGTCCCTTTTTGTTGTTGTTGTTTAAAGCTGTACCCAATGCATTTCCTGTTTCCAGCCCGGATCAGAAATGGAAATAGTTTAAAGGTTATTCTCATATCATGGGTAACCAGGAAGTGCCTATATAGCTTACTGAGAAGCTGCTTTTCACAAGACTGCTTAGCTTTAAAAACAAACAAACAAAAAAATCTAACAAAGGCTCAATCCAAGATAAGCAGGAGCTAAGAATACTGGCGATTCTGAATTCCTACTGGACCACATCTTTGGGAGCCGGCCTCTCCTGGTTTCCTCTTCTTTTTTTTTTTTTTTTTTTTTTTTGAGACGGAGTCTCGCTCTGTCGCCCAGGCCGGGCTGCGGACTGCAGTGGCGCAATCTCGGCTCACTGCAAGCTCCGCTTCCCGGGTTCACGCCATTCCCCTGCCTCAGCCTCCCCAGTAGCTGGGACTACAGGCGCCCGCCACCGCGCCCGGCTAATTTTTTGTATTTTTAGTAGAGACGGGGTTTCACCTTGTTAGCCAGGATGGTCTCTATCTCCTGACCTCATGATCCACCCGCCTCGGCCTCCCAAAGTGCTGGGATTACAGGCGTGAGCCACCGCGCCCGGCCGGTTTCCTCTTCTTAACAACGGAGGCCTGCTGCCTGCTGACATTCTTTATATTTCATAGCGGGGTCTGGAGGGGTTTAGAGGGACACATGCTCAGGCTTCAGGCAGGATAGACCAGAGGGCAATTTCTTGGTCCTGTCATTGTTAGGGTATGGACATGGGAACAGAGGCGGGGACAGGAGTGTGTAGCCTTACCCAACTTTCTTTTGGGATTGTGAAAGTTTGGTGACAATTCAGCTAGCCAGAAAACATTTATTAAAAACAATTAGGGGAGAGGCCTTATATTAAATGTTGTTATAAATAATAATAAACAGCAATATTACGTGCCATAAGCCAATTCCCTTGATAAATATTTTAGCAACATCTCATTTAATCTTTACCCACAACTGTATGAGGTAGGTAATATACCTATTTTTTTTTAATATGTTAACTGAGGGACAGAGGGGATAGGAAATGTGGTTAAGGTCCCACAACTTGTATGTAAAGTTGTTGAGTAAAATGTCCTATGGCATTGCCTAGGGCACTCCTCAAAGTGTGGTCCCTAGACCTGCACCATTGGCATCACTGGGGAACTTGTTAGAAAGGCAAATTCTCCATCTGCGCCTGGGACCTGCTGAATCTGAAACTCTAGTGGTGGAACCTGACCATCTGTGTCTTAACAAGCCCCCCCAAGTGATTCTGATGCACATTAATGTTTGAAAACCATTGGACTGGACTAGGCAGTTATCTGTGGTAACTTGGCAGAAAAAGATGGCGCTCCAGTGCCAAAGTGCTGAATGCTGTGGAAGGGAAGTCCTCACTAGCTGCCAGTGGGAAGGATGGACAGGTAGCATAGCCCCTAATGTACATCCTTGTTTGGGCGAAGGCTGGGCTGGCTTTAAACTTGCTTCTACTCTTGTCCTTGAGGTGAAGGGCATCTTCCAGGAGGACATTTCTCTCACATCACTTCCCACCACCTATTTTCCAAACCTTCCCCCAGGCCTGGGGAATTCTTCTCTGGCTTTGAGGGGATGAAGGGATTGGAGATGGAGGTATAAATGAGGACAACTACCAAGGAATCATCTCATTTTCTTCTAAATCTTTCACTCGCCTTTTGAAAGTCCAAAGCCAGGAAAAGATTCCTTTCTTTTCTACTTTCTGTGATCTTCTCCTCTATCAGACAATGAGCTTGGAACAGGTGGAATGGAAGGTGAAGAGAGATAAAAGTAGGAAGGAGAATATACTGCTTAGTGTTTCAAAATTATTGCAACACACTGGAATCCAAACTACTAGGTTTTTCATACTCCTCCTCAAAATGCCTTGGGCAGAGATCTCGGCACACAGGAATAGAGCTATCTCTGAGTTCTTGAAAGTGATTTGAGAAGCTCCACTTACATCTTCTCAGTGGAAAAAATCTCTCCTCTGTCAAGGATCTAATGTAACTTGTTTCTTCTTAGAAGTTTGCTCTTTTAAGTAAAGCTTAGATCTATTTGGACATTTATTATTTAGAATGCAAATTTCTTCCTAAAGAATACACCTTACTTTGCCAGATGCTTGCTGGGAATACCCTTCTCTTTCTTTCCATCTGTCCTCTCTAAATCCCTCCTTCAGCATCCATCTTAATTTTAAACTACGCTTTAAAATATTTGCTGATCACTCCAGCCAGTATTGCTCTCTGCCTTTTCTTACCACTTATATCACTTACATGTTTGCTTTCAATTTAGAAACTTCTTTTATACTGTCTTATTTTATTTTCTATTTCAAGTCAGATTATTTCATGTATAAACATGTTTTGTCTCCTCTAAACATTATAATCTTACAGGGATGGGAATCCCTTCAGTTAAGGAGGAAACGACTTCCTCTCTATCACTTCATGATAATGTGAATGCTGAGGTTATTTTAAGATTGCGTTGTACTGTGGATCTGTATTTGGGACTAGGTCATACCCACACCAGGGACGCAGCTGCAGCTGAAAAGTAAGGTTAAGCCTAGTGTCTGTCACTAAGGGAAGGAACATATGTATTAGACCAGCACAGACGGCGCAGGAGAGAGGAAGGGAGTGCTGTCCTGGGCTTGACTTTGAGGGAGGGTTGAGATATCTATGGTGTGTAGAAGTGAAGGGGAGGTGGGGAGATTGTGGTCGTGAGGTGTGTTAAAGCCAGTATCTGTCACATGGAGGTCTGTACTTAAGGTTATTTTTAAATGATGCTCAGAGACCCTTTAGGGATTCCAGAAGGTTCCAGAGAGGACTCTCAGGGATCTCCTTAAGGTGAAGGTCAGTAGAAAAGTAGAACCTGACGGAGTTTTATCTCTTCACTTACTAGAACAGCTCTAAGAATTTCTGTGTGATTTGTTAGGGTTTGTGTAAGATTCTGCTTGAAATAAAGGTTTTTTTCCTGCTGAAAAAAGACTAGGGGGACAAATGGTGTTCTTTGTAATCTGAATTGTTTTGATTTCTGCGTTCTCAATATTATTTATTTATTTAAGACTGGGTCTTGCTCTGTTGCCCAGGCTGGAGTGCAGTGGCTCGATTTTGGCTCAATGCTGCCTTGACCTCTGGGGCTCAGGTGATCCTCCCATCTCCACCTCCTCCCAAGTAGCTGTGACCTCAGGTGATAGTCACCACTTACGGCTAATTTTGTTTATTTTTTGTAGAGACAAGGTTTCACTATGTTGCTCAGGCTGGTCTTAAACTCCTGTACTCAAGCGATCCTCCTGCCTTGGCCTCCCAAAATGCTGGGATTACAGGCGTGAGCCGCCATACCCAGCAACTCTCAATATTTATTTTTCTTTATTAATTCTTGGAATTTTGAGAAGTTTGGTTGAAAGTATCTCAACTAAGCTATGGGACAAGTTTTTGCCTACACTGAGTTTACTCCCAGAGGTGACCATGGGGTTGATGAAGGAAACTAGAGGGAAAAGCCTCTAGGGTGAAGGCAACATTGGCAAGAGTGGGAAAAATTCATTCAGGTCACGCAGCTCCTTCCCCCTGCTCCTCTCCCTGCCCTGATTTCTTATTCCAGTGCTAAAGAGAGTTTATTACAAAGATGCTATATATCTATACATATGTACATATATTTCTTTTCCATATATAAATATTTATTGAATTAAATTAAGAATCCTGGTACTGTTAAAGAGATGTTGAAACTAGAAGGAAGAATACAAAAAAGGAAGGATCATTGAAGATAAACTTTTCTTTTTTACAGAGGGTTGCAAGGAAATACCAAGGTCAGACATGAAACTCTACACCCAACTCCTCCCCTGCTGCACACCTTCACTGTTCCCCTCCCACTCAAGCTAGATGGAACATTTGGTCTATCTCATTAAGGGTGATATTTTCAAGAATCATAACACAAAATCTGACAGTGTCTTCACAATGAAGTGCAATCCTATAATGCCAAACTGGGTCCTGGAATTCTGATGTTTGGATTCTTTTCAGGGAGTCAGTGGGTATATGTGATTCGTTTCAGACTCTCTGATGGTTGTTCAGACTGCTTTGAAAAACAGCCTTTGGACTGTCATTCTATTTTTTATGTTAATGCTTTAGGGAAATCTCTTTTGGCTTTTCTTGGTAAAGAGATTTTTTAAAAAGGAAAGACATTTTGCAGCAGTGGCAACAGTGACAACGGCGGCTGAGCACCCACCTCTGTCCCAGCTGCCACCATGCTTCATAAAACTATCCCAAATGGGGTGAGTACATTTAGCAGAATGATCAATTCTCTGCCGCCATATCACTTCTATTTATAATCTTGGCAAAGCTACAAATTTCAAGGGTTTTTGAAGGCAGAAGAACTTGCCACATGAAGTGATTTTAGCTCTGATCCTTTCAGAGTTTGAATTCAAGGGAGTGGGATTTTCCAGCCACTAAAGGAATTGATGTTTCTGTGGAACACAAGCTTCCTAATAACAGGTGATGACTTAATACAGGGAAGGAAGAAGCTCACAGGGGCCTTTCTTCTAAGGAATCCTTTTATGTTTACAAGGAGTTTATAAGATAGATATATATTTCATGTATTTTAAAGTGTTTATCCACAGATAATGTCCTTAAATCACCTAAGGGTTTATCTCACACATCTTTCTCTGTCTTGCCTCAAATTACTCATTTCCAATACTGGCCTCTCTGTTAATTAAATGGTATGTCTATGGGGGCATTTCCACTTGAATGATAATTAATGTGTTTTTTCCCAATCCAGCTGCCCATGAACTCTAGTAGATAAATTGTTTTGTGTATAGCACATATTCAAGGCTGGGCTTGGATAATGATGTCCTGCTCAAATTAATAAAAAAAAAAGAAAAAGAAACATTGTCCAACACACAAGAACTCTTCTTTACCTTTTTACAATCTGGGTATGTTGGGAGAGGAAGAAAAATATTCATAAATAAGAGCACCAAAATACCACAGTAACCATGGTGGAAGCTACATTGACCTTTTGGCTGATTTTCATAATCATTTTATATCCTTGTCTGTGTCTCCTAGTGGTTTATAAGCATATGGTTTCTTAGACATGTATAAATTAAGATTAGTTTATTTTAATATTTTTGGTTCCAGAAATATGCTAAACTTGTGACAAATTTACTTCGTAATGCACCAAATCTTCTTTTCGATTTTATATATGCTTCTAATGCTTTTTAAATGAGAGGCAGAATGTGGTATAGTGGTTAAAGGCTTAGGATCTGATATGAGATCCACATTCAAATCTTGGCTTCACCATTTGGCAACTATGAGACCTTAGGGGGTTTCTTAACTTCTTTGTACCTGACTTTTCTCATCTATAAAGTGAGAATAATAATTAATCATCACATAGGGCTATTGTGAGGATTAAGGGCATTATTTTTATAAAACAAATAGAACAGTGCCTGGAGGATACTACTAACTACATGAACTATTAATCAGTATTTTCAAAAGGAAATATTATAACAAAGCGGATTTACTGGAAAAAATGCCAAAACATGTCTTGTTTTATACCACACTCTCGATTGACAGAAGTCTCAGAAAGTGAAATTTTAGCTCCAGAATACTATGATTTCAGCAGATGAATAGTGTGGGCATCAAATGTATAGTTTTAATGAATGTGAACCTCAAAGAGAGGAGCTGTAAATCTAAATGGCAATACAGGGGAGAATTGCCCATCTCAACAGGTGAGCATCTAAAGGTGAGCTTCATCCTACTATAAAGGGAGAGGAGTGGCTTTGGGGCAAAATTCCCATCAGAGTACCTTGCTTAAATAAACCCTATTATTTCATTTTCTCAGTTCAGACTTGGCCTCCCCTTACCCAGAGCAAAAATGACATAAAAATTATATATCTAGGAAAACCAAAATTTAAAAATCGTTGGCCTTACAATGCCTACTCCTGATTCAGAATGGTAAGATTAGGGAAAGTGTCATTGAAACTGGGTTATTCCATCTGCTGATGCCAAGTATGTTTAGAGAGCTTTAACCTGGCTTGATTATTGATAATGGGACCTGAGCGGGGGAGCTTCCAAACCAAAACGTTAGCATTGTTGCATAATAAATATCCAGAAAGGAAGTTGAGATCATCACAGTTAGGAAAAGCTTGCTGATGTAAGCTTTAGAGAGAAACAGGTCAACTGGAATTTCTTTTGGAAAGAATTGTCTTCAGAGCTTTAGAAATGCTATTAGATGGTCATTTTTTTCAATGCTCCCAAATTTGCTTAAAGAAATTAGGAACTCACAGATTGACCTAGCTAATGTTTATGAAACACTTCTGAGTGCTGAGCCCTGTGTTATACACCTTATATGTTATTTTGTGTAATCCTTTTGTAATCTTAATTAATACTTTCCACTTTAAAGCTGAGGAAGCTGAGTTTCAGACACATGGCTGATAAATAAGTAAAGCTGGGATTCAAACCCAGGTTGTCCAATTGAAGTCCATGTGCTGTTAGTCTTAAGCACTCTATTCTCTTCATGAGCTCACATAAAGTGTAAAAATGAGAGTTGATAGGTATCTATACAGCTTCATCATCAATTCTAAGACCTAAGAAATAATTATGCTGTGAGATTTCCATAGATATTAATAATAATGCCAACAATTGGACTAAACTTTACAACACTGGGAAATCATAGTTTCTTCTCACAATTACTAAGATCAATTTTCTTCTGTTGAAGAAGTGGGCAAATTGCACAGATAAAGCTAGTCCTGAATGGAATTGTTCCAGTAATATTAAGGCTCAATAGTAGCACCTGGAGAAATAGCACAGCAAAGCTTCTGCTGACGCTGGGCACTGCACTGACCTGATATTTGAAACTGTGAGCTTCACAGTCTGCTTAATAATTAAAGCAATTTATCTTCAGGTGAATCTAGGCCATTTTGTTATTTCAACATGAAATTCTTGGGGAATAGAGATGCCTATAGAGAATCTCTGTTGTGTAAACACTAATATGGAAAGTAAGTAGGTAACTCTTTGAAATGCTGTCAACTATACGGCCACTAGAACTTTGGCCACTATCGGAACTAATGCCACTACAACTGGCTGGAAAAGACTTAGACATTGGCAGCAAGGTAACTTACCAGAGGGTTGCCATCACCTTGCAGAACATACAGTGCAGATGAAAAAATGGTTATACAAGTCTTTATCCTGTTCCAAAGGCCAAATTATTAAGAAACAAATAAGATACAATGATGACTTCAAAGGCTAAAGAATTCTGAAATTATATGGGATGCCATTTGAAGACAGGTTTGTTCTGTCCAATTTGATAGACACTAGCCAGTAGCATGTTGGCTACTGGGCAATTGAAATGCAGCTAGTCCAAATTGAAATGATCTGCAAGTGTAAAATATATACCAGATTTGAAGACTCAGCATGGAAAAAGAATGTAAAATATCTCGATAATTTAAAAATATTGAGTGTGTGTTGAAATATTTTTTATATATTGGTTTAAATAAAATATATTAGTACATGTATTTTACCTGTTTCTTGTAGTTTTTTTAATGTGACTACTATAAAATTTAAATTGCATATGTAGCTCACATTGTATTTCTGTTGGGCAGTGACAGTAGGTACTCCACACCAGCAACAGGTGAGGAATGAAGATAGCTTTGTCCTGCATCATGGACAGTGAAGGACTCTGAAGGAGTCAGGTGGAATATTTTGGTGGCCTCATCATCTCTAGTGGAGTTTTAAAAATTTTATTAATTTCTGCTATTATCTTTATTACATCCTTTCTTCTACTTTGCATTTATTCTTTTCGTCTCCCAGTCTTCAGTGGAATTCTTAGCTCATTTATTTTTTATCTTTCTTGTTAGGTAAATTCACTTAAGGCTAAAGTATTGCTTTAGAAATATGCCCACATTTTTAGCATATAGAGCACTATTATTGTTGTATAGTTTCAGGGTTTTGTTTTGTTTTGTTTTTGAGATGGGCTTTTGCTATGTTGCCCAGGCTGGGCTCAAGTGATCCTCCCACTTCAGCCTCCTGAGTAGCTGGGACTACAGACACTTGCCACCACATCTGGCTAAGTTTGTTTTTTTAAAATAATTTCCTCATTGTGATTTCCTCTTTGATTAGCAGGTTACTTTTATGATATAGATATGTAATATAAATAGATTTGTGGCCTGGTGTGTAGTCATTTTTTCAGACAGTTCCACTTAGGCTTGATAAAAAAGTATATTTTCTATTTTCTATTCATCATATGCAGGCTTATACATATAGTATATCTTTTAGATTAGCTCTTTAATTGTGTTGCTGAAATATTTTATAAATCCTTAGTGTGTATTTTTTTCTCTGCCTGCTACATTCTGAGAAAGGCGTATGAAAATCTTCCACTATGATTGTAGATTTGCCGATTCCTTTTTGTAATTTTGTCATTTTTACTTTATATATTTTGAAACTATATTGTTAAGTACATAAAAGTTCATGACTATTTAATTTTCTTATTGAATTGTTCTTTTTATCTTATGTATCTATGTTTCTATTAATGCCTCTTGGCTTAAAACTCTACGTTTGATTTAAATATTGCAATACCAGCTGTCTTGATCAGTATTTACTTGGTCGATATTTGTCCGTCCCTTCTTGATCATTATGTTTTAGGTGTATCTCTGTGTTTTTGTTTTGTTTTGTTTTGTTTAGAGACAGGGTCTCACTTGTCACCCAAGCTGGAGTACAGTGGTGCAATCATCATAGCTCACTGCTGCCTTGAACTGAAACTCCTGGGCTCAAGTGATTCTCCTGCCTCAGCCTCCTGAGTAGCTGGGAAAACAGATGTAAGCCACCATGCTAATTAAAAAAAATTTTTTTAATAAAGATGGGGTCTCATATGTTGTCCAGGCTGGCCTTGAACTCCCGGCCTCAAACAACCCTCCTGCTTCATCATCCCAAAATGCTGGGATTATAGGCGTGAGCCATCACACCCAGCCTTTGTATATCTCTTAAAATAAAAAATAGCTGGATGCTATTCTCTTTTTAAAAAAATCCAATTTGAGGCAAATTCAACCTTTTGTATTTATTATGATTACTAACATATTAATGCTTATTTGTCCTATCCATTTTATGTTTCTTTCTCTTTCCTTGGTTTATATTGAATTGACCCAATTTTATTTTCTCTACTTCCTCTCAAATAATTAGTAAATATACATTTGGTTTTTGCTCCTTATAGTGGTTAGCTTTTAAGTTTCTTTTTTAATTTTTTGAGACAGGGTCTCACTCTGTCACCCAGGCTGGAGTGCAGTGGCATGATCATGGCTCACTGTAACCTCAAACTCCTGGCCTCAAGTGGTCCTCCCTTCTTGGCCTCCCAAAGTGCTGGGATTGTAGGCCTGAGTCACTGCACCTGGTCTAGCCTTTAAGTTTCTAACATGCATATCTAACTTAACAAAATGTAAAGCTAGCCAAGTTCTCCATCTTCTTCCTGAGCAAATATCAGGACTTAGAATGATTATTCCATCCAAATTTTATTTAGATTTACCAACATGCTTACTAGCTTCTTTTTCTCATTATCATTCTTGTGTCTACTATTTTCTTCTAAGATTACCTCTATTCTTGCTGAATAATGTTATTTAGAGATTTTTTTTTCAGTTAAGCTTCTATGACTAGTAAATTCTTTCAGTCTTTATATCTATTTACTTTCATTGACATAGTTTAACTGGTGGGTAGTTACTTACTTTTACCACTTTGAAAATATTACTGCATTGCATTCTAGCATCTATGGCTGCCAATAGGGCATCTCTGTCAGTCTGTGCTGTCCTTCTAAACACATGGAAAGACATTTTGAACTCGTTTGCTTGTGATGGCTCCAAAGCCACTGCCCCACTAGGTTTCATATCCGTTAAGGATACAAACCACGAGCTGCTTTGGCTTAAGATCCTATTCAGTTCTCTGATTTTTGTTGTTCTTTTTACACTCAGGCATTTCACACTCTGGATTTGGCCATGTAGCAAATTTTGTTATTGTTAGGGTTTGTTTAATTTTTCCAAGAAGGAGAGTGATTTGCTGTCAATTCAGTCTGCTATATTGACTTGGCATTCTTTTTTTTTTTTTTTTTTTTTTTTTTTTTTTTTTTTTTTTTTTTTTTTTTTCTGAGACATAGTTTCACACTTGTTGCCCAGGCTGGAGTGCAATGGCACGATCTCAGCTCACTGCAACCTCTGCCTCCTAGGTTCAATCGATTCTCCTGCCTCAGCCTCCCGAATAGCTGGGATTACAGGCATGAGCCATCATACCCAGCTAATTTTGTATTTTTAGTAGAGACGGGGTTTCTCCATGTTGGTCAGGCTGGTCTCGAACTCCCGACCTCCGGTGATCCACCTGCCTTGGCCTCCCAAAGTGCTGGGATTATAGGGGTGAGCCACCATGCCTGGCCAGACTTGTCATTCTTAGTTATCTCATTACTGCTACATTCCATACATAGCCTCTGGAGGCGAGGCACTTCAGAGAGTAAACACCAACAACTATGCCCACCTGACACAATGGGCTTTGATCTAATGCCTGGAAGTTAGAGTTATGGAAATTAATGATAAGGGTCTAAGACTCAGGGTACATATACTTGCTGGGACCACTCGTGATGCCCCCTGATGTTCTAGTATCAATCCCTTATTCCTATGGTCCTTTCACCTTGGCAGGCTGCTCTCTTAGACAGATTCCTATTTCGAATGCTCCTTGCCTGGCATTTCTACCATGGACTGTACATCTGGTCCCTGAGACATGCCTTTTTGACCCAATGTGGGAGTGAATTGCATTTACATCCCAGCTGCAGCCATCTCTATGCTCCCATGGACTGCTTGCAATTTATCAGTTGAGTCTAGTTCCTGATGACCAAGCCTTCCAAATTCAGGGGACACATACTTCTGAGAGAAGTGGCAGCAACTCCTTCTACTGGAGACAGGGAGGATCATGGGAATTTTCATCTTGCTCCAGAAAACCTTTTCACGAAATTCCCTTTCTCTGCCCTTTGACCTTTCATAACCTTCCTACTGGTTGATAATTTAAACTTTCTTCAGCACCTTCTTTGACATGTTCACATGATTTCATTACCCCATTCTCTTTATTCTCACCTCTCTTTACTCATACTGAACAATACCCTGGTATTTTATTTTAGGGCTCTGATATTTATTACATTTTAGTGCCTATTTATTCTAGTAACAGTAACTAGTGAGTTATTAAAAATGTCTAAAATTTTTTGTCATTCTTCATGAGATTCTCCTTTAGTATTTGTTATTATGGAATTTTTTTTTCTTAAAAGTTGGAGTGCTTATGATCTATGGCCACCTATGAGGGACATGATTTTTTAAAAGTTTGAATGGAAGTTCTTATGGGAACAAAAATCACTTTTGTGGTGGCCATAAGTGTTAATCCTAACTTTGAGAGATTAGTTTTCACATGGTAGGCATTATATAAATATTGCTGAATAAGGGAGTGGGAAAGAAGCAGTCGGAAATCTGTAATGCTTGCCCTTGAATTGCAGAAGTATTGGAAAGCATTGGAGGAACTATTACCTCTCAAATTTCAAAGAGGAGCAAAACCTTTATAGCATGACTTTTCTGAGTTTCAAGCACATTCTCTTTGGTGTACCTAAAACATTTTATTTATAGATGGTGGTGGTTTGTCTGCTATTATGCTTCCTGAGTTTGTGATATTGTCTTACTTTAAAATGCTTTTCAAGGATGCTTGCATCAGTGTGGTGGGGATTGGGTGAAATTTAAGGTCTCTTCTAATCTAGAGATTCTATACTTTTTTCAGAATTCTGGCATCATCCATTCTCTTCACACTAGTGGTCCAGCAGAATTGAGTTACATAGGACAGAGCTTGGGTCACCTGTGGTGCGATTACTTTCCCAAACATCTTCGCTGGCATTGGTACACTGCCATATGGCTAAGTATAGCATGCAGGTGTCACAGATAAAATCTTCCCAAAACTTTCATGGCCTCAAAAGCCAACAACCTGCTTTGAGAACACTGTGTATTTAATAAAAAAAGTTAGATCTTGGTCCATGTGTGTATCAAGAACTATGAATTATTTAGAATGAAGATATATAGAGGAACATCTTATTCCTTCTTAGCATTAAGGACAGTGTGGAACAGGTATTAGCGGTAGGTTTTTACATGAAAAATTATTCTCCCAAGAATTTACATTTTTCAGTCAAGTTTGCTAGTTTTCTATCAGTTTGTTTATGGAAAAAAACCATATGACAGTAATGGGACTTTTGAGTTATACTTGTTATCAATGACCATGGAACAACTTGCTTGAGTTCTAGGACTTATTGTCTCTATAAAGAAGCATACTTTCTGTTCCACAAAGCTCTGAGTGTTATTTGGTAATAAAATGGTTTTGAGAGAGATAATGTGTTAGGAACACCAGGAGGTATTATCCTCTGTCTTAGCCTCTAAGCATGTTTAAATTTCTATGTTTGAATTTAGTAAATAGGAAACAGGAACATGCACACCCACATTCTAAATGATTGAGAAAGAAGATGATAAACAAGCCACACTTTGCAAAGCATTTTAATTTGGTGAAGAAGCTGAACACAGAAAAGGAAAGGAATATCAATAATACCAAACTACAGTGAACTATATATATTAGCATCCATGTTGTTCTCCTAGTTAATATAAGGACAACATCTTGTATTCTACAGCATGACTGTCACTTATGTTTCCATTTATGAAAAAGTCTAAAAATAGAATTCTGAATTCCTCAAAGCAATTCTGAGTTCCTGACATCAACGATGCCGGATAATTGAGTGCATGAACCTTACCAGGTCTATATGTATATATACATTTACATGCATAAATGTATATGGTGGTGGCACCTCTGCGACATTCTGGCTGCTGGGAATCAACAGTGAGTTGTATATATGTGTACATTTCAGCATAACTCACAGAAATAAGATGGGTCAAAGTGAAAACTATTAAAAAGGAAGTCTCCTGGAATGAATTTTGCTGTGTTGTCCAGTGGAGGCAATTGAATAGACTGATGGATTGGGGCTTCTGAGAACACGACAACAGAAAAATTACAACGAAATATTACTAGGAGCATTCTAGTTAACTCTCACAGGCAAGAGCTCACCATAGACAGGCCCGCCAAGTAGCCTTTTCTAGTTATAATTCACGTTTTTAGGAGAAAGAGTCAGCTAGCTAGTCAAAAAGGGTAGCAATAATTGCACTCTCTGTCAGTGGGAAAATAGGAAAATGAAAAACAGGATAACTTAAGTCAGAAAGGCAGAACTCACTTAGCATATTCTGAAATCTCTCAGTTTGAAGTAAAAAGTAAACATCTCGTTTCCATTGGAAGCAAGAAACAAGTTTTTTTTCTTCATAATGGAGCATTATCGCCTATAAAGAAAAATGAAGCAATGCTGTTTATATGTTTAACGTTTAAAAAAATAAAGACTGACAGTCGCCAGAATGATGGGACAATGGATAAAGAGCAGACCCAAAGATTTCCTTCCCTCCTCTGGACTCCACCCTGCGAGTTTCCCCAGAGAGGAGAACACAGATGTGAATCAGAGCTGGCAGGGTGGAGCTCTGGAAAGCCATCTCCTGGCTCTCTCAGAGCTTGGATCCCAAGAGGATGACTGGCAGCACCACTCTGGCCCTCTGGCTATATTTCTGGAAAGATTCCAGGAACTGCCAGGGCCAACAAACCTCTTTAAGTCATATATATGATTTGGCTGCGAAAGACCCTGACAAGAAATCTTGCCTTGACTTGGGAGCCAGGGGGTGGAGCAGGGGCAGGGTGAATGGAGCCAGGAATGAATTATCTGAAGGAGCACGAACATTTCTGCTTGCCTCTGTGTCCCTTTCCTGAAAGAGGCTGTGCTTGGAATCCCAGTCACATTTCTGGGCCAAGCCCTGGTGATTCAGCTGCGCCACCTCTGTGGAAGAACACAGCAGAGTCTCCTCGCAGCTCTGCCTGTTCCTTCCAAAAGGAGCCACGATGCTGCACCTGGTGCAACCAACCTTCCCCTACAAATCTACAAATCTGTTCTGCTTTGGATAAGGCATTCTGGGCAGGCAATGGACAAGAAAAACCACTGAGGTGCTTGCTTTTCCTGTGAGGTTAAGATCTTCAACTGACAATAGGAGAGGCACAGTTCCCTGCCCCAGGCCTTGCTCAGGGAGATCCTCAAATGCCTTATTGAAAAATAAAATCATCTTAAATGATTTAAAACTGTAATCAAGTTTATTATTTAAATATTAATGATGCTATTTCATCTTTATCTAAATACAGTGATTGTAATTGGGATATTATTAGCTGTCCTCATAAATATAGGGTTTAAGTATCTGTCTTGGATGAGGAAGGAAACTGGAGTTTTATTTCCCAAAGGGAAGATGGAGATGCAGTGTGGGACCAGAGAAACAGCTCCAACCTCACTGGCTTGCGTTTGAGGACTGACCCAGCCATACCCAGGCTTTGGCCTAGTCTCCCTTTTGAGCAAACTTCCTGAAGCTTCCAGCACTTCCTCTGTAAAATGAGACTAATCATACCTATGTCATGAGGTTATTCTGAAGTTTAAATACATATATCACCCAGAACAAGACCTGGTGCATAGTAACTGGTTAAGAAATGGTGACTACATTTATATTATTAAAACAGAAGAGATAAAGGTATTAAAAATATAAAGATTTAAGTATCAACAGGAGTTATCAGGGCTCTGAGATTATGGGATCACTTTTTGTTTTCTCCTTCATTCTTCTCTTCATTAAAAACAAGATCAATGAAGTTTATGATATTGATTTTCTACCTATAGCTATGTCTATCTCTCGTTCTATGCAGACATATATAGAATTGAATAATTGCATGCTTTAATTAAGGTTGAAATGAGTTCTTTCTCTGGAGACCTACCTAGGACACCAGCAGTGACATTCCAGTGTGGGAGAAAAACCTTGTACAGGGCTTCAGTGATCTTGAGGCTGGTTAGGGTGTCCCCTCCAAACTAAGTTTTTGGCTTAGTTCAGTTTTCCCTTTCGTAAAATGCTCTGATCAGAGAGCATGATTCTGTAAGTCTCTTGGTGCTCTAAAGTAATGTGATGCTATGATTATCACAAAGATTGTGATATGATTATCACTTCCACAATTCCAAATCATACTCGAGAGTCCTAGGGTGGAAGGGAGAATGTATACTCTGAACTGGTTTTCACATGGAGAAAAATTATTCCCTGCAAATTTCCTGTCCCCAAGCTTACGGGAAGGGAAGAGGAAGACCTGGTAGCGTTCCCCTGAGGTTTCCGATTCTCAGGGCCATTCATAATCACACAGCTGTAACTGTAGGCATTTGGTCAATGAGCCTCCACGTCAGTCTACCTGGTGAAGGGTGGTTCTGCCTGCTTTGTCAAGTGGGCGCCTGCTCTTCCGTTTCACTGAACTAATAAATCATGAATACTTTCCTTAGCCATTTAAAAGTCATTTCCTCTCATTTTCCCTGGGCACCAGAGGCAATCTTATACTTGAAGGCTGATGTGTGTGTGTGTGTGTGTGTGTGTGTGTGTGTGTGTGTGTGTGTTTTGATTGCTGCCTTCAAGAATAGGATGTGATAGCAAACAACTGCTAAGATTTTCCATCCAAAATTTATCAACGACCTAAATTCTAGCACTGCATTCATCAAAAAGCAAAGATGTATGCCTTGTATTACTTAACCTTTCCAAGCCACCTGCTTCTTATTATACTTTTTATTTCATATTCAACTTCCTATTTGAAATTCATACATCTTATTATAATCATGTGTATGCTTTCTAAAGTGGAATTTTCTAAAATCTGGTGTTTCATGTATAAAAATTGCCTTTGTGATCATTCATTTATTCAACAAATACTATTTTGTTCCGAGCGTAACCCAGTTTTCTAGATGTGGAAAAGGAGTAAAGAAGGGATAATGTCTGTCTTCATGGAGCTTAGAATTTCAGTGTGTCTGGGGTCAGGGAGGGAAAGAGACAACAGATAACGAATATTGTGTATCAGACTGTGAAGAGTTCTGGAGAGCAAGCAGGGCAGGAAGATGGCAAGGTCCAGGAGTGTTTGTGTGTTGTGGGGAAGGGTGGGGCTCACATTTAAATAGGGTTCTCAAGGAAGAAGCCACTGACAGGGTGACTTGAGGAAAGGTCTGAAGGAGATAAGGGAATGAGGCATGGGGGAACGTGTGGAAGAGCTTCCTACTGAGAAGGAAGAGCAAGTGCAAAGCCCCTGAGGCTGGAGCTGCCTGGCACGCTTGGCTGGAATGGAGTGAGTGATGGACAGAGTAATAGGAGATAAGGTAGCAAAGGAAAGGTGACCAGATCAGAAATACAGAAGTATTTCCAAGAGGAAGAAATGATCATTTAGTACAATTATTAGGAACTTGCACAACATCAATGAATAAAACAGATAAAAAAAACTTATGCCACCTGGAGTTGACATTCTAATGAGAGGCAGCAGAAGTTAATAAAAAACAAAAAACCGAATTGTATAGTATGCTAGAAGTGACAAATGCAGCAGGAAATAAGTGTACAGAGAATGGTGGGGTGGGGTGTGTGGGTGCTTAGGAGTTCATTGTAACCTGGAACAATCTCAGAATGTAAACTTCTCAAGACTAGAGCCTAAGCTCTTTGTTCTTTTTTATATTACTCAATTCTTAGCACATTGTGGGTAACTAATACAAACTCATTGATAATGGCCCTGCTAAATAATAGTCATTCTACAGATGTTTTGGTTCTGCATCAGGGATGGTAATAGGTGAGCAAAAAGAGACACAGCCTGGCTTCCTGGAGTTTATAGTTTGGTGGTAGAGATAACATTGCTCAAATAATCATATAAGTAAATTAATGTAAAATTACAATAGTGATAGTGCTATAAATGAGAGGTATTTGATACTAGGAAAGCATGTTATGCAAAGAAGGAATGACAGTATGTTACTCTGCCTTCAGTGTTTCAGTAGTAATATTGGCTTTCCCAGGCAAATGGCATTTTGTAGTGATGGTGAAATAGGAACTAGAAATAATGCAAATGTTTTGTATTCTGTTTAAAACACATACTAAGCCACCCTTTGGAGAGGCAGTCGTAGCATCTCCGATATTAAGGCTTTGCTTATTTGAAATTTATCTAAACAGTAACAGCCTCTTGCCAGTATAGTTTAAACCATAATCAAAAGCTGGGGAAATTTGACTCATGATCTGGAAAAGGCCTTGGGTGCGCTTAGGGCAAAGCTTTTAATAGTTTCTGAGATACAAGTAAGATACTAGCGTTCTATTCCTTATATGAGGCCAGCAAGTCTGACTCCAACTCAATAACTCACTTCAGGTAAACCTATTTTCAGCTTTACTTGGAGGACATAACTCTTGGTCATTCTCTACTGTCCATTACTTTAGTTGACTGGTGATATGGTCCACCAATTGAACCAGAATATATTCATTCACCAGCAGCAATGACGTATTTTTCTGCATTATGCTCGTCCTTGGCAGAGGATGCTTCAGCTGCTCCCTTTGCTGCCTTGCTGTCAGTTTGATAAACGGACAGGCTTCCTTCCCAGCAGGGCTGGTGTGGTTCCAGGTTGCAGCACTGCCCACTTCAGCAGTCTGCAGGCCATTGTTCCTGCCTCCTGTGAGCTCACAGAGCCCATTTGGAGTGCACCGGGGCATTCCAAAAGACTCTCGGGCTGACAGCATCAGACCAATACAAGGAGAAAATAAAGTTTCATTTTGTTCTGTTAAATGTCTCTGCCAGACTCTACAGAGACATACTGCCAGAAGAATAAAGGGAAAGTTAATTCTGTCCGTTGCACAGAGCTATTTTGAAAATTTACTGCCAGGACCTTGCAACGGGTACATTTGTATATTTTAGCTTTTCCTTTAATCTGTTTCTCTAACTCGGTGATTCATTCATGTGCTGAATTTTTAAAAGGCAGGAAAGAGTCAAATATTGTATCAATGAGCACAGTTTTTAATGATAAAGAGAGTGAAATAGGACATGGCAGATCATGGAGACTAGAGAAAGGTTGGCCACGGAAAAACCAGTCCTGTCTGGGTTTTTCAGCAGAATTGATAGCATTAGCTTATGTGAACAGACTAACTGTAGATTGATGATGTACCAGACACTTCTTTTAGGTAGATGTTCTTTTATAGTCTACTTTAAGCAAAACCATAATAACAGTAGTAGTTACATCTTTCACAGTATATTCTCTTCCCACGCCCATCCCCATGATGTTCCTGTGGGAAGGGTAAGGATTTTAGTCACCAAAACTGAGACTCAAGGACATCGAGGCCTTGGGTCAATTTCACCCATCTAGTGGTGGTAGCAAGGATTTGTTCCAATGCCTTCCTACTTAAAGAAGGAAGTAAGCCAGGCGAGGTGGCTCACCTGTAAACCCAGCACTTTGGAAGGCCGAGGAGGGAGGATCACTTGAGGCCAGGAGTTTGAGATCAGCTTGGGCAAGATAGGGAGACCACCCTGTCTACAAAAGGTAAAAAATAAAAAATAATTAGCCAGGCATGGTGGTGCATGCCCATAGTCCTGGCGACTTGGGAAGCTGAGGCAGGAGGATTTCTTGAGCCCAGGAATTCAAGGTTATAATGAGCTATGATCACATCCCTGTACTGCAGCCTGGGTGGCAGAGTGAGACCGTGTCTCAAAACAACAACAAGAAAAACAACAAAAAACTAAAAGCAAATAGAAAGTAAGAAGTTGAAAACTCTTTTTCCTTGTGAAAAACAGAAGGTTTCTCTACAAAAAAAGCATATTAAAAACGTGAAAAAGTGGGCAGATATGTCTTTTTTAATTTTTTTCTTTTCTTTTTTTTTCTTCTTTTAAAATTTTATTATTATTACACTTTAAGTTTTAGGGTACATGTGCACAATGTGCAGGCTAGTTACATATGTATACATGTGCCATGCTGGTGTGCTGCACCCATTAACTCGTCATTTAGCATTAGGTATATCTCCTAATGCTATCCCTCCCCGCCACCCCCCAACCCCACAACAGTCCCCAGAGTGTGATGTTCCCCTTCCTGTGTCCATGTGTTCTCATTGTTCAATTCCCACCTATGAGTGAGAATATGCAGTGTTTGGTGTTTTGTCCTTGCGATAGTTTGCTGAGAATGATGATTTCCAATTTCATCCATGTCCCTACAAAGGACATGAACTCATCATTTTTATGGCTGCATAGTATTCCATGGTGTATATGTGCCACATTTTCTTAATCCAGTCTATCATTGTTGGACATTTGGGTTGGTTCCAAGTCTTTGCTATTGTGAATAGTGCCACAATAAACATACGTGTGCATGTGTCTTTATAGCAGCATGATTTATGGTCCTTTGGGTATATACCCAGTAATGGGATGGCTGGGTCAAATGGTATTTCTAGTTCTAGATCCCTGAGGCATCGCCACACTGATTTCCACAATGGTTGAACTAGTTTACAGTCCCACCAACAGTGTAAAAGTGTTCCTATTTCTTCACATCCTCTCCAGCAGTTGTTGTTTCCTGACTTTTTAATGAATGCCATTCTAACTGGTGTGAGATGGTATCTCATTGTGGTTTTGATTTGCATTTCTCTGATGGCCAGTGATGGTGAGCATTTTTTCATGTGTTTTTTGGCTGCATAAATGTCTTCTTTTGAGAAGTGTCTGTTCATGTCCTTTGCCCACTTTTTGATGGGGTTGCTTGTTTTTTTCTTGTAAATTTGTTTGAGTTCATTGTAGATTCTGGATATTAGCCCTTTGTCAGATGAGTAGGTTGCAAAAATTTTCTCCCATTTTGTAGGTTGCCTGTTCACTCTGACGGTAGTTTCTTTTGCTGTGCAGAAGCTCTTTAGTTTAATTAGATCCCATTTGTCAATTTTGGCTTTTGTTGTCATTGCTTTTGGTGTTTTAGACATGAAGTCCTCTCCATGCCTATGTCCTGAATGGTAATGCCTAGGTTTTTTTCTAGGGTTTTTATGGTTTTAGGTCTAACATTTAAGTCTTTAATCCATCTTGAATTAATTTTTGTATAAGGTGTAAGGAAGGGATCCACTTTCAGCTTTCTACATATGGCTAGCCAGTTTTCCCAGCAGCATTTATTAAATAGGGAATCCTTTCCCCATTGCTTGTTTTTGTCAGGTTTGTCAAAGATCAGATAGTTGCAGATATGCGGCATTATTTCTGAGGGCTCTGTTCTGTTCCATTGATCTATATCTCTGTTTTGGTACAAGTACCATGCTGTTTTGGTTACTGTAGCCTTGTAGTATGGTTTGAAGTCAGGTAGTGTGATGCCTCCAGCTTTGTTCTTTTGGCTTAGGATTGACTTGGAGATGCAGGCTCTTTTTTGGTTCCATATGAACTTTAAAGTAGTTTTTTCCAATTCTGTGAAGAAAGTCATCGGTAGCCTATGGGGATGGCATTGAATCTGTAAATTACCTTGGGCAGTATGGCCATTTTCACGATATTGATTCTTCCTACCCATGAGCATGGAATGTTCTTCCATTTGTTTGTATCCTCTTTTATTTCATTGAGCAGTGGTTTGTAGTTCTCCTTGAAGAGGTCCTTCAAGTCCCTTGTAAGTTGGATTCCTAGGTATTTTATTCTCTTTGAAGCAATTGTGAATGGGAGTTCACTCGTGATTTGGCTCTCTGTTTGTCTGTTATTAGTGTATAAGAATGCTTGTGATTTTTGTACATTGATTTTGTATCCTGAGACTTTGCTGAAGTTGCTTATCAGCTTAAGGAGATTTTGGGCTGAGACAGTGGGGTTTTCTAGATATACAATCATGTCATCTGCAAACAGGACAATTTGACTTCCTCTTTTCCTAATTGAAAAGCTAGATGAAATATTCACAGACTTATTTTTTCTATTATTATTTTTTAATTTTATTGTCTTACATATCTTTTCTGGATAAATTTTATTTATTTTTAAGTTTCAACTTTTATTTTAGATACAGAAGGTACATGTGCAGATTTGTTACATGGTATCATTATTCATCAGTATAGCCCATCTGCTCCATCAGTTTGAGAAGCCCCAAATGACAAAATAGTAGTCATAGCTTTCAGTTTGGTGGAACTCTTTCTACTTTTCTGTGTTACCTGGTGGAAGCCTCCCTGCACTGTCCATACTCACCCCCACACCAGGATTCAGAACTTTTAATCCAGAAGAGCCTAAGGATGTAGGGATGGGAAACATACTTCCTGCAACTGTGCCGCTGGGAGTGGTGATGAGAAGGGCCAATCCTATCTATGGATTTCAGGCTTATGTATTCCAGTTACTTCACCATATATTGGCTATCAGTTCTGTGCACCTACAGAATCCTGGAGGGCAGCAGCCTTGTTGGGTGTGGTTCCCCACGTGGCCTCCTTAGCTGGCCTTTGAACAAGGAATTCCATCATTTTACTAGGCTGGCTTCTTCAGAGTGATGTGGTATATGATGGGACCTGTGGATTCTCTACTCATGTACTCATTGTGGCACTTCTGCACTGTAAAACACATCCCCTGGTCTAAAGCAATGTTTTGGGAATTCCATTTGGTAAATCACTTACTATTTAAGCCCTCAGATGATGCTGGTGGAGGCACTTTGGGTAGCAAAGGCAAACTCATAATCAAAATAGGCATGAATTTTGGTGAGAATATATTGCTGTCTTTCTAGGATGGAAGGTGTCCAGTGTAATCAACTTGCTACCAAGTAATTGACCAGCTTTCTGGGGAATGTTTCCGTCTTGAAGCACTATATTGAGTCTCTGCTGCTGACAGTTTAGAAATTCAGCAGTGGCAGTAGCTAGAGAAGTCTTAATGAGAGAGTCCATGCTGTTGGGCTTATGCATGGCCTTCATCCTTGCCACCAAGTCTGCTTCATGCATGGGACTTCTGTGCAAGCACTGGGTGGCTGAGGTCAGAAGCTCACTGCCATCCCCTGGACAAGTGATCCTATCTACATGGTTGTCCAGTGCCTCTTTGAGTGCTCTAGAATACTTTCCAGTGGACATTATTACAAGACAAAATACCCATACATGCTTTGGGCCCTCTGCCAGAGATTCATCCACAAACCTCTTTCTCAAACATCCTTGTCTTTAAACTCTTATTCTTGCTACTTTCAGCATCCTGACTAATCAGCAAAGCCATTTGTCAGCCCAAAAGTTTGTGCGCATCTGTGCTTTAGGCATTTTCTCTCTGGTGTGTGACCAAAGTTGCTTAGAGTTATACATGCTAGGATCATTACAATTTTACACTATCTTTCAGGGCCACCTTTGAGCGGGGCTGTATTGTGGTGGCACTCCATTTTCAGTTATCATAAATAGGTTGAGCTAACCTATTTGTGAACCAGGCTCACGTATTTCCTCCTCTGTGAGTTGGTTGTATGGAAACCCTCATGGGAACATGGGTGTAAGTTGAAGGAGAGGCATCAGTGTAACAGAGGAAAGTCACATGGAAACTGGGGCCACCTGCATAAGCTGGTGCCCAAGTTACTTGTGCGCAATTCTAAATGTACCATTTCTATCGTGCAATGGATTCCTGCTGTTCCTGCATGACCTTATGACTTTGCATATCTCATAATCCCAACTCATCCGCTGGGCGCAGTGGCTAATGCCTATAATCCCAACACTTTGGGAGGCTGAGGCGGGTGGATCACCTGAGGCCAGGAGTTCGAGACCAGCCTGACCAATATGGTGGAACTTTGTCTCTACTAAAAATACAAAAATTAGCCGGGCATGGTGGCATGCGACTGTAGTCCCAGCTACTTGGGAGGCTGAGACAGGAGAACTGCTTGAACCCGGGAGGCGGAGGTTGCAGTGAGCCAAGATCACGCCACTGACTCCAGCCTGGGTGACAGAGTAAGACTCCGTCTCAAAAAAAAAAAAAAAAAAAGTAAAAAAAAAAAAATCCTAACTCATCATGGGCAGCTCCAGTTGCATAATCACACTTTATGTTCTCTACTAGGGTTCAAAAGCACACCAGGGTTGTTTTTGAAGTGATGAGTAGTTCTCTCTCTTTGAAGGTTTAACCTTGCTCCAGAACCCAGGGTCTGTGCTTCAACTCTTACATTGGGGTTTAACAGAGACTCTGTATAGAATCTTAATCCACTAAGGACTCCTCTAGCACCATCCATCTTCTAGGTCATACTGCCTGAGCATCAGGGCAGCTTGCACTGCAGTCTGGACCTGTTACAGGATCCTCTCTTGTTCTGGGCAACACATACCACACTTGAAAATGGCAGCTTCCCAGGTCATTCAATAAATGATCCAGTATCCAAATAAGACTACCAAGTACAGTGCCTCTTTCTTAGTGGTAGGAGGTGTGGGTGCAATAATTTGTCATTTATATTAAAGGGGAATTTTCCCACATGTTCCAGTTGATTGGATTTTTTTTTTTTGAGATGGAATATCTCTCTTTTGCCCAGGCTGATTTCGGCCCACTGCAACCTCTGCCTCACAGGCTCAAGCGATTCTCCTGCCTCAGCCTCCCAAGTAGCTGGGACTACAGGCACCCACCACCACACCCAGCTAATTTTTGTATTTTTCGTAGAGGCGGGGTTTTACCATGTTGCCCAGAGTGGTCTCAAACTCCTGAGCTCAGGCAATCCACCCGCCACGACCTCCCAAAGTGCTAGAATTACAGGCATGAGCCACCGTGCCCGGCCCAGTTCATAGGATCTTTAAAGACATCATACATATGGTAGGTCTTTGAAACTTTGAGGGTTTTATTCTCCTCCTCCTAGCATGTATGTATCTTACCAGGACACCTTGAGTACTTGCTTCTGTCCTCACCTGGTCCAAGGACCATGATGTCCTCATTGCTGTTAAGCAACATCATGCTGGTTCTGTGTAATACCAAGAAAATGAAGGTCTCTGTGGACTATATTGTGACAGAGAGCAGAAGAGGTAACCTGGTCCTGGGCAAAACAGTAAATGTGTACTACTGTCTTTTCCACATGATAGCAAATTGCTTTTGATCCTGGTTTTATTGTATTGACAACCTCAGCTGGCATGACCATGAAGAAGCAAGACAAAAAACAAACAGGAGGAAAAATCTGGGGATTCTTTTTAGAGATGGAATACATACTTACAAATAAAATGCCTCAATGGAAGAAACATTACCGTATCTGACATGGTATATGTGATTGTGGATGCCATTTGGTTATGTTAACTTTGGTCCACTATCATTCATGATGATCCTTCTAGTTTTTGCAAGGGCCAAATAGGTGAATTGAATGAGGCTATCCCTTCATCCTTCAAGTCTTTGGTGGTGGTGCTAATTTCTGCAATTTCTCTTGAGATGTAGGATTGCAGTTTGGGGAACTTCCCATGTCTCTTCCAAACCCACAGTGGCTCTTATTTCAGTGGCCAAGGAACCAATCTTGATTGTACTGAGGGACTGGGCAAATAACCACACAGGTGGCCTGCGGCCCCATTGGACGACTATGAGATGGACATGGGCCAGGATTCTATTCATCACCTGGCTTCTACATGCCTCTTTCTAATGAAGGGTCACAATAGCATTTTCAATTCCTTGCTTTTAGAGCCAACTCAGACTCTGAGTCTAAAAGTCCTTGCATGGTCTGGGTATTTTTGTTTCCCCAGTGTATATCTGATATTCTGGTAAATAGCTTCAAGTTCCTTTGGGAAAGGATCAGGAGATATTTATTTTAAATTTTTGCAGTGGTGTTGCAGGATATTGCCAAATGGACCTAGTCTCTTTGATAGTCACTGAGCTCTGGATCAGAGACTGAGCTCTGTGTCTGGGAACTGACTTAGATCTAGTAAATGGGTGAGAGAGTGTGATTTCCCATTGGGGCGACAGACACCAGTTTTTTGCTTTCCAGATCTCTCCTGCTGGCTCTATAGATGAAGTGAAACTCTAGTTGGCTGCCCATCTGTCTTGCTCCCATGATTTATTAACAACTGCTACCGATTCCTATGGGTCAAAGCTCTCAGGTCATCACTCTGGCCTCACTGTTTATTTCAGAAATTATGACCACCCTATTTCTGTGAAGACAAATTAGCCTCTCCTATTTGAGAATCCTATCAATTCCATTGATACCAGGGAGACTGGTTCTAACATAGCACTTCCCACTGTCAACAACACAACCAAGCTTCTCCACAATGGTGGTGCTCCCCTCACTCTGCATTCTTCATTGACTGATTGTAGGAGTGTTCTTTGGACTCCCTCAGGCAACAGAGTCAGGTGGTGGGTACTTTGATGTAACACAGTAAACCCATTCCAACATTTCCACCTCCCTGAGCCCTTCAAGCCCTTCCCCAAAACCCTGCCAAGGCCTGACTTACCTAATTACTTTGATAAGGACAAAGCTATAAGGAACAATTTTAGCAGTGTATTAGGACCAGTTCTATGTGTCTTTGCTAAGATGTTGAACCCCATGTCACGGGAGAGTGTTCTAACATCAATACATTCTCCCTTCTCCAGCCTTATGTGCTAACCTTGTGTTGGGTACTCTAAGATCTACTCCTACACCTGTTCCCCTGGCTTCTCCTGGGTGCATTAACCAGGTCTTAAAATTCTCTGGTTGTACTACTTTCTTCCAAAGCCAGGATCATATACACTTCACAATGGTGCTGTGGCCTAAACATTCCTATCATTATAGCTCTCATTCTATAGGATAGGAAACAATGGAGGGAATCTGCTAATTGTTTAGTATGTATGCTTACAGATTAGATAAATAACTTTCTGTTGGGTCCAGTGTGGAGACAGTGAGGGTAGATGGGAGCAGAACATGACAGGGAGGAGAGTATCTTATGAAGCTTCTTCCTCCGATGAGGTTTTTGCAGTTTCTAGGTCAAGGTTTCTCAACAATGGGACCATTGACATTTGGACTAGATAATTCTTTGTTGTGAGGGGCTATGCTGTACTTATAGGACATTAACAGCATCCTACAATGACCTCTACCTATTAGGTGCCAATAGTACCTCCCTCTCTCAGTGGTGATAACTGTATCTCCCCAGTGTGGACCACTGATTAAATGTTAGAAGAGGGCTCTCTTCCTGCAGCCAGCCTCCTGCAGATGTCTCTTGGGTGATGGCAGAGTTCTCAGGGTGCAGCCGAGGTGAGCTATCATCAGGCTATTCCTGTGCACATCTGGTAGTTATAGCAATAGCTAGAGAAAAAAGGTGGGCTAAGAAGATGTGAGCCAGGGCATAAAATGTCTGTGACACAGAGGTATGTAACACCCACTTCAATTCACAGACGGGAACACTAAGGCTCAGGAAGGTTAAACAACGTAAGTCGAAGCACTGTGCATAAATATATGTAAGACATAATACCTCCCTTTGAGAAATTTTCAGTCCAGCAAATTGTGAAGTATTATATAATAAATAATTGCATGTAAGTGTTGATAAGGTCATACGACCATCAAGTGACAAAGATAAAAATAGAATGAGGTCTATTTGGCTTCCAAATCTGTATTCATTTTAGTGTACAGATATGCCTCAGGATTTCTTATGTATACTGCATACTAGAATTTTTGTTAAATTATTTGCATGCCCGTTATCATTGAACATTTGTAGGGATCTAAATAGTGGGCATTCTCACCCCCCATTTGTCAGATAAGGAAGTGGCCCTTTCTTGTACACCGTCTTATGCCCTAGATGCATTACGCTTAAAGAAGACATTGCTTTGTAGAGAAGGGTGACCTCACACTGATAAAATCAATGTGGACAAGTATGGAAATGCAGGCACAGGATAATGCAATATATTGCTAGAAACAGGAGAACCCAGTGACCAATTCCATTAACTCCATCTTCATCCTTCCACAGTGTGACTAATTAAGATATGGTCTGGTACTGAATAGCTCAACTCCTTTTAAGAGTAGCTTGTGAAACTGTGGAAACTATCTAAAAATATATAACTAATGTGAGACAAATAATGTTGTTACAAGGGAATTGATAACCAAGGATAATGGGAAAAGCAAGAAATAGCAAGTTGGAGCTAATTAGCAGGGAATGCCCCCTGACACTGAGAGTGGCGAGCCAGGATAACGGTCTCCTGAGGGGAGTGGCAGAATCACCATCAGTTAGTACATTTAAAAATAGGCAACAGAGCGCTAGAAACAGAGCTATTGGGAATAATCTTGCATTAGGCAGGAAAGGAGGTAATTGACTAAGTGACCTAATATTAAGAGCTTTCTTTCTCATGAATTTCTAGAATTCTAAAAAAATATATAAAACCTTATAGGCTGTATACAGAAATGTAGGTACCTAATGACTGGAGATGCCTAAATATAGCCTCAAATTATTCATAAATGCAAAATGAGAGCAGCCGTGCCCCAGATGGAGCATAATACGAGGGTCAGAGGAAATGTAGGAGACGGACAGGGAAAGCTGAAGCACTGTTAGGAATCAGATTTCTCTGATGCTCTCAGTTGGGGCCGTGCCCAAGTACATGTGAGCTGTGCAAAGGCTGTATTAGTTAATCACTTAGCTCTTTCTTCCTTTCCTCATTCGGTCCTACTCTACCGCAATGTCAGAGTTTACAAAGACCACTATTTACAAAGACCACCTGTACCATCCCTATCTCCCAAGTCAGTGTTCTCCTTTCCTTGAAACCGGTTCATGGCATGGTCTTAAAGCACTCTTTCTCAAGGAGTAGGCAGTCCAAAGGCTTGACTCTAAGCCGTAGGAAGCCTTGCTAAAAATGCAGATTTCAGGATCTCACTGCAGCAGAGCGTCTGGGGCAGGGCTATGAATCTGCATTTTTAAGACGTTCCCTATGTCTTAAAAATAATTGTCATTGTTAAATTGGAGAAACTTCCCCTAGGGATGGGCACACTGGCTAAACCAAAAGAAACCACAGGGGAGGGAAGTGTAACCCAGCTTCCTCCCTGCTTTCCCTGATTTTTCCTTACTCCCAACCAAATAAGATCTCCTTTAAGTTTCATAAAACTCTTATAAGTATGCACATACACTCACCTATAATCTACATTATGTCTACTTGCAAAAGGCTTTAATAGAATTTTCTTGTTTGTCTAATATGCTAATTATTTATCTGCTTTGTATTTGTGGTGCTGGTTTAACCCTTTGGAGGACAGGGATTATGTTTAAATCATCTTTTTTCTTTTTCTTTTTTTTTTTAAATCATCTTTCCTTCACAATTTTGTGGTAAAGAGTGGATATTCTTATTCAATACAACTAAGCCAGAAATGTAAAAAAAAAAAAAAAAAAGTAATAAAAACAGGGCATGCAATAGGAAGCCAGGGCATGTTAGCTTTGCCAGTGTGAGAAGGCATAGTCTGAAGGCTGAACACTTAGCTTGGGGTCAAGACCTGGCTTTTGCTTCTAGCTCTACCAATCATCCCATATGAAAATTTGAGCCAATCATATGGCTTCTCAGTTTCCCTCCCTGTAAGCCAGGATAACAATCACTTTCTTACTTTTCTTATAAAGTAGCTGAGAGAGTAAGCATGATAATATCACTATTTAACATCACGTTTCACTTACGACAGCTAAAAATGACATCAACATTATCAACATCATCATTTTACAATCTCCAAACCACTGAACAGAAGTTCAATCTGAGTTCCCCAGAGATAATTATTTTACCTTATACCAGGACATCCAAGAAAGGATATAACAGGAAAAAACAAAGATTCCAAGAATTACATCTAGTTAAAAGGTATATCAGTAATCAGTCTTCTAATACAATTCCCCAGATAATGCTAGCTATAGGGACAAGAAAAATAATTGGCATTGTTTAATTTTTGACATGCTACCTAATGAACAGCTAAACCATTTTCATAGAAGGCAAAATTACAGTGCTGCTGCTGGTGCAGCTACTGTATCTAAAGTTAATTGGATTTTCTATTATGATGAGGCTTGTTTTTCAGAATTTAATCTCAATTGCTCTGAGTTGATAGTGAGACAAGAGATATACAGGGCATGTGGAGTAAATCACGGGTTGGGGAGGAACCTCATTAGGTCAAAGAATTCTCAGGTATATTGGGGTGTCACAATGTGCAAGCAGGAACTAGGATTTGTGTAGAGTATATGTCTTCTAAACATGAAGATTTTCAGGAGGGAAAACTGACTGCTTGTTATTGTAGCCTCTCTCTCTCTTTCTCTTTCCTCCTTCCCCTTCTCCTTCCCTCTCTCTCTCCCTTTCTTTTTCTCTCTCTTCTTTCATCCCCTGTCTTTCTCTCTCCCCTAGGCAGAGTAATGCATTTTAGTTCCATTAGGATGTTGAGTGTTATCTGTGCAGACTGCAACAAAACAGCCATACCAACTTCTTTTCTAGTTCAAGGGATTGCTCTACAAATTACCTAATTTAGCATGAGTTTCTCTGCTCTGGTGTTTTGAAACATGAAGAGAGTTTTCGAAGTAAGAGAACCAATTTGAAAAAGGCTCTAGCAGTTGGTAATGGGCCAGGAGACAATGGGGCTTTCCCAGTTGTGAAATGAAAACAACAGTGAACAAGGGCGTGGTCACATGTAAGCAGGGCTGTACACCTGGGCCTCAATGGCCAGAAAGAGAGTCCCTGGGCAGGGTTTGGGTGAGCAGATGGTCCCAGGGCACTCAGAGATCTGAAGGGGTTCAGAAAGGCCACTTGGCCTAGCCTTCCATAAAGGAAGCAGCTTCAGTTTAAAATTTTGACATTTTCTATGATAAAAAAGCTAATCATTAAGTCACTGTGTCTATTCACATGTATTAGAGGCATTAATTCATTAAGAGCAAACATTTAAAATACATCATATTTTGTTAGCCTTATTGTGGTATTTCCTTATTTTTTAAGTTAAGAAGAGTCTTAAAAAAAAGTGACCATGGGCCTCTTTAGACTTCTAGAGGCCCTGACTACACATGGAGACTGCTGGAGGGACTGACTCAGTGAGGAGTCCCTGCATACATGCTCCTTGCAGATGTGGGAGGAAGCTGAGGGAGAGAAACTAGGAGGGCAGCTGGTGAGAGCCACAGACTTAGGCAGGTTCCAAACTCTTTCAAAAGCACTTCTCCAAATATCTGCCCTTTAATGGTCCCGAACCAAAAATATAGCCTCTGTTTATATCAATTTTTATGTTAAACCTACTCAAATATTTGTTCCAATGAAAGAATACAAAAACATTGCCTGACACTTAAATTACTTAAAACAATTGAATAACAATGGATAAAACTGCAAATTTAAATGGAAGTGGGCTCCAGAAACTGCAAATTGCAGTTCAATCATAATTCCCCATTACAAAGTGTATCTTAACCATGCAATAGCAACAAACTTATATGTAGATAGCACTTTACAGTTTAGAAAGCATGCACATGTATTTTATCTCAAGTTCCCTCAATAGAACAATATATAATGTCTACACATTTGGGCTTTGCTTTAAGGGGAAAATTGGTCTTAGTAATATGTTTGGAGAGTCATAATTTCATACTACAGATGAAAATCTGAAGGTAGAGACAAGACTCTAAATCCTGGTGGAATCTAGAAAAAAATTGACCTTACAGATGTCAAGGTGTCAAGGTGTATTTTGGTACTATGTAGGTGCATGTCTAATTCACCCAACAATTCGCCAAGGGCTACCTGCATTGTCATTGCATACTATAAGTCAGACTGAAAGCAGGGAAGGCAGGTGAAGCTCTGCCTTCCCCACTCATCTCCTGGATGGGTAGAGCAATGATGTGCCACACCTCATTTCCTGTTATCCCCACTTCAGGGCCCCCGGCCTATCACAACTGCAAACCCCAAACTTCTCTCTATAGATAATATACTACTAGAAAAATGTCTACTGTCCCCTTACAATCTAGTAAATTAAAATATATTCCCTGTCCCTTTAGCATTGCATTTTTGGAAGGCTTCTCACTTCAAATTTGGAAAATAACAAGGAAATGTCAATAGTCTTTAAAAAGTCTCCAAAAGTACTTCTTGTAGCGTCAGCCTCTCTTAAGAATCTTCGGCCGGGCGCGGTGGCTCACGCCTGTAATCCCAGCACTTTGGGAGGCCGAGGCGGGCGGATCACGAGGTCAGGAGATCGAGACCATCCCGGCTAAAACGGTGAAACCCCGTCTCTACTAAAAATACAAAAAATTAGCCGGGCGTAGTGGCGGGCGCCTGTAGTCCCAGCTACTCGGGAGGCTGAGGCAGGAGAATGGCGTGAACCCGGGAGGCGGAGCTTGCAGTGAGCCGAGATCCCGCCACTGCACTCCAGCCTGGGCGACAGAGCGAGACTCCGTCTCAAAAAAAAAAAAAAAAAAAAAAAAAAAAAAAAAAAGAATCTTCTACTTGTTCTCTGCACTTTTAGAGGCATGCCCAGCAACAAGAATGTAACGATTGCATTTTAACACTTCATTCATTTTGCTTTCTAAAAGAAGATTAAATGAAGGATATTAAGTCCCCTCCACATGCTAAGAATTCTGAGGAGTAACTTCAGGATGAAAACATATATGATCCTGCTCTTCTTCCCTAGGTATCCAGATGTTGAACTTGGACTGTGTAAGTCTCTTCCAGATATAGTTTGGATATCTGTCCCCACTAAGTCTCATGTTGAAATGTAGTCCCCAATGTTGGAGTCACAGCCTAATGGGAGGTGTTTGGATCATGGGGGTGGATCCCTCATGAATGGTTTGGGCCATCCCCTTGGTGATGAGTGAGGTGTCACTCTGAGTTCACATGAGATCTGGTCATTTACAAGTGTGTGTCATCTTCCCCACCCACCCCCTCCCCCCACTCTCTTTTGCTCCTGTTTTCGCCATGTGAGATGCCTGCTTCACCTTTGCCTTCCACCGTGAGTCAAAGCTCCCTGAGGCCTCCTCAGAAGTCAAGCAGATGCCCATGCCATGCTTTCTGTAAAGCCTGCAGGACTGTGAGCCAGTCAAACCTCTTTTCTTTATAAATTACCTGGTCTCAGGTATTTCTTTTCTGGTTTTTGTTGTTGTTGTTGTTGTTGTTGTTGTTGTTGAGACTGAGTCTTGCTCTGTCTCCCAGGCTGGAGTGCAGTGATCTAGGCTCACTGCAACCTCTGCCTCTGAGGTTCAAGAGATTCTCCTGCCTCAGCCCCCTGAGTAGCGGGGATTACAGGTGCACACCACCACACCCGGCTAATTTTTGTATTTTTAGTAGAGATGGGGTTTTGCCATGTTGGCCAGGCTGGTCCCAAACTCCTGACCTCAAGTGATCTGCCTACCTTGGCCTCCCAAATTGCTGGGATTCCAGGCATGAGCCATCATGCCCAGCCTCAGATATTTCTTTATAGCAATGCAAAAACAGCCTCACACATTCCCATACACAGTTGCTTCTTGAGTTTTTCTCACTCCTCTCTTCATCTGTGATCCCACTGTTGTCTGAACCACTCACATACCCCCTCTGGTCCTAGATTGCCTTTCTTAGTCTCAGTTCTACTCCTAGGTCATCAGGCTCTTTCTCAAATCTTGTCCAAATGGCACTTAATAACTACTTCCAGAAAACCTTTTAACTAATAAAGGAGGAGAGGGTTATTTTGTTCAAACCAAATCCTTTAAAAAATACAGATCTACCACTGTTCTACTTTGTTTTGGTGTAATGGCAATATTTTTGCAGGGACCTAATTTTCATTTTTTCACTAACAAACCTTTCTTTCAATTCCACTGGTTAGTCTTCCTGAAACCAACATCTTTTCCCAGTTTTCCCAATGGAATCTTAATCTTCTCGGTTAAATTCAATTTCTTATTCAAACGTCTAAATGATCACCACATCAATATAGACAACATGTAATGATTCATTATCAGTATGTATCAAATATAATTCTTAATGTGTAATTATGAGTACCTCATCCCTTGTACATGCTTCATCTAGTAGTCTTACCCATGCCCGAACCAATCTTATTTAAAAGTAAGACATGGACAAGCAAGGTCCAAAACCAAAGTCTTCTCAAGAGTTTCCCACTCAACACAACCCCACGGAGATGAATAAGCTTGGAAGGCAATTCTAAGTGGTTCCAGAGCAAGAGCTCAAGTGAACAATCAGAAAATAGTTTGGTAGAGAGATATGTTTTTAAAAAATACTTGGGGTACAAACTTAATTTATGTGGCAGGAATATTTCATTACCTCAACCAGCCAACATTAAGTGAGTATCTAGGGATGAAGATTAAAATGGTGTAGTTCCAGCCACCAAAGATATCACATTTTAGCCAAAAAACTGACATTGGAAACAGAGATCTAGGGCCTTCTAAGGCATTTCAGAAAACTATTGTTCTTCCTATTTTTCATGGAAAGAAACCACTGTATCTTAGCAAGAGTAAGGGACCGTGCTAGGGTTATAAGACATGGCAGCAAGTTGGTCAGGATCCACACGGAAAGACTGGAGATGAAGGGGACATGGTTTTCAAAGCACTTGAGACAGAGGAATTAGTCACAGACTTCCTCTTAACCATAGGAGTGCGTACAGGTTTTCACTAATATTTTTAATACATAAATTTGCATTTTAGTCAAACAGCTGGAACATAATAATATCTTCTTGATTAGACAAAAAGGTTTTTTCTCTGAAAATTATTACAAAAGGAACCTAACACAGTCCCTAATTATTAAGGTAGTGAAAAAATGTAGTAAATACTAGGTGTGGTGTTGGTGGTGTGTGTGTACGTGAGCACGAGATAGGTCAGTATTCCATTTATTCTGAGCATATCTCCAGATATATATCATCCTTCTTATTCCTATATCGCATGTCATATGAACCCAGACTCTTGGTCAAAACAAGCCCTGACAAGGCAACTAAACATAAACGAAGCACTCTGTAACAGGTGCAACAAGAAAAGCACCATTTTTTTTCTGAGCACACCTTGCTACTCCCTGGAGCAATTCATAGTCCTTAGTAAGGTTCTTTGCTTCCCTAGGAGATTTTTCTAAACTGTAGTCTTATGTACCAAAAAGCAATATCCTAGTGCATGTTCTAGAATTAGGAGTTTAAGTACATCAACATTAAGTTTGTACTTAATGTACTAAATTAAACAGCTTATAAATTTAGAATGGTATTTCCTTGCCTTTCTTTTTCAGTTCAACCTCTAGAGCATAGTTAGCATTCACTTAGTATTTATGAGTGATAATCCTTACCAGTATGTGGCAAAGATTTGAATGTGATATTATGCAAACAAGAGTCACACTTTATGCATACAGCATATACACTGCCTGCTGAAATCATGTCTTGACAGGGGCATATATTTGGAGAAAATCACTAGCACTCATTATCTTCAGCATGCCTCGCCATTCATTTATTGACTGACTTATTCATTCAAATATTTATTGAGCCCCTACCCTATTCCAGATACTCTTTTTGCCTACACAACAACTTTTCCCTTCCATGTGGCACAGCCCAAATTTAGCTCTGACATCGACTCTTGCCACACATGGCTCGGCTAAAATCCAATTGATTTAAACCAATCTTGATCTTATTCTCTTTGTAAGGGGTTGATTTCCTGAGAAGTACAAATCCCAGCACTGGCCAATGAAAACTGAGAGGAAGTCTGGTGGGGGGCTTCTGGGAAAGGTTCTTTGCTCTTAGAAAGATTCGTATAAGGAAGGAACTGTCTGCGATGGTTAGTTTTATGTGTCAAGTTGGCTAGTCTATAGTATCTGGTGGTTCAATTAAACACTAATCTAGGTCTGACTGTGAAGGTATTTTATAGATGTGCTTACCATCTACAAGCACTTGACTTTAAGTAGAGAGGGTTATCTTTCATAATCTGGGTGGGCTTCATCCAATCAGTTTGAATGGCTTTAAGAGCAAAAATGAAGCCTCCATGAGGAATGAGAAACTTTGCCTCAAGACTGCAGCATCAGCTCCTGCCTGAGAGTTTCCAGCCTGCCAACTCACACTGGATTTTGGACTTGCCAGCTCCCCAAATCACCTAAGCCAATTACTTGGAATGATACGTATGTCCTTCTAGTTCTGTTTCTCAGAGAACCCTAACTGTTACACTGTCTTTTTTCAGTCTCTAGAAATTCAGATGAAAGAGTATAAACATGGGGAGAACGTGGGTCTTTGACAATGTGATTGAGTTGCTGAGTTAATCAACTCTAGACTCCCTTATTTGGGACTTCTTGTGATGAGAGAACAAATCCCTTCATTCTTTAAGCCTTTATATGTTGGGTCTTCTGTTACTTGAAGCTGAAAGCAACCACACTAACACAGAAACCACCAGAAAACAATGAGTATCATACATAAATAGAATCACAATTAGCCAACCACAGAGAGTTTAAGATAAGGACATGATGGTCTTTGGTTCATTTTCTTTCAGATAATGAAGAACTTACTATCACTGGCTAGAAGGTCAGACTAAGTGCGTGCATTTAAGAGTCCAGAAATTAATTATCATCTCTTTATATTTATAAGACATAAAAGTAGAAAAAGAAGTGCAGTAAAAATATCTTTTCCTACAGTGATAGACTGTTTCATTCTATGGAAGGAAATCTTGAAAACAGTATTCATATTCAGAAAATAATGAAGCTGTGGTTAATGGATTTGGAAATTATTCAATAATTATCTTGTTCTTTATTTTACAATTTTGAGGCCTTACCAAGAAAGGATCATCTGCACGATTTCTCATTTTAATGGCTCATAACTGGCTATTTTAGTTCTATTCCACACTCGGGGTTACAGTTAGAGTAAAATTACAAACAGCTGTGATTCCTGCCCCAAGAAGATGTGTAGGTGTGTGCAAAATGCTTAATGTCTTCTGAACCCAACAGGTGTTGCATGGGCAGTGTATGCTGGAATGAAATAAATTCACTCTCAGGCTGAAACTATGTAATCTAGTTGAAACTATGTAATCTAGTTGCTAAGATTTGGTGTTGTGAGTTACACACATATGAAATGGCATGTATGACAGAAACACCGAAATACTCTTAAAAAGTGAAGCCTACAGTTCACTGTTGCATCATCTTCACAAGTTAATCATTTCTAGAAAATTTCACTTACTTTGAATAACAACTACACAGAAGTACAAAACAGTAGGTGGGAGCCTGTGAGGAGTGACAGACGGCAATTTGCGGGGTTCTCTTTCCTGGACCCACTCAGTACGTTTGAGGAATGTTGCAACTGCATACAGTTTTAAAAACTTGTTTGAACTTTTGTTGGGTTTGGTTTTAAGTGGAAGGTTGACTTCCCCACTTTAAAAGAAAGTTTTTTGTTTATTGTTTTTTTTTAGGAATGCAAACTACATTTTACAACAAACATTTAAATTGCACTCATTTTTCCTTTATGTCCAGTAATAAGATGGTGGTCACTGACATTTATGGAGCACTTATCATGTACTCAGTGTGTTGGAGCTGGTGATACAAAGATGGAGAAAACTGCAGTGATTTCCAGTGTAACAGGATATTGTAAAAAATAAAAAACTCTTCCTTATAAAGTGATGTTCTACATTATTTGGGTAAACAAATGCATAAGAAAAGGTAACATTGTAGCCAACATCTCTTTTCTCTACTGATTTGGGTTATTAACATCCAGAAACAAAGGAAGGTCTTAGAGCTACTATTGAACTATGTCAGATGATGAGTCCTAGCAAAAGTGTAAACTCCTGTGGCTCCCGCAGCCTCCAGGAAACACAAGCCACTTGAGAAGAAGATCAAATGACTTCTTTCCTCATGGGTCAGTCTGAACTTACTCTTAACATCCTTCCTATGATAACTTGATTAAGCTAAGCATCATATATGAAACCAGACTCCTTAAGATAACTTATTAACCTATCTAGAAATTAAATATCTACTTCTGTTTTCTCAAAATGCAGCCCAGTGACCATGTGTAGGAGACTCCTGTGATGCCCAGAGCATTGCTGCTTTCCATCTCTCCAGGTCTACAAAAATCACAATTTTCTGGGGTAGGGCCCAGAATGTTCATTTCTCACAAGCTCTCTGGGGGTGATTTTACATTCACTGAAGTTGATGAATAGATAACCACTGCTATTTGGTCAGATAGATACCTTCTCTTCCCAACTCACTGATCCCAGAGGCTGACCTATAGGGAGGCATCCACTAGGATCTCCCCCTCTCTGGCTTCTGATTGGCTCTGTGGCCGGTGGACTTCCCAGTGGCTAATCGCAGGAAAGGGGGAGGGTAAACAAGGTATTTGTTTCCTGGGCTTCCTCTTTGCTGTGTTGCTTGCAGATGCCTTCTACATCTCATAGGATTTTCTCTTTCCCAATTCCCACAGTGACTCAGGCCTCTTGTCCCTTTGGGCCCAGATGTGATAACATCTCCTCTGATGTTACTCTCCCTGGAGCATTGCACTATTCCCCTAACCCTGCCTGCACTTTGTAAACAGTCCCTCTGTAAATAAACTCTCCTCCAATCTAATGTGAGTCTGCCATTTCCTTTCTATAGAAATCTTGACTGAAACAGATATGGTTAGTAATATTTTGTAACTATGTAATATTTTATGGCTTGTACATTTCTTCTATATTTATTTTTTTATTTTTACAACATAATATGGTTTAAGTAGGTTTTTTTAAAAAATCAACATTTTATGAATAAGAAAACTGAGGCCAAGAGAAGTTAAATAAAATGTCACCCAGCTGGCCAGTGGGAGAAGCAGAGAGCAAGCCTGGTTTAATGCCTTCATTTGTAACTCTTTTCACTTCTTCAAGCTGTCAATCCCCCTCCTTCCCCACCACAAGTTATATAAACTGATACCATTACCTGATACAAGTACAATTGAAGTTATATTGTTTTCTTAACATAAACACTGAAAGAATCCACGTATTTGTTTCATTTGAGGCTAAGACCCCTCTGAGGAGTGGGAGAGAAAGGCTCTCACAGGCAAGCTTCTTGGCAGTGTTGCACATGATCTTATGCATCTGCCTCTTCCACAACCTGGTCTCTGAGGATCCTTCCATCCAACAGTGGCTTAACCACTCACTCCTTTGGCTCCCTCTATTCTGAGGCAGCCTCTACCATAGAATCCCTAATAGTTTCGTCTGTATCTCTACCTCTTCCTGCAGATTGGCAGCTCCCTAAATGCAGGGTTCTATTTTGTTTTTTCCATTTGCTACTGTATCTCCAATTTGTAGCCTAATTCTGGGTGCACAGTAGATGCTCAATAAGTATTTGTTAACTGAATAAAAGAGCATCTATATGTCTGGTGTATCCGTATACCAGTACATTATAAAATCATGGGGCTACACACAGTGGTTCATGCTTGTAATCCCAGAAGTTTGGGAGACTGAGGCAGGAGGATCACTTGAGCCCAGGAGTTCCAGACCAGCCTGGGCAACACAGGGAGATACTGACTCTACCAAAAATTAAAAAAATTAGCCAGACATGGTAGTGTACACCTGTGGTCCCAGCTACTCAGGAGGCTGAGGTGGGAGGGTCAACTGAGCCATCCCAGGGGAGGTTGAGCCTATAGTAAGTTGTGCTTGTGCTGCTGCACTCCAGCCTGGGCAACAGAGTGAGACCCTGTCTCAAAGATAAATAAATAAAATATCGTGGAGTCACTTCCTACTTCTCAGTCTTTCTTATCCTCTATTCTCACCGGTTGCTAATTTCTGTTTATTCTACTTTTGGAATCTCTGTTAGATACGTTTATTCCTTCTCATTCTTACTGTCACTACCCTAATTCAGGGTCTCAGTGCTGTTTCCTTGAAGTCAGTTGTAAAAGTTTTGTAAAGTAACTTCTCCTTTTTGCCTGCACGCATGCCAGAGTGGTCTTCCTAGAGTCGACCTCCGATCATCTTACTCATCACAAGCTTTTAAGGGCTACAAAGCAACAATTAAGACACAGCATATCATTCAATGCCAAGAACCTTGCTACACATTTATTTCCCCAAACATCCTTTTATATCCTCTTCTTTTGAGCCCCCCTGAACTCCATCCTGTCTGTCTTCTAGTTTCTTCCCACCTCCATGCCTTTGCTGGTACTATCATAACATCTGAAATACCTGTCTTTCTCTGGTCTATTTGTGTACAAGGCTATGGTATGAAGCCACTTCTTCCATGAAATATTTCCCAATTGTGCTCTTGCTAATCTTTTTTTAGAAGTAATTTTTTTCTGGGTTTGAATTCTCATAGTACCTTATCTATATCATTTTAGTAGTATTTAATACCATCTGTGTATTAGGATTATTTATGCTACCACTCTGTGTCTCAAACAAGACAGTAAGATACTTAAGTTCAAGATACATATTTAATTATCTTTGTATCTTTCTTATTATTAATACATATGGTATTTCATATTTAGGACATATTGATAAATATTTGCTAAATTAATATGTGTAATTGCATAAATAAAGCATTGACAAGAAATGGGGCATCTGTATCAATGCAAGGCTAGTGAATGAGGTGATCCTGAAGCATGAATATAAATCAGAGGGATACATCACTGTAGCAAAGACATAGAGGTAAAAGAAAGTGCCTGTGTCACTTGACCCCCAGAGAGGGTGTATTAGGGTTTTCTAGAGGGAAAGAACTAATAAGATATATATATGTATATAGCTCTCTCATATATTTGAGTTTCTTAAGTAGTATTAACTGACACCATCGTAAGGTCCCACAATAGGCCGTCTGCAAGCTGAGGAGCAAGGAAGCCAGTCCAAGTCCCAAAGCTGAAGAACTAGGAGTCTGATGTTCAAGGGCAAGAAGCATCCAGCACGGGAGAAAGATGTAGACTGAGAGGCTAAGCCAGTCTAGTTTTTTCACGTTTTTCTGCCTGCTTTATATTCCGGCCACACTGGCAACTGATTAGGTGGTGCCCACCCAGATTAAGGGTGGCTCTGCCTTTCCCAGCCCACTAACTCAAATGTTAATCTCCTTTGGCAACACCCTCACAGACACACCCAGGATCAATAATTTGCATCCTTCAATCCAATCAAGTTGACACTCAGTATTAACCATCACAGAGGGCTTGCTTGCCTGAGTAAGAGATGAGAACTAGAACACTAGACATCTGGGGAGAAGACCAGGAAGTTCACAGGGATAAGTGAGTTGGACTGGAGGGTGATGAGCAGATATTGAATGTGTTCCTTATGACACAAAATGGCAGACATCTTTGGAATAGGCAGAAGATAAACTGGAAGTAAAGGAATGTTGAAGATAATGATTACACAGTACTGTAATCAAGATCCAAATAACTTGATGTGGCAACAACAACAACAAAATGGCTGTTCTTGGGGACCAACAGTGAGTCGATGTGTGTGGGTGTTGATGGGATGTGGAAAGAGGAATCAAAGGCAGGCAGAGGTACATCAGGGATGACTCCACTGACCATGAGGGAAAGGCTCTGAGACTCAAGATGCTCTTGGATTGTTAATATCAGAAATGTGCAGTAGCAGCATTGACTTTGGGGATGGAGATTGCCTTAGTACTGGAGAGAGGTCAGGGCGGATGCTCAGTTCTGTGAAAGAGGTGATGGCACTCATGGACTTCAGAGGCCTCCTCTAGATGTGACAGTCATTGGATATCCATTTCAGATGGGAAATACTGATACTCCAAATAGTTTGTCTATATTATTCTTACAATTTATCTGGGTCACAGAAGAATTCCCTTCTTACTGCAATTAAACAATGAATATCTGATTCCATGCCTAAGAGTAATTCAACATGGAGAATAAGGCATTGGGAACTCCTGGATTTTTTTTCTAGGCTTTTAAATGCTTTACTGAACAAGTCTAATTGCTCAATTTCCCTGCCAGAATCTCATCACTGGTTAAATGAATTCAGTAGTATTCACTTCAAAGCAATATTGTGAAGCTTAATTAATGAATGTCTTATTTATAAATTCTGACAAAGAATTGTTTTACTTCAAACCTTCAGGATAAAACCAAATTGAACCTGAGTTTTTCTGTGTCAATGGCTTTTCAAAGAAACAGTCTCTCTTTCTCCCTCTGGAGAAATCAGCGTAAACAGGGTTGGAATTTATCTAAACAAAAGAATGGGGCATTTTCATCATTTCACCATAAAATGGAATTTTTCTTGGAAAGGAGGTGCTTTTGTATTCAGTGTTCAATTTAGACTTGACTTTACCTTCTCCCACTGCCTGTCAATTATCGAGGACTAGGGAACACTTAGATTTAAGTGGTAAGCAGAGTTTATCCAGGGAGACAGAATCAGGGCAAAGTTGCATATTACATTCATTTTTAAATTTCTGTTCCCTTGGCTGTCTGTGGCCTGTAACTATAGCTACATGGTCAAATATTGTTTTTTCATATCTACCTCTCTTGGGGTGTGTGGGCAAATGCCAAAGAACAAAATAGCTGGAATAGTTTTGAGAAATTTCTCCACGTTTTTAAAACCCATTCATTGTATGGGAGAGATGACAAATCTATGTAGAAATCCTGTTTGGGCCTCACACAAAAATAACCCCACAGTTCTCTGTGGTATTTGGCCATCTCCTGTTTTTTTGTTTCAGGGTGACACAAGGTTAGATAAACCACAAGCACCGTTCTACTGGAGTCAAGGTTACAGTAAAGAAAGAAAGGGTTGGTGAATGTCAAGGTCAGTGGTTGTGGAAAACAGAATGGGTGGTGAGCTATAAAAATGGGAGCTTGGTTTTGGCAAATTGTGAAGCAGGTAAAGATTGCCTGCAATATTCCCTCCCTTTTCCTCTCCCTACACACCTCCACTTCTCCCCTCTACCAAAAGCCTATTCTTCACATGGCTATCTGGGTCTCTGTGCGCTCAAGTCACAATGGAAACTAAAGTTCCATTGCTGAAGTACTGGCTGATGCTTGAGAGATGTGTGGAGGGTGCCTGTGGCTTAGGTCTATGCAGAGATGCCTGTGGGCCCCTTACATAGATAAATAGGAGGGGAAATAGCTTTGGCCCAGTTAGGGTGGGGTTGGATGTAGGTGGAGTTTCTTGCTGGGAATAGGGAAGGAGGACTTAGAAACTCAAATGCTAAAATTTTAGACCTATGCAAGCTAGTAAAAGAGCTGTCTTTGAACCCTTTAAAGCACAAGATGTAGAGTATTGCCTGAAAGCACAGAATAGATTACTACAACTAGGAGGAAAGAATCACTTGGTTGGGACAATCAATGGCCCTGGTACCCAGCCCCAGGGCACTACATTTAATTTTCAGAATTAAACCAAACATTTTCAGAGATTCAGAATCACCTTGATATTTTTCATGTCTAGTTTCCAGCTGGAATGATATTTCAAAGTGCCAGAATTCTCATAAGACAACTACATTTTACAAATATCCAACCAATTCTGCAGGAGAGAGAGGTTTGGATGACAGTTATTAACAATCCTGATAAACTTCATGAAAGCATCCACCATTTTGGCTTCTTGTCCTGATGGAATTATAACTCCTTTTGATTTTCCATCTCTATAACTTTTTGAAAGAATAATAGAGTGAGAAATGCTTTAAACTTATACAATTTACATCCCATAAACTTATTCTGTATAAAACTTATTGGCCCATTTTGGAAAGAAAAACTTTTTATTTTTATTTTTGGCAGTGGCTATAAATAGCTGTATCATTATAACACTGTGAAGAATCATGGACTGAGAAAAGCTGAAAAGAAAACAAGAAAAAATAAATTCCTGTTTTTATCTTATAGGGCAAATAAATATTGGATTTCTCACAAGAGGCCTATAAAGTATTTTATAAGCAATAAATCCTTAATCTCTTAAGGAGGCAGCATGCTATGTTGGAATAGGAATCAGAGAGCAGTTTGTCCTCTAACTAGCTCTGTAATACTGGGTAAATGTGGCAGGCACGCTTGATTGTCTACCCAAAAGCCATTCTTCTAGGCTAATAGCTCCCCTCATTAGTCAACTCCCCACAGCTTGACAAATTCTCACCCCAGGGATGGAATCATGATTGGTCCAAGCTAGTCAAAGGACACCCCTGTCCTTTGTCAATGAATGGGTTAGTGGTGATCATGTGATCCAGTCTGGCCAATGAGATGAGAGGGGAAGACAGCTGGGGCCTTTCTTCAAAAAACTTCTTTGCACTGTAAAAAGATCCCAGCACTTTGGCAGGCTGAGGTGGGATCACTTGAGCTCAGGAGTTCCAGACTATACTGGGCAACATGGCGAAACCTCATCTCTACAAAAAAATACAAAAATTTGCCAGGCATGGCGGCATGCACCTGTAGTCCCAGCTACTCATGAGGCTGAAGTAGGAGGATTGCTTGAGCCCAGGAGGTGGAGGCTACGGTGAGCTGTGATCACCCCACTGCACTCCAACCTAGGCTACCAAGTAAAGCCCTGTCAAAAAAAAAGAAAAAAAAGAAAAAAGAAAAAGAAACACAAAAGACATCAACTATCAGCTTAACTAAGTGATCCAACATGGCATCACCAAAAAAGGGGCAAAGTGACATCCGGAGTCTCCTGATGTGTTGCGATGTAAACTACATAATTGGTGATTACGACAAACCACCAATTCTTGACAAAATGTATAACTAGAGTTTGTTCATGAGGAAGCAGTCAAATCCAGGTTGTGTGATATTTTATTAGAAAACTGGCCTGGACTCTCCAAGAACATTAGTCTCTTAAAGGACAGGTAAAGAAAAGGTAGAGCAACTATTCTGATTATCGGATATCAAAGGTACTTAATCCTTGATTGAATCTTGGATCAAAGGGAGGAGAAACTGCTTCAAAAGATATTTTTGAGATAAATGAAGAAATTTAAATATGGACTATATTTTTAGATAAAGCTTTTAAAAATAAATTAAGTTTTTGGCATATATAACAATATTCTGATTATATAGAAAATGTTCTTATTCTTGGGAGAGTTACCCTGAAGAATCTCGTGGTAAACTATCACAAGGTCTGCAACTTGTTTTCAAATGATTTAATATGGGGGAGGGGAGAGAAAGCAAATGGCAACAGGTTAATCTAGTGGTTCACAGACCAGTAGCAATATCACCTAGGAACTTGTTAAAAATGCAGACCCTCAGGTCCCATCACAAAAGTAATGAATCAGACTTTAAGTTTTAGCAAAATTTCCAGGTGATTCTTGTGCACATTAAATCTTCTGGAGGGCACGTGGTATGGACAAACAGCTATATGATCTCAATATACAGACAAATGCATGAACTTTGTGGACAGAAACAGGAGAATGAAGTAGACATGCAGAGAGAAACAGAGGGGAGAAATTACAGGGCTCTAGACAAAAGTATTCCAGTTGCTATTGCTGCATAGTAGTATAAAGCAACAACAATCAGTTATAATTATCTCTCATAGTTCTGGGGTCAGCCAGGTGGTTCTCCTTGGGAGTCTCTCATGTAGCTGCTATTGGACAGTAGCCCTGGACTCATCTCAATGGCTTCCTTACCACATGTCAGATTCTTGGGCTGGAACAACTAAGGTTCCTTGGGTGTCTCTCTCTGTCTTCATATGGCCGTTCCAAGTAGTCTCTGCAGCAGGACAGCTTCAGGACAGCCAGACTTCTTATATGGATGCTCAAAGTTCCAAAAGGTCAAATTTCAAGATAGTGAGCCAGATGGAAGCCATATCACCTTTTACAACATAGCTTTGGAAATGTCCTACCACTATTCCACCATGACCCTGTTACTTGAGGCATTTACAAAGGCCCACATAGTTTCAAAAGTAGGGGGCATAGATTCTAGCTCCCAGTGTGGGAATGTCAAGGTTCAGGAAGAGTATGTAGGATGTAAAATATTGTTGCAGCCAATTTGGGAAAATACAATCTGCCACAGAAAAGAACCTCAATTCTGGATCATCAAAAGACATTGTCCAATTGTACTTATATTTCATTAGATATCTTATATATTTCTATAAAACCCACCTTTTCACTTTGTGTGTGTGTGCTAGATAGAGGGGTTTCTATAATTAACAATCAGAACAGCCTTGACTAGTGGGTATAAGTAACGATATTAGACATTCTTCTACTTGGCATCTGTCTTCAAAAAGAATCCATTTCAATCCTTATCTTATTCTAACAGGTCATGATTAGATTACTGGGAAGCACACACAATCTCTGATGGATACCTAGAAATACAGTAAGTCCAATGTGTCTAGCTGGTTGGTAGGACCCTTGCTATAGCAAGACAGCTAGCAAGTCTGGCTAGGCTCTAAGTCGCATACTCAGTAGTAAGCACCTGTATTGATTCTGTAGCTAACAAACTGCTGTTGCAATCTCTTGAGCAGTGCTTTTCTTGGTGTGGCTTTTCTTGGCTCAGGAATTTCATGCATCTGAATGTCATGGGGGAGATTATTAAGATGTAGATTCCTGAACCCTATTCATACACAATCTTTAGTGTATGAAGCCCAGGAATCTGCATTTTAAAAGCTTCCTTTGTGAAGCTCTTCCTTACATTTGTGTTCTCAAACTTTAATGTAAATCTGGGATGGGGCACGTGGTCCTGCATTTTTAAGGTGCTCCCCAGTGATGTTGCTGGTTAGTGCATCACACTTTAGTAGCAAGACCTTAAACAAGACCTCAAACTGTGGTCCCTGGACCAGCAGCATGAGCATCTCCTGGAAACTTGTTATAAATGCAGATTCTTAGGCTCTACTGCACACCTACTGTTATGGTTTTTCTGTGTCCCCACCCAAATCTCATATTGAATTGTAGCTCCCATAATTCCCGTGTGCCACGGGAGGGACCTGGTGGGAGGTAATTGAATCATGGGGATGGTTTTTCCCATGTTGTTCTCATGATAGTGAATAAGTCTCATGAGATCTGACAGTTTTATAAAGGGGAGTTCCCCTGAACATGTCCTCTTGCCTGCTGCCATGTAATACCTGGTTTCAGTATGTCTTTATTAGCAGCATGAGAATGGACTAATACACCTAGTGAATCAGAAACTCTAGGGGTAGGTTTAGCAATCTATGCTTTAACAAACCCTCTAGCTGATTCTGACGCTCACCAAAATATAAGAAGCACTGCCCTAAGGAACATCCCATTGATGGAGAGCAGAGGTTCCCAGGCACAATTTATTATCAGAATCACCTGGAGTGAGAGTGCGCCTTCTATAGGTTTCTAGACATCCTCAGGAGATGCTAATTCTATAGGTCTGGGCTGGGCCCTGGTGATTCTGAAATCAGCCAGGCTAGACAACCACTGGTTTAGAGTGATTAGCAGGGCAGTAATGCAGAGGCAAGGCTGATGCAGTCTGATGGAGGATGCCGGGGAGGAAGAAGAGGAGGGATCAAAAATAAATTTACAGTTACTTAAGTGATTACTATGTAACAAGCCCTGAGCTGAGTTGTAATTGTTGTTGTTTTTAGAGACAGGGTTTCACTATGTTGCTTAGGCTGGCCTTGAACTCCTGGACTCAAGAGATCCTCCTGCCTCAGCCTCCCAAGTAGCTGGGACTATAGGTGGGTGCCACTGCGCCCAGCTCTGGACTGGAGGTTTTATACAATGACATTTAATTCTCCTCCTATAGATGTGTTTTTCTTATCAAGCTGCCCTACATGGCAAGTATTATTACCTTCATTTGATACATCAAACACTAAAGATAAAATATGGCAAATAATTTTTCTAAAGTTATACAGCTAGTAATGGAACCAAAAATTAAAACCGGATTTCTGTTACTTTGAATCTCCTTGCACTTTACTCTGTAATCAAAAAAGAACTTCATAAGGTGGTTGAAAGGAAGTCTGGAGATCATGATGAGGGGCTGGCTGAGGGAGGCCACCACGGTCAGTGAAGCATTGAATTAATGGTATACACACCAGTTTCCCCACCTAGACAGTGGTTTTCTGGAAAGAGAGATATATGTTGTCATTTCTTTATTCACTCAACAAACATCTATTGAAAATCTGTAATGCACTAAATGCTCTTCTCAGTACTGCAGATACAGTAGTGAGAAAAATGTCCAGGTAGGTTATGAGGTTATGATCTTATTTATCTTTGTTTCTCAGTACTTACTGAAGCAGATGTCGCTCCATAGATGCTATATGATTACTGCCTTATGCATTATCTATGGATGGATAATCTAGAATTAATTGTAGAATTAGCCACAGCTAAACTACTGTGCCATTGTATTAACCAGTATCTAATTACATAAAGCTCTAATTTTTCTTCCTACTCTGTTTTATGGGGGGTGCATATTGATGATAATTACTAGCATAACCAGAAGACCAAGAAATGGAATTTCTTATTTAGCAGCCATCAGTAAAATTTTCTAGGAAGAAATTTATAAGTTCAACTGAATTGTTGTAAATGAGTCTTGGAAATCAACTAAAATGTCATTGATTTTTCTTACTGGTTCTAGCTGTGGGACTAATAGAGAGATTGCTGACCATCTTTCATGTGTTTCTTTCAAATACACTTTCCTGAAATGTTCTTTTCAGCAAGACTTTAATTGCCTCTAGATTGAAATTAGACACAGTAGTCAAGAACTTTTAAAATAAAGATACAATGAGAGGAGTCCTGAAAAAAATAAACATTTAATATATTGAATTTTAAAAATAACCTGTGAAAGATTTGCCTTACTAATGTTATGAATGGAGTGCATAAAGAATACTGCTGGAGACAGTATTCTTCTCATTTGGAAAAGATACGGTTATACCATTGATATTCCAAGTTTTTGAGTCTCACTCCATACCTTCTATGTCTTTCCCTTAGGAAGGTCTTGGAAGAGAAACAGTAGTGCTATTGTTTAGGCTTGAGATGATTAAGAGGCAAACTAGTAGCCATCTGAGGATCCTTGCAGCATTTGCTCATACTTGATGGTTACTAACCATTCTCCATATTAAGTTGGTTATTTACAAAAACTTCACCTTGCAAAGTGTACCTCCAGGTGGGAGATGTAGGAGAAGGAATGACATCTGTGGTCATTTGATATATATTATTTCCATTTTATAGGGAAGAAATCACCATAATAAGTAATGTTTTCAAGGTCACATAGCTAATAAGCATCGGCATAGGATTGCCTGACTGTAACATGAAGTCATTCCACAATATCTGAAGGAAGAATTCTTCAGAAAGGGAATATGTTATATTTGAAGGAGAGACCTAAGAGGTTATGGTGGTTTCCAATACTTGAAACTAAAACAGATTCTAATATATCTGGAGTAATCCTTATGCTCCAATATTTCATTCCCCTCTCCCACTGAAAATGAGGGAAATGACACAGATCAGACACTGGCATTGTTTTCTTTGATATTTGGGACTATAGAACGCAGAGTTTGCATTCCTGACTTTCCTTCTGTGACCCCTCTGTGCTGTTCATATACTTCCTGTAAACATGTTCCTCCCACAAAACTGTAGCTTCCTAGAGCAGGATGGAGCTTTCTTTATCCCTGCATCTCTAGCTGTTGGGAGAAGGAATCAATAGTTTGTTTTACAGTAGTACTTTGATCTTTATTTTATTTCTTTCTTTTGTCTTGTTCTGTCACTCAGGGTGGAGTACAGTGGCACAATCAAAGCTCACTGCAGCCTTGAACTACTGGGCTCAAGGGATCCTCCCACCTCAGCATCCCTAGTAGCTGAGACTACAGGCACATGTAACCACACCTGGCTATACTTTGATTATTAACAAGTTCAATCTTCTGGAAGCACATTGGCAATATATCCAACAAAACTGAATGACTACCTGGTATGTGCCACTGGAGGAAGCATGCTAGGCATAGGAGACAAAATGTCAATGAGAAACAGTACTGTCCTGGGGCTTTCTTGCTGTGGAGCTCCAGGGGCAGCAATTACACACCATAGTCCGCATGCCTGGAGCTGTGCCAAGCAACCTGTGTGGCCATCAGTGTGGGCCCTGATGTACCCCTTACCTCAAATAGACACAAATTATATGATTTTATGCACCAAAAATAAATAAATGTGCTGTGTCTATGCATGCGACTTGAAGGATGAGCATGTGTTTAACATTACCCCATCCCATCTTCAGATTCAGGGCCATCTGATTTTACAAACTGCGGTGGAAAATTTAATGAAGCATAGGGGTAGCACAGAAGGATGTGTTCTTTCAAAGAATCACATTCAACCTCCTCAACCAGAACACTGTCCTTTCAGAATCGATAGCTTTGTAGTAATACTCTGAATTTGTAGCTGTAATTATGAACAGTTTTCTTTCCTTCTCCATGCTGTTCTAGAATGGAGAACAGGGACAGACCCCACACCCTCAGTGATGGGAGCCAAATGACAGAGACCTGTGTGCCTACTCTTTCCTCCCTTTTCTCCTTTTTGTTTGCTTCATCCCTGAATAATCTTTCACCATTTGTCTAAACAACATTGTAGGAGGTTTCTAGTGGATCCATATACTGCACTTTCAAAACAACATTTTATCTCCCTGACTCACAGGCAGAGAGGGAAAAAAACACACCAAAACAAACCCCTACACATTCAAAATAATCTGCAAGGAAAGCGTGCATTGAAAATCATATTGCCATATAATTATCCTGTTTATAATCTCTCATACGTCTTTTCTCAAAGAAAAATGCAGATTTGGAAACAAAGCAGGAAGAAGATGCCAGAAAACCCTGGCAAGGCTCTGACCACTGCCTGCTTAGGAATGGCCGCAGAGGGAGAGAAATGTGTTTGCAATTAGGACGACCCAGAGCAGGTCCGATTACATCTGCACGCAGCCACGCTGAAGAGATTTCCAGAGTGAACTTATCGTGTGGGCCTAAGTGGATAAAAGGCAACTTAGGCTGGAGCCATTACAAGAAAATAAATGGGGCCTCCCGCCTTCCACTCTCGAGCTGCCCTTGTTGGGCTCACTCTTACCTCTTGAATTAAGAGGTACAAAATCACCATGATTTGGGGCCCTCTTACATTATAGTTTACAAGATTTTCATGCATTTTTCAGCAATGGACCAAAAAAAGGGGAAATAAAACAAGTGTTGTGAAGTGGTTTCCATGCTGCATGCTGACTCTGATTTTCGGAATGACCTGTGGATGTTAAAGAGATTGCAGCAAGACCCTGAAGCAGCCCAGTGGTTATCCCACCTCTCTCCTTCCGGGGACAGTACTCACATTTTGCTTCCAGGCTCTTAACACACCCACCATTGACTCTCTCCAATAATCCCTGGCAAGACAATTAGCTTAACCCACTTTTAAAGACAAAGCAAGGAGTTCTTGGTAAAGAATTACAGAAATTAAGGTTTCTCTCCCTTGCCACAATGTTCTAACACAAAAATGCTTCCATCAAACTAGCTGCCACTCCCTTGATTAAAGAACAAAAGCAAAACAAAACTTTGAGCTCCTTGTGGTGTCCTGATTTTCCTATTGGGTTTTGGCTTCATTATGCAAGTGCTTTTTGTCCCACACAGATCAGTTCTATGTTCTTCCTAGACAGAAGAGGTGATCTGACTGCCATTCAGAAATTTACCCACTCCACCCATGTCCCTGGTCGTTCTTCTGCTCATAGACTTTTCAAATGACTCTATATTATTGCTTGTTAAGCCTTTTAAATCAATTCCAACAAGTTATAATAATACTACATTGTATGACGTCTTTACTTAGAAGACCTTCTAAAGGCCTTTTAAGAGGTATTAACAATTTCCTCCACACGCACACATACCACCCATCCTGCTGCCATCACCACTGCCCACACAAAAATGAAGAAATCAAGATAGCAATTTTTAAAGAGTCAACATATACTCTGCCTCTCATTGCCTCTCATAATACTCTATCTCTCATTGCCAATTTATCAGAACTGATTCTTTACTGAACAGAGCCTATATTATGGCTATCTATATTGTGTTTCTACAAACAGACATTAAAAAAAATCAGAAGATTACTTTTTTGTAAATGATGTTTGTCATAGAGTACCCATGTATTAATACAGAACCCAAACTGGGATATTTTAGAGTAAGGAAGCACTATTTACAATTATTCTGGGGCAGCAGTCATCAACTGGCACTGACTTTATTCTTAAGTGACTTGTCTGAGTTTATGGATCTATAATCAACAGGGATCTCTGGGTTGCAAAACTCCATTTTTGCACAGCCCTGCCTTCCTCCTCCATTCCCTGACAGGGGTTATCCAGTGCTGTTGCCCACACCTGCAAGATGCCCATGATGGGGAGGGGCCCTGAGGATGGAGCCTCTGTAATTATTTGGAATACTCTCATGTTTTCCATGTTTGTCTGAAGGAGGTGTCCTGGACAGTATGGAAAAACCATTGTGAGGGTACTGTTTGGGAGCCTTGCTATGTCAACACCACAAAAAAAACAAAAAGACATTTACAACCAGGTGGGCAGCAAAATCTCTTTGTAAGCCATCTTTGGCCCTTTCTGGAGCCTCTTCCAGAAGTCTACCTTGGATGGGATGCCTATGCTTAGATGTGGACTAATCCGGGCTGGCTGGCTTCCCAATTAGTTATGTGAGGTCCTTAATTTCTGATGAGCTACTCTTAGGAAGTCAGGCCTGCAGGGGGCACTGCCTGCTCTGCCGGCCAGCGGGCTCAGAGGCCCTGGCCCTGCTACTCCCTGGACAACTGGTTCCCATCCTCCTTTTTGTTTGACTTGTCAACACGAATCCTTTCCCTGTAGAGCAAAACATGATAATTTCTCTCTCAAAATGGTTTTTAAACATAATTTTCTTTGAGATTAGTTTCATTCTCATACAAATTCAGTATTCCATTAATGTTAATTTTGCAGAAATTCAGATTAAAATTTTTTTGGAAGTTATAATATAAATACTGCAGGGTTTAAAATTGGCTTCCCTGGACATAGGATCATTTGAGGTCAATCTTTTCTCCCTCCCTGGATCAAAAGTAACCTTTTATTTCAAGACCGTGTGCCCACCATTTAGTCCCATTTCATGTTTTCTCAAATGAAATGGTCTTCGAGACCTTATGTCTTGATTTTGATAGACACATTTTGCTGATAGAGTAAGAATTTTCAGTTGTCTAGCTGAGGGACAGGGGATTAGAGTGCCCCTCTATCTTTCTTCAGTACTATTACAGCAGTGCCAGTAATAAATGAAGAATGCTGCCTCTCTCTAACTGCCTCTTGCTGACAATTTTCAGGAACTGATTAAATATTTGCATGATGTGGCTATAGTCCTGAATAATGCCTGAGAGGTCAGTGAGGAGCAACCCTACCCTCTCCCTTTCTATCTATGGCTGCTGAAGAGACATTCAGCATTAAGCTCAGTAGCACTGTAATACAAAGATACAATATCTTTCCTCTAATGACTCATTACTATCTATTTTAAAATGTAAGTACATTTATATAAAATGATAATGTCATGGTGTATCTAAGCTTTTCACATTATTGCTTTCTTTTCTCTTGCCATGTAGCCATGCATTATTTCTAATGGAAATTCAAAAATCAAAATGTTATCAATTCAGTTGTCAGGGGAAGGTCCGGATATTTGATTCAGTTCTTGCAGCAGTGGTAAAGAAGGCAGAACAAGGAGGTCTTCTGGAATGCCAGAGAAAGTGTGATGAAATGTGGTGGGTCCAACTCTCTTTGATGTCATGCATCATTGCTTCTTATAGCGGCACATCATTTAGCTAACATTGCTGGGGAATGAGGTGTCCCACATAGACACGTTTTCCAGAGCTGACACTTTTTCATGCCAATACTTTTATATTTTAAGTGAAGTGTCTGGATTAAAATCTAAAATATACAACAGTTTTTTGCCTTCTTAAGCAGAGCAAAGAAAGTACAAGGAATATTTTCTATTTGATCCAGGGTTATCTAATAGTGCACCAATCCTAAAGCAGGAGGGAGGATCTGTGTTTTAAGTTTGTGTTATTTATGGTAATTTATATCCTACTTATTCCTGAAATTACCTTGAAATGAAATACAATAAAATTGTACACAGTGGGCCAGGTTAAGCTCTCTGACAAGTGTGTAGGGTGCAGATATGTTTTATATTGAAACCAGATGTATATACTTTCAATATCAGACAGCAAAGGGACATCTTGTTTGAAATCCAAAGAAGTTGGTTTATATATTCTCCCTCAGTTGGAGTTGTATCTTGCATCAACATGGAGGTGGGTGAAGAGGGACATTTGCTGATGCAGCTTTGAAGTGACCTATGGCTCATTCTATTTGGAACACCAGTGTCAGCCAATCCTAAAACCCTCCCCAATCACAATAGGGTCATATTCTCAGTGTTCCCTGTCCTTGTCCCTGGTCTGCCTCCCAACCCTCTGCCTCCCTCTTTCATCTTCCTGTCTCCAAAGACTGATATACTATTACCTCTTCTTTGATTCTCATTCTCTTTCTCCCACCTCCTCCTAAACCTTCTTTATCCTGTTTCACTTTAGGTAAACACCTCTACTTTCCCCATCCTTTCTTCCACCCAGAAGCTGTCTAACTAAATTTATTCTTGCTTCTAATAAGATGGCTAGAGACAAGTTATTTGAAGAGATTTGACTTAGTTTAGTGGATTAGTGGATTAGTTTAGTGGATTATGCAAACAATCCATAGGATAAAATAAAGTATTGGTGTTAATAGGTTTTAAGGTTTATTTCATAGTCTCTCTTGGAAAGAAAAAAATTAATTGCTGATTGCTATAATTATCTGAAAGAAAATGTGAGCATCACGGGAATGCATAATGATAAAAGCACATGACGACGAGCACCTGTTATCAGAAACATGTAAACCCTGAAAACAACAACAACAAATTGGAAGATGGATATTCATCCATGGCTAGGTGAAGCAAAAAGGGAACTGTGTTGCTCAACAATCTCTGGATCTTATAATCTATGTTGGTTTCATTTCTTTCATGTGGACCACTCTCCTGTTTGTCTTATAATGACTCTAAAATTAAGTTTTCTAGTTAGGTTATGACTACTTAATGCTTATTACTAAGAACTACTTGCTTGAATTGGTCCATACACAATGCCACATATACTTACAGACAAAGTATTTAGCATGACTTAAATTTTGTGTCAAGAAAATTTTCAAGCTGTGTATATAACTTCAGGAAATTCCACCAGGATCATGAAGACTTTCAGAGATATGCATCATCTTGCTCCTGGGGCTTCCCTTCTTGTGAAGATGGAAACAGGAAAGCAGCATCCAGCTCAGTGCTTGGGTTCTGAATCATCACAACCATTTTATGGAAATAACCAAGTATTATTCTTCAGGAAAAGATTGGAGATTCCTGATATAAGAGATATTTATATACTTGATACCTTACTCAATCTTCAGAGTGACTAGTTGAAAAGTAAGGCTACTGTAGCCTTGTAGTATAGTTTGAAGTCAGGTAGCGGGATGCCTCCAGCTTTCTTCTTTTTGCTTAGGATTGTCTTGGCTATACGGGCTCTTTTTTGGTTCCATATGAAATTTAAAGTAGTTTTTTTTTTTTTCTAATTCTGTGAAGAAAGTCAATGGTAGCTTGATGGGAATAGCATTGAATCCATAAATTACTTTGGGCAGTATGGCCATTTTCACGATATTGATTCTTCTTATCCATGAGCATGGAATGTTTTCCCATTTGTTTCCTCTCTTATTTCCTTGAGCAGTGGTTTGTAGTTCTCCTTGAAGACGTCCTTCACATCCTTTGTAAGTTGTAATCCTAAGTATCTTATTCTCCTTGTAGCAACTGTGAATGGGAGTTCATTAATGATTTGGCTCTTTACTTGTCTATTGTTGCTATCTAGGAACACTTATGATTTTTGCACATTGATTTTGTGCAAACCTTCAACAAACCTGACAAAAACAAGCAATGGGGAAAGGACTCCCTATTTAATAAATGGTGCTGGGAAAAACTGGCTAGCCATATGAAGAAAATTGAAACTGGACCCCTTCCTTACGCCTTATGCAAAAATTAACTCAAGATGGATTAAAGATGTAAATGTAAAACCCCAAACCATAAAAACCCTAGAAGAAAACCTAGGCAATACCATTTACAACATAGGCACGGGCAAAGACTTTATGACTAAAACACCAAAAGCAATTTCCACAAATGCCAAAATTGACAAATGGGATCCAATTAAACTAAAGAGCTTCAGCATAGCAAAAGAAACTAGCATCAGAGTGAACAGGCAACCTACAGAATGGAAGAAAATTTTTGCAATCTACACATCTGACAAAAGCCTAATATCCAGAATCTACAAGGAACTTAAACAAATTTACAAGAAAAAAAAACCCCATCAAAAAGTGGGCAAAGTATATGAGCAGACATTTCTCAAAAGAAGACATATATGCGGCCAACAAACATATGAAAAAAAGCTCATCATCACTGATCATTAGAGAAATGCAAATCAAAACCACAATGAGATACCATCTCGTGACAGTCAGAATAGCAATTATTAAAAAGTCAGGAAACAACAGATGCTGACAAGGCTGTGGAGATATAGGAACGCTTTTATATTCTTGGTGGGAGTGTCAATTAATTCAACCATTGGGGAAGACAGTGTGGCGATTCCTCAAGGATCTAGAACCAGAAATACCATTTGACCCAGCAATCCCATTGCTGGGTATATACCCAAAGGATTATAAATCATTCTACTATAAAGATACATGCACACATATGTTTATTGCAGCACTATTTATGAAAGCAAAGACTTGGAATGAACCCAAATGCCCATTAGTGATAGACTGGATAAAGAAAATGTGGCACATAAACACCATGGAATACTATGCAGCCATAAAAAAGAATGAGACCATGTCCTTTGCAGGGACATGGATGAAGCTGGAAGCCATCATTCTCAGCAAACTAATACGGGAACAGAAAACCAAACACCACAAGTTCTCACTCATAAGTGGGAGTTGAACAAGGAGAACACATGGACACAGGGAGGGGAACAACACACACTGAGGCCTGTCAGTGGGTGGGGGCTAAGGGGAGAAAGAGCATTAGTACAAACACCTAATGCATGCGGAGCTTAAAACCTAGATGATGGATTGATAGGTGCAGCAAACCACCATGGCACATGTATACCTATGTAACAAACCTGCACATTCTGTACATGTATCCCAGAAGTTAAAGTAAAATTTTAAACAATTTAAAAAAGAAAAGTAAGGCATCCCTAATATCCAATGCCCTCATTCATACACACATAATACATTAGAATTGTGTATTCTAATGTAGATTAGGGAGAACAGCAGGAGGGAGATAGTTGTGGACTGAATGTTTGGGTCCTCCTGCAAATACATATGTTGAAGTCCTAACCCCCCAGGGTAATAGTATTAGGAGGTGGGGACTTTGGGTGGTAATTAGGTCATGAGGATAGAGCCCTCATGAATGGGATTAGTGCCCTTATAAAGTAGGCCACAGAGAGTCATCTTTCTGCCATGTGAGGATACAATGAAAAGTTGACAGTCTGCAACAAGAAAGAGGGCCCTCACTAGACCTTGATCTCAGACTGGTATCCCCTGATCTCAGACTTTCGGCCTCTAGAACTGTGAGAAATAAATATGTTGCATACAAGCCACCCAGTCTTTGGTGTTTGGTGATAGCAGCCCGAACTAAGTACTCACACTTCAGTCTACTTGTAATATTCATTAGATCAAATCAGTCAATAATATGGCACTTTACCCCAGGTAATAATTTTATACCTACAAATGCAGCTTATGTAATTGCTTGAGTGAAGTCTTTTAAAACCAGGTTATCATTTTATTACTATTTTATTAGATATTAGTGTAATGATTGATGGGTGGAAACAACATTAATGCTACTCTGTGTTAGGTCAGGGCTTACAAAGATAAAAAGAACTAGATTTTACTCTCAAATTGCTTATGCTCTAGCACAAAGGCGTATGGCCAATCAAATATTAAACTACAGTAAGATAATTGCTAAAGGGAAGTTGGTGTTTTCAAGACCCCAGAAAACTTAACTCTTCTCTGAGTTCTGAACTACTTTGAGAAGTAGATAATAGAGGTCAGACAGGAATAAAAAATGGCCTTTCTTGCTAGTAATGGGTTGGAGAACATATCTTGGATCTAAGACCAATAGGCTTTACATCCTCTCCACCCACCTTGAATTGACATTGTCTGGTGGTGGGCAGAGCAGCTGCTCTGGTTCAGACAAGGTGGCAGGAAGTAAAAAGGAAAATGTGGGTTGTTTGTGGGCAGCCAGGTCCAGACAGCATCAAAGAGGATGGATCTCTAGTGAGGAGTATCACCCTGTCTCCCAGTTCCACCAATCAGAGGCTGATGAGACCCTTCCTCCTCTTCTCATGGGAGTAGCGAGAAGGGATGGAGTGGTCTTCCAGTGCTATTCCTTCCAGGGATTAACATTTTTTCTTTGGGTTGAAAAGTTGGCCTTTGGGTGGTATGCATATAGTGCTCTACTTATTGGGTGGGAGGGAGGGGCAAAGAAGCAGGCCGGGCAACAAATGCAAATGCAGAGGAAGAGTTCCTGCAAGTGTCTTTCTGTTGATGCTCACAGAGCCTTGGGAGAGAAGTTGTGAGATGAAGTGCGTACTATATGCACTTTCCAAGTTGGAACCTATATAAATCCTAGGCCTTCAGTTGTACAGCAAATAGGAAGCATTTGTTTGTCTATACCCTTAATGGATATTGCTCTGCATTTGTGCATTCAAATAAAGCAAGCATGCATACTATTACTGTACCAATGACTACAGTAACTGGTCACATATTTATGTACACACAGTGTGATGCTGTTTCCTTTGTGATCTTTTTGTGATGACTGTGTAAGGAATTTTCTTCTAAAGAATTAAATCCTTTATGTGTAATTTTAGATTGAAATACAGTAATTTATCTGCAAAAGACTTTTGCATATGTGATAGCTGCTGCTCCAAAATAAGTAACAGATGCATAGGGCTCCATTGAAACACAAATATGTACAAGGCATTCTTTAAATATGAAAATTTGCCATTATAAAAGATGTGTCAAGAATTTAGGCTTTTATGTCTGTCTTGTTTTATTTAGTCATGAGCAAAATATAATAGAGAAAGACCCGATGAACATCTCAGCTCAAGTTTGAAAGACAGTGGTCCAGATTAGCTTTGGGAAAATGCCAAATGTGAACTCTAAAGCAAATGCAGGGTAGAAACAAATGACAATTGTGAAATATTCAATAAAGGACTGCCCCAGATGCCCACCCCGATGCTGACTATAGACAGACTCTTTGGTCATGAAGATTGCTTAACAGTGTTAGGAACTGGGGTTGCTTTAAGTGCTGAAATCCACTGCTTAGCTGATTGGCAAGAACAAATTAAACTAGTATTAGAATCAGTCCTCAAAACACAGACTAACCTTGGAATTAGGAGTAGCAATGTTTAATACAATCCTATTCAGTACCCTACAAATAAGACCTTAGAATCCTTTGTCCTTTAAAACTAAGGTTCTTTAATTTGCCTCTTCCAAAATTGTGTAATGTATTGATAAATCATCTTTTGAACATGAGCATATTTGGGGAATATGAAAAGCTCATTATATTTTATTGAAACAACTGTTCCATTTACACAAATGTGCACTTGAATTAGTACTTAGTACTTTTCAAAATGCATCAAGAAAACACAATTTTTGGAAGGAGTCAGCAAAACTTTATTTGCTCAAAATACCTGTAGCAGGCATTTTACCTCCTCATTAAAATGTTTCTCTCTTCAGTCCTGTTTAGTGAAGCGATCTGCTATATAACCTGGCTTGAAAGACCAAACAATAAACAGGTAAATTAGAATTTCTTCCTTGTTTATACGAGAAAGAAACATCAGTGCCATCCCCACTAAAAATCACCCAGAAAAGTACGGAAAAGTTTGAAGAGTTGCAGTTGCAGAATAAATTGTGTAAGGTCTTTTCACTAAATTTTCAGATAGTTCTAGCTGCCACTGTGGTTCAATTTGGAGCATTGCTACTCAGATGATAAGAATTAATTTTCTGTGGCCTATTTTCTTTAACCTTTATATGACCTTAAAGCTTTATTTATTTATTTATTTATTTGTCTTTTTTTCTTTCTTCGGCCTGACTTCTACCTTGTGCAGCCATGGGTAACTTCAAAGCAATTTTCTGTCTGATACTAGGTGTTATTGTGGGGCTATTCATTCCACTACATAAAACATCATTTGCTTATAAACATTCTCCCCCAAAAAAGGGGCAAAAATGAGTCATTAACATTTTCCCCATGTTTTCTTTGGCAGAGAAATGTTAGGAAGAGGAAGAGTGTGGATTCTTTACATGCAGTGGCATAGTTTCTCCTGGCTATTTATAATTCACATTTCTCCCCATGCCTTCACATTTCTGCTCATGCACATGAGGTGAAAGCCACTTTTTAAAACAGAGGCTATAACTTTTAAAACTGAAATCAATAGTCAGAAATGTCTGCAAATAAATTAGGGCAGTCACTTCATTACCTCTGCTTCATGTTTTCTCTGCATGACCATTTTATTTTTAATAAGTGCTCCAGGATACTTTTCACAAGTCTTTCATTCTTTTAAAGCTTATTACTTTTAACAGTGTAAACACATCCATTTTACATAATAAACACATAATCTTTACATAGGTTACATGAACAAGCCCTGAGAACATGCTTCAATGTAACTTTATATTAAAGGCTTACATACATCCATATTTACTAAGTTGTAGGTTAGTATGTTGAAAAAATGGAGCACTTATAAATGCTGAAAATAACACAAAGCTGTAGCCAGACTGAGTTTTGGACATGGATAATCAGAACAGTCTGTAGCCCGTCTGTGGCTAATGGGATGTTTCTCCCAGCTTTGTCACCATGGCAAATACTTTATAATACACAAACATTTGTAGCGCTAAAAATCCACCCACTCTTTTTGAAAGATGGCCAGGTTTTGTAAAATTACATTCCAGCTAGTGCTACCCTGCTGATTTTTAAGGTTTTTTTTTTTTCTGGTTGCTATTCATGTGCTTAACAAAAGACCAAAGGGAAAAAAATATATATATAGTTTGTAAACATATATTGCACTTTCATAGTTCAATTACCTTATGGAGAAATACATGTCAGGTTTTTCTGATGGCCAAATTTTGGGGGAAAGGAGTCTATTTTGTAGTGGTGATGGTGGGGAGGGGAAATCTGTGGGTCTGTAATTCTAAACCCCATCATTTTTCCCAAATAAACATACAATCAAAGCGAAACACATTTGTGGGACAAATATAGCTTCAAGGCAAGCCCCTTAGTCCCATGGAGAATCAGATTGCTGCCTTTAAGCTCCCTGAGAGGGTTTGGGGTATATATCTTTATAGTGAATACCACCAGAGCCAGTATATGATTGAAGCCATAGCCTATCCAAGCTTTCTATATAGCCTCTGGAAACAGGGCTAGGAGCACCACATGCATGGACAAAGAACATATTGGGCTCCTTTCTGATCCTCCTCCTTTCTTGCCAAGACAGCAAAGTATAACACATACTCCAATTCATTCCTTTACTTAAAGGGAGGGGGAAGAAAGGCTTGGTAATACTCCATTGCAGAGCCAAGCAGAAATGCCAAAAACATTCAGAATACGTGTGACTGGGGGAAAATGTAGGCAAAACAGTCTTTCCCACAAGTGGGTGGAAGAGGACAAGTCACAGTTTTAAAAGCATAACATAGGTGTATAGTGCCAAAAAGGGCCAGTCTAAATATTTACATGCAATGGTGATATATGAGGAAAGGCTTAACAGAATGCTTAGAGAAAAAAGAGAATGTGCATGTTACTGGAAGCTCTAGGCACAACAGCGGGTTTGTTGGCGACCTGTTTGAGTTTTACAAGCCTGCCTACTCTGTCTGTTGCCCCAGCATCATCCTGCCACATCATATGGTCTTTCCCAGAATCTCACAGCATCAGACAGGAAGCCAGGAGACAAGGACATCAATACATCACAGTTATGAATGCCTCCTTGAGAAGAGAAACTCTCCTAACAATTGTTGTTCATTCTAATTATTATTAACCTTCAGTAAAACCATGAACATTTATTTCTACAAATCAGGCTTTGTAGACTCAAACGATGCGCTTAGGTGTGGCAGTTCCAAGTAGCAATTATTTGCTTTGATTTTACTTTGGAAAGCATTTGGATGCTAATCCAGAATTTGCTTTATTCAGTCAGAGCTACAGCTTGAGACAGTGGATACATAAGGGCATCTAACAACCTTGCAATCAAATTATGCCTGTTTAAAATGCTACATGTAAATGATCAATCCCAATGATATTGACTGACAGTTGCACCTTTTTAACAAAAGAAGGAATTTATTTGATTTCACACTTTTGGGTAAAGTTTTATATTAATAGCACTGTCATGATGAAGACTTCTTGGGAGAGAAGACTGAGGGTTTTTTTTCCTCCCAAGAAAAGACATTATAATAAAACAGTAACTAAGTATTGGTAAATAGTAACAGTTTTAATATGGGTTTAAATATTTATTTTATTGCCCAGTGCAAAACATCTATGTTCTTAATATTTCTAATGAATTAAATACACCAAAATTAGATTCTGTGCAAACAGCACCTGGTGATTTAAGTCGCCCTTTTAAATAGCAATTTTAGCAACTCTCAAACACAGATAGAAATACTGCCTTCTATTTTGTTTGAAATTCATTTCCTGTCTCTAGGATATTCACTGACCTTTCAATGTTGGCCATTTTGCTTTTTTACTTTTTCCAGTGAGTCTTATTCCAGTTCTCATTGACTTCATTCCATTCTTGACCTCTTTTCCCCTCAAGAAAATTAAATGCAGCCCAAAACATGTTGGACCCCAATTAGTTTTATAGCTCTTCTTTCCTCCCTCACTACTGCATTCTTTAGTTTGTCACAAGTCAGTTGGCAGTACACGTTCAATCTCCACAAACGCCTACATTCACATACAAAACAAACCCTATCTTAAATAGATTGATTTTTCCCCCTACAATTCTTATTTGCAAAATTTGAAATCCCCTTAAGCTTGTATCAGAACTTCTTGGTAACCCTTAATTATATCAGTTTTATTCAACATCCTTCAGTTCCTGGAAGCAATATTTGCTCCTATGGATATTTTTCTGTCTATCATATTTTTATTAAAACCCACAATAGTCTCTATTTCATCGTTTTCTTAGATAAGTGCATTAAAGAAGAATAATGCAAATAAAAGGGATATTTTTATGGGACATGTCCTGGGATCATACATTGAGTGACTATAAATAAGCCAGATATGATCCCGTTTCACCTAAAGTGCTGAAAAGGACAGAGCATTCTTATCTGTGTGATGAGATAATTTGTAATCTTCCCTTTTTCCTTAGGGCAACTAAATGCATGTGTAAGCTTGTTTGTGCTTCTAGAAACATCTTTAATATTTCCCTGAACTCCACCACAACATTTTCAGTGAAAAATGGCTCTGCAGTTTGTTTCATCATGCTAATTGAAATGAATTATTATGCCATGCAGAGAAAGCCTTCTCTTCTAAATTAGACTTTGCAGATATCTCTGATTTACCTGCAATTGGATTACAAGAGCAAAAATAATGCTTCGGAATTATCTAGTTAGAAAAGGAATATGCATCTTAGCAAAAATGAAGTGAATAACAAAAAGGAAGCCTTAAGAAAATGGTATAAGTTCATTCTTATATATAGACAAATCAAGTAGGTGTTAATTTGAAACAGTTGTAGATTCATATTTTCAGCATTATGACATTACAGTAGTGGTTTATTAAACTAAGATATACCTCTTATTCATCCTACATTCATGAGCCTCTGGCCAAGGAATATGCTTTTCCTTCCTCCATACTTTTCTTGTGATTTGTATTACTCTGAGGAAAACGAGACTGTACAGTTGTGTTATTTGCATAGTGCTGTTGCCTCATGAGTTAAATGCATATAATTGCCTCCTAGATTCCTTGGTCTGAATTTAGGGCTAAAACTCATGGCCCTTTCCAACCCTGGACCATTTTCTAGGCTCACTTTTATCCAAATGTTTCCCACTCCTCATGCTTTAAGGTTTCTCCGGATTCCCTGCTCCCCTGACATCTCGTTCAAGTCCCGGGGGGCCTTGTGTTTAGACTGCATTACCACAAACTTTAAAAAATACACACGGCCGGGTGCGGTGGCTCACGCTTGTAATCCCAGCACTTTGGAAGGCCAAGGCGGGTGGATCACTTGAGGTCAGGAGTTTGAGACCAGCTTGGCCAACATGGTGAAACCTCGTCTCCACTGAAAGTACAAAAATTAGCTGAGCATGGTGGTGCAGGCCTGTAATCCCAGCTACTTGGGAGGCTGAGGCAGGAGAATCACTTGAACCCAGGAGGCAGAGGTTGCGGTGAGCTAAGATTGCGCCACTGCACTCCAGCCAGGGCAACAGAGCAAGACTCCATCTCAAAACAAACAAACAAAATTAAAAAAAAATACATGCAACAAAACAAGAAACTCTGGATGGGCTCCTCTCTGAAAATTTAGAAATGTCAGGAGGCAGATGACAGCCAGTGGACACCCGTGAATGTTTCTTCCCCTCTCTGGTGTGGGCTACAGGTGAACACTGCAATGTGCTATTTGTGGGCAACATTGCCCTCCACCCAGGAGCCCTTGGAAAGTCCCTTTCCATGTTCCTCCCTTTGTCTCCACATTCCACTCATACCACACTGCCTTTTAATCCCAGTTAAAAACTCATCTCAGTCTCAACCACTTATAGCAGGTGCTCTGGTGAAACCAATCCATCAAGTTTCATAATGTCCTGAAGAAGTGTTTTTCACACTGAGTCCCAGTACATTAGTGGTCTTGGAACCAATTTTGTAAGTCCCAATGCATTTATTATCTTTTTTTTTACTTTCTATTTTGAAATTATTATTGAAATTTATTTTGAATTATTATTTTATTTCAAAATTATTATTCACAGCAAGTTGCAAAGAAATACACAGACCTCACGTACATTTTATCCCACCTCCCCCAATGCCAACATCTTGCATAACTATAGTACAATATCAAAACCAGAAACTTGACTTTGGTACACTCCTGAGAGCTTATTCAGATTTCACCCATAATGCATTCACTCATGAGTGGGTATATGTATGGATCTGTGCAATTTTATCCTATGTGTTCATATAACTACCAGCACAATCAAGGTAACTATTGAAATAAAATTAGTCTAGAAAATATTACAGGTTAAGGTAAGAATTTTTCCATGAAACTGCCCAGTTTTACATTAATTTACATCCATATTCACACACATATTACATGCATGTATATGAATGTATTATATAATATAAAATGCATTTCTTACTGTGGGTCATGATAAACACATTTTGAAAGTCACTGTCCTAGACTCCTGCTACTCAAAGTCCAGTGTATGAACCAACAGCATCAGCCTCATTGAGAGGTTGCAACTTCAAGTCCTACCCTTGAAGTATTAAATCAGAATCTGCATTTTGAAACAGGATCCCCAGATGATGTGCGTTATAGTCAAGTCTGAAAAGCACTGTCCTAGTGAACAGCTTATTGAGTCTGTAAGAGGGTAAGATACAAACTCTGTATTTCATTGAGAGCTGGAATGAGGGCAATGACCTGCTGCCTCTGGAAAGTTTGAATAGAGACCTGGCATTGTGGGCATTTTTCCTTGCCTGCTTTTATGGGAGGCAGGGCCAGAGTCGATAGGGCACAGGCTGCTGTGGAAATGATGACAGAATTCATATCAGGAAGCTCTTTATTTTAGGGGGGGGGAGTATGTAATGGTTTCCATGAGATGTCAGGGTGCAAAACAAATTGTTGGTCCTTTTTAATTTCCATAAAATAGTGATTGATGTCTGGGGAGGGAGTTTAGCCCATGGTATTTTCTGCTTCAATAAAGGTAGTTGAAAAGCTGACTGTCCCCTGGCTGCTCAGTGCTACCCTCACAGAGAATGTTATTTTTTCTTTTCTTTTCCAAGTAGGTGACTGAAAGAATATATAGGGGGGAAAAATGAGAGAACAACTTGGCCTTGCTCATTAAGATTAGAATCCTGTATTATGTGTTCACGATTCCTAGGTACTCTTGTTCTGGGAGCCTCACCATTTTTTATGAGATTAATAAAATGATTGGATATTATTTTTGTAGCATCTATGCTTCCATCTCAAAAATAACCCATGTGATAGCAATTATGTGTGAGTAGGGCTTTCTAAGATCCTGAGCTCTGGTCTTTTTGTAATGGGAAAGATGGGGCAGGATGGGGAAAGTCGAAAGGGAAGGGGGGGTTTGGAATGACAATAATCTAGCTCAGATTCATTCCACCAACTCCTAGCTGCTGTTCTTGAAGAAAGGCTAATTAAAGTAATTAACATATTTCAGACAAAATAACCCACCCAAATATTAACAAAACCTCTTTCATAAGAAAAACACAAAATGTGGTTCTGTCGTTTTATTTCTGCTTGAGAAGGCAATATTATGAAGGAATGTGAAATCCTTTAATTAGACACAATTTAAAAGCCAGACAGAAAATTGAGATGCTGAAATTTCTACCTAGAGAAGCAATATTCATACTCAAGAGCAGCAGACAATGTACTGCACACAGACAGATGTTTTACAGTGAATTAAGATTATCTCATCACACAGGAATATTACTCTGTTATAACCACATTAAGATACACTTCGATCACAACAAGTTATAGCTTCATAATGAGATTAAAATTCTACCCTGGTAGATGCCTCAAGCCAGATTTTAAAAAGAAATTCTGTTTTTTTCGGTTATAGGTATTTTTCTTGTATGCATATAAATTTCACAGTTAGGAAAAAGTGCAGGTGCTAAGAAGTGGATGAAGCTGAAACTGGATATTGAGAGAGTCTTGTGAACATGGAATCGAGAATTGCATGTGCCTCTGTATCTATTTAGTGGGTTACTGGAAAGAACATTGGCCTGCGAATCACCAACTTTAGTGTCTAGGCCTGAACTCTATCCCTAGGTTCTGCATTCTCAGATTCAACCAACTGAGATGAAAAATATTTGAAAAAATAAAACAATAAAATAATACGAATTTAAAAACTGTATAAAAATTATTTATATATAATTTATCTTGTATTCAGTATTATAAGTAATCTAGAGATGATTTAAAGTATAGAGGAGGATGTGTGTTTGTTATATGCAAATAATACACACACACACACATACACACACCATTTTGTATAAGGGACTTGAGCATCTGTGGATTTGGGTAGCCATGGGGGTCCTGGAACCAATCTCCCACAGATACCGAGGGACAACTATATAATGTATAGTATAAAGAATACAGAATTTTAAGATTTCAACATCATACAGGGCTCGAAGCAGCTCAGCACCATCTAGGCCATGTGACCCTCCAATGTGATGTCCACCACTCACACTCTGATTACTGGTCCATTAATGAACTAAATCTCCTATCCCGCAAAGCCCTACCCTGCAGAGGCCTAAGTGTAATGCCTGGTTCCCCAGTTAGTGATTCAAAAAACTTCCTATAGCCTTGTTAATTATAAAATAAACATCTTGGGTGTCTACCTACCTTCACCTCTCCATCTCCCTTCCCCATCCCCTAGGCACACAGAGCACAAGCTACCTGGGAGGTATTTAAAACCTGGTCGTAGTTTCCATCCCCCACTTTAAATAGATGTATTAACAAATGGCTTTAGGGCTTTAAACCTTCAACTGCTAGAAGAATTAACTAGTTTCCAACCAGTCTCAAAAGACTGTTTAATGACCTTTTAAAAAGTAAACGTGGGTCTTAATTTTATTCTCAACTGTGCTGATTGAGTTTTTCTTTCTTCAGAAGATTTTCTCACGCTTTTCTCACATACATCACCCCCCTTACCCCACCCCTACACCTACAAATTAAGATGAAATTTATGAGATTCTACTTAACTTGAAAGCAGCATCATCAAAAATTAATGATATAATTATATTACCACTTGGGACTGTCACTGTGGACTTATTTGGAGAGAAAAATATTTTAGATTTCTGCCATTTCCTAATAGATTGCAGCTTGTGAGTCACTCTTTAAAAGCTGTCAGGATTTATTGTATCTTTTGCTCAAGACCCTGTGCTAGGCTCTCTTGTACAATATTATGAACTCTGGGTGTTCAATAAGCAGTTGACAATGACGAATGAGAATCAATCCATGAAATACTTGGTGGTATCTTCAAGGGCCAAATATTACTCTTTGATAATGCTGAAACCTTAACTCAAATTCAAGGATAACCAGCTTTACTAGATTTTTACAGTCCATGTTAAGAACTACAGATTATTTCCCAAGACAATTATGTGGTAGCCAAAAAAGCTCCCACGTAAGCTTAATGTAACGGGACTCAATGTAACTACTGTGTAAGTTATGAACTGGCAGAAAAGATAACAAGCAAATCTTCAGATTACTACTTTAAAAGTGAGATGAGAAAACAAAAGTGAATGTTTCTGGTGTTTCTGAAGGTTGGGGAAAAAATAGATATTGAAATTTGCCCCATCTTTCCATACTAGACACACCTATTTATCACCACAACTTTGGCCAGGACAAGAGAAAGGAGTATCAGAAAAAAAAGAAGATAGAGAGAGGAAAAAAAGAGAATAAGCATGAAGAAGGCAGATGGCAGGGCAGGGTAAGAAGGTTTTTAATCTTAAAGAGCAGAAGCCACAGTTTGTGTCTAAAACAGTGCCAGAATACAGCATTCCCTCTCCCCTACTCTACCCTGACACCCTCTCCCACCCCAGTGTGCAGTCCATCTGTGGGGAAAGAGATGCCAGTCATATGAAACTTGAGGTTAGAAACCACTATTCAGATTTTCTGATAATGTACATCCTTCTGACCAAAGAAAGTTAAAATTGGGAAGAATATTTATTCCTTAAAAATAGCTGTGATATTGATTATAAGGGCAATTCATTTTGCTTACTAATAGTTTATTTTCTTTTTCAGACAGGATCTCACTCTGTCACCCACGCTGGGCTGCAGTGGCACAATCATGACTCATTGCAGCCTTGACCTCCCAGGCTCAGTGATCCTCCTCCCTCAGCCTCCCAAGTAGCTGGAACTACAGGTGCACACCAAGCCTGGCTAATTTTACTGTTGTTGTCAGAAATGGGGTCTTGCTATGTTGCCCAGGCTGGTCTTGAACTCCTGGGCTCAAGTGATCCTCCTGCTTCGGCCTCCCAGAATGTTGAGATTACAGGCATAAGCTACTATATCTAACCAATTAATAGTTTCTACTTATGAGTCTGATCAAAATGCATTTGATCATATGCTAAAATATTTATAAATTATTTCAATGATTGTAATCATGAAGAAGAAAATTATACTTAAAAAGTTAGATCTCATAAAGTTAGACAAGCAAAAGGATAAAATCTCACTCATAGAATCGTCTAGAAACTGATGAAAGCTAAGTGACAAAGTATTTCAGTGAGAATATTGAGAACAGTAATTTCATTATGTCCATTTAGGATAAGTGGAATGAGGCAGTTTCAGCTTGAAGATAATGAATGTGGGCTGTCTGATCATAGGAAAACTGCATGTCTCTTGGGAAAAGGAAATGGGAAAAATGATTAAAGAAAAAAATTATCTTTGGCTTTCAAAATATACACATACGCACTGTTTACTGTCAAGCAGAGTGGTCATGACTGTATACTATTAGCAATATGCAATATAGTTATAAACTTGTATTGTTAAGGGAAAGACATAAGAATAGGGAAGTAGCAAAGTGTGTGCAATTTGCCGACCCTTCAATTATTTGAATATGCTAGCACATTCCTAGCATAAACATTCAGTATCCATCACGGAGACATTTCCAGCAAAGAAAGCCCTGCATTGGCCAGCAGTCAGAGAACACTCCAAGAACAAAAGTGAGCCCTGCCCCCATACCGTAGTACCTAGTTATAGGTCAGCTTAGAAGGGATTGGGAACATCTAGTTTTTCTAAGTTGGAATAAATATATCAAGAAACTTCAAGGCATTTGAAAAGCCCTAGGGAGTATGCATACTAGACCCTGGGAACAGCCTTGCCGATCAAGAATGTTGACATCAACTAAAAGCTTTATTATCCCTCTACAGACTGGCTCAGTCCAGCTAACCCAGCTTTCAGCTAAATTATTGAAAGAAAGAAGATGAATCTGTAATGCCATCTACTTTCATTGTTCAGAGTGGGGAGAGGAATTAGGAATTAGAAAAACTACTAAAGACAAAAGTAATCTTTATTTATGATTTTATAAAGATTTTCTGGTACCTTACAGTTGTTAATAAACTTGAATTTTAATAATAATGAACTGAAATTTTAGTAATTAATAATCACTGTGAGGAAATAATTTAAAAAAATTCATTTAATGTTTGAAAGGCAAACATTAAGTTAGAGAAGTTAGAGACAATATATTGCTCTGGAGAGATTTATGGATTTATCTCCTGTGGCACCTGTGATTATATTCTAGGATGGTGAAGGAAAAGTAGAAATGATTCTCCTCCCCAGAGAAGATTTGTTTACATTCCAGAGTAAAGGTTTTTCTCCCTCTCTGGAGGGAAGAATGAGCAGATATGTCAGCAGTCTATAGAAGCTCTGAGCTTCATAATTTGAGGGTTCCTATCCTGTGTATATGTGTGCATGTGGTGCATGTGCAAGGAAACATCAGGCCCTTATTGAGTTGCCCTGTGGGGACAAGGTTAAGATGCTCAATGAATAATAAATGGTCTTTTCTCTGATCCAGAGATCTTGTGTTTCCTGTCAAAAAAATATATATATATATGTACATACACACGTGTTCACACACACATTACCCAAATAGGACATCACCAACAGTTCTTAGATTTGAAAGAATAACCCTCAAAGATAAAGTGTCTCATGAATTGAAATAAACATATTGCTTATTCCCTGCTATGATGGTTAATTTTATGTCTGGGCGATGGGGTACCCAAGATATTTGATCAGCACCCTTCTAGTTCTGTCTGTGAGGGTGTTTGGGGGTGAAATTAACATTTATTTGAATTGGTAGACAGAGTAAAGCAGATTGCCCTCTCTAATGTGGGCGGGCCTCCTCCAATTAGTTGAATCTCTGAACTGAACAAAACTGCTGACCCTCCTTTAAGTAGAAGAGAGTTTTTCCTGCTTGACTGCCTTCAAACTGAGACACTGGCTTTTATCTTGCCTTTGGACTTAAACTGAAACATCAGGTTTTCCTGGATCTTAAGCCTGCTGGCCTTTAGACTGGAACAAAACCATCGGCTCTTCTGGGTCTCTACCTTGCCAACTCACCCTGCAGACCTTGAGACTTGCCAGCCTCCATATTTTCATTAGCCAATTCCCTTCTATTTCAATGTACATATAGAAAGAGATTATAGAAACTAACACAAGAACAGAAAAGCAAACACCACATGTTCTCACTCATAGGTGGGAGTTGAACAATGAGAACATATGGACACAGGGAGGGGAACATCACACACCAGGGACTGTCAGGGGGTGGGGGTAGGGGAGGGATAGCATTAGGAGAAATACCTAATGTAGATGCAGGTTGATGGGTGCAGCAAACCACCATGGCACGTGTATACCTATGTAACAAACCTGCATGTTCTGCACGTGTATCCCAGAACTTAAAGTATAATTTAAAAAAAAAAGAAAATATTTCCAACAAGAACAAAAAAGAAAATGTGGTATGTGTACACTATGGAGTACTGTGCAGCCACAAAAAAAAAGAGCAAAATCATGTCACTTGTAGCAACATGGATGAAGCTGGAGGCCATTATCCTAAGTAAACTAACTCAAACAAACAAACAAAAAAAAAGAGATTATAGAGAACACACATCACACATGTCCTCTTGGTTCTGTTTCTCTGGAGAACCCTAATATACCTGCCTTGAAATAAAAGAAATATAATCAATAGCAGACCCACTTGCTTTAAGCTGATGATGTCCCAACTTTTGTCTACATCTAGAGATTGAGTACATACAAATCTGAGAATTCTCTAGGAAGTTGCTAGTTCTCTTAAGCCTACCCACACCTCTGTGAATAGTCTTTCCTTAGTCCCTTTATTTAAACCACTGAGGTAAATTCTTCTGGGCCATGATACATTTCACTCTGGGATTCAGTGCCACAGTTGAAAATAATAAGGTATATATGAATATCCCATCAAAGTAAAATCACAAAGACAAAGGTATTGTTTACACTTACAATGTAAAAAGTAGTCACAAGAGAATTTTACTTCCATCCAAATATTTGAAATGCCTAAGAAAGTCAAATAATTTACAAAATCATAACTTTTCTGAAAGCTATCAAAGGGCTGAGATCTTGGAGGCAGGGCACATGCATCATTTCATCTTTGGTAAAGCATAGGAGGAAGAGGTAACTGACACAGAGGTGAGTAAGAAATTGGCTAAAAATTTTAGGAATCCCTAAAGCTGAATGTGGCCCAACGTATCAATTTAAAGTACCTGAAAGCCCAGACACAAGAAGAGCTCACAGTTTCTCTTTTCCAGGAGCTTGTGAGAAAGACTGGGAGTAAGGAAGGAGCCTGGAGACAGCCCTCTTCAGGGACACAGGTTTGCAGGATATGCGTGACTGCCACTGGGAAAGACTCATTAAGGACTGCACATTTCTCTGTATCCTTCTTTCATGTGAAGCAAAAGCCTTAAGTCACTGGGGCTAGGCAGCCAAATCTCTCACCTCCAAGGCCTCTGCAGGACAGACAGAAATAAAACCCATCTGCTTCTAGGGGTAGGATAGGATACTCTTCTTTTCAACTTGAGTAGCCAGGCAAAGAACCATTGCTGTGGAGAAAAGGTAGAAGAAAGAGTTTCTTGCTTCTGACAGAGTGAAGAAACAAACCAACAAATCCCCTTTAAAAGCCCAAAATTCTGAATAAAACAAAGCAGAAATCTTCTACTGCTTGAAACGAGGCAGGAAACTCTCGGTTTCCCAAGATACACTACAGACACAAGGCAGGATTTGGCAGCCAAAGGGTGTAGTGGGGGAGTGGTAGAAACACGGAGAAGGCTTAACCCCTCAATCCCTGGCTGCCTGGCCTTAATTTAGAGGCTGACCAACAGAAGCTGAAATTTACCCTATTGACCACACTGTAAGCCTAGTATCGAGTAATGAGCAGCAACAGTCTATGGGGGAGAGGCAAGAACGTGGAAAGGGACCCTCTTCTGTGGTGCAGTCATGCAAAGACTGCTGAAAGCTAAGGGTGGAGCAAAAACATTGAGAAAAACCCACTAGCAGCCAAGGCCCCACACTAAGCACAAGATATCGGTGGCCCATTGCAGAAGGTATTTGAAGCCTATGGTAAACTGAGAATAACAATTGTCACAGTAAGACCCAAACAAACTCAACCAGTCACTTGATTGATTTAATTCTCACATTAAAAGTCTGACAGGATGAAAAGTGGACACTTTTAGAAATAAATACTATTTACTTTCGTCTCTATTGTCCTTTTACAAACAACATCCAGCATTCAATCAACAATTACAAGACCCATAAAACAACAACAACAAAAAGACTCATTGTCAACAGATAAAGTGATTAACAGAACCAGATTCAGAGAGAGCCCAGATGTTGTGCTATTTATTAGACAGGAACCTTAAAATAACTATAATTAACATTAAGAGATCTATTGAAAAAGGTGGACAATATACATATACAGATGGAGAATTTCAGCAGAGAGATTAGACTATATAAAATGTTAAATGAAAATGCTAGAAATAAGAAGCATATCAGAGATGAAGAATTCCTTTAATTAGCTTGAAAATAGATTGAACACAGCTGAGGAAAGTATTATTGAACTTAAAGGTAGGTCAATAGAAATTATCAAAAATGAAATATGAAGAGATATAAGAGTGAAAAAATACAGATGAGAGCATTTAAGAGCTTAAGGATAATACCAAATAGTCTAACATATATGTAATTTGAATTCTAGAAGAAGAAAGACAGAACAGACCAACAGATGCATTTGAAGAGATAATAATTACGAATTTTCCAAAATAATAATAAGACAACAAATCACAGATCCTGGAACCCATGGCAGGATAAAGTAAACACACACATATACACAGACACGCATCCATCCACACCCCTCTAGACACATCATAGTCAAACTGCTGAAAACCGAAGATAAAGAAAAAAATCTTTAGGGCAACCAAAAAGAAAAGGAGAAATTACATACAGAGGAACAAAGAATTACATCAGACGTCTTGTCAGTAACTCTGCAAGCCAGAAGACATGGAGGAACATCTATAAAATGTTGAAGAAAAATTGCAAACCCAAAGTTCTATAGCTAGCAAAAATATCTTTCAAAAATGAAGGTAAGATAATAATTTGTTTTCAGATAGGCAAAAGTGATGGAAAGTCACTGCCAGAAGCAAGAAATATCATAGGAATTTATTTAGAAAGAATGAGAATTTTACTAGTTGGAAAGCTGGATCTGCATAAAGAAGTGGAGAGTGAAAAAACTTGGGGAGTTGGGCATGGTGGCTCACTCTTATAATCCCAGCACTTTGGGAGGCCAAAGCAGGAGGATCACTTGAGCCCAGGAGTTCAAGACCAGCCTGGGCAATAGGGAGATCCCATTTCTACAAAAAAGTTTAAAAATTAGCTGGGTGTGGTGGCACATGTCTGAGGTTCCAGCTACTCAAGTTTCTCAAATCAGAGGATCACTTGAGTCTAGGAGATTCACGCTGCAGTGAGCTATGATTATGTCACTGCACTCCAGGCTAGGCGAAAGAGCAAGACCCAGTCTCAAAAAAGGTTTTGGATTTGGATCTATACATAAAGAAATAAGGGGTTAAAAAAAAGGCGGGGTAAAAATATCAGTGAAAATAAAAGACATTTCTTAATTTTAATCAACTTAGAAGATAATTGTCTAAAGCATGCATAACACAATTTTTCTTAAAGGACCAGATAATAAATAATTTATACTTGAGGGCTATATAGTCTCTGTTGTAACTACTCTTCTTTGCTGCTATAGCGTGAAAACAAAGACAATATGTAAACAAGTAGGTGAGCTGTAAACCAATAAAATGTATTTATAGAAACAGGTGACTGGCTCACATAATTTGCTAACATCTTTTCTAAACAAAATTTGTAACAATGTATCATATGGTTATAACCTGTATAAAATATATAACCAAAATAGTATGAAAGATGGAAAGGAGGAAAAGAATGTACGCTGTTCTAAGTTTCTAATACTGTACAAGAAATTGTATAAAATTATTTAAAGGTAAACTGTGATAAGTTATTCATAAAAATGTATATTGTAAACTGCACAATAACTACTAGAAAAATTAAAAGAGGTATAGTTTGTAAGTCAATAATGTAAATAAAATGGAATCATAAAAATCTTTATCCAAAAGAAGGCAGGAAAAGAGAGAAAAATGAACAAAGAACAGATAAGACAAATAACTGACAAGTTTACAGATTTAAATCCAATCACATCCATAGTGACATTAACTATAAATGGTCTAAATATCCCAATTAAAGACAGAGATTGTCAGATTATATATTAAAGGAAGATCCAACTCTATGCTGTCTACAATAAATATACCTTGAAAACAAAGGTGTAGATACACTAAAAATAAAAATGATGGAGCAAGTTATATCATTGTAATCCTAATCAGAAGAAAGAGCTAGCATACCTATATCAGATAATGTAGACATCAAAGCAATGGATATTACCAGGGAAAATCACAACATGTTTTTGAGTGAAGAAAACTCATACAATCTAACATTTCTGTTAAAAAAAAATTCAATCATACACCACAAAACTCCGTATTGCCATAGGACCATTTATGTGTGTATAAAATGCACAAGCTGAACTGGTAATAATAATGACCATTATGGAGGTGCGGGAGATAAAATAGTAAGTATGAGACTCAACCTCCTCATTTTGGGAATTTGGGATTAAGAGAAGAAAGTGGAAGCTCTTCAGTAAGCATGGCATAGCAGGAGAAATTCTTCTGCTTATAAAAATAGGCAGTAAGTGTAACGAAACAGTAACAGTAATGTGGTAAAAGCAATTTAAATTTCTTTTATTAAAATTTTGTTACCAAAATTTTCAGCTCTTCAGGTCTAAGTTTCAGAAATGGTTCTGGAAAGTGCCAAGATAACAAACATAGCAACAAGAGCAACAAAAACAATTAAGATAGAGACAAAGTCAAAAACTTTTCTTAAAAAACCCACAATTTATATATATTATAAATACATATAATATATATTTATATATTAAATATATAATTATATATATATGTATTTTTTTTTTTACAGCAAGAACCATATTCCAAGCATGCAACAAAATGAACAGTCAGTCAGGCATGGTGGCTCACGCTTGCAGTCCCAGTACTTTGGGAGGCCATTGCAGGAGGATCGCTTCAGGCCAGGAGCTCAAGACCAGTTTGGTCAACATAGAGAGGCCCTTGTCTCTACAAAAAAAATTGAAAATTAACGAGGTATAGTGATGTGCCCCTGTAGTCCCAGCTACTCAGGAGGCTAAGGCGGGAGGATTGTTTGAGCCCAGGAGGTCGAGGCTGCAGTGAGCCATAATCATGCCACTGCACTCCAGCCTGGGCAACAGAGCAAGATCCTGCCTCAAAAATAAATAAGTAAATAATAAAATAAAATAAATGAACAGTCAAGAAAGACAAATGCTGAAAAAGATTAAAACTATCATGCTATGATTTGGTAATCTTGCATAAAAAAAAGAAATGCTCTGGTTGGCTAGGAATGTCTAAACAAGACCATCTTCTTTTACGTATACCCTAGAAAAATAACTTCCATTTCTGTAGTACTTCTATGGATCCTTAAGAGAATAAGTATGTCAATTTTTCTAATAAAGGGAACTGATACTGTGATAAATTAGTAAATTGTATAATGTAACACAGCTAGTGAATACAGAGATCTGGGTTGAAACTCAACTTGATGTGACTCAAAGCCCATTTTCTCTCCTCCGCTTAACATTTTCAAAGTGGCCTCTTGTTACAGTTATACTGATGTTCATGCCTTACCTCAAGATTCTAATTCAATTGGTCTGGGGTGGAGCCCTTTCTAGGTATTTTTTTTACAAAGTCCCTTACATGATGTTCACATATAGGCTGGGTGAGCACCATTGCTCTACATGTGCTGACACTCAAAACCCAATAAATGTGGAGAAAGTGACAGTAATAATATGGGCAGGAAGCATTCACATATGGAAATATATTATTGAAGAATCAGTGAAATAACTCAGTTTGATCAATGAAAATACCTGTTTTGAGCTGAAGGGTTTTCTTCATTCAGAGCTTATGCATTCAGTTAATGAGAAAAGTTTCTCTTGTCAATAAAGATGGTGTTACAGCTTATGTAACAGGAAGTTTAATCATCACACTCTAATGGCTTCTTTGGCCTAATAGGACAGTAATGATTAAAGGTCAATCTAACACTTGCTATGGATTTTTCATCAAAGGTTGTCAATGAATACCATTAAGTCCAACAAGAACAGGGCTTCTTGTGTAATATTCAGTTCAGATTAGGAATTTCACCCTTATAAAAGCTTAGAATAGCACATAGGCACTATTTACTGAGAGCTTACTCTATGGCAGACAACTGTATTAAGAATTTTAGAAATGACTTTGTTTAATCTTCTAGCATCTCTGTGAAATAGTAGTATTACCTTTATTTACAGATGAGAAACTCGTATTCAGAGTTCATACAACTTGCTCAGTTTTGTAGCTAGAAGAGGAAACCGGGATTCAAACCGAGGTCAATTTGACTTGAAAACCAGTGCTTTTAATCTTGGTTTTATACTGCAGAAATATGAAACATAATATCGGGATAATCATAATCTCTCAATGAAGTTTAAAGTATGAGAACATTTGAACATCATCCCGCTTGGCCTGCCCTAGCTCCATCTAGCTGCAAGAGCTAAGCTTTCCATGTCTGTGAGAATCCATCTGGCAAGTGAGGTCTGGGTTGGTTTGCTGCCCAGGGCCAGAATTCCCAGGTGAGTCCCTGGGCTGCTGCTCCCTGGACCCCAGCATCAGCCCCACACAGGCCCCTGGAACGCTGTGCGATGTCCCTTATTGGGCGTGAGTGCAGAGCCGGGGCAGGAACTCCAGCAGGCCTGCGCTTCCTCCCAGCCCCCACCACCCCCTCTCCGACTGATTCCAATATTTTGTGTATTGATGTGAGGTCAGGCTTCACTAGGGGTAACTACAGCCCTTAGGTGCTGTGAATTGTGTTTCTCAGGAGGCATCCAGCCCCAGTCCTTGTAGGTCTGACAAACCCATCTAACCCATCTCTCCCACAGATCTATTAGAAAACGCCAGCATGCTTAGGTTGGCAGATGAAATACAAGATGCCTAGTTAGGTTCGAATTGCACATAAATGAGAATGATTTTTCAGCTTATGTCCCAACTGTTATGTGGGACACACTTATACTAAAATTGTTTATTATTTACCTGAAATTCAAATTTAATTGGGCATCCTGTATTTTCATTTGCTAACCCTGGCAACCCTAGCATGCTCACTCACCAAAATTATGTAGGTCTGAACATCAGTGTGGAAAAAAGAAGAAGAAAAATCCAATTTCTTATCATAATGGAATACATATAATAAAGGTTCCAATAGAAAACTTTAAAAGAGTTTTCTTGCTTCAGTGTCACACTTTCATAAGCATCAGTGAAAATTGGCTTAATTATCTTGATGTGATGAAACATGCCACAATTTGTCTTTCTCCTTTATATCCTGATGACATTCATAGTAAAATTGCTTTACTATATACCAAAAATGTTTTTCTTGTGCTTTTCTCTCTGACTGAAATTTCAGATGAGTTTTCCTTTAAAAAAAAAAAAAAAAAAAAAAAATCCTATTATACCTAGAGCTAGATGGTAAAGAAGAAAAGTCCTTGACAGTGACGTGGTCAAAATAAAACAATATTTATGATAATGTAAAATAATAGTGAAATTTATTGTCTAGAAATGCCAAGAGATTTTTGAATGTTTTATTAATCCTTACAATACTCCTTTGAGGGGATGATCATTGTCTGGGTTTTACAGATAGAAAAATTTAGGTACATAGAATTATCTTCTTTGTCCAAACTAGAAATTTGGGACACTGTGTGTAGGCCAAAATCTCCATACAGCCTCCCTGTCCCAACCACTTTGCTCATGGCTCCCAGCTTCTGAAATCCTGGCCTAAGAGCCGTGAAAGAGTTAAAGGAACCAATAATTAAAAACTGAAGAGAATTCTGATAAGTGATTTTAGAAAAGTGCCAAGGAGTATCCCAAATGTTTGCCCACTCATCAAGTTCTTGAGGGGAGGAGGGAAAGAGGAAGAAGAGCATGTTCAGCACTTCCTCAAAGCGCGAATATAAAATGTGCCTGGCCCTCAAGTGACTCGTAAAAAATAAAATGAAATCTCATATATGTAAACGAGCTCTGGTTATTCAGGCTGGATGAATCGTGATTTGTTTTTCCCAACACTGTATTTCTCTATCTTTTACAGGGCCGCTAATGTACATATATTCAATATGGGAGATGGTTCCTAAATGTCATCCAAACATGCCTATTTGCTCTCATGGGATCTATGACTTTAATTAGTCCTCATGCCATTCGTCTTCAAGATCCCATCAAATACTTACTTAAACTGTGTGTGTGTGTGTGTGTGTGTGTGTGTGTGTGTGTGTGTGTCTGGTTTTCACCAGGCATGGAGCAGCATCACAGCCAGGGCCCTGTATGTGTGTCTGAGGTGGCAGGGCCACCTCTGGAGAGCCAGTGGCCTTCATTCTGCTTGGCTAGGTGACAAGTGGTTCCAACATGCACCCTGTGTTTTATAATGTGGACATCTGACTATTTCTACTATTCTAAAGTGCAAATGTCCCCAAGTTCATAAGTGGCACATACTGTTTCACAGTGAATTGGGCCTTTTATCAGGGAGGAAATGACCCAAATTGGCATGTCTGTAAACAGATTCCATCAATACAAGCCCTTTAATAAAGACAGCCTTTGGTGGTGCTGTTCAGGGAGGAGGGTGAATGGTAGGGAGGTGCACCCTAGACAATTTACTGGGTAAGCATGTGTCTCTGCAGCAGGATCCCTGCACGAGAATTACCGTTAGACCAAGTAAATCTAGAGATTAGTCTGGAGTCTCTTTTGTGCACTAAAATTCGGCACATTTTTTTCCATCCCTAAGCCCTTTCCTGAAAATGGGTTTCTAATATTATATCTGAATTCCTTGTTCACTGAACCTACAAGGAACGTATGGCGCAATGGAATTAAAAGATTAAACCTCAAGCCACTTGCGCTAAGTCTTTAAATGCCTTATGAAGAACAGTTTACATAGCAACTGAGTCTACAGTTGGAGTACAGACTCATTTGCTTTTAGAGAGTCTTAGAAACTCAGGTGTTATGAGAATTCTCTTTGTTAACCATTTTCCTCCTGTAGTAATAGGCCCAGTGGCACTATAATTCCTCCTAATGCACACCATTAAATTTCACTTATGGTTGTATGTATTTAGGTTGTGTTTTGGCTTCATCTTAAATATTACAAGGTGACCTCATGTGATCTGGACTTGGAGATTAGGTCCTCTTTAGATATCACGTGCAGCTTCTTGAGTAATCTCATCTAAAAGCTTGTTAGAGCTGTATGCCAGCTCATTTGAAATGTATGCCAGCTTATTACTATAGATGAGAAAAAAGGGGGCCAAGAAAAGTTAGTAAAATAATAATAGTAGTAGTAATGGCTAGCATTTGCTGAGTACTTTCTGCAGCCTAGAAACAAATGCTTTTTCCTGCATTTTTTCTTTCAGGCCTCAGAGTAGGCCTGCGAGTTCTGTACTAATATCTTCCTCAGAGTGCGCTTTTGTGCCATATCTGTCTCCCCCATGGGAGGACATTGGTGTGCATTTCTTCCCTCTCTCTCCTACATCAGCAATGATTTAGCTGTCTATTAGATCATGCCCATCAGAAGGCTAACATTGTGTAATCTCTTCCCTTTAAAAAGACAAAACAAAATGACATCAAAAAACAAAGCCTTATCCTGACTCTACTTCCCATACAGGCCACTATCCCATTTTTTTGTTCCTTTTTGTAGAAAAAAATCTTGAAATAGCACTTAGCTCAATTTCTTTCCTTGCATTCTTTTTTAAAGAGACAGAGTCTTACTCTGTCACCCAGGCTGTAACAATTTTTAAAGAGTCAACATTTCTCTACTAAATCTGCCTTTCATTGCAAATTTATCAGAGCTGGTTCTTCACTGAGCAGAACCTATTTTAGCTTTCTACATTGTTCTCCTACATTCAAACTTTTTTTTTTGCGTACATTTTTCAGTCAGAAGATCATTTTGTTTTATTTTTTTTAGAAATGGGGTCTCGCTGTGTCACCCAAGCTGGAGTGCAGTGGTGCAATTATGGCTCACTCTAGCCCGAAATCCTGGGCTTAAGCAATCCTCCCTCCTCAGCCTCCTGAATAGCTGGGAAAACAGGTGTGCACCACCAGACCCAGCTAAGATTTTTTTTAAAAATTAGTATTATTCATTCTCTGGCCTCAGCTTCCCAAAGTGCTGGGATTATAGGCATGAGCATCCTTACTCAGCCAATACATTGTTTTTCTTCAGTATCTCCAATTAGAAGTTTGCCCGGCTACCTTGCCCAAGTGGCTTTTATTCAGTTAGCCAGTAACCGCCATGCTACTAAATTCACTGGCCAATTTTCAGTACCTCATCCACTGGAAGCTTTTGACAAAACTACTTCCTCCTTCTTGAATCACTGTTTTCCCAGAACCACACTTTTGTGTTTCCTCCTACTTCCCTAGTCACCACTATTCCCCAGCTCCTCTTCATGTTGGAAGGCCCCAGGGCTCAATGTCAAGTCTTCTTGCTTTTCTATCCATGTATCATTCATTGCTGATCTCATCCAGACTCATGACTTTATATAATCTTTATGCTTCATACTTTCCACGGGCTTCTCTAAATTTGCTGTCCACCATTTTCCACCCTGCTCTCTGGGAAGGCATAGCAACACATTTCCTTGGCCTTTAATTTTCATCTGGGCTTGGCCCTTAAGGGCCCTGGGATGTGATAGGAGGGTAGAAGGAAAGACAGATTGGAGTGTTTATTCTCTGTCAATTGCAACAGATTGGCTGCATTCCTCTATTGAAGGTTACATTTCTTGTCAGGTCACCCTCCTTATAAAGCCACCCTCTTCAGATCTGATGAGTGTTCCTTACCTTGCCTTTTTATACTAGGGACGTTAATAGCTCTAGACTACTCTACCATTCCTTGTGGATTTCCTTAAGTCCTATCCACATCTTTGAAAATATTTCTCTTCTCAATTACTCAATTTGAATATACCCTTTATTTCCTGCCAGGACTTTGATGGAAATACAGTCTATATGCTGACACTCCCAAACTTATATCTCCAGTTTAGATCTCACTTTTATGAACAGCAGACTCTTATATTCGGCTGCCTCTTCCACATCTTTGTTATGTTTAAAACTAAACCCTACATTTTACTTCCAAATCTGTTCTACTCACAGCCTTGTCATTGATTAAATAATCAATGACAACTCCATCTTTCAATTGTACAGACTAAACATCTTGAATCATCCTTGACTCTTATTTTCTTTCAACATCTCATATAATACATCAGGAACTTTTTAAGGCTCTTTCTTGTAAATATATCTAGAATCTAACCAATTCTCACCGCCTCTACTCCTACCACCTTGGCCCAAGCTGCTGATATTTCTTCCTTTCATTTATTGCAATAACCACTGCATTATTGGTGGAGATTTCTTATTGGTCTCCCTTCTTTACCCTTACTACTTATAGTTTATTCCAGAACACAGCATGTCACTCCTCTGCTCAAAACCCTGTGATGGATCCTGTATCACTCAGAGTGAAAGCTGAAGTTCTTCCAATCATCTACAAGACAATACATGAGGTGATAACTTGATATACCACTGACCTTCTCCTATCTTCCTCTCTCTGTTCCAGCCACATTGATTTGTTTGCTGTTCTAGACCATGCTTGGCATGCTTTCACTCTAGGAACTTTGATCCAGTGTTCTCAGTCTTAGAATGCTCTTCCTTCTCATAATTATTTGGCTAACTTCTTCAACTCCTTCAAGTCTTTGCTCAAAAGTCCCCTTCAAAATGAGGCCTACTGTGACCATCCAAATTGAACTGCAACCTTTCTTCCTGCCAGCTCTCTCCATTTCCCTTCCTCTGCTCACACTTTTTCTTGCTGGAAACATGCATCATATACTAACGTTCTAGATTATTTATTTGTTTATTGTTTATGGTCTACCTTCCCACCCCAGCCCCACTAGAATATAAACACCTCAAAGGTAAAGATCTTTGTTTTTTCACTAGTAGGTTGCCAGTATCTAAAAGAGTGCTTGGTTCATAGTAGCAACTCAAAAGTTTTGTTATATTAGCCTCCCACAAATTTTGATGTTTTGGGTTCATTTTTATTAAACTAAAATATTTTCTGATTCACTTTGTGTCCTCTTCTTTGACCCATGAGTTATGTAGAAGTGCGTTGTTCAATTTTCAAGTACGTAGGGTTTTCCAGATAGCTTTCTGCTTTTGATTTCTGTTAAACTCTGTTGTGGTCATAGAACATAATTTATATGATTTTAATTTAAAAAAATTTTGAGACCTTCTTTATGGCCTAGACTATGCTCTCTCTTGGTGAATGTTTCGTGTGCACTTGAAATGAGTGTGTATTCTGCTATTATTAGGTGAAGGGTCTTATATATGTCAGTGATGTCAAGTTGATTGATAGTGTTTTCTTTTATATCTTTACTGATTTTCCTATCTCCTTGCTCTACTGCTTGCTGAGAGAGGGATGTTAAAGTCTTCAACTAGTATTGTGAATTTGTTTATTTCTTCTTTCAATCCTATCTGTTGCTTCACGTATTTGACTTTTTGTTGACAGATACATAAACATTTTTGTATTTTTATGGCTTTTGAGTAATGGACCCTTTATCATAATGTAATGTCCCTTTTTACTTTTGGTAGTATTACTTGTTGTAAAATCTAATTTATCTGATATTAATTAACATAACCACTTCAGTTTTTTTAAAACTAGGTTTGCATGGTATATCTTTTTTCATCCTTTTACTTTTAACATACATATGTCTTTACATATTTAAAGTGGATTTCTTAAAGACAGCATATAGTTGGGTATTGTTTTTAATTCAATCTGACAATCTCTACCTTCCAATAGGGGTATTTAGATTATTTATATTTAACTTAATTATTGATACGGTTGGATTTAAGTTTACCATCTTTCAAGTTATTTGTCTCATTTCTTTTTCCTTTTGTGTCTTTTAAAAATATTTTAATATTTTAATAATTCCATTTTATCTCCACTTTTTAATTTTTCTAGTGATTGCTTTAGGGTTTAAAATAAGCACCTTTAAGTTACAACAGTCTACTTCCAGACATTATTATACAACTTCTCCTATAGTGTAAGAACCTTGAAACATTGTATATGCTTTTCCCACTCTCATTTATTTCCTCCTCCCATGTTATTGTTGCTACACGTTTTACTTCTGCATGTAACCCCAGCATATGTAGTTAGTATTTTGCTTTAGATCAGGGGGCATAAAACTATGACCTGCAAGCCAAATCCTGCCCATGGCCTGTTTTTATACAGTCTGTGAGCTAAGAATGGCTTTTATATTTGTAAATGGTTGTATAAACAACAACAAGAACAAGGAAGAATATATAATGGAGATATTATATGGCTCACAAAGCTCAAATATTATCTGGCCATTTACAGAAAAGCTTGTTCAGTCTCCATCTTAATTTCCTTTTACAGATATTAAAATTAACAAAATTATCTTTTATATATACTCTTATTTTTATCATTTATAAGAGTCTTCATTTCTTTAATGTAGATACAACTATATAAGAGAAGCATACTCTCTTTTCTGGTGAACTTGAACTCAGAGGATATAAGCCTGGAGTTGCAGAGGTCTTGATAAAGGGCTTCAGGATGAGGCCAACAGAGCTGAAGGCAAGAACCACAGACTAGGAAGAACAGGTCACATACATCCCTTTTTTCTGGAGCAAGCGCTACCTTGGATTTTCCATTATATGAACCAAGAAATTCTCATTTTTGTTCGCTATTTTGAGTTAAAATGTCTGTCACTTGTACCCAAGAGATTCCTTTCTGACCAATATATTGACTTAGGAAAGGCTCTCTAGAAGCCAAAGTAATGAAAAACAAAAGTGTTCACTTGAAACTTTAATGTCCAGAGCCTATTACTAGCTGCTTGACTGAAGAAGTGAAGTTAGAGAGAGTACCCTGGAAACTAACTTTAGGGCATTAAAACAATTTTTAAAAATAAACTTTTAATTTTGGAATAATTCTACATTTACAAAAAGCTGCAAAGACATTACAGAGTTTTCAGATACCCTTTCCTGTTTTCCTCTACTGTGAATGTCCCACACAACCAAGACGCATTTGCCAAAACAGTGATACATTTCTATTAACTAAACTACAGATTTTATTTGGATTTCACAACTTTTCTCACTAATGTGTGTCATCTCCCGGTTCCAGTATCCCGTCTAGGATATCACATTGCATTTAATTGTTACATATACTTAATCTCCTCTGATCTGTGGCAGTTTCTCCACTATCTCTTGTTTTTCATGACCTTGACAGTTTTGAAAGATACTGGTTATGTATTTTGCAGGATGCCCTTTAATTTGAGTTTGATATTTTCCTCATGATTAGAGTGAGATGATGGGTTTTGGAGAAGAATGCCACAGAGGTGAAGTAAGGCAATATTTTAACAGAGTTCATTATATGATGAGATGCATTAACTCAATGCATCATGCATTATATGCATTATGGATAACATATAATTATAGATAGCGTATAACTCAATGCATCATGCATTGAGTTAAGGAGGCCTCTGATGTGGGACACAGTGGTACATGGGGGTCCTCAGTGTTTGCCATTGTTCAGAATCATAGTGCATTGAATACTAAGCATGGCACTCTTTGCATTTCAACGAGAAAAGCATGCATAGTGATTTCCTGTGAATCTCTCTATGATCATGATAAATTTAAATGAGTTTTTACTTTCTGAAAATTCAAGCCACAGAGATACTAATTCGTTTCAATAACTTAAAGCCTGTACTTCTTACTTTAATAAGAGAGGCACCTTTATTTTGCAGGGACCTTTCTGCTATATGAGTCCTGTGACTAGATTTATGCCTTTGCCTTCAGATGATTTTCATAAAATGCTTCAATAGTCATGACTTTTTTTTTCTTTTTCACACACATATGACCCACACACTGTTATCAAAGGGTTACCGTTAGTCTCCAACCTATGGAGGTTTGACTTATGATTTTTTTAGCTTTACAATGGTGCTAAGTGATACTCATTTAGTAGAAACCATACTTCAAATTTTGAATTTTGATCTTTTCCTGAGCTAGCAATATGCAGTACAATACAATCTTGTGATGCTGGGGGCAGGGGCAGCGAGCCACATCTCCCATCCAGCCACGATACCATGAGAGTAAACAACCAATACCCCCGCAGTGGACTGTGTTGCCAGATGACTTTGACCAGCTGTAGGCTAATGTAAGTGTTCTGAGTACGTGTAAGGTAGGCTAAGCTAAGCTGTGATGTTCAGTAGGTTAGGTGTATTAAATGTATTTTTGACTTTTGATACTTTACATTTATAAGGGGTTTATCAGGACATAACCCCATCGTAAGTCAAGGAGCATCTGTACATTGCTTCAAACAGAAATACATTATTAAGTTGACTTGCTGTATTACCAGGAAACAGTAACTAGATCGTCCACTTCCTCCTCTCTATTAATCCATCCATAATTGTGGTAGTTATTGAATATTCATTGGGCAGAACACTGGGAAAAATCAGTAGAAGAGAAACCAAAGGATGCAGCCGTCGTCCAAAATGGCTTCATGTTTTAACACAGACATTTGTCATTCGATTGTCCAAATTAGGTCATACATGCGAAACATTGTAAGGTATTATGTAACAAAGTTGACTATTTAACTTTCAAATGAATTCTCCTGCTGTAGACTCATTAAAAAAAACAACACACAACATGCTGTGTATCCCATCATAGCATACGTTGTTGGTTATTTTTGTTGTTTTTTAATGAATCTGCAGCCCATTCAGCCTTTACTCCTGAAGTATAGTGAATTTCCCTTAACTCCAGTTGGGAGTAATTGCATTTTTTTGTTTGGTTTGAACAACGTTTTGAAATATTTTGAATCAGTTAATATTTTGAAGTTTGAGGAAATTCCCTTAAACTGTGTATTCTTGGCTTCTTGTTGAATCCAAAGACCTGGTATCGTTGGGGGGGTGCTGCCCGTGTAGACAGGGTATGTAGTTCCTAACTTGTCTGTTTTAATCCTAGCTAGCTTCACTCATCTGCTGTCCTGTTTGCTCAATAGAAATTACAACTCCTGCTCTAGAGATAATTAAGATGAATTGTCTGGAAGGCCAGATGAAATGGAAGTTTTGTGCTTTCAGAGTAAGGAAGGGAGTGATTTAACCCCAATGGAATGGCACCCCGTACCCCCCGCCCCTGCCAGGAATGGAATAACGACAAAGGGAGGGTAGCAAAAAGTCTTCTGGAAGGTCGTCTAAGGCAGCAAGATGTAGAAGGGGTAGGAGCCTGTGAGACCTGTGATACCAACTGCTCTGCCTTGGTGAGAGTCTCTAGTGACTGAGGTTGCCATAAGGGACTGAAGCCACCACAGAGCAGCCATCTTTTTCCAGCCCTCAGTGGCCTCTGCAAAGCACAATGGCAGCATCAACCTTCAAAACCTGAGGTCCAGGCCTGCTCCTATATTTTCTAGGACCTCATGTGCCCAAGAGAGTGGGAAGAAGTCCCAAAAAAGTACTGATGCTGGAACTGGATCTCTTGCCAATTTTGGTAGGCAGAGAATTGGAGTTAGATTTGATTAGATTTAGAAAAGCAAAGAAATGCAACATTACCTTCATCCCAGGTTTTGGAACAACGTATTATTGTGAATAACAATTAAATGTTGCTTTTTCTTCAAAAGGGCCTAAGCTGATTTTATAAGAAGCACAGACATATAGTAAGATGATAGTAATTGAGTTGATTAGGTTCAACTACATATGTGATTAAGCTCATCCTCAAGAATAAATGCCTCAACTAGATGGTCTTCAAACGCTCTCTCTCGGTTCTGAAATACAATATTGGTAATCTTAGAAAATATTCAGCATATAAATGGTGAATGGAGGTTGAATTATACAGGCTGGCAGGTGAAATAATTTAGCAACCAGGCCTACAAGGTTGGAGAAGCTGATATCTATCTTCATTGTGAAGCCACTGTCACTTAGACAAATACATCCATGGCAAAGATTTAAATTTAATGAAAACTGTGTTTCTTAAACTAAAATTGACAGTTTAGTATGTTAGAATTTACTACAGGGCTCTTTACAACTGTGAGTAATTTTATTTCTTTCTAACATGATAAGCAGGTTTGTTTTCTGAGCTCAGGACTCATGGTACAATTGCTTAATGACATTTCCCTTGCCAAGTTCCACACTTGGAGAAATCTGACAAGACACCTAAGATTCATGCGATCAAAATGTTTCAAAAACCTCCACTCCTTCCAAAGTTCCCTTTTCTCTATTTCCCCTTACTAAATTACCTTAACTGGATGCCTGGGAGCCACAATACGTCATCATAATCTCACATCAAGTTGGTGGTCATATCCTACGGATTCTATGTCTTTATCTTCAAGGTCATTAAGAGTTGGGAGCTGGGAGGCCCTCTACCCCCAGCTGCTCCTTATTCCAGAAATTCATTATCTCTGGCCTGAACCATTGCAGCAGTCTCTTAATTAAATTTAAGCCCTTCTACCATCTGCATATTGACACCTGAATAACTTTTTATAATTCATTTTAAAATGCATTGATACAGTCCCTTTTTGGAGACAGTTTAGTGGTGTCTTACTAAGCTGAATATAAGTGTTAGCATATAATCCAAAAACTGTGCTCTTAGTATTTATCCAACTGCTTTGAAAACATATGTTAACATAAAAACCTGCACAAAAATGTTTATAGTTTCATTCACAATCACCAAAAACTGGAAGCAACCAAGATATCCCTCAACAGTGAATAGAGAAAATGTGGTACATTCACACAACGAAGTATTATTCAACAATAAAAAGGAATGAATTTTTTTTTTTTTTTTTTTTTTTTTTTTTTTTTTTTTTTTTTTTTTGGAGACAGGGTCTTGTTCTGTCACCCAGGCTGGAATGCAGTGGTACAATCTTGACTCACTGCAACCTCCACCTCCCAGGTTCAAGCGATTCTCCCGCTTTAACCTTCCAAGTAGCTTGGATTACAGGCATACACCACCATGCCCAGCTAATTTTTGTATTTTCAGTAGAGATGGGGTTTGCTATATTGGCCAGGCTGCTCTCAAACTCCTGGCCTTAAGTGATCTGAAGTGATCTGCCTGCCTTGGTCTCCCCAAGTGTTGGGATAACAGGCATGAGCCACGGTGCCTGGCCAGGAATGAATTCTTAAGCCATGCAAAGACAGGATGAATTTCAAACACATGTGGTTAAGTGAAAGAAGCCACTCTGAAAAGGTTACAGATTGTCTGATTTCATTTCTATGACATTCTGAAAAAGGCAAGATCATAGAGATGGCTAATAGTGTTTGTCAGGGATCTAGGGGATGGGAAGAAGGAAGAATTGAATAAGAGAAGCACAGGGTATGCTTTAGGATGGTGAAACCATTCTGTAAGATGCTATAATAGTGGACACATAATGCTTTGCTTTTGTCAAAGCCTCTAAAACTTTACGGTGAGTAAATGTTAGTGTATGAACACGTAAAAAAATCATTTAGGGGTCGAGGAGGTCCCAGGATGAAATGTAGTATGTGACAAAATAATTTAACTATATTACAAATATATGAAACAACATCATTGAAGAGTGTGAAGAAAAAAAGGTGCTGACTCAAGTAACTTTAGAAATGAATGGAGTTTGTAGGACTAAAGGCAAAAGAACTACACAAAGCTGTAATCCAGTTAATAAAGTTTTTCCTATGGGCAAACAATTCTGAAACCATTATACAGATGGTCCCTGATTTACAAAGTTTGACTTAAGATTTTTTGACTTTATGTGAAAGCAATATGTGTTCAATAGAAACTGTACTTCAAGTACCCATACAGTCATTGTGTTTTACTTTCAGTACAGTATTTAATAAATTGTATAAAATGGCCAATGCTATATTATAAAATAGACCTTGTGTTAGATAATTTTGTCCAATTGTAGGCTAATGTAAGTGTTCTGAGGACATTTAAGGTAGGCTAGGCTAAGCCATGATGTTTGGTAGGTTAGGTGTATTAACTGCATTTTCTACTTATGATATTTTCCAGTTATGATGGATTTATTGGGACATAACCCCATTCTAAGTTGAGGAGCATCTGTACATGTATAATGGAATTGCACAAAGAAGTGATTGCAGATGGTGGAAGTCAGATTTCTCAATGTTGCAGTGGTAAGTTACAATAGGCAAAAGGGAGGGGGCTAGAATGATCTTTAGTGATGAATTAGAATTGGAGACATCAGTATGACTCTTATTTAGCTTAATGTAGGTACAAAAGGTCACCTATTAAAATATTTATGAATGTGACTATATACATGGGTTAATATGTAAACATGTTACTTGCTCTGTCAGCTGAAACGACCTAAAAGTAATGACTCTTGTACTCCCAGTAGCAATGAGCACTCTCAGTGCCCAGATCTTGGCTTTTAATATGTTTCTCCAATAAAAGGAACCAGGGTTCCTTGGAAAATGGCCAATTCTAGAATTGGGGCAGGAAATATGTATGATGAGTTTGGAGTATATTCTTATGCCAGAAGGTAAGGAAGTGCAGGGGGAAATACACACACACACACACACACACACACACACACACACACACACACGAGATGATGGGATTATATTAAAGGGACACTGGTGTCCACTGAAAGAGCTTCCAATGGCCAAAGATGGAACAAATTGAGCAATAAGATAAATAAGGTAGTATTGAATTATAACATAAAATATAAGATAAATAACCATGCATTCATACTGATATAAATGAATGACTCAATAAATTAAAAAGTGGGTGGAAATAGACAAATGTTTCTTGCAGAAAAAACTCCAAATAATTTATGTATATATTTCACCATCAAGGAGGTAGAGCATAACTCACTACTCCTTAAGTGTGAGCTATGCATTGTGACTGCCTTCCAAAAAGTATAGTATGCAAAGGGCAAAAAAAGAATAACTTTGCAGTGGAGAAATCTGAAAAGTACTACCTCAGCCAGGTGGTCAAGGTTAACATAAGCAGTGATAAGTCATGTTGACAGTATGTTCCCTTGATATGATGTGATGAGAACAACACTTTATTTTTGTGGTCTTCCTTCCCCAAACCCATAACCCTAGTCTAATTGTGAGAGCAATACCAGACAAATCCCAAATGGAGGGCATTCAACAAAATACGTGGCCAGTATGCAAGACTGTCAAGGTTATCAAATATAAAGAAAGTCTGAGAAGTGGTCACAGCCCAGAGGTGCCTAAGGAAAAGTAATGACTAAACATAAGATGATATCCTGGATGGGATCCTAAAACAGAAAACTGACACTAGGTAAAAACTAAGGAAGTTTGAATAAAGAATGGGCTTTAGTTAAAGAATAATGTATCAATACTTATTTATTGTGATCAGTGAACCATACTAATATAAGATATTAATAATGGGAAACTGGGTGTTGAGTATATGGTAATTCTATCTTTGTAAGATTTCTGTAAATCCAAAACGGTTTTAAAATTTAAAAAAATATTTAAAAGAATGTACTGAGTGTCTACTTATGTGCCTGGAACTGTGACTATAGATAATGAGCTCTGCCTTCATGGAAATTATTGTCTGACTGGTGAGACAGGCATTAGTAAATAATTACATATATAACTATATAAATATTAATTGTATAAAAATTACTAAATTATCATTCAGTGATATTCTAATACAGTAATTACCTTAGTCTGAGGGTCATTGAATTTTCCCAGTAAAGTGGCATTCAAACCAAGTAGAAGTTGTCCAGGTGTGGATGGGGAGAAGAAAAACACTAAAAACAAAGGGAATGGCATGTGACAAAGAACGAAGGTAGGAGGAACATGGCTTTTTTTTTTTTTTTTTTTTTTTTTTTTTTTGATGGAGTTTCGCTCTTGTTGCCCAGGCTGGAGTGCAATGGCATGATCTCGGCTCACCACAACCTCTGCCTCCCGGGTTCAATGATTCTCCTGCCTCAGCCTCCTGAGTAGCTGGGATTCCAGGCATGTGCCACCATGCCCAGCTAATTTTGTATTTTTAGTAGAGATGGGGTTTCTCCATGTTGGTCAGGCTAGTCTCAAACTCCCAACCTCAGGTGATCCGCCTGCCTCAGCCTCCCAAAGAACATGGCATTTTGATGGAGAAGAAGAACAGCCATTGTTCTTGGGTCTCTGAGCTCAAGGTGGGAGAAGGGAGAGAGTAAGAACAGAAGCCAGGTCCTTGAGTGGTTTCTATCCCGGGATCCACAGACTCCAAGCTGATGAGTAGAACTCTTTACTTCAGTAAAATTGGTCGCTTTCGTTACCTTTTTACTTTACGTATTTAAAGATATTATTCTGAAAAATGGTTCATAAGCTTTAACAGATGCCCAAAGGAAACCAACATGCCACCATGTTAAGGATGTTAAACTTTATCCCAAGTGCAATAAGAAACCATTCAAACATCTTAAGCTGCTTAAAATTCTTCATTGGTTCAATTTGCCTTTGGAACAAAGTGCAAACTCCTTAGCATGAAATGATCACCACAGGCATCTTCAGCACTTTTTGTTGTTCAGTGCCTGATACCCCAGTAACCATTTTGTTCTACACTTAAATCCTACAAAACCTCTGGAGATCATTATGCAAGGCCTGCTGTTTCCTGTCTTCTTGTGTTCATGCTGCTTCCTGTGCCTGGAAAACTCTTTCTTCCTTATCTACTTATGCTTCCAGACTTGGCTCAACAAAAGCCTTCTCTCTAAACCTTTTCTTGTCTTTCCAGATTAAGATGAAGCCCCTTTCTTCTGCAGTCCATTACACTCTTTGTGTGCTAGACAGAATGATGCCCCCCAAAAGATGTCCACATGCTAATCTCCAGAAATTGTGAATGTATTATCTCATATGGTGAAAGGGTCTTATCTTGAATTATCTGGCATACCCAATATAAACACATGGAGTCTTTATAAGAGGGAAGCAGGAGGGTCAGAAGGAGATGGGACCGAAGAAGCAGAGGAGGTGGGGGAAAGAGAGAGTACACACAAGTGTGAATGAGTGCTGAGCTTGAAGATGGAGGAAGGACCACAAGCAGGGCAGGGCAGTGGCCTGTAGAAGCTGAAAAAGGCAAGGAAAGGATGTTCCCCTAGACCCTCTAGAAGGACCATAGCCCTGCCAACACTTTGATTTTAGGACTTCTGCCCTCCAGAACTATAAGATAATAAGTTTGTGTTGTTTTGAGCAACAAATTTGTGGTGATTTGTTATAGCAGCAATAAGAAATGAATGCACTAAGCATACCTCTGTTCATGTTCTCTTATATGTTACTATACTTATTTAAGCCCCCTAATTAGTTATGACCTATTCAGTTACCCATTCAACAGCAACAGTTAAGTCTTGAGGGCTTTCTTTGGTCTTGGTACTGTTCATGGTGCTAGAAATCCAATAGTGTATGAAACAAACGAAGTCACTGAGCTTATGGAGATTACAACTCAATGTCTGGCACATACGAGGCTTTAAAAAATGTTTGTTGAATGAATGAATCAAGACAGTTTTATAATTATGGACTTAAATAAAAGTGATAAAAGTAATTGTTTCTTGCTAAGAGACAGGGTCTTGCTATGTTGCCCATGCTAGAGTACAGTGTTTTTTTTACAGGTACAATCCCACTACTCATCAGCATGCAGGCTTTGACCTGCTCCATTTCCAACTTGGGCCAGTTGACCCCTTCTTAGGCAACATAGTGGTCCCCTGCTCTTGAGAGATCACAGTATTGATGCTGAACTTAGTGTAGACTCCCGATTGGCATAGCGTACTACAGCCTAGAACTCCTGGGCTCAAGTGATTCTCCTGCCTCAGCTGCCCAAGTAGCTGGGACTATGGTTGTGGGCTATTTACTATGCCCAGCACAAGTAACCTTTATTTAAATAACAATTCTACAGAAAATGGTGTTACTGTAAATCATCAGAGATGATAAGACCATGCCCAAATTCATACCAAAACAAATTTTACACCGTTTCTGAATAAGAAGGAATTCATGGAGTCAAAATTTTTATTATTAGTTTTTTCAGTTTCTGAAAAATCAAATGTATACACCAGGGCAAACACTATACAGTTTACAAAGGCAGTTGATTCAAAGTGACGATACTTGGGCAGAAGAGATGAAACTTTGTGCTATTTGGTTTACCCTGCAGACTAGTAATAACATGAAAACAAATTCCAGGTAGGCAAATAATTGATTGGATCCTCAGATTTTTAGAAGCACATTGAGAGGTTGATACTTTTTATAGTGGCTAAGAAATGTGACAAGAGTCTCAACAGTGTTCAGTAAACACAAAGAATAAACAAACACTGCTTCTTTTCAGTTTTCAGTGATAAAGCCAAGAATCTTGGAGGGGAGAGACAATTCAGTACAGGTTCTGAATTTCTAAATGACCTCCCCCTTTCTTCTCAGTATTGTGCTTACCAAAAGCTGGATATCTAACTCATGACTAATTGCTTAGCAGAAACTTAGCTCCTGGTTTTCCTTAAGGCTTGGGAACCCAGTTCTGAGAGACAAAGTTCTCTTAGGTTCCATTTTGTGGTCAGGACCAGCCGTGTGTGCCATAGGCAATTTGTAGAAAAGCGTATGTAGTAGGAGAATAAACCATGACAGAACGTGGGCTGCAGAGTAACATAGATCTGGCCATAGGAGAACATGTCTGAACACTGAATGAAAGCCTCTCCAGAGTTGAGAGCCAACAAATTTCCCATGGGGACTTGGACTTTTAAGCAGAAGTTTCTACTGGGTAAGACTGACTCTTACAAGCATTTAGCATTAATTCTCTCTTGATCCGAGCAAACGAGAAAACATGGCTTTGGAGACTTAAAAAAACATTATTTGAACTCATAGAAGAGATGATTCCAATGAAGACAATTTCTTCTTTCCAGCACCTTTCCAAAATAAGAAGAAATAAGAAACGCATAAAACCCATCAGAACAAAGAGAAAGGAATATGTAACATTAGTGAATATGGGTTTTTGTTTTTAATTTGCTTTGCAATGGGAATGGGTTTAATCTTTGCGAGGCTACATACATATTACTATTTTATTCCTCTAGCTAACATACACTAAGCTAATCCATGATATATAATAGAACAAAAAGGCTGACTCCAAGGACTAAGGTATCAACAATTCTGCTTGGTGAGCCTAGGATCACAGGTCCTATTACACAAGCCTGTGACCTGCCAAGGCCCCTAGGGCATATGTGAGAAAGTAGTCAGAGAGCAGATGGAGGCCTGATAACTGACTGAGCATGGGGATGAAGCCATGATTTATGGTGCTTATAGAAAATAAGTCTGGATGAAAAGAACAAATTCGCACAGCAGAACTGGTGGGAAGCTCAAAACCTGGAGAAACCAGAGGTGGAAGTCAGTCAACAAATGGTGAAAATGGGAGCTAAATTAAAGACTATCTTAGAACACTGTCACCTCCACCACCAACCCCTCTGCACAGAGCCTCAGACAAATGCCTGATTCCTGCACATTCGCACCCTCTCCAAGAAGGAGGAGACCAGAGCTTCATTCTCTAGAGCAGAGGGAGACTTACTGAGCAGGTAATCAAGCTTAAACCTCAAAGTCCTTCATCTGTATGGGCCCCTTCTAAGACAGCAGGCCTGAAAGAGCCCTAAAAACGTGCTCACATGGCAAATATTTTTATAAACTTTGTAAAGGTAAAATACCTTAACCACAATTATCTAAGACTGCTATTTCCTTCCAATTCAAGTTCCTCTCCATCATACTCCCTCCCATTTCAAACAGCTTTACATGGCTATGGGCATTTTTGGGATATGTCTATGGGAGAGTTGAATTGGAGATACATTTAATTTGGGTTTACCAGGATACATCTGTGTGGTTTGTAGTCACTTCCAAGTATAAAGTGTTGCTCACCATCCCAGTGCAAAAGGGACTACCTATTGTACCAAGTATCATCCATTGTGGCCCAAAGGTGCAGGGTAAAAAATTATACAGTGGTGTGAATGTATCCCATGGTGCCCAGCTTGGGGAATATGTAGATAATGAAAGATAAACAAGCTCATCTATAGAAAAATTTTCCAATCATCAGATTTATAATTAGTAAACAGAGAATTTGGTTCCCATCAATGTCTGCTCAAAATGGAAATTCTCTCTTGTCGGAAACATACTTGATGATACAGCGTGTACAATTACAAATGCATCATATATGTTTTTATGAGAATTGTACCAAATAGAATAAATCAAAATTCCTGTTTATGGGGAACACAAACACATATACAGCTAATAAGTATATATGTAAATTCACATGATTTATATCTCCCAATGGATCAGATTGCCTTCAAGGCAAAATGGCCTAGAACAAGTGTTCTAGTGTCAAAACTCATACATACATGTATTCAAGAATAAGATGAAATATGTAGTATGAGTATTTATTTAGAAACTGAGAGAAAATTCAGGTAAAAACTTACAGGAATATGAAACAAAAGTGATAATGACAATTAAAATTGGTAGAAATTATCTTAAGGTAAAAAAGCAACTCAAATAATCTTGGGGGCATATTAAAACAATAATTTATTAAGAAAAAGAAAAATGTATTTTTGTTATTTTAAATTGGTGCATAGTAATTGTACATATTTGTGGGATACCTGTAATAGTTTGCTACTTTCATAAATGTGTAGTGATCAAGGTAATTAGGATATTCATAACCTCAAACATTTATCATTTCCTTGTGCTGGGGACATTTCTAACCTTTTATTTTCTTTTTTGAGACGGAGTCTCGCTCTTTCGCCCAGGCCGGACTGCAGAGCCGCTATCTGGGCTCACTGCAAGCTCCACCTCCTGGGTTCACGCCATTCTCCTGCCTCAGCCTCCCGAGTAGCTGGGATTACAGGCGCCCGCCACCGCGCCCGGCTAATTTTTTGTAGTTTTAGTAGAGACAGGGTTTCACCATGTTAGCCAGGATGGTCTTGATCTCCTTCTAACCTTCTCTTGAGCTATTTTGAAATATACAATAACATTACCCTACAGTGCTATTGAACACTAGAACTTTTTTCTTCTATCTAACTATATTTTTGTAGCCATTAACCAACCTCTCTTACCTCTCCTGATACCTTTCCTGTCTTCTGGTAATCACCACTCTACTGTCTACCTCCATGAAATCACTTTTTAAGCTCCCGCATATGAGTGAAAACCTGTAATATTTCTGTGTTTGCCTTCTCTCACTTCACACAATGATTTCCAGTTTCATTCATGTTGCAGCAAATGACAAGATTTCCTTCCTTTCATGGCTGAATAATAGTCCATTGTGCAAATATAACACATTTTCTTTATCTATTTTTATCCATTGATGGAACTTAGGTTGTTTTCATATCTTGGCTGTGTGCTGCAATAATAATGGTGTAATAAACATGGAAGTGCAGATACTGAAAAAGAACATTTTTGAATAGAAACAATGAGTAGGCTTTTGGATAATTTGGCAATTCAATTAATGAAGAAGTGAGAATCATATGAACATAATAAAAAAATTTAATTTCTTGCTGTTTTACATGAAATATTGATATTATAAAGATAACATAAAACTCCCAATATGCCACCACGATGAAGACACTGATGACAAGCTGGTTAATGAATGTCATCAATTTAAAGATTCTTTAAGACTAGTCATTACACAAGGCACCTTGAAATGCCCAGAAATCTTTCTGTTAATAATGGAAGAAATGTAATAGAGGGCTCTCCAAATTTGGCAGCAATCCTAATTTACATGACATTACCAATGAGTTGTGAAACTGTAAAAAACCTCTAAACTACCAATACGTTAAAAAAATCTAATAAAGCTAGAGGAAAAACTGAATTATTTTCCTGGCCTCTGTAAAGTAAATGATATTATAAGATTGTAATATAAAGAGACAAAGAGTCTGTAGCAAAAAACAAAACAAAACAAAACAAAAACCAAAAAGCATAAAAAGCACGATAGAGTGAATAAAAAGTGTCATTTTCCTAGATTTTGTGACATTTGAGGAATTTGTCGGCTTTGCTAAATGTGCTATTGGTTGTAACTTATTTTCCCATTGTAAATAAATTCTGAATTCAGATTCATGATTTTGTGCTCTTTCATCTAAAATGATCTCTCATTGTAAAAGCATCAGGTTCCACAAAACTGTATCTGTCCCTACTCAAGACATGCTGAAAGGGACAGGCTTGGGGCTCACAAGAGCTGCAGGGCTGAAAGCTGAATGTCTGCAGATGGAAAGATGGCGGTCTTTCTGCACTGACCTCTGCCTGGTCATCCAACAGCAAAGCTGCCAGTTCACATGCCTTAGTCACAAATGCAGAGCTCTGGTTAGCTTTCTCATACCAAGTTTTTTTTTTTTCTTTTGTGAAAAGTGAAACATAAAAAATTGCAGAGAATACCATGACCACATGTGACACAGACTTATCACATATATTGCCATTTTTTTCTATTCTCTTTGGATATATTTTTTAAAGAAATAAAATATCAGGCCAGCATGGTGGCTCATGCCTGTAATCTTAGTACTTTGGGAGGCAAAGGCGGGCAGATTGCTTGAGTCCAAGAGTTTGAGACCAACCTGGGCAACATGGAGAAACCCTGTCTCTACAAAAAATAAAAAAATAAGCCAAACATTGTGCACACGTCTGGTGTCAGCTACTTGGGAGGCTGAGGCAGGAGGATAACTTGACCCCGGGAGGTGGAGGTTGCAGTGAGCTGAGATCATGCCACTGCACTCCAGCCTGGGTGACGGAGTCAGAACCTGTCTCAAAAAAAAAAAAAATATATATATATATACATACACACACACACACTTATAGTTGAAGGCCTCATGTGAAAACCTCCTCTTTCCCTCCTATCCCATGAATTTTAGTTCTTGTTAGATTTGCTTTTCAAATATATCCCAAATCTGGTTACTTCTCCTACCTCCACTGCTGTTACCCATATCCCAGGCCCAGGCCACTGCAGTTCACCTCTCTTGGAGATGAGAGCAAGAGCCTCATAAGCAGTCCTTTTGCTTCTATTCTTAGAGTCAGTTCTCCACTCAACACAATGATCTTTCATAAATTGAAGTCAGATTGTTTCATTACCCTACTTTAAAACCTTCCAGTGGTCTTCCATTGCAATGAAGAAAAAAAAGTCCACACTCGATAAGAATCTTCATGACACGAAAGCAGGACAGGCCCACTGTGTGAGCTCATCTCTCACCGCTTCGTCACAGGCTCCAGTTGCTGAGGCCACTTCAAACAAGTCAGCTAGTTCCACCTCTGACCCTCACACCTTGTGTTTCCACTTGCCCGGACTGACCCCTGGACCTCTCTAGCGCTGTTCAGGTTTCAGCTCAGTGGCACCTCCGTAAGTAACATCTCTACTCTATGCCTTTATGCTGTCTTATTTTCTTTATAAACTTTTTGTAATCTGTAATTATCTCATTTGCTTATTATTATATTTTTTTGGTCTCTTTTATATGCTGGAATGTAAGCTCCGTGAAGGTGGAAGATGTGATTCTTTTCATACTGCTGTATTTTCAAGCAGTGCCTGTTACATTATAGCCAACCAATATGTATTTGTAGAATAAATTCAAATTAAACTTCTCTTCAACATCACTGGATATTATTTAATAAAGAAGCAGCAGGCAGGGCGGTGGCTCATGCCTATAATCCCAGCACCTTGAGAGGCCAAGGTGGACAGATCACTTGAGGGCAGGAGTTTGAGACCAGGCTGATCAACATGACAAAACCCTGTCTCTACCAACAACAACAACAAAAAAAAAATTAGCTGGGCATGGTGGCACACCTGTAATCCCAGCTACTCGGGAGGCTGAGGCAGAAGAATCACTTGAACTCTGGAGGCGGAGGTTGCATTGAGCCAAGATTGCAGCACTGTACCTCAAAAAAAAAAAAAAAAAAGAGGGAATGACTTCAAAAATCTAAGAGAACATGATCTTCAACTTGGAATGTCATATTCAGCCAAATTATTAATCAAGTGTGACAGCAGAAAAGGATACTTTCTGACATGTTGGGACTCAGAAAATTTGCTTTCTATATCCCTTTCTTGAGAAGCTGGGTAGGTTCCAATGAAAATAATTACCAAACCAAGGGAGGGGGAGACACGGGATCCAGAAGGCAGCAGATCAACGTCTTGAGCACAGGAAGGAGATGCCTCAGGGTGACAGTGGAACAGCTGTCCTAGGGAACATCTGGTCCAGAAAAGAGTTGGGACAGAGGGAGCCACAAGGAAAAGAACTATCTGATAAGAGAGGTCCCTTGGGAAAACAAGAGCAAACAAAGCAAAAACAAGATATGCAGGTAGAAGATATTATGGCACTTTTGGAAAAAAGGAAGAATATTTACATAGTCGTAACTATGTAACTGAAAACAGCTGAATAATTCTACTGGGAAAATGGCTTCAAAGAACTAAATCCTGGTTTATCGTAAGAGGAAGTTAATGTCTAAAGTCAACAAATTGAGTAGTAGCAGTATACATGTATTATTTGGGGAGTAAAACATAGCTATCTGATGAAATAGCTAAGAGGCTAAATGGTAGTTGCCTCTGGTGAGTCGAACTGAGAAGTTGGGAAGTGTGGGGACTGAACAAGGGGATTGTTGCTTTCCTTTTCATATTTTCAGCACTATCTGTTAGATGACTGATGAAAAGAAAGACGTGTAAACATTTAAAAAACATAATTTCTTCTGGTAACAGTGATGATAACAGCAACAACAAATAAACAATCCAGGCTTTTGCTGGCTTCATTCTCTGATTTGGGAAAAGATGTATTACTGTCTTGGAGATGTATTACATTTGTGGATGACACCCATTGACTCCTTTGGGACACTGTGGTTTATTTTAGATAGCCTTAAAAATTTAAAAGCTAAATTGTGCAATTAACTTTTCAATGCTGCATGGTTTAGAAATTATGTAGCTATGTCAGGATAGTGTGTGTGTGTGTGTGTGTGTGTGTGTGTGTGTGTGTGCGTGTGATGTTTTCGAGAAATGTCAGTAGATTTGGTTCAGAACAAGAGCAACTTGCATTCTTCTGATAGAATTCCCAATTGGCCTGCAATGGTAATGCTTATGGGAAGATCAAGATTGTGCATGTGGTAATGTCTTAAGACTTTGGAAAAAACCTTTCGAATATTAGCCAGACTCTTTGAAGTGAATTCAGAAATACTAAAACACAATTCACAAAGAATGTTCTTTTGGAAGTGGTGAGTTGGACAGGAGCAGGAATGACTTTCAGTTTTATAACTTTAAAAATAAAATTTGAAAAATTTTATTTTAGATTCAGGGGCACATGTGCAAGTTTGTTACATGGGTACATTGTGTGATGCTGAGGTTTGGAACATGAAAGATCCTGTCACTCAGGTAGTGAGCATAGGACCCAACAGTTAGTTTTTCAACCCTTCTTCCCCCCCTTCTTCCCCAACTAGTAGTCTCCAGTGTCCATTGTTGCCATCTTTCTGATATGACTGTTTTCGGAGGTAAACAAACATATAAACAAAATACAAAAAAGATTACAGTTGGAGTTTTTGTGCTTCTAATGGTAATGGGGAACACAATAAGTAATAATAATAAACAGCAACTTTCAACTTGACTTTTGTCCAAACCAAATAGAATTTGAAATGTAGATGTTTTGACATTTGCAAAATGAAGAATCATTGTACTTTTGCATGATCCTAAAAAGTTCCCCATTCCTAACACAGCGTGTGTTAGGAATACAATACTACTAGATTGCATCATTTTTACTGTTATTGGTCAATGCAGCTTGGGTACATTCAATCACTATTCGTTGACTAGCTCTTTACCCACAGGAATAGACTGAACTACCCACAGGAATAGACTGAACTGACCTTGTTCTCTGTGGGTGAGGGAGCCTGTTCCTAAGACAAAAAAGCATGCAGCTTCTGCCAAGACCCACTTCCTTCCTGAGTCATTTTGGATGCAAACATCCTTGGCTTCATCTGATGGACAGAGGATGAGAAATCTATTTGTCAAATAAACAGGGTAAAGAGATGATAAAGAAAAAAATCACAACCACTATTTTGTAGCAAGCTGGGAAGGATGAGCATTACCTTAGTTTTCTGTTTTATGGGAGAGAAAAAGAGACTGGGAAAAGACTGTTCTAGATAGGCAAGAAGGTGAGGTGATCTATGGGTGGTGTTACCTGCTCGATCAGGCAGTTCTGGGAAAGGAACACATGCCTGGGGTATGCCACAGCCAGTAAAAACAACAAAATAAAGAAGCAAAAACAGTGTCTGGATCTTGCAGGGTTTGGGATCCAGGCTGGTGCTAGGCAATATCTTGAAGTAAAAAATGTGTTGTGTACAGCTGTTTACTTTAGCTTGCTCTCCCCTTACCTCCCCAGCCCCGACTCATATATACACTGTGGAGTTTCCAGTATGACTCTCCTAATCCCAGTGAGTTTGCCCGCTTATTAGATGACTGCAAGCCTGGGACCCAGGCTTTTTTTTTGACCTGGGGCTGTGGAGAGAGCCCCCTTCCTTCCCTGGCTGTCAAACTTTATGAATGTATGCTAGAGCTAACTGAAGCCATTGCTCTGGCCTCTTGTGGATGGCCAGTTTGAGAGAATAAGGCCCAACAAGAACATTCCAAAAATCCAGAGAGGAAGGTGTGAGAGGGAGACCATGAAAGGAAGAGCACTCAGGAAAGTTGGAGGAGAGCGTAACCAACAGGAAGTGACCGTACCCCTGAAGCCATTTCCAAGCCCACTCTGTCTCTGGTTTGGTCAATAAAAACCTTTTTTAATTTAAAATAGTTCAAGTTAGGTTTCAATTTGAGATGGAAAGATGCAGCCAAGAGTCTTGCCTTGAGAGACAGTAATGATCCCAAAGGGAGTGAAAAAGTCAATGGTGGGTTTTTAGATGTTGTAACACTTGGACAGAGGACATTTAGAGCAGCTTTCCTTTGTGACCTACTGTCATAGTTGCCGAAGGGAAAGGGAACACTGGGTAGTTTTTTAAGAAAATATAGATCCATTGAGGGAAAATTGATGCAAAACAAATGCATATATTGACATGTACAATTTGATGAGTTTTGATATATTAATGCACCAATGAAATCATCACCAAACTCAGGAGAATGAACACACCCATCACTTGCAAAAGTTTCCTTGTGACCTTTTGTAATATCTTCCTCCACATATTAACTTCCCACCCCAATCCCCAGGCAAACAATGGTCCGTATAAATGGAATCACAGTGTATGTACTCTTATTTAGGACATTATTTATTTAGAATATGGATTCTTTCACGTAGGATAATTATTTTTTGATTCATCCATGTTTTTGTATCCATAGTGCTCTCTCTCCCCCCACTTTTTTTTTTATTGCTGAGAGTATTGCATTGCATGGATATACCACAATTTGTTTATCCTTTCACCTGTTGCAGGACATTTGAATTATTTCCAGTTGTGGCTACCAAAAATGAAGTTGCTGTGAACATTAGTGTATAAGTTTTTAGATACACCTTTTCATTTCTCTTGGGTATATATGTAGTAGGAATAGGATTGCTAGCTTGTATAGTAAATGTTACGTTTACCTTTTTAAGAAATTACAGAACTCTTTTCCTAAGTGATTATAAGCATTGTTTAAAAGTTCTAGTTGCTACCAATCCCCATCAGCATTTGGTATTGCCTGTCTCTTAGTTGAGCCATTCTAATGGGTTTGTATGGTTTTAATTTGCATTTTTTAAACTTCTGACAATGTTGAGCATTTTTCATGAGCTTATATGCCATCCTTATGTATTATTTGATTAATTGTTCAAATCTTTTACTCATTTAAAAAATTCTAAAAAGTTTTAAAATAGCTTTACTTAGGCATAATTCACGTACAATAAAATTCACCCCCTTTAAGTATACAGATCAATGATTTCTAGTAAATTCATATAGTTGTGCAACAAATAGCACAATCTACTTTTACAAAATGTTCATCCCATCAAAACGTTATCTCCTACACATTTGCAGTGAATCTTCACTCCCACTCCCAGCCCTAGACAACCCTAGATCTGCTTTCTGTCTCTACATATTTGCGTTTTCTAGAAATTTCATATAAATGGAATAAGAAAAGATGTAGTCTTTTGTATCTGGCTTTTTTCACTTATCATAATATCTTTGAGGTTTATCTGTGCTGTAGTATGTATCAGTCATTTGTTCCTTTTTATTCCTGAGTAGTATTCAATTGTATGTATTCAATTATATGCATATATAACACTTTATCTATTTGCCAATTGATGGACATAAATAGTTTCTAGTTTTCAAATACTGTGAATAATGTTACTACAAACACTCATGTGCATATCTTTGTGGGACATATATTTTCATTTCTCTTAGGTAGGTACCTAGGAATAGAATTATTGGGGTGCATAAGTATATGCTTAACTTTTTAAGAAATGACCGAACTCTTTTTTCAAAGTGGCTGTTCTATTTTATATTTTCATCAACAAAATATGAGGGTTCCGGTTTCTCTACAGTTTTCTTCAACAAGATTCAAGTCAAATAACTACCATGCTAGTACATGTGGCCTTTTACTCTGGAAAACTGAATCAGGGATGGGCCCTTGGCTGATAGGTGCTCTGCCAGGAAAGCTCTGCCCATGAGGACTGACAGAAATCAATTGGGGATCCTCTCTCTGGTAAATTTGATATAAAGAAGGAATAAAGTGCTTGATGAAAATATATGCAGAAGGAAGCAGAGACACAGAAATGCTGAGTCCCATGAAGGCAGAGCACTAGAGGAGAGCTTGGTGAACTGCTCCAGCCATGAGGGAACCGGATCTGCACTGGACCTTGACGGATCTCCCCTCTGACACAGCCTCTCCTCTTCTCCATCTGAAACCCTTCCACTGTTTCTTCTAAAGTAGTCCCTGATGATCAGCAAGTTCTCCCATGTCTTTACTGTCTCCTTGACCTATCTTATGTCTTCTCTAGAACTTGCCTTTCTGTCCCTAAGAGATTTCTCCTCCTGCAGAACTCTCAGATTGAGGCTGCTCATCTACTCACAATTCACATTCATCAGCTTTAAGAGGTAGAGTCAGTGCTCTCTTCTCTTTCTCATTGCCTTTACTACACCAGTGTTTCCTGCTCCAGACTAGATTTCCATACTTTTGTTAATGAACAAATGTGTATCTCCCCATGAGACTCAGATCACTTGACCATAACACTCTCCATCACAGTCTTTGTTTCTGTCTCCTTCTATCTCCTTATTCAATGAACACCTACAGTCAGTCCTCCTCTCCTCAGAGACTCCTACATGTAGGCAACTTACTCAGCCTCCTTGTTTCTGAGTCCCTTGACCTTCTCATCTCCAATGTCTGTCTCCTCTATTCTACTGTAGCCACTTCTTTCAAAGTTTCACTGTGGAACTTGTCATTGCTGTGACTCTACCTCTGAAGTTATTAATTTAAGCATTTCCCTCTCTGACAACAACTTTCTAACTTTCCAACTTGCTTTGTAAAGTACCTCCTCTTCAAGTGTTCTCTCACCTCATCAGGACTTCCTTGATCAAGATTGATAACTATCCTCCTTCTTAATCTATTAAAGCCCTGCTATCTTCACTTCCCATTCTCTCCAGCTCAGATTCCATGTTTTACTATTTCAAACACTCCTTTTCTATGTCATATAAATTCCCATACCTTGTCCATCTTCCACACTCACCTTTAATAAAAAAGCAATTTGAGGAATTCCACCTACATCGTCTTCATAGATTTTCCCAGCAATTAAGGGTACAGGGTACAGGTATCACTATACATTCATGGTCTCCAGACTAAACTGGGCTCCCAACACTACCTGGTTACACTATTCTACCATTCTCTTTATTTTTATTTTATTTACTTTTTTGAGATGAAGTTTTTGCTCTTGTTGCCCAGGCTGGAGTCCAATGGTGCAATCTTGGCTCACTGCAACCTCTGCCTCCCGGGTTCAAGTGATTCTCCCGCCTCAGCCTCCTGAGTAGCTGGGATTACAGGTGTATGCCACCATGCCTGGCTAATTTCTGTATTTTTAGTAGAGACGGGGTTTCACCATGTTGGCCAGGCTGGTCTCAAACTCCTGACCTCAGGTGATCCACCCGCCTAAGCCTCCCAAAGTGCTGGGTTTACAGGCGTGAGCCACTAGGCCCGGCCTCTACCATTCTTTTTAACAATCACCTCAAAGCTTTTCTACTCTCCTCAAATCTTTGATCAATCTCTGACAATATGCGCCTCCCTATTCTCAGCATATGACTCTCTCTTCTACATCATGGAAAACATGGAAGCCTTTAGACACTGAGCTCCTTCATTTACTACTTAGCAGACCTACAGCTCTGCTCATTAAGGATTTTGCATCCACTTTCTTCCCTCCTGTTGTAATGCAGGAGGCATCCTTCCCTCTGCACCTCCTTGTGCTCTCTGACCTTACACATAGCTACTTTCTCTGGAACTCTTAGTTCATCCTGTCTCTCACTCATATCTTCAACATCTAAATTTTTATCTTTACCAGATTCTTCCCAATAGCATTTAAAAATACTATAGTCTCTTCAGTCTTAAAGGAAATCTTCCCCCTTTTATCCCTTAAACACACACACACACACACACACACACACACATGCACACACACACACACACACCCCACTCACAGGAACCCTTCTGGACCCCACATCCATCTCCAGCTGCTGCTATTTCCCTTCTTTTCCCTTTAGAACCAATGTTTTTAAGGATTTCTCTATAATTATCTCTTCTGGCTTCTGTTTCCCACTATATCACTAAAACTGTGTTCACTAAGGTCACTGAGAAATTCCATAAGGCTAAATCTAATGGATGCTTGGGGTCTTATCTTCCTTGACCATTTAACCCATTTGATATGTTGTTCACTCCCTTATTCTTCAAACAAATTAGGCTGCCCAAGAGACACAGTACACAGTAAACCAATGCATTCCAACCAGGGAACCAGAGAACTGGATTCTAGGTGCCTTTTTAACCACCAGTCTGTCAACCTTCCTTTTAACCACCAGGCCACCTAGTATCTCTGGGCTGAAGTGCCACATTTTTTAATGTGAAGAGAAGACTTCATGGGAAAGTGGGTGTGGACCAGATGGCTTCTTGAGGTCCTTTTTAGCCCCTGGAACCCATGGTTGCTGATTTTGAGTCACACATGAGTTAGCAGTCACATTTGTATGCATGGTTCAGCATTCCCGTCTTTGAAGTGAGACATTTTCTCTTGCTGCCTAAATTACTTCTAGGTTATAACTTCACCTTTGGAAATGATATTAACTGTTTCAGGTCTCTATTCTGTTCTTTACTAATGACTGGATTTTCTAGAGAGAAATAACTAGCCAACTGAAATACCAAGTTAGTTCCTTCAGCATGCTAAGAATCCTAGGCTATTTAAATTCATAGAAATGTGAAATTTTACTCACTGGGTCAAAGCACTAAGGAGAGAATATCTTTTTGCCCCAAAGACTAGAGCTATCAGGAAGACATATGCAATGTTTATACTGACCTCAGTTCTTATAAAAAGCCTTGAGGGGAAAAAGGTAACACAAGTAACAGAAAATAATAATTTATTTTTATTTCTAGACCACCCAATGTAGTTCAGTAGGAAGAGAGTGGGCTTAGAGCTAGAACTGAATTTAGACTCGGTTCAGTCAGCAGTTGCTCTGTGAATTGGGGCAAGCTACCTCAAGTAGCTCATCTGTAAAGTGGAGACAGTCATGTCTTTATTTGGTCTCCTAGCACAATTGTGAAAATCTAATGAGCCTACAAATATAAAATATGCTGAAAAGTACAAAGGCCTGTGCAGCTTAAGGTATTTACTAATGGAGAAATGAATGTCCTACAAAGGAAGATCTACTGGGGCAAGGACTTTCTGAACATATTTGTAGTAGACAGGGCATTAGATTAATACTTCAGACTACCACATATGACATAGCAGAGTCAGAAATTGTTAGAATATTGACCTGTTAAGGGGAAGAGAGTTTTAGGGAGAAAGATGTAGATGAGAATTGTTGGTTTCAATCTTCCTTCTGCATGTAGGTCTTTCAACCTACAGAAATTGATCTATAAACTTGAAGGAGATTGCTTATAACTTCTCAGCCATAGAGATTGCAGTTTGCAGAAGTTTTCCAAAAGAATTATTGCTTAAAAGAAAAGAACAAGCCAGAAAAAAACACAAGTCTAAACAGAGCGAAAAGTGAGATAATTTAAATTTGTTAATTTCTTCCAAAATTTTAGTAGATTGGAAAAATATGGTCCTGTGTCTCACTGGTATGTATTGAAAGAAAAGATCTTTTTCCCCTTCCCTTAGTTTCTTTCTCTAGAAGACACCATATATAAGAGAGGAAACTTTCCCTCTATCTGGTTTAAACTAATCTCAAAGATGTTAATATGAAAGTCAACCTAGGTACATTACAGTATATGAATTTAGCTACTTTGTTTCCACATTATTGTTTCTTCTTATGTAATCTTACACATGACATACTTGTCATCATTTTTTTCTTATAAATCTACTGGAAAGACCCAATCATTAGGCACATTATTTTGTGCATAGAAATTTGCCTTTCTCCCTTGCTATTCATGATTTGAATCAGGGCCACCTAAAGCAAAAATTTTCTACATACCTTCCTCCTCTTAATCTATTCCATGAACTCACTGCTCCACAGATGGTAAAGGTCTGCTGTTTATAAGTGGTCTTGTGAAAAAATTATTAAGTGATTTCATGGGTCACTCCCATTCCATCTGATTTAGGAAATAATATTTTGGTTTCCAGGATTTGTGTGCTTTTCTTGGCATCCTAGGGTATAAAGAAAAAGATAAATCTCTCCAGAAATACAAGGGATAGTTCACTCTACTTACTCGTGTCTGCAAGATTCTTACTTTTCAATTACAGAACCCACTAGAACTGGTTTAAGCAGAAAGGGATCTGTTAAGGATTATCAGATCACTTACAGAAATCTTTGGAACAGCCAGAGAGGAAACCATTTTAACAAAAGCTTCAGAGTAGGCATATCACAGCATCCTACATCTACCATTTGGCACTATTCATGCTAGAGAATAGCATAGGGGAATCTAGATTCCGTTATGATCAATATTCCTTTTGCCCAGGGTTCATTCTTAAATTTTAGTGGAGGAGGAATATGAATTGCTTTCAGTTTGTGAATATACATAGGAAATAGTGTTGGGAATTGCTAGATATGAAAACATGAGAACAATTCTGGATTTTTTTCTCCCTTACTTTGTTTAAAGCATCGTTTCCTAAAGATGGGACACTTTTCTCTGCCAGCCTTCAAAATGGCTTAGGTAGTACAGGATTATGGCATTATGTAGCCTTGAACCCATATTGAGGACTGTATTCTGTTTTCAATAATCTTTCAGTCCTGATTATATTAGGACAAAGTTCAGTATTTATGCCAGTGCTTTTAATTTTTCTCCCCCTTGTTGATATCCTTTTTAACAACAAAAAAAGCAAATTTCACTCAGGCTCAGAATGTTCAGCAGGTGGCCAATGGAAGTGAGTTAAACTTTAGTAATATTCTTTTGATCTTATTGTATTCATTTTTATAATTTACTTTTTATTCATAGTACTAATGCTGGTTTTCCATTTCCAGGTCATTAAAGTTTCCTTTCAAAATAAAAAAAATTAAGTAACAAATTGAGTCAACTTACAGAAAATATTAAATATACAACACATATGTGGTAAGCAGATGCAGGAAAAGTCCTGAAGGTGGAGGGCAAATGTCTAAAATCTCATAAATACTGCCTTATAGAATGTTTCTGATGCTTTATATACAGCCTTGGAGCAAGTTATTTAACTTCTGCCCAAGCTTTTCATCTTAAAATAGAGGTAACTTTAGCTTACAGAATGGAGTGGTTCATGGAGATAATGAATGTAAACTACTTCACAGTGTCTAGCACAAGGCAGAGGTTCAAAAAGTGGTGCCTATTATTATCAGAAAAGGTAGGTATCAGACTTCTCATTTTACAGAGGAGAAAATTCAGACTCAGAGAAACTATGTGACTACTATAAAGTTAAGTATTACCTACTTCGGGTGCAATCATTTCTTGAGCATTGAGTTAAATTTCAAAAGCCATATTTCATCACATTCCTGATGAGTAGCTGGGAAGGTATATGTAAAGACTGGCTCTATTGCTGATTTGGTGCATGATTTTAATAAATTGCTAGTTACTTTAGCTAGATGGGTATCAGTGTTGATGATGCCATGTGTGTAAACTTGGTTCTTGAGAGATTCTTTATAACTGCACTGTTTTGTGACTGCAGAGTGTAGTTATCACTAAACTAAATGCTGTTGGTGACAAGAGGGACTGAATGAGAGGATATGATGATAAAAATTAATCTTCTCATTGTTCAATTCCCACCTGAGTGAGAATATGCGGTGTTTGGTTTTTTGTTCTTGCGATAGTTTACTGAGAATGATGGTTTCCAATTTCATCCATGTCCCTACAAAGGACATGAACTCATCATTTTTTATGGCTGCATAGTATTCCATGGTGTATATGTGCCACATTTTCTTAATCCAGTCTATCATTGTTGGACATTTGGGTTGGTTCCAAGTCTTTGCTATTGTGAATAATGCCGCAATAAACATACGTGTGCATGTGTCTTTATAGCAGCATGATTTATAGTCATTTGGGTATATACCCAGTAATGGGATGGCTGGGTCAAATGGTATTTCTAGTTCTAGATCCCTGAGGAATTGCCACACTGACTTCCACAATGGTTGAACTAGTTTACAGTCCCACCAACAGTGTAAGAGTGTTCCTATTTCTCCACATCCTCTCCAGCACCTGTTGTTTCCTGACTTTTTAATGACTGCCATTCTAACTGGTGTGAGATGATATCTCATGGTGGTTTAATCATACCCCAAACCTCAGCATCACACAATATACTTGTGTAATGAACCTGCATATGTACCCCCGAATCTAAAATAAAAGTTGAAGTTACATTAAAAAAAAAAATTAATCTTCTCTACTGGAATGCAAAACTGAAAGTAGGGACAATTTCTCCCTCCCCTCCCCTTCCCTTCCCTAGTGAAGACAGACAAGCATTGATTTTAGGAGCACTGGTTTAGGAGCAGTTGTACACACATGTATGAAGAGACAGGACATCAGGACCAGGAACCATAGCAAGACTAATCTTATCCAGAATTACTATTTTCCTGTGAGGCTACCATGCCACACAAACTGTCCCATGCCACACAACCATGCTACACAACCAGACTAGCATGTGAAACTGCACTCACTTTGATCTTGACAAGTGCAGAGTGAGCAATCTCTAAGTGTGAAACTGTGGTGTTGCATTATTTCTGGCATTTCTAGAATAAGAAATGATCAGTTTTATTTTTTTAAAAAAAGCATAGAACAGATTTAAGATCAGATCATAAGGCAGTGGGAAAAAAAATTCAGAGCTTGAAAATTTCCATTTACTTCATATCAATCTTAGGCTCAGGCACCCACTCCTTCCTTACACACATAGTTAATATAGTCTGAACTTAATTTATTCACCAATTACATTCACTTGCTTCCCTAAGTGACAGCAGAACTTTATTATGGTATTTATCAACATATATAAAAAGCACACTTTTCAGTTGATTTTTAAAAAAATTAAAATGAAGTTTTGAGATTGTGTTTGTATCACATTTTTTGGGAGGGCAATTTAATAGCAACTCACAGTATTGTTGTAGCAGGGGTGATTATGAAGTTGCATAAAGTATTAGTAATGGAGTTCAACATGGAAGTCTGTAAAGATGAAAATCAGAAAAATCACAAACTGTCACCAGAGTAAGTAGTTGTAATTACCTCTAAAGGTAAAAGCTTATATCTATTTTTTACACAAATTTTTTAACCAATGTATCTGTAGTTTCTAGATGACCATTTATGTAATTTGTGATGGGATTGCTTGACAAATGAGACAGGTAAACAGGAACTGATAGTAACGAAAAACAGTGGTAATGTATTTGTTCAAAGCTGCCTGAGACTGCTTTAAATGTAACATGCCTCTCTATGAGAAACACATGATTCTGGTGGAAGGGTAGAATTCCCATGAAATGGTTAATTTACTAAAGATACCAAGCCATTTGGTAAATGCAGGGTGTTCAGTGCTAAGAGTGAAGCAAAGTGGCAAGTTGCCAAGGAGAGATGGAACAGGTTCATAGAGATGTATGTTGCAAGCATTTTGATTTGTGGCAAACTTGTTTGCCTCAGGAAGTCACTGACAGTGGGGGAGGAAAGGAGGTAGGTGCTATAGTTGTGTCTAACAAACACTGATCCAGACAAAACAACAACCAAAACCCAGGAGCTGACACTCAATCATTAAAGGATCCCAGTCGTTGTACAGTGCACCTATCTGGCCAACCCTCAAAAGAACTCAAAGAAAGCAGAATCTTAATTTCTCAAACTAGGAAATGGAAAACTGCAATATCTGAACACTTGTATCTAAGCTCAGATAGGAGCAGTGATAGTATTAAAATAGAATGGGTTTAATAATAAATCTTGGCCATGCAACTGCAATCTACAGAGTAGTAAATTTTTAATGTTCATTAGTTCTGCCTCCTTTTAAACAGTATACAAGTGTACTATGTCTGCGTGTACAATGATGCCTTTATATTGTGGCAGTAGTTGAAGAAATGGCTGTGCCATGATTAATTGTAGAACAGAATTGCTTGACAGCAGAGCTGTCAAATATCAAAACACTTGCCAGGATTTTTAATTGGACAAGCTGAGGAATGTATAGTGTTGCTATAACTGAAATCAATCTATAATTTGAATAAAAATTAACTCTTTAATACTGCCTTCCTTCTTACCTGCACAACGTCAAAATAAAAACCAAACCAAAACAAAACAAAAAAAACCCAACATGAACAAGCAAGCAAACAAACAAATGAAAATCCTCCATAGAAATGTTTGCATGCAGACATGCATTCATGATTGATGACTGATAAATAAAGGAGCAGTGTTTATAAGGCTCTTTGAAGTTTGCAAAGAGCTTACATGTACATTATTTTGTTTAATTGTCATAATAACACCATGAGATGGATTGTGCAGGCATTTCAGTTCAGTTTTCAATGAAGCCTATACTGTACCAGGTTTTGTGCTAGACACATAAATTAGAGGACATCCCTGTGGCCAATAAATTTGACAAAAGAGGAAACTGAGTCTCAGAGAGAGAGCGAGAGAGAGAGAGAGATGGTCCAGTAAGATTTTTTGCTGTAGATACCAAAAGTCTGTATCTTTGGATGCAAGTTCCAATGCTTTTATCCTTTTACGATGGTACCTCTGAATGGAATAAAGCCAAATTAGCCAAGAGAGAAATACATTTTTGTTGAAAGCTGGTTTCCAAGGCACTCTAAATTTCATACAGTGAAACCAGCGTAGCAGATAACTCAATTCAAAGATCACCTGCCTATTAAAGCAAGGTTTTTAGGCCACTGATTTTACTTCCTTATGAGTGATGCTGCATAAGCTTGCATTAAAACAGTGAATTTTTCAGCTTTGACATGTAACGAGCTTGGAAGACATGACTCTCAGTCTTACAAGAAAAAGCTAGATGAATTAAAAATTAATTGTCTTTCTTGAACCTATCAGAGAACTTAAGTTGCAGGTCAAACAGTCACCCCAAAATGTGAAGAAACAGGGGCATCCAGAGAGATATAGCTGTCATCTGTTTACTGGGAGCAGATGCTCCTGGAGCCATAAACTGGTAAGAATATTTAATGAGGACTTTGTTGGATTGCTGGAGGCTTAGTGTGGACCAGCAAAGACTTAGAAACTCCTGGGGGCTCCGCCTTTGGGGGCCTATGAATTTGTGGATTTTACCTCCAGAAACCCTAGCAGGGTTCTCACTGTGAAAATTAGAGATAAATCCCCTTGTAATTTTCACAGGGGGAGGGTACATGAAACCATATTGAAATACACCTTGGGAAAAGTAACTAGGTAAGTCAAGCTGATAGTATGTATCCTTCATATGACATGATGAGAATGGCATTATCCCTCTGTGCTCTTGCTCCCCAAAACTCATAACCCCAGTTTAATCATGAGAAAAACACTGGACAGTTCCCATTTGAGAAATGTCTACAAAATAGCTGACCAGTACCCCTCAAAGCTCTCATCAAGTACAATGGGACTTTGAGAAACTGTCACAGCCATAAGGAGCCTAAGGAGACATGATGACTAAATGTAATGTGGTATCCTGGAATAGAAAAAGACAGTAGGTTAAAAACTAAAGAAGTCTGAATAAAGTATGGACTTTAGTTAATCATAATGCTTCGATATTGGTTCATTTATTGTTAAAAAAAAAAGTACCATACTAATGTAAGTTGCTAATAATAGGAGAAATTAGGTGTAAGGTACATTCAAACTCTCAATTCTATTTTTCTAACTCTTCTGTAAATCTGAAACTATTCAAAAAGCAATGGATGAAAATGTAAATAAGATTGAACTGGGTTTTGAAATAACTTCTGAAGTTCACAGCACCTTGGGAAATATCTATGTCAGTAAGCGAAATTGGTTAAGCCCTAAGAATAGTTCTTTGTCTCTGAAGGCCTCCTCTTTGACTTCTGAACTTGGGTGAGATGCCAAGGAGTTGTGAGGGAGAAAGTGGCCCCCAGTGTGGTCACCCAGATTGAGGAATTGGCCCTTAATATTCTGCAGTGACAGATTTCACAGTAGAAAACAGTATCTGGCAGGGGAGGAGCCAAGATGGCCGAATAGGAACAGCTCCGGTCTACAGCTCCCAGCGTGAGCGACGCAGAAGACGGGTGATTTCTGCATTTCCATCTGAGGTACCGGGTTCATCTCACTAGGGAGTGCCAGACAGTGGGCGCAGGCCAGTGGGTGCGCGCACCGGGCGCGAGCCAAAGCAGGGCGAGGCATTGCCTCACCTGGGAAGCGCAAGGGGTCAGGGAGTTCCCTTTCTGAGTCAAAGAAAGGGGTGACGGACACACCTGGAAAATCGGGTCACTCCCACCCGGATATTGCGCTTTTCAGACCGGCTTAAAAAACGGCGCACCACGAGACTATATCCCACACCTGGCTCGGAGGGTCCTATGCCCACAGAATCTAGCTGATTGCTAGCACAGCAGTCTGAGATCAAACTGCAAGGCGGCAGCGAGGCTGGGGGAGGGGCACCCGCCATTGCCCAGGCTTGCTTAGGTAAACAAAGCAGCCAGGAAACTCGAACTGGGTGGAGCCCACCACAGCTCAAGGAGGTCTGCCTGCCTCTGTAGGCTCCACCTCTGGGGGCAGGGCACAGACAAACAAAAAGACAGCAGTAACCTCTGCAGACTTAAATGTCCCTGTCTGACAGCTTTGAAGAGAGCAGTGGTTCCCCCAGCACGCAGCGGGAGATCTGAGAATGGTCGGACTGCCTCCTGAAGTGGGTCCCTGACCCCTGACCCCCGAGCAGCCTAACTGGGAGGCACACCCCAGCAGGGGCACACTGACACCTCACACGGCAGGGTATTCCAACAGACCTGCAGCTGAGGGTGCTGTCTGTTAGAAGGAAAACTAACAAACAGAAAGGACATCCACACCGAAAACCCATCTGTACATCACCATCATCAAAGACCAAAAGTAGATAAAACCACAAAGATGGGGAAAAAACAGAACAGAAAAACTGGAAACTCTAAAACGCAGAGCGCCTCTCCTCCTCCAAAGGACGCAGTTCCTCACCAGCAACGGAACAAAGCTGGATGGAGAATGACTTTGACGAGCTGAGAGAAGAAGGCTTCAGATGATCAAATTACTCTGAGCTACGGGAGGACATTCAAACCAAAGGCAAAGAAGTTGAAAACTTTGAAAAAAATTTAGAAGAATGTATAACTAGAATAACCAATACAGAGAAGTGCTTAAAGGAGCTGATGGAGCTGAAAACCAAGGCTCGAGAACTACGTGAAGAATGCAGAAGCCTCAGGAGCCGATGTGATCAACTGGAAGAAAGGGTATCAGCAATGGAAGATGAAATGAATGAAATGAAGCGAGAAGGGAAGGTTAGAGAAAAAAGAATAAAAAGAAATGAGCAAAGCCTCCAAGAAATATGGGACTATGTGAAAAGACCAAATCTACGTCTGATTGGTGTACCTGAAAGTGATGCGGAGAATGGAACCAAGTTGGAAAATACTCTACAGGATATTATCCAGGAGAACTTCCCCAATCTAGCAAGGCAGGCCAAGGTTCAGCTTCAGGAAATACAGAGAACGCCACAAAGATACTCCTCGAGAAGAGCAACACCAAGACACATAATTGTCAGATTCACCAAAGTTGAAATGAAGGAAAAAATGTTAAGGGCAGCCAGAGAGAAAGGTCAGGTTACCCTCAAAGGGAAGCCCATCAGACTGACAGCGGATCTCTTGGCAGAAACCCTACAAGCCAGAAGAGAGTGGGGGCCAATATTCAACATTCTTAAAGAAAAGAATTTTCAACCCAGAATTTCATATCCAGCCAAACTAAGCCTCATAAGTGAAGGAGAAATAAAATACTTTACAGACAAGCAAATGCTGAGAGATTTTGTCACCACCAGGCCTGCCCTAAAAGAGCTCCTGAAGGAAGCGCTAAACATGGAAAGGAACAACACGTACCAGCCGCTGCAATATCATGCCAAAATGTAAAGACCATCGAGACTAGGAAGAAACTGCATCAACTAACGAGCAAAATCACCAGCTAACATCATAATGACAGGATCAAATTCACACATAACAATATTAACTTTAAATGTAAATGGACTAAATGCACCAATTAAAAGACACAGACTGGCAAGTTGGATAAAGAGTCAAGACCCATCAGTGTGCTGTATTCAGGAAACCCATCTCACGTGCAGAGACACACATAGGCTCAAAATAAAAGGATGGAGGAAGATCTACCAAGCAAATGGAAAACAAAAAAGGGCACGGGTTGCAATCCTAGTCTCTGATAAAACAGACTTTAAACCAACAAAGATCAAAAGAGACAAAGAAGGCCATTACATAATGGTAAAGGGATCAATTCAACAAGAGGAGCTAACTATCCTAAATATATATGCACCCAATACAGGAGCACCCAGATTCATAAAGCAAGTCCTGAGTGACCTACAAAGAGACTTAGACTCCCACACATTAATAATGGGAGACTTTAACACCCCACTGTCAACATTAGACAGATCAACGAGACAGAAAGTCAACAAGGATACCCAGGAATTGAACTCAGCTCTGTACCAATCGGACCTAATAGACATCTACAGAACTCTCCACCCCAAATCAACAGAATATACATTCTTTTCAGCACCACACCACACCTATTCCAAAATTGACCACATAGTTGGAAGTAAAGCTCTCCTCAGCAAATGTAAAAGAACAGAAATTATAACAAACTATCTCTCAGACCACAGTGCAATCAAACTAGAACTCAGGATTAAGAATCTCACTCAAAGCCGCTCAACTACATGGAAACTGAACAACCTGCTCCTGAATGACTACTGGGTACATAACGAAATGAAGGCAGAAATAAAGATGTTCTTTGAAACCAACGAGAACAAAGACACAACATACCAGAATCTCTGGGACGCATTCAAAGCAGTGTGTAGAGGGAAATTTATAGCACTGAATGCCCACAAGAGAAAGCAGGAAAGATCCAAAATTGACACCCTAACATCACAATTAAAAGAACTAGAAAAGCAAGAGCAAACACATTCAAAAGCTAGCAGAAGGCAAGAAATAACTAAAATCAGAGCAGAACTGAAGGAAATAGAGACACAAAAAACCCTTCAAAAAATCAATGAATCCAGGAGCTGGTTTTTTGAAAGGATCAACAAAATTGATAGACCACTAGCAAGACTAATAAAGAAAAAAAGAGAGAAGAATCAAATAGACACAATAAAAAATGATAAAGGGGATATCACCACTGATCCCACAGAAATACAAACTACCATCAGGGAATACTACAAACACCTCTACGCAGATAAACTAGAAAATCTAGAAGAAATGGATACATTCCTTGACACATACACTCTCCCAAGACTAAACCAGGAAGAAGTTGAATCTCTGAATAGACCAATAACAGGAGCTGAAATTGTGGCAATAATCAATAGTTTACCAACCAAAAAGAGTCCAGGACCAGATGGATTCACAGCCAAATTCTACCAGAGGTACAAGGAGGAACTGCTACCATTCCTTCTGAAACTATTCCAATCAATAGAAAAAGAGGGAATCCTCCCTAACTCATTTTATGAGGCCAGCATCATTCTGATACCAAAGCTGGGCAGAGACACAACCAAAAAAGAGAATTTTAGACCAATATCCTTGATGAACACTGATGCAAAAATCCTCAATAAAATACTGGCAAACCGAATCCAGCAGCACATCAAAAAGCTTATCCACCATGATCAAGTGGGCTTCATCCCTGGGATGCAAGGCTGGTTCAATATACGCAAATCAATAAATGTAATCCAGCATATAAACAGAGCCAAAGACAAAAACCACATGATTATCTCAATAGATGCAGAAAAAGCCTTTGACAAAATTCAACAACCCTTCATGCTAAAAACTCTCAATAAATTAGGTATTGATGGGACGTATTCAAAATAATAAGAGCTATCTATGACAAACCCACAGCCAATATCATACTGAATGGGCAAAAACTGGAAACATTCCCTTTGAAAACTGGCACAAGACAGGGATGCCCTCTCTCACCACTCCTATTCAACATAGTGTTGGAAGTTCTGGCCAGGGCAATTAGGCAGGAGAAGGAAATAAAGGGTATTCAATTAGGAAAACAGGAAGTCAAATTGTCCCTGTTTGCAGACGACATGATTGTATATCTAGAAAAACCCATCATCTCAGCCCAAAATCTCCTTAAGCTGATAAGCAACTTCAGCAAAGTCTCAGGATACAAAATCAATGTACAAAAATCACAAGCATTCTTATACACCAGCAACAGACAAACAGAGAGCCAAATCATGAGTGAACTCCCATTCACAATTGCTTCAAAGAGAATAAAATATCTAGGAATCCAACTTACAAGGGATGTGAAGGACCTCTTCAAGGAGAACTACAAACCACTGCTCAAGGAAATAAAAAAGGATACAAACAAATGGAAGAACATTCCATGCTCATGGGTAGGAAGAATCAATATTGTGAAAATGGCCATACTGCCCAAGGTAATTTACAGATTCAATGCCATCCCCATCAAGCTACCAATGACTTTCTTCACGGAATTGGAAAAAACTACTTTAAAGTTCATATGGAACCAAAAAAGAGCCCGCATCGCCAAGTCAATCCTAAGCCAAAAGAACAAAGCTGGAGGCATCACACTACCTGACTTCAAACTATACTACAAGGCTACAGTAACCAAAACAGCATGGTACTGGTACCAAAACAGAGATATAGATCAATGGAACAGAACAGAGCCCTCAGAAATAACGCCGCATACCTACAACTATCTGATCTTTGACAAACCTCACAAAAACAAGCAATGGGGAAAGGATTCCCTATTTAATAAATGGTGCTGGGAAAACTGGCTAGCCATATGTAGAAAGCTGAAAGTGGATCCCTTCCTTACACCTTATACAAAAATCAATTCAAGATGGATTAAAGATTTAAACATTAGACCTAAAACCATAAAAACCCTAGAAGAAAACCTAGGCATTACCATTCAGGACATAGGCATGGGCAAGAACTTCATGTCCAAAACACCAAAAGCAATGGCAACAAAAGCCAAAATTGACAAATGGGATCTAATTAAACTAAAGAGCTTCTGCATAGCAAAAGAAACTACCATCAGAGTGAACAGGCAACCTACAACATGGGAGAAAATTTTCGCAACCTACTCATCTGACAAAGGGCTAATATCCAGAATCTACAATGAACTCAAACAAATTTACAAGAAAAAAACAAACAACCCCATCAAAAAGTGGGCGAAGGACATGAACAGACACTTCTCAAAAGAAGACATTTATGCAGCCAAAAAACACATGAAAAAATGCTCATCATCACTGGCCATCAGAGAAATGCAAATCAAAACCACTATGAGATATCATCTCACACCAGTTAGAATGGCAATCATTAAAAAGTCAGGAAACCACAGGTGCTGGAGAGGATGTGGAGAAATAGGAACACTTTTACACTGTTGGTGGGACTGTAAACTAGTTCAACCATTGTGGAAGTCAGTGTGGCAATTCCTCAGGGATCTAGAACTAGAAATACCATTTGACCCAGCCATCCCATTACTGGGTATATACCCAAAGGACTATAAATCATGCTGCTATAAAGACACATACACACGTATGTTTATTGAGGCATTATTCACAATAGCAAAGACTTGGAACCAACCCAAATGTCCAACAATGATAGACTGGATTAAGAAAACGTGGCACATATACACCATGGAATACTATGCAGCCATAAAAAATGATGAGTTCACGTCCTTTGTAGGGACATGGATGAAATTGGAAATCATCATTCTCAGTAAACTATCGCAAGAACAAAAAACCAAACACCACATATTCTCACTCATAGGTGGGAATTGAACAATGAGATCACATGGACACATGAAGGGGAATATCACACTCTGGGGACTGTGGTGGGGTGGGGGGAGCGGGGAGGGATAGCATTGGGAGATATACCTAAGGCTAGATGATGAGTTAGTGGGTGCAGCGCACCAGCATGGCACATGTATACATATGTAACTAACCTGCACAATGTGCACATGTACCCTAAGACTTAAAGTATAATAAAAAAAAAAAAAAAAGAAAAAAAAAAGACCAAACCAAAAAAAAAAAAAAAAAAAGAAAACAGTATCTGGTAATGAAATCAGTCACGAAGGAAGCGGACTTCTCCTGACTTACCAATGTGACAAGAAGCACCACAGATGTAGTCAAGTCCAATTCTCTTACTTCACACATGAGGATACTGAGGACTGGGAGGAGTGTATTCATGTTACATTCGGGATTAGAACTCAGTTTTCCTTCGTCACCAATTTCAAACATTCAGTGAAAATGATGATACAATGAACACCCTATACCCACCACTACATTGATTCAATGATTAACATTTTGTCATATTTGCTGACTGTATTTGCAAAACCATTTAAACGTAATTTGTACACCTTGTGACAATTCATCTCTAAAGATTTCAGCATATATTTCCTAAGATCAGGATATTCTTTTATATACCCACAATACCATTATAAAAATAACTAAAAATAATTCCTTAATGTATCTAATACCTAGTCCATTTTCTAAATTTTGAAATGTGTGTCTCAAAATGTCTTTTATAATTTTTTTCCTCAAATTACAATCTAGTCAAGATATCTCATTGCATTCATTTTATCTTTATCATCTCTGTTCGTCTGGAACATTCTCCAAACACTTCTTTTTGGGATGTTAACTTTTTGTAAAATGCCCCATGGCACACTAGGGAAAGTGGCATACAAAGCTGAGGCCTGAAGGTGAATAAGTATGTGTCATCAAATGAAGAAGTATGGAAAAAGGGAAAAGATTTTCTAAGCCTTTGTTTCTCTGTTCTGGCCACAACCCCAGAAGTCAGAGGCCCAACCTGAGTTACTGTGGAAGAGGACAGAATATTTGGTGCCCCCTCCATGGCAAACAAACAAGACACTACCCTGCAATTGAAAGGGACAGTATTTCTCTTATTCCAAGTACACTTGAGATAGAAAATAATACATTTCTTTTAAATGACAAGTAGTTGCAAATGCAAACTCATAAAGATCCACATCTTTATGAGAAGGAGTTAACAATCTCTTCACAGTAATTCTGGGATTAGGAGATGAGACCATGTTTCTACATGAAGACACAGATACCTCTCCAAAGATACTCACCCCTCCTGGTCTGTAAACTTTTGAAAATTAGAACAGCATTTTGTTCAATTTTATTCTCAGTGTCTAGCAGCTCAATAAATATTAGTTGAATGCACAAGTCAGTTATAAAGTCAATTGAATAATATTTGCATTTCTGCCTTTCTATATTAAATACTTTGTTGGGCATAGCAACAATTTATTTTCCTGAACTCCTCACCACGCATGTTTACCATATGCCCTGATACCAAGCCTTCTTTCTCATGGTATCTCTGTAAACTGGAAAAATAGTACAGGAAGTGTCCTGACACAGTGTTCCACTGTTCCCAATATATCAAAGCTTGTAAAAAACCTCCAGTGATATCTAGATGCTGCTCTTATTGTGACTCTTTGAGAGAGAGAACATGAATTCCCACAAAACTAGTTATTCTGAATAACCTATTAACATTCTTGTGTAGGCCCAGAAAACGGATTTACTCAGGACTAAATTAAAATCTGGAGCCCTAAGCTGAGAAAATATTTGGTATCCTACCCACCCATGTTTAAACAAAATAATAACAATAATGAGACTATTGCTTGCTCTTACACTATAAAATAAGAGCAAGGAAGTTCAATGAATTTCTGTTTTTTAAACCATCTTGAGTATTTTAAGGCTGTCTTTCCTTTTTTATTGTGGTAAAATATACATAAATATTACCATTTTAACCATTATTTATTTATTTAAATTATTTATTTCAATAGTTTTTGGGGCACAGGGCATGTTTGGCTGCATGGAAAAGTTCTTTAGTGCTGATTATTGAGATTTTGGTGCACCCATCACCCAAGCAGTGTACACTGTACCGAATATGTGTAGTCTTTTATCCCTCACCCTCCTTCCACCCTTCCCTGTGAATCCCCAAAGTCCATTATATCATTCTTATGCTTTTGTGTCCTCATAGCTTGATTTCCCACTTACAAGTGGAACATACAATGTTTGGTTTTCCATTCCTAAGTGACTTCACTTAGAATAATGGTCTCCAACTCCATCTAGGTTGCGCGAATGCCATTATTTCATTCCTTTTTATGGCTGAGTAGTATTCTATGGTGTGTATATGTAAAAATAACTTGTGATATATATATTATATATATGTATGTATATATAATATATATATATATATATATATCCTAGTTGCAAATTGTATGTATATATATCCAATTGCAAATTGTGCTACTATATGCATGTGTATGCAAGTATCTTTTTCATATAATGACTTCTTTTTCTCTGGGTAGATACCCACAAGTAGGATTGCTGGATCAATTGGAAGTTCTACTTTTAGTTCTTTAAGGAATCTCCATAATGATTTTCATAATGGTTGTACCAGTTTACATTCCCACTAGCAGTGTATAAGTGTTCCCTTTTCACCACATCCACACCAACATCTGTTATTTTATAATTTTTTAATTTTGTAATTATGGCCATTCTTGCAGGAGTAAGGTGGTATTGCATTGTGGTTTTTATTTGCATCCCTTGATAATTAGTGATGTTAAGCATTTTTTTCATATGTTTCATATTTTGGCCATTTGTATATCTTCTTTTGAGAATTGTCTGTTCCTGTCCTTTGCCCAATTTTTGATGAGATTGTTTGTTTTTTTTCTTGCTGATTTGGGTTCTTTGTAGATTCTGGATATTAGTCCTTTGTCAGATGCATAGGTTGTCAAAATTTTCTCACACTCTGTGGGTTGTCTATTTACTCTGCTGATTATTTCTTTTGCTGTGCAGAAGGTTTTTAGTTTAATTAGGTCCCTCCCATCCTTGTTTTTGTTGCATTTGCTTTTGGGTTCTTGGTCATAAAGTCTTTGCCTAAGCCAATGTCTAGAAGAGTTTTTCCAGTGTTATCTTCTAGATTTTTTATGGTTTCAGGTCTTAGATTGAAGTCTTTGATCCTTCTTGATTTTTGTAGAAGGTGAGACATGAGAATCCAGTTTCATTCTTCTACATGTGGCTTGCCAATTATCCCAGCGCCATTTGTTGAAGAGGTTGTCCTTTTCCACTCTATGTTTTTGTTTGCTTTGTCAAAGATCAGTTGGCTGTAAATATTTGGCTTTATTTCTGGGTTCTCTATTCTGTTCCATTGGTCTACATGCCTATTTTTATACCAGTACCATGATGTTTTGGTAACTGTAGCCTTGTAGTATATTTTGAAGTTTGGTAATATGATGCCTTCAAATTTGTTCTTTTTTCTCAGTCTTGCTTTGGCTATGTGGGCTCTTTTTTGTTCCATAAGAATTTTAGGATTTTTTTTTCTAATTCTGTGAAGAATGATGATGGTATTTTGATGGGAATTGTGTTGAATTTGTAGATCGCTTTTGGCAAGTATAGTCATTTTTACGATATTGATTCTACCCATCCATAATCATGGGATGTGTTTCCATTTGTTTGTGTTGTCTATGATTTCTTTCAGCAGTGCTAGCTTTGCAGTTTTCCTTGTAAGACTCTATTGCCTCCTTGGTTAAGTATATTCCTAACTATTTTATGTTTTTTGCAGCTGTAGTAAAAGTGGTTGAATTCTTGATTTGATTCTGAGCTTGGTTGTTTTTGGAGTGTAGCGCCGCTACTGATTTGTGTACATTAATTTTGTATCCTGAAACTTTGCTGAATTCATTTACCAGTTCTAGGAGCATTTGGATGAGTCTTTAGGGTTTTCTAGGTATATGATCATATCACTGGTGAACAGCAACAGTTTGACTTCCTTTTTACCGATTTGGATGCCCTTTCTTTCTTTTTGTCTGATTGCTCTGGCTAGGACTTCCGGTACAATGTTGAATGACCGTGGTGAAAGTGGGCATCCTTATCTAGTTCCAGTTCTCAGGGGAATGCTTTCAACTTTTCCCTGTTCAATGTAATGTTGGCTGTGGGTTTGTCATAGATGGCTTTTATTACCTTGAAGTATGTCCCTTCTATGCTGATTTTGCTGAGGGTTTTAATCATAAAGGGATGGTGGATCTTGTCAAATGCTTTTTTTGCATCTATTGAGGAGATCATATGATTTTTTAAAAATTCTATTTATATAATGTATCACATTTATTGACTTGGATATATTACGCCATCTCTGCATCTCTGGTATGAAACCCACTTGACAATGATATATTATCTTTTTGATATGCTGGTGGATTTGGTTAGCTAGTATTTTGTTGAGGATTTTTGCATCTATGTTCATCAGGGACATTGGTCTATAGTTTTCTTTTTTTGTTGTGCCCTTTCCTGGTTTTGATATTAGGGTGATAATAGCTTCATTGAATGACTTAAAAAGGATTCCCTTTCTCTATCTTTTGGTATAGTTTCAGTAAGATTGGTACCAATTCTTCTTTGACTACCTGATGGAATTCAGCTGTAATTCCATTTGGTTCTGGACCTTTTTTTGGCAACTTTTAAATTACTGTTTTAATCTCACTGGTTGTTATTGGTCTGTTCAGAGTCTCTATTTCTTCCTGATTTAATCTAGGAGGGTTGTATACTTACAGGAACTTATTCATCTCTTCTAGATTTTCTAGTTTGTGCACATAAAGGCATTCATAGTAGTCTTGAATGATCTTTTGTATTTCTGTGGTATTGGCTGTAATATCTCCCATTTCATTTCTACTTGAGCTTATTTGAATCTTCTCCTTTTCTTGGTTAATCTGACTAATTGTTCATCAATTTTGTTTATCTTTTCAAAGAACTAGCTTTTTGCTTCATTTATCTTTTGTATTTTTTATTTGTTTCAATTCCATTTAGTTCTGCTCTGATCTTTGTTGTTTCTTTTCTCTGCTGGGTTTGGCTTGGTTTGTTCTTGTTTCACTAGTTCCTTGAGGTATGACCTTAGATTGTCTATTTGTGCTCTTTCAGGCTTTTTTGATGTAGGCATTTAATGCTATGAACTTTCCTCTTAGCACTGCTTTTGCTGTATTCCAGAGGTTTTGATAGATTCTGTCATTATTATTGTTCAGTTTAAAGAATTTTTAAATTTCCATCTTGATTTCATTGTTAACCCAAGAATCATTCAGGAGCAGGTTATTTCATTTCCATGTATTTGTATAGTTTTGAGAGTTCCTTTTGGAGTTAATTCTGTTTTATTCCACTGTGGTCTGAGAGGGTATGTGACATAATTTCAATGTTCTTAAATTTATTGAGATTTGTTTTGTGGCCTATCATATGGCCTATCTGGGAGAATGTTCCATGTGCTGATGGAAAAATATATATTCTGCAGTTGTTGGGTAGAATGCTCTGTAACTATCTGTTAAGTTCATTTGTTATAGGGTATAGTTTGAGGCCATTTTTTATTTGTTGCCTTTCTATCTTGATGACCTGTCTAGTGCTGTCAGTAGAGTACAGAAGTCCCCCAGTATTATTTTGTTGCTGTCTATCTCATTTCTTAGGTCTAATAATATTGTTTCATAAATTGGGAGCTCCAGTGTTAGGTGCATATATATTTAGGATGATAATATTTTCCTGCTGGACTGATCCTCTTATATAACATCCCTCTTTGTCTTTTTTTAACTGTTGTTTCTTTAATGTGTTTTGTCTGATATAGGAATAGCTACTCCTTTTTGCTTTTGGTGTCCATTTGCATGAATTCTCTTTTCCCATCCCTTTACCTTAAGTTTATGTGAGTCCCTATGCATTAGGTGAGTCTCTTGAAGACAGCAGATACTTGATTGGTAGATTTTTATCCATTCTGCCATTCTGTATCTTTCAAATGGAGCATTTAGGCCATTTACATTAAACATTAGTGTTGAAATGTGAGGTACTCTTTTATTCATCATGCTAGTTGTTGCCTGAATACACTGCATTTTTTTCCCATTGTGTTATTGTTTTATAGGCCCTGTGAGATTTATGCTTTAAGGAGGATCTATTTTGTTGTATTTCAAGGTTTTGTTTCAAGATTAGGAACTCATTTTAGCATTTGTTATTTATTTATTTATTTTTGAGATGGAGTCTCACTTTGTTGCCGAGGCTGGAGTGCAGTGGTGCGATCTCGGCTCACTGCAAGCTCTACCTCCCAGGTTCACACCATTCTCCTGCCTCAGCTTCCCGAGTAGCTGGGACTATAGGCACCCACCACCAAGCCCCGCTAATTTTTGTATTTTTAGTACAGAAGGGGTTTCACTGTGTTAGCCAGGATGGTCTCGATCTCCTGACCTCATGATCCACCCACCTAGGCCTCCCAAAATGCTGGGATTACAGGCATGAGCCACTGCACCCAGCCTAGCATTTCTTGTAATGATGGCTCGGTAGTGGCAAATTCTCTCAGCATGCGTTCGTCTGAAAAAGACTTTATTTCTCTCCTTCATTTATGAAGTTTAGTTTTGCTGGATACAAAATTCTTGGCTAGCAACTATTTTATTTGTGGAGGCTAAAGGTAGGACCTCAATCCCTTCTGTCTTATAAGGTTTCTGCTGAGAAATCTGCTGTTAATCTGATAGATTTTTCCCTTATAGGTTACCTGCTGCTTTTGCCTCACAGGTCTTAAGATTCTTTCCTTCATCTTAACTTTAGATAACCTGATGACTATGTGCCTGGGTAATGATCTTTTTGCAATGAATTTCCCAGGTGGTCTTTGAGCTTCTCTTATTTAGATGTCTAGATCTCTAGCAAGGCCAGGGAAGTTTCCTCAATTATTCCCTCAAATATGTTTTCCAAACTTTTAGATTTCTCTTCCTTCTCAAGAACACCAATTATTCTTAGGTTTGGCCATTTAATATAATCCCAAATTTCTTGGAGGCTTTGTTCATTTTTTTAAAATTCCTTTTTGTCTTTGTCTGTTTGGATTAATTCAAAAGCTTTGTCTTAGAGCTCTGAAGTTCTTCCTTCTACTTATTTGATTCTATTGTTGAAACTTTCCAGTGCATTTTGTATTTCTCTAAGTGTGTCTTTCATTTCCAGAAGTTGTGATCATTTTTTCTTTATAATAACTATTACTCTGGAGTATTTTTTATTCATATCCTGCATTGTTTTTTTAAATTCCTTCAAGTTGGTTTTCACTTTTCTCTGGTATCTCCTTAAGTAGCTGAATCATCAGCCTTCTGAATCTTCATCTGGCAATTCAGAGATTTCTTCTTGGTTTAGATCCATTGCTGGGAAGCTAGTGTGGTCTTTTGGGGGTACTATAGAACTATGTTTTGTAGTTCTATATCATTTTTCTGATTCGTTCTCATTTGGGTAGACTATTTCAGTGGAAAAATCTGGAACTCAAAGGCTGCTGAGATTCCTTTGTCCCATAAGGTGGTCCCTTGATGTGGTGCACTCCCCTTTCTCCTATGGATGGGGTTTCCTGAGAGCCAGACTGTAGTGATTGATATTGCTCTTCTGGGTCTAGCCCCTTGGCAGGGTCACCAGGCTCTGGGCTGCTGCTAGGGAATATCTGCAAAAAGTCCTCTGATGTGATCTGTCTTCAGGTCTTCCACCTGTGGATACCAGCACCTGCTTTGGTGGAGGTAGCAGGAAAGTGAAGTAGACTCTGTGAGAGTCCTTGGTAGCAGACATGTTTAGTGCACTGGCTTTCTCAAATGTTAGTTACACTAGCAGTGAAGTTGTCACATGAACAGACTCAGGACCTCTGGTTAGCCAGGATGTTGCAAGCAGTGGAATTAGCTGTTGTTTTATCCTCCCTTGGAGCAGGGTTATTCTGTCATGAGTTGCTTTAATGTCCTGAGTTGTTTGGCCTCCTGCTCAGAGGTGGTGCTTTCAAGAGAGCACTAGCTATGATAGTAGAAGGGGGATATAAGCTTGCTGTAAGTTGGCCAGGATAAGTATTCTGGTTTCTCAGGCGATGGGTGGGCCATAAAGCTCCCAAGAGTTTATGTCTTTTCTGATCACCTATGGGGGTGAGTAGAGAAATACCATCAGGTGGGGGCAGGGTTAGGCAGGTCTGGAGCTTGGCTCCAGGGCTTGCCACGGCCACTGTAGGGGATCAGGGGTGGTTCTCAGGTCAGTGGGGTTATGTTCCAGAGGGTATTATGTTGCTAGGGAGGTAGGGGAAAGCCAGTGGCAATAGGCCTCAGCCAGCTCCCATGCAGTTGGCAAGGCCAGTCTCACTGTTAGCCATTCACTGTTAGCCATGGCCTGCTAATAGCATGTTTATCTCCAGGCAACCTATGTGGAGGGGCGGGGGTGGGTGGGAGGTCCGGGGGATGGAAGGGGATGTACTCAGACCTTGCCCCAGGCTATAAGCTTCCCCATTGAAAAAGCAAGCATGGCTTTCAGGCCACGCCCCTCTCCATCTGCCTACACTTTCAGCTGTGGCTCCTGCTCTCCTTTCTGCAGCAGTTCCCGTTTGTCCCCCAGATTCTGCTGGAGAGTTTGTGCCCAGTTAAAATTGTTATAAAGTTCAGTTGAAAGCTTCTTTCACCCTGTGACCCCACTTAAATTCTGCTGGTTGCCTTCCCCAAGGGTCCCTGTGAGATATAGTCAGGGACGGCTTCCCTGGGCTCAAGCTGGAGAATGGGGGCACCTACAAGGCTCTTCTTGCTGTTGCCTCTTTTATATTTCACTCTAAATTCGTTTCAGCTCTAGGTATGGTTAAACCCTTCTCCTGTAATCTGGATTTTCAGGTTCTCCAGTGGGGATGTGTGTTTGGAGGCAGGTTTTCCTTCTCACGTTTTGGGAACTCACAGTTTTTTGCCTGTCTCATGGAATTTGCAGCAGCATGCCATGTCTTTCAAAGGATCTGTGAATTCTTTCATTTTTCCTAATATGTTCCTGTGGTGATTCTTGGAGCAAAAGTCCATGATGTGTGTCTCCACACATGGTTCTGTTCTTCTAAATGAGAGCTACACATTAGCAATGTCTCCCATCCACCATCTTCCTCTCTCTCCCATTTTAACCATTTTTAAGTGCACAGTTCTGCTCTATTAAATACAGTCACATTGTTGTCCAACCCCTACTACCATCTATTTTCAGAACTTTTTCATCTTCCCCAGCTGGAACTCTATACCCATTAAACACTAACTTCCCATTCTCCCATCCTTCCAGCCTATAATTCCAGAAGTTTTTTGTTCATTCTTTCAGATTTTCTACATAAGCAATTATGTAATCTGAGAACAAAGTTTTATTTCTGCATTCTCAATTGGTCTACTTTTTCTTTTCTTGCTATGTTGCTTTAGCCAGGGCTTCTAGTATGAGATTAAAAAGAAGTGCTGAGCCTGAGGAGGAACATTCATTACTTGTTCCTGATCGTAACAGAAAAGTTTTCTCACTGTTAAGTATGGTGTTAGCTCTAGGTTTTCTGTAGATGTTCTTTATCAAGTTGAGCATTTTTCCCTCTATTCATAGTTTGCTAAGAGTTTTATTGTGAATGAGAGTTGCCAGATGCTTTATTTTGCATTTATTGATATGATTATGGGATTTGTATTATTTAGACTGTTGATGGGTTACATTAATTGATGTTCAAGTTTTGAACCACTCTTTGCATGCCTCGGAATAATCCCACTTGGTCATGGCACATAATTCTTTTTATACATTGTTAGATTCAATTTGCCAATATTTTGTTGAGGATTTTTGCTTCTAGGTTCATATGAGATATTGGTCTGTAGTTTTCTTTTCTTATAATGTTTTCATTTGATTTGGTATTAGGGTAATGACAACCTCATAGAATGAGTTAGGAAGTATTTTCTCTGCTTCTATCTTCTGGAAGAGATGGAAGAGAATATACATAATTTCTTTCTTAAATATTTGAAAGAGTTCACCAGTCACCAGTTAACACATCTTGGCCTGGTGCTTTCTGTTTTGGAAGGTTTTTAGTCATTGATTAAATATCTTTAATAAAGACCTATCCAGACTGTCTATTTCTTCTTGTGTGAGTTTTGGCAGATATTGTCTTTCGAGGAATTTACCCATTTCATCTAACTTCTAAAATTTGTGGGCACAGAGTTGTTCATGGTCTTCCTCTATTATCCTTCTAATGGTTTTGATTTTTCCTTTTCCTAATAATTGGTGACTTAAGTACCTTTTTGCGTGATTATTGGCCTTTAATGCTTTAAAAAACATATCAAATATATGAGTCTAGCCAATAAATTTCCACTGGTTTTTCTGTGCCCTAAGTACCTGTTTATTGTTCTACTGGGGCAAACCAGCACTCAGTTTACCACTAGGGAAGGGAGAGAAACTGAAACATCACCATATGGCAGGTGCTTTTCCTCCATAATCCAGGTTCTTACCATTTTACTAAAATGACAAGTCTGTTATGTTCAAATGCCTCTTTGAAGATAAATGTTTAACAAGTACCTTAAATAATAAATACATTATATTCATATAATCCTGCTATCAAACAGGGAGACAAAGACTAGGAAAATGCACAAGCTCAGCCCATCACCTGAAAGAACCTCATCTTCCTTGATGCTGGAGCTGATTTTGAATGCACTCTATGTCCAAAAGATAGTTAAGATCAGTTCTTCACTATTAGCCTCAAATAGGCTTTCAGTCTATTACACAAATTCCAGAAAAATTCCTCTACTTTTTCCTTTCTACTATTCTCTTGGACAGAATAGGGTGAGGAATTAGGCTTTAATTTGTTTCTGTGACTTGTGGTCAAGGTAGTACATCCTATTTGCCCTAACCCCTCCCGTCTCCGCTTTTCAGAGTAGAACCTGTCTTTCCTTCCCTCCCTCTCTCTCCCTCTCTTTCCCTACTGTCCCTTACACTCTCTTCCTAGTGCTTCACTGCTGTGGGGCTGTAACTCTCAAGGCTAAATAAAATAGATAGGAAGCCCCACTGTGCCACATTTAACTTATTTTAAAATAAATGTGGTCAGAAGACAATAATGGAGACAAACTTCTTGCCATGTTGATTCTAGGTTTCAGAGAACTATTTTTTCCTCCATCGAACTATGTTTAAAAAATAACCGGAATTATGCAATAAAAGAATGGTACTCCCCATCCTGAATATATGCAAAGTTAAAAGAATATTATCTATGAAATGACTGCTTTTGTAAAAATTTCATTTAAAAAGATGAGATTTAGAAGACAGCTGAATTCCGTTTTTCCTCCCACCCTATCCACATATAGAAGATCTTCAAGTGTTCCTAGATTTGAGTGCAAAAGAGGACAATTTCTCTCCCGTTTATTCACAAAGTAGAGAACCTGGGCTCTGATAAAGGCTGTACCTCTTGTCCTTTGAGTGTCTTTTCACTTCCATCGGAAGCCTTAAAAGCGAGAGATAACTTTTTTTTTTTTTTTAGCATGGACTTACATTTAAACTCTGACTTTAGGGTGATTCTAACTTAGTTCTGAATCGATAAATATTTACCTTCTTTTAAACCTCAATATTCTTTGTCTGTTTAATATCCTCTAACACTTTGTAATGATTTGTAAACATCTGAAAAATATAAGAAAATGACAAAAAAGATGGGAAGTTTACCCAGGAGCTGAGCATATGGTTCAGCAGAGAAGTTTATGGAGACAGCTGGTATTATATGATATGACAGCAGAATTTTCTGTGTAATGTGCAGGGTAAACCTGTTTCCAGTAAAGCTCATAGAAGAAAATCTATATAGACATTATAACACCTTTGAGTTCATACTCTATCCTTTGGTAGCTATGTGGTCTTAATCATGCTACCCAACTTCTCTGAACCTTAGTTTTCTCAACTATGAATTGCAGATAACATAGACTAAATGAAATAATTTACATTATAGTGATTAAGTTTTAAGTTCCATACTGCTACTGTGTAAATGTGAAACAACAGGTTAGTGTATGTTGCCCTCTCTCCCACTTTCTCCTTGCTTCCTGTTTCAGTATAACTTATTAACTTATAGAGGTGATAGGACACTGCTGATGCAAATATTGAGCGTGTATGAATATGCTCACTCCCTACTCTTCGTTTACTCACTAGCTTGTTTTTCTATTTGATAATGATGTGATTTGTGTTAGTACATACATGCGTGCTTGGTCTTCTTTATAATGCTGGCTCACAGGTGTTAAATAAAGAGCTGACGTTTATGTGTTAGATACAGGGCTCATGAAGAGAAAAAGGTCTCAGGCTTGTCTTCATTAATCCTGGGTTACACTGTCTACATTCCTACCAGTATACCCAGTCAAGTTAGCTGTGTTAGTAAGATGATGAGGTTTACAAAAACATGGTTTTTCTCTTTGATTGCACTTTCCTTGTACTGTGTAGACAATGACATTGGGAACAAAGAGTCACATAATACTCATGTGTTTCTCTACTGCAGCAGCTAAATGTCACGGGCTTGTCCTCTAGTACCTTGGTGCTTAGACAAGACTACCATGTTAGCACAAAAAAGCAGGGCACAATGTTGACTTTGTGCTCAATCCTAGGCTGCTCTGGGAAGCCTTTGGAATGTACACATTATTCTCAAGGCTATTGAAAAGCCCACACAAAGAGATGGATTCTGTATACCCTCATGAATGGTTTGCTGTATACACCTTTCCTGGAAAGCTAAGGAAAATTCTCAGCCCCTGATTTCTGGCTGAGGAAACCATACCTCCAATCTGAGACTATCTGTTTGTTACATATGAACAGAATGTGGATTATGAATCACTTCACCAAACATTCAAAAACCACGTACACAAGAACCTGATCAAAAATTTAGGTACCTACAGTATTTTGTGTGTGTGTGTGTGTGTGTGTGTGTGTGTGTGTGTGTGTGTTATTCATGAACTCTGGGAGCTTACTTTGTGAGCCTGTTTTTCTTTTGCATACTGAAAGGGAAGGAGTCTTGTCTAAGAATTCAATTATATTAGAATACAAATTGGATTTTCAATGCTTTTGCTGGTTCATTGCGCTGTTGAAGGCTAGAGGTGATCACACTTTGTTTATCAGAGTTTCCCAGTTGCTTTTGGTGATGTAAATATAGACTAAGAACTTATTAGACTTATTAGAGGTTGAGTGAGTACAGGGAAAGTGAAATTTCTCTGTACAAAATATAAGTCTATTAGAAAACTGTCAGATTGAAGCAGGAGAGGAAAAGTGAAGAATCTTAATGGGAGAGATAGAGACCAGAGAAGAGGATGGCAAGCTCTGGCCTAAGGAATTCTGGCCAGTAAGGAATTCCCTTGGCAGGGAAATGATACTGGCATTTTATGAGTGAGGCCTACTACTAATTTTGAAGTTATTTCCTAGAAGATCCTATGCTATTTCCCTTCAACTTTAGTAAAACCTGATTTACACACTAGTGGTTCACCAGGAAAATAAAAGTATCCAAGTCTTACTTCCATGGCAGGGGGGATGGGGGTCAGAGGAAGGAGGATGGGGTATAGAAGGTGAGTTTCAGATTAGAGATCAAAATTCAATACAAGATATTGGAACCAGAGATAACTGGGGGAAATGTCAGACATACAAGAATCCGTGGAGACATGTGGGAGAAAGAGAAATGTTTAAGTTTCTGTATTTGAATATTAAAGACAAAAATGCTGCCAAAATGGAAGGAACTGGGGAGATAACCACCTCCAGAGTTATACTTGGGAGATACTAGAGCGACATGAAAGATACACACACACAAAACTTATTCCTCTACACGCTTTTGCATTTGCAACAAAATATATGAGGTAGGAATCTGGTCACATCCAACCCTCAAAGCCCCTGATTTGTGATGTTATACTCTAAGAAGAGTCAACATACATCTGGGAGAGCATTTCCAGATCATCTGGCCTATTCTCAAATACATTCTGCCCAGAGTCAGATCGTTTCAGGAATGTAGTATTAAATGATGTGGTTGCTGTGGTATGTTTCTGCTGCTGGGTCATGTTTCACATTCTGCAGCAATGAGGCCCACAGAGATAATCCCAGGAAACCTGTAGGCACTGGAATAAGACTGCCTCAGCTTCCAAGGAATTCAGTGTAGTGGGAGAGAAAGCCAAACACACTTTATCACAATAAAATGTGATAAGTGCTATAATAGAGATCTATATCAGGTGCTGTGGGAGCACAGAGAAGGGAGTCTTTTACTCTGCCTGGGGAGGACACAGGGAGACTGAAGGAAGCATTCCTCCACAAAGTGATGTCTGAACTGTCATTGATGGAAAGAAAAGGGAGAGGGGGACATTCCAGGCTGAAGGGAACAATGCCCACAAAGACTCAAGATGTGAAAAAGCTTAGAATATTCTGGGGACAGTATAGCCTGCCTGTTGGGGTTATCCAGAGGGAAACGGAAGACAAATGGCAGAGATGAAAAAGGAGTAGACATGCCAATGTTAAGAATTTGAACTGTATGGGGACCTACTTAATATTCCAAGAAACCCATAGGGATTAGTAGATTGAGATAGCCACTGGAGTCTTGTTTTTGAAGGAGTAGAGGACGGGGAGGTCTGCAATAGTTGAAAGAGCTGAACTAAAACATGGTCACTGCTGCCAACCTATACATTCCTTCCAACCTTTATCTTGAGTTTATCTACTTCTGACAGTTTGCTGTCCTTGACTATAATTCTTCCCTACATCACTAATACACACTAATTGATGTTTTAGGCTTTGGGTCTGTCTTGATCCAAAATTTTACAGATACCATCTGGATAAAAGTGTTACTACAGCCAGAGATATCCCATAATATTGCTTGTTCCAAAACCTTCTACTCATCCTACCCTACCTCCATCTTCACCATCATTTTTTGGATGTTTCAAAAAATAATAAACCTGGCACAAAAGAATTGAACTACAAAGTTGGGGTAAGGTATTATTAGTTACACAATGATTATTTATATCAGCGTGATTATTCTTAAATCAATAGTGATATCTGAGAAAATGAGAGAATTGATTATTTGTCATGATTATTTTAAAGATGAAAATTCTTATACGACTATGTTTGGCATACAGGATGCACAAATTTTCTTTTTGGTACATGAATATAAAAAAGGCCAACACTTAAAATGTTTGTTAATCTTTTTACTTGCAAATTATAGCAATTGCAATATATAGTTGTCATGAATATTTTGGGGAGAAATCTTTCCAATAAAGATGACAAATACTAAATATATAAGTTAGGGTTAGGTATGGCTGAAAGTGATAAGCTCCCCTCAAAATAGTAGTTGAAACAACACAAAAGTGAATTTTTCTTTTACATAACATTTCTGAAGCAGGTAGACTAAAGAGGGACCCTTAGGGAAATAGGTGTCATTACCAAGGTTCTTCCTTAGCTGCAGGAGCTGCAGCCACCATATCTGAATTCTAGCCAGAAGACAGTAAGAAACAAAGAAAGAGCATGCTTCTTTTAAAGAGTGTCTCAGATGCTTCCATGTGACATTGTCGCATACCTCTTATTGGCCAGAACTTAGTTACACAGTCATGTTTTGATGCAAGCAAGGCTGGGGAGAGGAGTCCTTGTTCTGGAGTAGCCATATTCAGGGATTCTGTTACCATGGAAAAAGAGAAAAATTTATATTGGTGGACCACTAACAGCATTTTCTGCATTCTTCCATGGTTTAGAATATTTATTTATTTATTTTGGAACTTCTACCAATTTTTGGAATTTGTTTTGTTTATATATCGGGAGAAAGGGATAAGAAATGGAAAGAATAAAGTCTTCAAAGGAGGTTATAGAAATAAAAAATGGTATGGTAATTAGGATTCTAATGGACAGCCTCTCTTTTCTTTTAAAAACTTTTAACCCAGAATGCTCTTTTAATGGGTTTTCTGAAAGGGGCCACAGGTCTAGGTTTGAGAAAGACTAACACAAGAAAATATATCAATTGTATGAATATGCATTTTGGGATGTCCACCACTCTTAAGGAGAAGACATCCAGTGTACTACAAGAATATAAATGATTTTATTAAGATCCTGGACTGTGAAGACACCAAAGGCAAGTGGTGACTAAGTCATTGCTACTGTAGTGTCCTGTGAAAAGAGACTTCTCTGGCTGCCTTGAGGTTGGGGTGCAACATGGAACGGCTGGTTGACTTTCAGTCCGTGAGTTCTGAGCTAGCGAAATCTGATGTGGAGGTAGATTCTGAGATTCCCTCCATATCAGACTCTAACTCACTAAAACTAGATGTGACTGTTAAAAAAATTAACTGTAAGTTCTATTTTCCAACATGATAGAATGCAAGAAAATACCATCGGGGCACATTCATTAAACTCTGCCCTCTCTGCCTCACTCTTTTGTGCACAGGATTACATTTCAGGCAGGATGATAAGATTTCATTTTTCAATCACACCATTTTCTCTCTCTCAGAAACTAATCTCTTCAAAACACAGTAATGTTTAATCTCTTCAATGTATAATGATTTTTAATCTATCTGGAAGCAAGTAATTATAAAGATATTCTAAGAGTCTAAGGAATATAAAGCTTGAAACACCTAAAGGTCTAAATCCTGTTTAAGCTCATCTGTAGCATATATAACTATGATTGAGATCAATGAAATCTAATGAGGTGTAAAACACAATTTTTTGTGTAGAATTATGCTAACTTTTTATACATCATATTTAGTGAATTTGAGGTTAACTAAATGTTATGGCACTGATATTAAGCCAATCCATTTCATTATAATTCAGTCAATTTTAAATACTTTATAAAAGATACGTTATAAAATATTTATTTTAAAATATACATGTATCCATTTTCAAAGATTTTGAAATTGCCTGCCCTTTGGGAAATTAAAAAATTGAAAAACAAATTCAAGCAAGTGCCAAAAGTCTAGTTGGAAAACCTAAACAAAGTGAGAGTAAAAGATTATACAGGTCTGAAATGTCTATAACTGGGAAAAAAAAACAACTCTATCTGGCTTTTACACTAAAGCCATAATCTTTATCAGAGTCTGTTCCTAAGTTAGCTGGAATAGATTTAATTACAGATAAAATTCTGTGAGTCAAGCAACCATTAGAAAGTGGAGGAAAGCCCTCAGGTGGTTCTATTTGCAATGTCATATATGACCTGTCTCCGCGAGGGATGGCAAAGGGGAAGCTTTTTTCTTCAAAAGATGCATTATTGGCTCATTGCAATGCTGGATCAGGAAAGCTGTTCTCAGAGAAATCTGCAGCCACCCAAACTGTATATGCCCTCTACTACTTCCTGGACTGGAGTTGTGGTATACCAGCCAAAGCTACACTTCAGTGCTTGATGCAGGGACAAGTTGCCATGCTGGCCCATAGGTATGACTGCAGATGTGTTGCAGAATAAATTCTGAGATTGAACTATGAAGTGTCAAGGATTTATACAGATTTATACACTCCCATCAGTAGGCACTGTTTAACCAACTCTTTATACACATAGCAATATTCTCTCCCAAAATAGCCAGTCTCACCAAAATCCTTAAAATATGTACATCCTAATTTAAATCACTAACAGTCTAATTACACTCACGTGGAACATGTGGGTCAGTAACAACATCTTCAGGTTTTTAGATGAGATTTCAGTTTGGCTTTAAACATGGAGTTTAAAGTCAAAATGGAGTTAGGGTAAACTCTAATGTTGAAAATCAGCAGTGTATCCTTTCACTCTTACGCAGTAGCTAAAAGAAGCCGACTTTGGATGTCATCACTTTTTTACATTTCCTACTTAGAGTTCAAGGAAACTATATAAGGAGATTACTTATAAATACTCTCTAAATCATCCCCTGTACTTTTCAATATTCTTTTTGTTGTTTCAACATTTAAATAATTTACCAAAAGTTATTAAGAGGTAAAAATGACAACAGTTTTAAATGAAAGACAGATAAAATGACTTGTTAGTTTATATCTCTAAGAACGTTTCATTAGAAAAGAACCTTGTGGAGCCTCCAACACTTCTTAATGAGAAAGGAGCATATAGGTCTCTAGGTGGGTCAAGTTTTTTGTTTGTTTGTTTGTTTTGAGACAGAGTCTCTCTCTGCCAGCCAGGCTGGAGTGCAGTGGCGCAATCTCAGCTCACTGCAACCTCCGCCTCCTGGGTTCAAGCGATTCTTGTGAAGCAGGCCCAGTTCTACACCTAAAATGACTGTGGAACCTTCATTAAAGTATTAGGATATTTTCAAGTCATCATTTCATAGTTAATTTCAGATCACGATACAAATTACAGAAGAGGAGATAGTGAATGCTAATTTGTTTTAATTTTTATAATTGGGAATATGTGTTCAAAAGTCTTCAACCATTAACAGAGCTCCAGAGATGATGATGATGATGATGATGATGATGATGATGATGATGATGATTATTATTATTGAGACAGTCTCACTCTGTCATCCACGCTGGAGTGTAGTGGCACAATCTTGACTCACTGCAACCTCTGCCTCCCAGGTTCAAGCGATTCTCATGCCTCAGCCTCCTGAGTAGCTGGGACTACAGGTGTGCGCCACCACGCCTGGCTAATTTTTTTGTACTTTTAATAGAGTCAGGGTTTCACCATGTTGGCCAGGCTGGTCTCAAACTCCTGACCTCAAGTGATCTGCCCACCTCAGCCTCCCAAAGTGCTAGGATTACAGGCATGAACCACTGTGCCTGGCCAAAATTTTTTTTTAGAGATAAGATCTCCCTATATGCTCAGGCTAGTCTCAAACACCTCGGCTCAAGTCATCCTGCCTCAGCCTTCCAAAGTGCTGGGATTACAAGTGTGAGCCACCACACCCAGCCTATTATTGCTATCTTTTATTTAATATAATAATATAATAGGAGGAAAACTCAGCAGCTGTAATTTATCTGAACTAACATCCATTTACCACTTACTGTATATCATTGTACTATGTATAGTAATGTACATCGATATATAGTAAGTGGTAAATATATCAGTATGTACAATGTATATCACTATTTATTATAAATATATCACTATGTATGTTGTATATCACTATGTACAATGATATAATAGAAGGTGATTCCACCCTCAAGGAGCTTACAGTCAAAAGATAAAACAAATATATATAACAAGTATATTACTAAGTAAGTGTCTCTGGACATCAAAGAAAAAAGAAAAATAGAAAAAAGTATAATTTTTAAGGTTTTTGTGTTCTGCTGTCATTCTGCAGACCATTTTTCAGCTAGTTATTATCTTTAGCTATGAATTTGTCAAAACATATGTGATGGTTAGTTTTATGTGTCAACTTGGCTAGGCCATGATGCCCAGTTGTTTGGTCAGACACCAGGATATATATCCTTCACTGACTCTTGAACTGTACATGTGTGAATAAAGACTGTAAGAATCCTTGCAGAAAGTGATAGTTAGAAGACTAAAATCCCAGGGAAAAATTCAGAAAATGCTTGCTTCTAGGAAGATAGAGTTTGGGGTTCAAGTTCTGCCAAATTACAGTCTAGGCTTGTAAAACCTGGGGCTTTTTATTAAAACCTCAGAAAGGCTGTAGTTTATGAGTAAGGATCAAGTTTTAGGACTAGGGTCTATGCTATAGAACTAAAAGCAAAACTGAAATATACTTGTTCGAATAAAGCCAAAAACTCAAGATTCCAAAGGAACAAGGATATGCTCTAGCAATTTACTGCCTGATAGGGCAAAAATCAGCATTGTTTGGAGGAAGATAATGAATCCAGAGTATCTAAAACTTCTCATTCATAATGCTCAGTATATAATCAGAAATTACTAGGCATGAAAGAAGCAGGAAAGTGTGGCTTCTAAGCAAGAGAAAAAAGCTAACAGAAACAGATCCACAGATGGCTCAGTTGCTGGAATTAACGACTTTAAAACAAAAATTATTAATATGTTAACAAATATATAGGAAAAATAGATATAATAGAATAAGATATGACATTTTAGGAGAAATGTCTAAGAAAAAACAAATGGGAATTAAACTGAAAAATGCAGTATTTGAGACTTTTAAAAAAATCACTAAATAGGCTTGTCAGAAGATTAGACATGAAGATAGAAAGGATCAGTGAACTTAAAGACATGTTAAGGAAAATTATTCAAACTGACAGGCTGAGGGAAGAAAGATTGAAAAAATGTAAAGCATCTTAATGACCCTAGGATAATACCAGGTAATTTGATATACCTGCAAATGGAGTTCTAGAGGAAAAGAATACATAGCAAAAAAAGTTGAAAGAATATTGGCTAAGAGTTTTTCGAATTTAATTGAAAACATCAACCTCACATCCAACAGACTTAATAAACATTAAAATTAAAAAAAAACTTCTAGGCACGTCACAATCAAACTGCTAAAAATAAAAGTCGAAGAGAAAACTCCTTAAAAGCAGCAAGGAAAAGAATATCCCTGATGGGAAAATCTTAGACATGACAGTGAACTTTCAATAAAAAACAAGAAGCAAGTTTATAATGAAAGAACCTCTTCAAAATGACAGAAAAAATAATTGTCAATCTAGAATTTTATATCTAGCAAAAATAGGAGGTGAAATCAAGGTATTTCCAAATAAATGAAAGATGAGAAAATTCATAGCCAGCAGACGCGTACTACAAGAAATTCTAAGCTAAATTCTTTAGGCTAAGGGAAATGACATCAGATATGAGTTCCGATCAACAGAAAGGACTGAAAGTTATTGGAAATAGCAAAAAGGTTAATACACCTTTTGTTTTTTTTTTCTTAAATTCAGAAAAATGACTATTAAAGGTTTAAAGCAAAATAACAACAATGTATTGTGGGGTTTATAATATGCATAACAATAAAATGTAGGTTTATAATAGCACAAGTGACATTGGGGTAAATAGAATACACTATGGTCAGATTCTTACATTATATGTGAAGTGATATGAATTTAAGGTATACTAGGACAATTTAAGGATGTATGTTACAATCCCTAGAGCAGCCATTAAAACAAAATAACATAAAGAAGTATGAATAAAAAAAAAACAGTGGAGACAAATACAATACTAAATACAAAAGAATAGAAAAATGATCAAAAGAACAAAGAACAGAGAGGCCAAATATTAAACAAATAGTAAGATGCTAGATTTAAACTTAACCTTCGCAATAATTACATTAAATATACAAAGACCAAACCCTCCAATTAAAAGGCAGAGATTACAGACTGGATAAAAAGGCAAAACCCAGTAGATACTGCTTATAAGAAATACATTTTAAAGGTAAAGACACAGATGGATTAAAATAAAAAGATAGTTCTGGTTTCTGGTCTGGCATGTGATGACATCTGGCATTGGAAGTTGTCACCCCATTAAAAAAGTAAAGCTGAACAAGCTGAAAAATCGACCATTCTTCTTAGATCCATCAGAGGAGTGAAGTCATTCCTTCAATGAAGTCATGCCTTCAATGAAGGATGCTTCATTGCTATCCCCCATGTTGGAAAGACAGACAGATGGATACAGAGAACCACAATTTACCAGAGTAGAAACACACTGTATGGGAACCAATACCAGGTAGGAAAATCTGAACTGTAACTGATAAATTTCTGGAGGCTCAGTGTGGGAAAATTTAAAATATGAAACACTGGGTGAAGGCAATAATAGATGGGCCCTCCCACTTGTGAGTTTTATCTTCAGAAACTCTAAAAAGTTCTCACAATGAAGATCAGAGAAAAGTCCCCACAGGCTTCTTGCAGAAGGAGTGGAAATTGTTTTGAAATACACCAGAGCATTTTATTCTTAATAGGATCTTCCCTTAAGAGAAATTGTTATATCAGAGCCTAACCTGCCAGGTTTTATCAAAGCCTAATTGACCTGAATGAAGGGATATACTCAACCCTATTCCCCTCTAGTCTTCCATGTGGAAGAAGAGAAATACATCAGATACCCAAATCCAGCTTACTCTAGCTATCGTATCACCTAAGGGGGTGAAAAAAAAGAAAACACTAAGATGCACTTGTGATGTTCATAAGCAAAATACACATTTTTCTCAAGCTCATTAGAAATATTCACCAAGATATATCACATTCTGAGCCATAAACATGCCTTTAAAAACTTAAAAGAAATCATACAATGTCTGGTCTCAGAACATAATGAAATTATACTAGAAATCAATAACAGAAGTATAGCTGGGAAGTCCCAAAACATTGGAGATTAAACAACACAATTCCAAACAACACGTAGGTCAAAAATAAATCCAAAGAGATATTAAAAAAATACTTTGAAATAATTGAAAATGAAAATAAAACAACAAAATTTGTGGGATGCAGTGAAAGCAGTGCCTAAAGGAAATTTATAGCACTGAGTGCATATATTTAAAAAGAAGAAAAATCTAAATCAATAATCTAAGATTCCACCTTAGGAAACTAGCTAAAGAAGGGGAAATTAAGTTCAAAGCAAGCGCAAGGTAAAAAATGTTAGAGCAGAAATCAGTAAAATTGAAAACAGGAAATCAATTGAGAAAAAAAAAAACAGTGAAACCAAAATTGCTTCATTGAAATGATCAATCAAATTGATAAACCTGTAGACAAGCTAATTAAAGGAAAAAAAGAAAAGACACAAATTACTAAAGTCAGAAGTGGACAAGGGGATTCTGACATCAGCAAGATAGCTGACTAGAAGCCCCTAGTGCTTTCTCACTTCCTCTAAGACAGCCAAAACAATGAATAAACAACTATGTTTTGATGAAAATAACTGAAGGAGAGTGTCAGTACATCAAAGGAGTAACAGAAACCCTAGTCAGTTCAGAAACCCAGGGAAGCCACGTAGCACAACTGGCCTCCACCACCCCGATTTCGCCAGCTGGGCTCAAATGAGAACCAGGAGGAACTTCTCCTGGGAAGGTAAAGGTAAGTAGGAGGATTCTAGAAACCCCCATCAACACCTTTGACAAGTACGACTTATCACTGGGGACTCCTGCTGTCCTCACAGGCAGTAAGCTCAATTGAGGGAGCTTCCCAGAGTTCACATGACTGTGTTCCCTCCGGAGAAGGAGCCAACACTGTAACCCATCCCCTGTGGCTGCATAGTTAATGTGCTATGCCACCTTGGATCTAGAACTATTGCTGGAGTGTTTCTTGCTCCAGGGGCAAGTAGCCATGGTTCCTTTTCATCCCTGAGCCTAAGCTGCCACCAAACCACCCCAGCCCTGTGGCCCACACAAGGCACCTTGCAAGCAGCTGTTACTCTGTTTTATGTGGGGCCAAGCAGTAATGGAGCCCCTCCACCTACCCCTTCTAGTCTCTGGAGCAACCTGCCCTTAGGGGCCAGAGCTGATGCGCACACTACCTTCTAAGAAAACAGTGCCTTTGCAGAGCCACTCTCTAGACCTCTCTCAGTGGCTGCTGCACCCTGCACTTTTGGAACCATAGCTAAAGCTGCACACTCCCTCCTGCAGAAATGGTGCCTTAGTGGAGCTGTTCTGTCTATGCCTCTCAGTCAGTGCTGTGCCCTGCCCCTCTGTGCCTGAGCTGAAGCCATGCTCTGCATCCCAGCGAAATAGTTCCTTCGCAGAACTGCTCAATACACCCTTCCCAGTTGCTGCTGTGTCTGGTTCTATGGGATTCAAGATGAAGCTGTGTGCTGCTTTCCAGGGATGTTGCAGCTGCTCTACATAACTCTCTCAGTCACTACTGAACCCTATCCCCCTGTTCTGGAGCTAAAACCATGCCTGAAATCCGGGGGATATGGTGCTTTGGCCACCCAGAACAGCCATACCCTCCTGTGCCTGAGCTGAAGAGGCACGCTGCCTCCTGAGAAAACAGTACCTTGGCTGCCCAGAACAGTGATGCCTCCCCAGTGCCTAAGTGGAAGCAGTACTCTGCATCCTAGGATACAGAGGCTTGGCTGCCCAGAGTGGACACAAGCTTCAGCATCTAAGCTGAAGAGGCACCTTGGACCCCAGGGAAATGGTGCCTGGGCATGAGCTAAAGCAGTTCATTGCCCCTGGGGAATTAGTGCCTTGGCTGAGCTGGGCAGCTGCACAACCAGGGCTGAGCTGAATAATACAATACATCCCAGGGAAAGAGTGTGGGCCATGCTGAAAGTCTGCACCTTACAGGCTAAACAACTCTAGTACCCTGCTTCCATAGTGCTGGACTAGCCTCTTTGAGTATGAGCTGCTAAGACACCCCTCTCCCTGAGGAGTGGAATGATAGCTGTGCTGCTCCCTGTTTCCCAAGGCCCAAATGACAGCTGTACTTTGTCATTCTGGGCTTTGCTGCTACTCTTCCTGGCCTCACAGAATTTGGGATATTGCCAAGTTCCACCATTCAAAGGTCTAGAGTCACCACTATATGATACCTCATCCACTGAGATTCAAGTTACCATTGAGCCCTATTGGCTCTGGTCCTGGCCCTCAAATTGCAGCCATACAATGCTCCCTGGGTCCAAACTTCTGGAGCATCCTTTCTTCCCTGGAGCTGGGCCAGTTCTCTGCTCCCCCAGGGTCAGAATCATAGCCGCAGCTCAGCCTCCTGGCCCTGAGCTGCTAGAGAATATCTCATAGTCACAGATCCTGGCTCTCTGAGCAGTCTACATCCAACCCTATCACAGAGAGTGAACAGGCACCTCAAGGCCCAGGTGCCAAAATGGTTTATGAGACTCAGCCTAAGATTCTGTCTCCACAGCTAGTCTGAGCACCTGCAGCTGGAGCCTGGCACTGCTGCAGATGTTAGTAGGCCATGTCAGACTGTCGTGAATCCCTAAGACTCCCCATTACAGAGAAAAATGAGAATAGGAGGACCCAAAAAAACCCTTGACACTGAGAACCTTAACAACCTACACTACCAATGCCACTGCCACTAATTTCTACAGCTTAGGTCACTGAGGCATTCACAGTTATCACTGGCATTAACTGCAGCTAAAGAAGCTGCATGGAGACTATACCACTGCATCTACTTAGAACCAGAATCACCATACCACTTCCAACTGCCACACCAAAACCCATCTACAGTTGAAAGTTTTTCTCTATTAAAGCTACTCTAGAAAGTTTGGAAGAGGCAATTGTTCCAATAGATGCATAGATATCAATTCAGGGACACAAAAAATATGAAAAGGAAAGAAAATATGACACCACAAAAAGAATACAGTAAGTTTCCAGTAACAGACCCCAGAGAAAGGGAAGTTTATGAATTGCCAGAAAAGGAATTCAAAATAATGATCCTAAGGAAACTCAGTGAGATACAAGATATTACAGACAGATAATTCAACAAAATCAGGAAAGCAATTCATGATATAAAAGAAAAATTTAAAAAGAGATAGTATAAAAAAGAAAAAAGAACCAAACAGAAATTCTGCAGCCAAAAAATTCAGTGAATGAAATAAAAAATACAATAGAGAGCTTCAACAACAGATTAGAAAAAAACAGAAGAAGCTCTAAACTTAAAGACAGTTCACTTAAAAAAAATCAAGATAAAAAGAGTGAAAAAAGCCTAGAGGACTTACGAGACACTACTAAGCAAACAAATATTTACATTATAGTAATATCAAGAGAAAAGATGGGAAAAGGCACAGAAAACCTACTTAATAAAACAATAGTTGAAGCTCTCCAAGTCTTGGGGAAATATGGATATTTAGATTCAGGAAGCTCAAAATTTCCCAAACATATTCAACCCAAAAAGGGCCTTTCTGAGACACATTATAGCCAACTTGTCAAAAGTCAGAGTAACAAAGAGAACTCTAAAAACAGCAAGAGAAAAGTGTCAAGTCACACACAAGGGAATCCCCATTACACTAACAGATTCTCAGCAGAAACTTTACAAACCAGGAAAGAATAAGATGATGTATTCAAAGTGCTGAAAGAAATTGCCAATCAAGAATACTACACCCAGCAAAGCTAATCTTTAGATATGAGGGAGAAACAGTCTTTCCCAGACAAGGGAAAATAAGGGAAAATGAGGGACTTTATCACCACTAGACTGGTCTTACAAGAAATGCTTATGGAAATCCAACAACTGGAAGCAAAAGGGCAATAATCACCACCATGGAAACATGCAAAAGTATAAAACACAGTTAAGGAAAGGAATACTGATAAGGAAAGGAAAAAGAAAAAATTTATCATTACAGAAATCTACCAACCCTCTATGATAAACAATAAGAGATGAAGAAAGGAATAACAGATACATAAAGCAACTAGAAAACAATGAACAAAATGACAGGAGTAAGTCCTCACCTATGAATAATAACATTGAATGTAAATAGATTAAATTCCCCAATTAAAAGATATCAATTGGTGGAATGGATATAAAAACAATATCCAATTGTATTCTGCCTACAAGAAACTCACTTCACATGTAAAGACAGAATGAATGTGAAGGGCCGGAAAGATATTCCATTCAAATAAAAAGCAACAGTGAGCAGGAGTAACTATACTTAGATAAAACAGACTGTATGTAAAAAATTGTAAAAAGATACAAAGAAGGTCATTATATAATGATAAAGGGAATAATTCAGCAAGAAGATATAATTTATAAATATATATGCATCCAACACTGGAGCATCCAAATATATAAAGCAAATATTATTAGATATAAGGGGAGAGATAGATTCCAATGCAATAATATTTGGGGACTTCAATGGCTCAATCTCAGCATTGGAAAGATCATCTGTACAGAAAAGCAACAAAGAAACATTTGATTAAAACTGCACTTAAGACAAAATGGACCTAATGGACATTTATAGAACATTTCATTCAACATCTGCAGAATACACAGTCTTTTTATCAGCACATGGAACATTCTCCAGAATATATCATATGTTAGGCCACAAAACAAGTTCTCTACAAATTTTTAAAAATTGAAATTATATCAAGTACCTTTTCTGACCACAGTGAAATAAAACTGAATATCAGTAACAAGCGGAACTCTCAAAACTCTGTGAATACATGAAAATTAAACAACATTCTCCTGAATGAACAGTCAATAAAGAAATTAAAAAGAAAATTTAAAAAATTAAAAATAAGTGAAAATAGAAGCACAATATGCCAAAATCTGTGGAACACAACAAAATTAGTATTCAGAGGAAATTTATAGTAATAAACATCTATATTTAAAAAGTAGAAAATTTTTAATTAAATAACTTAATACATCTCAAGGAACTAGAAAATCAAGAACAAACAAAAACCCAAATTAGTACAAGAAAAGATATCATAAAGGCCAGAGTACAAATAAACAAAATTGAGACTAAAACATAAAAAGATCAACATAACAAAAAGTTGGTTTTTTGAAAAAAATAAATGAAATTAACAAACTATTAGCTACATTAACCAAGAAAAAATGAGAAAAGACCCAAATAAATAAAATCAGAAATTGAAAAGGCGACATTACCACTGATATCACAAAAATATGAAGAATCGTTAAAGACTACTATGAACAGCAATATACCAATAATTAGGAAAGCCTAGAGAAAATGTCTAAATTCCTGGACACATACAAACTATGAAGATTGAACCAAGAAGAAATAGAAAAAAATGAACAGACCAATTATGAGTAACAAGAATGAATCAGCAATAAAATATCTCTCATCAAAGAAAAACTCAGGAGCTGATGGCTTCACTGCTGAATTCTACCAAATATTTAAAGAATTGATACCAATTTTTCTCAAACTCTTCCAGAAAATCAAAAGGGAGGAAATTCTTCCAAACTCATTCTACGAGGCAAGAATTACACTTATATCAAAACCATGCAAAGATACAACATAAAAAAATACTATAGACCAATATCCCTAATAAACATAGATGAAAAAAAAAACCCTAAAAAAAACTAGTAACCCATATCCAGCAGCACATTAAAAAGATTATTCACCATGATCAAGTGGGATTTATGCTAAGAATGGAAGGATTATTCAACGCATGCAAATCAATAAATGTGATATATCACATAAACAGAATAAAGGACAAAAACCATATCATCATCTCAATAGACACAGAAAAAGCATTTTATAGAATTCAACATCCCTTCATGATAGAAAAAACTCTGAACAAATTAGGTACAGAAGGACTGTACCTCAAGGCAACGTTAGCTGTATATGACAAATCTATAGCTAATATCATACTGAATAGGTTTACTTCTATGAACTGAAACAAGACAAGGATCAGAGCCCACTCTCACCACTCTTATTCACCCTGGATGTCTTAGCCAAAGCAATTAGACAAGAGAAAGAAATAAAGGGGGTTCAAACTGGAAAGAAGAAAGTCAAAAGCAAAAATGGACAAGTGGAATAATATCAAACTAAAAAGCTTCTGCACAGCAAATGGAACAATCAACAGAAGGAAGAAACAACCTGCAGAATGAGAGAAAATATTTGCAAACTATTCATCTGATAAAGGATTAATGTCTGTAATATACAAGGAACTCAAACAACTTTGGTTAAAACAAAAAATCTGATTTTAACAAGGGCAAATGAGCTGAATAGACATCTCTTAAAAGAAGACATACAAATGGTCAACAGGTTTATGAAAAAATGCTCAATGTCACTAATCATCAGGGAAATGCAAATCAAAACTATAATGTCAGTAAAACATCATAAACCTGGAGGACATTATGTTAAGCAAAATAAGCCAGGCACAGAATGAGAAATATCACATGTTCTTATGCATATGTGGAAGCTAAAAACATTGATCTCATAGAAGCAGAGAGTAGAATAGTGGTTACTAGAGGTGGGGAAGTGGGGGAAGGGGGATAAGGAGAGGTTGTTTAAGGGTTATAAAAGTACAGCTAGATAGGAGGAATTATTTCTAGTGTTCTGTAGCACCACAGGGTGACTATAATCAACAAAATTTATTGTATATTGTCAAACAGCTAGAAGAGCAAATTTTGAATGTTCCCAACACAAAGAAATTATAAATGATTGAGGTCCTAGGTATGCTAATTACCCTGATTTGATTATTAGACATTGTATAAATGTATTGAAATATCCCTCTGTACTCTATAAATATGTACAATTATGAGTTAAATAAAAATAATAATTAAAACATGAAATGAACAAGGGACGTAAGTACAAATCCCATGGACATCAAATGGATAATAAAGGAATATTATGAAAAACTTTTTGCTCACGAGTTCAATAACCCAGATGAAATAGACAAATTATTTGAAAGGCAGAGTCTGTCAAAATTTACCTAAGAAGAAATACACCATCTGAATTTTCTATTAAAATTGTCTATTAAAGAAATTGAATCCAAAATTAATAACCTTTCAAAGCAGAAACCACCAGGCCCACACAGGTTCACTGATGAATTCTACCAAACATTTAAGCAAGAAATTATACCAGTTTTCTTAATCTCTTTTAGAAGATGGAAGCAGAAAGAATACTTTCAAACTCATTCTATGAGACCAGCATTACCCTAATACCAAGACAAGACAAAGACGTTACCATAAAAGAAAACTACAGAGCAATATCTCCATGAACATAGATGCAAAAATCTTCAACTCAATATTGGCAAATTGAATCCAACAATGTATAAAAGGAATTATACAGTGTGTTTATGTGGGATTATTTCCAGGAATTCAAAGTTGGTTCAACACCAGAAAATAGATTAATCTAATCCATCACATCAACAAGCTAAAGAATAAAAATTACTTGATCATGTCAACAGATGCAGAGAAAGCATTTGACAAAATCCACCACCCACTCATGTAAAAACACTCAACAAACTAGGAATAGAGGGAGCATACTGAACTGGATTTAAAAAAATCTGCATAAAATCTACTGCTAATATCATACTTAACAATGAGAAAATATAAGCTTTCTCACTAAAATTAGGAACAACGCAAGGATACTCCCTCTAAGCACTTCTTTTTAGCATCATACTGGAAGTCCTAGCTAATGCAATATTAAGGTTTGAATGCCATCTGCCAAAACTTGTGTTGAAATTTGATTCCCAGTACGGCAGTGTTAGAAGCTAGGCCTAGTGGGAGGTGTTCAGATCACAGAGATACTGTCCTCATAAATAGATTAATGCTGCCTCGTGGAAGTGAGTGAGTTCTCACTCTAGCAGGAATGGATTCATTCCTGAGAAAGCCTTCTTGCATGTCTCTTTGCAAGTGCCCGCCTTCACTTCTGCTTTTCACCAAGAGTTGAAGCATCACAAGATCCTCACCAGATGGTTTGCCCCATCGTGAACTTTCTAGCCACCAGAATCATGAGCCAAATGAACCTATTTTAAAAAATAATTACCCAGTCTCAGATATCCTGTTATAGCCGCAAAAAATGGACTAAGACATGCAGTAAGACGAGAAAGGAAATAAAAGGTGCACGGTTTGGGAAGGAATAAATAAAACTTTCTTTGTTCTCAGATTGCATAATTGTTTATGGAGAAAATATAAGAGAGTTGACAAAAGAACTTCTGGAACTATTAAATCATTTTAGCAAGTTTGCAGGAAACAAGGTTATATTAAAAAGTCAATCATTTTTCTCTATATTAACAAGGAACAAGTAGAATTTGAAGTAAAAACACAATAACAATTATATGAGGAGCCCGCAAAATGAAATACTTAGGTATATATCTAGCAAAATATGTACAAAATCTATATGAGGAAACCTAAAAAAAAAAAACCCGATGAAAGATGTCAAAAAAAAAAAAAACGAAATAAATGAAGAGATAGTCTGTGTTCAGAGACAGGAAGACTCAATATTGTCAAGACATCAATTCTTCTCAACTTGACCTATAGATTCAATGCAGTCCCACTTAAATTCTCAGCAGTTATTTTAAGGATATTGGCAAACTAAATCTGAAGTTTAAATAGAGAAGCAATGACCCAGAATAACCAACATGATATTGTAGGAAAATAAGAAAGTTGGACACTACCAAACTTAAAGACATACTATATAGCTACAGTAATCAAGACAGTGTGGTATTGGTAGAAGAATAAACAAAAAGATGAGTGGAACTGAATAGAGAATCCAGAATGGACCCAGACAAGTATAGTGAACTGATATTTGACAAAGAAGCAAAGGCAATAGAATGGAACAGAGATAGTCTTTTCAACAAATGGTTCTGGAACAACTGGACATCCACATGCAAACAATTGAATCCATATGAGATTTTATGCCCTTCACAAAAATTAGCTCAAAGTGATTATAAATCTAAATGTAAAATGCAACACTATAAAACTCCTTGAAATAAAATGGGAGAAAATTGAGGTAACCTTGAGTATGGCAATGATGTTTTAGATATACCACCAAGACATGATCTATGAAAAAAATAATAAGCTAGACTTCACTAGAACTAAAAACTTCTACTCTGGAAAAGACACTGTCAAGAGAATGAGAACAGAAACCACAGAATGGGAGAAGATATTTGCAAAAGACACATTTGGTTAAGGGTTCTTATCAAAAATATAAATATTAAAACTCAACAGCAAGAAAACTAATAAATCAATTTTAAAAATGGACAAAAGACCTGAACAGACACTTCACTAAAGAAGATATACAGGTGGCGAAAAGCATATGAAAAGATGTTGAACATCACATACCATTAGGAAACTGCAAATTAAAAGGGCAAGATACCACTACACACCTATCAGAATGGCCACAATCCAAAACACTGACAATGTCAAATGCTGTGAAGGTGTGGAGTAACAGGAACTCTTGTTTGTTCTTGGTGGGAATGCAAAATGGCACAGCTACTTTGGAAGACAGTTTGGTAATGTCTTAGAAAACAAAACATTCTCTTACCGTACAATACAGCAATCATGCTTCTTGTTATTTACCCAAATGAGTTGAAAACTTAGATCCAGATAAAAACCTGGACATGAATGTTTATAGAAGCTTGATTTATAATGACCAAAACCTGGAAAAAACCAAGATGTCCTCAGTAGGTGAATGGATAAATAAGCTGTGGTAGATCCAGACAGTGAACTGTTATTCAGTGCTAAGAAGAAATGAGCTATCAAGTCATGAAAAGACATGAAGAAACCTTAACTGCATTTTACCAAGTGAAAGTAATCAATCTGAACATGCTACATACCAAAATACTACATACTATCTGATCTCAACTATAAGACATTCTGGAAAAGGCAAAACTATGGAGAAAGTAAAGACATCAGTGGTTGCTAGAGGTTGGGGGAAGGGAGGGATGAATAGACAGCACAGAAGATTTTTGGGGCAATGAAACTATGCTGTATGACATTATAATGGTGAATGCATGTCATAATACAGTTGTCAATACCTGTAGAATATATGGCAGTAAGAGTGAATGTGAATGCTAATGTGAATTATGGACTTAGGGTGATATCAGTTTACATACACTAGAATAGCAAAAATTAGAAAGTCTGGTAATAGCAGATGTTGACAAGCAAGTAGAATGAAACCCTCGCCATTATTGGTGGGAAGCAGTTTGGCAGTTTATTTTAAGGATAATCATAGCCCCAAGAGAAATAGAAATGTGTTTGCAAAAAGTCCTGTACAAAAATATTTGTAGTAGATTCTTAAAAATAATTGCCACAAACTGCAAGCAACCCAAATGACCATCAAAATGAGACTGAATAAGCAAATTGTGGTATATTCACTCAATGGAATACCACTTAGAAATACAAAATAATAAGTTTCTAAAACCAGTAATAGCATGGGTGAATCTCAAAAACATTATGTTGAACAAAAGCCAGACATAAAAAGTACTGTATAATCCAATTTATATAAAATTCTAAATAGACAAAACAAATTTACGATCAGAACTGTAGTTTGTTCCTTGGAAAAAGGGAGTAAACCAGAAAGTAGTGTCAAACAGAACTTTATGGGTTGTAGATTACACTGGTGTAATTATTTCAAACATCATTGACTTATATGCCTAATATGCAAATCATAGTTCCATAAAAGAGTATGGGTGGGAGGAAAGGATATTTTTACTTTATTAAAAAAGAAAAATGAAGTTCTCAGTTATCCTGACATTTTGACAAAAAAAAGAGGCTTATCCATTCTCAAGTATTCTATTTTTTTACAGAAAGGAATCGAAGTGAATTATCTGATGGGCACAGTGTTGACAGGGTATTAGTTTATGTATATCAAGTTTTGATTTTGAAAATAGAAAGTCAAAAAAACTGACTGGACAATTTTACCTCAGTTCACATCAAGATATAGCTTTGAATTTTCAAAAACGATACAGCATAAATATTCTCTATACATATTGCAGAAATAAAAATGGATAACATTATTTCACAAAAGTGCCATTAATTTTTAGCTTGTTTTCTGTTCCGAATTTCCTACCTCGTTGCCTTCTCTTGGACCATCTATTAAGAAAGAAATTCCAAGCTCAAATTTCTGTTTCTACCCTTACCCAGTGGAATGTCAAAAAGATTCTTAGATTGCTACAGCCTAGGAAAAGAAAGCAATATTCATTATAAGTAACCTCTTCTGTCCTTAATCTTGTTCTTTTCTTTTTTTTTTTTTTTTGCTCAGGAGGCCCTTATCTAAAAGTCCTTTTACTAATTCATACATCAATTAATTCAGCAACATTTTTGTCAAATAACAAGGAAAAGTAATTATTTCTGTAATATATTCAATGACATTTCAATCAAATTCCTCTAACCTGAAAAATCCTGACAGCCATGTTTTAGAGAATTTGATGACTCTTTTAAACTCTTTAGAAAGAGGCTGCCAGATGTATTGCTGTGTTCACATATGTGCATGCATGAGTGAATAAAGTAATTAAATGATCCTTAGGTAGTTTGCTAAACCGTTACAGAGAGACTTCGTTAGAAAACTTGGCATCTTTACTTAGGCTACTGATCTTGCTTTCCTATTTGCACCAAAGCATTTGGTTTCTAAAAATTATGCTTAGGGATTAATTTGCCTTATGCCAACTGATAAGTGAGATTTATCTTAATTTGAATAAACCATAAATGTCCATTCATCAGTTATGATCCTTGTTAAGGCAAGCTGCCAAGAAACACCAGGTGTCTGGGCCAGAGTTTACTCAAATATAAGATGAACCCTTTTCCAATGTTTGAAAGCTATGAATCCTTCCTTTGACTTTGGGCCAAATGTTTAATGTCTTTTAGTCTTTGGGATTTTTTTGTCTGTGAAATAAAAAGGTTGATTACATGGGCTGTAAGTTTCAATTCTGTGAATTCAATTGAATTCTACAATTCTGTGGACATATGATTGCTAGTGAAGGGAGAGATTATTGATATCACTGGCACGGGACTTGACTCAAAAACTTGGTATAAACATGGAAAGTTAAAGCCAAAATTATGCCTTCATCATGTATCAAAGTCTAATACTATAGTAAAAAGTAATGATGAAAATGGTTGTCTTCAATAAACTTATCCAGCTTGGGCCATAAAGTAAACATAAACAAATAAATAGCAATATATAATGGCAATATATAATGAAATGTAAAAAAAAATACCTAAGTTCTAAGTGCCAGAGGAATGAACTCAGATTATAAATGACAACTAATAGTTACAATTAAATAAACTGTCTTTTCCCCAATATGTCTTTCTTTGCCCACAAAACCATATACCAAAGTATAAAGTGGAACAACTGATTCTCAGTAACCAAAGAGAATCATGGTAAGTAGAAAAAATTACAACTCAGTATTCAGTGACAATTCACTGTGTTCTACATCCTCAATCAAATGTGATACTAGCGTTCTACTAAAATAAAAAACAATTTTAAATAAGGATTTTTTTTATGTTATGCTAATGTTTTCTTTTGTTCTCTATTTTAGTTTCATATATTGAAAATGACTTATAAACACTATTTTGCTTCATTGGTTCTGTTCTACAGTTGAGTGTATGAGAAGCCATTAAAATAGTCTTGGCCTTAATAGGCATGACGTGATATTTATTACCTGTGTGATTACATAGCAGAAGTAGATAACGGCTTTTACAGAAGATGCATGAATTCTAATGAAGTGGAATGACTTATTTCTGGTCACTACTGTACTTTTGTTCGGTAGATTGCTGTAATCTATGTGTTAGTTTGCATTGCTATAAAGAAATACCTGAGACTGGGTAATTTAAAAATAAAAGAAGTTTATTTGGCTCATGGTTCTGCAGGCTGTACATGAAGCACAGTGCTGGCATCTACTCCCGGTGAGGGCCTCAGAGAGCTTCCAGTCATGGCAGAAGGTGAAGGGGGAGCTAGTGTGTCACATGGCAAGAGAGAGAGCAAGAGAGAGAGGGAGGAGGTGCCAGGCTTTTTTAAACAACCAGATCTCATGTGAACTCATAGAGTAGGAACACACTCCCACGAGGACAGCACCAAGCCATTCATGAGAGATCCTCCCCCGTGACCCAAACATCTCCCAGCAGGCCCACCTCCAACACTGGAGCCACATTTCAACATGAGAGTTGAAGGGGACCAACATCCAAACTATATTACTCTATTTTTGCTAATGTAAAGCAACAGGAAACAATTCTTGTTTCCAGTCACTTCAGAACACTCCTTTTCCCAACTTATCCTATATTTTGATGCTTTTTAATGGGGGAATTATATGTGTTTTTCTTCATTTTTTAAAAAATTATGTTTATTGATCTTTTTATTAGCAAGGATATACAGAAATTAATGCTTCTTGTCACACTTAAAAAAAATTTTGTGTGGCAGTAGTTTTAATTTGTTAAATTTGGAGTACATTGTAATATATTTTATATAGATCTTCATCCAGCAACAGAATCTTTACACCAAGAAATGAAGTTTTAAAAGTACCTTACTGGTTTCTTCTTGGAGTAGATTCTGCCTCTACTACAAATGCTTTCTGAATAAGCTTCCTATTCAAGACACTTTCCTTTTAGAGTTGTTTTGACTTACTAGGCTAGTGGGCAGAAGATGACAGAAGGCAAATTGGAAGGGGAAAAAACAAAGGGTAACTGAAAAAAAAAAAGTCCATGATATATCTTTTCAGTTCTCAGGAAAAGCAAGTTCAAAAAGGTATCATTTGTGTATTTTTTTCCTTTTTTAAAAAATTTAGCATAGTGTCCAAAGTCCAGCATTATTTTTGATTGTACAGTGTATTTAGAATGCACTTAGCTCAGAAGCACCTTTAATACAATAGATCCCAAATGCTTTCTTTTAAAATTCAGCCCAGGTTTTCGGAAATTGAAATGCATATGCAACTCATTTGTAGGATTAAAAATACATCTTATAGTACACACACTGGCATTAAATTGAAACCTGAATGATGAGAAGTAATTTCATGGGCAGGAAGCCAAATTGTTCCTGGAGTTCTACATGCAGGCAATAACTTCATCAACAGGTAGAAAACATGTTATGCGCTTTTGGTACAATCATGCCAAAAACTCGGCAATGACTCATAATTCAGTTATCATTTAAAAATGCTCAAAAACATGAAAAAAAGGATGAAAACTTGCTCTTGTCTAAATTTGAAGGCAAGAGAGTCCTTGGCACTTGACAAGGTGAATTATGAACAGAATCAAAGATAGATAGATAGATAGATAGATGGATAGATAGATAGATAGATAACTAGATAGATAAACAACATTATGTTTTGGGTTTCCTCTCCTTCTTATTTCTATTACCATAAGGGACCTGAAAGAAGAATTAATGGCATCTGTTTTTCCTATTCATTTTCTCATTTATTTAAGATAAATTAAATGTCTTTTTACCCTCTCCATTTTTATCATTGTGATTGGCTCTATCATTTTCCATTATCTCCTCTTTATTTCCCATGAAATTGTCAATTATGAACTTAAAGAATACAAGTCACTTCCCTTAAAATTAGTGGTATCTATGTTTTCTGAGCCACCTGGTAGGAGCAGGATGAATAGATTAAATAAAGGAACAAACCACAGTCAGTGGCCCGCCCTATCCTAGAAAAATAAAAATTCCAGGGCAATCTCCATCAGGATCACTGTAGACTTATATAGTGAATACCACTTTTCTAGGGCCAAATTATTAGATTTCCCTGAATAACAGGGAGTAACATGATTTTTCCCCCCTTGAATTTGTCCCACTCAGAAAAGTCTCTTATACATGTAATTTTGGGTGGGGGTGGGGGGGTGGGGGGAAACAATTTCAACCCTTGCTCTACGTAACCAACAAGAAATGAACAAAAGCAGTCACTACACACACACCTAGAATGACCTTATCTACAAGTGCCTTCAAATCTGACAGCTGTTTTCCATCCAGACACACTGCAAGGATGCTGCTATTACTCCCAAGTAACCACACACATCAAATGGTCATCCTGCTGTGGTTTGGGTTCCAGTGTACCTGGCAAAGTGAGATCAGGCAGGTTCCATCTTGTTGACATAACGTGCCTCAGCTGCTGGTGTCGGGAAGCTGCCAGTGTCCAGAGCTGTTCCTCCCCGAAGCAGGGCTCGAAATATCTGAGTTTTGAGGACAGAGGATCTCATTGGTGTATCTTTGGCAGTGCTCACATCAGCTCTCACACGACTAGAGGAAAGTTTAAATCTTGAATTCTGAAGAGTCTCAGGCAATAACATTACAAGTTTCAACAGGTGGTACTGTTCAAATAGTCACATAAAGTGCTTCCTTTGCCATTAAAACGTAACTCGTAATCTCTGGAGTAAAATGGTGTATTGTTTTTAAAATCCTGGAGTGGATCTTTCCTTTAGCTAGGACAAAGAGTGATTTTTGTCTGGTCCAGGATGGGAGGGCCATTGAATAATTTTGGTAAACAGTGACTTGTGAATAAGTAAAAACATGAGCAACCGATGTTACTCAATTATCATTGCTGGCTGGGTTTAACTGTCCTCTACAAAATGTCTGTGAATATGAAAATTCTCTTCATCATCTGAAGTGTATGAAAGGCATAGGACTGTATTTATGTTTCAGCACTTCTCTCGGTACCTAGACTATTTCCAGGTACAGAGCAGGCTCCTGAATATTTGGTGAAGGAATAACTGAAGCACAGAATGAATTCTTTTGGCTCATAATCAACTCTTTTAGATACTAAGTGCTTTAGTAACATGTCTTGGTTCTCTGAAGGTTATGCAAGCCCAATTCATTCACAAATGTTTGTAGTATACCAGGAAATAGTATCCAATGACCTCCAAAACTTTTACAACCTTACCTACCGGAAAATGTTTTACACTGTGTCAAAAACTGATCTCTAGAGCAAGAAACTCACTTGCTGTCTATATATGTTGCCAAGTAGTTAAATGAGACAGGTACCATTTATAACACGGTTTTAGGCAAACTTATTTCAAAGGAATATTGAAACCTGGATGGTTGTTTCACTTATAAACGAATATAGTTTCCCTTCTTTCCCTGCTTCTTTCTCTAGTTCTGTACATTCAGTTTACATTTTTCTCAGTCCTTTCTGTTAGCACTTGTGACAACTGTTCTATTCACTTTACTGATCATCTTTTTCATAAGAAATGCCTTAAAAGTTTTGTTGTTAAGGTAAGATAATTAACAATGGAGTCACTTCAGTGCCTTTTAGGTTAATAATTCTTGCTAATTCACGTTGTAATACTACTCTACCTAGTCTTTTACCATCACTTTATGGAGAGCTATTATAAATTAACTAGCTTAATCATACAACATGTCAATTGGGTATAAAGGAAAATACTGTTTTTGTACATTGAGGTGTATCCATAGCTTTTACCTAAAACTACTCTGCCACACCTGACACCAAAGAACCACCAGGAGACCCAAGTAGAAGGTGTGCCATGGAGAAAAGCAGATGGATACATTTACTGACTACTCTCAGGCTCCTCTACATGCACTCCATCAAGGGCTAAACACACTAAGCGTGCCATTTTTTCTTCTTTGTCAAGTCTCTCAAAATATATTGACTGGGTTCCTGTGCCCAGGACTAAGGAGGAGTTGTGGGAGACCAAGAAAGTCTATGTGGCCGATCTTTAAGACACTTATAATCAAAGTGAGATGAGAGTAATGAACAAGAGATATCTCAATTTCATATATATATATATATATATATATATATATATATATATATATATGAGTATAATCCAATGACATAATTAAGACTGGCTAAATGATTAATGGGATCCAATGCAAAATGAAAATGAGGGGCACTTTGTCCAAAAATTAAGAATTTCAAGTCGGTGACAGAAGAGCATTAAATCCAGTCATTTGATGCTGCTCAACTAGTAGATGAAAGAGTCTGGAAGGCCCAAGAACCTTTCACTCATTTGTCTGGTGGGAGGGCTGAAAAGCTGGGCTCAGCTGGAACTGTAGCCTAGAAAGCCTGCAGACACCTCCAGCACAGCAGCCTCAAGATAGTTGAAATTGACATGGTGGCTCAAGCTCCAAAAGTAAGGGAGTTACATGGCCTTTTTCCTGCAATGGCACCACTTTGAAGAATAGCAATAAATTTTCAGTGAAACACTGTTTGATTCAACATGAACCTTGAATGCTGGTTGTATAAAAAAAATTTTGTGTTAATAAAGTACCACTTAGGAAAAAATTCAGGAGCTAGAACATGGCCAAGAATAGCAAATGACAAATCTATACTTTGGCCCAAACAACAATTTTTCTGTGGCTGTGTTATGCCCTGGCCACCCAATGAGGTACAACTCTTACAGAGACTATCAAACACTAACATATTATATGATGGGTATATATGAGTGCTAATGAGAGGAACTGCAAAGTAGTTAAGTGTGCAATATCCTGGGTTTATATCACAGCTTTGGCACTTACTGGGTGTCTGTGAGCAACATATGTAAACTCTTGTGCCTCATTTTCATTATAACAGTACCCATCTCATATAATTTTGTGAAAATTAAAGGATGTAATACTCCTGGCTCATGGGAAGCACTATTATTGTTACTGCTATTATTACAGGCACAGAGCTGGGGGAAGAATTCCCCCAGCTGGATAGAGGAAAAGAAACAAAATCAAGGAAAGTGACAAAAATGTTGACTTAAATTGATTAGAGTTTCGCCAAGGGAACAAGACATTATTCAGGGACAGAGAACAACACTGTTATAACCAGAACTTTACAGACCTAATTTATTTAAAGGCACTTCAAAAGTGATATATAAACATGTTAATAAATTTTTTACAAATTAGGGGAAAAAATCATGCCAAGTTAACTCCAAAGTCAAAAAAAATTTAGAGAGAATACTTCTTTATCTTTTATGAGACCTGGCTCCTTTGATGGGAAAATGTTGAGCCTTTTCAAAGGCAAGGACCAGGTGTTGGTTGTCTTTATGTTCACCCATATTTGTTGAATAAAATTAGTGTGAACTTCATATTATTTTAGCCATGTCCCGACAACATGCTTCCTGCCAGTTGTAAAGCAGGACTCACTTGCCTGCAACTGTAGGCAGAATTCATCCTGCAGTGACTCTTTCCTACTCATCTAATAATTCAGAACACCATGTGTTGGGACAATCATTCACTGCGGCTCAGGGAACAAGCTCTACACTATTATTTACTGAAAATGCTGATTGATGACATTTTTGACTGAGTCAGGCAAATCTACATATTCAAGGGAACGGACTTAGAAAGTTATTGGACAAAGTCTTTAGAGACCAGATATTGGCTGACTTTATAAAGCACTGTGCAATGCAGGAATTTATCATAAGGTAGAAGCATTTCTTTTTCTCAGATAGACAGAACCAAGGAATATTTTCTTATTCCAAGGGGTATTTTGGCCTTAGAAAGAAGAATTTATCAAATCAACCTCTACCTGGTGGACAGCACATTCTAATACAGTGGGTTCCATGAAACAGAGGATTCTGACATTCATTTGTTTCTGCTTCAGCAGGTAGCCCTCCCCAGCTTCCCAACTACTTGTCACACAGGGGTTGGTGTTCTAGAATAAATGCAGATGACTTTCACATACTCTGAATCTGGAAACAACTTGTCTAGTATAGAATGAAAAGTTCTTTCTTATTCTTATGTCTCCTTTTCAGATTTTAGGTCTTAGAAGTTTTCTTAATAATGAAAACTGGCATGAACAAGGATGCCCTCTCTCACTACTCTTATTCAACATAATATTGGAAGTTCTGGCCAGGGCAATCAGGCAAGAAAAGGAAATAAAGAATATTCAAATAGGAAGAGAGGAAGTCAAACTGTCTCTGTTTGCAGATGACATGATCCTATATCTAGAAAACCCCATCATCTGAGCCCAAAAGCTCCTTAAGCTGATAAGCAACTTCAGCAAAGTCTCAGGATACACAATCAATGTGCAAAAATCACAAGCATTCCTATAACAACAGATAAGCAGAGAGCCAAATCATGAATGAACTCCCTTTCACAATTGCTACAAAAAGAACAAAATACCCAGGAATATAGCTAACAAGAAAAGTGAAGGACCTCTTCAAGGAGAACTAGAAACCACTGCTCAAGGAAATCAGAGAGGACACAAATAAATAGAAAAATATGTCATGCTCCTGGATAGGAAGAATCAATATCATAAAAATAGTTATAAGGCCAAAGTAATTTATAGATTCAATGCTATTCCCATTAAACTACCATTGACATTCTTTACAGAATTAGAAAAAAACTACTTTAAAATTAATATGGAACCAAAAAAGAACCCATATAGCCAAGACAATCCTAAGCAAAAAGAACAAAACTGGAGTTATCACACTTCCCAACTTCAAACTCTATTACAAGGCTACAGTAACCAAAACAGCATGTTACTGATACAAAAACAGACACATAGACCAATGGAATAGAATAGAGATCTCAGAAATAAGACTGCACATTTATAGCCATCTGATCTTTCACAAACCTGACAAAAACAAGCAATGGGAGAAGGATTCCCTATTTAATAAATACTGCTGGAAAAACTGGCTAGACATATGCAGAAAATTGAAACTGAACCCCTTCCTTACACCTTATACAAAAATTAACTCAAGATGGATTAAAGACTTAAATGTAAAACCCTGAACTATAAAGACCCTAGAGGCAATACCATTCAGGACATAGGCATGGGAAAAGATTTTATTACAAAAACATCAAAAGCAATTGCAACAAAAGCAAAAATTGACAAATGAGATCTCATTAAACTAAAGAGTTTCTGCACAGCAAAAGAAACTGTCATCAGTGTGAACAGACAACCTACAGATGGGGAGAAAATTTTTGCAATCTATCTATCTAAGGTCTAATACCCAGAGTCTACAAGGAACTTAAACAAATTTACAAGAAAAAAGCAACCCCATTAAAAAGTGGGCAAAGAACAGAAACAGATACTTCTCAAAAGAAGACATTTATGCAGCCAACAAACGTGAAAAAAAGCTCAACACCACTGATCATTAGAGAAACGCAAATCAAAACCACAATGAGATACCATCTCATGCCAGTCAGAATGGTGATTGCTAAAAATTCAAGAAAAAACAGATGCTGATGAGAAATAGGAAATGGAGAAATAGGAACACTTTTACACTTTTGGTGGGAATGTAGATTAAACCATTGTGGAAGACAGTGTGGTGATTCCTGAAAGACCTAGAATCAGAAATATCATTTGACCCAGCAATCCCATTACTGGGTACATACCCAAAGGAATATAAATCATTCTATTATAAAGATACACACACAGGTATGTTCATTGCCACACTATTCACAATTGCAAAGACATGGAATCAACCCAAATGCCCATCAATGATAGACTGGATAAAGAAAATGTCGTACATATATACCATGGAATACTATAGTCATAAAAATAAATGAGATCATGTCCTTTGCAGGGACATGGATGGAGCTGGAAGCCATTATCCTCAGCAAACTAACACGGGAACAGAAAGCCAAACACCACATGTTCTCACTTACAAGTGGGAGCTAAACAATGAAAACACGTGGACACATTGGAGGGGAAAAACAGATACTGGGGCCTGTCCGTCAAGGGGTGGGAGGATGGAGAGCATCAGGATAAATAGCTAATGCATGCTGGGCTTAATACCTACGTGATGGGTTGACAGGTGCAGGAAACCACCATGGCACACATTTACCTATATAACAAACCTGCACGTCCTGCACATGTAACCCGGAACTTAAAATGAAACAAAATATTTAAAAAATAAATTTCAATTTCTAGGGTCTGAAGGACGTTGGCCCTCTTCTCACAGCTCCACTAGGCAGCGCCCCAGTGGGGACTCTGTGCGGGGGTGTGCACCCCACATTTTCCTTCTGTACTGCCCTTTGCAGCAGCCCCTGCCATCTCAGACCCAGAGGCCTAGGAGGAGATTTCAATTCTCAGATCAAGATCTGTGTAGTGAGGCAAATACAGCTCACTGCAGCCTTAACATCACGGGCTCAAGCAGTCCTCCCACCTCAGCCTGCCAATAGCTGGGATCACATGTGCATGCCAATGCCAATATGCCTGGCTAATTTTAATTTTTTTTTTATAGAGATAGTGATACAGTTTGGCTCTGTGTCCCCATCAAAATCTCATCTTGTAGCTCCCATAATTCCCACATGTTGTGGGAAGGACCCATGAGAAGATAATTGAATCATGGGGGCAGTTTCACCATACTGTTCTCAGGGTAGTGAATAAGTCTCATGAGATCTGATGGTTTTATAAGGGGAAACCCATATCGTTTCTCTTTCATTCTCTGTTGCCACTGCCATGTAAGAAGTGCCTTTTGCCTCCCACCATAATTGTGAGGACTCGCCAGCCACATGGAACTATAAGTCCATGAAACCTATTTTTCTTCCCAGTCTCGAGAATATCTCGAGAGGGATGATTTAGGGTATCTGGTGGAAGAAATTTCTAAGCAGCAAAGCATTCAAGATGTGACTTGAGTACTATTAAGGTATTCAGTTTTAAAAGGGAAACAGAGCATAAAAGTTTGGAAAATTTGCAGTCTGACAGTGTGATAGAAAAGAAAATCCCATTTTCTGAAGAGAAATTCAAGCCAGTTGCAAAAATTTGCATAAGTAATGAGGAGCTGAATGTTAATCACCAAGATAATGGAGAAAATGTCTCCAGTATATGTCAGAGACCTTTGCAGCAGCCCCTTCCATCTTAGACCTGGAGGCCTAGGAGGAAAAAATGGTTTAGTGACCTGGGCCCAGGGCCCCTCTGCTGTGTGCAGTCTAGGGACTTGGTGCCCTGCATCCCAGCCACTCCAGCCATGACTAAAAGGGGACAAGGTACAGCTCATACTGTTGCTTCAGAGGGTACAAGCCCCAAGCCTTGGTAGCTTCCATGTTGTGTTGAGCCTGCAGGTGCAGTCAGAAATTGAGATTTGGGAACCTCTGTCTAGATTTCAGAGGATGTATGGAAATGCCTGAATGTCCAGACAAAAGTTTGCTGCAGAGGCAGGGTGCTCAAGGAGAACCTCTGCTAGGGCAGTACAGAAGGAAAATGTGGGGTGCACACCCCCACACAGAGTCCCCACTGGGGCACTGCCTAGTGGAGCTGTGAGAAGAGTGCCAACATCCTTCAGACCCTAGAATGGTAGATCCACTGACAGCTTGCTTCACGTGCCTGGAAAGGGTGCAGACACTCAATGCCAGCCTGTGAAAGCAGCTGGGAGACTGGCTGTACCCTGCAAAGCCACAGGGGTGGAGCTGCCCAAGACCATGGGAACCCACCTCTCGCATCAGCATGATCTGGATGTGAGACATGGAGTCGAAGATCATTTTGGAGCTTAAGATCTGAGTGCCCTGCTGGATTATGGACTTGCATGGGGCCTGTAGCCCCATTGTTTTTGCCAATTTCTCCCATTTGGAAGGGTAGTATCTACCCAATGCCTGTACCCTTGTTGTATCTAGGAAGTAACTAACTTGCTTTTGATTTTACAGGCTCATAGGTGGAAGGGACTTGCCTTGTCTCAGATGAGACTTTGGACTGTGGACTTTCGAGTTAATGTAGAAATGAGGTAAGACTTTGGGGGTCTGTTGGGAAGACATGATTGGTTTTGAAATGTGAAGATATGAGATTTGGGAGGAGGCAGGGGCAGAATGATATGGTTTGGCTCTGTGTCGCCACCCAAATCTCATCCTGTAGTTCCCATAATTCCCACATGTTGTGGGAGGGACCTGGTAGGTGATAACTGAATCATGGGGATGGTTTCCCCCATACTGTTGTCATGGTAGTGAATAAGTCTCATAAAATCTGATGGTTTAATAAGGGGTTTCTGCTTTTGCTTCTCTCACATTCTCTCTTGCCACCGCCATGTAAGAAGTGCCTTTTGCCTTCTGCCATGATTGTGAGGCCTTCCCAGCCACATGGAACCATAAGTCCATTAAATCTATTTTTCTTCCCAGTCTCGTATCAGCAGCATGAAAATGGACTAATACAGATAGGGTTTCACCATGTTGCCTAGGCTGGTCTCAAACTCCTGGGCTCAAACAATCCCTCTGGCTCAGCCTCCCAAAGTGCTGGGATTACAGGTGTGAGCCACCACTCCCAGCTGTACTGCAAAATATCTTCTAATTTCTCTTTTGGTATCTCCTGTGACTCGCTGTTATTTCAAACCATCTTGTTTAATTTTCATGTTATTTGTGCATTTTCCAAATTTCTTTGTTATACATTCCTAATTTTTTTCATTTTGGGATTCATGAACATACTTTATATTATTTTAATCTTTTTTAATTTATTAAGGTTTATTTTACAGTCTGCCATATGATCTATCCTGAAAATTCTCCCATATGCACTTGAGAAGAATGTATATTCTGCTATGGTGGGTTAGAATGTTCTGTAGATGTCTGTTAGTTCTAGGTCATGTATACTGTCGTTTAAGACTTTTATTTCCTTGTTGATCTATGGTCTAGTTGCTTTATCCAGTACTGAAAGTGGATATTGAAGTCTCCAACTATTATTATTATTTGTTTCTCTCTTTATTGCTGTTGGTTTTGACTTCATGTATTTGGTGTTCTGTTATAAGGTACATATATATTTGTAATTGTTAAATTTTTCTGATGTACTGAACCATTTATCATTTTAAAAAGTCACTATCTCTAGTAATTTTTTTTTGTTTTAAAGTCTATTATGTCTGATATTAGTAGAGCCACTTTATCTGTTTAGTGGTTGCTGTTTGCATCATTATCTTTTTTCATCCTTTTACTTTCAATTTGTGTATCTTTGCATCTAAAATATATCTTCTATAGAGAATATGTAGTTGATCTTCTTTTTATTTAGCATGACAATTTTGCCTTTCAATTGATTGCTTAATCCATTCACATGTAATGTTCTTATTGATGAAATGGGATTTAAGAGTACCGTTTTACTTTTTATTTTCTGTTTTGTGTCCTTTTTCTTTATTTTCACTTTATATTAAGAAGGGGTATTTACATTAAGTGGATATGTTCTAAAGTAGCATTTTAATTTAATTATCTTCTCACTTCAGGCATACCTCTGAAATATTGCATTTTTTGTTCCAGCCCACCACAAGAAATCAAGTATTGCAATAATGCAAGTAACACATTTTTTTTTGTTTCCCAGTGCATATAAAATTTATGTTTGGCTGGGTGTGGTGGCTCATGCCTGTAATCCCAACACTTTGGGAGGCCAAGGTGGGCAGATCACCTGAGGTCGGGAGTTTGAGACCAGCCTGACCAATACGGAGAAACCCCGCCTCTACTACAAATACAAAATTAGTTGGGTGTGGTGGTGCATGCCTGTAATCCCAGCTACTCGGGAGGCTGAGGCATGAGAATCACTTGAACCCAGGAGGCAGATGTTGCAGTGAGCTGAGATCGTGCCATTGCACTCCAGCCTAGGCAACAAGAGCAAAACTCCATCTCAAATAAACAAACAAACAAAAAGTTATGTTTATATTATAGTCTATTAAGTGTGTAATAGCATTATGTCTAAAAAAATGTACATAACTTAATTTTAAAATACTTTATTACTAACAAATGCTAATAATTATCTGAGCTTTCAGAGTTGAAACTCACCACCTTTTGCTGGTGGAGAATTGTGATCTTTTTGCTGATTCTCAATGTTGATGGCTGTTCACTCATCAAGGTGGTAGTTGCTGAAAATTGAGGTGGCTGTGTCAATTTCTTAAAGTAAGACAATGAAGTTTACCACATCAATAGACTCTTCCTTTCATGAAAGATGCTGTTTGACAGCATTTTACCCACAGTAGAACTTCTGTCAAAATTGCAGCCAATCTTTTCAAACCTTTTCACTGCTTTATCAACTAAGATGGGGTAATATTCTAAATCCTTTGTTGTCATTTCATCAATGTTCACAGCATCTTCACCAGGAGTAGATTCCATCTCAAAACACTACTTTCTTTGATAATCTATAAGAAGGAACTCTTCAGCCATTCAAATTTTATCATGAGATTACAGCAATTCAGTCACATCTCCAGGCTCTACTTCTAATTCTAGTTCTCTTGCTATTTCTACCACATCTGCAGTGACTTCCTCCACTAAAGACTTGAACCTCTCAAAGTCATCCATTAGGGTTGGAATCAACTTCTTCTAAACTTCTGGTAATGTTGATATTTTTACCTCCTGCCATGAATCACAAATGTTCTTAATGGCATCTAGAATGAATCCTTTCCAAAAGGTTTTCAATTTACTTGGCTCAGATCCATCAGAGGAATCACTATTTATGGCAGCTGTAGCCTTACAAAATGTATTTCTTTATTATTATTATTATTATTATTATTATTATTATTATTATTATACTTTAAGTTTTAGGGTACATGTGCACAATGTGCAGGTTAGTTACATCTGTACACATGTGCCATGCTGGTGTGCTGCACCCATTAACTCGTCATTTAGCATTAGGTGTATCTCCTAATGTCATCCCTCCCCCATCCTCCCACCCCACAACAGGCCCCAGAGTGTGATGCTCCCCTTCCTGTGTCCATGTGTTCTCATTGTTCAATTCCCACCTATCAGTGAGAACATGCGGTGTTTGGTTTCTTGTCCTTGCAATAGTTTACTGAGAATGATGATTTCCAATTTCATCCATGTCCCTACAAAGGACATGAACTCATCATTTTTATGGCTGCGTAGTATTCCATGGTGTATATGTGCCACATTTTCTTAATCCAGTCTATCATTGTTGGACATTTGGGTTGGTTCCAAGTCTTTGCTATTGTGAATAGTGCCGCAATAAACATACGTGTGCATGTGTCTTTATAGCAGCATGATTTATAGTCCTTTGGGTATATACCCAGTAATGGGATGGCTGGGTCAAATGGTATTTCTAGGTCTAGATCCCTGAGGAATGGCCACACTGACTTCCACAATGGTTGAACTAGTTTACAGTCCCACCAACAGTGTAAAAGTGTTCCTATTTCTCCACATCCTCTCCAGCACCTGTTGTTTCCTGACTTTTTAATGATTGCCATTCTAACTGCTGTGAGATGTTATCTCATTGTGATTTTGATTTGCATTTCTCTGATGGCCAGTGATGGTGAGCATTTTTTTATGTGTTTTTTGGCTGCATAAATGTCTTCTTTTGAGAAGTGTCTGTTCATGTCCTTCGCCCACTTTTTGATGGGGTTGTTTATTTCTTGTAAATTTGTTTGAGTTCATTGTAGATTCTGGATATTAGCCCTTTGTCAGATGAGCAGGTTGCGAAAATTTTCTCCCATTTTACAGGTTGCCTGTTCACCCTGATGGTAGTTTCTTTTGCTGTGCAGAAGCTCTTTAGTTTAATTAGATCCCATTTGTCAATTTTGGCTTTTGTTGCCATTGCTTTTGACGTTTTAGACATGAAGTCCTAGCCCATGCCTATGTCCTGAATGGTAACACCTAGGTTTTCTTCTAGGGTTTTTATGGTTTTAGGTCTAACGTTTAAGTCTTTAATACATCTTGAATTAATTTTTGTATAAGGTGTAAGGAAGGGATCCAGTTTCAGCTTTCTACATATGGCTAGCCAGTTTTCCCAGCACCATTTATTAAATAGGGAATCCTTTCCCCATTGCTTGTTTTCCTCAGGTTTGTCAAAGATCAGATAGTTGTAGATATGCGGCGTTATTTCTGAGGGCTCTGTTCTGTTCCATTGATCTATATCTCTGTTTTGGTACCAGTACCATGCTGTTTTGGTTACTGTAGTCTTGTAGTATAGTTTGAAGTCAGGTAGTGTGATGCCTCCAGCTTTGTTCTTTTGGCTTAGGATTGACTTGGCGATGCGGGCTCTTTTTTTGGTTCCATATGAACTTTAAAGTAGTTTTTTCCAATTCTGTGAAGAAAGTCATTGGTAGCTTGATGGGGATGGCATTGAATCTATAAATTACCTTGGGCAGTATGGCCATTTTCACGATATTGACTCTTCCTACCCATAAGCATGGAATGTTCTTCCATTTGCTTGTATCCTCTTTTATTTCATTGAGCAGTGGTTTGTAGTTCTCCTTGAAGAGATCCTTCACATCCCTTGTAAGTTGGATTCCTAGGTATTTTATTCTCTTTGAAGCAATTGTGAATGGGAGTTCACTCATGATTTGGCTCTCTGTTTGTCTGTTATTGGTGTATAAGAATGCTTATGATTTTTGTACATTGATTTTGTATCCTGAGACTTTGCTGAAGTTGCTTATCAGCTGAAGGAGATTTTCGGCTGAGATGATGGGGTTTTCTAGATGTACAATCATGTCATCTGCAAACAGGGACAATTTGACTTCCTGTTTTCCTAATTGAATACCCTTTATTTCCTTCTCCTACCTAATTGCCCTGGCCAGAACTTCCAACACTATGTTGAATAGGAGTGGTGAGAGAGGGCATCCCTGTCTTGTGCCAGTTTTCAAAGGGAATGCTTCCAGTTTTTGTCCATTCAGTACGATATTGGCTGTGGGTTTGTCATAGATAGCTCTTATTATTTTGAGATACGTCCCATCAATACCTAATTTATTGAGAGTTTTTAGCATGAAGCGTTGTTGAATTTTGTCAAAGGCCTTTTCTGCATCTATTGAGATAATCATGTGGTTTTTGTCTTTGGTTCTGTTTATATGCTGGATTACATTTATTGATTTGCATATATTGAACCAGCCTTGCATCCCAGGGATGAAGCCCACTTGATCATGGTGGATAAGCTTTTTGATGTGCTGCTGGATTTGGTTTGCCAGTATTTTATTGAGGATTTTTGCATCAATGTTCATCAAGGATATTGGTCTAAAATTCTCTTTTTTGGTTGTGTCTCTGCCAGGCTTTGGTATCAGGATGATGCTGGCCTCATAAAATGAGTTAGGGAGGATTCCCTCTTTTTCTATTGATTGGAATAGTTTCAGAAGGAATGGTACCAGTTCCTCCTTGTACCTCTGGTAGAATTCAGCTGTGAATCCATCTGGTCCTGGACTCTTTTTGGTTGGTAAGCTATTGATTATTGCCACAATTTCAGAGCCTGTTATTGGTCTATTCAGAGATTCAACTTCTTCCTGGTTTAGTCTTGGGAGGGTGTATGTGTCGAGGAATTTATCCATTTCTTCTAGATTTTCTAGTTTATTTGTGTAGAGGTGTTTGTAGTATTCTCTGATGGTAATTTGTATTTCTGTGGGATCGGTGGTGATATCCCCTTTATCATTTTTTATTGCACCTATTTGATTCTTCTCTCTTTTCTTCTTTATTAGTCTTGCTAGTGGTCTATCAATTTTGTTGATCCTTTCAAAAAACCAGCTCCTGGATTCATTAATTTTTTGAAGGGTTTTTTATGTCTCTATTTCCTTCAGTTCTGCTTTGATTTTAGTTATTTCTTGCCTTCTGCTAGCTTTTGAATGTGTTTGCTCTTGCTTTTCTAGTTCTTTTAATTGTGATGTTAGGGTGTCAATTTTGGATCTTTCCTGCTTTCACTTGTGGGCATTCAGTGCTATAAATTTCCCTCTACACAGTGCTTTGAATGTGTCCCAGAGATTCTGGTATGTTGTGTCTTTGTTCTCATTGGTTTCAAAGAACATCTTTATTTCTGCCTTCATTTCGTTATGTACCCAGTAGTCATTCAGGAGCAGGTTGTTCAGTTTCCATGTAGTTGCGCGATTTTGAGTGAGTTTCTTAATCCTCAGTTCTAGTTTGATTGCACTGTGGTCTGAGAGACAGTTTGTTATAATTTCTGTTCTTTTACATTTGCTGAGGAGTGCTTTACTTCCAACTATGTGGTCAATTTTGGAATAGGTGTGGTGTGGTGCTAAAAAAAAATGTATATTCTGTTGATTTGGGGCGGGGAGTTCTGTAGATGTCTATTAGGTCTGCTTGGTGCAGAGCTGAGTTCAATTCCTGGGTATCCTTGTTAACTTTCTGTCTCGTTGATCTGTCTAATGTTGACAGTGGGGTGTTAAAGTCTCCCATTATGATTGTGTGGGAGTCTAAGTCTCTTTGTAGGTCACTTAGGACTTGCTTTATGAATCTGGGTGCTCCTGTATTGGGTGCATATATATTTAGGTTAGTTAGCTCTTCTTGTTGAGTTGATCCCTTTACCATTATGTAATGGCCTTCTTTGTCTCTTTTGATTTTTGTTGGTTTAAAGTCTGTTTTATCAGAGACTAGGATTGCAACCCCTGCCTTTTTTTGTTTTCCATTTGCTTGGTAGATCTTCCTCCATCCTTTTACTTTGAGCCTATGTGTGTCTCTGCACGTGAGATGGGTTTCCTGAATACAGCACGCTGATGGGTCTTGACTCTTTATCCAATTTGCCAGTCTGTGTCTTTTAATTGGAGTATTTAGTCCATTAATATTTAAAGTTAATATTGTTATGTGTGAATTTGATCCTGTCATTATGATGTTAGCTGGTTATTTTGCTCGTTAGTTGATGCAGTTTCGTCCTAGCATCAATGGTCTTTACAATTTGGCATGATTTTGCAGTGGCTGGTACCAGTTGTTCCTTTCCATGTTTAGTGCTTCCTTCAGGAGCTCTTTTAGGGCAGGCCTGGTGGTGACAAAATCTCTCAGCATTTGCTTGTCTGTAAAGTATTTTATTTCTCCTTCACTTTTGAAGCTTAGTTTGGCTGGATATGAAATTCTGGGTTGAAAATTCTTTGCTTTAAGAATGTTGAATATTGGCCCCCACTCTCTTCTGGCTTGTAGAGTTTCTGCCGAGAGATCCGCTGTTAGTCTGATGGGCTTCCCTTTGAGGGTAACCCGACCTTTCTCTCTGGCTGCCCTTAACATTTTTTCCTTCATTTCAACTTTGGTGAATCTGACAATTATGTGTCTTAGAGTTGCTCTTCTGGAGGTGTATCTTTGTGGCGTTCTCTGTATTTCCTGAATCTGAATGTTGGCCTGCCTTGCTAGTTTGGGGAAGTTCTCCTGGATAATATCCTGCAGAGTGTTTTCCAACTTGGTTCCATTCTCCCTGTCACTTTCAGGTACACCAATCAGATGTAGACGTGGTCGTTTCACATTGTCTCATATTTCTTGGAGGCTTTGTTCATTTCTTTTTATTGTTTTTTCTCTAAACTTCCCTTCTCGATTCATTTCATTCATTTCATCTTCCATCACTGATACCCTTTCTTCCAGTTGATCGCATCGCCTCCTGAGTCTTCTGCATTCTTCACGTAGTTCTCGAGCCTTGGCTTTCAGCTCCATCAGCTCCTTTAAGCACTTCTCTGTATTGGTTATTCTAGTTATACATTCGTCTAAATTTTTTTCAAAGTTTTCAACTTTTTTGCCTTTGGTTTGAATTTCCTCCTGTAGCTCGGAGTAGTTTGATTGTCTGAAGCCTTCTTCTCTCAACTCATCAAAATCATTCTCCGTCCAGCTTTGTTCCGTTGCTGGTGAGGAGCTGTGTTCCTTTGGAGGAGGAGAGGCGCTCTGCTTTTCAGAGTTTCCAGTTTTTCTGCTCTGTGTTTTCCCCATCTTTGTGCTTTTATCTACTTTTGGTCTTTGATGATAGTGATGTACAGATGGGTTTTTGGTGTGGATGTCCTTTCTGTTTGTTAGTTTTCCTTTTAACAGACAGGACCCTCAGCTGCAGGTCTGTTGGAGTTTGCTAGAGGTCCACTCCAGACCCTGTTTGCCTGGGTAACAGCAGCGGTGGCTGCAGAACAGCGGATTTTCATGAACCATGAATGCTGCTGTCTGATCGTTCCTCTGGAAGTTTTGTCTCAGAGGAGTACCCGGCCGTGTGAGGTGTCAGTCTGCCCCTACTGAGGGATGCCTCCCAGTTAGGCTGCTCGGGGGTCAGGGTCAGGGACCCACTTGAGGAGGCAGTCTGCCCATTCTCAGATCTCCGGCTGCGTGCTGGGAGAACCACTGTTCTCTTCAAAGCTGTCAGACAGGGACATTTAAGTCTGCAGAGGTTACTGCTGTCTTTTTGTTTGTCTGTGCCCTGCCCCCAGAGGTGGAGCCTACAGAGGCAGGCAGGCCTCCTTGAGCTGTGGTGGGCTCCACCCAGTTCGAGCTTCCTGGCTGCTTTGTTTACCTAAGCAAGCCTGGGCAATGGGGGGCACCCCTCCCCCAGCCTCGCTGCCGCCTTGCAGTTTGATCTCAGACTGCTGTGCTAGCAATCAGCGAGACTCCATGGGCCTAGGACCCTCCGAGCCAGGTGCAGGATATAATCTCCTGGTGCGCCGTTTTTTAAGCCCGTCAGAAAAGCGCAGTATTAGGGTGGGAGTGACCTGATTTTCCAGGTGCCGTCTGTCACCCCTTTCTTTGACTAGGAAAGGGAACTCCCTGACCCCTTGCGCTTCCCGAGTGAGGCAATGCCTCGCCCTGCTTTGGCTCGCGCACAATGCGCTGCACCCACTGTCCTGCGCCCACTGTCTGAGGCACTCCCTAGTGAGATGAACCCGGTACCTCAGATGGAAATGTAGAAATCACTCGTCTTCTGCGTCGCTCATGCTGGGAGCTGTAGACCGTAGCTGTTCCTATTCGGCCATCTTGGCTGCCCTTCCTAACAAAATGTATTTCTTAAGTAATAAGATCTGAAAGTCAAAATGACTCCTTGATTCATGGGCTGCAGAATGAATGCTGTTAGCAGGCATGAAAACTACATTAATCTGTACATCTTCATCAAGCTCTTGGATGACTAGGTGCATTGCCAATGAGCAGTTTTATGTTGAAAGGAATTTTTTTTGTTTTTGTGAGCAATAGGTCTCAATAGTGGGCTTAAAATAGTAAGGCTGGGTGCAGTGATTCACACCTGTAATCCCGGCATTTTGGGAGGCCGAGGTGGGCAGTTTGTTTGAGCCTAGGAGTTGGAGACCAGCCTGGGCAACAAGGCAAAACCCCACCTGTTAAAAAAAATACAAAAATTAGCTGGGTGTGGTGGCAGGTACCTGTAGTCCAAGATTCTTGGGAGGCTGATTATCACTTAGGCCCAGGAAGTCAAGGCTGCTGTGAACTGTAATCACACCACTGCACTCTAGCCTGGGCAGCAGAGCAAGACCCTATCTCAAAAATAAAATTGAGTAAATCATGCTGTAAACAGTTGTGTTGTAATCCAGGCTTTGTTGTTGCACTTATACAACACAAGTAGAGTACATTCAGCATAATTTTTAAGTGCCGTTCAATTTTCAAAATAGTAAATGAGCATGGGCTTCCACCTAAAGTCACCGGCTGCATTACCCCCTAACAAGAGATTCAGGCTGTTTTCTTAAACTTTCTTTTTAATTTTTGTGGGTACATAATAGGTATATATAAGTTACATATAATATTTTGATACGGGCATGCAATGCATAATCATCACATCAGGGTAAATGTGGTATCCATCACCTCAAGCATTTATCCTTCTTCATGTTACAAATCAATTATACTCTTAGTTATTTTAAAATGTACAATTAAGTTATTTTTGACTATAGTCACCCTATTGTGCTATCAAATACTAGGTTTTCTTTAAACTTTATATTTTTTTTGTACCCATTAACCCTCCCCACTTCCCCCCAAACCCTTACAGCCTGTTTTATTTTTTTATTATACTTTAAGTTCTAGGTACATGTGCACAACGTGCAGGTTGCATATGTATATATGTGCCGTGTTGTTTTGCTGCACCCATTAACTCGTCATTTACATTAGGTATTTCTCCTAATGCTATCCCTCCCCCATCCCCCAACCCCATGACAGGCCCTGGTGTGTGATGTTCCCCGCCTTGTGTCCAAGTGTTCTCATTGTTCAATTTCCACCTATGAGTGAGAACTGTGGTGTTTGGTTTTCTGTCCTTGCGATAGTTTGCTCAGAATGATGCTTTCCAGCTTCACGCATGTCGCTACAAAGGACATGAACTCATCCTTTTTTATGACAGCCTGTTTTTTGAAGCTTCACAATCAGGCATTGACTTCCTATATAACATTTTCCAATATAAGGCTGTGTCATCTACATTGAAAATTTATTGTTTAGTGTAGCCACCCTCATTCAATGATCTTAGCTAGATTTTCTGGATAACTTGCTGCAGCTTCTATATCAGCACTTGCTGCTTCATCTTGCACTTTTATCTTTTTTTTTCTTCTTTCGAGATGCAGCTTCACTCTTGTTGCCCAGGCTGGAGTGCAATAAGCACAATATTGACTCACTGCAACCTCCACCTCACTGCAACCTCCGCCTCCCAGGTTCAAGCAATTCTCCTGCCTCAGCCTCCCAAGTAGCTGGAATTACAGACGCATGTCACCATGCCTGGCTAATTTTGTATTTTTAGTAGAGATGGGGTTTTGCCATGTTGGCCAGGCTGGTTTCAAACCCCTGACCTCAGGTGATCCACCCGCTTCGGCCTCCCAAAGTGCTGGGATTACAGGCGTGAGCCACCATGCCTGACTGCACTTTTATCTTCTGGAGAGGATTTCTTTCCTTAAACCTCATGAACCAACCTTTGCTCCTTCAAACTATTCTTGTGCAACTTTCTCACTTCTCTCCATAGAATTAAAGAGTGTTAATACCTTACTCTGGATTAGGTGTTGGCTTAAGGGGATACTTGTGGCCGGTTTGAACTTCTATCCGGACCACTCCAACTTTTCCCATATTAGCAGTAGACTTTTTTGTTTTCTTATCATTCATGTGTTTGCTGGAGTAGCACTTTTTATTTCTTTCAATAATTTTTCCTTTGCATTCACAACTTGACTAACTGATGCAAGAGGTCTAGCTTTCAGCTTATCTTGGCTTTTGACATAACTTCCTCACTAAGCTTAAACATTTCTATTTTGTGGTTTAGAGATATATATGATTTCCTTTCACTTGACTACTTAGAGGCCAATGTAGGAATATTAACTGGCCTAATTTCAATAGTGTTGTACCTCAGGGAATAGGGGGGCCTTCGGGGAGAGAGAGAGAGAGATGGAGGAATGGCTGGTCAGTGGAGCTGTCAGAGCACACACAACATTTGTTGATTAAGTTTGCCTTTTTATATGGGTGTGGGTTTGTGGTACCCCATAACAATTACAATAGTAATACAAAGATCACAGATCACCATAAAGGTATAAGGAAGTTTGAAATATTTGGAGATTACCAAAGTATGACACACAGACACAAAGTGAGCACACGCCATTGGAAAAATGGTGCCAATAGACTTGCTTGACAGGGTTGCCACAACCTTCCATTTGTAAAAAAACACAGTATCTGCAAAGTGCAATAAAGGCAAGTACAATAAATCAAGGTATTTGTGTACATATATATTTCTAGTTATTTCCCTACCGATTGCTTTAGAGCTTACCATATATGTCTCAATTTATCAGAATCAGCTTCAGATTTATTCTAAATTAATTCCAGTGTGATATATCTATATCTATATCTATATATATATATACACACTCTATATAGCTCTATATCCCTTTCCCCATTTTGTGAAATTGTTGATACATCTATCTATCTATATATAATCTCTAAGTGTTACAAACCTCACAATACATTGTTATGATCATTTATAAAATATTATGTTTTTAAAAAGCCAAAGGAAAGAAAATTTTATATTTATAGTTTTAAAAAATATATTAATACTCCGATTTATCATTTCTGAGTTACCATCGAGTAATTTCCTTAGCCCAATACTGCTTTGCTCTGAGTTACCCCCTTTGTGCTGTTACTAGCAAGTATATTACATTTATATATGTATGGACCCAATAATTCATTATACACGTGGTTTTATACAATTGCTTTATAAATCAGTTAAGAAAGGATGAATAACATCTGTACCATCTTTTATAATGACAAAATTACCTTTACTAGTGTTCTTTGTCTATTAATGTGAATTCAAATATGGGATCACCTGCTTTGAACCTGAATAATTTCTTTTAGTATTTCTTGTGAGGTGGGTCAGCTTTCAACATATAATTTCAGTTTTGTTTATCTAGAAATGATTTAATCTTCATTTTTTGAGAGGGTTTTGCTAATATAGGGTTCTTGGCTGACAGTTTTTTTCTTTGAGCACTTAAAATATGTTTCTGTTGCAAAGCTAGCTGCTAATCTTTTGGAGGTTCCCTTTTAAGTGATGAATCATTTTTCTCATGCTACTTTCAAGATTCAATTTTTCTCTTTGGCTTTCAGCATTTTTGTTATGTTTTGTCTGTTTGTTGATCTCTTTGTGTTTATCCTGCCTGGTGCTTGTTGAATTTCCTGGAGGAACAGGTTATTTTTTAATACACTTGGGAATTTTCCAGCTATTCGTTCTTTGAACATTTTTATGCTCCCTTTGTGTGTTTCTTTTCTGTCTGGTACTCACATTATATGTAAGTTGGTGCGTTTAATAGTGGCCCATATTCCTCTGAGACTCTTCATTTATCTTCATTCTTTTTTCTCCTTGTTCTTTGAATTACATAATCTCAATCAATGTATCTTCAGATTTACTCCAGAATTTCTGTCTTGTTACAGATATGCTTTATTTGATGCAACATTGTCATTATACTTATCTTCACTTATTTTTAAAAAATAATTACATATATTTATGGAATATATATTTTGATATATGTGTGGAATGATTAAATCAAGCTAATTAACATATCACTTAACATTTTTTTTTTTGGTGGTGAGAACTTTAAAAATTTACTATCTTAGCAATTTTGAAATATATAATTGCTATGGTTCGAATGTGTCCCTTTCAAAATTCAGGTGTTGAAATTTAATGGCCAAATGTGATGGTGCTAAGAGATGGAGAATTTAAGAGGTAAGTAGGTCATGAGGGCTCCTGACTCGTAAGTGGGACTAAGGCCCTTGTAAAGGAGACTTTACATAGCATTTCACCTCTGCCATGTGAGAACACAGTGTTCCACCCCTCCAGAGAATGCCACAGCAAGGCACCTTCTTGGAAGCGGGACTTCAGCAGACGATGAACTTGTCAGTACCTTGATCTTGAACTCCCAGTCTCCAGAACAGTGAGAGAGAAATTTGTTGTTTTAAACTACCAGTCTCAGACATTTTGTTTTAGCAGCACACACTAAGGCAACAATACATTATTATTAATTATGATCACCATGTTGTGTGATAGATCCAAAAAACATTTGTCTCCTGTTTTATTGAAACTTTGAGTTCTTTGGCCAACATATGACCATCCTCCCCTCCCTCTCCAGCCTCCGGTAACCGCCATTCTAGTCTCTATGATTTCAGCTTCTATTATCTAAAAGATTCTACATGTAAGTGAGATCATAAACTAGATGCTTTGCTTTTCTGTGCCTGCCTTATTTCACTCAACAAAATGTTCTCCAGGTTCATCCATTTGTTGTAAATGAAAAAAATTCCTTTTTAAAAACTGAATATGTCATTGTATATATATATAGCACATTTTCATTATTCATTCACCTGTTGATAGAAACTTAGGTTGATTCTGTATCTTGGCTATAGTGAAGAGTGCTGCAATAAACATAAGAGTGCAGCCGTCTCTTTTACATACTGAGTACAATTCCTTTAGATGTATATCCAGAAGTTGGATTGCTGGATCACATGGCAGTTCTATTTTTAATTTTTTGAAGAACCTCAATACTATTTTCCACAAACACTGTACTAATTTACAGTCTCATCAGGACTATGCAAGAGTTTCTTTTTCTCCATATTCTTGTTAACACTTGGTAACTTTTTTCTTATTGATAATAGCCATTCTAACAGGTGTGAGGTGATATCCCGTTGCTGTTTTAATTTGCATTTTCCTGATGAATGGTGATGCTGAGCACTTTTTCATATACGTGTTGGCCATTTGTATGCCCTCTTTTGCAAAATGTCTACTCAGCTCCTTTGCCCACTTTTAACTGGGCTATTTGTTTTCTTGCTATTGAGTTGTTCAAGTTTCCCACGTATTTTGGATATTAACCCTTTATGAGATGTATGCATTGCAAGTATTTTCTACCAATTCACAGGTTGTTTCTTTACTCCTTTAATAGTGTTTGTTTTTTTTTTAAACCATATGTATAATTGCTTTGAAGGCTTTGTCTGTTAAATCTGACATGGGTCACTCCCACGGACAGTTTCTGTTGCTTTTCATTTTTTTGTTTTTCTAATGTATGGGTTATATTTTTCTTTTTCCCTCTCCCTCTCTCTGTGTGTATGTGTCATAGATTTTGTCAAAAACTAGACATTTTAGGTAATATAGTAGCTCTGGGTACTGGTCACGTCCTTCTGGGACTTGTTATTGTTACTAGATTTTTAATTTGTTTAGTGACTTACTGGGTTATTTTAGTGAACTCTTTATCCTCCCGCTAAGTGTAAAGCCTTTACTGTTGCAGGGGCTGTAGCCTCGGGTATGCCTGGAGTCATCCTTGGATGACAGTGGTTTTGGCAGGACTCTCTTTGACTGTCTCTTTCCCTGACCGCCCCCCATTCCATAGCTCCTTGCCCCCTCCCAACCACCACCAAACACATTTTAAGCTCCAGTGATTGATCTATTATTTTTTAAAAAATTCCCTGGGGATTTAGCAATTTGCTCCATGACTAAAAAATTAATCAAATTTGGGGTTCTTTAAAAAGATTATTCTTGAAGAAGTCAGTGTTTGACATTTGTTCTGACTCCAGCAGGCTTCTTCTAGCTATCCCCAGTTCTTTCAGGCACAAACTAGCTGGCCCATGATTAACCTATATATGTCTAATAATTCTACCAATATCATAATTCACTTTCACCACAACCTTCACTGTTTTTGAGACTGCCCTTAATCTTGAACTTCTCCAAACTCTTGAAGATAAAGTGAGTTCCTTCTGAAACAAATTATGAACTATCTTTTTTATGGCCACTTTTCCTTAAGGAAACATTTCTGAAACTCAGCTGTGGCAGTGAATGTGGGGAAAACAGCAGGCTTCTCGATGAATGACACTCCTGCTTTAGCTGCTGAGAGCTCAGTGTGGGTAGGGAGTGTCTAGCAACCTCAGGTATTTTCAGCTTGCCTCTCCTGGCACACAATCACCACTTTATGAGCTGGGGCCAGGGCAACTCAGATTCCAGTATTCTCAGCAGCACCATGACCAAGGAAGAGCCTCCATTTTATGAGTGGGTGCTGGGTTGAAGAAGGGAGCCCCCACCTTTCACCACATTTATCCTAAATCTAGCTTTGACAGCATGCAGCTACGGCAGAATGAGAAATGCTGATGTCCTGCCCCTCTGGGGAGAAAGCCCTCTGAATGAGAGCTGAGGAGAGAGAAAGCATTGTATTCTTGAGTGCACCTGTCCTGTTTTGAGTTTCCATCTTGCTAAGTTAGAAGGTAAAAGATAGGGATTGGGTCTTGTTTCAGATATCACAGATTCATGCTGTTCTTGCTGAATTATAATAGATTTTCTTAAATAAATGCTTCATTTGCTGTAAGTCCTTGGAACCATTTAAATGGTTGCGGTTTTAATGTCCAATTTCCTCCACTTTCTCTAGAGAGTAGATTCACTGAGCTCCTCAAGCTGTCATGCCCAAGATTCCTTCTTCTTCATCAATTTTCAAAGTGATGTTTTCACCAAAGCTTGACTTAGAAAAATACCACTATGTTAAATATGTGAAGTATATTAGGATGATATTTTTGTGCACGTCATAAAAAGGCCAACATGAACTTCATGCTAACAAGATGTTAACTTTTTAAAATGTTGATATCTTGGTTGATCCTATTTGTATTCACTCAGTAGTCATGGCTTCTCTATTAAGCCAGCTGATGGTGGGTGAAAGAATAACATTATGTATTATAAACTACATTTTTTACATGTTTGCGTCATAAATTTAATTCCACTTACAAGGAAATCATCTAATACCACTTTCTTATGGTAATCATAATTGGATCATCCCTGCTATACCTCCCCTTACATTTATCTAGCTAGTCTACAAATCTAATGGAAGGTAGGAAAATACCTCTTTCTACTTTCCTTGACCCTTATCTGCTAGTACATATATAATGAAAAATGTTATTTAAAAAAATTTATATGTATCATTGGGTTTTTAGTTATCTTACAGAAAAACCACTCCAATTATGAACAGACCTCTATCATTTGACCTTTTCTAGGTCTCTCCTCATTCTTAAAAGCAACGCTTTGCCATTACATAAATGGCACTGCAGTTCAGGTGTGCCAGTTACATTTTAGCATAATCTTTCTGCTATTTCTAAGAGTACTGTTTCAAAGCATGAAATTTAACTGATAATGTTCGTAAACTGTTTAATAATGAGTTATAGAAACTTCAAAGCATGGAAAATTTGTTGCAACAATGTGGCCTAAGTGACCAGTCAGGACATTTGCCTTCCACCTATCAAGGTGATAATATAGTCAACCGCTAATTATCTAAGCATTTAGATTTGATGTCACATCAAACTTTGGATGTCATTTTCCAGGGCATTTTTGGGTCATCCCTCTTACCCTAGATTCAAGAAATGTCAGTGAATTTTAATAATAATCTTTAAAACATAACATTGTGAGGAAGGATTTGCTCTCTTATTCCTGAAATAGTCACATAATATATTGCACAAACATACAGAACCAAGTTTTGAACTAGCCCTTATCATTTAAAAACTACACTGCTATACCTATTATTAATCAGGGCAATTGAGAATTTATGGGTGTCAGTGCAATGTGAAAAAGTGATTAGTATAATACTTGGAGAACATAAAGATGTTTTTAACAATCCACAAATTACGATTTATAAAGAGTTACTGGCTACTGTTGTAGAATTCCTTATATACCAAACTACTTTGGGGTATCAAGCCAAAACATATCAAAGAGACATGGAGAACTGAAGTCTATAATTATATATGGCTCAATTAACTTTTTAAAGTAGCATTAAGAATATTCTTAGGAGAGTTGTGCTAATATTAAAGTGTGATGTTTACTTATTTCTACCACAAGATTTTCCTAATTGTTAACTTTTATACAAAATTACCCCTATTATTTTAAATTGCAGACTACATAAATGCAGTCTCCATGCATCTATATTTTTTTCTTACCAATGTCATACCCAACATCTAGAGCAATGTGTTGCACATAATGTGTGAAAAACCCCAAAAAAGTTTGGTTATTTATTTTGGATTCTAAAATTTTTTAATTTGTTAAAATTGAGAAATAATTTATATACAGTGAGTAAAATGCACAAATTTTAAGTATATGATTCAATAAGTTTTGACAAGTGTTTATATCTATGTAAATATCACTGCAATCAATATATAGAACATTTTTATTACCACAAAATGTGTTATCATACTCTCTTCCTGTCAATCAACACTATTCAAAGGAAATCAGAGTTTTCATTTTTACCACCATACATTAATTTTGACTTTTCTAGAACTTCATATAAGCAAAGCTATATACATTTTCTTTTCTGTCTGGCTTCTTTTGTTCATCATAATTTTGAGATTCATCCTGTGTATCAGAAATTTATCCTTTCGTTTTTATTGCAGAGAAGTGTTCTATTGTATGAATATATTACAGCTTGTTTATCCTTTCTCATGTTGGCGTATGTCTTAGTCTGTTCAAGCTGCTATAACAAAATACCACGGGCTGGGTAATTAATAAACAACAAAAATTTATTGGTTACAGTTTTGGAAGCTGAGGTGTCCAAGATCAAGGCACCCGCAGATTTGGTGTCTGGTGATAAGTGCTCTCTGCTTCAAAGACGGTACTTTCTCACTGAGTCCTCACATGGCAGAAGTAGGCAGAACGCTTCCTTAAGCCTTTCTGATACTGTTACTAATCCCATTCATGAGGGCAGCACCATCATGACCTAGTGACCTTCTTAAGGCCCCCACATCTTGATACCGCCACAATGGGGGTTAGGTTTCAACATAAATTTTGGAGGGACACAAACATTCAGATTATAGCAACATGTACATGAGATGTGTACAGGTTTGGCTCTTACAAGTAAAGCTTTTTTGTGGATGCATATGTTTTCATTTCTTATAAGTAAATACTTAGGAGTGGAATTCCTAGTATATGAAGGTTTATTCAGATAAACTGCCGGTTTTTCAATATGGTTGTACCATTTTACATTCTCATCAGTGGTGTATGAGTTCCTATTGCTCCACGTTTGCTAGTCTTTTTAATTTTAGAGCAAAGTAATAGCTCATTGTGGTTTTAATTTATATTTCTGTGATATAAAAGATACTGAGCACCTTTTCAGATGCCATTTGTATATTTTCTTTTGGAAAATGTACCTTTAAGACTTTTTCCTGTTTTATTAATAATATGTTTTTCTGTTTATTATTGACTTGTTAAGAGTTCTTTATGTAGTCTAGATTTATATATTTTGGATATAAGCCCTTTGGTAGATACCTGTGTTCCAATGATAGTCTTCCAGTCTTTGGCTTGCTTTGTCATTGTCACAGTGAATCTTTTGATGAGCAGAGGTATTTAATTTTCATTTAATCCAGTTTATCAAATTCTGTTTGCCTTTACAGTTAGTGCCATTGTGTCCTAATACATATTTACCTACCCCACAATCACAGAGAAATGACATTTTCTTTTGTTTTTTTTCCCCCTAGAAACTTATGGTTTTAGTTTTTACATTTAGATATATAATCATCTTACATTAATTTTTGTTGATTTTATTCGGTCATTTGACTCTGAAATGGAGATTTCCGTGTAAGAGATTTATTGGGATACACACACTTCAGCACTCTCTGTTGTCTACCCCTTGCATAGCTTGGATCCATATATTTTATATAATAGGGAATAACACTTGTAAACCTTCAGATATTGGTGCTGGCTGAGGAAGGCAGACAGGAAAGGCAAACCTGGGAATATCAACTTGCTACTAAGTGGCTGATCTTCTCAAGGAATAGTGTCATGTCAGGGGCTCAGTGTTGGTTTCTGTCAATACAAGTTGGACATTCTCCAGTGGCAGTAGCTAGAGTGAGCAAGGTAAGTTGGAGTGCATGCATTTGATACAAAGATCTTCACATTTTGTGACCAATCCTAAAAGTCTATCCACATGCCTCTTCCCCAGACTTCCTTTTCCCCAGTCTTGTAATATTTCTCATTTCAAGAAACTGACCAACCAAACAAGCCATTCACCACAACCCATGATTTCATATATATTCCTACCTTGGGCTACATCTCCTTCCTCACAAAATGAATGATGAGGTTAAACACCCAAGCTTTGCCCATTGGTAAGATTTTCCCTCACTGCTGTCTTTGGTGCACTTTGAATGGGGCTATAGTTGAGCTGTTGTCGATTTGTGACCTGCATCTATACAGCAAACTGACCTATTTGTGAACCATGCTTGGCATTTTTCCTCCTCTGTCAGTTGGTCATAAGGAATTCTCAAAAAAGCTACAGGTATGAGCAGAGAGTGTGATGATGTGACATTACAATCTGTGCCACTTTTTGCTGTGCAGCTAACATGTGTCCTCTGACCCTACTTGTGGCCAACCGTATTGTAAGAATACAATGGATTACTGTTGGATCTGCTTAATCTGATGAGTTTGAGGTTCTCACAGAACACAGCTCAGGATGGTCATTCTAGTTTTGTAGTCACTTGATGTCTCATGATTAGGTTTTCTATCTCTACTAGACCTCAATAGCATGCCAGGACCTATTTTTCTAATGGAATCAAATTACCCATTATAGATGGCATAGCTTTGCTTCAGACACATAAGAGTCTAGGTTGTAATTCTCATTTGGGGTCTTGCCATAAGCTCCTCATGAATTTTTTTTACTATTACAGATAACTCTAGTACATATAATTTTTTTGCACTACTCCAGAAATCTTTTTGCTGTGAGGCCCACTGAAAGCTGCTGGTCTTTGAAGTCGCTTGGTAGTTGAGTTGGAGGAGCATTCCAAAGCATGATATATGCTGTATTCAGAAAATCTAAAAATTCTAATAGGTACTATGCTTTCTTTTTCAGTGGTGGTAGGATCAAGATGACATAATTTGTTCTCTGCTTTGGAAAGAATGCTACAGTATGGCACAAGCTACAGGAACTCTAAAATTGTCATTGATGTGGTAGTCATTTATATCCCTATGACGTTTATAGCCAATCCTCTGCAGTACATGGGACTTACCAAGGTTTCCAATATACTTTCCATTTCTTGCCCATCTGGTCTGATTAACATGATATTATCCATATGGTAGACTGGTGTGATTTTCTGCAAAAAGTCCATATGGTCCAGATACTTTGGTACTATCATATGACAGATGTCAGGAGAGTTAGTAGAGCCCCATAGTAATACCATAAGGAACACTGTTGTCCACCCCATATGAATGCCAGCTTTTTCTGGTCCTCTTTCTGATAGGAATGGGAAAAAAATGCATTTGCCATATCAATGGCCTCATACAATGTACCTGAGTCTCAGTCTTTAGAAAATATCCTTCATTTGGTACATCAGCTGAAATTGAGGCTATTATTAAGCTTATTTAGTCCATTGTCATCCTCCAGGATCTATCTGATTTGGGTAGGGAGCATATAGGTAAATTAAATGGTGGAATAATGGGCACCATTTTATGCCCCCAAATCCCATAGGTCTTTAAGGTGGTACTGATCTCTGCCATTACCCATGTGATACGATATTGTTTTTTAATTTAGTATCTTGTCTGAGGGAAGTTTCAGTAGTTTCTACTTGGCCTCCTACATAATAAAGCTCCTTCTCAACAGGCCAAGGAACCAAGGTGGTGAGTCAGTCAACTGATGGGGGAGTTCTGTAAAATATCTTCATTTCAAGTATAAAGTTGGAGGGTGAGGCCCATAGATCCAGGAGATCCACTGTGAGCCAGACCTGGATCAAGCCATTTATTTATGCCTCACCCTCAAATGCTCACACTCTAGCAAGACTATATAAGATGCTTTGAGTCCTAGATTTCATTTTTAACTTAGACTCTTTCTCATAACCCTCAAAATATCAGAAATGTGTAATTATTTCTATTTTTAGAGACAGGGTCTTTCTCTGTTGCTCAGGCTGGAGTGCAATGGTGCAGTGGTAGCTTACTGTAACCTCAAACTCAATCGATCCCCCACCTCAGCCTCCTGAGTAGCTGGGACTACATGCATGCACCACCTTGCTCAGCTAATTAAAAAAAAAAAAAATCTGTAGAGACAGGGTCTCCCTGTGTTGCCCAGGCTGATCTTGAATTCCTGACCTCAAGTGACCCTCTCACCTCGGCCCCTCAAAGTGCTAGGATTATAGTCATGAGCCACCGTGCCCAGCTAATTATTTTTTTTCTTAATGTTTAGTTATCTGAGTAATGGTTACAATGTTCCTTCAAGGAAGGACTAGGGAAATCATTATGTTATACCTTGTTTTGATGTTGCTCTGTCCTTCCTTTTAGAGACATAGTCCATCCTTTAGCCAATAGATTCTGGACCTAAAACTGGCTCATTTCAGGAAAGGAATTGTAATTTTAAAAATTAGAACAGCTGACTTAACCTCCTGATCATCCAAATTTGTTTTTTAGAACTTCTTGTAGAGATATAAATGTTCTGTATCTGTACTGTCCAGTATGGGCCACTAACCACACGTGATTATTGAGCACTTGAAGTGTGGTTAGTGAAACTAGTTTTTAAATTCTATTCAAGTTTAACTAATTAAAATTTAAATGTGAATATCCACATGTGGCTAGTGGCTACTGTATTTGATAATGAAGGTATAGATTTGAGCAGTATTCTTATCAACTGCTATCTTACCACTGGGGGTGCCATATTCATCTCCATAGCTCTCTCATTACAAGAAGTATGCCACCTTGTTTCTGAATGCGGAATGTAACTTATTTGTCTTTATTACTTCCTGATCCTGTCTTCCCTGTTAATATCAAGGACCCCAGTTCTGTAACATCATCTTCTACGATTGGCTGGCCCTGGTCAACATAAAGCAGCAACCACTGAACTCCTCAATGATGCCAGTGCCTCTTGAGTAAACAAGTGTCCTCCAGGTCCTCCTACCCAGCAGTCAGTTGGTAACTTCATAACCTGAAAAAGTATATCCACTCTAGCATTCCTATTTCTCTACACCTTGTGATCCCTTCTCATAATTTGTCAAGCACTTCTACATTACTTAATATATAACATCACTTTTTTTAAAGCTTCCAAGAGCCAACCTATAATATTAGCACTGTCTCCCAGGATTTTTGCCAAGATGCCAACTCCTGTATCATGAGGCAGTGCTGCTATATCAATACTCTTGTGAAACTTTATATCCTGTCTCCCTTGATCCAGCATCTTCATGATGCAATAGTTACTGTATATACTCTTCTAATTAATTCTTGCTGGTACATATTGGCTAGATGTGCAGTCCCCTCAGCATATCATCCCCTTCCTCTCTTAGCAGACTCACTGCTTTCTCAGGGGGTGCTGTGTTGTGACTCATCCTAGTTATTAGTCTCTCAGGAGAGGAGATGGAAAATAATGGGAGGGAAGAGGAAGCAATACCTCTTGTGTTGCACAAGACAGGCTTTTGTATTGTCTTTAAGCAATTAAGAGCACTAGTATTTCAAAGGAGGACTCACTTCTGCAGGCCCAGAGGGTTTAGGGAAATTTGGGATTCCAAGATACTTCAGTGTATAGACCTGAATGTTGTATTCTATGTCTCAGGGTTCCATTTCTTGACAGTAGTTCCATGAGTTTGGATGACACTCAAGTCTTGCCTAAGTTGAGCTGTTCGTCACCTCTGGAACTCTACTATACTTATAATTCATTTATGTAACTGTTCTTCAGCATTTTTTACTTCCGGCTTCAATAAATAAAAATTGCTTTATGTGCTTCCAAGTAGGCCTGTCTTTTAAATTAGTGATTAATCACACTCAACCATTCATTCTCTTTCCCCAATAAATTAATGCCCTGAGCAATATCCATCAAATGCTATTATCCTTATAATTACTACTTCCCTCCAACCTCTCAAATGACCATCTTACTGTACCCCTGCCCACTTCTTAGTGCATTTTTTCCCAAGAGTATTACATTGCAGTTCACAATCAGGAAACTTTCTAACAATGGCGTTGTTTCAGCATACCAAAACACATCCATACTTCATCTATAATTAGTAATGGGATTTTCACGACAGTCTTCAGGTGGATGATCCACCATCAAAATTCTATTTCAGAATTTGCTTACAACTAGTGGCATCAACTTTTTTCGATCAGATTTCCTAGAAAACTGATCTGAGATGGAGAATTGTGTGCTGAAAGTTGTCCCAAATGGAGACATGGGGACAAGACTTGTACATTCGTAGCATCTAGTCATTATATGCAAGTTGATCTCCAAGCAGGGGTACAAGCTTGGGTGGAAAACACTCTTCACCTGAATGCAATTTCTGGGCAAAAAGTCAGCTGTAAACCATCAATAGGCAACTGTGTTTTTTTCAAGTTTTATTTTAGGTTCAGCAGGTACAGGTGCAGGTTTGTTACATGGGTAAATTGTGTGTTATTGGGGTTTGGTGTACAAATTATTTTATCACCCAGGTAGTAAGCATAGTACCCAACAGGTAGTTTTTTCAATCCTCACCCTCCTCCCACCCCTCCATCCTCAAGTAGCCCTTGGTGTCTGTTGTTCCCTTCTTTGTGTCCATGTGTACTCAATGTTTATCTCCCACTTGTGAGAACATGTAGTATTTGGTTTTCTGTTCCTGCATTAATTCACTTAGGATAATGGCCTCCAGCTCCATTCATATTGCTGCAAAGTATATAATTTTGTCTTTTTTGTGGCTGCATTGTATTCAACAGTGTATATGTACCGTATTTTCTGTATCTGGTCCACCATTGGTGGGCATCAAGATTGAGTCCATGTCTTTGCTATTGTGAATAGTGCTGTGATGAACATATGCACACATGTCTCTATGGTATAATGCTTTATATTCCTTTGGGTATGTATGCATTTCTGGGATTGCTGAGTCAAATGGTAGTTCTACTTTCAATTCTTTGAGAAATCTCCAAACTACTTTCCACAGTGGCTGAACTAACTTAAATTCCCACCAACAGTGTATAAGCATTCCTTTTTCTCTGCAACCTCACTAGTATCTATTATTTTTTGACTTTTCAATAATAGCAATTCTAACTGGTTTGAGATGGTATGTCATTATGGTTTTGGTTTGTATTTCTCTGATAATTAGTGACATTTAGCATTTTTTCATATGCTTGTTGGCCTTGTGTATGTTTTCTTTAGGAAAGTGTCTGTTCATGTCCTCTGCCCATTTTTTAACAGGGTTGTTTGTTTCTTGTTGATTTTTTTAAGTTCCCTATAGATTCTCGATATTAGTTCTTCATTGGATGTATAGTTCACAAATATTGTCTCTCATTCAGTAGATTGTCTGTTTACTCTGTTGATAGTTTATTTTGTTGTGCAAAAGCTCTTTGGTCTAATTAGGCCCCACTTGCTAATTTTTGTTTTTGTTGCAATTCCTTTTGGAGTCTTCACAAAATTTTTGCCAGGGCTGATGTCCAGAATGGTATTTCCTAGCTTTTTTTCTAGGATCTTTATAGTTTTAGGTTTTATATTTAAGTCTTTAATCCATCTTGAGTTGATTTTTGTATGCAGTGAAAGCAAGGTGTTTAGTTTCAATCTTTTGCCTATGTCTAGCTAGTTATCCCAGCACCATTTATTGAATAGGAAGTTTTTCCCCTGTTGCTTGCTATTGTTTACTTAGTTGAAGATAAGTTGGTTGTAGGAGTACAGGTTTATTTCTGGGTTCTATAACTTGTTTCGTTTGTCTATATGTCTGTTTTAGTACCAGTACCATGCTGTTTGGGTAACTGTACATTTGTAGTATAGTTTGAAGACAGGTAGTACGATGCCTCTAGCTTTGTTCTTTTTGCTTCTGATTGCTTTGGCTATTGGGGATTTTTCTTGGTTCCAGTTGAATTTTAGAATAGTTTTTTCTAATTCTGTGAAAAATGTTGTTTGTAGTTTGATAGGAATAGCATTGAGTCTGTAAATTGCTGTGGGCAGTATGGCCATTTTAACAGTATTGATGCTTCCTATGCATGAGCATGGAATGTTTTTCCATTTGTTTGTGTCACCTCTGAATTCTTTCAGCAGTGTTTTATAATTCTTATTGTAAGGATCTTTCACCTCCCTAGTTACCTGTATTCCTAGGTATTTTATTCTTTTTGTGGCTGTCATAAACGGGATTGCATTCTTGATTTGGCTTTCAGCCTGGATGTTATTGGTGTATAGGAATGCTGGTGATTTTTGTATGTTGATTTTGCATCCCGAAACTCTGAAGTTGCTTATCAGACCTAGGAGCTCTTGAGCAGAGACTCTGGAGTTTTCTAGGTGTAGAATAATATCATCTGCACAGAGAGATAGTTTGACTTCCTCTCTTCCTATTTGCGTGCCTTTTCTTTCTTACTTTTGCCTGATTGCTCTGACTAGGGCTTTCAGAACTATGTTTAGTAGTAGTGGTGATCCTTGTGTTGTTCTAGTTCTCAAGGGGTTCTTCCAGTTTTTTCCCATTCAGTGTGATGTTGGCTGTGGGTTTGTCATAGATGGCTCTTACTGTTTTGAGGTGTGCTCCTTCAATGCCTCATTTGTTGAGGTTTTAACATGAAGAAATGTTTATTTTATTGAAAACCTTTTCTGTGTCTATTGAGATGATCGTGTGGTTTTTATTTTTAGTTCTGTTTATGTGATGAATTACATTTACTGATTTGCATATGTTGAATCAACCTTGAATCTCAGAAATAAAACCTACTTAATCATGGTGGTTAGCTTTTTGATGTGCTGCTGTATTTGGTTTGATGGTATTGAGGATTTTTGCTTCTACATTCATCAGGGATATTGGCCTGAAGTCATCTTTTTTTGTTGTGTCTCTGCTAGGTTTTGGTATCAGGATGAGTTAGAGAGGAGTCCCTTCTCCTTGATTTTTTGGAACTGTTACAGTAGGATTGGTACCAGTTCTTTATATGTCTGGTAGAATTTGGCTGTGAATCTCTCTGTTCCAGGGCTTTTTTGGTTGTTGGTGGTAGGTTTTCTAAATTACTGATTCAATCTCAGAACCCATTATTGGTCTGTTTGGGGTTTCTATTTCTTCTGGGTTTAATCTTGGGAGATTGTGTATTTCCAAAAATTCATACATATCTTCTAAGTTTTCTAGTTTGCGTGCATACAGGTGTTTGTAATTGTCTCTGGGGTTTTTTTTGTATTTCTGTGGGGTTGGTGGTAATGTCCCCCTGTCATTTCTGATTATGTTTATTAGGATCTTCTTTTTTCTTTATTGGTCTAGCTAGTGGTCTATCAATCTTATTTATTCTTTCAAAGAGTCAACTTTTGGCTTTATCGATCTTTTGTATAGTTTTTTGCATCTAAATTTCATTCAGTTCAGCTCTGATTTTCATTATTTTTTGTCTCCTGCTAGCTTTAAGTTGGTTTGCTCTTATTTCTCTAGTTCTTTTAGTCATGACATGAGTTAAATTGAGATCTAACTTTTTGATTTGGCATCCAGTGTAATAAATTTCCTTCTTAACACTGACTTATCTGTGTTCCAGCAAATCTGGTATATCTTTGTTTTCATTAGTTTCAAAGAATTTCTTGATTTCTGCCTTAATTTCGTTGTTTACTCAAAAGTCATTCAAGAGCAGATTATTTAATTTATATGTAATTCTATGGTTTTGAGAGATATTCTTGGTATTAATTTCTATTTTTATTGTGCTATAGTTTGAGAGTATGGTTGGTATGAATTTGATTTTTTTGAATTTTTAAAAAATTGCTTTATGGCTATGTGGTCTATTTTAGAGTATGTGCCATGTGCAGATAAGAAGTATGTATATTCTGTTGTTGTTGTTGGGTGGAGTATTCTGTAGATGTCTGTTAGCTCTATTTGCTCAAGTGTTGATTTAGGTCCTGAATATCTTTGTTAGTTTTCTGCCTCAATGATCTAATACTGCCAGTAGGGTGTTTAAATCTCCCACTATTAATTTGTGATTTTCTAAGTCACTTTGTAGTTCTCTAAGAACTTGTTTTATGAACCTGGGTGCTCCAGTGTTGGGTGCATTTATATTTAGGATTAGTAAGACTTGTTGAATTGAATCCTTTATCATTCTGTAATGCCCTTCTTTGTCCTTTTTATTCTTGGTTTAATGTTTGTTTTGTCTAAAATAAGAATAGCAACCCCTGCTCTTTTTTTGTTTTCTGTTTGTTTGATAGATATTTCTCCTTCCTTTTACTTTGAGCCAATGGGTGTCATTGCATGTGAGATGGGTCTCTTGAAGGCAGCATACATAGAGTTGAGTCTTGCTTCTTTATCCAAATTCCCACCTTGTGGCTTTTAAGTGAGATATTTAGCCTGTTTACACTTACAGTAATATTTATGTGTGGATTTGACCCTGTTATCATGTTGTTAGCTGGTTTTTATATAGACTTGATTGTGTAGTTGCTTTATAGTGTCAATGGTCTAAGTACTTAAGTGTGTTTTTGTGGTGGCTGGTAACAGTCTTTTGTTCCCACGTTCAACACTCCCTTAAGGACCTCTTGTAAGGCAGGTCTGGTGGTAACAAATTCCCTTAGCATGTGTTTCTCTGGAAAGGATTTTATTTCTCCTTGGCTTACAAAGCTTAGCTTGGCTGGATATATAATTCTTGATTGGAATTTATTTTCTTTGAAGATGCTAAATATAGCCCCCGCACCACCAATCTTTTCCAGCTTGTAAGGTTTCAGCTGAAAGTCCACTGTTAGCCTGATGGGGATCCCTTTGTAGGTGACATGCTTCTTCTCTCTAGTTGTCTTTAACATTTTTACTTTCATGTTAACCTTGGGGAATCAGATGACTGTGTGTCTTGTGAATTGTTGTCTTGTATTTTACAGGGGTTCTCTGAATTTCCTGGATTTGTATGTTGACCTCTCTAGCAAGGTTTGGAAATTTTCATGGACAATATTCTCAAATATGTTTTACAAGTTGCTTGCTCTCTCTCCCTCCCTTTTAGGGATGCTAATGAGTCACAGGTTTGGCCTCTTTACAAGAAATAATCCCATCTTTCTTGTAGGATTTGGTTATTATTTTGAGTTCTTTTTTCTTTAGTTTTGTGTGATTGAGTTGATTTAAAGAACTGGATTTTGAGCTGAGATTTTCTCAGTTTGGTCTATTCTGCTGTTGATACTTCCGATTGTATTCTGAAATTCTTGTAGTCAGTTTTTCAGCTCCATCAGATCAGTTAGTTTGCTTCTTAAAATTTCATCTTTCAACTCTTGAATGGTTTTACTGGATTCCTCAGATTCCTTGGATTGAGTTTCAACTTTCTCTCGAATCTAAATGATCTTAGTTGCCATCCAAACTGTGAATTCTATGTCTGTCATTTTGGTATCATTAAAAACCATTGCTGGAAAGTGAATATGGTCATTTGGAGGAAAGGAGACACTCTGGCCTTCAGAGTTGCCAGCAGTCTTATGCTGGCTTTTGTGTGCGTGTGGACTGATATTCCTTTAATTTTTGATGTTGTTATCCTTTGGTTGGGGCTTTTTGCTTTTACATTTTTTGATGACCTTGAGGATTTAAATATGGCATAAGTTGAGTTTAGTCAACTGGCTTCATTTCTGGATGATTTCAGGAGGCCACGGCTCACCTCAGCCCTCCTGGGCTGTGTGCTCTTACCTTGAGGGGCTGGGACCAGGCCCACAGCTTTGTTCTCTGGCCCCTTGAGGTCAAGCACCTGAGGCACTGCAGGGGCTGAGGTGTTCCTGGTCCACTGGCAACAACACTCCAATGGAGGGTTCCAGCAAAAGCACTTCACTGAGGCAGTGGCAGTAGGTTCCACACATGTACACAAATGGTGGCAGGGTAGTGGGATATGTGTGTGTACATGTGCCAGCAGCAGGGTGCTGCGGTCCACATATGTGTGCTGGCAAAGTGGTGGAGGGAGATTATGGGCGAGTGGGCACCAGTAAAGTGGTGGGGGGAGGCTGCTGGTAGGTGCAGCTGGTGGGGGCCCATCTACCAAAGCTCTCTGACAGGAAGGGTCTGCCAGCAAAAAAGCTATGATGGTGGTTGCTGGGAAGCACCTTGGTTGGGAACCTGAGGCTGCACTGCAAGTGGGTAAGGCCAAGCAGGGACCCTGGGAGAGATCAGCAGACAAGGGGTTACTAAGATCAAATTGTTCTCATCTCATGAGCAAGATAGCCCTGTTCTGTCCATGTCTAACAATCAACAAAGGCCAAAGCCACCTAGAGGAACATGGGGAGCCTTGAGTGTGGGCATCCCTGGCCATGCTCTACTGTAGCCATTACTGTGCCAAACCCTCTGGGCTCCATACTGAATGGAGTCTTGGCCCTGCCAACTCTCTCCAGAAAGTCCTTTCTGCCAGCTCAAATGTCCATGTGGGCAGTGGGGTCTCCTGCAGCTTGAATTCCAGAGGTCCATGCAGAGACTAGGCCGCTTCATGACTATTAAACTCATCCCTTCACCAGGAGCCTCTTGGGGCTAGGAACAAGTCCTGGTTGCTCAGCAACCCCATGCAGGGTTCCCAGCTTCCTCCCACTTCAGCCCAGGCTCTGTGACCTCCCTCTGTTCACTCTCATGCTTTCCTTCTGAAGATCTGGTCAGAGGGTGCCAATCTTCTTGATAGTCTGCTCTCTCAGTGGAAGAAGCTCTTCCTGGCTGCATCTAGTCAGCCATCTTGGCTCTAAACCCTCTGTAACAAGTTTACTTTGTTTTGATATCAATATTATGCTGAGCTCCCAGAACAAGTTGGGGAGTTTTCCTCCACCTCTATTTTCTGAAAAAGCTTAGTCAGATTTATTAAATCAGTGGTTTGCAAACATTTTTGCTTCAACCTCTTTAAATTTTTAAAAATTATTTAGGCTTCCAAAGGGCTTTTGCTTACATGGGTTATGTTTATCTATATATTAAAAACTTTTTAAAACAGAAAAATTTTGAAGTTGATTTTATTTAAAATAGTTATTATAGTATATGTTAACATATGCATAAAATAAGTACATTTTTCAAAAAATTTGTGGAGAGGCATAGTTTTACATTTTTATCAATCTTTTTAATGTGTAGTGTCATAGAAGACAGCTATATTTTTACATCTGTTTCTGTATCCAATCTATGACAATATTGTAAATTACGTGGCCAATGAAAATTTTACTTATGAAATAATAAAAGTGCAAAAGGCATAATTTTGATGTTGCAGGTCCCTAAAATTGTCTTAAGTATTGTAGCTTCAGAATTGCCATTAAAGGATTTTAGAATTCATCAGTGAAATACCTGGGTCTGGAATTTTCTTTGTGAGAAAGTTTTCGACAACAAATTCAGTTCCTTTAATAGATGTAATACTATTTTAGATTGTCTTTTTCTTCTTGTACCCATTTTTGTAAGTTGTGTTAAGGAATTTGTTCATTTGCTTAAGTTGTCAAATGTATTAGCATAAAGTTGTTTATAGCATTCCCTGCTTGTTCCTCTAATGTCAGTGGCAACTCTAGAATGTCTCTCGTTTCCTTCTTGCTATTGGTTGTTATTTTTCTTTTTTTCTTAATCTGTCTAGCTAGTGTTTTCTCAATGTTATTGACTTTGTTAGTTTTTTCCATTGTGTATCTATTATCTCTTTCACAGATTTATCTTTTTTTTTTTTTTTTTTTTTTTGCGACAAGGTCTTTCTGTCACTCAGGCTGGCATGTCCTTACCTATTTCTACTTAAATTTAACTTGATATTAATTTCTAGTTTATAAGGTAGAAACTTAGATCATAATTTTATATATTTCTTTTTTTCTAATAGAAGCCTTTAAAGATAAAATTTCCTCTATCCCTCATTTTAGCTAAATTCCACAAATTTTAATTTCATTACTTTTTAATTCCAAATATTTTTCAATTTCTTCAAACACTAGACTACTTAGAAGTCTGTCGTTAAATTCCCATTCAGTGATTTTCTAATTATCTTTGGCTACTCATTTCTAATTCAGTTCTATTGTAGTCAGACAACATACTCTATATAATTCAATCTTTTGAAATGTATTGAGATTTACTTTGTAGCCCAAAATATGGCCTATCTTGGTGAATATCCAATGTATACTTGACAAAAAAGTGTATTCTATTATTTGGTGTACTCATCTATAAATTTCTACTAAGTTATATTGGTTGATATTGTTGTTCAGATCTTCTATAACTTTTTTTGATTTTTTGGTCTAATTTTATCAATCACTGAGAGAAGAATGTTAAAATATTTAATTATTGCTATGGTCTAAATGCTACCTGCCCTGCAAATTTATATGTTGAAACTTAGTCATCAATGTGATAGTATTAAGATGTGGATCCTATAGGAGATGATTAAGTTATTAAGGCAGAGCCATTATAGATGGGGATAAGGTCCTTATAAAAGGGCTCAATGGAGTGAATTTGCTCTCTTCCACTCTTCTGACACCTGAGGACACAACATTGAAGGCACCATCTTGGAAGCCTCACCAGTTACCAAATCTGCTGGTGCCTTGATCTTAGACTTCCCAGCCTTCAAAACTGTGAGGAAATAAATTTCTGGTTTTTTATAAATTACCCAGTCTCAGGTATTTTGTTTTAGGAGCACAAAGGGACTAAGACTATGGTTCTGCATTTGGCTACTTCCCTATTTCTGTTTTTGCTTCATAATTTTTAAGTTATGTTATTAGATGCATATGTATTTAGAATTGTTATATCTTCCTAATAAACTAGAACTTTTCTCATGCTGAAATTTCCACTTTATGTCTTGAAGTCTACTTTTTCTTATTACTATAATCACAACAGCTTTCTAATGATTAGCATTTGCGTGTTATATATTTTAATGCTCTTACTTTCTACCTATTTATATCTTTATATTTAAATTGTCTTTCTTATAGCACAGAGTGATGTCTTTTTGGAAAATCTAATCTGATAATCTCTTGCTCAGATTCCTCATTGACTTATTTATTATGCTCATCTTTTACTTTAGGTCTTTGAACATATTTATACGTTCTCATTTTTAGGTCTGCTAACTCCAACATCAATGCTATCTCAGCATGTTTTCCCCCCTAATAATGTGTCATATTTTCTTGCTTCATCACTTATCTAGTACATTTTTATTGAATGTTGACATTATGTTACATACGTTGTTGAGAGTCCAGATTATGTTTTCTAAGGGGGTCCAGATTTGTTCCAGCAACTTATGGATCCTTTTAACCATGTCAAGCTGGATTTTTTTCTTTGGTAGTTTGGGTCTATTTTGGTTTTGCCTTAGTCCTAGAATGTGGCTGTTACTCTAGAGTATGGTGTATACCATAAGGTTTGGCCTTTTGGGATTTAAAGTGAATATATGAGATACTCAGTGAGATCTCTCCATTATAGCTAGATTAGAACTCCAACATTATCTAGCATTGCAATTTAATTGCATGACTTCTGGTGTCTTCTTTCAGCCATCAGCCATTCAGGAGCTTCTCCTGGATACTCTTCCTCCCCATGCAGCTCCCAGCTGTCTGGTACCCTTTCCTGCTAATTCTCATCAATACAGCAGCCCCTAAATCTGACCTCAGCCTCTTTCATTCAGCAAAGCTGCCCTCTGCTTTGCTTCCAGAAGCTTGTGTCAGTTGATGATAAGTGTCTTCAGGGAGAAAGCCCAGGCAGATATCAGGCTCAACTTATGTGTTTTCCTTCTCTCAATGTTTACGACCTTGCCATTCCTGCGTCCAATTACTGAGAATAATGCCTCAGATGACTTGTCTCATTGTTAATGGCAGAACAAGTCTGGTACCAGTTACTCTGGTGTTGCCATAAGTAGAAGTCCCAGCACATCTTTTTAAAAAAATACTATTTAATTAATTATACTTCTGGATTTAACATCAACCCATTTTATCACATGAATCAAGCTTTGAGATTCTAAGAAAGTGAAATTTTTAGTGCTGAAACAATACCATCACTTAACTTCTCTGATAGCACGCTCAACTCGTAAGGACTCTCGGATTTTTTAAAACCCTGAACCCTCTTGTATTTGATTGAATGACTTAGAACTTTTCAGCAATTTCTGTGCCTGTTTCACATCTTTTTTCTGTTCAGTTAGTTAGTATTATTTATGCTCATATTATTCTATAACGTCTGCAGTTGCTTCCTTTGATCGTCCCTTTCTTTTGAATACCATTTTATTTCCTCCCCGAACTCATTCATAACCTCTACTTTCTATTTTAGTGTGCATACACACACACACACACGCAAATATATATATATACGCATACATACACACACACACACACACACACACAACACTCACTGTAAGCCAAGACTGTGTTAGGTATTATAAATTTATAAATAAAGCAAACTACAAAAAAAGATAAGATCCCTAGCTGTTATGAGTTATATATTTTATAGTTCTATAGGATATGTCTTTTTTAAAAATTTTATTATTATTATACTCTAAGTTTTAGGGTACATGTGCACATCGTGCAGGTTTGTTACATATGTATACACGTGCCATGTTGGTGTGCTGCACCCATTAACTCATCATTTACCATTAGGTATATCTCCTAATGATATCCCTCCCCCCTCCTCCCACCCCACAACAGTCCCCGGTGTGGGATGTTCCCCTTCCTGTGTCCATGTGTTCTCATTGTTCAATTCCCACCTATCAGTGAGAACATGCGGTGTTTGGTTTTTTGTCCTTGGCATAGTTTGCTGAGAATGATGGTTTCCAGATACATCCATGTCCCTACAAAGGACATGAATTCATCATTTTTATGGCTGCATAGTATTCCGTGGTGTATATGTGCCACATTTTCTTAATCAAGTCTATCACTGTTGGACATTTGGGTTGGTTCCAAGTCTTTGCTATTGTGAATAGTGCCGCAATAAACATACATGTGCATGTGTCTTTATAGCAGCATGATTTATAATCTTTTCGGTATATACCCAGTAATGGGATGGCTGGGTCAAATGGTATTTCTAGTTCTAGATCCCTGAGGAATGGCCACACTGACTTCCACAAGGGTTGAACTAGTTTACAGTCCCACCAACAGTGTAAACGTGTTCCTATTTCTCCACATCCTCTCCAGTACCTGTTGTTTCCTGACTTTTTAATGATTGCCATTCTAATTGGTGTGAGATGGTATCTCATTGTGGTTTTGATTTGCATTTCTCTGATGGCCAGTGATGATGAGCACTTTTACATGTGTTTTTTGGCTGCATAAATGTCTTCTTTTGAGAAGTGTCTGTTCATATCCTTTGCCTACTTTTTGATGGGGTTGTTTTTTTCTTGTAAATTTGTTTGAGTTCATTGTAGATTCTGGATACTGGCCCTTTGTCAGATGAGTAGGTTGCAAAAATTTTCTCCCATTCCGTAGGTTGCCTGTTCACTCTGATGGTAGTTTCTTTTGCTGTGCAGAAGCTCTTTAGTTTAATTAGATCCCATTTGTCAGTTTTGGCTTTTGTTGCCATTGCTTTTGGTGTTTTAGACATGAAGTCCTTGCCCATGCCTATGTCCTGAATGGTAATGCCTAGGTTTTCTTCTAGGGTTTTTATGGTTTTAGGTCTAACGTTTAAGTCTTTAATCCACCTTGAATTAATTTTTGTATAAGGTGTAAGGAAGGGATCCAGTTTCAGCTTTCTACATATGGCTAGCCAGTTTTCCCAGCACCATTTATTAAATAGGGAATCCTTTCCCCATTGCTTGTTTTTCTCAGGTTTCTCAAAGATCAGATAGTTGTAGTTATGTGGCATTATTTCTGAGGGCTCTGTTCTGTTCCATTGATCTATATCTCTGTTTTGGTACCAGTACCATGCTGTTTTAGTTACTGTAGTCTTGTAGTATAGTTTGAAGTCAGGTAGTGTGATGCCTCCAGCTTTGTTCTTTTGGCTTAGGATTGATTTGGCAATGAGGGCTCTTTTTTGGTTCCATATGAACTTTAAAGTAGTTTTTTCCAATTCTGTGAAGAAAGTCATTGGTAGCTTGATGGGGATGGCATTGAATCTATAAATTACCTTGGGCAGTATGGCCATTTTCACGATATTGATTCTTCCTACCCATGAGCATGGAATGTTCTTCCATTTGTTTGTATCCTCTTTTATTTCATTGAGCAGTGGTTTGTAGTTCTCCTTGAAGAGGTCCTTCACATCCCTTGTAAGTTGGATTCCTAGGTATTTTATTCTCTTTGAAGCAATTGTGAATGGGAGTTCACTCATGATTTGGCTATTTGTCTGTTATTAGTGTATAAGAATGCTTGTGATTTTTGTACATTGATTTTGTATCCTGAGACTTTGCTGAAGTTGCTTATCAGCTTGAGGAGATTTTGGGCTGAGATGATGGGGTTTTCCAGATATACAATCATGTCATCTGCAAACAGGGACAATTTGACTTCCTCTTTTCCTAATTGAATGCCCTTTATTTATTTCCTTCTCCTACCTAATTGCCCTGGCCAGAACTTCCAACACTATGTTGAATAGGAGTGGTGAGAGAGGGCATCCCTGTCTTGTGCCAGTTTTCAAAAGGAATGCTTCCAGTTTTTGCCCATTCAGTATGATATTGGCTGTGGGTTTGTCATAGATAGCTCTTATTATTTTGAGATACATCCCATCAATACCTAATTTATTGAGAGTTTTTAGCATGAAGCGTTGTTGAATTTTGTCAAAGGCCTTTTCTGCATCTATTGAGATAATCATGTGGTTTTTGTCTTTGGTTCTGTTTATATGCTGGATTACATTTATTGATTTGCATATATTGAACCAGCCTTGCATCCCAGGGATGAAGCCCACTTGATCATGGTGGATAAGCTTTTTGATGTGCTGCTGGATTTGGTTTGCCAGTATTTTATTGAGGATTTTTGCATCAATGTTCATCAAGGATATTGGTCTAAAATTCTCTTTTTTTGTTGTGTCTCTGCCAGGCTTTGGTATCAGGATGATGCTGGCCTCATAAAATGAGTTAGGGAGGATTCCCTCTTTTTCTATTGATTGGAATAGTTTCAGAAGGAATGGTACCAGTTCCTCCTTGTACCTCTGGTAGAATTCGGCTATGAATCCATCTGGTCCTAGACTTTTTTTGGTTGGTAAGCTATTAATTATTACCTCAATTTCAGAGCCTGTTATTGGTCTCTTCAGAGATTCAGCTTCTTCCTGGTTTAGTCTTGTGAGGGTGTATGTGTCGAGGAATTTATCCATTTCTTCTAGATTTTCTAGTTTATTTGCATAGAGTTGTTTATAGTATTCTCTGACGGTAGTTTGTATTTCTGTGGGATCAGTGGTAATATCCCCTTTATCATTTTTTATTGCATCCATTTGATTAGTCTTGCTAGTGGTCTATCAATTTTGTTGATCCTTTCAAAAAACCAGCTCCTGGATTCATTGATTTTTTGAAGGGATTTTTGTGTCTCTACTTCCTTCAATTCCGCTCTGATCTTAGTTATTTCTTGCCTTCTGCTAGCTTTTGAATGTGTTTGCTCTTGCTTTTCTAGTTCTTTTGGTTGTGATGTTAGGGTGTCGATTTTAGATCTTTCCTGCTTTCCCTTGTGGGCATTTGGTGCTATAAATTTCCCTCTACACACTGCTTTGAATGTGTCCCAGAGATTCTGGTATGTTGTGTCTTTGTTCTCATTGGTTTCAAAGAACATCTTTATTTCTGTCTTCATTTCGTTATGTACCCAGTAGTCATTCAGGAGCAGGTTGTTCAGTTTCCATGTAGTTGAGTGGTTTTGAGTTTCTTAATCCTGAGTTCTAGTTTGATTGCACTGTGGTCTGAGGGACAGTTTGTTATTATTTCTGTTCTTTTACATTTGCTGAGGAGTGCTTTACTTCCATCTGTGTGGTCAATTTTGGAATAGGTGTGCTGTGGTTCTTAAAAAATGTATATTCTCTTGATTTGGGGTGGAGAGTTCTGTAGATGTCTATTAGGTCCACTTGGTGCAGAGCTCAGTTCAATTCCTGGGTATCCTTGTTAACTTTCTGTCTCGTTGATCTGTCTAATGTTGACAGTGGGGTATTAAAGTCTCCCATTATTATTGTGTGGGAGTCTAAGTCTCTTTGTAGGTCACTAAGGACTTGCTTTATGAATCTGGGTGCTCCTGTATTAGATACATATATATTTAGGATAGTTAGCTCTTCTTGTTGAGTTGATCCCTTTACCATTATGTAATGGCCTTGTCTCTTTTGATCTTTGTTGGTTTAAAGTCTGTTTTATCAGAGACTATGATTGCAACCCCTGCCTTTTTTTGGTTTTTTTTTTTTTTTTTTTTTTTTTTTTTGGTAGATCTTCCTCCATCCCTTTATTTTGAGCCTATGTGTGTCTCTGCACGTGTGATGGGTTTCCTGAATACAGCACACTGATGGGTCTTGACTCTTTATCCAATTTCCCAATCTGTGTCTTTTAATTAGAGCATTCAGCCCATTTACCTTTAAGGTTAATATTGTTATGTGTGAATTTGATCCTGTCATTATGATGTTAGCTGGTTATTTTGCTTGTTACTTGATGCAGTTTCTTCCTAGCTTCGATGGTCTTTACAATTTGGCATGTTTTTGCAGTGGCTGGTACCAGTTGTTCCTCTCCATGTTTAGTGCTTCCTTCAGGAGCTCTTTTAGGGCAGGCCTGGTGGTGACAAAATCTCTCAGCATTTGCTTGTCTGTAAAGTATTTTATTTCTCCTTCACTTATGAAGCTTAGTTTGGCTGGATATGAAATTCTGGGTTGAAAATTCTTTTCTTTAAGAATGTTGAATATTGGCCCCCACTCTCTTCTGGCTTGTAGAGTTTCTGCCGAGAGATCTGCTGTTAGTCTGATGGGCTTCCCTTTGAGGGTAACCCGACCTTTCTCTCTGGCTGCCCTTAACATTTTTTCTTCATTTCAACTTTGGTGAGTCTGACAATTATGTGTCTTGGAGTTGCTCTTCTTGAGGAGTATCTTTGTGGCATTCTCTGTATTTCCTGAATTTGAATGTTGGCCTGCCTTGCTAGATTGGGGAAGTTCTCCTGAATAATATCCTGCAGAGTGTTTTCCAACTTGGTTCCATTCTCCCCATTACTTTCAGGTACACCAATCAGACGTAGATTTGGTCTTTTCATATAGTCCCACATTTCTTGGAGGCTTTGTTCGTTTCTTTTTATTCTTTTTTCTATAAACTTCTCTTCTCTCTTCATTTCATTCATTTCGTCTTCCATTGCTGATACCCTTTCTTCCAGTTGATTGCATTGGCTACTGAGGCTTGTGCATTCATCACATAGTTCTCATGCCATGGTTTTCAGCTCCATCAGGTCCTTTAAGGACTTCTCTGCATTGGTTATTCTAGTTATCCATTAGTCTAATTTTTTTTCAAGGTTTTTAACTTTGTTGCCATTGGCTCGAACTTCCTTCTTTAGCTCGGAGTAGTTTGATCTTCTGAAGCCTTCTTCTCTCAACTCGTCAAAGTCATTCTCTATCCAGCTTTGTTCTGTTGTTGGTGAGGAGCTGCGTTCCTTTGGAGGAGGAGAGGCACTCTGCTTTTTAGAGTTTCCGGTTTTTCTGCTCTGTTTTTTCCCATCTTTCTTTGTGGTTTTATCTACCTTTGGTCTTTGATGATGGTGACGTACAGATGAGTTTTTGGTGTGCATGTCCTTTCTGTTTGTTAGTTTTCCTTCTAACAGTCAGGACCCTCAGCTGCAGGTCTGTTGGAGTTTGCTGGAGGTCCACTCCAGACCCTGTTTGCCTGGGTATCAGCAGTGGTGCCTACAGAACAGCGGATATTGGTGAACTGCAAATGCTGCTGCCTGATCATTCTTCTGGAAGTTTTGTCTCAAAGGAGTACCCGGCCATGTGAGCTGTCAGTCCGCCCCTACTGGTGGGTGCCTCCCAGTTAGGCTACTCGGGGGTCAGGGACCCACTTGAGGAGGCAGTCTGCCCATTCTCAGATCTCAAGCTGTGTGCTGGGAGAACCACTACTCTCTTCAAAGCTGTCAGACAGGGACATTTAAGTCTGCAGAGGTTACTGCTGCCTTTTGTTTGTCTGTGCCCTGGCCCCAGAGGTGGAGCCTACAGAGGCAGGCAGGCCTCCTTGAGCTGTGGTGGGCTCCACCCAGTTCGAGCTTCCTGGCTGCTTTACCTACTCAAGCCTCGCCCCTCCCCCAGCCTCTCTGCCACCTTGCAGTTTGATCTTGGACTGCTGTGCTAGCAATGAGCAAGGCTCCGTGGGTGTAGGACCCTCCGAGCAAGGTGTGGGATATAATCTCCTGGTGTGCCGTTTGTTAAGCCCGTTGGAAAAGTGCAGTATTAAGGTAGGAGTGACCCGATTTTCCAGGTTCCATCTGTCACCCCTTTCTTTGACTAGGAAGGGGAATTCCCTGACCCCTTGTGCTTCCTGGGTGAGGCGATGCCTCACCCTGCTACGGCTCATGCACGGTGCGGTGTACCCACTGTCCCACACCCACTATCCGGCACTCCCCAGTGAGATGAACCCGGTACCTCAGTTGGAAATGCAGAAATCACCCGTCTTCTGCGTCGCTTACGCTGGGGGCTGTAGACTGGAGCCGTTCCTATTCGTCCATCTTGGCTCCACCCCCCCCCCAGATATGTCTTAATTAGGTTCTCCTATAAGCAGGGCATGAGAAAAAGTCTTAAGTACTGATTATTGATAAATTTGGGGATGAGGAAGAGTAGAATGAGTTGAAAAGGGGGAAACTGACAATATTAAGGTTGCTGCTCTAGGAACTAGGAGCTTGACATCTGCTGCAATCTCCTAAGAAACTATAATGGTCCTCCCAGCCTTGTCCACCTGAGGATGGGGAAACCTCAACATTTATCTACTTATTCCCATCTCCTGTTGGTTGTGCTTGTGCTGGGAACAACAACTCCCCTGTGGCACCAGAGAAAGTCCTGGAGCAAAAAGTAGAAAGATAAGAAGTGGAGTGTGCTCGAGGAGGGTCACTGTTCTGGAGATAAGTCTGAGTTTTCAGGGAATTGTCTGTTGTAGCTGCAGTTGAAATCATAGTAGGCCAAGGAAATCATAGTAGGCCAAGGGGATGTGACAAGATTTCCACCTGTGACCCCACAGGCAGCTGCCACAGGTGGAAATATTAGACTACGTACAGATATTCTCTCACAACTATAAATACCATATAAAAGTTAGCAATAAAATAGAGTGAAAGTGTGTAAAGTGTGTGTGTGTGAATGGGGAAGGGGTAAGTTCAGATTGAGTGATTTGGGAAGAACCCTCTGGGGAGGTGGCATTTGAGCTAATAGCTGAAGCATTTAAAGTAAGCAGGATGGATGCAGAGGAAGAGGATTCTGGGCAGGGAAGGGCAAGGGTAAAGGCCCTAAAATGGAATGATTGTGCATGTGTGAGGAGCAACTGACTGAGACCTACTGAGAGGAGAGAGCCTCTAAGGCCATGGTAAGGAGTTTGCAATTTATTCTAAGTCCTTTGGAAAACCATCAGAAGGTTTTATGCAGGGGGATGGTATGATCTTATTTGTTTTAAATGATACTATGAGCCTATAATGATTTTTTTTATTCATACATGTCAAGTATTCCTGAAGATTTCAATGCAGTTACACTAGATATCATTGGAAAAATATACCTTATTTTGTCTTTAGGCCCAATTATATATAAATCACTATCTTAGACTAAAATCCCAATCTCTTACATTCCACTATAACAAAATTTAATACTCATATTTCAGAATCCATAGAGAAAGCAGCAATAGCAATTAATGGATGTCATAGTTTTTCACCAACTTCTAGCCAAAGGCTCATTAAAGTGAGTCAGGAAAACAGTCAAACCATCATTTGAATAGAAGCTACCAAGACTGTTTAGAGACACATTTAATTCTAGCAGAAAGATGGTTGATTTTTAGGTATTAAAAAGTTTTTAAAATGTTAACATTCACAATTCTCATACAAACTCTTCAGGTTAATACAACTTGCTTTTTCATAAGCAAATTATTTTTATTGGTGATCCCATGGTTTAACAAAAACCCTAAACTGGAACATGGAATACTCAGCTCTAACATTAATTTGTTTTGCAACAACGAATGATTGATCACAAAGTGATCGCAAAGTATTTATTAAGCATCTCTTGTATATGTACTAAGAGTGATGAATTACAAAAATATCAGATATGGTCATGCCTACAAGGGTAAAAATATATAGTCACTACCTCAAATTTCATGTAAATGTGCAGGAAATACTGCATTGACACTCCAACACATGATTCTTAAAAAAAAAAAAAAAATGCTGGGCGTGATGGCTCACACCTGTAATCCTAGCACTTTGGGAGGCCAAGGTGGGTGAATCACAAGTCAGGAGTTCGAGACCAGCCTGGCAAACATGGTGAAACCTCGTCTCTACTAAAAATACAAAAAATTAGCTGGGCATAGTGGTGGGCACCTGTAATCTCAGCCACTGGGGAGGCTGAGGCAGGAGAATCACTTGAACCCAGGAGGTTGCAGTGAGCCGAGATCATGCCACTGCACTCCAACCCAGGTGACAGAGTGAGACTCCATTAAAAAAAAAAAAGAGAGAGAGAGAGAGAGAGAAAGAGAAAGAAAAGAAAGGAAAAGAAAAAGAAAGAAAGAAGAAAAAGACTAGGCTTAGACTAGACTCAGAAAAAATGTATCCTAATAATCCCTAATAAATGTGAGATTAGTTTTTTTTTTAAAGCTGTAAATTACATTTTCAAGAGTTAAGGTTTTCCTGCTTAATGAAATTCATTTACAGAAATCATACTGCACTGTTGCGTGAATATTCTGCTACCAAATAAACAATAGTCCATCCGTCTGAGGACAGTTGTAATCCTAATACTTTTGCTAGAATTGCAGGAGACACTGAAAACATCTTCATTCCTTGTGGCAAGTTCCCTCCAGACTAAGTGCTAAATATGATTCTGGTTTGACATATTCTCTCCCTGTGCTTGAGAAACCATAAACTCAAGTGTTCAGATGCTCAGATCCACATATATCAAGTAATTTTCTTGCTTTGCTGTTTTCACTGTCTTCAAGTATTTGTGATTCATTTTGGTTTCTTTGATTTATAAGTCAACATTTGAAAAGGTATAACTGCAAATGTGGGTAACTTTTTCAGAAGGGAGATTACTAGAAGAAATCTGGGATCAACAGGAAGTGAACCTTTGAGTTGAAATTGTCTTATAGGAAAAGTGATACATACCGTTGTATATAGCTACCAGTCTTGATAAGTTTAAGAGAGTTTGTATTTCCTTTTTATTTTACTACACCCTTCTCAGGATTTAGGAACAAAAATACCTAAGTTAAATATTGATGCTTATAGTTGGGTAAAGTCATTCTATAATTATTTGTCATATAGAAAGTCATTCTATAATTATTTGTCATAGTTGTCATATATTGCCATATAATCTATTTGGTAAATAAATTATTTCATGGGCTACCTCAAATAGCCAGCTTATAGACAGTTTATTACTCTTTATGTTAAAGTCAAGCTCAGACCTTTATACATGCAAAAAAAAAAAAAGAAGTAGGTCAGTTCGATGTTTTATAGAGACGGAGCTGTAATGTGAGTTTGGAGAGCCTAAAGAGGAATGGAAAAGAAAAGTTCACTTGCAGAAATGCATCAGGAAGCACCCATAAAGCAAAAACTAATAGTAATTACTCAAATGCATTTTAAATTGACAAATCACTCACCTCTGTAACTTCCTAACATTGCAGAGCTCGAAAAGACACATTTCAGTGGAAGGAACTAAAGACCACTTGAAAAGGAATGAAAGCATGTTGCCCTAAGCCAGATTGCAGCAATATGTTGACCTTGGGACAATGAATGATTGGTCACAAAGTGATCACAAAATATTTATTAAGCATCTAACAGATATCCGAGTTAGAGTGAGTTTTATGAGAAATCAAGAAGAGTTCCTCTTAAAGCACCTCTTGGAGAAAACAACACAAATTAGATCAAGAGGGGGAGAAAAATGGGGCCTCACCCAGTGATTAAAGAAAATGATAATGGGGTGGAGCCAACATGGCTGAATAGGAACATCTCTGGCCTACAGCTCCCAGCATCAGCGACGCAGAAGACGGGCGATTTCTGCATTTCCATCTGAGGTATCGGGTTCATCTCACTAGGGAGTGCCAGACAGTGGGTGCGGCACAGTGGGTGCAGCGCACCATACGTGAGCCAAAGCAGGGCGAGGCAAGGAGCAGGGCGAGGCAAGGGGTCAGGGAAGCACGAGGGGTCAGGGAGTTCCCTTTCCTAGTCAAAGAAAGGGGTGACAGATGGCACCTGCAAAATCGGGTCACTCCCACCCCAATGCTGCGCTTTTCCGATGGGCTTAAAAAACGGAGCACCAGGAGATTATATCCCGCACATGGCTCAGAGCATCCTACGCCCACGGAGTCTCGCTGACTGCTAGCACAGCAGTCTGAGATCAAACTGCAAGGCGGCAGCGAGGCTGGGGGAGAGGCGCCCGCCATTGCCCAGACTTGCTTAGGTAAACAAAGCAGCCGGGAAGCTCGAACTGGGTGGAGCCCACCACAGCTCAACGAGGCCTGCCTGCCTCTGTAGGCTCCATCTCTGGGGGCAGGGCACAGACAAACAAAAAGACAGCAGTAACCTCTGCAGACTTAAATGTCCCTGTCTGACAGCTTTGAAGAGAGCAGTGGTTCTCCCAGCACACAGCTGGAGATCTGAGAACGGGCAGACTGCCTCCTCAAGTGGGTCCCTGACCCCTGACCCCTGAGCAGCCTAACTGGGAGGCACCCCCCAGTAGGGGCAGACTGACACCTCACACGGCCGGGTACTCCTCTGAGACAAAACTTCCAGAGGCACGATCAGACAGCAGCATTCGCGTTTCATGAAAATCCACTGTTCTGCAGCCACCACTGCTGGTACCCAGGCAAACAGGGTCTGGAGTGGACCTCTAGCAAACTCCAACAGACCTGCAGGTGAGGGGCCTGTCTGTTAGAAGGAAAACTAACAAACAGAAAGGACATCCACACCAAAAACCCATCTGTACATCACCATCATCAAAGACCAAAAGTAGATAAAAGCACAAAGATGGGGAAAACACAGAGCAGAAAAACTGGAAACTCTGAAAAGCAGAGCGCCTCTCCTCCTCCAAAGGAACACAGCTCCTCACCAGCAACGGAACAAAGCTGGATGGAGAATGATTTTGATGAGTTGAGAGAAGAAGGCTTCAGACGATCAAACTACTCCGAGCTACAGGAAGAAATTCAAACCAAAGGCAAAGAAGTTGAAAACTTTGAAAAAAATTTAGACGAATGGATAACTAAAATAACCAATACAGAGAAGTGCTTAAAGGAGCTGATGGAGCTGAAAGCCAATGCTCAAGAACTATGTGAAGAATGCAGAAGACTCAGGAGCTGATGTGATCAACTGGAAGAAAGGGTGTCAGTGATGGAAGATGAAATGAATGAAATGAAGCGATAAGGGAAGTTTAAAGAAAAAGAATAAAAAGAAACGAACAAAGCCTCCAAGAAATATGGGACTATGTGAAAAGACCAAATGTACGTCTGATTGGTGTACCTGAAAGTGACGGGGAGAATGGAACCAAGTTGGAAAACACTCTGCAGGATATTATCCAGGAGAACTTCCCCAATCTAGCAAGGCAGGCCAACATTCAGATTCAGGAAATACAGAGAACACCACAAAGAGACTCCTCAAGAAGAGCAACTCCAAGACACATAATTGTCAGATTCACCAAAGTTGAAATGAAGGAAAAAATGTTAAGGGCAGCCAGAGAGAAAGGTCGGGTTACCCACAAAGGGAAGCCCATCAGACTAACAGCAGATCTCTCAGCAGAAACTCTACAAGCCAGAAGAGAGTGGGGGCCAATATTCAACATTCTTAAAGAAAAGAATTTTCAACCCAGAATTTCATATCCAGCCAAACTAAGCTTCATAAGTGAAGGAGAAATAAAATACTTTACAGACAAGCAAATGCTGAGAGATTTTGTCACCACCAGGCCTGCCCTAAAAGAGCTCCTGAAGGTAGCACTAAACATGGAAAGGAACAACTGGTACCAGCCACTGCAAAATCATGCCAAATTGTAAAGACCATCAAAGCTAGGAAGAAACTGCATCAACTAACGAGCAAAATAACCAGCTAACATCATAATGACAGGATCAAATTCAAACATAACAGTATTAACTTTAAATGTAAATGGACTAAATGCTCCAATCAAAAGACACAGACTGGCAAATTGGATAAAGAGTCAAGACCCATCAGTGTGCTGTATTCAGGAAACCCATCTCATGGGCAGAGACACACATAGGCTCAAAATAAAAGGATGGAGGAAGATCTACCAAGCAAATGGAAAACAAAAAAAGGCAGGGGTTGCAATCCCAGTCTCTGATAAAACAGACTTTAAACCAACAAAGATCAAAAGAGACAAAGAAGGCCATTACATAATGGTAAAGGGATCAATTCAACAAGAAGAACTAACTATCCTAAATATATATGTACCCAATACAGGAGCACCCAGATTCATAAAGCAAGTCCTGAGTGACCCACAAAGAGACTTAGACTCCCACACAATCATAATGGGAGACTTTAACACCCCACTGTCAACACTAGACAGATCAACGAGACAGAAAGTTAACAAGGATACCCAGGAATTGAACTCAGCTCTGCACCAAGCAGACCTAATAGACATCTACAGAACTCTCCGCCCCAAATCAACAGAATATACATTTTTTTCAGCACCACACCACACCTATTCCAAAACTGACCACATAGTTGGAAGTAAAGCTCTCCTCAGCAAATGTAAAAGAACAGAAATTATAACAAACTGTCTCTCAGACCACAGTGCAATCAAACTAGAACTGAGGATTAAGAAACTCACTCAAAATCGCGCAACTACATGGAAACTGAACAACCTGCTCCTGAATGACTACTGGGTACATAACGAAATGAAGGCAGAAATAAAGATGTTCTTTGAAACCAATGAGAACAAAGACACAACATACCAGAATCTCTGGGACACATTCAAAGCAGTGTGTAGAGGGAAATTTATAGCACTGAATGCCCACAAGAGAAAGCAGGAAAGATCCAAAATTGACATCCTAACATCACAATTAAAAGAACTAGAAAAGCAAGAGCAAACACATTCAAAAGCTAGCAGAAGGCAAGAAATAACTAAAATCAGAGCAGAACTGAAGGAAATAGAGACACAAAAAACCCTTCAAAAAATTAATAAATCCAGGAGCTGGTTTTTTGAAAGGATCAGCAAAATTGATAGACCACCAGCAAGACTAATAAAGAAGAAAAAAAGAAGAATCAAATAGACGCAATAAAAAATGATAAAGGGTATATCACCACTGATCCCACAGAAATACAAACTACCATCAGAGTATACTACAAACACCTCTACACAAATAAACTAGAAAATCTAGAAGAAATGGATAAATTCCTCGACATATACACCCTCCCAAGACTAAACCAGGAAGAAGTTGAATCTCTGAATAGACTAATAACAGGCTCTGAAATTGTGGCAATAATCAATAGCTTACCAACTAAAAAGAGTCCAGGACCAGATGGATGCACAGCTGAATTCTACCAGAGGTACAAGGAGGAACTGGTACCATTCCTTCTGAAACTATTCCAATCAATAGAAAAAGAGGGAATCCTCCCTAACTCATTTTATGAGGCCAGCATCATCCTGATACCAAAGCCTGGCAGAGACACAACAAAAAAAGAGAATTTTAGACCAATATCCTTGATGAACATTGATGCAAAAATCCTCAATAAAATACTGGCAAACCAAATCCAGCAGCACATCAAAAAGCTTATCCACCATGATCAAGTGGGCTTCATCCCTGGGATGCAAGGCTGGTTCAATATATGCAAATCAATAAATGTAATCCAGCATATAAACAGAACCAAAGACAAAAACCACATGATTATCTCAATAGATGCAGAAAAGGCCTTTGACAAAATTCAACAACGCTTCATGCTAAAAACTCTCAATAAATTAGGTATTGATGGGATGTATCTCAAAATAATAAGAGCTATCTATGACAAACCCACAGCCAATATCATACTGAATGGGCAAAAACTGGAAGCATTCCTTTTGAAAACTGGCACAAGACAGGGATGCCCTCTCTCACCACTCCTATTCAACATAGTGTTGGAAGTTCTGGCCAGGGCAATTAGGTAGGAGAAGGAAATAAATAAAGGGCATTCAATTAGGAAAAGAGGAAGTCAAATTGTCCCTGTTTGCAGATGACATGATTGTATATCTGGAAAACCCCATCATCTCAGCCCAAAATCTCCTCAAGCTGATAAGCAACTTCAGCAAAGTCTCAGGATACAAAATCAATGTACAAAAATCACAAGCATTCTTATACACTAATAACAGACAAATAGCCAAATCATGAGTGAACTCCCATTCACAATTGCTTCAAAGAGAATAAAATACCTAGGAATCCAACTTACAAGGGATGTGAAGGACCTCTTCAAGGAGAACTACAAACCACTGCTCAATGAAATAAAAGAGGATACAAACAAATGGAAGAACATTCCATGCTCATGGGTAGGAAGAATCAATATCGTGAAAATGGCCATACTGCCCAAGGTAATTTATAGATTCAATGCCATCCCCATCAAGCTACCAATGACTTTCTTCACAGAATTGGAAAAAACTACTTTAAAGTTCATATGGAACCAAAAAAGAGCCCTCATTGCCAAATCAATCCTAAGCCAAAAGAACAAAGCTGGAGGCATCACCCTACCTGACTTCAAACTATACTACAAGACTACAGTAACTAAAACAGCATGGTACTGGTACCAAAACAGAGATATAGATCAATGGAACAGAACAGAGCCCTCAGAAATAATGCCACATAACTACAACTATCTGATCTTTGAGAAACCTGAGAAAAACAAGCAATGGGGAAAGGATTCCCTATTTAATAAATGGTGCTGGGAAAACTGGCTAGCCATATGTAGAAAGCTGAAACTGGATCCCTTCCTTACACCTTATACAAAAATTAATTCAAGGTGGATTAAAGACTTAAACGTTAGACCTAAAACCATAAAAACCCTAGAAGAAAACCTAGGCATTACCATTCAGGACATAGGCGTGGGCAAGGACTTCATATCTAAAACACCAAAAGCAATGGCAACAAAAGCCAAAACTGACAAATGGGATCTAATTAAACTAAAGAGCTTCTGCACAGCAAAAGAAACTACCATCAGAGTGAACAGGCAACCTACAAAATGGGAGAAAATTTTCACAACCTACTCATCTGACAAAGGGCTAATATCCAGAACCTACAATGAACTCAAACAAATTTACAAGAAAAAAACAAACAACCCCATCAAAAAGTGGGCAAAGGACATGAACAGACACTTCTCAAAAGAAGACATTTATGCAGCCAAAAAACACATGAAAAAATGCTCACCATCACTGGCCATCAGAGAAATGCAAATCAAAACCACAATGAGATAGCATCTCACACCAGTTAGAATGGCAATCATTAAAAAGTCAGGAAACAACAGGTGCTGGAGAGGATGTGGAGAAATAGGAACACTTTTACACTGTTGGTGGGACTGTAAACTAGTTCAACCCTTGTGGAAGTCAGTGTGGCCATTCCTCAGGGATCTAGAACTAGAAATACCGTTTGACCCAGCCATCCCATTACTGGGTATATACCCAAAGGACTATAAATCATGCTGCTATAAAGACACATGCACACATATGTTTATTGCGGCACTATTCACAATAGCAAAGACTTGGAACCAACCCAAATGTCCAACAATGATAGACTGGATTAAGAAAATGTGGCACATATACACCATGGAATACTATGCAGCCATAAAAAATGATGAGTTCATGTCCTTTGTAGGGACATGGATGAAATTGGAAATCATCATTCTCAGTAAACTATCACAAAAACAAAAAACCAAACACCGAATATTCTCACTCATAGATGGGAATTGAACAATGAGAACACATGGACACAGGAAGGGGAACATCACACTCTGGGGACTGTTGTGGGGTGGGAGGAGGGGGGAGGGATAGCTTTAGGAGATATACCTAATGCTAAATGACGAGTTAATGGGTGCAGGACACCAACATGGCACATGTATACATATGTAACTAACCTGCACATTGTGCACATGTACCCTAAAACTTAAAGTATAATAATAATATAAAATAAAATAAATAAATAAAATGATAAAAGATCCACTGCTTCTTCTGCAACTCTGTGTAGAACAATCTGAAATCTGAATTTCCATGGGAAGTATTTCAATGATCAAGAAAACACAAAAGGATAAGCTCAGGAGGAAAAGGAAAGCTAATGAGCTGAGTTGAAAATAAATGTTCCTAAGTGAGGATTAGGCCAATCTCTTTGCCAGAAAAGCTGGCTGTTGGCTTGAATTTTCCAGATTGGTGGCCAGCTTTATCATGCCATAATCAGACAAAAATGAGCACATAAAGGTATTAACAAAATGACTCAAGCTGTCATGTGATCTTTAAATTTCCATTGTGAAAATGCTAACACTTGTGATATTTATTAGATGCTATAAACTCTTGATAGGGAGTGGAGGAAGGGGCTGGACTATACTCTTTCTGTTACATCCTCCAGGAAGACACTAGCATCAACATTTATTTAGGCTTAGCATTTCAGCACATGGTGCCTCACTAATCACAGTCCCTCATGTAAAGAAAATTGAATTCAGTAGCATTTCCTAAAACTCCTATTTTTGTAGGATGACTATGAAGAAGAGATATTAAGGACATTTGCTGGCTACCACCTTGCAATTTTTACATATGCTTACAACTTCAGAGGATTATGGTATAGTGGCTCAGACACTGGGAAAAAGCACCTTAATATGAACTGAAGCAGAAATTCAGCTGCAATACTGATCCTTATTTGGGATGGAATTAGCAAAATTATAGATATAATATGCAAAATCTGTTTTCAAGCCATATTAACTACTTAGATTTCTGGCAGTGTGGTTGTATGCTATTCGTGAATGTGTAAATGCCATGCATTTTCCTACAATGCAAAAAATAAATTTCCAAATATACTTGCAAAAATATCCTTGATCATGGAGTGTGCTGGCTTTCTTTTGGCATAATGATAAATGACACTTCCAATTATGTATCAAGAGAAATTTGTAAAATCTATTAGATTTTTAAAGAGAGTTGTATTTATAACACCTTTAATACTATATATTATACACTCATGGGAAATAGAGTCTTAAGTGCAAGAATCTTCTGTACGGTTCCTCTATTATCAAATAGTTAGCAAGCAAAGCTTTTTGTTCAGACAAAGCCCAAATTCTGTAAGAGTGCATATAACTTGTAGTCAAGAACGAAAGCATACTTTAGGATGTTAAAGAACACCCCCAAAATGGCTTTATAATTAAAAAATATATACTATAACTATACAAATCCTTGGAATGATGCCATGCTAACTTAAAGAGTTGTTTCAGCAATATGACAAAGATAACTCAGAGCTTTGTCATTTATTTATGAAGATATATAAATGCTAGATATATTCAATAAAACAATGTTTAATGGCATACCTGAATTCAAAAACAAGAAAATGACAGATAAATAGGAGGTACTTTAAATTCAGGACCTAGGACTTCAGCAACAAGAGGCAAATTGCCCAACATTTAAGTCTTCAGGTATACCTAAAGGTGTTTTTAATGCCCATGTAGGTACAGAAGACATGGCTTTGGGCTCAGGAAAGGTGGGGGAGCTAAAGCATCATGCCCACCATAAAGCTGGGATAAGAGAAGAGCTGCTGCCTCAGTGAAAAGGGGATAAGAACAATTCTACCCACTGATACAGAAAGCAAAAAGGAAACTTGTCTTTGTTGGGATTCTGAGGAGAGGAAAAAAAAGTCACCTGTGAAAACTAAAAACTCCAAGCCTGACCAAATTTATGTCATCTATGGGCATGGACATTCCTAGTTTGAAAAATTAACAATAAGACTTATCTAAGTTTGGTGAAATCCTTGGAGCATCCAGCAAAAACAAAAATGAAAACATTCCCAACCAGAACTTCTATGTATGCAAGAACTCCAATAGGAAAAAAATGAAGCTAAGACAAGAACACTTTTCTGTTTAAATAAACTCTCACACACAAATAAATTCTAAGCCATGGTGGAAAGTGAGCACACACAACAAATATAAGAATTATGTACTCCTCCTTACTGTCAAATATGATATAATCAAATCAAACAATGTGAAATCATCTATAAAACCAAATGATTAGAGTAAAAAAGGGAAAAATAAATATCAAAACATATGACACTATAAAAATATATGATCAATTTGAAAAAGAAAAATGACCTTTAGATAGGAAGAAAAAGTCCTTGAATAAAAGTTAGTTGAGGCCGGGCATGGTGGCTCATGCCTGTAATCCCAGCACTTTGGGAGGCCGAGGTGGGCGGATCACCAGGTCAGGAGATTGAGACCATCCTGCTCAATCAACGTGGTGAAACTCTGTCTCTACTAAGAATACAAAAATTAGCCAGGCATGGTGGCATGTGCCTGTAGTCCCAGCTACTTGGGAGGCTGAAGCAGGAGAATTGCTTGAACCCAGGAGGTGGAGGTTGCAATGAGCCAAGATTGCGCCACTGCACTCCAGCCTGGCGACAGAGCAAGACTCTGTCTCAAAAAAAAAAAAAAAAAAAAAAAAAAAGCTAGTTGACATAAAGCTTAGACAATTTAAGAGGGAATTAACAAATGGAAGGCAGACAAGGAAATTACCCCAATTGCAGCACAAAGAGATAAAGAAACAGGACAAAACAAAGGCTTAAGCACAGAGTATAGAAGATCAAACATATGCTGAAGTAGGAGTTATAGAAGGAGAGAAAACACAGAAGATGGGGGAAATATAATATTCAAAGGGATATTTGTTGATAATTTTTCAGAGTTGATGAAAGATATGAATCCTCAGATAGCAGAACATCAAAGACAATAGGAAAATCCTAAAAGCAAACAGAGAGAAAAGACTACCTACAAAGGAAGGATTAATTTCTTGGCATAGAGAAAGGAGAATGGAATGGGAATAAGCATTTAGTTGTATCTGTAATATTTTATTCCTTCAAAAAATAATCTGGAGCAAATATGAAAACATGACTGTAAAATAAGTGTGGTAAGTATAATGGTGTCTGTTATATTATTTTCTTACTCTTTTACCTGTTTGACATGTTTCAGAGTTAAAAATTAAAATACGAAAAGTTGAAAAGGAGTAACATTTATCAATAAAATAGTGTTTATCACAAAAACATCTATTGTCCCATTTCCATGGACCAACTCCCCATCCCAGGAAATAGTAATAAAATAGAAGTGAGGGGGCTCATACTGGTATTCAGCTTGGAAGAGGCTTACCAGTTACCTTAATGATGGCAATATTTAGATCAAAGATTGTCAAACTATGACCCTGGGACAACCACCTGTTTTTATAAATAAAATTTTATTGATACACAGTATACTTATTTGTTTATATATTGTCTGTAGCTTCTTTGACTCTATAACAGTGGAGTTATTAATGATTATAAGCCTAAAATATTTACTACCTAGCCTTTTAAGAAAAAGTTTGCCAACCCTTGACTTAAATGATGCTGTTTCTTGTCATTTCCCTTTAATGAGTTAGCAATGTATTTTTAACTGAAGTCACACATTTACATAAGTTTCAAGATAATAATTAACTAAGTTTAAAGGTCTTAAATTCATACATAGGAAAAACTTGAGGTAAGAGTAAAAACTGAGAAATGCTAAAATATCTTTGAGTGTTTATTTAGTTGGATTTTTCTACCTTCAAGATTCTCAATAATCAAGCAAAACTGGTTTGGGTAACATGAAAGTTCAAATCAGTCATCGGATTTTGCAATGTGACCCAATTAATCTTGTGTGTATTACACTTTCCCATAATCCCCACTTTCAGCCAAAGTTACACTAATTTTATATTGGCTTAGAAAGCAGGAGAAAAAAGTATTTGTCTAGGCTTGTATTTTTTTAAATTCTCTTTCCATACATATTTTAGTTCCTAAGAGCTGGAAATACTGGCTCTTCATATATTTAAGATGCCTGAAAATTATATTTTTATGCTATTTAATACATATTGTGATGTTTGAAGAGAATGATTCATCACTTAGTCATGACCAAAAAGAGAACTGGAGTTTTCACCTCAGTGTTTGCTTAAACCTCAGGAAATCTTTTTTTCTTTCAATTGGAGAAACCCAGATTTTATTTTTTACTAAAGACTGGAGATTTTACTGATTTAATCACTTGTCAATAAAAATAATAATAGCTCCTTTGAAGACACAAATTATTACTTGCCCCAGATATGGCAAGGAAAATTACCATCACTTTACTCCTTCCAGTCTCTCTGTCACCAGATTCTACCTCCCCTCTCTGATCTTATCACATTCTTTGGACTTGCTCTTTTCAACCACAGCCTACCCTGCCCCCATCCCTCACCCATCTCCTACATATCCTTGTAGTGAATGCCTGTTTAGTGCCTTTTTTACAGCTTTCCGATGCTTAGTTCCAACCTCACCATTATCTAGTGGTCATTCACAAACGGGTATTAATTAATTAGTTAATCTTTATTAAATATCTATAACCTAAAATGACCTTGCCCCTCTCTAAATTTCTACAGTTTTCAGTTTAAAAAACAAGAGCCCTAGATTATTTTCCATTTGTTACATGAAAATAAAACATTATTTCTTCTGCAAACTCTTTCAAGGTAGGAACAATGTTGCATGTTTTTAAAAAAATAGCATTGAAAAGACTCAAACAAGAAAGAGAAAAAATAAAAGCCGCAAAGGGCATCCCAGACAATGTGACGAAGAACCCGGTACCTGCTTTAATACTTACTGGTTTGCTGTTTTATGTATCACATATATATTTGCTATTTGAAGATAAAACTACTTGTTAAATGTCGTACTTTTAAAAAATCATTTTACATTAGGGAGACATACATTGAAATCCGTTATATAAATTTGTTAGGGTGGAATAAGCCTTCTTTAAACACAAATCAAGTGCAGAAAGAAACAAAAAGCAAACAATGCAGTGCCACTCGGATTCTAAGTCCATTAACATAGTAATTTATAGTTGGATTTATCTTCTAAGGGCTTGTGGAATTGAGCCTGAAAACAGGCAAGTGTGCATAATTGTTCTTTTTCAAGCCAGAAACTATTTTTCTTTCTCTTTGAAGGTTAAAGTCAGATTTGTAACTTACAACTTAAGCCTCTTTACTATTTTTCCTATTTTCCATGGAATGATTCACCAGTGTTTCACACCGAAGGAAAAGGGTTGGAGAGAGACTCGACTTTTTGTTTTATCCATCAGATTTTCTGAGGTGTTCAAATGGGTAATTTCCAAAGAACAACACTGACAGTCCCTAAAGCCAGTAATAAATTAAATTGTAAAATTATGTTTGTTTGTAGAAAGCTTATAGATTCTTACAAAGCCCTCACCTTGTACGTCAAGCCACCTCCGTCCCATTTTGCCCTCTATTTCTTTTCCTTCACCCCTGCATAGAGCTCTTGGCTCAGTTTTGATCTGTAACTGCCTTACATTGGAATAGCCTTTCAACACACATTGGCTGTGCTGTCCAAATAATGGGCTTTCCAACTTTTTGGGTTTTTTTTTAACAAAATGTCCAGAAACTCTGTTTTGCCTTTTGGGCAGGATGTCAGGGAAGGCAGGTGGTTGAAAGGAAGCCTGGAGATGAAAGAGATAATAAAAAATGTGCTCACATTCTGGTACATACTCCTACCTTCCCAGGACAAAGACAAGTTTGGGAGTTTTCTTTAAAGAAGACTGGTAATACGCTAATGGTGCAGCAAGTCTGTCCCCAAAGAGTGGAAGTGAATGAGACCTGGGTATTTTCCATGGAATGATTCACCAGTGGTTCACACCGAAGGAAAAGGGTTGGAGAGAGACTCATGACCATAATTCATACTGAGGTCTCTTTGAAGACAAGAAACCTATTTTTTCATCTTTGACTCTCCAATAACTTATAAATATTTGTTGTATAAATATTTGTTTAATGATGATTGAATGAGTTTTTATTCTGAGCTTTGCTAAATAGCACCAATACTAAATTCTATGTGTGTTCAAGTGACTATATTAGAAGAGCTGTGCATATTTTGTGTGTTTGTGTGTGTGTGTTTGTACTGACATAGAAGTGGCATGAGTGGGGAAATAAATATGAATAGGTAGGCTTTGCAACTGAAGTAATTTCAACCAGAGAGCACAGAAAGTGATTATCATTGATTATTAATGGATGTGCCTATCAAAAGACGGAAAGGTGCATTTATTTATTCAGTCATTCAGTAAGAATTCAGTGGGAAGTTACTGTGTGCTTTAGCCCTGAAGCAGGTGTTGTGAATGATACAAATATAAGTCAGATGTCCCCACAGGTGATTTTTCTGGCTGTGCCACACCCAGCATTATAAAGGACAGGGCATCTCTGACCATCAGCAAATAGAATCCACTCCCACTGAGCTCCTTACTGGGCAATGCTGATTTTATTGAAGATTCCATCAGGGAGGCAGAGAAAAAGTTTATATTGCATCTACCATAGCCCTCAACATCTCGTATACCTTGTTTAACATAATTCTTCTCCTTAGTCCTTGTACCTCCCCTAGGCTTCTCTTTCCATCATTCTGGTACACAGCTCTGTGCCACTCATCTCCTCTCTCCATGGCTTTTCTGGAGCAAATGTGTATATATCGTACAGATGCCACCAGGGCTCTGTTCCTACATCCTCAGACCTTACCATTATGTGCATGTAGACCCAGCTCCTGATCCCAGCTCTCATCTCTTTGCCTAAGATAGATAGGTAGGTAGGTAGATAGATAGACAGACAGACAGACAGACAGACAGACAGTTATTCCCATGGAAGAGCAGCTCCATCTGTTTTTTGTAGTCCTCGGTGTAATCAACCTACTAGCCTGAAAGGCAGGATTCTTACACACTTCTCTCCATACCTATTTTAACCTAGGTTCCCCTAGAAGCAGATCCTGATTTTGAAGGATTCAGTGCGAATAGTTTATTTGGAAGGTGAACCTAGAACTCATAGAAGAGACAGGGAAGGGTGGGGAGTGAAGAAAGTATGCAATATCAAGTTGCCCCTTTAGGTGACTGGAGTGGAATCTTGCTAGGCTTTCTGGTAGTCGGTGTAGAACACACGTTAGAATTATTTTACCAATGGTTGAGCACTTGGTTGAGGCACTTACTGGTTGAGGGCTGCTCCTTGGTGGTGGGTGTCAATCTCCTGGTATTTCTGGCCTGCCATGTGCACAGGCAGAGTGGGATCTGGCAGAGCAGGCACTGGCTGTCAAAGAAAGCCCTTAGACTTTCTCTTCTTTCAGAGAAAGAAGAGAGAGGAAGCCTGTGCCAGGCTGACAGCCAGGGAAGGCTCACAGTCTCCAGAGGGCAGGGTACCTTGCGGGGACAGTATACTGTTTGGCCTAGCAGTGAGGTGGGTGTGGCCTGAGTCCTCCCTAAGATGGGATCAGTATAAATTTGCCAAGGAGCCCTTGTGACAGAGGAAGGGCTGTTCTCTATCATTATCATCCCCCCTTCAGTCTTGACCACCAGGATTGTAGAATTGACACATCTTCACTTCTTGACTTCCTGCTATCACCTGGGAGTGGATACATTGTTTTCTTTGGCATTATTAATAGAGATAATAGTAGCCAAGAACAGTTATTGAGCATTTATTATAGGCCAGACACTGTGCTAGATGCTTTTCATGCATTCGCTTATTTAATCCTTCCCTAAACTCTGAGAGGTAGATACCATCATTGGCCCTGTATCAATGGAAGATGAGGCAGTAACTTCCCCCCAGATCTTGCAGGTATGAGTGCTGGAGCTGATATTTGAACACAGGTAGCCTGGTGCCAGAGCCTGCACTCATTTACTCTTGCAGAGACTATTCAGTCTAGGCCTTTTGCCTTTCTTCACACTATTTTGAGGTGGTTGAGATTAGGCATATTTGAATGAGGATGGGTCGGAAGGTGTGGTGCACAATGCTCCCATGATCCTCTGGGGGGAATGCAGGACTCAGGGTGGTTCCAAGAGACTTTTAGTCCTGAGACTCCTCACCCTATATTCACTACCTCCGATGTTTTGCCACCATCTTAGAAGAGGAAAAAGAAGTCCCAAATTGTCTCGTGGGAATGGAGATAGAAAAGTGCAGTTTTATAATTTTGCCTTGTGTTAGCAAACTGTAAAAGCATCTTTCTCCTGCTTCTTCCCTGACTCAGGGCCCAACATTTGAAGCCAGAGCCCTGAATGTCATTTCATCTGAGAGCTTCCTGCCATCTCTCCTCCCTAGCCATGCTTAAGATAGGGAAGGATGAAGTGGCTTTCTGTGACTTGTCCTGTTTCAACTCAAGAGCCATGACTTTGAATTGGAGAAACACCATTCTAGGCTTATACCCAGCCTTCTGGCAATATTTTCCTTCTCCTTATGCAGCAACTTCCAGATTGTGCTGTTCCTTGGCACATATCTGATTTTCTTTCATTGGATCTTTCTAAAAGATGGATAATAACACTATTTCTACTCAAACTGATATTTTCACTCTATCCTGGGAAACGTATGATCCCCTTTCACCTCACACGACCCTGGAACTTAGGCTGTACTGATTAAAAAAGCAAACAAACAAAAAAACCTAGAGAGGAGAGGCTCTTCTTTGTATATAAATTAAGCAAGTTATAAATTCTGCCTCAACACAGTTTTGGGGATGTAGGAAGGTTATTCCAAAAAAAAAAGAGAGGTGAAGAATTCTTCAGCAGTTCTCTGATTATACATAGGAGAACTTATTTTCTCTGGATTAAAACAACTCCCATGGTCACTTCCTGTACTTTCATCTGTATACTGATTTATTTTTCTCTAAGTGAATTTAGGTAATGAGAAAGGTGCCTACTTGACATCTCCAGGGAATAAATCCTTCTAATTATCCACAGAGAAGAGAAGCAGAAAAGTAGTCGCAAAGCAGATACCTCCTACAATATTTTAGAGATGCATCTCAAGCCTGAACTATGCAGAAAACAACTAAAAATTAGCAAATTACTCAGGCTGAGTGACTTAGGAAATATTTCGGCTATTCTAATAGTTGCTGGTAAACATGCCAATTACTATGACTCATGACAGCTGCCAGATGTGGGCACAGTTTTTTTAAAGTGAAGACTTGAAGTGGCACCCCCACTCCATGTAGCTCAGATCTCCACGCAGATATGAGACAGTGATAGACAGATAGATATGCTGCATCCCCCCCTTCCCTCCCACCCAGAGTTTCTCTACCTCAGCACTACTGGAAACTGGATAATTCTTTTGAAAAGGAGCTATCCCATGCACTGTAGGATGCTTAATAGCAACCCTGGTGTCTACTCACTAGATGCCAATAGCACCTCCCCACAAGCCCCGAGTTGTGACAATAAAAAATGTCTGCAGTCATGGTCAAATATCTCCTTGGGGCAAAATTACCCCAGATGACAGCCCTGGCAGGGAAAAACTTTGGACTCACCACTTGAGGTCCTGGAACCTGCCTATGTGCATATTCTCTGTTGTAGAATATGTTTTTAACCAAATGTATTTCAATTCTTTTTAGGGCTATTGCTTTTTTAATTTCTCAGCTATATGATGTAAGATAACCCATAAGTGTATTCTTTATTTCAGTAAATACAGATATCATTCTTTTTAATGGCTTTATACTATTTAATTATGGGAAGATGCCATAATTTATTTATCCAGTTCATTGTATTATTTCCAGTTTCTTATAATTACATATAATGTTTTAATTTGCGTATCCCTTAATTCAACAAAAAAATTTTTGTGTCCTCCATTTCCAGTAATCGTATTAGGTGCTGGTAAAAAGGACACATAAGCATGGACTTTGCCCTCATTCAGCTTACATTTTAGCAGGAAGAAAATACATTAATAACTAAATAAAGTAATTACTAATTCTAAAAATATGCATAACTATATAATTCAGTTAGTGCTAACTTCCATGAAGGAAATAAAGAGATGAGAAAAGAGCAACTGATGACATCGCTTTAGATAGGGTGGTCGGGGAAGACTTCTCTTGTTAGGCGACATTTGAATATAGACCTAAAGGATGAGAACGAGGCAGCTGTCTGAAGAGCTAGACCAGTCTGAGCAAAGGGAAAAGCAAATGCAGAGACCCAGCAGGGAGAAAGGGCTTGGGGTACTTGAGGAACAGAAGGGAGGCCAGTGTGGCTGGAGCACAGAAGGCAAGGATGAAAGTAGAGAGATGTGAGGTGGGTCATATACGGCAGGAAGTGGAAAAGGCAGGGCTTTATAGGCTATCATAGGGAAGAGTCTACATTTTATTCTGAAAGCATTGGGAAGCCATTTAAGGTTTTAAGAAGAGTGGCATGATCCTGTTTATGATTTAAAAAATTATTCTGGTGAGAAAATGAACTATTAAAAGGGAAAAATTGAATTAGAAAAAGCAGCTAAGGGCCTATTTAAATTGCCTAATTGGGATTTAATGATAGAATGATTCCAATAAGGGCAGTGGAAATAAACAGAAGTAAATGGATTAAAGTGCAACAGTCATCTTGGAGAAGGATTGAGTGGACAGGCAAGAAAAAGAAAGTGTAATGGGTGACTCCTAGGTCTGGGTCCCAAACTGGGAGGCTGATGGTGCCACTTACCAAGATGGGAAGAGTGGGCAACGATGAATTTTGGTCAAGCTGAGGATGAAGAGTGCCATTTTTAATGTATTAAATCAGCTATGCCTGTTAGGTAGCCAAGTAGTAATGGCAAGTTAGACATATAAGCTTAGGGGAGAGATATGAGCTAGAGAAATAAAAAATTGGGAGCCACTGCATCTAGATGGTGCTTCAAGCCATTAGACTGCAGGGGATCATGTGGGAAAAGAACTTAGAAGGAATGAAGGCACAGGGCAGAACCGTGAATAAGACCAAGAAGAAATAGCTGGCAAGGTAGGAACAAACTAGAAGAGTAGAATGCCGTGAAAGCTGGGCAATAACAGTACGCTAGTAGAAGAAAATGACCAATAGAATAATCAACACATTTCTGTGCCTCTGTGCAAGTCGTTCAATAGGGTAATTTCCTAAACATGAAATTCTTAAATGATGGCTATAAATATATTATAATTTTAATAAATACCACCAAGCTTTACTTGCCTACCAAGGTCTTGAAAACATTCCCGTGTTTTCTTCTAGGAGCTTTATAGTTTTGCCTTTCACATTAAGATTTAAAATCCATCTGGCACTTATTTTTGTGAATATGTGAGACAGGGGGCAAGATAAACTTTTTTTCCCATATGGATCGTCAGTTGACCTAGCATCACTTATTGAAAAGACAATCCTTTTCCCTCTGCACTGTAGTGTCACTTTTGTCATGAATCAGGTGTTCATAAATGTAGTTCTGTTTCTGGAAGCTCCATTCTGTCCTACAGACTGTTTATTCTTGCTGCAATACCACACTGTCTTAATTATGGTAACTTTACAATAAATCGTGGTATCTGGGAGTGGAAAGCTTCCAGCTTAGATCTTCTTTTTTGAGACTGTCTTGGTTATTCTTGGCTCTTTGCTTTTCATACACATTTTGGAGTGAGACTGTCAATTTACACACACACGCATACACACACACCTGCTGGAATTTTTATTGTGATTGCATGGAGATCAATTTTGGGGAAAACTGACACCAAGTCTTCCAATTCATGAGCATGGTGTAATGAATATGGAAATAATTTTTTACTCAATAAAGATTTCAGCCAAGGGCAGCTTTTGTGAGAATATGGTCCACGCTGACTCTCTAATTTGCTTTGTTTTGTTTTGTTTTAAATGGAAGGGAATGTTTCCCAAGGCTTAACTGATCACCAGAAAGGTGTACCTGTGAAAATATCAATCAAGGTAATTTATATAGAACTGGCCTTTAATAAACCAGTGAAAACTTGGAGAGGCTTCCCAAAATACAGATCAGAAGAAACAGTCTCTAGGTCTTCTTGGCTAGCTGGCTGGAAGTTGCATGTGGACATTTTCAGAAAAGAAGAGCTTTCATTTTTTAACCTGTACCCTTTTCCCTGCCCTCTGACTTAACACATGGCTGTGCTGACAATGGCTGTCCCCAGTGTTATGCGCCATACATTTGGCATACCACAGAAAACTTGGTGTTTTCCCAGCTGATATTGTTTATTAATAATTAACAGTAATGTTTCTTATGAATCATTTCACTCTTAAAAATGCTTCACTAATAGCATCTATAAAAATTTTTTTTACGTACAGTTTTAGTGCTCTTTAAATGTTCTGAAAACATGGTTTCTGTGTATATTCAGTACTCAGTGCATGATTTTACCATCAAATGTCATATCTAAATATGCATTCCCATTCACACACAAGAAAAGGCTTAAGGGATTTATTATAATATCAGTTTATATATTTTTCCTATTGAATGTGGTTGTGCATCTACCTTGAAATTCTCCTATGATAACAATTATTGACAGAAATGTTGTTCATGACTCTATACTTAAAGTAATTATGCATAAACCCAGCCATTTATGGTTGAATACCATCAGTCTTTATATTAATATATCTGATTTCAAATATCAGTTCTTAGAGTGCCTCTATTCTATACCCAATCTTATTTAGATAATTTTACTTTAGATATTTTCCTTTAAGTTCTGAAAAAGACTGAACAATTTGAATATCTCAATCTTTACCCAGTTTTTCTTCCTCCAGATTCTCTAGATATGCTCTATATTTCTGCTTCTTGGCTAAATCTCAAGATTTCTAACAAGCTAACAACAGAAATCCCAGAATTTGTGTACAAAACTTCATGCTTCCAAGATTTCCTAGGTGGATATAAATCTTTTCTCCACGGGGTTCACAAAACTCAATACAAATTTAATTATCCTTCACGACATGGCCAAAAGGGTAAAAAATGAGATGAAGTTCAGACAACAACAAAAAAAACCAAACCCAAAAAACAACAACAACTAAACATAACTCTCCGTATCCGTATGTTTCCCCAGGTTAAAAACAAAAGCTTTTAAGTGATATTGTAATTAATCATTCACATTATTGTGTAGCTTAAGAAACATTTATCATTCATATATATTACAAAGCTAAATACTACTAAAGAGCATGTAAGACAGTATTTAGGAAGACATTTGGCATTCGGAGAAACATATGTCCTGCTTTTAAAAGGGCATCCTTAATACATCCCCCTAGTCAAATAAATTTTAACATATATAATTTTTTAAAAAGAAATATATAGTTTATTCATTCTCACAAATTTAATTTTGGAGGCAGGTAGATTTGATGAAATTAACTTCTTAAGATTCTCTCCTAATGTTCGTAGGTGGTTCTAAGTCATGTCCTGCATGTCTAAGTGTGTCCAAAGCCATTGTTGACATTTGGCGAATTGCCTCATGAATTTTCACTTGTGAGTTTTTGATTACTTTCCATTTTACAATGTAAACTGAGATGCTGTGTGCGGCTGTTTGATCCAAGATCATCAGGTGGCCATGTGCGGTTTCCACGGGAACCAGAACTTTATCCAGCATATCATAGGCCACCATTTTTTTCTCTATTATAAAGAAGCTATTTTTCTAATAGGGGTGTACTGCACACTGCAAATGTTATCCTTGAAACTGCCTGTTCTCTGAGAAAGGAAAATGTTTTCACTCTTCTGAAAATTAAAAAATATTATGATTATTGTCCATAAGCCCAGAAGTAGAAAGGAAATATTGTCATTATTTATTATAGATGAAACTTAGAGCTTGAAATATAACTTAGAAAATTATTCTCCTATCTAATGGGCTAAAAGCAACAAGCAGTCAAAGTAGTAAAGGCAAAAAACTGAGTGAGAAGCAATTTAATTTGGAAAATTTATGGTAGGAAACATAATTTTTTCTCGATAACCTTCCCCAATGCCCCACTCTTACACTTTTATTTTGTAATTTTTAGGAACTTTAATTAACATGTTTTAAACAAAGATTCAGAAAACATAAGGTCATTAAGACAGAACTTGTAGGAGGAAAGGCTTTCAACTTTGGGATCATTGAGCCATGAATGGAGAGTTGAAAGCACCCTGAGTCTTCAGGTTCATATCCCTTTTTCTGAAAATGAAGAAACTGAGAAGTATTAAGTGGCCAGCTCTAAGCCATGCTCTGATTTGATGGTGTAACTGGGACAATACAGATCTGCTTTCGACACCCTGCACATGTGATCTCGGTGGTGCTAGGATGTTCCTGAGTCATTGTCCACAGTAGCACTGGAACTCTGCTCCCCTGATGTCACCATTATGCAACCCAGTACAATTGTCCCTCCATTATTCAGAAATAATGTCTGTTATTTGTATAAATAATGTCTTCCATTATTTAGGATAGTGAGGTCTGCTATCTCATGTATCCTTGTGTTCCAAATGTTTATTTGTAAGTAGTTTGTTGCTTTCTGTGGGAAAATGCATTCCCTTACTTTCTCCTATCTCAAAGTCATTAAATATGCCTACTCAAGAATGCCTTTGTCTCCTTTTCACCAAACCATGCCTCTGTCTTATTTAATACTCTGTGTATGACTTGTTGATAACATAAAGCCTCACTAGGTTAATTCTTCCTCACTCCTCACTTCAATGCTTCCTTGCTCTTCCCCTCATTCCTTTTCTGCCTCCCTAAATGTCATGTGTCCTTCTCTTAATGCAATTTAAAACTGTTTTTTCATATGTTTATCAGCTAGGTTTCTTTTCACTGCAATTAATTAAATGTCAGGGAGGCAAGGGTTGAAAAATTATCCTTCAGGTACAACGTTCACTATTTGGGTAATGGGTACGTTAGAATGGGTACACTAGAATCCCACCAGTATGCAATATGCCCATGTAACAAACATGCACAGGTACCCCGAGTCTAAAATAAAATGACATTTAAAAAAATTAAATGCCAAACTAACAGTGGCTTAAAACATAAGGCCATCTACTGTTTACATAAACAGAAGTCTGAAGTTAAGACTGTGCCTGGAAGACAGGAGATCAAATTAGACTCAAAGCTGTTTTATGGTTTCTGTGGTGGCAGAAACCAATCCGATTACTGTCAGTCTGGGCTGGCATGGTAATTGAAAACACCTAGCTGAAGTGGAAGATGTGTGGGCAGAAGCAACCAGCAGGCAGATCATGTCAGAATTGAGAATAACACATTCCAACCTATTAAGATAAGCTATTGTGAAGGACTCTGCAACAACTGGGTCCCACAGAAATAGTAGGCAACAAATTTGTTTTCTGTGAAAATCAGGAGTATTGGGGAAAGGGGGCTGGGACTTTAATGAGTAGCTTATATTCATTCATCACACATTAAATTACTACCTGTTATCACCCAGCCATTCTAGCCTCAGGAGCTCAGGAAATTGATGATTAAAGACTATCCTTGTCCTCAAGCTCATACTCTGGTTGAGAAGGCAGACATACAAATAATTACAATTTTGTGTGATGATTGTTCTAACAGTTATACATAAAATTGTATGAAAACTACAGCAGACAGCAGTTAATTCTGCCTGAGAGTGTCAAGGAAGGCACCACTGAGAGGGTGACTTTTAAGCAGGGAAAGAGAAGGAGTGCCAAAGACCAGAACATACCAGAAACATGAATTCAGTGGCATGAAATAATGCAGCACTTTTTGGTGAAAACAAGAAAGTTCATGTTGCTGGAATGTAATGAGCACATGGGCAAGATTGGAGATGGGAAGTTGAATTTTAATAAGATGGTTTAGTTAGCCTATGTTTGAGGATTTTCAGGGTCAGAACAGAAAGTGATCAAGGGGTGAACAGAATCTGTGAGGATGCAGGTGAGCATAACTAAACACACCAACAGTGGGTATAGATATGGGGAAAAGTGACATCAAATGAGAAACTCACAACTGCAGGTTTTAATAAGTTCAAAGAGTAGGTTTGGGATAGTCAAGTGGGGAAAAAGTGGTTATGTAGTTTGTTCGAAGGATGGAATTCTAAAGTTTAAGATTTCACATGTGGAACAGTCCCAAGGAACAAAAGCTAGTATATGTCCTTGAAGACAAAAGTAACTGGACTGTAAGGCAAAGAGGAGCTGTCTGTATGGACTTTGAAGTTATTCTCTTAAGTTGTGTTCCACTTGATGTAGATCCTGAAACAAGGATTAGAGCACAAGTTTATTTGGCAGATAAATTCCACGGTTTTGGCTCATATGCTTTTATAATAGTGTGTCATTAAGTCACTAAGTGCTCGGCTCACCATTGCTGTACAGTCAACAGACATTAATTGATGTTAACAACTCAGTAGAGTTGCCCTTCTCAGAGCTATCAAGAACAAGATGGCTTTAGGAGCACCAGCTTCCCTGTTAAGGCTCATCCTCCTGGCCTTAACTCTGCTTGATCACTCTCCTGTGTTGGGACTCAGACCCAGGGAGAAGGTACCTCTCATTGAGGAACATCACAGAGGGAGCCCCTCACTTAACCACTTCTTCTGTGTCTCCCAAACCCTTTCTGAATTAAGAAAAGATTCCACAGCTTGCTCTTGGTTGCTTCTGTGTTTGTGGAGTTGATCTCTGCTTTGAGGAAAGAGCCTTATAGAACTGTATGTCTCTCTATTTTAGTGTCTATTTATTATTCTTTGTTTTCTTACCATTTTCAGTTTTAAGCCATTAATTCAAGACAATAGCTTTTAATATTCTACTAGTGTATAATGACAGTCCCCAAGTTACGAAGGTGTCATGTTCTTCAATGTACTATTTATAAATTGGGATTTCATATATAAATCCCAACATAATTGTTTTTGAAATACTGTGTTTTTAATTTACGAAAATGCTACCAGATATATCTGTCCAAAATTCACAAACTAAGCATCAAATCATTTCTTCATATTTTAACACCACATTATGTGTATGTGTGTATGCTTATTATGTAAATAGTTTATTTAATGAAAATGTAAAGTATAATACCACATACTTTGGTGAAATGCAGGCTCCAACTGCATTGATAGATGTCAATGGATTTACATTTATCACCTATTTCAAAGCCCTTTCCTCAACAGCAAAACTATTTATATACATATGTGTGTGTGTGTGTGTGTGTGTGTGTGTGTGTGTGTGTGTGTGGTGTTTATCACAGGAAGGCTTTATTAAATTTTCATTTCTGTTAAGGCCATGAAAGTAACAAACACACATTTACAATACAAAGCTTAATAAGCTAAAGAAAATAGGAGAAACCATTATTCCCCATTCTCACTATAAATAGCTGAAGAAAATTTCTGCATCTAAGTGACTCCTGTTATTTCTCAAAGTGATAACAATATGACTACTGTATAAATGTTTGTAGTTTGAATATGACATAGTGATACATAACTACACATATCTGTAGTTCAAGAGTTACATTCAAGTTATTAACATGTATATAATCTCTTGTTCTACATCAAGCAATTTGACTGTATAAGAATGATATATATTCTATTTTCTATATTTACTGTTATTTACAGAAACTGAGTAGTGGATACAGTTGCTTCCTGTGGGCTGCTTGGCAACCTAAATATTAATAATGTTTAGGGAGTGAAATAAAGGAGAGAATGCTTAAGCTGGAAAACTGAAATTCTGATCTAGTTAAAAGCTCACTACTTTCAAAATACAAATCAAATTCTTTTTTTTTTTTTTTTTTCTGACATGGAGCCTCATTCTGTTGCCCAGGCTAGAGTGCAGTGGCATGATCTCGGCTCACCGCAACCTTAGCCTCCCAGGTTCAAGCAATTCTCCTCCCTCAGCCTCCCAAGTAGCTGGGGTTACAGGCCCACGCCACCATGCCCGGCTAATGTTTGTATTTTTAGTAGAAATGGGGTTTTACCATGTTGGCCAGGCTGGTCTCAAACTCCTGGCCTTAAGTGATCTGCCCACCTCAGCCTCCCAAAGGGCTGGGATGACAGGCGTGAGCCACTACACCTGGTCACAAATCAAATTCTTAAAGTTTTATGATAAGCATTCTTAAATATCAAATAGTATATTCTTTACTATCAATGCTGTCCCCTAGACCTTACAGTACCTGTTTGTGGTCCTGCTTCAGAAATAAAGCTATGCCTTTAATTTATCTACCAGTCATAATAAATAATATGTGGCACACTCTTGGTTTAATCTTCAAGCTAAATGAAAATCCTTTAAATTAGCTGGTGAGAATATATGGAATTGCAAGCCCCATACAGGTGGGCATCCAGATTGCCTCTTTAGAAGATACAGAGCCCAGCTTTGTTCTGAAGCCATACTCAGCTAGCTTAGTGCTCACAGCTCTACTATACTCAACTGCAGAAGTCTGTCAGGAGCCTGATAGCTCCTGGAGGACCACTGCTGATCTGAACTGTCCTTTAGAAAAAAATATTATCTTTCTACCTCCTAGGTTCATCTTCTACCTTCTTAAGACTAAGAATTACTTTTCCTTATGCATTAATTAATGTTAATCATTAACAACCAAATTGTAACCATATAGCAGATGTACCTAAGATGCTACCAAAGGAAGTTAGACATTTAGTCATATGCAGGGAGGTGCCCTATTTCCTCTATTTTTAGAAGCTAAAACTGATAAGTGGAGAACAAAGGAGTACAGTAAATTTAAAGAGGATCTTAGACAAGGCAACCTTATTTCCATTCTTGAATTCACTGAAGGCCACACTTGGATTAATTCGGGATTCTCAACTTCAATACTATTGGCATTTTGGGCCAGATAATTCTTTGCTGTGGGAATTGTTCTGTGCATTGTAGGATGCTTAGCAGCATCCCTGGGCTCTGCCTTGATTCCAGTAGCTTCTCCAAGTTGTGACAATCAAAAATGTCTCCAGGTATTGCAAAGTGTCTTCTGGGGAGTAAAATACCCTTAGTTGAGAGTCACTGGATTAACTGTAAGGTGGAAGGGAGCTACTTTGTTCACAAAAGTAATAAAACTTACACAGAATTCCTGCTGGAAATAAACTCATGCAGTCGAAAACAGGTTGGCTTTTTTATTAGTTGCCCTAAACTTCCTCAAGCCACATTCTAGATCATTATTTGAATGTTGACAGTGAAGTCTATTTTTCCAGTGTTTTTTTTTTAAATAAAGCCGCTGAAATGTTATATGATATGGTGCCCCATAATTGTCAAGTATGGGAATACTATGAGCTCTGGTCCATTAGTTAATAATCTACATAATAGTTTCCAAACTAATTTTTGTGTAGGACCCATTCAATGTGTTTTAAAAATTCTAAATATAGTCTTGGTTTAAAACCCCAAAGTTTTCAAAATAAGAATGATTCTTACAATTAAAGATGGAAATCCATCAACCATAGACGTGATATAATTAAGTAATTCACTAAAAACAAAATACCAGGAGATAGGCACTGGGTTTCTCATTTCACTGGACAGTCCCTGAAAACTCAAATGCCGCAGGATCTATTGTCTCAGCCTGCAACTGTGTTTGCCGGTTAAGGTCACTTCAATGTGAACAGAAAGGGGAGGAATTCTGCTATGGACATTTAAGAAAGTATAATTCTGCCATGGGCATTTAAAACAGTATTTTTTTCACAGTCGTTTTCTACCCATCTTCCCTCAGCCCCCCGATATTCAAACATATGCTCAGTACTTTCAGGAAGGAAGGAAAGCTACCCAGGAGGTAGAAAATGAGCGTGATTCAAATGTTTTGTCAGCTGGAGTTCTAGCCAGCAACCAATTTTCACAAACTCTTGTACTTTATTCAAATTATCATAATATTATTCAAATAATCATAACACAGCATTGGGTCTTTGACCTATTAATTATCCTTTCATCCATTCCCTCCCTGCTGCCGAGTTAATTAGTCAGATGGCAGGGTCTCTGCTTTATGTACATTATCTCAACCACAGAAAGCCACAAAGTTGTGTCAAGAACTGCAGTGTTAGAGTCATCCTTTTCCGTTCTAATAATCATGTATGCAAATTATTTTAAAATCTTTTCCTTCTGGCTAATAGCGTTACTATTCAGAGGAAAACAGGCTTCCCTTCATCCCTTTTCCACTGTGTGTGTGTGAGAAGAAATGAGTGACAGCCAGCCACCCACCACCCCAGATTGCATCCTTGTCCTAGTTTTTTCCCTCCTTGAGGCAGAGAAAACTACTTCTTAGACATGTGGAATTCTCTTTATCCTGCCCTTTGTGCCCCAAAGCCATGATTGAGTATTCTTGATTGACACTGGCAGTGGGATATGGTGCTGTCCTCTGCTCCACCAACACCACTGGGCTCATCATTCAGAAATCTAATCCCAAGCAGTTCACAGAGTGGCTTCCTGAAATTCTTTTCTTATGTACCCATAGAGCTTACCCTATGACATCAGTCTCCGTAAGCAAACAATGAGCCACATATCTCATGTCAGAAATGCCACAAGGGTGCTAATTTTTTATATACTTCTGAACAAACTGAATGGGTTTTCTGTCAAACTTTGTGCATTTTTTTAAGAGTACAAGAGCCCTTTCAGATTGACGAGGAAAAAAATTTTTGTGAATGCAAGAATGAAGTTAGCACAGCTTTATTCTCCATGCTATCAGTGAAAGTTAAGTCAGGAAAACAGAAACTACTCTAGCTATTTCAAACAGTGAAAATGTAATATAGTGAATTGGTTGCACCATGATGGAAGAGCTAAGAAACCAATTAGGAAATGGAGGCAACCCAGAGATTAGCAACAGCAGGAAGCCACAAGTACCCACAGGGAGGACTCATTAGTCCTAGAACCAAGAAGCCAGTCCTTCCAGCTCAAGCTAGAATCATGGAGGTGGCTTCTCAGGGGAGGTGGAACCAAAAAGAAATGCAATCACTGCAGGAAACTACCCCATGAAGCCAAACTAGAAAGGCAGAAATACCTTGGCTGCTTCCTTCTTCCTGCAGTCTAATCTCTCAGTAGGCCCCCACGGATGGAATTTAGCTAGAAACCAGGTGCAAAAAAATCTGGAAAATCTTATTTGAAGAAGGATGAGAGATGAGTCTGGAAGTTGTATCCATCTTCTTTTGCAGTGATAGTTGAGTGAATACAGAGCATTTAATCAGCAACACTTAAATGACAAATCCATATACAGTGCACATAGAATATGCTCCAGTCATCTAGAATTCATGACCACTCACAAGAAGTTTACTGTAGTCTAAATAACTAAAGAGTAAGCTAGGCAAGTTAAAGTAATAAACAAAACCACCTAAGAAGCCAACTATTTCAAGGATTCTGGTATCTCTGGGATGCTGTGGTTGGCAGAATAATGATGTGGTTGGCAGACTGACCCTCCCAAATTTACATATACAAGTCCTAATCCTCACAATCTGTGCATGTTACTTTACATGGCAAAAAAAAAAAAAAAAAGAAAGATTTTTCAGATGTGATCAAGGTTGAGGACTTTGATAGTTTACCCTAGATTATCTGGGTAGGCTCAATCAAAACACATGAGTCCTTAAAATTGTAGAACATTTCTTGGGTGCAATGAGAGAAAGGAGGAGGATGAAAGGAGGTGTCAGAGAGATGGAAAGAGACACCCCCTGCTATTGCTAGTTTTGACAACGGAAGAAGGGAGTCAGGGGGCAAGAAACATGGGTAGCCTCTAGAAAGGGAAACTGGAAATAGCAAGAAAACAGACTCCACCTATTCAAGCTTCTTCCATTCATCACTTTTTTCACTAGCTTCTCCATCACTTCCATCAGTAACACATAACCTTGCTGTTAGTTCTTCCATCTTATAAAAAATGAACTCAAAAACCTTCTTGTGACCTCCAACTCCCTATAGTTACTACTCCATTCTTTTGCTCCTCTGTACAACAAGCCCTTTAAAAGTATTATTCTATACTTGTTCTGTTTAATTCCATATTTCCTAGACTCACTTAAGCCCACTCCAATTAGGCTAACTGCCCCCTTTTAATGGTCAATTCTCAATCCTCGTGTTACTCAATTCTCAGACTTCATCTGACCTGACTTAGCAGCAGCATTTGACATGGTTGATCACTGTCTCCTCCTTGGTGCCCTTTTTTCCCCTGACAGCTGGAACATCAAGTTCTTTCTTCTTTCCTTCTTCCTCAGTCTTCTTTGTTGTTTTTCCTTCTTATCCCTGACCTCTTATGTTGCCATGCCCCAGGTCTCAGACTTTGGTTATCTTCTCTTTGCTATCTATGCTCATCCCCTTGATGATCTCATTCCTTCTCATGGATTTAAATACCACCTACACACTGATGATTTCCAAATTTTATCCCCAGAGAAGGATTCTCTGTAGAACTACAGACCCAGATATCCAAATGCCTAATTGCCATTTCTACTGGAATGTCTAATAAACATCTCAACGTGGCCAGACTGAACTCCAGGTCCTCTCTCCAAATGTACTCTACCTTGGCCTTCTCCATCTCATTTTGTGATACCCCCATCCCCCCATTTGCTCAGGTTAGAAATCTTGGAATCATCCTTGACTCCTTTTCTTTTTACTCCCACCTTCAAAACATACACAGATATCAAAAACAATGAACATACCTGGCAACTACCTACCAATATTTAATTGAAAGGAACCAGTAATTCTTGGAGACATGGTTGATTCTTGGGCCAGGGCTGGAAAAGTACAAAATAAACCTGGACCATCTTAGTGTGCTACAAATGAGAAAGTACTCAAATTAGGACAGGGACATGTCAAAAGGACACAGGAACCATTTTAAAGGGCTCCCATTGACCAAATCTGAGATATTTGAGTACTTAAACAAATAATGATATTAATAGGTTAAGATTCATTGAACGAAGAATACATGTTGTTAATTAATAGAGGGAGAAGGGAAAATGTTCTGTTTCAGTAGAAAGCCAATAGTAAATTTAGAAGAAATGACAGAATTAGAAAAGTCATCATTCAGCATTGTGATAATTATCAGTTCATGGAAGAATCATCAATGCATGCCAAAACCAGTGGTGAAAGTTTGATAAGTGGCGGGATATTTACTGCATAGTTTCAAAGTATCTCCCCACAAGTTATTTTTTAATTAAAAAGAAAAATTAGTGACTTTACATTGGATAAACCTGACAGACACCACCTTAACTAAGTAACCTTAATAGAAGTGGGATAAATCAATGGCACATGTCTGTGCCTCCCGTTGTATGATGCACTGTGAAAGACATAGCATCACCTCTGTGCCAAGAATGTATTCCTGCCAAAAATGCAGAACCTACACCTAATCATGAGAAAACACCAGACAAACTCAAATTCAGGGACATTCTAAAGACAAACAAACAGAAAACTGGCCAGCATACTTAAAAAATGTCAATGTTACTAGGGACAAAAAGACTGGAACTATTCCAGATTAAAGGAAACTAAAGAGAAATAGCAACACAAATATGATCCAAAATTTTCCTTTGCTTTAATGGATATAATTCGGACACATAGTGAGATCTGAATAAGTTCTGTAGGTTAAATAACATTATTGTATCAATGGTGATCTCCTGATTTGGATAATTGTTCCGGGGTTATATGAGAGAACGTGTGTGTGTGTGTGTGTGTGTGTGTGTGTGTGTGTGTGTGTGTGTGTGTGTGTGTGCATGCGCTCATGTGTGGGTCTGCGCGTGCGCGCGTGTGGAGCGAGCGAGAGAGAGTACGCAAATGTACCTGGGAACTTGTATTATTCTTGAAAGTTTTCTATGACCTTAAAATTATGTCAAAATAAAAACAATTTAATTTTTTTAGAAAAAATGTATAAATCCAGATTCTTTCTTCTCAAAATCCTTGCTGCTGCCACTCTCATCGCAGCCACCATCATCTTTCACCCTACTCACCAAAGTAACCTCCTCACTGGTCTCACTGTTTCTGCCCTTGTCTCTTGCAGTCTGTTTTGAACACATTGGCCAGGGTGGTTCTTTTAGAATATATATCAGACCACGAAGACCCTCTACTCTGTGCTCTTTAGTTGCTTCTCGTCACTCCCAAAGCACAGAGCCCCTACCAACGCTCAAAAGACTCCCCGACCCCAAACATGACTTTCCATCTGCTGATCTCTTCTGTCTTCCATCTCATCTCACTCTCTCCTCTCCAGTCATACTGGCCTTCTTCCTCTAATCTTTAAGGCCTTTGCACTGGCAGTTTCAAGTGTCTTCATCAAGCTGATCAAAGTTCTTCATCAAGATAACCAAAAGGTTTCCTTCAGTCTTAAATATTTCTCAGTGGTGCTTACTCTATCATCCTATTTTAAATGACAGCAGTTCCATCTCCATTACTTTGCTCTATTTTCTATTTTCATCATTTTTTTAACCTTCTATCGTACCATATGATTTGCCTATTTATTCCGTCTACTATAGATTTTCTATGTCCAACTATTAGAAGGTAAGTTCCATGAGCAGAGAGATCTCTGTCAATTTTGTCTACAAATATATCCCAATACAATGTTTGTACAAAGTAAATGCTTAAATATTTCTTAAAATTAAGAAATATTTCTAGAATAAATTAATGACTGTGTGCTTCTCACAGTCTTGCTTTTTTTTTGCTAAACATTAGGTGGTACCTGGGATTTATCATGTCGTGATATATAGTTAGAATTTATTCATTTCTCACTATTATACAGTAGTCTATCGTATGCATTTCCCACAGTTTACTAACAATTTTGATGGATATTGGGTTTTATGCAAGTTTTTTCTTTGTTTGCTTAGATTATTACTAACTGTAGATACAGGTATAATTGGATATATTCCCAGTATACATATATAAGCTTTTCTCTGTGGCACAAATACACGAATAGAATTCCTAGGTAATGGAATATGTGCATCTTCAAATTTACAAGATAATGTCAAACTGTTTTCCAAAGGCATTGTCCAGAATGACATTTTAAAATTATATATTAGATCATGTCACTCTTCTGTTCTAAATACTCTGATGGTTTCCTGTCATATAGAGAATAAAACCCAGCTTCTCATTGAGGCCTCTGGTGTCTTACTTGATTTGATCCCTTCCTATTTCTCTGACCTTGTCAATCACCTTTTGTCTTCCTTACTCTGGGCCAGCCTCCTGCATCCTTTCCCTTTCAAAGAGGGAACTTACAATACCTTGCCTTTGCCTGCAATACTATTCCTCCACATATTCACTTGGGTTGAGTCCTCATCCATTCAAATCTTAATTAAGAAATTACCACTTGAATGAGACTTATTTAAAGTACCTGTTGGAAGACAGAATAATGGACTCCTAAAGATGTTCACACCCTAATCCCATGGAAACTGTGAATAAGTTATTTTATGTGGCAAAAAGGAATTAAGGTTGTAGATGAAATTTAAGTTGCTAATTAACTGACCTTAAAATAAACAGATTGTCTTGGATTATCTGGGAGGACCCAATATAATCACATAGCTTTTAAAATAGGAAAGCCTTTCCTGGCTGTGGTCAGAAGAAGAGGTGACAGTGAATGAAGGGTCAGAAAAATGTGATGATGCTGCTTCACATCAGTAGAAGAAGGGGATAGCAAGCCAAGGAATGTGAGAAGCTTCTAGAATCTGGAAAAGCAAGGAAAGGGATTCTCCCCTAGAGCCTGCTGATGCCTTGATGCTGGTCCATTGAGACCAGGGTAAAACTTCTAACCTGCAGACCAGTAAGACAACAGTTCAAGTTATTTTAAATCACTAAATTTGTGGTAATTTGCTAAAGCAGCAATAGAAAAGTAGTACATACCCAAAATGACAACCCCAATTCTCTGTACCCTGCCTGTGCTTTATTTTTCTTCATAACTCTGAACACTACTTGCCATTTTACCATATATTTGCTATTATTTAATATTAATGTCTGTCCCCAGTAAGTTACAAAAGACAGTTTGTCTGCCTCATTCTCTGTTGTATCCATGGTACCTAGTGCAGTACATGAACAGAATGGACACGTGTCAATAAATGTCTGTTGAAAGAATATTGAATTCATGAGTTTACCTTAATAGGAGTATTCATTTCTGAAGCTGCTTCTATACTATCAACCTGAAACTGCAGATTTAGAATTGCCATAACACCATCAATGTACTCTTCAGATTTTACCCTTAAAATTCTGTAATGGTGAAGTTCATTTTCCTGCAGGAAAACTTACAAAATAGTAATAAGTTGATGCACCCAGGGCTGATTAGATTTAGGACAACCCCCACTGATCAGCAGGAGGAACTCCTAAGCCCACTTTAATAAATGAATAACATTTCACCAATTTCACCTACTGTTTAGAGAACCTCCTCCAGCCATAAATCAGCTCTATGACCTAAGAACAGGGCAGGGGATTGTCAAAGTCCCTTTACTGAGTAATTCCAGAAATGCCTTAGAGCTCAACAAAGGAGGAATCTGACATTAGAAAGCTGGAATTTACAACCTAAGGGAAAGCCCCAGTAGGGAAAAACAAAACATCAGGCTGAACATCCTATAAGACCTTTTCAGTTTTGCTTACAAAAAGTCTTCATATCTCTGTAAAAGATGTTTTTCAATGAAGCAAGTTAATCCACTAAAATTCAGCCTCAGTGGTAACTATGACTGCAAATCTCTACCTTTGTCATGATTCTTTCTACTGTTCAGGAGGTGATCTTACAAACAAACTGCTGTAGGTCTGTTGGGCTGAAAAAGCAATGAAATGGCATTCTCCTGAGGACTTGATGGAAACCTTTGGATGCCAATGGTAAAGAGCTCAGGTCACTTTCTGTGACCTGTAAAGCTGCTTGAACTGCCTGGGTAAACACCAAGAAAGTTGAACATACCTTTCAACATGGCAAAATGTTTCGGAACAAGACTTTACTCAAGAGGTTATCTTTGATTCCTAACAAGGATGTATTTTTCCAAGATAAAAAATCACAATGACTTCCTTTCATCTGCAAGCACATCATGTAGATTTATTACTGTCATCAAATGAAGGAATGAGATTTTGATCTGTTGGTTTATCTTTTTCTTTAGTGCAACATATATGTTATAATTCCACCTTATTAAAGTCAAGATTCTACCAATTATTGCTACAAATCTTACAACCTGTTCTAACCCAGCCTAAAGAGTTGCTCATCCAAATTGCACTAAAACTAGGATTTATACTTAATTGCTAGTTTGCTAGATTTTGATTTGCACCTGCATAGAGGACACAATGTATATCTGTTGGATAAACTCAGATGTGAGACAGGCTTGGGGAGACTTTAAGACAACCAAAAAAAAATTACATGAAACTAAATAATAGTTTAATAAGCTGAAATATTGGGTTGTAGGCTACTGAACAATTAAGCAAATAATTATTGAGCCAAAAGTTATTCATTCTCATACTGAAAAGTTTTTTTTACAAAAATATTTCTTCTACAAAACAATCTTCTTATTAAACTTGGCTTTTCACATATCTGCTCATGATCTTATAACTTGGAGAATAACATCTTGTATCTGTAAATAGGTAGAAGGTGTATGTTTTAACTTTCATCAATGACCTGGCTAAAGAAATAGGAAACTCATTGATTTAGCTGACATAGTCACCTGGAGAGAAAGTAAACTCCTTAACAGATGGGACTGGAATTCTAAATGACCTTGCTAAGTCAGACAAGCAGATAGGTCCAGTCAGAAAGACACTAAGAATGATAAGCACAATAATTACTTTACAATAAGAATAGAGAAAAAAAAGCAGAAAAAAGGGGATAAACAGGGTAAGAAAAGGTGGGCTGTAAAGGACCCAAAAGTTGTTGAGCTGAAGCTAATTAAATAGAACAATTAATAGAGTAAATGAATAAAGTAAGCATAATATGTACTACAGATTTATGTCCACATGTAGAAGAAGAGTTAAAGTGAGATAAAAATCTCTATAAGTTCAGAGAATGAAAATTAGCAGGATGAAAGTCTCATAGAAAGATTGTTTTAGAAAAGGGAATATTAATTTATTCAGTGTCTACTATGTGTTAAGAAATGGAAATACAACAGTGTATTCCCATTTGGTCTTTAAGGAGCCTAGAGTCTCATAAAAGACATATAAGTAAGCAAACAAATGCAACATATAGATGTTTTGATAAAAGACTAATACGATTTTAGCAATAACCTTTAAGCATACATTATAATAACAGTAATGAGGCAACTAATGCAAAGAGAGATTAAGAATGCTGCCTTAAGTTGGTAAGCAGTAGAGGCAGAAATTCAACCCAAGAAATCTGACTCCAGAGCCATGCTCTTTTTTATCGAATTTTACATTCAAGGGGTACATACATGTGCAGGTTTGTTACATGAATATACTGCATGATGCTGAGGTCTAGGCTTCAGTTGAACCAGTCACCCAAACAGTGAACATAATACCTAATACTTAGTTTTTCAACACTTGTCTCCCTCTCTCCTTCCCCCTTTTGGAGTCCCCAGTATCTATTGTTTCCTCTTAATGTCCACATGTACCCGATGTTTAGCTCCCACTTGTAAGTGAGAACATCCAGTATTTGGTTTTCTGTTCTTCATTAATTTGTTTAGGATAATGGCCTCCAGGGTCATCCATGCAGCTGCAAAGGACATGTTTTTATTCTTTTTATCGCTGTGTAGTACTCCATGGTGTATGTGTACTACATTTTCTTTACCCAATCAACCACTGATTGGCACCTAGGTTGATTCCATGTCTTTGCTATTGCTTTGCTATTGCTATAATAAACATGTGCATGCAGGTGTCTTTTGAGTATTACAATGTATTTTCCTTTGGGTATATATACCCAGTAATGGGGTTGCTAGGTCAAATTGTAACCTATTTTTAGTTTTTTAAGAAATCTCCAACTAGTTTCCACAGTGGTTAGTGGTTAGACTGATTTACAATCCTACCAACAGTGCGTGAGCATCCTGTTTTCTCCACCACCTTGCCAACAACTGTTTTTTGTTGTTGTTGTTTTTTAACTTTTAGCACATTCTGATTTTGAGATGGTATCTCATTATGGTTTTGATTTGCATTTCTCTAATGATGATGATATGGAACATTTTTTATGTGTTTGTTGGCTGCTTCTATGTCTTCTTTTAAGAAGTGTCCATTCATGTCCTTTGCCCACTTTTTAATGGGGTTGTTTATGCTTGTTGATTTAAGTTCCTTATAGATTCTGGGTATTAGTTCTGGGTATCAGTTGTTTGTTGGATACATTGTTTGCAGATATTGCCTCTCATTCAGTAGGCTGTTTACTCTGTTGATAGTTTCTTTTACTGTGCAGGGTCTCTTTAGTGTAATTAGGTCCCAATTGTTAATTTTTGTTTTTGTTGTATTTGTTTTTCAGGACATTCTTTGCCTACGCCAATGTTCAGAAGAATATTTTCTAGGTTTACTTCTAGGATTTTTATAGTTTGAGGTCTTACATTTAAGTCATTAATCCATCTTGAGTTAATTTTTTATATGGTGCAAGGTAGGGGCTGGTTTCATTCTTTTGCTTATGGTTGGCCAACTTTCCCAAAACTGTTTATTGAATAGGGTGTCCTCTCCACATTGCTTATTTTTGTCAACTGAGTCAAAGATCAGTTGGTTGTAGATGTGCAGCTTTATTTCTTTGTTCTTTATTCTGTTCCATTGGCCTATGTGTCTATTTTTGTACCAGTTCCATGCTGGTTTGGTTACTATAGCCTCACAGTATAGTGTGAAGTTGAGTAATGTGGTCCCTCCAGCTTTGTTCTTTTTGCTTTGGGTTTCTTTGTCTGTTCAGGCTCTTTTTTGATTCTATATAAATTTTAAAATAGTTTTTTTCTAATTCTGTGAAGAATAACATTGATAACTGGATAGGAATAGCAGTGAATTTACAGTTTGCTTTGGGCAATATAGCCATTTTAACAGTATTGATTCTTCCAATACATAAGCATAGCAGGTTTTTCCATTTGTTTGTGTCATCTATCATTTCTTTCAGTAATGTTTTGTAGTTCTTCTTGTAGAGATCTTTTACCTCCTTGGTTAGTGGTATTCCTAGATATTTTATTCTTTTTGTGGTCGTTGTAAATAGGATTGCATTCTTGATTTGGTTTTCAACTTGAATGGTATTTGTATACAGAAATGCTACTGATTTTTGCTATGTTGGTTTTTGTAAGTAGAAACTCTACTGAAGTCGTATATTAGGTCTACAAGTCCTTTGGTGGAATCTTTAGGGTTTACTAGGTCTACAGCCATATCATCAGCAAAGAGAGATAATTTAATGTCCTCTTTTCCTAATTGGGTGCCTTTTTTTCTTTCTCTTGCCAGTTGTCTCTGACTAGAACTACCAGTACTATGTAGAATTAATCATAGTGGACATTCTTGTCTTTTTCCAATTCATAGGGAAAATGCTTCCAAATTTTGCCTGTTCAGTATGATATTGGCCATTTGTTTGTCATAAATGGCTTTTTTTTTTTTTGAGGTTTGTTTCCTTGATGCCTAGTGGGTTAAGAGTTTTTATCATGAAGGAATATTGGGTTTTACCAAATGCTTTTTCTGTGTCTATTGAGATAATCATATAGGTTTTAATTCTATTTATGTGGTGAATCACCTTTATTGATTTGCATATGTTTAACCATCCTTGCATACCAGGAATGAAACCCACTTGATCATAATGGATTCTCTTTTTGATGTGCTTCTGGATTCAGTTTGCTAGTACTTTGCTGAGAATTTTTTGTATCTATGTTCCTCAGAGATATTGGCCTGTAGTTTTCTTTTTTTGTGTGTCTTTGCCAGGTTGTGGTATTAGCATGATACTGGTTTCACAGAAAGAGTAAGAGAGGAATCTCTCCTCCTTGATATTTTGGAATAGTTTCAATAGGATTGGTACCAGCTTTTCTCTGTATGTCTGGTAGAATTTGGCTTTGAATCCATTTGATCCAGGGATTTTTGTGGTTGGTAGGGTTTTTTCTTATTACTGATTGAATTTTGTAACTCATTATTGGTCTGTGCAGGGTTTCAATTTCTTTGTGGTTCAATCTGGGGAAGTGGTGTTTTTCCCGGAATATATTCATTTCCTCTAAATTTTGTAGTTTGTGTCTGTAGAAATGTTCATAGTCTCTGGGGATCATTTGTGTTTCTGTGGGATTGGCTGTAATGTCACTTTTGTCATTTCTTATTGTGCTTATTTGTATCTTCTTTATGTTAACCTAGTTAGCAGTCTATTGATCTTGTTTATCCTGTCAAGCAATGAACTGTTCACTTCATTGATTTTCTGTATGATTTTCTTGGTCTCTTTCTTGTTTATTTCTGCTATGATTTTAATTATCCATGCTCCCAAGCTCTGTATACACTGCCCCCACCCCCTGCGTTGTGTAAGGGAATAAAAATTAAAGGTTGTAAAGATGGTGCATTAGTGACTACCAAGGTCTAACATCTAATGGTCAAGCTTAGAAAGCCAATTTCTACTGACTCCTATACCAAAAAGCTAGCAAAGCTGGGATCCTTAACTTAAAAGGCAAATTCCACAGGCAACATGGAAATCCACACTCAGAGGCCATCATCTTTCAGTATTGGATACATTCTCTTTCTTAGTATAATAAGAATTTTGGAGGAGAGAGGAACAGGAACTTACCTAAGTGAACCCAAGTAAAGTAAGAGTTTATTCTAAGAGTGGAAATAGAAATGAGTAAAGGAAAAAAAAAAGAAATGGGTTAAAGAACCTCCACCAGCCAGGAGAATATTTTTTGAGAACACATAGAAAAATAAACCCCCATATCACCACTGACCCCACAGAAATACAAACTACCATCAGAGAATATTATAAACACTATGCAAATAAACTAGAAAATCCAGATGAAATGGATAAATTCCTGGAGACATATACCTTGCCAAGACTAAACCAGGAAGAAGTTGAATACCTGAATAGACTAATAACAAGTCTGAAATTGAAACAGTAATTAATAGCCTACCAACCAAAAAAAAAGCCCAGGACCGGATGGTTTCACAGCCAAATTCTACCAGAGATACAAAGAGGAGCTGGTACCATTCCTTCTGAAACTATTCCAAACAATTGAGCAGGAAAGACTCCTCCCTAACTCATTTTATGAGGCCAGAATCATCTTGGTATCAAAACCTGGCAGAGGCATAACATAAAAAAAGAAAACTTCATGCTAATATCTCTAACGAATATTGATGCGAAAATCCTCAATAGAATACTGGCAAGTCAAATCCAGCAGCACATCAAAAAGCTTATCCACCACAATCAAGTGGGCTTCATCCCTGGGATGCAAGGCTGGTTCAACATAGGCAAATCAATAAACATAATCCATCACATAAACAGAACCAATGACAAAAACCACATGATTATCTCAACAGATACAGAGAAGGCCTTCGATAAAATTCAACAGCCTTTCATGGTAAAAATTCTCAATAAACTAGGTATTGATGGAACATATCTCAAAATAATAAGAGCTATTTATGACAAACCCAGAGCCAATATCATACTGAATGGGCAAAAACTGGAAGCATTCCCTTTGAAAACTGGCACAGGACAAGGATGCCCTCTCTCACCACTCCTATTCAACATAGTATTGGAAGTTCTGGCCAGGGCAATCAGGCAAGAGAAAAATATAAAAGGTATTCAAATAGGAAGAGAGGAAGTCAAATTGTCTCTGTTTGCAGACAACATGATTCTATATTTAGAAAACCTAATTATCTCAGCCCCAAACCTCCATAAGCTGATAAGCAACTTCAGCAAAGTCTCAGGATACAAAATCAACGTCCAAAAATCACAAGCATTCCTATATACCAACAATAGCCAAGCAGAGAGCCAAATCATGAATGAACTCCCATTCACAATTGCTACAAAGATAATAAAATACATAGAAATACAGCTAACAAGGGATGTGAAGGACCTCTTCAAGGAGAGCTACAAACCACTGCTCAAGGAAATAAGAGAGGACACAAATAGAAAAACATTTCATCCTCATGGATAGGAAGACTCAATATCATGAAAATGGCCATACTGGCCAAAGTAATTTATAGATTCAGTGCTATTCCCATTAAACTACCATTGACATTCTTTACAGAATTGGAAAAAACTACTTTAAATTTCATATGGAACCAAAAAAGAGCCTATATATCCAAGACAATCCTAAGCAAAAAGAACAAAGCTGGAGGCATCACACTGCCTCACTTCAAACTATACTACAAGGCTACAGTAACCAAAACAGCATGGTACTGGTATCAAAACAGATATATAGACCAATGGAACAGGACAGAGACCTCAAAGATAACACTACACATCTACAACCATCTGATTGTTGATAAACTGGACAAAAACAAGCAATGGGGAAAGGACCCCCTGTTTAATAAATGGCGGGCGCTGGGAAAATTGGCTATCCATATGCAGAAAACTGAAACTGGACCCCTTCCTTACACCTTATACAAAAATTAACTCAAGATGGATTAGAGACTTAAAGGTAAAATTCAAAACCATAAAAACCCTAGAAGAAAATCTAGGCAATACCATTTACCATTCAAGACATAGGCATGGGCAAAGACTTCATGACAAAAATGCCAAAAGCAACTGCAACAAAAGCCAAAATTGACAAATGGGTTCTTATTAGATGAAAGGGCTTCTTCACAGTAAAAGAAACTATCATCAGAGTGAACAGGCAACCTACAGAATGGGAGAAAAATTTTGCAATCTACTTATCTGACAAAGGTCTAATATCCAGAATCTACAAGGAACTTAAACAAATTTACAAGAAAAAACAAACAACCCCATCAAAAGTGGGCAAAGGATATGAACAGACACTTCTCAAAAGAAGACATTTATGCATCTAACAAACATATGAAAAAAAGCTTAACATCACTGATCATTAGAGAAATGCAAATCAAAACCACAATGAGATGCCATCTCACGCCAGTCAGAATGGCGATTATTAAAAAGTCAAGAAACAGGCCAGGTGCAGTGGCTCACACCTGTAATCCCAAAGCTTTGGGATGCTGAGGTGGGTGGATCATGAGGTCAGGAGTTTGAGACTAGCCTGGCTAACATGGTGAAACCCCATCTCTACTAAAAATACAAAAAATTAGCCAGGTATGGTAGCATGTGCCTGTAGTCCCAGACAGGAGGCTGAGGCAGGAGAATTGCTCGAACCCGGCAGGCAGAGGTTGCAGTGGACCAAGATCACACCACTACACTCCAGCCTGGGTGACAGAGCAAGACTCTGTCTCAAAAAAAAAAAAAAAAAGTCAAGAAACAATAGATGCTGGCGAGGCTGTAGAGAAATAGGAAGGCTTTCACACTACTGGTGGGAATGTAAATTAGTTCAATCATTGTGGAAGACAGTGTGGTGATTCCTCAAGGATCTAGAACCAGAAAAACACTATTTGACCCAGCAATCCCATTACTGGATATATATGCCAAGGAATATAAATCATCCTACTATAAAGACACATGCACACATATGTTTATTGCAGTACTACTTACAATAGCAAAGACATGGAACCAACCCAAATGCCCATCATTGATAGACTGGATAAAGAAAATGTGGTACATATACACTGTGGAATACTATGCAGCCACAAAAAGGCATGAGATCATGTCCTTTGCAAGGACATGGATCAAGCTGAAAGCCATCATCCTTGGCAAACTGACACAGGAAAAAAAAACCAAACACCACATGTTCTCACTCGCAAGTGGGAGTTGAACAATGAGAACACATGGACACAGAGAGGGGAACAACACACACTGGGGCCAGTCAGGGGGTGGGGGTCTAAGGGAGGGAGAGCATTAGGAGAAATGGCTAATGCATGTGGGGCTTAAAACCTAGATGATGGGGTGATAGGTGCAGCAAACCACCATGGCACACTTATACCTATGTAACAAACCTACATGTTCTGCACTTATATCCCAGAACTTAAAGCAAATAAAAAAAGAAATAAGAAATAAGAAAACATACACACACACACACACACACACAACCAGTCAAAACAGATGTTACAAAATCCATGCACAACTTGTGCATTTTACTCAAAATTTTCTCAAATCTTCAAAAAGAAATTAAATTAAAATAGAAAAATAAATCCCCTAACCTCATGGGAAAAATAGGAACTATGGAGGATCAGCCTCAGAGAGATGAATAAGTTAGGGAGTTCATATCCAGGTTGGCTTTCGAACCCTCTTGATAGCAAGAGTTGATTTGTTGATTGAGCCTCTGTCATCAAAATGACTTGACTCTCGTCTTTGTTTTTCCTGATCCTAGAGCTGCCAGCCAACCAATTCACCCTTTCTTCCATAATTCTCTCCCTGTCTTAGTCACTTTGAGATGCTATGAAAAATTACCATAAACTGGGTAGCTTATAAACAACAGAAATTTATTTCTTACAGTCCTGGAGATTGGAAGTCTGAGATAAGGGTACCAGCATGGTCAGGTTCTGGCAAGGGCTCTCTTCTAGGCTGCAGATGCTGGCTTCTTGTTGTAGTCTCACATGGTGGGAAGAGGGCAAATGAGCTCTCTTGGGTCCCTTTTATAAGGCACTAATCCCATACCCCCAAGCCTTAATCACCTTTCAAAGGCCCTGCTTCCTAATACCATCCCATTGGGGGTTAGGATTTCAAAATGCATATTTGTGGGGAACACAGACATTCAGTCCAATTTACTGTCTCAGAGTTTGGACTGGCTCATAGCTTCTGCCTCCTCATTTCAGCATATCTGTGGGCCTGACCACCTCAAACCTTGACTTGTTAGCTTCTTTTCATTCCTTTATAAATCTTATTTCAAACTTTTAGTGAAGCAGATTCTGATTGGCCAAACTGATCCCTATTTGGAGTGAGATTTTTGTGCCAATTTACTTTAAAAGTTGTAGGGCAGCCTGTTAAATGTCTGACTCTTGCTTGAATTGGCTGTATATCTATAGAGGTTTGTGAGATTTGTGGGGATGAGAGGGTATGTGAGAAGCAGGGCAGGCCTATGTGGGTCAGAAGTTGGCCACTTCTGCTCAAGGAATGTAAACCATTCCTTTTACTATTCAGCCAGATAGGATCCAAACATTTGTTGATCTTTAGAATGTGCTAAGTACATGCATTTCATTTAATCTCACATCCCTAAGAGGTAGGTATCATTGCTCCCATTTGCAGATGGTAGAAGTGGTTAAGGCACTGTCTATGACAGAGCCTAGATTTACAATACATCTGCCTCACTCCAAAGACTTTGTTTCCTCCACAAATCAATGCTACTTCTCATCATTTCACCCCTAAACACGCTGAGAACTGAGGGGACACCGAAGGCAATATAAATGACATGAGGCTCTATGAAAAAAAATCTAGATAAAACAGATATTCATATATATTTTGTTTCTTGGTTTCATAGAGAGTTTGAAGAAAAGGGGCAAATAACATTCTTGCCTTGGCAACACCAAATACTGCTCAAATGCCAAAACCTGAACCGGATGATCTTTCAAAGATACAAGAAGAGCAAAATAGTTGTGTAACATTTATTCTGGGTTAAAAATCCTTTATTTGATATATATTAACTCCTTTAAGCCTCACAACAACCCCATGAAGTAGGTACTTTACCATCTCCATTTTACAGGTGGGGAAACTGAGGCAGGGAGCGGGGATGCCCATGGTCCCCCAGCTGTCAGCTGCAGAGCCAGGACTCAAATCCAGCCTGCTTAGCTCCATAGTCCACAGAGGCTGCGCTTTTCAATTGCTCTGTGCTCTTGTTCAGTATGTGCACAAATCCTCATTTCTATGAGCATGTTCCAGCTGTCCACTTTATAAAAGAAAATTTTTTCATTCTTTAGATGTAATTTTTGAAATTTTGCTACGATAAAAGAGGTGTAAATCCATCATGGATAAAAAAGCCTGTCATGGTTTTCAAAGCAGCTCCATATACCAATATTTGAATTATTATTTCAGAATACCTTCCCATCTGTTTAAGACTGACATGTGAAGAGCCATGAGTCACAAGGAAGTCTGTAAACAATATAGTATCAAGCATTAATTGTATCATTTACTCTTGAAAAAAAGAGATGATTCCTGAATACTGAAGTGTTCTCATTGTTGCTATAACAACTTCAGTTTGCTATTATGATTTTCTCTGTTCAATGGAAATGCTTATGTTTAACAGAAATAAGTTTCATGAGGTTTAAAAATATTATGTATCTAATTCATGGCACTTACAAATTCATTTATCAAGAAAAATAATGAGCAACTGGCAAAAGGTAATGAATGAAATTCCTCAAGAAATGAACTTAGAGAAGTTCATTGTGAAACGTGCTCTGCATAAAGCACTCTACTGACTGTGGCCATGAGTTATTCCTACCCTAGAAGGTAGGCAGCATGTGAACCAAGACTTGGGTGCTCTGTGCCTGTTGTAAACCTGGCACCCAGAACAATGCCTGCCACAGACATTTGCTGAATAAATGATAAACAAATGGTAGAATCCTCTCATTTAAGCCGACAGTCAGTCTTTAGTTTATCTCCCATTGATATCAAGTAGAACACATGACACTTGCCTTAACCCAGAGATTCAGATTTTCTGGGTTTTTAAGTTCTTGCTTGAATCTTGATTTTCCTGCATAGATGTGTACTCAGCAAGTAATTAAACACTGATGAATTGTTAACATTCAAGGAAACAGATACAAGTCTTATAATTTATAACTCAGAAAATAATCAATGATTTTTCCAAATTACAGAGCTAATTTAGTCCTTATTGCTCCCTTCAAATACACATGAGTCTGGCCAGTAAGAGTGCAAGGTACAGGTCAAAGGTGCCTAAAAGCAAGCATACAGGCAGTATAGAGACAGTCTTCCTGCAAAAGAGAATTTTCCAAGGCTCTGCTGAGCCACTACCTTCCCATAACCCTAATCTGACAGTTGAAATGCCATTAGTCACTGGGGCAGGGGACAGACATCCCTGAATTCGCTGGAGTAGATGTTGCTCTGACTGTGATCACTTGTGGATTACTCACAAACCACACCAGCGGGGAAGGAAGCAGATTCCAAGACTACAGGCAGCAAATCCTGCAAAAACCTATGGGTGTGAATGAAAAGGAAAGAGCCACTGCACCAACCACATCAATGAATGTGATTCTCTCATTATCACGTCTCTTGCCTCACACATGTTGCACTTGAAGGCAGGTGCCCAGGATATTCTGGGGAAAGCAGGACACACCTGTCAGTATTTTTTGCCCTTCCTCTTCTCTTCCTACCTCTCTTTCCCCACTACCAGCTACACACACACACACACACACACACACACACACACACACACACACACACACACTTAAGCATGCAAAACCAGGCCAAACGTTTCTTATAGGGGCTCCTAGTCAAAGTTTTAGGATATACAAAATTGGAAGAGTTCGGGATGTTTGGAGGTCATGAGAACAATATTTGGAGTGGCACCAAAGAAATATAATAGTCAAATATCTCTGAAGGTCTTGAAGGAAAAATATGGTAACTGAAAAGTTATTTTTGGAATATCTTTAGAACTCAATTCTAAGATGCCACAAATTGTTAAGATGTGCCATAGATTTCATACAAGCTTCTCAGAAGAAAAAAAAAATCCACAGCCTGGGCGTGGTGGCTCACGCCTGTAATCCCAGCACTTTGGGAGGCTGAGGCGGGTGGATCATGACGTCAAGAGATCGAGACCATCCTGGCCGACATGGTGAAACCCCGTCTCTACTAAAAATACAAAAATTAGCTGGGCATGGTGGTGTGTGCCTGTAGTCCCAGCTACTCGGGAGGCTGAGACTGGAGAATTGCTTGAACCCGGGAGGTGGAGGTTGCAGTGAGCTGAGATTGCGCCACTGCACTCCAGCCGTGACAGAGCAGGGGGGAAAAAACCCACAAGATAATTGTGCAAACATATACTTTTAATAACTGACGAAAGTATTCATATACTCTATAATTATAGACTAACCTTCTCTTCAGTGTAATGGGTAAAGTTTAAGTCAAAGATCTGTTCAGATATATAGTCTAAAGAACCTTGGGATTCACTTTGAGCCACTGACAGATATGCATGGCATTATGGTGACAGGCTGTTTTTCATAACCAGTGCCCATCATTTTGGTTCCTTTTGCTCTTGAAGATTGACAGTATAATTCTGAGGGATATTGAAACATATCAGCATTTCTTCTGCATTTTCCATTTTGTTAAACTAATAGTTTCATATTTTTCTTTCATTAAATTCCATATCACTGGAAATTAAACAGCTTTTCTTGAAAGTCAGTCCAAAGCTTTTGACAGATATGTTACTCATAAAAGTTGAGTCTCTTCACAGCCCATCTTGGCATGGTGTCACCTTCCCAAGAAAAACCAATCTTAAAGTCCAGAAGTAATCAAAAAGCAATTTAAATTTAGTGTAATCTTTAAAAAATGCCCCTGAAATATTTTATTTATATGACATACAAAAACATTTTAAATACTCTTTCTCCATCTCTCTCTCACTCTTCTCCCTCTACTCTGACCCAAACAGAAATAAAACAAACAGCTCCCTAATAGTTTCTAAAGCCCATCCCTTCAGTTGACTGTTCTCCTCTCCCTTCTATTCTGATTTAGGATTTCTTTTTCTCTTCCTAAGAAACCCTCTCTCCTTCTCAGTGTGAATCGCCAAGCTGGCTTTGTCTTCTCCTCACCAGTGACCTGATATTGTCCTATCAAGGGTAGATATTTGGGGCTTGAGTAATGATTCTTCACGTACATCAATAGATGACTCCCAAACTCTCCTAGCTTTGAAATATTTTGTTTGTTCAGAATTTAGCAATTTCTTCTGTCTTAAATTTGATCACCTGGCAGGTGTCGGTCAATCATAATGACATGTACCCAAGCATAATCATTTTGAGAGCATTTTAAGCAACACTCAACAAATCTAAGTTTAACTAAGGCTCAATATTAATTGTTCAAAGGCTAATTCTGTACATTTTGTACATTTGTAGATAATAACTACACCAAGACTTAACTGTTCTACATGCAACTGTGATTTTCTCTTATCATTGGTTGTAAGAAATATCTGAATTTCAGAATGGTTATGTTATAAATTTGAAGAAATATGGTATGTGGGATACTCTAGGGTTTCTGTGGGTCACATGTACAATATTAAGAGGAAGTTGGTTATTAAGGGACTGAATCCATTCTGTTTTTCAAATTACACCAAAAAATTGTAAGTTAGGATATTTCTAATGAGTTTAGTAAAGCAACTAAAGTAATCCTAATCATCTTTGCATTTTTCCTTCCATTTTAAAAATGAAGATATAATTTACATACAGTACTATTCACCCAGTTAGGGTACAGTTCTGCAATTTTTGACAAATGCATACAGTCATGTAACTACCATCTCAGTAAAAATGGAAGACAATCCTTACAGTTTTGCCTTTTCCAGAGTGTCATATAAGTGGAATCACACACTATGTAGTCTTTTAAATTTGACTCTGCCCACTTACAATATGCCATTCAAAATTCATCCACATTGTTGAGTGTATCAGTAGTTCATGCCTTTTTATTGCTGAGTATTATTCTATTGCAATGCACCACAGTTTGTTTCTCATTTCTCCAGCTGAGGGACACTGGTTTGAGCCACTTTGTTTTATGCCTTCCTCAAGGTGTCAACTCCATGTCATTTGGACCATAACTTTCAGTCCCTGATTCTCAGCCCAAATGTTCTCATATAGATTTTAGCTGATCTAATATAATTTTAAATAACTATCTTTCCAAATTTCTCATTTTCTAGTTAGCTTTTATTGATCATTATTTTTGTTGGGTTGTGAAATAAAACAAAGTAAATAGAGGAAAGTACGGAATTTGGAATTTTAAACAACCTGAATTCAAATTTAATACTCAACAGTTACTTAATCCCTTTACCACTCAGTTTCCCAATTGTAAAGGGATCAGAATGTCTATTCACCATCTTCTGATGAATTATGGTAATACATCTGCAGGAATCAGAGCTCCTGGAAGGTAAAAAATACTTAATAACATTAGCTCCTATTAATACTTACGCTCTTGATCTGATGGTATAGCTCTTTTGAGTATTACTTTATGGATTTAAATTTGTTTTTACTCATTTGGGATTTATATTTTTATTTTTGGTTTTGGTTTGCTTCTTTTGTTTCTCTTTCCTTTTCTCTCTTTCCATCAGGGACTTAGCCATAAAGGAAATAAGTGGCAGAAGAAGAACACTAAAGCTCCCTATAAGTCTTTTTTTGCATTTATTTCACTAAAAGCTGCAGGCTGAGTTTCTTGGAAGAAATGCAAAGAGAAACAGATCTCCCCTCTGCTAGAAGTCCTTCTTGGGGGAGGAGGTGGTAGAAGGAGTGGAAGGTGGTGCAGAGGAGGCTGGGATGAGTGAGAAAAGTACATCCTGACGAGGACACCAGCATAGTGGCACAACCCCACAAAGGAGACCCCGAGAGGAAAGGGAGCAAGACACACATCTAGCAAAATGGACTTTCAGCAACCTGTCCCAAAAACGCCTGTACCTCAAGCATGAGCAGGGAGCTGCGGGACACTGGGACCTGATGAGACTGTACAGACAGAAATTAAGTATATTTCAACAGCATTTTGTGGGTCCTACTGACTGATGTAAGAACAGCAGCACCCTCTCTCCCAAATTTGGGCATTGTGTAAGTTCTCAGAAACTTGGCAAAATTCCAGGAACTGAAGGAACAGGGGAGAGAACAACAACAACAACAAAAAAACCCTAGATTTTCTCCCTTTTCTGCCAATCTGACAGAATTAATGCTTAGAGTCATAAATTAAGTTCAATTAGAGATATGTCTTGCACACCTGAGCTTGTGAACTCACTATAGCTATAATTACAGAGGAAGAATGCAAACATAATTTCCCTCCCCAACTCATGTTGTTTCACATGTTAATCAAAATGTATAAATGAGAGTGGCTATGAGGTGCATAAGTGTTATCATCAGTCAAGGGGGTGATAATCAAAGCCATATTTCTACAATAAACCAGGAAATTCTTAAAATCCTAAATTGTTTCCAATAATCATTCTTTATGAACAATACATTAACAAATTATATTGCCCTAATCACTTGGGAAAGGAGCAGGCTGAGAATTGTTACACTTTTTATATCAATCACCGTTTTCCTCAGGTGAACACGTTGAAAGTAAGGTATTACCATGCATATAATCAATAGCTTCCCTGAATATTTACTATTATATTTACTCACTATTTACTCATTCATTCATTTGTTCATCCACTCACTCACCAACTGCCTAGCAGGTTCTAGACACCATGGTCAAACATTAACGTCATCTGGATGTGTGCAAAGTCTTTGACTACTCTCATTTGACCTTTCTTTTATTCTTGACATGTATCTGACCTCCATTTTCTGAGGATGAAAATCAGGCCCAGGGAACATGCCTAAGACCCTGACAGAGTTCAAGGGTTCAGATTCCTTTCATTAGGAGAAAAGAATTCTAAGTGGTGAGAGCCCCACTGTTAACCTACAGTGAATTCCCAGAATCCTGCTAAAGGCACTTTAAAAAATAGAGTTTCTGCAATAATGGAAAGACATACTAACACTGTCATTATACTTCCACTGTGGGGAGATCCTGAAACAGCACAGGCTGACAACTCTTTTGGGATAAATTAAGAACCACTCTGAAATAAAACCAACAATTCAAACATTTGAAAGAAAAAATTCAAACATTTGAAAGAAAAATGCTACAAATATTTGGTGATTATTTTCTCTAAAGACCTTTTAAATTTGCTGGCATTATAGATGATTAGAATAAAAAATTTAAAATATCTGAAGAAGAGTTATTGTTTTAAACCTCAAGATATATTTAGGAAGACATTTGAGCTTGCAAATTTCTAATCTTCCTTTTTTAAATTTTGGATATTTTTTAGCCAAATAAAATTGACTCAAAAGTTCTTAGGCCTTGTCACTAACCTTTGCTCCGAGAAGGAAAATCTGAAAAATTAGTTTATTTATTTATTTATTTATTTTATTATACTTTAAGTTTTAGGGTACATGTGCACATTGTGCAGGTTAGTTACATATGTATACATGTGCCATGCTGGTGTACTGCACCCACTAACTCATCATCTAGCATTAGGTATATCTCCCAATGCTATCCCTCCCCCTCCCCCCACCCCACCACAGTCCCCAGAGTGTGATATTCCCCTTCCTGTGTCCATGTGATCTCATTGTTCAATTCCCACCTATGAGTGAGAATATGCGGTGTTTGGTTTTTTGTTCTTGCGATAGTTTACTGAGAATGATGATTTCCAATTTCATCCATGTCCCTACAAAGGACATGAACTCATCATTTTTTATGGCTGCATAGTATTCCATGGTGTATATGTGCCACATTTTCGTAATCCAGTCTATCATTGTTGGACATTTGGGTTGGTTCCAAGTCTTTGCTATTGTGAATAGTGCCGCAATAAACATATGTGTGCATGTGTCTTTATAGCAGCATGATTTATAGTCCTTTGGGTATATACCCAGTAATGGGATGGCTGGGTCAAATGGTATTTCTAGTTCTAGATCCCTGAGGAGTCGCCACACTGACTTCCACAAGGGTTGAACTAGTTTACAGTCCCACCAACAGTGTAAAAGTGTTCCTATTTCTCCACATCCTCTCCAGCACCTGTTGTTTCCTGACTTTTTAATGATTGCCATTCTAACTGGTGTGAGATGCTATCTCATTGTGGTTTTGATTTGCATTTCTCTGATGGCCAGTGATGGTGAGCATTTTTTCATGTGTTTTTTGGCTGCATAAATGTCTTCTTTTGAGAAGTGTCTGTTCATGTCCTTTGCCCACTTTTTGATGGGGTTGTTTGTTTTTTTCTTGTAAATTTGTTTGAGTTCATTGTAGGTTCTGTATATTAGCCCTTTGTCAGATGAGTAGGTTGCGAAAATTTTCTCCCATTTTGTAGGTTGCCTGTTCACTCTGATGGTAGTTTCTTTTGCTGTGCAGAAGCTCTTTGGTTTAATTAGATCCCATTTGTCAATTTTGGCTTTTGTTGCCATTGCTTTTGGTGTTTTGGACATGAAGTCCTTGCCCATGCCTATGTCCTGAATGGTGATGCCTAGGTTTTCTTCTAGGGTTTTTATGGTTTTAGGTCTAACATTTAAGTCTTTAACCCATCTTGAATTAATTTTTGTATAAGGTGTAAGGAAGGGATCCAGTTTCAGCTTTCTACATATGGCTAGCTAGTTTTCTCAGCACCATTTATTAAATAGGGAATCCTTTCCCCATTGCTTGTTTTTCTCAGGTTTCTCAAAGATCAGATAGTTGTAGATATGCGGCGTTATTTCTGAGGGCTCTCTTCTGTTCCATTGATCTATATCTCTGTTTTGGTACCAGTACCATGCTGTTTTGGTTACTGTAGCCTTGTAGTATAGTTTGAAGTCAGGTAGTGTGATGCCTCCAGTTTCGTTCTTTTGGCTTAGTTTTGTGTTGCTAAGTAATACTAATTTATAGAAGTAAATTATCCGAGCTGGCCGATAAATTCTCAGAAACAAAGATAATTCTAGTGTTTTTTGTAAAGCAATCTAAGTAGAAAGTTCTAAACACAATTTGGGAATTTGAATCCAAGATTAAAAATGGTAAGATCTGAAAGTTAATACAAGAATGTTGAGAAGTAGCTGAATAAAAGATTGGACATATACTGCACACCTCAAGGTTAGGTCCTTGCACAGAAAGCAGTTTCTGTCTACTTCCCATGGCCACTCATGAGTATCAATATAGACAGCTATTGGAGTGGATCTCACTGTTAAAATAATCATAGCAACAATATAATAATGTAACTCACTCCATTCCGCTGAAAGTAGGAGGAAAATAGGACCTGATGTATGGAAGTTAGCCAAGTAGCTCTTGGTCTTAGATTTCTCATCTGTGAATTGACAGAGTTGAACTTTATCTCATCAACTCTATGCTTGTACTCAGTCTAATTCTTATGTTAAATCACTCCGGATAATGAAGTAATGTTTTCTGGATTTAAGAAAAGTTTCCTGAAACAAAATTCTTCCATTTAGTAGTTTCATCCACCTGGACTCCTATGGCCCCTTAGCCACATAATCAATATGGCTGTGATGTCCAATATTACATAAGTATTCCTGAAGTAAGTAACCTTAGGAAACAAATATTGTGACTCTGGAAAAACCTAAGAAAATTGTTTATAAAGTTCTGTTATAGTCCAATGATTGTATGCATTTAGGGGAGAAAACAACCTTGACTACATTAAGAAAACTGTCAAGAAAATAAATTAGTTGTATTAGATATAGATATAGATACAGATAACACAGTCACATATATACATTGAAAAATGTATATATGTGCTATCTATAACAAATTCACGTTGAAGAGAAAAACAAGATACATTAAAAGCAAAATGATGGAGAAAGATATACCATGCAAGCCACTAATCAAAAGAAAACTGGAATAGTTATATTAATTTCAGTCCAAGTAGATTTCAGGGCAAGGGAGATTATCAGGGATAAAGATGGACACAACGTAATGATAAACAAAACAATTCTCCCAGAAGACAAGAAAATCTTAAATATTTATTTAACAACAGATCTTCATAAAACATGAAGTAAAAACCTGACATATCTGAAAGGAGAAATAGACATGCCCACAATTACAATTTGAGATTTCAACACCTTTCTCTTGGGAATTGATAGAACAAGTAAGCAGGCAATCAGTAAGACTGTATACAACCTGAACAGTGCAATCAACCAACTTGGTGCAGGTAATATTTAGAGAGCACTTCACCCAACAACAACAGAAGACATATTCTTCTCAAGTACATATGGACATTCCTAACACACACCATATTCTCAGCTATAACAAAACCTTAACACATTGAAAATAGAAATCATATAATGAATATCCTCTGACCACAGCAAAATTAAACCAGAACACAATAATAGAAAGATATCTGAAAATTTTCCAAATATTTGGAAGTTAAATAAAACGCTTCTAAATAACATGAGTTCAAGAGAAACCTCAAAGGAAATTTTTTAAATTTTTGAACGAAATAAAATTACAGATATCAAAATTGGGGGGGATACAGCTAAGCAGTGCTTAGAGGAAAATTTGTAGCATTAAATGCATATGTTGGAAAGTAAAAATATTTAAAGTGATAGCCTAAGCTTCAAACTTAAGAAACTAGAAAAAATAAGTTAAATCTAAACAAAACAGAAAGAAGAAAATAATAAATATTCAAGCAGAAATAAATGGAATTAGCCCCTAAAATCTGGAACAAGTCAAGGATGTCCATTCTCGCAATTTCTATTCAACTTTGTACCAGAGGTAGGGCCAGGGCAATTAGGTAAGGAAATGAAACAAAACATATCTAGATTGGAAGGGAGGAAATAAAACTATTTCTATTTGCAGATGACATAATATCGTAAAAAGAAAATCCTAAGGAATCCACTAAAAATCTATTAGAACTAATAAATGAGCTCATCAAAGTTGTGGGATATAAGAACAATATACAAAAATCTACTGTATTTAGGCACTAGCTATGAAAACTCAAAATACAAAACTAAGAAAAATATTACATTTATAATGGCATCAAAAAGAATAAAATGGAGACTGGGTATGGTGGCTCATGCCTGTAATCTCAGCACTTTGGGAGGCCAAGGTGGGAGGACTGCTTGAGCTCAGGACTTTGAGACGAGCCTGGGCAACATGGTGAGACCCTATCTCTACAAAAAATACAAAAATTAGTCAGCTGTGATGCCGTGTACCTGTTGTCCCAGCTACTTGGGATGCTGAGATTGAAGGATCTCTTGAACCCGGGAGGTTAAGGCTGCGGCAAGCTATGATCACACCACTGCACTCTAGCCTGGGCAACATAGTGAAATCCTGTCTCAAAATAAATAAATAAATAAAATAAAATAGAAATAGAAATAAATTTAACAAAGAAATATAAAGCATTGCTGAATGTTACTTGAGAAAATGTAAGTGGAAGACACTCCAAGTTCATGGATAAGAAGATTTAATATTGTTAAGATGGTAATATGCCCCAAATTAATCTACAGATTCCATGCAATTCATATCAAATTTTCAGCTAGGCTTTTACAGATATAGACAAGCTGATCTTGAAAATCATATGGAAACTCAAAGAACCTGGAATAGCCAAAAACAATCTAGAAAAGAATAAACAAAATTGGAGAACTCTGATTTTCCAATTTCCAAATGTCATACAAAGCCACAGTAATCAAAACTGAATGGCACTGACACAAGGGTAGTGAAATGATTTTCATCAAGAGTGCCAAGACAATTCAATGGTGAAAGAATAGTCTTTTCAACAAATGATACTAGGACAACTGGAGAGTCATATGCAAAACATAAAGTTGAATCCCTTCTTCATATTATACACAAAAATTAATTCAAAATAGATCATATCTAACATCACTCCTAAAGGAACTAGAAAAACAAGAATAAACTAACCAAAAATCTAGCAGAAAAAACAAGTAAAATTAAAAGAGAATTGAACAAAACTGATATCAAAATTCTTAGAAATTATCAAAACCAAAAGTTTGCTCTTTGAAAGGATAAACAAAATTCATAGATCAGTAGCTAGATTAACAAAGAAAAAAGGACAGAAGATCCAAATAAGCACAATCAGAAGCAACAAAGGTAACATTACAACCGATGCCACAGAAATACAAAAGATCCTCAGAGACTCTTATAAACACCTCCATGTACGCAAATTAGACTATCTAGAGGAAATAAATTTCTGGCAACATATAACCTTCTAAGGTTGAACCAGAAAGAAACTGACCAGATCAATATCAAGTTCTGAAGTTGACTCAGTAATAAAAAACTTACCAACCCAAAAAAGCCCCAGACCAGATGAATTCACAAATTCTACCAGACATACAAAGAAGAGCTGGTACCAATCCTAATGAAATTATTCCAAAAAAACGAGGAGGAGGGACTCCTCCCTAACTCATTCTATGAAGCTAGCATCACGCTGATACCAAAACACAGCAGAGACACAATGAAAAATGAAAACTGCAGGCCAATATTCCTAATGAACACAGATGTAAAAATCCTCAACAAAATACTGGCAAACTGAGTCTGGCAGCACATCAAAAAGTAAATTAATGTCTGGGTGCGGTGGCTCATGCCTGTAATCCCAGCACTTTGGGAGGCCAAGGTGGGCAGATCACAAGGTCAGGAGATCGAGACCATCCTGGCTAACACAATGAAACCCCGTCTCTACTAAAAAAAAATACAAAAAATTAGCTGGGCATGGTGGCAGGCACCTGTAGTCCCAGCTACTCACGCTGAGAATAGTGTGAACCCGGGAGGTGGAGCTTGCAGTGAGCCGAGATCATGCCACTGCATTCTAGCCTGAGCGACTGAGCCAGACTCTGTCTCAGAAAAAAAAAAAAAAAAAAAAAAGGAAATTCACCACAATCAAGTAGGCTTCATTCCTGGGATGCAAGGATGGTTCAACATATGCAAATCAATAAATGTGATTCACCACATAAACAGAATTAAAAACGAAAATTATATGACATAGAAAAAGCTTTCAATAAAATGCAACATACCCTTATGACAAAAACTCTCAACAACTTGGCATCAAAGGAACATGTCTCAAAATAATAAAAGCCATCTATGACAAACCCACAGCCAACATCATACTGAACGGGCAAAAGCTAGAAGCATTTCCCTTGAGAACTGGAACAAGAAAAGGATGTCTACTCTCACCACTCCTATTCTATGTAGTACTAAAAGTACTAGTCAGAGAAGTCAGGCAAAAGAAATAAATAAAGAGCATCCAAACAGGAAAAGAGAAAGTCAAGTTAACTCTCTACACTGATGATATGATTCCATACCAATCAGTTAAAAAAAAAAAAAAAAGAGAGAGAGATTCTATCCCTAGAAAACCCTAAGAACTCTGCCAAAATGTGCCTGTAACTGATCAATGACTTTGGTAAAGTTTTAGGAAACAAAACCAATGTAGAAAAATCAGTAGAATTCCTATACAGCAATAATGTTCAAAGTGAGAGCTAAATAAAAAAATGCAATCCTATTTACAATAGCCACAAAAAAAAATACCTAGGAATACCTCTTAATCAAGGAGGTGAATGATCTCTATAGGAGAACTATAAAATACTACTGAAAGAAATCACAGGTGACACAAACAAATGGAAAAAACTTCCATGCTTCTGGATTGGAAGAATCAATGTTCAAATGGCCATACTGTCCAAAGCAAACTACAGATTCGATGCTATTCCTATCAAATTACCAACATCATTTTTCACAGCATTAGGAAAAACTACTATAAAATTCATAGAAACCAAAAAAAGAGTGTGACTAGCCAAAGCAATCCTAAGCAAAAAGAACAAAGCTAGAGGCATCACATTTCTCAACTTAAAACTATACTGCAAGGCTATAGTAACAAAAACAGCATGGTATCTATAAAAAATCAGACACATAGACCAATGGAACAGAATAGAGAATCCAGAAATAAAGCTGCACAGCTGCAGCCTGATCTTTGACAAAGTGCACAAGAATTAGCAATGAGAAAAGGACTCCCTATTCAATAAATGGTTCTGGGATAGCTGGCTAGGCTTATGCAGAAAAATGAAACTCGACCCCTACCTTTTACTATATACAAAACTTAACTCCAGGTGGATTAAAGGCTTAAATGTAGGACTTCAAACTATAAAAACCCTAGAAGAAACTCTAGGAAATACCATTCTGAACATCAGCCTTGGGAAATAATTTATAACTAAGTCCTTAAAAGCAACTGCAACAAAAAGAAAAACTGACAATTGAGAACTAATTAAAGAGCTTCTGTACAGCAAAAGAAACTATGAATAGAGTACACTGACAACCTACAGAATAGAAGAAAGTATTCACAAACTATGCATCTGACAAAGGTTTAATATCCACGATCTATGAGGAACTTAATTCAACAAGCAAAAAACAAATAACCCCATTAAAAAGTAGGCAAAAGACATGAACAGACACTTCTTCAAAGAAGACATATAAATGACCAACAAACATATGAAAAATGCTCAACATCACTAATCATTAGAGAAATGCAAATCAAAACCACAATGAAATACTATCTCACACCTGTCAGAATGGCTATAATGAAAAAGTCAAAAAATAACAAGCAAGACAGTGAGAAAAAGAGAACACATATACGCTGTTGGTAGGAATGTAAATTAATTTAACACTGTGGAAGGCAGCATGGAGATTTCTCAAAGAACATAAAACAGAACTACCATTTGACCCAACAATCCCATTACTGGGTGTATACCCAAAGGAAAATAAATCCAAAAAGATACATGCACTCATATGTTCTACCAAAAAGACAGTGCTATTCACAATAGCAAAGACATGGAATCAACCTAGGTGTCCATCAACAGTGGATTAGATAAAGAAAATGTGGTATATATCCACCATGGAATACTACACAGCCATAAAAAAGAATGAAATCAAGTTATTTGTGGCAACGTGAATGCAGCTGGAGGCCATTATCCCAAGTGAATTTACTCAGGAACAGAAAACCAAACACCATATATTGTCACTTGTAAGGGAGCTAAGCATTGGGTACACATGGACATAAAGATAGAAACAATAGGCACTGAGGACTACTAGAATGGGAAGAGAGGTAGAGGGGCTGAAAAAGTACCTACTGGGTGTTATACTCACTGCCTGGATGATGGGATCATTTGTACTCCAAACCTCAGCATCATGCAGTATACCCATGTAACAAACCTGCACGTGTACCCTCTGAATCTAAGACAGAAGTTGAAATTATAAAAAAAAGATAAATGAATTGAATTTTAGCTTTAAAAAATGCATCATATACCTAAATATAAGGGCTAAAACCATAAAATTATTAAAGTATGAGAATAAGTGTGGCTACAGTTAACAATATTGCATTTTATATTCCAAAATCGCTAGACGAAGGGATGTTGAATGTTTTCACCATAAAGAAATGATAAATGTATAAGATTATGGTCATGTTAAATACTCTGCTTTGGTTCTCACACATTGTTTAAATGTATCAAAACTGTACCCCATAAATATGTACAATTATTATGTGTCAATAAAAAACAAAGGAGAAAAGAAAGTATGGGAGTACATCTTCATGACCATGGATGAGGTAAAGCCTTCTTAGATATGACACTGAAAGCATAAGAAACAAAAAATAAAATGGGTAAATTGAACTTGTTTAAAATTTAAAACTTTTGTACATGAAAGGATACTTTTAAGAAAGTGAAATGGCAACCCACAGAACAGGATAAACTAATATGCAAATCAGATAAGGGTCTAGTATCCAGAATATATAAAAAGAACTCTTACAGTTCAATAATAAAAATGCAAATGGCCCAATTTAAAAATTAGCAAAGGACTTGATAAATATTTCTCCAAAGAAGATATACTAATAGCCATCTTGAAGCTTTTTTACCAGCTGATTCTCAATAATTTTTGTCTTTCCTCCACTCTTGCTTTCGCATTGCCCTGGCTACACCCCAAAAGGGGACATCACAAGAAATTGTACCCTTTGAAATCTGAAGTACTTTCATCCCAGTGTCTCATCACTAACTGTGCCTACTTCATTGCTTTTTCAACCTCCTGAGCCCTCTCATCTCTTTTTTCCAGTCTATCAATGCTTCTTCTGCATACACACATAAATACACACACAAAGGAATGATGCTGGGTATTATATCCCTAGTGATGGACAAATAAACAAGGTGAAAATGATGACAATGATGACAATGATTCTGATAAACGCATACCAGTAAGTGATCAAGGGCCTCCCTGGAGTAAACCCCATCCCGCCGGGTGAGAACGTACTTCACCCCCTTTCCAAAATCAACAGAACCTGATCAAAGCAAAAGGATTTGTTATCCCTCAAGAAACCTCCTAGTAGCTGATGGCTTTGCCAGTGTTATTGTTCTAAGCCCAATCACTTCAGATAAAATTATGATGCCACATTCTGAGACCTAAAGTATTTCCCTTCTCTGCTAACTTTGTCTCCTTTTCTCCCTCACCCTCCCTTGAAAACCCCTTTCTTTCTTAGAGTTCCCCCCACCCTCTGTGTCTTCTTCATCTTGGCTGGGAACACATGCTGGTCCCTCTGAGGGAAATGTCCGTTTAGCAGCCCTTGTTTCTCCGTGTGTTTTTGGTCTCCGTAGGCTGCTCCTATAACTTCTCCATACCTGCTCTCTAGACAGCTGATACTTATCAGTAGTGAAAACCTGCCCCAATGTGATAAATATAATTTTTGTCTGCTTGGCAGCAGGTTACACACAAGGAAGTGCACAGAAAGTTGCTAAAAGGCACATATTCCCAGGGTTACCTGGCTAACAAGCAACGATAAGGGAAGAAGAGATCAAATGAATTGGATAAATGCAGTAAAGAGAGAGAGAAGAGCTCAATGTATGATAAATTGTCAAAGATGCAGGTTTTGAGAAAAATGGACCAACTTTATTAAAGAAGATTTTAAAAGTTGTTTAGATTTGGTAACTCTCATCTTTAAAAAAAATACATAAAAACAAAACATTTCTTGAATTTCCCGCTAAAAAGTTTAAATCATTACAGTTCTGTTTTGTTAATTTTTGCAATACTTAAACAAAAAATGGCATAAAAAGCCCCACCTTAAAAGACCGTGTTCAGAACTGTTTTCTTTGTCCCTCTCATGTTCATACCAGTTGGTGTCCTCTTTCTGCAGGGGCCTTATATCTGTTCTGAGCCACATCATTGTGTAAATGCTCTGAAGTATGAGGTAGGAGTGGCTCCCTGGCAGTGGTCTCTGTTTGCATGCCCACAGTGATTCTAGAAAACATCTGGGCCATATGGTGCTCAAGTCCCGGATGCCAATTTGGATGTACTGAAAGAAGAACTGAAACATAGAAGTAGAGATGCCAAGCAGAAACCAGGGTAAGAGCAGGCAAAGTTTCTTAGGTTCTTCTCTTGGTGGGGGGACCTCAAACCCTACCAGACCACCCAGCATTGCAAAAACCTTCCTGGCAGGGCTGCAATCTGGAAGTGCAATTCCACACCTCACCCTAACCCAGGTCTGAACTACCACCCAAGGGGCAGGGGTCAAAGCTTCCCATTCATACCCACGTTCTCTGATTTGCAATCTTACCCTCAGCCTCCGTGTTGTCATTCAATTCAGAGAAAGCCTTTCAACGAGGCCACAGAGGTCACGGAGACGACTCAAGCTCTTGCGAAGGCGGAGTTTCCCATTTCCTGACTTAACATCTGCCACTCAGTTTGAGGCTCTCTTTCTTCCTCTTAGCTTTAAAGAAGAAAAATTATTGAATAGCCCAGGGCTAGGGGTAGCAAAAAAATCTCATTACTTCTTCTCTGCTGTCTTCTCTCAGGATGCATTTCCTAGTCAATATTCTTGCAACAAATCATTTTTAATTTGAAAGTCACACTCCTCCATAAAAATGTACACAAATATTAGGAGGCTAGGCAGGGAATTGCTGTGCTCAGCATATTGTAAATACAAGAACTGTTTCCCTAATGCAAGAGGCATAAATTATCAATTTATCTTTCCATGGCTGTCTCATCTGGTTATAAATGATAGCAGAGTTTTAACTAAATATAAATATTGAAGTTCATTAAACAACTAAGATTTCATCCAAAAACAAAAACAAAACAGTAGAAAACTGGGGCTTATGTCGCATCTAAGCAAATGAAAGCAGGGTAAAAATTGGTTTAAGTTAAAGAAAATAATATTTAAATGTTGCTTGGAAGTTGATTTAAAAAACAAAGTAAACCTAAAGACTTGAATAAAGATGAAAATGACCTTTAAATTATTTTTACTTTATTGCAAATAGAATTAAAACTAGTTATTGGCCCGGCACGGTGGCTCACGCCTGTAATCCCAGCACTTTGGGAGACTGAGGCAGGCAGATCACCTGAGGTCAGGAGTTCGAGACCCACCTGGCTAACATGGTGAAAGCCCATTTCTGCTAAAAATATAGAAAAAAAAATTAGCTGAGCATGGTGGCATGCGCCTGTAATCCCAGCTACTCTGGAGGCTGAGGCAGGAGAATTGCTTAAACCTAGGAGGCAGAGGTTGCAGTGAGCTAAGATCACGACATTGCACTCCAGCTTGGGCAACAAGAGTGAAAAACTCCACCTCAAAAAAACTAGTTATTTACTTGCAAATAATTACTGAGATTCTATGAAGTTTAATTCTGCAAGTAATATTTGTATGTTGCTTATCATAGACTAAAGTAGGAAGAATGAAAGTTATTTTTGTGTTTTTCCATGGACTTAGAGAACACAGTCTGAGAGATACTCCACGAGTGAGTTCAAGTAAAGGAGGATCAGTGTTTTACATTTCTGAATATGAATGTGGGTGGAGTGTGTGTAAGTGTATGCATTTATGTGAGGGGTAGGTGTACATAAATAAAAACACTTTAAGATTTTATTTACTTCTGTAGAGTTTGAAGTTTTGAAATCAAGCATATATGTAGGCAAAATGAAAAAAATTAATATAACATCTCTGCAAATCATTTGAGAATTGAGAAGACATCTTAGTAATTATCTCTTCCTCCCCTAAATTTACCCATAAGCCAGTGAAGACCCAGAGGCAGCAAGCGGTTCTCATTCAATCTATGGTGTAGAATTCAGGCAGCCTCTTCATGATGCTATTTTCATGGTGCAGTCTTCTCAGGGCCTTCCTAGTTTTTGTTTGTTTCCACTTAACATTTTAATTTTTTTAATAAAAAACAAAGTATAAGAGCAGAACCAAGTAGAATCCATATGAAAGAAAACCCATTTCTGCATGATTGCTGTAAATTGTAGATCCTTTGCCCTCAGGTGAACATGTCAGTGATCAAGCATTCATGTAAGCAACAAAGCTCACTTCAGAAAGACTCACATTTTAATTTACTTTGAACATCTTAAAGATGCTCCACATGTATACAAATGAGCACCTTTTATTCTTTTATGCTTATGAGAAATCTTTAATTCTTATGAAAAACACTACTTTTGTGTAAAAAAAAGTTGGTTATTTTTTGCTAATAAAGAAGTACTTTATTAAAAACTTTTTGTCAAAAAGAAAGAAAGAAAGAAAATGCCAAGTGGGTTATTTACTCTAGGTCTTTACGGGAGGCTACAAAACCAACCAGCAAGTATCAATTACAGATGGTGGCAGGGGAAAACTGAAGCATCAGAGACAGAAAAGCAGTTCTGAGTGTCAAGCATGAGGGATGAAGCAAGACTATAAATAGGCAAACAAGTCAAGAGGTTGCACAGTGAATGCAGGAAACAGCTTTGGGAAAGAGAATGGGAGTCCCAATTTTGTGTGGCTTTGGCTATGTGGCAAAGAGCGTTCAGAATATTTGTACATCCTCCTCGAAGCCTCTGGAGGATTCAAGGAGAAAAAGTAGAAAACATTCACCCCAGTACTTCCTTTACATCATCTCCATTGATTGCACATAATACATACTGCCCTAGTCTTTGATCATTTTGTGTATTGGTTAGATAACATTTGCTCTGTGGATTGCCTTCCTCAATTAGATTATAAGCAGTTTATAAACAAAGGCTATATTTTACACAATGCAACCATCATGATGCCTAATGAACCTGTTTAATAATAGGCACTTACAGTATTTCTTTATAAATTACCAAATAAATTAATAGCAGGACTTTTGCAAGATATTATTTGATTATCCACCCAAAATCCAATCATATATTTATTGTGCACCTATTACGTATAAACTATTGGCATAGATGCAGGGGATAAAGAAATAAACCAGGAAAAAAAAAAAAAAAGAATTTCACCCTATGTGAGGCAGTCAAGCAAACACATCTTTATATCATTGGCTAGTGCCATACCTAGAAGCAGTGAAAGCTGAAAACAGGGTAACCAATCTCTTCACAGAAAGTCTAGATGGGGTTATCAGGGAAGGCTTCACAGAAGAGGTGACTTTTTTTCCCGAGTTTGAAAGCTAATTAGGAGATTTTTAGAAGGACAAGGTGTGGAAGTATGTAATACAACTCTTTAAGTGTGTCTCCATCCCAGAATTCTTGGGTTTAAAATGGTGAAGAATGATGCTGGAAAATAGGCATGGACCAGACTGCGAAGAGGCTTAGATGCCACAAGAAGAAGTTAATCATCATCTCATGAGGCAGTCATTCCTAGACTTTTGGATTTTACAGACCAGTGAATTTCAAAGACATTTTAAGATGGCCAAGTTTTTATGTTGCCAAATTAAATCATTTTTTTCAAACATACATTTGCAAACATCAGCATTTCATTTTAGAACATGGTTTTTAAAAAATACCAGAAAGTAGGAAGGACGTAAGTCGCAGAAAAAAACAGTCCCTTAAAAGTAGTCAATTTATTTCTATGAACAGAAAAGCCCCAACAATTTTTTTTTAAGTTTCGATACATTGAAACTTTTATCACAGAATGGTTCTCATTCCATGAACCTGAATCTGAGAACCTCAGATGTAGCCAATGAGGAACCAATAAAAAATATCAAGTAAGAGAATTACAGAAACTTTTTTTTTACAAATAAAAATAACTCACATTCCATTTGGACCATTAGCTATGTGTTCCACAAATATTTCTATTTTATATAATTGCCTATTTCATTGTCTTAACAATATGGAGACCAGGATGTCAAAGGAGCATTAAGCATGTGGTGACAGCTATATTGAGGGCAGCAAACCCAAGGGAGATCAGATGTGGGCTTCAGATTCCACATACACTGCTAAATTTCCTCATGGAGGCAGAGTAAAGTAATCCAGAAAGTCACATCACACTCCTCAGAAAATGCTGTACTTAAACCACCCAGAAAATATTTGAAAATATAAAATTCTAAATAATTCTGAGACATAAATCTCGATCATTTTGCTCAGATATCAATTTGATGTGTTTATTGGTTTGTTCATTTTTGCCCTTTTAACTCCACAGAGGAGCCCAAGTAGCCACACTTCAAGGGATCTTGCATTTTTATGATTAATGGTGACATATAACCCAAAATCAGAGAAATGCAAAGTGATAGATGAAATTCTAAAGCTCTACAAGTTCAGTCCACTTGGAATTCACATCAAAATGTATGGAGGCATATCCCAGGCTCATGCTGAAACAGCTAAATTGGGCAGTAAATCTAATGAGAGTTCAGCACATGAATTCTCTGGTATTTCCTGTCTTTAATTTGTCTGGAAATACTTCAAGGATAGCTTTTCTTATATTTCAGAACATGCTGTTGTAAAATGAGGACACATAGAAGATATTTGGTTTGTATTAATAAAGTTGGTTGATATTTGGCTCAAGATTAGTTGTTATATTATTGAGACCAATTAATATATCCCCTAACCAAAGAAAACTCTTCACAAATAGCAAAAAACTATTTTGCAAGGCAACATAAGGTATTCTTTAATTTAAAAAAAAATACTACTTACAAACCCAAAGTTATATCATATGGCAGAAATTCATAGAGACAGAAATAACATCATTTTTAGCTGGATGAACAAAACTTTTTTCCCAAAGCCATCAAACTCTTCATATTCAGTGTACAATGCTTTTTTTTTTTAATCATTTCCCTGCTCCCATTTTCCCTTTCTCATTTTGGATAGCTCAAATGTCAAAATTCATTGACTCTGCAATCTATACCTGGTGCCCTCAAAATGATATGTGCACATTTTTCTTAGTCCAGTGGTTTATTCCTTTGAGGGGAAGTATCTGTAATCTACAAGCATACAAGGAGAGGCATGACATAACAAATGAACAACAAAGAACTTACTTAATCATTCACGTTGCTAATGTACTTGACTAACTGATAAGCCTCCATCCCCATCTTTTTTTTCAAACTCTGTTGGGATACAATCTGGGATTTGGTAAATGATTCTAGTTAGTTTAGTGGCTGTCCTGTATAAACCTTATGCCAGCCTCTTGGCAAATAGTAAATTTGAGCTTCTCAGGGAAATAATCATCTAGTGGACTTCATACATGGGTAGTTTCATGTTTTGTGGAATCTAAAGCTTATACAACTTGGAGATCCACCTTTAGGAAAAAGAATATAAAATTACAAACACAAAACTAGGCACAAATTAGGTGCATTTTAGAATGAGAAAGGGAATCACAAGAAATTTTCAGTCTTGGAGATTTCTTCTGAGACCTCCCATCAGAAATGCTTAATAAAATGTTTCCAGATTGCAACCTGACTTTCCCTGCCCACTTAGAATGCAACCAGCAGCTCCCACATCACCAGGGCTGCTGCAAGTGAGGGGCCCTTTATCTTATGAAAAAGTGTTCAAGAATAAAGTAAGACTTTTGCAGTTCTTACTGACTTTTACAAGCCTTTGAATGGGGCTGAGTCAAACTATTTGAATTTAGAAGACTGATGTTAGGTTGGGTGTGGTGGCTCATGCCTATAATCCCAGGACTTTGGGAGCTGATTTGGGAGGATTGGTTGAGGCCAGGAGTTCAAGACCAGCCTGGCCAACATAGGGAGACCCTCATCTCCACACACACAAAAAAAAATAATAAATTTTTAAAAAATGGCATTGATGTCTCTTCAGAATTTTATGAGAGTACTACCTAGCATAAGAGAAAAGGACGGTAGGAAAGATCTCTTGACTGGGCAGTTAACAATTGCCAAACAATTAAAACAAAGACAGATTTTGCCTTTTCTCCTAGTCTGATAACCATTTTTCATTACTTATCCAGCTATCAAGGGCCAACCTTCCTTCAACCAACCAACCTAAAAAGATTAGAAAATCAACAATTCCCTTACACATAATTAATATAGTTTTAATAAGAGAGTCTAGGGGTGACTTTAATTTAAAAACAGAAAACGGTCCTACTATTTAAATATTACCACAAAGAAGGACCTTGATGATTCTAAAACCTAAAGTCAACCATTCTGCAACCAAATTAATAAATTTGTATGATTCTCTCCAACTTGTAACTAGTTTATGGATAATTATTTTCACATGATAAATCTCTCCATTTGGTAACTTTGGGTTATATTTTGCAAATAATTACTTCAGAAGATATACCAAGAAGTGTCAGGGATATAAAAATACAGTCAAGATGACTAGTACATACAAATCACTGTAGCTTTGGAAAAAGGCATCAGATTTTGGAATTGTGTTTTTTCATTTGTTTGCACTTTGGTGACGGTTTAAAATTGATTTTGATGAAGTGAGAGTCCAGTCCTGCCAGTGTGAGCCTCTTAGACTTGTAGGTATCCACGCATTCAAGCACATATCCTTGTGAAACCCTTAATTTTCACAGCTAGAGGCCTACCTACCTCCACAATGCATACGCATACACACACACACACGTACACACATCCCCACACACCAAAGCTTGGCAAACGGTTAAGGTGTATGATTTTCTACTTATTCTGCATCCCAAGAAACTGTTCCCTCTCAAGAAAACTGGGACAGTGGCTCATCATACTTACATGAAAACAAACATCTTGTAAAATAAGTCCCCCCGAGAATACAGATTGGGACTGGGTTCTTAACCTGGAATTTTCAAACCCTTAACTCTGGGTTTGATTGGTTAATTTGAGTTTAAATGGTTGGTAAAATTTGGTGTGTATGTGCAATTTTCTGTTCAGAGGTCTGCAGTTTTCGTAAGATTTTTAATGTAGTTCACCTAGAAAACAGTAGAGGAAGCCTAGCTATGAAGGATTGCCTGAGAGATGTGTGGTCCATTTATTTGTCTAAATACCCTAACTGTTTTCTTCACTGCACTTTGGATGAGACCATCAGTTACTAGAACTACCCAGAGACATTTGCTGCTGTAGGGCTACTGACAAGAACACTGTTTTTCATGCTGTAAACAACAGTGGAGAGAAATATCTGTCTTGTCTTGCCATCAAAATTCATTTTCTTTTTCTGGGTAAGTATGCTTTTTTCTTATGGACAAATAACTGACCACATCTGTCTCCTCTTATTGTCCTCTAGACATCTTGGAAATGAATATCTGACCTGCCCATAGAGAGCATATAGCACTTCACGGTACATATTTTAGTACACACTGTAGATAGATTCCTGGTTTTGCGTTATGTTCCTGCCTATGTTTTTCTTTTGTTTCATATTTCTCACTGACTGTTATTCTGTCAGGTATTAGGTTTGGTTGTAAGCATGAGACACTCCTCAGATGGGTGCTTAAAAAGTAGAGTTTTATTTTTTCACATAACCGGAGAGGAGACTTTCTCCTTCACAATTGTCTTGTGCTCTCAAGATGGCGGTTCTACTCCAGGGCTGAATCCTCAATTCCAGGGATGAAGAGAAGCAGCACAGATATCAAAAGGCATGTGCCATTTCTGCTTATTTTCATTAGCCAGAACTTCTTCATATGACCAACCCCAGCTGGAAGGTACCCTGGGAAATGTAATATTTTTTTGCTGGGCCTATGACCACCTGGACAAAATCAGGGGTTGATTGACAGAAAAAGGAGGAAAATCACAACCTACAGTGACCACCAAAATTATCTTCTGAAACTTTGTTACCTTTATAAGCTACTTTGAGTCCTTTTGGGAGGGTGTCATAATAACAAATTAAATACATCAGATTACAATGGGCTACTGCAAAAAGTTCGCAAGTGGTTTCTGATATGATGTAATTACAACTCAAATATGTGAAGTATAATTCCTGACTAACCTGGGCTCTAATTCAAAATCTCAAAGTTGTTCCATGGTGAGAATTTGGGGGTACTCAAACAAAATCGAAGTAGACTGCCAAAGAAAGAGATCCCACTCCTCATTCCCATTGAATATCTGCCTTATGCCAGGCACTATGCTGGATTCAGGGACTTTGAAAATTAACCAGGTTCAGTTAATTCCCAGCCCGAAGAAGCTCAGTTAAGTATAAGCAACAGAGAGCAGACCCACAATTGTGATAGTGTGATAAGTACATGTCCATGGCACCATGGGAGCATGGAGAAGAGGCTGTAACCTGCCTGGGGTGGGAAGGGCAGAGGAGACCTTCTGGAGGAGAGAACACTTGACCTTGAGGATGAGTTGGGATTATCACGTGGATGTGATGAAAAGGGGATTTATAGCCTGATGTACGTAAGTGGAGAGGTTGCAAATAGCCCTGAAATATGCCTGAGATGGCAAGCAAGAGATAATATCAAAGAGTTCCAGACAGTAAAATGCATGTACACTGAGCTAAGGAGTCTGGATTTTATATTCCAGACAATGGAAAAAGCAGCAAAAGTTTTTTCTCATGTGGAGAAGAATCATGTCCATGTATCTGAGTATTAAAAAGGGTACCTTGGCAGCTGTGCACTGCATGTATTGGAGACAGGAAGAAATGTCAGGAGGCTGCTGTAACAACCCAGGCAAGAGAAACTGAAAGACTGAGCCAGGACAGTGTCTCTGGAGGTAGAGGAAAGGGGAGAGCTGTTTTGAAAGCTGTTAGGATTAGAAACTTGTTAGGGCATGATGACTGATCACGTGGAGCAGGTGATTGTTACTAGAAGTTTAGTGTAACCCTATCCTCAGATTTATTATGTTCTAAATGAGGCTTCTGAGTCATAGGTTGATATCATTTACCAGAAGAGAGGATACAGGGTAAAGAGCTGGGAGCGAGGAGGCTGGGGAGGAAATTTCAGGAGAGGGGTACTGAAAAGGGGAGAGATGATTTCCATTTTTGACATATTGGAAACAACTCTGCAACACCCATGTGAAGTTGCCTAGAGGCAGTCAGAATTCCATTTCCTTCTAACTTCTCCAGGAACCTCCTGCGGCAATTATCCCTTCTCCCATCTTCATTTTCAATTTCACCTCCTCTGGGATCTCCTTTCCTATAGCCTGCCATGTTCCTCATATGACTCCCATCCCCATCTCCATCTCCATCTCCACCTCAACCACTTCCTACCTTCATTCTCTGAGCTCCAGCCACACTGTACTTCCTATTGGTTCCGGGTATGTGCCATGCTCTCTCCTACTTCAGGGCCTTTGCATTGCTTTCACACTATGCCTAAATGCTCTCTTTCTTCTACTTCCTTCCTTTCACCTAGCTAACACCTATCCACCCCTACCAAAACCCATAGCCAACCTTTGTTTTATATTCCCAGAGCACCTGATATTTCATGTCATTTTTGTCTGATTATAATGTTTTACTTAATTATTTATAATTACTTGTTTAACGCCTGTCGTTCATGATGGACTTCTGCTCCATAAGGGTAAGGGCCCTCCCTTACACAGAGTTTAGCTAAAGCACTCAGTAGACTTTTGCTAACTGATGATACACAAGTTTTTATCATCTTTAAAATGAAAATAGGAGGGGAGCAAGATGGACAAATAGAAGCCTACACCATTCATTTCCCCCACAGGAACACCAAATTTTAACAAGTAACCACACACAAGAAAAGCATCATCATAAGAACAAAAAATAAACCCACATGAGCTATCACAGTACCTAGTTTTAGTTTCATATTGCTGAAAGAGGCATTGAAGAGGGTAGGAGACAGTCCTGAATCACCAACGCCACCCCTCCTTAATCTGCTGGCAGTCACCAGTAGCACAGAGAGAGAGTCTGTGCATGTCGGGGAGGGAGAGTGCAGTGACTGGTGGACTTCACATTGAACTCACTGCTGCCCTGTCACAGTGGAGAGCAAAGCCATGCTGGGCTCAGCTGAAGCCTACACATGGAGGGAGCATTTGGACCAGACAGCCAGAGGAGAATCACCCATCCCAGTGGGCAGAACTTGAGCTTCTTGGAAGGCCTTGCCAGCATGGGCCAAAGTGTTCTGGGGTCCTAGGTAAAGTTGAAAAAGGACTGTAATTGCTAGCAACTCCTAGTGCTGGGCTAGGCTTAGAGCCAGTGGACTAGGGTGGCAAGTGACCTAGAAAGACAACAGATGGACAGATGGAACAGCTAAAGGAGTGCTTGAACAACTCCTCCCCCAACCCCAGGCAGTGCAGCTGGGAGCAACAGAAGTGACTTCTTCCTTCTGCTTGAGGAGAAGAAAGTGAAGAGTAAAGAGGACTTTGTCTTGCATCTTGAATACCAGCTCAGCCACAGTAGGATAGCTGTAAGCGCCTACATCAAAAACGAAGAAAAACTTCAAATAAATGACCTAACAATGCATCTTAAAGAATTAGAAAAGCAAAAGCAAACGAAACCCAAAATTAGTAGAAGAAAAGGAATAAGAATCAGAGCAGAAATAAATGAAATGAAGAAAACTATACAAAATATCCACAAAACAAAAAATTGTTTTTTGAAAACATAAATAAAATTGACAAATTTTTAGCCAAACTAACCAAGAAAAAAAGAGAGAAGACCCAAATAAATAAAATCAAAGATGAAAAGAAGCATTACAACTGATACTGCAGAAATTCAAAGGGTCATTAGTGGCTACTATGAGCAACTATATACCAATAAATTGGAAATCTAGAGGATATGGATAAATTCTTAGACACATACGACCTACCAAGATTTAACCATGAAGAAATCCAAAACCTGAACAGACCAATAACAACAAGATCGAAGCTGTAATAAAAACTCTCCCAGTAAAGGAAAGCCTAGGACCCAATGGCTTCACTGCTGAACTCTACCAAACATATAAGAAGAATTAATACCAATCCTACTCAAACTATTCCAAAAAATAGAGGAGGAGGAAATACTTTCAAATTCATTATTTAAGGCCAGTATTACCCTGATACCAAAACCAGACAAAGACACATAAAAGAAAACTACAGGCCAGTATCTCTGATGAATATTGATGTAAAACTCCTCAACAAATTAGTAGCAAACTGAAGTCTACATTAAAAATATCACTTATCATGACTAAGTGGGATTTATCCCAGGGATGCAAAGATGGTTCAACATATGCAAATCAATTTTTGTGATACATCATATCAACAGAATGAAGGACAAAAACCATATGATCATTTCAATTGATGCTGAAAAAGTATTTGAGGCCGGGCACGGTGGCTCACACCTGTAATCCCAGCACTTATGGGAGGCCAAGGTGGGCGGATCACGAGGTCAGGAGATCGAGACCATCCTGGCTAACACGGTGAAACCCCGTCTCTACTAAAAATACAAAAAATTAGTCAGTCGTGGTGGCAGGTGCCTGTAGTCCCAGCTAATCGGGAGGCTGTGGCAGGAGAATGGCATGAACCCGGGAAGTGGAGCTTGCAGTGAGCCAAGATCATGCCACTGCACTCCAGCCTGGGAGACAGTGAGACTCTGTCTCAAAAAAAAAAAAAAAAAAAAAAGAAACAGTATTTGATAAAATTCCATATTCCTTAGGATAAAAATCCTCAAAAAACTGGGTATAGAAGAAACATACCTCAACATAATAAAAGCCATATATGACAGACCCACAGCTAGTATCATACTGAATGGGGAAAAACTGAAAACCTTTCCTCTAATATCTGGAACACAACAAGGTTGTTCATTTTCACCACTGTTATTCAACATAGTACTAGAAGTCCTAGCTAGAGCAATCAGACAAGAGAAAGAAAGGGCATCCAAATTGGAAAAGAAAAAGTCAAATTATCTTTATTTGTAGATGATATAATCTTATGTTTGGAAAAACCTAAATACTCCACCAAAAAACTATTAGAACTGATAAACAAATTCAGTTAAGTTGCAGGATATAAAATCAACATACAAAAATCAGTAGCATTTCTATATGCCAACAGTGAACAACCTGAAAAAGAAGTCAAAAAAGTAATCCCATTCAGAAGAGCCACAGATAAAATTAAATATCTAGGAATTAGCTTAACCAAAGAAATTAGACATCTCTACAATAAAAACTACAATACTCTGATGGAGGAAATTGAAAATGCCAAAAAAAAAAATATTCCATGTTCATGAATTGGAAGAATCAATACTGTTAAAATGTCCATACTACCCAAAGCAATATACAGATTCAATGCAATCCCTGCCAAAATACCAATGACTTTTTTTGCAAAAATAGAAAAAAAATTCTAAAATTTATATGGAATTATAAAAGACCCAGTATAGCCAAAGCTATCCTGAGCCAAAAAAAAAAACCTGGAGCAATCACATTCTCTGACTTCAAATTATACTACAGAGCTATAGTAATCAAAACACCATGTTACTAGCATAAAAACAGACACATAGACCAATGGAACAGAGAGTCCAGAAACAAATCCATATAGCTATAGTGAACTCATTTTCAACAAAACTGCCAAGAACATATTGGCAAAGGACAGTCTCTTCAATAAATGATGCTGGAAAAACTGGGTATCCAAATGCAGAAGGATGAAACTTGACTCCTATCTTTCTCCACATTCAAAAATCAGATCAAAATGGATTAGACTTAAAGCTAAGACCTCAAACTATGAAACTACTACAAGAAAACATTGAGGAAACTCTAGGACACCGGTCTGCACAAAAATTTCTTGAATAATACCCCACAAGCTCAGGCAATCCAAAGCAAAAGCGGACAAATGGGATATCAAGTTAAAAAGCTTCTGCACAGTGAAGCAAACAAGCAACAAAGTGAAGAGACAACACACGAAATGGGAGAAAATATTTGCAAACTACCATCTGACAAGGGATTAATAACCAGAATATATAAGAAGCTTAAACAACTCCACAGGAAAAAGAAATCCAATAATCCAATTAAAGAACGGGCAAGAGATTTGAATAGACATTTCTCAAATGAAGACATACAATGGCAAATAGAAATATAAAAAGGTGTTCAACATCATTGATAATCACAGAAATGCAACTCAAAACTATAATGAGATATCATATCACCTCAGTTAAAATTACTTTTTTTTTTTTTTGAGACAGAGTCTCACTCTAGCATCCAGAAAGGAGTGCAATGGCATGATCTAAGCTCACTGCAACCTCTGCCTCCTAGGTTCAAGTGATTCTCATGCCTTAGCCTCCCAAGTAGGTGGAGTTACAGGCACACACCACCACTTTAAATTCCTATCCCTCCACTAATTCTGCTTGGGCAAATGTGCCTATTGAACTTATCATTGTGAAATATAATGGTTGAATTTCAATTATTAAGCTGACCCCACCCCCCCCACCCCCGCAGCATTTAACACCGTTGCCTTTCTGTTTCTTTGATGGCTTCTCTAACACTACCTTTTCCTGGACCCTGTCCCTCCACCTCCCACCCCCACTGATAATTTCTTCTCCATTCGTTCACTGTCTTTGTTTTTGACTATCTGATAAATGCCAGGTTCTGTCCTTAGTCCCCTTAGCTTTTCCTTGTACACTGAACTAATCTCACTAGTAATCAAGTCACAATTTGGGGTGCCACCAAAATCCCCCATGATGCTCCTGTATGGACCTATATTTCACAGGAAGAGGAAATTCCACTTCTTTCTGTGAAATATAGGTCCACACAGGGGGATTGTGGGGGATGAGACGGAAAAGGTCCAGCTTAGATGTAGGTAAGTTTGGAGGGTAGAGGCTTAGGAGTTTGCCTGGTGGCCTCTAATTCTTGGTGAGGAAGATAGGAGGTCTTCTCCTGGGACTGAGTGTGGCATATGTGGAATAATGAGGAGAGAGGTAAAGATGTGGAGTAGAGACTGAGAATTGGAGAAGCACCTGGCCAAGAGTGTATACTACATTGTCAAAGTACTACTCAAGCACTGAGGAGTGGGGGCCATCACAGAACTGGGAGAGTCTCTCTAGAAGTTTTCATGAGCAACTTTGGCTTAGTTCAGAAAGTCATATTGGCTGGATCTGCCCAGGGCTGCAGATTCGTATGATGGGTGTCATGAGAAAACAAAGGGGAAAGAGAAATGACAGTGCTGGGGAGAGGATAGGTGAAGACACAAAATGTAGAACCTAGGCTACATTTAGAGGGAGAAATAGGAGCCAGGAAAGCGCTAGTAGGCTGGGAAAAAAATTAGTGATCAAAGAATGTCTAATTCCTAGCAACCGAAGGGCTGCTCTTGAAGGATTTATCTTCATAAAGAAAGAAAAAGGAAGAGGTAGCCAATTCTCTTCCTTTTCTGACTTCAGGTGGCTTTCTCTTTGTTTTTGCATGTCCTCCTCTTACACCAGAATCATATGAACAATTGCACCATGAGCACTAGCTTTGGAGTTACACAGATCTGGCTCGTCTATCTACCATATGATCTTCGGCAACTAGAAAAAGGTGATAAAAATAGTCCTTCATTCATAAGGTTGGTGTTAGAATTAAGTGAGTCTACACATACAAAGCTCAGCAAGGTATCTGGTACATAGTAAATGTTCAATAAAAGTTAGTTCTTATTATCACTAGCATCTGGGGAAATGAATATTTGCTGAGGGTTACCTTCTGAACAGGAAACATTTCAGGTGATATTTCCATTATAAGTTGTAAATTCTAGTAAGGATTTTCCACCCTGGGAGCATATCCTTTGCTGGATTGGCAGAATACTTGAATTGGTGTGACTCATTTCAGTAGTCTAGGTCTGATTCTAAAATGCCCACCTGGGCTTTTATTTCAACCTTGGAATACAGAAAGCTTGAGATTCACAAACTTTTGGAGAAACAGGCAACTTTATTCTGAAAGCATACTTCCTTGCCTGGGAGGGACAATTTATACTCCTCATTTGTCAAATTAATGTCCTTGGATTTATTACTTCACTTCAGTGTGCCTTAAGTTGGAATTTAGGGTGGATAATAATTTTCTTGAGCTGTTTTTGCCAATCACTGGAACCAAGCAATTTCTGAATTTGCTGTATCAGCATGACACTCTATTCAGTTGTCATTCTTCATAATCCTGTGGGAAGGAAGGCAGTTACCAGGGTGGTTACCAGGTTGTGTTTGGGAGTCAGATGGAGGTAATGTCTAATTCTGGCTATGCTTCTTACTGGCTTGTGATTTAAAGCAATCTCTGTAGGCCTCAGGGTACTCATCTCTAAAACGGGATAGTAAGAGTGCCTACCTCATAGACTTATGATGACTATCAAGAAATATATTATACAAGAAAAAATGTATACACACAGCACACATAGTCAGCACTCAGAAAATGTTAGCTAATTACAAATGTTTATTATTTTTTCATCAGTATAACTCATGTTGTTTTATCCACCTAAGTGAAAGAGCAGCTGAAAGAAACAAAACTAATCGAGTTATGGGGTCAGTCCTACCAAAAAGAAGTATGGCTGTCTTAGCCCTCAAACTAAAGACTTCAGTAGCTTCAAATGATTTAATCACTTCAAATATATATGAGTAAATCATCAAAATGGAAAATTTATTTTTCAAAATAGTATATGAATAAAATGTAAGATTGTCAATCTATCTGACATTTTATGGATCAGGTGGTGCCATTTCCATGAGTGGGTTCAGCAGTCTTTGCTGTTGTTGTGGTGGCTGCCACTGTGCTTGGTAGTGTTTTGTGCTTGCACTACCATCTTTAGAGAGACAGCACAAGGATCAGGGGGCTGGGTACAAATCCAGAGAACAAGCCAACCCTGTCTCTGCACTTGTGGCCAAAATGCTTTTAGGGGTCATTTCAGTTCAGCTAAGATTTCTCAGTCTCTGCTGATCAGGACTAGAGAGGATGACACTGATAGAGAAGCCCTTCAATAGTTCTTGCCAAGCAGAGCAAGAGATTTACAGCCCATCTTTCCAGGTTGGACCTTGGAGATGATCCAACTTTAAAATATGAAAAGGATATCCCAAGCATCAGGAGTTGTTGTTTAAGAGCTCTTAAGGATGGGTTCCTCCGCCTTAACTTGACTTTCTCAAAGATTAAACTATTTTCCTGTGTTCTTTCCTCAAGTAGAGACAGATGGCAGAAATATAGGCAGGCATCATGGAGAGTGAGGGGGACACAGCACGTCATAATGACAGTCCACCCTTTATATTTTATACTCTTAGAAACCTCAAATCATAGTGCCTTTTCATCATATGCTTCAACATATGCTTCTCTTGATTTTGTAAAAATTATTTTAATTTTTAATTATCTGAATATTAGAAATCAATAACATTGTATGCGTCAACTCTAAAAGTATGCTTTTTGAAAATGACATGTAAATTATACATACTGTCACTGGCAAAATGGTCATTTTCAAAAAAATAGCGCTATAGATCCCACCTAACTAGATTCCATGTACTGTTGTAAACAGGCAATATTAATTTTTCAGTTAGTCTAAATAGCTGCTCAACTTCACTGGAGGTAAATTTACAGCTGGGATTTTATGGATCAAATCATATTTGATGCAATAGTAAAAAAAAAAAATAGTTATTCTAAGGATCTGTCACTATCTCCGCTAAATAAAATATTTATGTAGCCTGGTTTCTGCAGAGCACAGAGTTTTTTCACTGATGGCTGTTCCATGTTACTTCAAGGTCAGTAATACTCTGAGACTACTCAACACAGACAAAAGTTCTATTCATCACGCGCATTTCGTTCTATGGATTTAATTTCACATTTACGTTAGTTTGCCATAACTTAACAACAGAAATCCACACAAAAATTACCAACTAAGACTTCGAAAATGCTTCAGTTTGTAAGCTGATATTTTCCAAACACAGGCAAAGGGAATCCTTTTGCTGACACCACAAAATCTCACCATGCCTATTACAAGATTCAGGAAAATTATAAACTCAAAGCACACAGAGAAACAATCTATGTGAATTCAGAACACTTCCCATGCACCGCCCACCTCTGAAAAATTAGGCCTCTCAAGGTCGAGGAGGAACACCTGCCTGACTACTAATAGGCTATCATTTGTCCTGTGTAAATTACACTTCTGCAAACCTCCAAGTGAGGCTGATAGCTGAAAGAGAGGGGGTTTCACAATCTTCCTGCAGAAAACTCACTGGAGTTTTTAACAAGCTTTACTAGAGAGATTCTTCTTTGAATCTAAACTAAATCTTTGAGACACAGACCCCTCCTTTATCTTTTTCCTCTTAGGTTTGCTTTAGCTTAGAAAATAATTCCTACTCTTTCTACTCCTATCAGGAGGGCATGGTAAGCAGACCAGAAAGTGGAGCCAACATCTCTGCTCAGAATGCAGCTGTTCATACCTACAAGGGTCATGCTTATCATTTACAAATGTTTTTGTAAGAGAAATTTTTGAAAGATACACACATACACAAATACATACCTGCATGCACACACATGCAGACTCTAATTCTTACAAATAAATGGTTTACACTTTTTTGTGTGTTCTCATTCAATCACTGGCCATATATGTGGCAGATGGTTCCATCTGAAGGTGGTTGTAAAATATCTCCCATTCTGCGGGCTCTTCTGCAAGTGTCTTTGCCACTCCCTCATCAAGAAGTGAAATCTCATTACTCTCTCTTGAATCTGACTGGCCCTGGTGAGCTGATGGCCTATAGGATGAGGCAGAAGTGATGCCAAATGACTTCCACAGGTTGACCAGAAAAGGTCATGCAATGTCCATCTGGCTCTCTTGAAATGCTGACCCTCCAGACAGGGTCAGCATATTGGTGACTAAAGAAAGCCTCATTTAGGGTGTCCCTCTTAGAACACAGCAACCATGCTGGGAAAAACCGAAGCCACATGGTGAGGCCACGCATACAGCTTGCAGTCAGTAGTCCTAGCTTAGCCCACCCCTTTGAGTCCTCCCAATCCAGAAGCCAGAAAATGGAGAGAAGCCTCCAGATGATTCTAGACCCAGCTGATCCAGTCACCTCCAACCATTCAAGTTTTCCCAGCTGAGATCCCAGACATTGTGACACAGAGACAAGAAATTTCCACCTACCTAACTCCTGACCAGAAAAAAAATCTATGGGCATATTAATGTGATTATTGTTTCATACCTCTAAAATGTTTGCTACTTAGCAATAGGTAACTAGAATAAAATACATATTTGCTTTTTCATAGAATGTGTGATTTTAGGCTTTTTTCCACTCAGGCTTTTATTAATCACCAATATGCTTATTGTCATCTAAAGGACAGTTTAAATAACATGGAAAGAGTACAGGCTTTAGAGTCACAAAGTCCTGGCTATCTGGATATCTCAGGCAGCTGAGAGATAACTACTTATTTGTTCCAAGTTTCCGTTTCTTCATCTATCACTGGTAATACTAACATTTACCTATTGGGATTGTTGGGAGGATCAAATGAGATAAATCACATGATGCTTGACACATAGCAGATTTCTGGAAATGGCTTCCTTTTCCTGTGTAGGCTTCATACCTATTACTTTATTGGTGTTATAATTGCTTTAAAAATACAAAAATTTTGCCAACTTCTAGTTAATCAGTAGAATGGCATAAAAATAAAAACAATTTTTTTTAAAATGAAATCTCAGGTTTTTCCCCCCATATAAGCTGAGAACTTAACATCCTACATTACACATGTGCTTTTTATTTCCCCCCAGTGTTAACATATGAAAGAGTCTAAAAACCTGACTGGTATCTGGTGAATGCCATACAAGTGTTTAGCTTTTGTTATCACTTTCTACTTATTTCTATTGAGCTGTATTCTATTGGCTTCTGACTAGTGTTAACTTTACTAAAGCAATTTTGAAGTTGGAGTTTCTAGGCAAAAATGTTTCTGTCAGTGATCTCACTCTATTCAGTCTTTTAATGTCCTGGCACTCTTACTTGTCCTGTTAAATATAAAACAAGGTAACTCATCACATAGCCCCAAGTTCTGACTGCGGAACCACTTGCCTCTTACAACCTCCGTAATTGTACAGAAGTCTGAGAATACAATCTGTGTTTTCAAATCTATTTTGTGAGCTAGATTATTAATGAAAGTGAAATACCAAGTCTAGAACTTAACCATCAGTAGTACTGTCTTTCAGATAATTCATTCCTATGTAGGTAAATTATTCAGGAAGGAGAATTCCCCATATCCTGACAATGTTCCAAAGAATAAGCCTCCATGATCTCTGATGGTTACATATCCCAATGTTTCATACCTAGAAACTCCTAGAAAAAAGGATTTTACTAATTTTTAACCTAAATTCCTCCTGCTGCAGATAAAGTTTATTCTCTCCTTGTTAAGTCATTCAGTAGAGACAAGTTTCACAAAAGCGTCATCCTCCCAATATCACCGCAACTTCTTGGGGCCCTTGACTGCCCCCATAGCATTTTATATATGAGACATGTAGGAAGCTGGCTTTCAAACTTTAAATCATGTATATATTCCTCCAAGTAGACAATGAACTAATAGTAATAGTTCTTTAATGTATTCCATATATCACTTTGATTAGTGTCTGTTAAAAGAAATCTGTCAGATTAACCCACCCTAAAGTTTGTCATGCCAAAATTTTGATGGTGATTCATCAATATATTTTTTCCAGGGACTTAAAAATGAAATTTTAAAATAATACTTCTCAATATATTTTGTAGATGTGAAAATTAAACATATTCTTTTATGCTCTTCAGAGTTATCTTTTAGAATAATATAGTATTACCTTCCCAACACTCTCACTCCTCTCAAATTCTAAAAAGTGATAGCAGCTGTATATGTAGTGATTTCAACAAATTCCTGTGAATATTTATCATATCTAATTTATTTTGAAATTCATCATCAGTTAATTCCTCATCCCTATCCATTCTCCAGATTCTCTGTTCCTTGTCCTTGCTGATATCCTGATCTCCTAGATTAAGTAAAAAATGAATGCACAATGCCCAAGCTTCTAGTTGTTCATGTGTGACCTTATTTTTTACCCAAGTTTATCTTTTATATTCATCTTCATCTTGAATGTGTGCATGTACATGTGCTGTTACACATGTGTGCATGTATGTGTGTAGGTTTGTATGTGTATTTTTTCTACTACTCTCTTTTCATCAGTTATAGAAACAACATATTTCTCAACATTTTTGTCCCTGATTTTTTTAAAAAGGCTTGTATTTCTTTCAGGTCCCTTTTATTTTAACTTACTCCTTAATTTAGCAGCTCTGTTTTTTACTGTTAAAACCTATTTTTTTTTCCTTTTGGCTGTCTGTTTCTATTTTATTCACTTAGTCACAAATATCCAGCAAATGACCACTGAGTACCATGCACAGTGGTGGGCATAAGACAAATCCCCGAAGACGCAGGTCAAGGATCATGTCTGGGTAAATGTTGGGCTCAATGCCTGGTCTGCTCCCAGCCCCACAAGGTTTCTACTGGTGAAATAAGATAAAGATGAATATGAAAGAGAGGCTTGGGTAAAAAAGAAGGTCACTCATGAACAACTAGAAGCTTGGGCATTGTGCAGAGAGAAGCAGAATCAAGATCATAGATTGAACACATGGACTCCTTCCCTTCATGCAAGTTTTGGGCATTGCTCTTGACATCAACCAGCACTCATTTTCTCTCCCTTCCTGTATGTCCCAGACTCCCTTTCCTCCAGGGGTCTTGATAAGTGTAATTTCTCCTAATGAGTTACATCTCATGCTTCAGAAGGCTGAAGGGAAGAGCCCTGAGCTCAGTGGAGGTGATATTTGCAGCAGTCCCAGGCTTTCTCCAGAGATTCACCGGCTTTGGTGCTCTGACTGTGCCAGAACCTGTGAGCTCAGTGACAGTTTTCTGTAGCTCTGATCCATGTTCAGTAGAAGCTCAGATTCCTCCAAAGCTGGTGAAGAACCTTGGGGCAAGCTGAATCCCTTCCCTCACCTTCCTGGGCCTTCGGTTCTCTGGCCCTTCCAATGGCTTTTCAAGCACCCAATTTCCTGTGCTTTCTTCTTCGAAATTCCTAAAAGGCTCTCTGCTTTAGAGACTAGACATTGACTGGTACACTGCCCCAAATTCCTTGAAATGACAGGCAACATACTTTAAAATAGTATTAAACATACAATGTGCCATCAACAGACCAGAAAATTTAAGTTATGCTTGAAATAAGGCAAGCAGATGGAATCAGATCTATAGAAAAACAAAACTGAAGAAAGCCATCATTTTAAAAACGTGCATGAGAAAACTGTTGTGAAGGTGGGACTGGCACAGGGCGGGTAGTCCAAATTTAGAACCACTGGAAACAGGGAGTGAGAGAGTACATGGCACATTTATCAGGGCGATTAATGGACTGGACTTGTTACTGCTTATCAATCAGTCTATCCTTGGTCTCCTGCCTGTGCTAAAGCAGTGAAGAGTAGTAGACAATTTCAGGTCAAAGCAGCCAGGAAGAGCATGGAAATAAAGGGGCACAGTCTTACTACCCAAGATAGCTGTTTGGCACCAGGAGGAAGTAGAAAGGTGGCTGAAAGGAAGACAAGCTACCAGAACACCCTGATGTCAACTTGTCCTGTCCCTTGCCTACAATTGTCAGTGGAAATATGTAATAAGCACAGATGATATTCACAGAGCACTAAACAAGGATTTACAACTACAAAGATGAGTGAACAAACAAGAAGTCTTTTTTTTTTTTTTGAGACGGAGTCTTGCTCTGTCGCCCAGACCGGAGTGCAGTGGTGCGATCTCGGCTCACTGCAAGCTCCGCCTCCCGGGTTCACGCCATTCTCCTGCCTCAGCCTCCCAAGTAGCTGGGACTACAGGCGCCCGCCACCACGCCCGGCTAATTTTTTGTATTTTTTAGTAGAGACGGGGTTTCACCGTGTTAGCCCGGATGGTCTCGATCTCCTGACCTCGTGATCCGCCCGCCTCGGCCTCCCAAAGTGCTGGGATTACAGGCGTGAGAAGAATTCTTTAAATATTTGTAGGAAGCCAGTAAATGCCATGAAAGAGAGGCCTGAAACTCCATTTACAAAAGAAGAATTTATCCCCAAGAAAAAGAAATTAAAACAGCAAGAGAGGACTTTGAAATAAGTAAAATTAATGTCTGCAAGGAGATTTGAAAGGATAATGCCCCTGTGAAAAAAATCTGAAAAATTTCCCATTAATTAATGTTTTGTCAATAATATTAAAAATAAAACCTTAATTTGAACAACAGAACATTTACAGGTAAAAAATAACTTGCTAAACTAGAAGATCATTCCAAAGAGTCTGTCACAGTAAGCTAAAAAGGACAAAACGGTGGAAAGCATGAGAGCTAAATAGGAGACATAAATGATAGACTCAGGAGTCCAACCTCTATGCAGCAAGAAATCCAGGAAAAGAACAAACAGGATGGAGAGTAGAGTAGAGCCAGTGATCAATAAAACAATCAAATAAAATTTTAGCTGAAGAAAAACTTGGTTTCTCAGATTTAAGAGCTCAATTACAGAAATATAACACTTAGAAATGTCACAGTGAACTCTCAAAGCTGCAGAGAAAATCCTCAAAGTTTCCAAGAAGAAAAAAATCATATAATCATATTAAAAAGACAATCAGATTGGCAGCAGTTTTCTTATTGGCAATACCAAGTGTAAGAAAATAGTGGAGAGATTTATCAAAGTTAAAGAGAAAAAATATTTGTAATCTAAAATCTTATGTTTTAAAGGCAACTGTGGTATTTTAAAATACCAGGCAACACCAGACAAAATAGAATTCTAGGAAAAACACATTTTTAGAATGGGAAAATAGAGTTATATCTTCTGTTGATTAAAGGTATAATCAATCAAGAAACTTCACACAGCAAACAAAACTATATAACACAAAATAGGATAGGATTATAAGGAGAAACCGGTAAATACTCCATCATCATAGGAGACTCTAACATATCTCTCTCACAAATCAAAATAGCAATTAGATTGTGCATCAAAGGACACAATCAACAGAGTAAAAAGACAACCTACAGAATGGGAGAGAATATTTGCAAATCATATATCTGATAAGGGGTTAATATCCAGAATAAAGAACTTATCCAACTCAACAACAAACAAATCACCTAATTTAAAAAAGGACAAAGAGCATTTCTCCAAAGAAGATGGCCAACAAACGACGAAAAAAATTCTCAGCATTACCAATCATTAGAGAAATACAAACTAAAACCACAGTAAGCTATCACCTCATCCCTTTAGAAAGACTGCTTTTAAAACACACACACCCACACACACACACACACACACACAGAGACAGAGAGAATAACCAGTGTTGGCAAGGATGTGAATAAATTGGAACCCTGTACATTGCCAGTGGGAAGGTAAATGGAGCAATGGAGCAGCTACTGTGGAAAATAGTATTGCAATTTCTCAAAAAATCAAAAACATAATTCATGTATGATCCAGCAACTCCGCTTCTGGGTATATACAAAAGAATTAAAGGCAAGTTCTTGAACAAACATGTGCTCACCTGTGCTCATTGCAACATTATTCGCAATAGTCAAGAGGTGGAAGCAACCCACATGTTCACTGACAGATGAATAGGTAAACAAAGTGTGGTATATCCATACAATGGAATATTACTCAGCTTTTAAAAAGAAGGAAATTCTGACACATACTACAATGTGAATGAACCTTGAGGACATTATGCTAAGAAAAATAAGTCAGTCACAGAAGGGCAAATACTGCATGATTTCACTTATATGAGGTACTAGAATACTAAAATTCATAGATAGAAAGTAGAATTGTGGCTATCAGGGGTTGGGGAAGGGAATAATGGTGAGTTATTGTTTAATGAGCAGAGTTTCCATTTGGGATAATGAAAAAGTTCTGGAGACAGATGGTGGAGCTACTGCCACTGATCTATACATTTTTAAATGGCTAAAATGATAGATTTTACGTTAGGTGTATTTGACCACAATAAAAAAAACAAATTTAAAAAGAGAAAGAAACCATAGATAAGGTTGGTGGCATCTTGGAAAAGAAAAGATTTGAGCTTTACTTGTCAGAATGTGGTTCCACTCCCCACTGGGTGAAGATACCTCACAGAGATTCTTCTCTAACATAGACTTCCACAGTAGAGTGGATATAGGGAAAATCAAAGCAAAAAGAAGCCTACAGTTTCAAAGGGCCTCATTGGGTGCTGTATTTGAATTCTCTCCACAACATTCATAGCTGTGTGTTCCCTTTCTAGTTTATCTATTTGTGGGTTTGTTATCTGGCCCTTCCCACAAGACTATAATCTTCTTGTAATCTTCCTTCACTGATCTATGTTTAAAAGAGTGTTGGCTTCATGAATATTTGTTGGATGAATACATATCTTGAAAATGAATCTTAGTGCTTATAGGCAAGTATTTCTGTAAGATGAATTCTTGGAGATAGAAAAGCTGCATCAAAGGGCATATGCAGTGTAGGTATTAGGATTGTCAGTATTTCCAGATGGTTCAAGGCACTTGAAGTAGTCAGTATGCATAAAGTGGGCACCACATCTGGGGAGCTCAGTGTGCTTGGGTTCATCCATGCATCCCCAGATGGTTCTAATGTGCAATCAAGATGAAGAACCACTCTTCTAGGCGATCTTCTATGTTGTTCTCATTATAAAACACATGAAGATTCAACTGGATGTGGTTTTCATATAATTGCTCCAGCCAATTCGTCTACAATTATTTACAGTGATTCGTAAAGCCCAGTTTTTTATTTATAGATGTCGACACTGGCATATAAGAAATAGAGAATGATTGTTTGCAGGAGTCATGTGGTTATCTAACATTTAATTACTCAGTCTTCCTGAAGTAAAGTTCGTGATTGGTGCAGCGTATGATGATAAACACATGTCGCCCATTTTGGCATTTGATTTCTTACATAGGTATGTTTATATAAGAAATGTGCATGCAACTGAGATGGTCACAGGGATGGGCTTTGGCAAATTCTGCTTATGTGGTCCGCAAATTCCATGTGGTTATGGACAATGGAATTCTTTTGCAAGAGCCCTATCTTTGTAAGAAGAGTAACATTTTTAAATGCCTTAGAAATGAAATATGTGAATAAAGAATCAAAATGTGTTGGTGTTTTATTGATGTTTAAAGATGTGCAAGAAAGATGTGTGTTATCCCAGGAGAGTTAGTGAAGAAAAAAATGGGCCAGATATAAAATGACAAATAGACACAGGAAATAAGGAGCCAAGAAAAAATTCCTAAAAATTGGGGTTTCCACACATACTGGGGCCTGTCGGGGGGTGGGGGGCACGGGGAGGGAGAGCATTAGGACAAATAGCTAATGCATGCAGGGGCCTAAAACCTAGATGATGGGTTGATAGGTGCAGCAAACCACCATGGCACACATATACCTATGTAACAAACCAAACCTGCACATCCTGCACATGCATCCTGGAACTTAAAACAAAATAAAATAAAAAATTATTTTAAAAGATTTAAAAAACCAAACCTGCATGTTCTGTACATGTATCCCAGAACTTAAAATTTTTTTAAATAAAAAAATAAAAATAAAAGCTACTCAGGAGTCTGAGGCAGGGGAATTGCTTGAACCAGGGAGGTTGTAGTGAGCCAAGATCACACCACTGCACTCCAGCCTGGGTGACAGAGCGAGACTTTGTCTCAAAAAAATAATAAAATTAAATTTTAAAAAATTGGGTTTCCTGAAAAAGAAACTATAACTAATGAATAATGACAATTGTAAAGCTATAAGAAAATGTTTCTGAGAGAAACTGATATGTTCACACACACAAAAAAAAACAAAACTAAACTTATAACTAAATAAATCCTGGAAAAAATATCTACATGACAAAAAGAAGAAACATAATTTTCAAGAATGCAAAACAAGAGCAAATTATCAGACTAGCCGCATAACTGTTCAACAACCAGGATACGATTGTACTGTGACCCTAGAACTCTCAGATGTGTCATTCGTGTGGGTAGGCAATAGATAGTTGTACATGAGGGCTCAGAAAATATTTCATGCAGGAATTCTTTCCTTTTCTATTTTTCTTTCTTTCCTTTCCTTTTCTTTCTTTTCTTTTTCTTTCTTTCTCTTTCTCTCTCTTTTTCTTGCCTTTTTTTGTGTGTTTGTTTGAGACAGGGTATCACTCTGTCACCCAGGCTGGCGTGTAGTGGGCAATCACAGCTCACTACAACCTCCACCTCCCAGGCTCAAGAGATCCTCCCACCTCAGCTTCCTGAGTAGCTGGGACTACAGGTATACACCACCATGCCCGGCTAAGTTTTGCATTTTTTGTAGAGATGAGGGTTTTGCCATGTTGCCCAGGCTGATCTCAAACTCCTGGGCTCAAGTGATGCACCCACCTTGGCCTTTCAAAGTGCTAGGATTACAGGTGTGAGCCACCACACCCGAGTGCCTCTTCGTTTTCAAGAAAAAATAATTACTTGAAGATGTACTCCAGCTGACAAAGAAATTAATGAGATTAACAATTCCAGCTTTTAACCTATAAAATGAGCAATGATCAAAAAGCTTGATGGCACACAGTGTTGGCAAGCATGTAATGGGACATAGGTACTCATTTCTTATTCAGAGTATAATTTGGTGCCATCTCTTTCAAAAGCAATTGAAAATATTTAACAACATTTGAAATGAGTATATCCTCTAGTGTCTAGCAAACTACAAACTTCATGGAGCAGATACAGGAGGAGGCAAAGGATTGTCATGGCAATATTCCAGAGACAGCTGAGGACACCAAGATTTGTACAAAGGGTAGAAGGGTAGTACTCATGGAGTAAAATATTTGGTAGGGTGTAGAGAAAATGGGAATTTCTTAACAACCACTTGGATGCTGAAAATCCAACTAAGGAGAGGCAAAAGCTAAAGCTTATTGGGACAGATCAGAAAATAGTCATGGGCTTGGAGAGTAATGGGAAACCAAGATTAAATGCCACCTCTCCTTAGCAGAGGCCTGGAATCAGAGAGAGGACATGAAGAAAATTGTGTTTAATTGGTGAGATTCTTTCATATGGGCATCAGAGATGGAGGAGGAGACCCCTTACTATGAAGAGCACACACTGGACATTAAAGCTGTCTAACTCCCTCCTCTCCCAGTTTCATTTAATCGTCGTGATCTCATCTCTCTTAACTGGTTCAGGATCCATTGAGAACTAGGATTGGTTAAAGAATGGACATGTTACCAGTGAGAAGTGAGGGAAGGTTTGCTGAGGGCCCCTGGGAAAAATGTCCCCTTAAGAGAAATTCCTGGAAGACATCCTTTCTCCCTGCTCTGGGTGCTGTTTTTGTATGCATGGGAAGCCAGGAAAAAATCTATAGCCATTTTCTGGCCACTTGAAGAGTAACAACAATAAAAGAGGGAGACAGGACTAAGCCAAACTTAAAGCCTACCCTACTCTAGGACTTTAAGTCAGTGAATCATTTCCCTCTCTTATTTATAAGGTAGTGTGAGTTAGGCTTTCTTTCACAACAGTAAGTTCTCTTAAGTGATACAGAGGATACTGTGAGAGAGGCAAGCTAGCCCTTCAAGACAACTTGGGCATGCCTAGCCCTTACACAGTAGAATGGGGGTAAGTTCAAGCAATCCATCCTCACTCCCCTAAGGCCTTCTGGAAACTACTTCTGATTAAAAGGAAGAGGACTTCACCTGACACTGTGTAGCCTAGGTAAAAAGAGACTGAGATGGAGTGGAAGAGACTTGATATAAAGAATTAGCATTCAAGTTTCATGTAAAATGGGTTCCAAAATGACTTCCAGGCTGTGTGCAGTGGCTCATGCCTGTAATCCTAGCACTTTGGAAGGCTGAAGCAGGAGGATCACTTGAGCCCATGAATTTGAGACCAGCCTGGGCAACTCAGTGAGAATATGTCTCAAAAAATAAAATAAAACACTATATGTATATGGGTAGGCAGAGTGGGCCTTGTTTATATTCTGCTAGTACCTTCTGGGTTCAAGTATGTATTACTGCTGCATTTATCATCCCCAATGTCTTTTTTCTGCATCTTCTTTTTGTTTCTGAGCACTGCCCAATCCCTTCTCTCCCCAAAGACTGTGTATAGCAGACTCTACTGCAGATGTGAGGCTACAGAGGATGTTACAGGGGAGCAAAGCACAGCCAACAACTTAACACTAATCATAGACACCCATCTCCTCACAAAGTCCCCCTTATTTCTGGCTTTCTCTTCTACCTGGGCTTCAATTTATTGCTATATTGCTGATTCTCCTCGATCTTTTAACCTTGTTTTCCCAAACCCATTTACTCCCTTTAAAAAAATCTTATTTCTTATGAGGAACATTTTAACCGTTTCATCAACTCATCCAGCCTATTCCAGCTATGCCCATAAAGACTTAACTATCTTTAAAATAACATATTTGGCTGGGCTTACTGGCTCACGTCTGTAATCCCAACACTTTGGGAGGCCAAAGAGGGAGGATCGCTTGAGGCCACGAGTTCAAGATCAGCCTGGGAAATATAGGGAGACCCCATCTCTACAAAAAAAAAAAAATTTAAAAATTAACCAGGCATGGTGGCACACACCTGTAGTCCCAGCTAAGTGGGAAGATGGCTTAAGCCCAAGAGTTTGAGGTTATGATGAGCTATGATGGCACCACTGCATTTGAGCCTGGGTGACAGAGTGAGACCCTGTCTCAAAAAAAAGAAAAACATATTTTTTCTTTTTACACATTTACAAGAATAGTAACCAAACAATGAAAACAATCTAACTGCTCATCTAAGCAGTTGTAGTCCATTTATATAGTGGAATACCAAGTAACCGTTAATATCATGTTGTAATCTTCCATTTCAATGTGGCCAACTGAAAACATCTCAAAGTAAGAACAGTGAAGAAGTACAAAAAGATAAGTGGACTGGTCCCCTGCACCTGTCCTCCTAACCCCTGTTGGATTAAGAAAGACAAGACCAACCCTTTTTCTGGGGAATTACCTTCCTCCTTCCTGTGTTGGCCAGGGCTGTTGGAACAGTGTGAGCTTTCTCAGTGATTTTTTGCAGTGTTGTTCCCTCCCTTGAGGCTGAGAGGAGATAACCACTAACCTAGGAATTCACAACAAATTTTTATTACTTTAAGCTGAAAAAAAAAATAAGTGGATAACAGTATTGCAAAGGAGAGGAGAAAGTATCAGGTAACCAGGGCTTTTGATAAATTTCTGGAAGAGAGAATGTAGAATGGATACTGAAAAGGCTGCAAGAGGGGTAGGAGCCATTTTCTCAGCAACAAAGTAAAAGAGAGGCTCTAAGCTTGGAGTGAGCTGGGCTAAAAAGAGGGACAGAAATCAAGATGATTTAGTCAGGGATTATTTACAGAGCAATTGTACTACTTGGCCCCTTCCCAACCCCATCCCACCCTCTATAAGATGGCCACAATGTTTGCCTCCACAATAAAACCAAAGAACTAATATCTAAAGAAACTGACCAGTATGCCAGAAGCACTTCAGAGCAAAGCTGTCCTTATTGGTATAAAACAGGATAGAGTTGGTCTGTTTGCCTGCTTGCTTTCAGATCTTACTCCCTTAAGTAAAGCTTTTTAGTGACCATATTCACACTCAGCTTTCAATGAATGGGAGAAACTTGTTGGTTCAACAAGACTAGACACTTGTGAGGAAACTCAAACATGCTCCCTGTTAAACAGCTTGTCTTTTTGTCCATTGTTCATAAATATAATGAGGAAATAAAACAATGACCTCGAAAGAAACAGTGATAATTGAGGGAATAAAAAATAACTTTCAACTTTAAAAATATTAGAGAACAAGTTGCCTACAGAAAACAAGAACACACTGCTAAGAAGAATATGCAATCAAAGAATACCAAAGAGTTCATGGAAATTTTAAAATGTCTTTGAAAATACAAGAAATTCAATAGACTTTGAGGAAAAAAACTAAAGAAATCCTCTAAAAGATAAAAAATAGAGCTAGGAAGAAAAGTTAAGACAGAGAAGATCATGTCCCTGTTAGTTAGATCTCATCTAACAGGAGATCCTAAATGATAAAACAAAGAATATAACAGAGAGGGAGAAAAGGTAATAAAAGGGAATTTTCTAAAACTAAGAATAATGTTTTTGAACTGAAAATTCTTACTAAATAAATCTGGTAGAGTGTTTCTAAAGATGGTTACAGTATCTCTTATCCCACATGACTGTTGCACTGAGATTTTGTCACTCTTTTCATCAAACTGTACTTCCCCTACCCTTAAACTTGCACTTCTCCTGAGACTTGCTTTTACCAACAGAATGTGGCAGCAGTGGCACTGGGTAGCTCCTGAGACTAGGCAGGATGAACCATTGTACCTTCTGCTTAGCCTTCTTTGGGGAAGCCAGCTGTCATGCTGCAAGAAAGCTCAGGTTAGAAAGTCAAATAAAGAACACCATCTGGAGAAAGCGGCCATGTGGAAGAGCACCAAGGCAACAAAGATATGAATGAAGCTTTCTTGGTCCTTCCAGCCCATCCCAGCAGTCAGCTGAACATAGCTAAATGAGTGATCGCAGTTAACCCCAATGTAGCAAAGCAATTGCTCAGCCAAGTTCAGCACTATTTCCTGGCCAATAGAATAATAAGAAATAGTAACTTCCTATTGTTTTAAAGCATTAACTTTTTGGGTGGCATGATATAATGCTGTTAATATTTTTTTAAGGTCCTTACTTGAACATATCCAGCATTTTTTCAGAACTCTGATGATAAAGATAAGATTCTACAAGGTTCCAGAAAGAATAGTTATGTATAAAAGATTGAGAATCAGAATGGTATCAGACTTTTTATAAGGGGCATTAGATACTATATTTCAGTTGAGCAATGCCTTTATACTACTGAGAAAAAAAACTATTTTGAATATATAATTCTATAACTGGGCAAAACATCAACCAGATATGAGTGCAGAAAAGATATAGTTTTGGGCATGAAAATAATCAGAAAGTTTTTCACAACCCACAGACTATCTCTGAAAATACTTCAGGATATAATACAGCAAACTGAAAAGGTAATTTCAAAAAGATATGAAATCCAAGAAACAGTGATACAAACCCAAAGATGCAATACAATCTCAAATGGACAGCAGTCAGCAAGTCTATACAACAACAGCTAAAACTTGTAATAGTCACAGCCTCCAACAAGAATATCTTCAAGGGGAAAAATATTCATAATATATGATTAAATATCTAAATTATCTTTGTAAAAAATATATAATCATGCTCTAATGAGAGAGATGAAGAGAATGAAAATTAAACTATCCCTTTCCCTCTTTCTCCTCCTAATTTGTTTTAGTAATATTTTCTTTGGATGACACAGACTTAATGACATAAAAATACATGTCATATTTTCCAGAGACAAATATCATTTTATATTTTGAACTCTCATATGGTTTGAAATTTTGTTTGTTGTACATGTTACTTTTACAACTTTTTTATATATTGTTATCAAATATTTGTAAATATTGCTGTAGAAAAAGTTTTTTGTTATATGGGAAATGCTTTTTTAATTTTAAAAAAGGATATGTATGGAAATAAAAGGTATCTTTTGTTTAGGAAATTATTAATGATATTTTTCTTTTGTGGTCTTTCAGATTTTCTATACGGAAAACTGAGAATTATTTAAAAAGAAAACTTACAGCTCTCAAAAATCATCAGAAAGTAAAAATTCATCAGGCAGGTCATGTCAGAAAAATTGAAATGTTTTGTAATGGCCCATGCCTTCCATGCTTAACTTCTCAAATCTCATATTATACCTTTGAATATTAGAGGTTGACAGATCCATTTTTACATCCATTTTAGTTCTAGCTTTTAGTGTCTTAAAACCTGTGTATGTAATGTATACTTAGAGCTCTTGACATACAATGTCCAGAAGCTTCTACCCTATTTAAAGTCTAAATATAAAAAAAGCTGAAACTAACACACTTTTTGTTCTCTAGGTAATTAATACTTTTAATTATATGAAGAGATTTTTGTCATGATGTAATTTTCTTATTTCTTTGTTGTTTATTTTTGTAAAGAAAGATATATGTTAGTATTTAAGCCTTAAAATTTTGCCAGAGACAAGAGCCAGCAGAGATAATGATATAAAGGTAATTGATTGGAGAATAGTTTAGTTACATCTTAACATCACCCATCTGGACATGGAGGTTGTATAAATCCTGTAGGAACTAAAATGATCTTTAGTTGAGGTACAGGAAATAAACTAATGCAAAAATTTTTAAGTCAAAGTGGTTTGAAGGAGAACATGAAACAGGATAGAAGACAAAGGAGGTGCATGTTGGGCTATTCAATTCTGTCATATTGGTTTTGGAGAGCAGTTGGGACTGGACCCAAAGCATCTGGTAAGGTACTTGAATTAAAAATGAACCAAAATCCAGGGGAAAATAATGTTTTTCACAAGATAAAAACAGTTTTGATTCACTCGTTCCAAATATCCTTTCCAAGTAACACCAATTCTCATAAAAGTTGTTTGTTCCTGCCTGGTTGGAGGTCAATAGGGCAAATCATTTGCTGGCTACCTTGAAATAAAAACAGCTCCTCTATTATAAAGCTTGGTTTCTAAAGCCTGGAACTATAAATCTGGGTATAAGCAGCACCAAAATGCAGGCTCAGACTCCAACTCTGATTCTGGAAAACTGAGGCAGATAGAGGGCAGATAGAGAAAGGCTGTGAAATCACTGTCAGGGTCCAATGCCCTCATTCCTGGTGGATGGTGCCATTGCCAAAGGAAGACCTTCACTCAAGCCCTGGCACCTTTTGCTCTTACCAAGATGGGGCTTACCAAGATGAACAAAGAGGGCCCAGAAAGATCTGGAAAATAAATCGAAAAAGAAAAGGGGAAAATGAAAGAAGAGAAAGAGAAAAGACAGAAAGGAAAAGGGAAGAGGAATGAAAGGGCAAGAAAACAAATGCACCTGGCATGTAAAGTAGGCCCAGGGCAAGCTCAGGATGGGAGCGTGGGAGCGGCACTATGCCCTCTCTCCCACCTTCCCTCAAGTACTGCACTCTTACCCGGGCAAGAGGCTCCCTGCTCTGGATTCTGAATATTCCAGAGCCCTGAACTGCTCCTCCCCTAGCTGTGCTCCAGACTAAAGGAGACAGGGCCAAGTGGATGTGGTCATCGTCCTCACTTCTAGATCTCATTCTGTGTACTTTAGACCCTGTAACTGCCTACACAAATGGCTCCCGGAAGCTATGCAGGCACCCATGGTCTACACGGGCCTCTTCCCTGCGCCATCTCCCAGAAGGTGGTCTGCACCTCTGATGTTTGTATTTCTAGGCCTGAGGGGTGGCCCAAGAACAGTCACTTCTAGTACGGCATTGTCTTACAGCTGGAATTTGGATAAGGAGTGGGTTGTTCACATGTGTGTAAATAAAGCCCTTCAATATTGGATGGATCTGGGGAGGGGAAGAGAAAGGGAGACAGGAGGCAGCAGTCAGGAGCAGCCTCTCCCATCACATTTGGCATAGAACTTCTATAATTCCAAAATTCTAAATTGAAATCTGACCTCCCAGGTTATTATAAAGGAATATTTGTCAAGGTAAAAGGAATATAAATGACTTCACTTATGTTGCTAATTTGATTTGAAACTATTAAATATTTAAATATACGATATGTGGTTCTCCAGCTGCACTCTTGCTCCAGGCCTGCAAAGCTCATAAAATAAGGGCAGGACAGACAGACTTTATGTGTATCTATATGAAAGAGAATTTTTTAAAAAAGAAAACATCATTAGTACTTCTATGTAACATAGTATAGTTAAGTAGATCTACAGTATACCTTGAAACATAAAATAAATGTGACTATTTTAAGTGTTGGAGAAAGATGCTTTCACATATAGTTACCTGATTTAGTAAGTTACTAAGTGTGGCAGATTGTGGTTTCCAAAAATGGCCACAACAATTCTTTTCATCCCGTATGTTCTTCCAGAGCCTTCTATATCTCCTTTCTTGAACCCAAGTCAGCTTTTGTGGTTTCCTCAATTAACGGTTCACAGCAAAAGCATCACCATGTAATTTTTGAACATAAGTTATAAAAGACAATACAGCTTCCTCCTAGCTCCCTTTCAGGTCACTTGCTTTTCGAACCCAGTCACCACGCTATGAGGAAGCCAAGAACTTACATGGAGAGACAAGGCGCAGGCATTCCTGCCCACATTTTTAGCTGAAGTCTTAGCCAACAGCACCTACCATACATGTGAGTAAACAAGGCTTCCCAATATCCTGGCCTCCACACATCCAACCCTGGTTTATATCACATGGAACAGAGATGTACAGTCCCCTCCAACCCTGCACAAATCACTGGATCATGAGTTAAATAACTGATGGTTGTTTTAAGCCACTAAGTTTGGGATGCCATTTATCTACTATTCAGCAATAGATAAATTGAATCTTAAGTGTAAAATAATTTTATTTTAAAAAGTGTTATTATGTAACACATGCCTCATGTTTTTTAAATGAACTTCAAAAAGGGACAGGCAACTTAAGCAAAAACTGAATTATGGCTTTTTCTACATGTACAGGAGGCATAATTCTATTTAATAATTTTAATGTTTGAATGTAGTTAAAATTAATTAAGTCTGGGCACAGTGGCTCGTGCCTGTAATCTCAACACTTTGGGAGGCTGAGTGGGCAAATCACTTGAGGTCAGGAGTTCAAAACCAGCCTGGCCAACATGGTGAAACCCCGTCTCTACTAAAAATATAACAGATTATCCGAGCATGGTGGTGTGTGCCTGTAATCCCAGTTACTCAGGAGTTTAGGGCAGGAGAATTGCTGAACCCGGGAGGCAGAGGTTGAGGTGAACCAGGAACATGCCACTGCACTCCAGCCTGGGCAACAGAGCAAGACTCCATCTCAAAAACAAAAACAAAAAAAAAAACAATTTAAGTACTACCTCACAACCATTAAGATGACTACTATTAAGAAAAACAGTAAATAATAAATGTCAACCAGAATGTGAAGGAATTGATACCCTTGTGCATTGTTGGTGGACAAGGTTTAGCTGCTGTGGAAAACAGTATGGTGGTTGCTCAAAAACTAAAAGATAGAATTACCATATGATATAGCAATCCCACTTCTGGGTATATACCCAAAAGAATTGAAAGCAGAGTCTCTAACAGATATCCATGTTCATAGCAGCATTATTCACAATAGCCAAAAGTTGAAAGCAACCCAAGTGTCCATCAACAGATGAATGGATAAGCAAAATGTAGAACATACACACAATGGAATATTATTCAGTCTTAAAAAGGAAGGAAATGCTGTCACATGCTACAACACAGGTAAACCCTGAGGACATTATGCTAAATGAAATAAACTGGTCACAAAAAGACAAATACTATATGATTTCATTTATATCAAGTATCTAGAGTACTCAACTCATCATGATAGAAAGTAGAATAATGGTTGCCAGGAGCTGAGGGCAGGGGGAATAAGGAGTAGTTGTTTAATGGATATAGAGTTTCACAGTTTTACGAGATAAAAAGACTTCTGTAGATTGGTGGCACAGCACTTTGTGTACAAACACTACTAAACTGTATGCTTAAAATAGTAAATTTCATGTTGTGTATATTTTACCACAACTAAATGTTTTTTTAATTAATCAAGATGTTTTTGATCTCAATGATTCCAGAGTTCACCCTACTCTTAGTCATTCTCTCATCATATAGGCATAGCTAATATTTATTATCCAATAAAATCACCAGATTTCCTTCTAGATTTGCAGAAGCAAAATGGCTCATGAAATTTAACAATGTTTAGGCCAATAAACAGTTTGGGAATCAGACACTTATCTCATTGGTTCGTTAATAATGCATTCTATAACCAATATATGGTGGCATGTAACATCTTTTTTAAGGCTGATGATCAAGGTCTTGGTCAGTGTTTATTTCTATCAAAGTTCAAATCTTGTGATCTATTATAATTCATTCACATTTTATATTTCAAGTTTGAAATACATACAAACTATCTGATTCTCATACAGTTATATTTCTAGATGTGATTTCATTGATGTTTATGGTAGAGGATTACAATTTACAAAACTATAAAACCTGCTTTATTTGCCCTGTGTGGCAAATAGTTCAGCTTTCTCATTTTACATTGCTGAACGAGTTGAAAATATTTTGCAATTACTTCGGTTATTAATTTCAAAAAAAAATTCTATCAGTATTTCTATGAGGGATTTGTAATTGTAATTTCAGAAGCCACACGCCCAACGGATGGACTGTTTTTTTTTAAAGATACCCAAAAGCAGGGTTGAAGTTTGAAAACAAAGAGAAAAATCATAGTTAAAAAAATAGTATATAGTTTTTTATTAAAATGAAAAAAAATCATGTAAGAAACTATAACGAGGTCAGGCGCGGTGGCTCATGCTTGTAATCCCAGCACTTTGGGAGGCAGGCGGATCATGAGGTCAATAGATCGAGACCATCATGGCCAACATGGTGAAACCCCATCTCTACTAAAAATACAAAAATTAGCTAGACATGGTGGTGCATGCCTGTAGACCCAGTTACTCAGGAGGCTGAGGCAGGAAAATCATTTAAACCAGGGAGGTGGAGGTTGCAGTAAGCCAAGATCACACCAATGCACTCCAGCCTGGCAATAGAGTGAGACTCCATCTCAAAAAAAAAAAAAAAAAAAAAAGAAGAAGAAGAAATTATAATGAGAACTAATTTTAGAATTTAAATTGTTCCTTAATGCTTTTTGTTTATTTATGTTGAAAAGGAAGGCTACTCATATCAGAGATACCTTCATGATGACAGTGCTTAGTAAGTGATTTGTAGTTACTTTTGCTTTCTGTCTTAATACTTGGGTATCACACACAGAAAAATTAAGAAGAAAAATAAAAAAAGGAATTTCCACTCAACATTTCCCAATTTGAGATTATTTTTCTATTAGGAATAATTTCAGAATTTTGTCAAGCAATTTTCAAATAATAATACTTTTTGTGGTTTATAATACCATAATCCACGTGGTTCAGTCTCAGAGCAGTATTATGGCTAAAAGTATACAGTCCTTGCAAACAAATTTAATTTCAAAATAAATGAAGCCCTTTTCTTGTATGTACTGAACACTATGATGAAGACACATGAGTTTCAGCAATTCTTAAAATCCTCTTTTTTCTCCCCTCCACCCAACACTATCATATATAATGTCTGTTCCTGGACCTTTCTCAAATCTCCAAAAAATCTCCTCTACCTTCAACCTACATGACTTTTTCTATTATTTTTCCACTTACTTTTCTTCTTCTAGCCCCTCATTATACAAATTGACATTATATATAAATGGGAAATAAAATGTATATTGACACTAAATCATTCTCCCTCATCCTCCTACTATTCCAATGAATCTCTCTGCCTGTTATTCTATTCTTTCTCTTCAAAGTCAGGAGAAATGGAAAGACACTTTTTGAAAGAGAAAAAACAATGACTGAACAAACCTGAAATTCTCTTTTGCAGACAGGTGGTAAGTATGAGAGAGAAACTAAAAATCTTCATACACCCATAATTTTTAGTTCGTTGCATTCTAATGGCTACAAAATTTACTGCCCTTTCAATGAAAGTATAAAGCTGTTCACAGAGAGTATCTAAACTTAAAATCCTGAAACCATCATTCCATTCAGACCATAATTTTTAAATAACATCAGCAGCAAGAGCTTAATAAATTGAAGGTTCTCCTCACTTCCTTTTAAGTACCTCAGAGAATTTAAAACCTAGAAGAGAGAGTTAGTTCAACTGTTTTTGCTCTACACATTTTTGCTTTGGAGAGTTGTAGTGGTTTGGGTTAAAATTTTGACCCTAAGCACTGTGATATTCCCTCCCACGATGTGAGTCCCAAGAAACATCTGGAGTCTTCTGCAATGGGTCTCTGAATTTTCATTTCCCTACGTGGTACATATACAGGTTGCACATTATGATTTAATCAGCTGTCTAGAAAAATAGGCTCTTAGAATTCTAACACACTGGAACCAGTTGTGGTGTTTTTAAAGTAACAGCAGGACCACACTTACATCCTAAGACAGCACTCAGTCAAGAGTTCTTTATATCTCTTTTACAGTTCCTCTCTTCATACAAAGTAAACTTTTCTTCCTTTGGTCAAAAGGACATAGGACGAGCTATCTAAATGAAAGCACAGTTCTCTTGTGTCTGATGAATCACTAAGTGACTTGGTTCAACATTAGGTCACTGTGGAACACAGACTGTAACAGAAACACATAAAAGCTCTGACAGGGGAGGGGAGAGATGCTATTCTGGAATATCGTTGCCAGAGTAACATAAACCTTGTGTGTTTTCACAAGGAAATGAGTCACTTGTTTCTGTTGGCTAAAACTCTGTTTTCTTTAATTTCATATTTTAGCTGTCTAATATATGCTGAAAGAGCCCAGGGTTTCCAGTCTTCAGACGGAGATAACTTGCTAATTAAAAGCTCAACAGAGGGTTTTGCATGGTAATTAAACAGAACTGGATAAAAGAAACACTCAAGCAAACAGGAGCACATAGCAAATGCAAGGGTGAGAGCACTCAAACCACAATCAGTCCTCTAAGAGGGCCTGGGGAGGGGGAGCAATACCCATTGAGATAATTCAGAAGACAACAACAACTACAAATAACATTCACTGGACCCAATTTGCTAAGAAAAAAGTATAATATACTCAGACAAACTCAGGATATTTTGCCTGGAATTATTGAGTTATTTTCACGTTTTCCTTTTTTTTTTAAGATTTACCATTAGAAAGACTTACAGCAGGGGCTACACACACAGAAGCCGTCTGAGCTTGGCTGGTGACAAACTAGTGATGCAGGCTGACTATGGGACAACAGGGAGTGATGGGGACTATGGCATTCAGTCAAAAAGTTTAAAATGCTGTGCTTTGCATAATGTATTTAATATTTTACCTGTGAGCCAGATTCATCCTATAGGGTACTAGATCGGGACCTCTGTTCTTGAGTGGCAAGAAACACATGCTTCTTCATTTTTATTTGAAGACTGGCTTTCTTTTAAATATATCCACTGATAAAAATGTCAATATTCATTCAAACTTTTAAAATTATTATTGATATAGATGTCTATATTAAGAATCCTGATACTTAATATATACATACATACATATATATGTGTATATGTGTGTGTGTGTGTGTGTGTGTGTGTGTGTGTAGTTCTCCTCCAGTTTCTTTGCTTTTACGTCCCAAAACATATGGCCATTTGGTACTACTCTGCCTATATTTTTTCTCCCTGTTCTTCTTGATACCTCTTTAAGCAAATAGTCATTACCATCTACCTCTAATGGGTTACAGCCTCTTCTCCCACACCCCAGAAACCTATTCTCAACTGCCCACTTTACCGGAACTGTTGACCTCTTAATCGCCCGCCCTAGTGGACTTTCCAGCCCTGATTCCCTTAGGCCTCCCTAACTCTGTTAGTCCTTACTGGGGACACTCCTTGTTTGTAATACTCTTCTTCATCAGTTTCCCCCTTAACCAAACTATGTTAATTCTCTTTATCCTTCAGTCCTCTGTTGACTTCCATATTTAAATTATCCAAGTCTGACCTCTCTCCCTAATTACCTTCTGAATATTTTTACTGATATCCAATATTCCACTCCAACATAATATTTTAAAAATCACACTCCCCATTTTCCTCCTCTAAACCAGCATCTCTTCCTGACTTCTTTATCTCTGTCAATGGTACAATCATTCTCTCCACAAGACAGTCTCAAACCAAGAAGCTGTCTTTGATTCTTCCCTTTCCTTTCTTTCTCCTACACACAGGATTAGTCGCCAAGCTTGTTGGCTCTTGTAAAGTAATCTATTCTATATCCAAGCCTTCTTTTCTGATCTCATAGCCACACCCTTGACCAGAACCTTGGTTATTATCACTTAATGCCTAATGTATTCCAACACTTCCCTAATCAGTCTCTGCCTGCAATCTCTCAGTGCTGCAACCCATCCTGCTCACTGCAGCCAGATATGCTGTATTTTAAACTCCGCTGTCATGGCTGACCCCTGCTCAAAGCTTCCAGTGACATCCTGTGCCTGTAAGTGCAGACATGGCAGTGTAGTGTTCAGGTTCTCCAGGAGGGTACCTCCTCTTACATTCTTATTTTCCTCATCTCCCACCTGAAGTCCTTCTCTTTCTGCACTGTTTCACTCCTTGTCCTTGAGCCTTCCCACCACCCAAATGATGCCCCCCCCTTCTAGAAAAAATGACCCTTCCCATTTTACCCCTACCCACTTTCGTGGCTCACCTCACTGACCACCTCCTCCCAGAAGCCTTTCCTGATCATATAGGCACTTTCTGCCATATTTCAGCTTGTGTTTATCAAAGACTTCATGAGTTTGGGTCTTGTGCTCTTCAAGAATTCTTAGCCCTCTAAACAGAAGAAGTCTTGTTCATGTATACTGTAGTCACAATGATATAGTTGCAATAGCTTTTCTATAATTATTTCTTGAATAAAGATGGTAATTATCTTAATACTGGCATCTATAGCTACTAAGTTGTACAGAGTGGAATATACATCTTAATGAGTGTGTTTTCAAGATTTTCATAACTTTTTACAGACATTTGTTCATCTTTCATGCATGTCTGAAAGATTTAAGAACATTAATTAAATGTCTAATCAATTTGTATCATAATTAACTTCTATCCAAATCCTTATTTAGCATCCATGTTCTTTCTTTTCTCCTTAGAAACATTTTCTTCTTCTCAGAGATATTTCTTCCTGCAATTGTATTTGTATCATATATACTTTATCAATTCTCATTTTTTAAAACCTGTTATTCAGTTTTTAGAATTTTAACTCATAATGTAGAATGTATATAGTCTCCCATTTTTCAATTGACTAGGATAGTCTCCAATAATAGAATTGCTGGGTCTAAGAGTATATGATTTTGTAATTTTGACAGATACTATCAAATAGCTATTTATAATAGAATGAACTATTTTCCTCCCACAAAGATGATGTCTAAGAGTGCCCATTTCTCCAAAGTGGGACTAACACAGTGCATTATTCAAACTTTTGGGGTTTTGTCAGTTTAATAGGTGAAAAATCGATTAAGGGTAGTTTTTAACAATTACCTTTGTTGCAGTATAATTTATATAATAAAATTTGTTTTAAGTATATAATGTTTTGAGTTTCGACAAACATATATGACGGTATTAATGTAATCACAACCACAAACATTATATAGAACATGTATAGAACATCACACCCAAAATCCTTCATGCCCCTTTACAGCAAATTCCCTAACCCCATCCCAAGCCTCTGACAACCATTAATTTGCTTTTAGCCACCATGGTTTTGCCTTTTATAGTACTTCATGAGGAATTATACAGTAGGCACTCTTTTCTGTATGGCTCCTCCTATTAATAAAATGTTTTTGAGCATCATCTGTGCTGATGTGTGTACCAATCTTTCATTCTTCTCTGTTGTAGCATAGTACTGCATTGTAGGGATAAATTAAAATTTGTTTATCCACTTACCAGTTAATAGACATATTGGTTATTTTCAGTTTGGGCCTATTATGAATAAAACCATCATGAATAATTGAGTATAAGCATTCCACATGGACAGTTCTATGCAAACCTGCCCCCTAAAGCCTAAGGATGCTGAGAGGCCAAATAAAGAGGCTAACAAATCCAGTTTCTTAAAAATAAATATTTAATAGGGACTTATAAGCAGAAACGATGTCTCAGGTGGCTGTGAGACAGTGGATACCCACACCTGCCCTTTGGAAAATATCTTTTCTATAGCAAGCTTTTAGGGCAAAACATGTGCAGCTGGTCACATCTCAGATTTTCTTGCCAAAACTCATGACTACTGGAGAGGTTGCCTAAGCATCTTTATGAGGGCTTATTTATCCTACAGGTATTGTTGTAAGACCTTGCTGCCAAACACCTTGGTATGCAGAAGTCATCATTGCTTCAAGATGGTGTCACTCTTGCCATACGACAGGTTGTTTTTCTATAATAAGTATTTGTGTGAAAATATGTTTTCAAAAACAAATTTTTTAATTTAAAAAAAAAAAAGAAAAAAGCAGTCCAGGTGCAGTGGCTTACACCTGTAATCCTAACACTTTGGGAGGCCGAGATGGGCCGACAGTTTAAATCCAAGAGTTCAAGACCAGCCTGGGCAACATGGCTAAACCCTGTCTCCACAAAAAATACAAAAATTAGCTGGTCATTACAGCACCCACCTGTAATCCCAGCTACTTGGGAGGCTGAGGTGGGGGATCGCTTGAGCCCAGGAGGTCAAGGCTGCCATGTGCCATGATAGTGCCACTGCACTCTAGGCTGGGAAACAGAGCAAGACCTTGTCTCAAAAAAAAAAAAAAATTAAAAAAAGAAAATACGTTTTATTTCTCTTGGATGAATCACTATAAATGGTATTGCTGAGTTGTATGATGTGTATTTTTAACATTATGAGAAACTTCCAAATTGTTTTCCAAAATTGCTGTGACATTTTCTTTTATTTCCATCAGCAATATATGAGAGTTGCGTTTGCATCATACCTTTGCCAATACAAAGTATTGTCGGTTTTCAACTGTAGTCACTTTAGTGGGTATGTAATGGTAATTGAGGTTTTAATTTGCTTTTTCTTCAGACTAATGATGTTGAGCATCCTTTCATGTGCTTACTTGCCATTTATATATCTTCTTTGGTGAAGTGTCTATTCAAATATTTATTAGTTTTTTTAATTATTGAGTTTAAGTGTTCTTATATCTTCCAGTTAAGGTCTATTTTAGAACTATATTTTACAAATATTTTCTTTCAGACTATGGCTTACCTTCCATTTTCATAAAAGAGTCTTTTGAAAAGCAAAAGATTCTAATTTTGTATTTTAATGAAATCTAGCATAACAACTTATTAGTTTATAGTTTGTGTTTTTGGTTTTCTATCTAGCAAATCTTTGCTAACCAAGGTCACAAAGATTTCTTCACATACTTTCTTCTAAAAGTTTAATAGTTTCACTTTTATAATTCTATAATCCATTTTGAGTTAATTTTTAAGCATGATGTGAGGTAAGGACTTATGGATGCCTATTTGTTGACAAGACCATACTTACCCAATTGAATTACTTTGAAACCTTTGTCAAAAATCACATAATCATGTAATATGTGTCTACGTCTATTTCTGAGCTTTCTATTGTGTTAATCTATATGTCTACCTTGACATCAATATTGCATTGCACTAGTGACTTTATAATTAGTCTTAACTCAGATTGTAGAAGTCTTATAATTTTGTTATTTTTCAAAATCATATTGGTTATTCTGGGTCTTTTTTATTTCCATGCACATTTTAGAATCAACTTGCCAATTTCCTGAATAGTGCTGAAATATTGATTGGTATCATGGTGAAATCATAGATCAATTAGAGAAAAACTGACATTTTAATATTAAGTCTTCTAATCTGTAAACATGACCTTTCTCTTCATTTATTTAGGCCTGCTTTCATTTCTCTTGGCAATGTTTTAGACATTTCACTGTACGAATATTGAGGATTTTAAAAAACTTAATCCCAAATATTTCAGATGTTCTTATAAATTATATTTCTATTTCCATTTCCAAATATTTGTTGATAGCATAGGAATACATTGGATTTTTGTATATGACCTTATATCCTGAATCTTTGATAAATTGATTATTTTTCTACATACATGATCATGTTATCTGGAAATAGAATTTTAATTTTCTCTCTCTCTCTCCCTCTTTCTTTGTCTTTGTTCTATCATATTGCCCTAGCTAATAGCTTCAGTACATTACTGGAAAAAAATGACGAGTTCCTTTGCCCTCTTCCAATCTGAGAGGGAAAGCTTTGGTATTTCATCATTGTGATTTAAAATGTAGGGTTTTTGTGGAAACCCTTTATTATATTGAGAAAGTTCCCTCCTTAGTTTGCAGAGAGTTTTTTTTTCATGAATGAACGTTGAATATTTCCTGTTTTTTGTGGATCTACTGAGATGATTATGCATTTTTTCTTTTATAGTCTATTGATACAGTGAATTGCAATGATTGATTTTCAAATGTTAAAACAACTTTATGTTCCTGTGATAAACTCTACCTGGTCACGATGTATTATCCTTTTTGTTGCTAGAGGTGATTCACCAAAATTTGGTGAAAGATTATTGCTTCTATGCCTGAAGATTACTGATCAGTAGTTTAATTTCCTTGTCTTTTATGGGTTTGAGTTTTACTGGTTGGTATTGGTATAACTCTGACCTCATTTTGGGAAGTATTCCTTCCTAACTTGTTTTCTGTAAGAAACTGTATAGAAATGATATTATTATTTTTATTAACTATTTGGTTAATTTACTAGTGAAGCTTTTGGAACCTAGCGTTTTCTTTCTGGAAAAGCTTTTAACCACTAATTCAGTATCTTCAATAGATTTGGGACTATGTTACCTATTTCTCCTTATGTGCACTTACCTTGCATCTTTTAGGGGATTTGTTCCTTTTATCTTTACATAAAATTTAATGCCATTAAACATGTTTCTTTGTTGTCCTTTTAATGCCTCTAGAATCTGTTGTAATTTCACTCATTCCATTCCTAAAACTGCTTGTGTTTTACTTTTTTTCTGAACAATCTGACTATAAGTTTACCAATATTATTGCTTTTTTGAAAAATATAACTTTTGGTTTCATTGTCTTTCTTGTTTGTTTGTTTTCTGTTACACTGATTGTGGGTTTGTCTATATCATTTTATTCCTTCTGCTTATGTTAGGTTTAATTTACTGTTCTTTCTCTAGTTTCTTAAGATATACACTAGGATCATTGATTTAAGACTTTTGTCCTTTTTTTTAAATAAGCACTTACTGATATAAATTTTCTTCTTATAAACTGCATCTTACAGATTTTGTTTTGTTGTGTTTCTACTTTCACTCAGCTTAAAATATTTTCTAATTTCATTGTGATTTCTTATTTGAACTATGAATTATTTAGAAGTATGTTGACTAATTTTTAAATATTTAGACTTTCCAGAGATCTGCTACCAGTTTCTAACTTAATCTTGCTTTATGTAGATAAAATAGATTTTAGGATTTTAATCCTTTTATATTTATTGAGACTTGCTTTTCAATCCAGAATATGGGGTCTATCTTGATAAGTGTTCTATCAGTATTTATTTGAAAAGAATTTGTATTTTGCTGTTGCTGGATGCAGTGTTCTATAAATGTCAATTAGGTCAAGTTGGCTGATATTGTTTGAGTAGTCTATCATTTCTGATTTTCTGTCTACTCATTCTATCAATTACTGAAAACTGAAAGAGCAATGTTGAATCTCTGCCTATAATTGCAGGTTTATCTTTATTTCTCCTTTAAGTTCTATCAGTTTTTGTTTTCTGTATTTTGAAGATCTGTTATAAGGTGCGTGCACATTTAAAATTGTTATGTCCTCTTGATGAAATGACCTTTTCAAAGAAATGCTCCTCTTTCCTTGTTATTTCTTGTTCTGAAATCTATTCTGTTTGATATTAATAGAGCCACTCTAGCTTTTTCATTTAATGTGTTTGCATGGTATAAGTTTTTCCTTTTTTTACTTAAACCTATGTCTTTACATTTTGTATTGGTTTCTTGTAGACAGTATCATGGGATTCTGCATTTTTATACAGTCTGACAATCTGCATTTTAATTGAGGCATTTAGACTATTTAATGTGATTAACAACTTAGTTGAGTTTAAAATCTACCATATTTCTACTTGTAACTTTTTGTCCCATTCACTCTTTGTTCCTTTTTTCCCTTTTCTTAACTTACTTTAGGTTGAGGTTTTATTATCCCATTTTTTGTTAACTATTCACATTGGCCATATCTCCATTTCATTCTTTCAGTGATTGCCTCAGGGCTTGCAATTTACATCTTTAGCTTATCACAGTCTACTTTCAAATAGATTCCTATTTCCTCTCTCCTGTCCTTTGTACTACTTTTGTTGTGCTTTGATTTTACTACCATATGTGCTATACCCTCCACAATACATTGTTAGTTTTGCTTTAAATAGATAATTAGCGTTTAAAGAGATTTTAAAAGTAAAACTATGCCTGTTATATTATCCATATACTTTCAATTTCTGGGGTTCTTCATTCATTTGCATAGACCCGAATTTCTCTCTTCCCTAATGAACTTAAAATATTTCTTGAAGTCAAGATCTGCTAATGATAAATTCTTTCAGCTTTTGTATGTCTGTCTTTGTCTACTTTTCATTTTGACTGGTTAAAAAAGTCTAGGTTGACAGATTTATTTTCTTTTAGTACTTTAAAGATATCTCTCTTCTGTCTTCTGGCTGTAGAGTATCTAATAAAAATTCTCCTATCATTTCTAACCTCGTTTCTCTGTATATAATGTATCTATATTCCTGGTCTTTTAAGATTTTTTTTCTTTTTTAGTGGTTTTCAACAATTAGATTATGATGTGCTTTGTTCTGGTTTTCTTTATGTCTAATCTGTTCAATTCATTGAGCTCCTTGGATTTATGGTTTTCGTCAAGTTTGGAAAATTTTTGAACAGTATTTCTTCAATAATTTTTCTATCCCTACCCCCATTTTTGGACTCCAATTAAATGCATATTAGATCACTTGATAGTTTCCTATAGGTCACTGCTGCTCTGGATTTTTTTAGTATTTTTTTTCTCTATGTGCTTCACAGATTGTGTTGCTGTATCTTCAAATTTACTAATCATTTATTCTACAGATGCTAATTTGCTATTAACCCCATCCAGTACATTTTTCATTTCAGACACTGAATTTCTACGTATTTGAAAACTTTACCCAAGTACTATTTTTTTTAATGTCTCCCATTTCTCTCCTTGTAATCACCATGTTTTCTTAAACATGTGAAGCATATTTGTAATAGTCCTTTTAATATCATTTCTGTGTGTTTGTACAGATTGATTTTTTTTCCTGGTTATGGATCATAAGTTTTGCATTTTTGCATGTCTGATAGTTTTGGGGAGGATTATGATATGTTGTTTGTTGCTGGATTTCCAGTATTCCTTAAAATAATGTTGAATTTTGTTTTTATGTACAATTCAGTAATTTGAAATCATTTGGATCATTTCAAGGCTTGCTTTTAAACTGGGTTAGGATAGGTCCAGGTGGACATGAGCCTAGGATCAACTTTGCCCTACTACTTAGGATTCTACTTAATGCCCATGTATTAGGTCTTTCCACTTGGGCTGATGTGAACACAAACTATTACCAGCCCTGTGTGAGATCCTGGAATCTGTCTGTCCACTGATTTCCAGTGGTTTTTAACCTAGCCTGAAGCAGTTTTCTCTCATTCATCTGTAGATTAGCAATCAGTGAAAGACTCAGAGGATTCTTCTGCATCCCCTAGAGACTTTTCCTGGAGCCAATCCCTCCGCTCCAGTGTACTCCACAATAACTAGCCCTTGTCCTCCCTGAACTCCAGTCTGTCTCCTCCTCACTGTAAGCCAGCCTAGCTGTGTTGGGTTTCCTCTTTCTTCACTGAAACCTGGAAATTCTCCAGGCACAAGGAGCTAGTGCAATTATTCAGGTCTTTATTTTTCTTTCTATTATTCTTTCTTTCATTATTGTTGTTTGCTTTTTTCATTTTTCTCAGGGTTCCCAGACCTGGACTGCTTGTTGTCCAAAGATGGAAAACTATTGTCTCAGATTGTGTCTAGTTTCCTACTCTGTTAAGGCAAAAGATTGAAGCTGGTCTCTCTTACTCAGTCTTGGCCAGAATCAGAAATTCCTATGAGTTTTAATATGAATTTCTCTTATGATAAATGAGGTTGAGTATCTCTTCATGTGTTTAAGAGGTTTTAATATTTCTGCCTTTCTCTGTGAATGTGTTCACATCCTTCATCCATTTTTATTGTGTTTTGGTTCTTTCATCAGTTTCAACAGCATCATTTAGCTTCACTGATTCTTTATGGTTCCAAAAATAGTTTTTATTATCCACTGATATTTCAATAGCTTTTCCTAAAATAATTTTCAATGCTGTTCTACTTGTGTCTTAAAGATTCTTTATCCCATTTGTACATCTGCATATTTTTATACTTCAGTGTAAACATCAGTTAAACAAGCATTTCTTAAGTATCTAAGGCTCGCATGTAACTATTCTAAAGCAAAGAAAGAACAAATCAAGCAAAAGACATGTTTTATGATCTTAAAGATTTATGATATAGATGTGGAGAGAAAAATATATGTATGTATATCTTTTAAGTTGGGGGTCGGGGGAGGGAGACAAAGCCAAAATTATAAAATGAGCTAAGAAAGTCATAAAATTATTCTTGGAATAGATGAATCTTGAGAAAAACTTTGAGCAAAGTGATAAAATCTAAATATTCTCGATGAGATAGGCTTTCCAGGGTCAATTGAAAAATGAGAAAAGGAAAAAGAAGTGGAATGAGGGGGAAATAAGTCAGGGAGGCTCTGTGGGGTGGCAGTCTCCTCTCAGACCCCGCTTATATCCTGTCCATTGAAAGAAAGGAAGAGTTCTGAGAAACAGAAGTCCGAGTTCACAGAAGCCTAGAAAAGCTGATCTCAGAGATCTAAGAAAACACAGCACTGCCTCCGAAATAGTTAAGGACTAGATTCCCTCATTTAACAATGTATTAATATTTTTATGGATATTGATACATTATAGGGTTCTATTGGTGAGTTCATTGCAGTCATGTTTAACTTAGGGAGCATGAGGATACAGTAACAGGTTTAATTGCAATTCTACATTTGTATAAAATTCTGGTCCTTCTTACTAGTGATCTCTAGGCTCCCCACCCAAAGAGGGATTGACCAATCTCCATTTCCCACCCCTTACTTATCAGCATTCCTCTGACCTCCTGGCCACATGCAACCAGATACGGTCTCCTAAGGCAGACCCTGGAAGACCTCCTGGAGAGGAGGTTCATGTCAAACCAGACTAAATGCTTGCATGCTGATCCTTCACTGCATTGGTAGCAGAAGCCTCTTAACCCCATTTTCTGACCTCTGTGGCTTGCCTTGTAAGCCCTCTGTGACTATACAACAATGGGCATTATCTCTCATTTGTGTTTTCTTGATCCTAACTTCTTTATGAATCCACTTTTTTCCATTAGTGGCTCAAGCCCCTAAAATCTTATTAGTAGGAATGAAAATAATATCACCTCCTGAGGCTCATCAGTCACTAATGAATTGACTAAAGCCCTGAGGTTTTCAATACTTCAAAATAGGGGGTTGATGCAATAGATAGATAAATGTGTGTTTGATCAAAAGGGTGAAGAATGGGAAATACCAATGGTAGAATAGAAATATACAAGAAAACTTGTAAATTGACAAGGCAATTAAAGAATGAAAAGTTGATCAAACTTACAAAAATAAGAAGAAATAAGAGCACAACAAATTACTTCCTATGGATGGTATAAGATCAAGTATACCAATTGTAACACGGAATGTGACCAGGTTTTCCTATTTAAAGACAGATATTTTTACTTTGGTATTTAAAAATAGAAGTCTGAGCTATATGTTGTTTATCAGAAACACATTTTCAGTAATAATAATTTTTTAACGAACTGAAAACAAAATGGAGGGCAAAATAATATTAGGCAATCACAAACAAAAATAAACAGCATAGGCCAGGTGCCGCGGCTCATGCCTGTAATTCCAGCACTTTGGGAGGCCGGGGCAGGTGGATCACTTGAGATCAGGAGTTCAAGACCAACCTGGCCAACATGGTGAAACCCCATCTCTACCAAAAACACAAAAATTAGCCAGGTGTGGTGGTGCATGCCTTTAATCCCAGCTACTCGGGAGGCTGAGGCAGGAGAATTGCTTGATCCCTGGCAGCAGAGGTTGCAGTGAGCCGAGATAGTGCCACTGTACTCCAGCCTGAGTGACAAAGTCAGATTCTGTCTCAATAAAATAAAATAAATAAATAAAATAAACAGCAGGAGAAATATTAATTTCATAAAAGTTAAATTTATGATTCAAAGCACTAAGCAGGATAAAGACAGAATATGATGACTAAAGTCACAAAAGTTATATAAGTCATATGTGGGAGCCTGCCTGGGAATACTGGGTGCTATAGGCTTAATAAATAATTAATTATTTAAAAAGTCACATCTTCCAAAGAAGATAACATATAGATCTACATGCACAAAACAGCATATGAACAAGAAAAATCTTTAGAAATGCAAACAGAAAAATATTTAAAAGTGCAATTACAGCAGGAGACTTTAAAATCCCTCTTTCCAAGTGGTTTGATTAGTAAGAATAAGAATAAGAATAGGCCAGACGTGGTGGCTCACACCTGTAATCCCAGCACTTTGGGAGGCCAAGGTGGGTGGATCACCTGAATTCGGGAGTTCAAGACCAGCCTGACCAACATGGATAAACCCTGTCTCTACTAAAAATACAAAATTTGCTGGGCGTGGTGTTGCATGCCTATAATCCCAGCTACTCAGGAGGCTGAGGCAGGAGAATTGCATGAACCCAGGAGGCAGAGGTTGTGGTGAGCCGAGATCATGCCATTGCACTCCAGCCTGGGTAACAAGAGCGAAACTCCATCTCAAAAAAAAAAAAGAATAAGAAAAAGGAATTAAACAGTACACTGAATGAGCTCATAATAATATAAGTAGAGATTCTTTAACTAGACAATATCCTTTTTCTTCCTACATGCACATAGCACATTTACAAAATCAATTTTGTACTGGCCAGAAAACAATTGCCCTTAGCAAAAGTTTTAAAACAGAGGCTTTTACAGGCCATATTCTGTAATCATAATCCAATAATATCAGAATAAATCATAAAAATACCCAAACAATTGCACCTACTTGGAAATTAAGACCCATACTCCTAAATAATCCTTGAAAACAAAAGTGGTTGCTAAAAATGGTATGCAGTAGAAGAGACCCGCACCTTGCATGTACACAGCCCTCCCTGAGAGATAAGAAGTCATCCTTCATTCTCATCGGTCATTTTTATCTTTAGCAAAGCATCCACACCTATTCATCTTATCTCCTGGTGTCTGTCTGGGATTGATATTTACTTGTTTATTTATTTATATCACTGATTTGTTCTGTTAAAAATAAACCAGTAATTCAAGAACAAATTAAACTGTCAACTTTTTAAAATCAAATAAAGCATGTGGTTAGTTTTGGTATTTTCAAATATGTAGTTTAATGTAGTTTTATGCATTGAAGTTAATAATGTGAAACACTTAGGGCAGGGCACAGCAGTGTGTCCCACATGCAACATTAGTTATTGTGTTCATACCTCAGTCCCTATCTCCTCAGCTGAGTAGAAAGTCCTCCCTCCCCAGCCCCAACCAACCTGTAGGTTCCTCCCCTAATGTGCTCCAAAGTCTCCCATGGTGCCTTTTTCTCCCTATAGGGCCAGTTCCCATTACTCCCAATTCCTGGAGCTGGAATTTGGACATGTCTCCCTGAAGCTGGAAATACACCAGAGAACGTCTTAGAGCAGCTAGAGCTTCCCACATAGCACTTGGCCCAGCTCCTCCTTTCTAACTGTGCTTGTTGCCTTCTCGACAGAAACACAGGAGGGCCTTCTTTCCAGCTCTCTGAGAAATGGTCAGGAAGTAGAAATGCACAGCCCTCTAATTTCAGGTTCCAATGTCTGCCCAGAGTTCCCAAGCATGTAGGCCTCATGGAAATTACATTCTAATGCAGGAGACAGAAAATAAACACATAAACCGATAATAATATAATAACAGGTAGTGACAAGTGCTATGAAAAACATACAGCAGGATAGACCAATCAGGATCCAGCCAGGAAAACAGTCCAATAAAGAGTATTCCAGGATTTAATATGGGAAATTAGAACAGTGTCAGAAATGCTTAAAGAGCAAACATGACAATAAGGCAAACTGGGAATTTGCAATTGCCTATTGGGCTGGAGAATAAAGGAAAGAAATGGTATTATTGAAGCCCAGAGGCCAAGGCCACTTCGCAGATGCTAGAATCATGGGGGAGATGCAGCCATATCTGGAGATGCCACCCAAAGGAGAGAAAAGGTGAGAAATCTCCTGGGCGTTTCCACTTCCTTCTTTCTCCTCTCCCCCAAAAGAGTAATGACCAAAGTTAACTTGAAGCCAACTGGCAAAGGAGGCTAGGAGATGTGATTTGCAGAGATCAGCCTCCGCAGTAGAGAGAAAGTGGAGGAAGGTGGGGCATGGGTCTGAGATGAGACAGACAAAATCCCAGTTTGCTGATAGAGGGATTGCCAGTGGTGACAGATGATGGGAGGGGACTATTTTAGAGAGGATGGTTAGGAAAGATCTGTGAGGAGCTGACATTTCAGCAGACACCTGAATGAAGTAAGAGAGTAAGTCATCTAAAGATGTGAGGAAACCACACTGGGCAGAGGGAGGAGCCAATGCAGACTCTGAGAAAGGAACTAGCTTGGCACGTTCAAGGAGCAGACAGGAGGCGGATGTGGGTGGCGCAGAATGAGCAAAGGATAAAACAGCAGGAAAGGAGATCAGAGAGATGGAAGAGGCCAGAGCATGCAGGGCCTTCTAGGCCACCACGGCCAGGAACTTGGAGTTAGTGACAAATGTGATGAGAAACCACGAGAATATTTTGCATAATATAGTGATGTGAACTGATCAACATTTTTAAAAGATTATGTTCCTATTGAAAATACAAGTACCTCAGTTGCTGAGCACACACTTGTTCCTGTGAATCTGTGTCGTTCTGCCTCCCATCCTGCCCCTCTGGTGCTATCACAGCAGCCCTGCAGAGCCAGGGTTCAAGGCCTCTTCTCAGAGCCCAAGGAAAATGCTCCTGAGTGTGCCCTTATCTTTGGAAATGACTGGTTGTAGTGAGAGAAAGATAACCTCTGACAGTCTCTGTGTAGCAAGACCACATCTCTGAGAGATGATTCCTGACACTAGTCAGGAAGGCGGAACTAAGTTCACTACATCAGCCAGGGGTCCAGACTGCCCTATCAAGAAAAAGAAAAAAGTCTTTTAAAAAGATTCTGTGTAGGTTGTAAGAAACTTGTAATTCAATGTCCAAAGCCCTCCTACCTTAGCCACTTCCCTGGAAACTCTTACAATTATGGCCCTAAACTCCTCATACAGGATATTTGTCTGGTTCTGCTGAAATATCCAGCCCCAAAGAGCACATCCTCTATTAGTCACATACTAAACTGTTAAGCAGAACATCCCACGACTCCCATCTGGGACTTGCAAGCTTGATACAGCACAATTACAGTGTGGGCATAGTGTTACTTTTTCCAGAGCAGCTCTATCACCACCATTGTCTGTCAAGCAGTCAGATGGAAGCAGGCTTGAGGGGGATGATGACTGAATTTTCCGGGTTCTATCAATAGCAAAGCTGTCTACTAGTTGGGATCAGAACTATGAAAAGGTCAGAAACATTTTAATGAGGAATACAGGTTCTTGGGGGTGAGGAATGCCAGATAGTTCTCTTCCCACCGGAATTCCAGCTACTAGGATTCATTCACCCTGTTCTTTATAGAAAATTAACTGGAATAAAAATATAAAGAAGTTTCATGTGTCAGAAAATATTATTCTCATTATTTTCTTCAACATTTAACAATATAAAAACCACACTTAGAGCCATATAAAAATGAGCAGTGGGTCATTTTTGACCCACTGGTTTGGCCTATGGGCCTCAGTTTACCAACTCCAGCCCCAGGATGGAGTCTAGCAGTTGACAAAACCCTTCCTCCATATAGAAAGCTTCTCATAGCTTGTTTAAATGTGAATGGAAAGCCAGAGATCACTAGACAGGTGAGGAAAGTCTCTAACAGAGGAGTAGGAAACCAAAATTTAAAAACAGCAAAAAAAAAAAAAAAAAAAAAAAAAAAAAAGGAACTTGCAGGGAACAAAACCAATGCAGAGAATAGGAAGAAATCCGCCCCTAGTCACATGGGTCCTCAAAGGGACTCATGAAATGAAAAAGGAGAAGTGTCACAGACAAAAGATCCAGAATCAGAATGCCATTGGATTATTCAACTCCAGCAGTGGAAGCTAGAAAACAATGGGGCAATTACTTCAAAATGTGGAGCAAAAATGATTTCCAACCTGGAATAGGTAGCAGGCCTTGAGAATAATCAGACTGCGTTGGAACATGAACATGGAGAGTTAGGAATGAATTAGTGAGTGTGTATAGATAACCAAGCTAACAAAAGAACAAACAATTATTAACAGGGAAAACAAGAAGGTCAACAAGAAAGGAAATATAATAATACTATACCACATGACTCAGCTGTGACTAAAAATCACATTCAGAACAATACAAACACTGAAGTGTGATCTACCTTGAAATTATATAGTTCTGTAGAAAGTTAGGGTGGAACTGAAGAGGGCAGATATTTAAGAAAGCTCAATTCTCATCTTCCATGGTATACAGGAAGTCCAAAGATAATATCTAAAACAGGAAAATCAAGTAAAAGCAGTTTAAATATGGGATTTTGAAATATAGAGGAAATACCTAAAGAATAACTCTCAAGAGTTGAAAGTGGTTATTCCTAGAGACTGAGAATGGAGGTTGGAGAAGAGGTAACTCTGTTATTTATGTGAAATATGCAATTTGGCGTATAAAGTTGAGAGTCAAATGAAACATTCAGCTCTAATGCAAAAAAATAATTTCCCAGAACTATAGTTTAATGGTGACCAGATTCTCTGATTTTCATAGGATATTTTTCCCCATCTTTGAATCTAATTTTGTAAAACCATTCCTGTAAGATTAAATTTCTTGAATAGCAATGTTACAGGACCCTTGCAGTGTTGCTTCACCAGCCAGAAACCTCTGTGGCCAGCGGCGCCTCTGCCCGAGTTTTGCTGTGGCCCACTGAGCTCATTTTGCCCACTTGGCCTGTCAGGCTGCGCTTGGCTCCCTCTACCAGCTTGGATCCCATGCCTGCCAAGGGCGAGCCAGGTGTGGAGAAGTGAGGGGTGTGTGAGAGAGCGTGGGATCCGGCCACTGTGCACAGCCAGGCATACCAGCTGCAGCAGGACAGGCACCTCTAGGCACCAGCATGGGCGCTAGCTCCCTGCGAGGCTGTGGCTTGACGAGACGTACCATAAGCAGCTTCCACGGCTGACACTGGGGAACATAGTGTGGCACCCAGAACCTTGGAGATGCCCAGAACCACAGAGTCCTAAAGCGGGTATCACAGCCCTGGCTCAGGGATCTCCTAGGTCTGGGGTCCCCAAAGGGCTGCAGCTCTTTTCTCCTTCTCTCCTTCTTGTTGCCCGCAACATGGTGGGCAAAGGTCGTGTTTCAGCCCTGTTTGTGCTACTGCTCCTTCAGCCCTGCCATTCAGTGGGTCCTGAGTTCTTATCCTGCCTCCAGGAAGAATTAGGTACACAGACAAGTGGAGGGTAAGGAAGATGAAGAGGAGCTTTTTTGAGCAATAGGAGAGCTCAGAGGAGACCCGCAATGGGCAGCTCCTCTCCGTAGCCAGTGTCCCGACGAGTGTTCAGCTCTCAGCACAGGGTAGCTCTTCTCTACAGCTGGTCGTCCTATCATTTCTTTAGCTCTCAGCAGAGAGGGTCGTCCCATTGTCTCCCCAGCTCTCAGCAGAGAGGAGACTCTGGCGTGGGCAGCTTCTCTCTGCAGCTAAGTCTTCCCATTGTCTCCTCTAGTCTGGCTGAGTCCGGGCTTTCACGGGCCTCAGAGGGGAGGAAGTGTACGCTGATTGGTCCATGGCCATGGGAAGGCCTGGAAAAAGGCACCACAAGTTCCCACTCTTGTCCGCAGGACTAGAAGCCTGGCCCCCAGGCTTCAGGACCTCCCTGGCTTCACGGGGGACCTGTCCCCCTCCCCACAGTAGTCTGTCTGCTTCTTGCCACTGTTCATGGCGCCCAGGCTGTTTGTGCCAAGGGGCGCCTGCAGACCAGTGCCAAGCTGCCCTCAGTGCCCCCTCAGTCTCCCTCCCAAGCTTGTTGGCATCCAAAGTCCAGAGGGGGCCTAGGTGGCAGGGGGCTGGCTTGTTAGCATTGCCCTGAGCGTGAGCACACCTAGCCAGGTTGTGACAGCACCTGGGCTTGTCTTCAACTTTTCTCTGTGATCAGAGCAGGCGCTAACAGAGGGGAGAAGCCAGGCAGTGGGAGCAGACACCTCCGAGCCTGTAGGGGGAAGGGAAAGCTTTCCCGGGCCCGGGAGAGTACAGTTGTGCCTGGGTCCCCAGCAGCAACTTGGACAGCTGCAGCCACGCCTGGGAGGGTAGGGATCCTGCCTGCTCCTGCCAGCTCTGTGGAATGTGGCACTGCCCCAGACCCAGCTCCACCTTGGGGCCTCTCTCTGCCCGCCCCTCTGTGCCTGACCGCGCTGCTCCCCCACCGGTGGGAGACTGGCTCAGCTCCCAGGGCAGTGGGTGAGGTGCAGGTGGCGCAGCACTCGGGCCAACCCGGCACAAATGAACCTGACGCTCCTAGGGCCGGCCCTGCGTGTACCAGCTGCGCTGTCGGCCAGGTATTCACCTCCCCCAGCATGCAGTGGGAAGTGAGGTTGAGGCCGCGGTGGAGGCCGGGCGCGAGAGCAGGTGCTGCCCGGCCGTGCGAGGGTGGGGGTGGTGCAGTCGGCTGCCTCGGGGACGCGGGGTACAGGGGACCCACCGCCACCACTGCTGCTCTCACAGCTGCTCCTGCTGCCGCCTCTTGCGCCTCCCCACTGCAGCCCACATGATAGCAGCGGCCCCTCCGGATGGCCTGCCGCTGCCATCAGCAAGGTGAGTCATTTTGTCAGTACTCAAAGAAGCCTATTTAAATGGTGTACCCCAGGATGTTCAGTGCACAACCTAGACAATGCTGTCAACCTGCCTCATACTTCTTACCTGCTCCATGTTTACAAACTATAAGATAAAATCCAGAACGAGTGGCACTGATTTGCTGAAATTAGATCATCTCTTTATGGAACAAGTTGTGACTGTTTTCATTTCATTTAGCCAATTATTTTAGAATAAGCTTACTACCAAAAACCTAATAAACCGTATGGAGACATTTATGGGTATGCCAAACCAAGCTAGAATGGAGCAAAGCAGTATCTGTGGCAAAGAGCAAGCTTCTCAGAAGTGCTTTCTAGAGGCATTTTCCAGTAGAGGCACTTTCTCTCCAACCGTCTGTGTTTGCACCTGAATCACATCAGTGTAGCCAGATGCCAAGTCTCTGAGAACCACTGAAGAACACTGGACACAGATTGATGTCAAAATGGGGAAGCAAACCAAAGCAAAAATGCTACTTAACCAGAAAACTTGGGTAGAAAACAGCTGTATGAAAAATGACATAGCCATTCAAAGCACTCTGCCAACGTCTTCCCAAAGTTAGCATACACCCCCAAACACAGTTGCAACACTGCAAGCAGAGACTGAGAGAAAAGAGGGTGGCACTGGGGCCAAAGCTGATTTTTTTTTCTCAAACTTTACTTTGCTCCCTGCCTCCCTGACTCTAGCCCCAGGGCCAGGACAAGGGCCAGGTAGCTACTCCAGCCCCCACATGGAGGAGCGCAGAGCCGACTTTCAGGTTGCATGAACAAACCACCTATGTTGGCATCTTAACAGGTACCAGCCTGCCAGGTTTTATTACCTCTTACACAAACAGGTCTAAAGACCGCAACTTCTGGGGAAGTGATAAGCTTCAGCTGGTTAGCTTGGTTAACATTCCTCTCCTTTCTTTCCTGAAATCCTTTTCCACCAGCTCTTGGGCTTTCTGGGCTGGGCTCTGCATTAAGTCCCTTAACAAAGACTCTCTTTTGTTATACAATTAACTAGACAGTGTCTTTTTGTTAGGTGCTTCTTAATATGTATATTATTGTCTTAACTGAAATATCCAGTGAATTTTAGCACCTGGAAAGACTGTTCTATGTCTCCTGAATCTACCAGATCAACTGTCTGTTCTAAATGTACCAGACACATGCGGTTAAGCAATTCACCCAGTCTTGTCTGAGTTTTGTTATTGTATTGTGCATTATTGTGCCTGATTGGCATGGTATCTTGGCCAAGAATGCAAAAAGGCAGTGATAGGTATAGCTCACTACAGCACACACACACTCATAGGCACACCCACAATACTTGCTGAAGCAGATGAAATTCTTGCACCGAAGCAGGTATTTTAAAAATAGCCCTCCATGGAAAATGAGTCCTTCCTATTAGCAAACAGCGTAATTTAGAATGCTTTGGTGATTAATTTCAGAAATGCTAATTGTGTTAAATTAAGAGGACTAGATACTGCCAATTGACGACTAAATAGACACTCAAAGACCTGAGGTAATATGGAAGGGTACATCTAAGTTTATTCTGCTAAAAAATATCTGGGAATGTCCTCATAATTGACTAACTTTTGGTGCTTCTTAGAAACAGTGTCAGTTTTTCCTTTTATCAAATGGCAAGAAATCTTCCTACCAGACTGATGGGACAGTAGTAAAGGTTTATATACAAGAGGCTAATACATTTCTTTTAAATACAATTATGTATTTTAAAAACAAAGGTACAGAAGTATAACCTATTGAACTAATTCTGCTAAGGCAGCTGTTATGCAGATGATAGTAGACAGTATCCAAACAGCACTAAATATTCATATTCGCCTGAACCATACATATATAGCAATCATGGCTCAGATTATTAAATAAATTTCATCTTTTAGATTGGTGCTTCTCCAGATTGGCCAAAGTCACCCAGGAACTTTTAAAAACTACAGATTGCCTGGCGTTCCTCCAGATGGCAATGTCCAGGAGTGAGTCTGGGTTTTTATTTTTTATAAGAGCCTTAATGATTCTGAGCTAGGTTTGGATCACTGACTTAGAAGGTCAAGATAATTGGCTCTTCATTTGTTGGGTCTGGTTACATTGCTTGTCTTAGAAATCAACAGATGCATCATCTGGTCATCAGTAATATATATGGTTGAGTCAGTCAATATTCATGCAAAAATTTTTCCTAAAATAGAATCTTGGAGAGATCCATCAATGTTTCCTCATCCCTGAAACTGCATTAAAGACCACTCTCTTGATCATCCCCAATCTGATAAATTTAATTTATTGTCAGGACGTAAGAAAGCTGGGTCAATAGTTTAAAAAGCCATTGGAAAATTTAATGTAGTCCTGTTAATAATTTTGTGTCTCAGGCCAGGTGTGGGGGCTCACACCTGCAATCCCAGCACTTCAGGAGGCTGAGGTGGGCGATTGCTTGAGCTCAGGAGTTCAACACCAGCCTGGGCAACATGGTGATACCCTGTCTCTAAAAAATAATAAAAACAATAATTTTGTGGCTGGATATTAGTTTGATAATTGCTCCAAGGCTTTTCCTCCTTGTGTTTCCACTTCCTCCTTCTCCAGTCTGTCTGTATCAGGCTTTCCTCCCTTGATTGTAGCTTCATTATCTCAGGGATAGAAAACAGAGAAAGGCTTCCTCCTGCTGTTTTTCAAAAGCCTAATCCCTCAGGAGAATGTATAAGACTAGAAAGCCAAAGTTAAGAAGGGACATAAATTTTAAAAGGAAAAAAAAAAGGGTAATCTACAAAAGCAGACAGAAGAAAGGGGCTACCCCCATTCCCCAAATATTAAAAATCATCCCTGGGCTAGGAAAGGAAGTAAGGAAGGCATAAGCCAGTACTCCAGGATGTGTAAGAGCCTGAAGCTGGCCACTTGATATTCCAGGCAAAAAGATCAGAGGTTCTGGATGTTCTTGCTTCTAAAAACTACCTGAGTCCCAAGCATGTGAACAGGGACAATGGCCTATTTAGCATTATCTATGTGGCCAGAAGTTGACAGCTCAGACACACTGCCACCCCCACCCCTTGTTTCTTACATGGTATAAGGCTCTGAATTAGTTTGCTATGGCTGCCATTACAAAGTACCACAAACTGGCTGGCTTATGACAGACAATTATTGTATCACAGTTCTGGAAGCCAGCAGTCTGAGATCAGCAGGTTGGCAGGGCCATGTTCCCTCTGAAACCTACAAGGAGAATCCTTCCTTGCCTCTTCCTAGCTTCTGGTGATGCTGGCAATTCTTGGTATTCCTTGGTTTGTAGATGCATCACAGCAATCTCTGTCCCCATTGTCGTAAGGCTGTCTTCTCTACGTCCCATTCCTCCTCTTATAAGGACACCAGTCATATGGATTAAAGGCCCACACTACTCCATTATAATCTTATCTTAAATAGTTATGTCTGTAATGACCCTATTTCCAAGTAAGGTCACATTGTAAGGTACTGCAGGTGAGGACTTCAACATATCTTCATGGGGGAGATAATTCAACCCATAACAAGCCCTTAAATCTCAACCCGACCCCAGAATGAGAAGGATCACCAAGAATTCCTGAGGTGAAATTTCCCACAAATTGGTAAGATCAAGACTTGGATATCATATTAAGTTAAATGAGAGAAAGTAAAAGGGGGAGTAAAAAAATATATCTTGCATACTTGAGTTTGTAGACTGAAAGTGCACTATAATGTTCATTTGAATATTTAATAGTCTATGAGGTGCTTAATTTTTTTTTTTTTTTTTTTTGAGATGGAGTCTTGCTCTGTCACCCAGGCTGGAGTGCAGTGGCACAATCTAGGCTCACTGCAACCTCCACCTCCCAGGTTCAAGCGATTCTCCTGCCTCAGCCTCTCGAGTAGCTGGGACTACAGGAGCATGCTACCACACCCGGCTAATTTTTGTATTTTTAGTAGAGATGGGGTTTCACCATGTTAATCAGGTTGGTCTCGAACACCTGACCTCAAGTGATCAACCCGCCTTGGCCTCCCAAACTGCTGGGATTACAGGCATGAGCCAGTGCGCCCAGCCAGAGGTACTTAATATTTTAACAATCTATTGTGTGCAATAGATCTGATACTTCCTGCAACAGCTCCCTATCCCCACCCTCCATGTTTATGTTTAGCACAGTGGAAGTACCTGTCAAATAGCAAATAAATCAATAAGTAAGTGTTTCATGAGATATTTCAACAGAAAACATACAATTGACAAGATATTAATACAACCTGCTATTTTTCTTTGAAGGTATCAAACTATTTAAAATAAAGTCAGTTTCTTTCATTTCTGAATCTGGTGCTACTATAAAAACCATTTCAGTTAAAGCAACCTAGTTTCATTTATGATGCTCTTTACAACTTTCATAGTTATTTTTATCATAAATTTGTTTTTTTTCTTCGTCTTCAAAAAGTAGATAGATCACTGGGGAGTTGCAATCTCTCCAAAAATTCTAAATGCAGGTACAACATTTAAAGCTCATTTGATTAAAATCATTCCTTAGAACAGTGGCTTTTTGAAAGGTTAATTTTCTTCTAATGTAGTCAGATTTCTGAATCAGAATGCTAGTGCTCCAGCAGCTGTATTTCAGAAATGTCAACCAAAAATTCAGACCCTTATCACCAACTAGGGAAATAAGTTACAGAACTCATGTCACTCTTAAGTTCTAGCAAAAGCACGTTATAGATTACACAGAAACATTTTTAAAGATGGGGCTTTGATTTGACTGACATAACATATTTAGTGACCTTGTTTCATGGATAAAAATAGGTAAACTTTCCCCTGTGTTCTCATCTTTTTGAGGAAGAAACATAAGGATAAAGTCAGATGTTTGCATTGTTGGGTTTGAGCTTCCCTACAGGGGGCATTTACAGCTTTTTCACAGCTCTTGAAGTCAGAAAAAAAGATTTAGCTTTAAAAAAAATACTGTGTGCACCAGTTAGAATGGCGACCATTAAAAAGTCAGGAAACAACAGATGCTGGAGAGGATGTGGAGAAATAGGAACGCTTTTACACTGTTGGTGGGAGTGCAAACTAGTTCAACCATAATGGAAGACAGAGTGGTGATTCCTCAAGGATCTAGAACTAGAAATACCATTTGACCCAGCAATCCCATTACTGGGTATATACCCAAAGGGTTATAAATCATGCTACTATAAAGACACATGCACGCGTATGTTTACTGTGGCATTATTCACAATAACAACGACTTGGAACCAACCCAAATGTCCATCAATGATAGACTGGATTAAGAAAATGTGACACATATACACCATGGACTACTACATGGCCATAAAAAAGGATGAGTTCATGTCCTTTTGCAGGGACATGGATGCAGCTGGGAACCATCATTCTGAGCAAACTATCACAAGGACAGAAAACCAAACACTGCATGTTCTCACTCATAGGTGGGAATTGAACAATGACAACACTTGGACACAGGGTGGGGTACATCACATCCCCAGGCCTGTCGTGGAGTGGGGGGCAGGGGGAGGGATGGCATTAGGAGAAATACCTAATGTAAATGATGATTTGATGGGTGCAGCAAACCAACATGGCACATATATACCTATGTAACAAACCTGCATGTTGTGCACATGTACCCTAGAACTTAAAGTATAATAAATAAAAATAAAAATACTGTGTGCATGCATGCATGTGTGTGCATATATGTATGTATGTGTTCAGAAAAAAATGTTTGAGTTAACATCAATCTGAAAGACACACACCCCCAGTCTCTGGCTGTGAAGGAGAAACATCATCTTTAGTGCTACTATAAAAGATGTCCAGCTGTTCAAAAACAATTCGAGCCCATGAAACTAGTTTTAAAAATTAAATTCTTGTTTCTGAAATCATAAATATATAAGTCAAAGATAGAAGCTATAACCCACAAATAGATATGAGTTTAATTTTTAGTATCTGTTCAATTCATATCCATCCTACCACTTCTTTCCGCATGTTTTAGTATTATATGTTAGGACTTGTAAGACTAGAATCACAGGGCCGGGCACGGTGGCTCACGCCTGTAATCCCAGCACTTTGGGAGGCCGAGGTGGGCGGATCACCTGAGTTCGAGACCAGCCTAATCAACGTGGAGAAACCCCGTCTCTATTAAAAATACAAAAATTAAACCTGCACGTTGTGCACATGTATCCTAAAACTTAAAGTATAATAATAAAAAAAAATACAAAAATTAGCTGGGCATGGTGGCACATGCCTGTAATCCCAGCTACTCGGGAGGCTGAGGAAGGAGAATTGCTTGAACCCAGGAGGTGGAGGGTGTGGTGAGCCGAGATCACGCCACTGCACTCCAGCCTGGACAACAAGAGTGAAACTCTGCCTCAAAAAAAAAAAAGAGTAGAATCACAGAAAGATAAGTTTGAGGTATTCTATCCCTCCTTCTTCCACCTGAACTCTTAAATCGTTCTTAGATATTGAAGTTGGAGGGTTTCCCAAACCATTGTGTGTGGGTATTTTCTTTTGAGTGTGCAAGGCTTGGGGGGAACCAGAAAAGCACAGTTTACGAGTCTCAGCACAGTTCTCTGCCTTTCAAATGTTGACTGGACAATGAGATAGAATTAGAGGAGCCCACAAACATTTGACCCTATTTTTGGCAGAACACTGGAAAAAATGCCTATGTCCCAGCCTTGACCAAATTCTGTTTGGTTTCAGAGTAACCAAAGGATTGAAAGGAGAAATACTTAGTGCTCTCAGGGAAAAACATGACGGGGCTGAATCGGAGTAGAGTTCCACAAAACTAAATTATCATATTAGTTTAGGTGACCAAGGGCATCTCCTTTATTCTAGAAACAGGCTAAAAAAAAACAGTTATTTGCTCCAATCTTATCCTGGTCAGTGACTGTGAACTTCATTAAATGACTGATTTAGAGACTGGAAATCACTAATGAAGGTATAAGGTATAAAGAAGGTAGTTGGGGCTAGTATGTTATTCCACTGTGAATTAAGGATTATCTATATTTAGAATACTTTCCTTTTCTGTCCAAATCTTAATTAAACTTTTTTGAAATATGAAACTTTAAGAAAATATGTGGTCATGGTCAAATAAAAGTTTTGGAAGTAGGACCATGAGGGCAGATTTGAAAATAGAATTAGCCATCTATCTATTTAATAAACAAACATGTAAGACAATATAGCTCCTAGTTATTATGCTAGGTGTTAAACATTCAAACATGAAAAGAGACCTATCTTTAGAGAGCTTAAAATGTAGTCCAATTTAGCAATAAAAAAGAATGAACTACTGGTAACTACTACAACACAGATAGACCTTGAAAACCACTATATACAGTAAAAGAAACCAGTCACATAAGACCACAGATCATATGCTTTTATTTATGTGAAATTTCCAGAATAGGCAAATCTATAGTGACTGAAAGCAGATTAATGGATGTAGGAGCAAGAGGGAAGGGAAAATGGGAACTTTCTGCTAACATATACATGGTTTTGTTTGAGGATAATAAAACAGATTGTGGCGATGGTTGCCCACTTCTGTGGACATATTTTTTAAAATGTAACTGTACATTTAGATAAATATGGTATTTAAATTATATCTCAATAAAGATGCTTAAAAATATTAGTAGATACAGATACATTCTTAAAATGTCATAAATGGCATGATTAGCTTTATGCTGAAAGTGATGAAAAAGGAGACTGGGCTTGGTGGTGCATGCCTGTAATCCCAGCACTTTGGGAGACCGAGGCCAGCAGATTACTTGAGTTCAGGAATTCAAGACCAGCCTGGGTAACAAAGCAAGACTCCATTGCTACAAAAAATACAAAAATTAGCCAGGTGTGATGGTGTGTGCCTGTAGTCTCAGCTACTCAGGAGGCTGAGGTGTGAGGATCTTTTGAGCTTGGGAAGCAGAGGTTGCAGTGATGAGCCATGATCATGCCACCACACTCCAACCTGAATGACAAAGTGAGATCCTGTATCAAAAAAAAAAAAAAGTCGTGAAAAAGGCATAGAATGCACTGAGAAAGGGACAATTAATTTCAAATACAAGGCAGGAAGAGGAAGCATGTGACATTAATAGTCCGTAAATAATCAGTACATGGTCATCTCAGAGCGTTTCTCTGTGATTTACTCAAAAATGAACTCTACACAATGATATAGTTCAGTGTTTCTAAATTAATATGACACTGAAGACACCTGGGTAAAAATGCAATCTTGAATGTATGCAATTATCTCCAACCATCCCCAAAACTAAAGTTAAATATGTTTTTCAAAGTTAACAAAAAGTCACAAAGTTAAAGAAAAAGCAAGAAGTAATAACAATGGAGAAATGCTGTCAACACATTTTTGGAATTATTATCAGCAACATTGAAAGATGAAGGACAATGGAGCAATGCTTTCAAAGTTTTATAAAAACAATGATTTCTAATTAAAGTTTTATACCCAGCCAAGCTACCACTCAAGTTTGAAGCTACAAAAAAAAGATATCTCAAAAATGTATTCTCATGAAGCCCTTCCCAGGAAGGTAATAAGGAATGTCTTCAAAGAAACAAACAAAAATAAACAAACCAAAACAATTGAGTAAATCAAGAAAGATGTAAACATGGGACCTAACTCAAGAGAAAGATAAAGGGATTTTCAAAGATGGCAGCTCTTCAGAAAACTTAGAGAGCTGCCAGTCCAGACTGGAACACAAGAATCAAAAAGTACAAGAGAGAGTTCCCAAGGGTAGAGGTGTGATCAGGGACAAAACTATATAGATTATTTAATATGTTCAACAGCATTAAGATTTTATAGTTTTTAAAATTAGAAGTGTAGACAATTTTCTAAATGACAAAATGAGGTAATTATTAACTATTTAAAAAACGAAAGTTGTATAAGGAATTGTAATCTTAATATACTATTTAGTAAAGGCAAACAATGTTTATATAAGTACAGTAATATAAACTCTGACAATTGTACCAAAAATTACAATATAATTTCTTATAAAAAGGAAGGTGGGAAGTAGCAGAGTTTGGGGGTAATAAGAGAGGGCTAAATTTTCATTTTTCAAGAATCAAAAAGTCAAGAAATATTATTTAAAAATATTGACTTAAGTAGCTCAACAAAAACCTACAAGACTTGAATGTGGTTGCCTTTGGGTAAGGAAACTCAGGGAGGTATGAAAAAAGAAAATGCCATTTTTATTTTATCTTATAAGAGTATTCCACATTTTTAACTTTGTAGATGTATTTCATAAAAATTAATTTTTGAAAAAATATATACAGCACTGAAAATACTGCCAAGTCAAGAACACATAGAGTTCAGTGACATGTTTTATTTTTCTTTGGGGTTTCCCACAGAACTAAAACAGTGCTTTTAATATATTACGAGCTCAATAAGCATATGGTGTTTAATAATTACCACCCAAATGTTAGCTCAGTGGGTTTGGCAATGAATCTTATGGTATATAATCTGGGAACTAATTTTTTCCTACTAAAGAGGACCTAGAAGTCATAGTGTGCTATGCAGTCCTTTGTCTTGATATTGAAAAGAGTGGTTGGATGGCATCTGGAGGAAAACAGGCTAGTTGTATTCACTGTATAATATCTGGCACACTGTAGGTGGTCAGTTAATTAAACAATATCTTCCATTAGCAAGTGTAGTGAATCATAATATGAACAGGGTACTTCTTGTTTTTATACATTTTATGCCCTCTTGAGCTTTGTTTTCTGTTTCCAAGACTTTCAAAAGGTTCCTTTTCTTTCTTCAAAATCAATGAATTTAAGATTTACTTGTAAGAAGTATCAAGGATGGCAAATACACAGGGCTTATGTCACCTCTCCCCTACCTCCCTTACCTAGGCAAGTATTGCCATTTAAATGGCATTCTCAGGTAGTGGAAATGGCATGGCATTTCCAAGGACAGGAAAGTTGATTGACTTGATGGAGCAGAAGTTTACATACTAAGTAGCTGGAGTATATATTAAGTAGCAAGAGTTCAAGGTGAGCCCCAAAGCAAGAACAATTGATGCTTAGCCTTAGATATCTAGTTGAAGAATTCTAATGTGATTCATTGATAGTGGGTAAACTTTTTGAACTGTGAAGCAGCCTAATAAGTGATACAACACACAGCAAAGAGGTTCTGGTGTTGTAGCACTAAGGCCCTGTAAAGATTAATTCAAAAGGTAATAGAAATGAAGCAGAGATGGAAACTAGAGCGACTACTAAAAAGAAAGAAAAATGACTTGGTGAATTACTAGATGTAAGAATTAAAAAGAAAGCAGAATTGTAGATGATAATATTTTTTAATACTTAATATGGCACCCAGGTGTTGTGCGAAACCAACTTCCCATATATTATTTATTAAATCCACTTAGGTAGACTCTATTACCACCATCACCATCCTATTCTCAAGTTGAGGAAACTGAGGCAATATAAAGTCACTTTCCCCAGAGTCTCACAACCAATAAGTGATTGATTAAATCCCAGATTTAAACCCAGTCAGTTTGTTTCCTGCAATAGAGAACCTGGGAAGGAGACTGGATATCCAAGTGGAAATGACTAGTAGGTAGCTCATTATAAGGAATAAGGTTTTATGTGAGAGGTCAGAGTTTAAAGCATTTATAGGGAGTTACCACCATTTTGATACGACTTTAATTTTGAGAATGGATGGGCACAGGGTCAAGAACAAAGCCTTGGTAACAGGCATATGAGAAGGTGCTCAACATCATTGATCATCAGAGAAATGTAAATCAAAACTATATCTCACCCCAGTTAAAATGGCTTTTATCCAAAAGAGAGGCAATAACAGATGCTGGCAAGGACCGGAAAAAAGGGAACCCTCATACACTATTGGTAGAAATATAAATTAGCACAACCACTATGAAGAACAGTTTGGAGGTTCTTCAAAAAACTAAAAATAGAACTACCATATGATCCAGTGATCCCAGTGTTGAATATATACCCAAAAGAAAGGAAATCAGTATACTAAAGAGATATCTGCCCTCCCATGTTTGTTGCAGCACTGTTCACAGTAGCCAAGATTTGGAAGCAACCTAAGCGTCCATTAACATATGAATGAATAAAGAAAATGTGGTACATATATACGTGGAGTACTATTCAGCCATAAAAAAGAATGAGATCCTGTCATTTGCAACAACATGGATGAACCTGGAGGTCATGATGTTAAGTTAAGTAAGTCAGAAAGACAAACTTCACATGTTCTTACTTATTTGTGAAAGCTCAAAAATCAAAATAATTGAACTCATGGAGATAGAGAGTAGAAGGATGGTTAGCAGGGGCTGGGAAGGGTAGTGGGAAGTTGTGACAAGTAGGGTTAATGGGTACAAAAAATAGTTAGAAAGAATGAATAAGACCTAGTATTTGATAGCACAACTAGGTGACTGTAGTCAAAAATAACTTAATTGTACATTTAAAAATAACTATAAGAGTGTAATCGGATTGCTTGTAACACAAAGAATACATGCGTAAGGGGATGGACACTCCATTCTCCATGGCATGATTATTATGCATTGCATTCCTGTATCAAAACATATCATGTAACCGATAAATATATACACCTATTATGTACCCACAAAAATTAAAAATAAATGAAAAATAAAGGAAAAAGCCATAGGTTGATGGTCAACAGGAGAAAAGCAGTGTCACCACAGAGTGAAGGAAGAGTTAAAGAGGTGAAGCAAAAATTCAGTATTATAGAGACAGAGCCTTGGACAAATTTTTAAGGAGAAAAAGAAAATCAACAGTATCAAGTACTTCCAAGAGATTTGATGGGGTAATAACTGAGAAAATGACATGGGACTGGCATAAAGGCCAGGAAAAAAAGTCATTTCAGTTGTCTGGTGGGAGTGCAAACCAGATTGCAAAGGCTTAATATGAGAATTGGTGATGAAGAAATTAACATAACCAGGACATTTCACCTGTTCAGGAATTTGGCAGTGAAAGGTGACTGCGTTAATGCAGTGGCTTGAAAAGGCAATGAGGTGAAGCAAAGATTTACATTCCAAGGTAGGGAAAAACCTAGGCATCATTAAAGGCAGAGAATGGGTAGGGTTTTTCTCATGAAAGTCAATTTTAACCATAAAGAATATATCTCAAAACACTGAGAAACACTAAACTTATCTATATAAATGCAGTAACTAGCCAACATATCATTCCTTCCAGATAACCCTGGGTCTAATGCCAGGTAAAGTGCATTCTTAGGAAGATCACTAAGAGGTGATACACCTCCAACTCCTTGCTGCCACTCTAGGAGTGAGAGGCTGGCCAAGTGGAGCATTTTGGACATTCAGAGGAGGTGGCTGATTCTACCAGCCCAGGATCAAGGCCAGAAAGCTTGCTCCTGGGATTGGAGCAAGGTCAGTCAGGAAATGAGTGTCAGGGGATGGGGTGGGAGATGAATCAAAGGGAACACTCAGAGGCAGACATTTCACAGACGTTTGAGTGGGTGTTTATGTCACCACTTGGCAAATCTCACGGCAGAGTCAAGACCCAGAGATTCTGAGGTGGCAGTCTGTCTCAACTGAATAAGCAAGAGACTGCCTTGCATGAGAAACAGCCCCACTATCAATGCTTCTTATACCCATTAAACCAGCTAAAAGGACAGAGGCTTATAGCTACACAAGCTAGTGCTTTCCCACTATACAAACCTCCTGCACACCTGTGGGGGTAAAAGAGGAAGCAAATTTGCATATCTCCTTGATCAATGCTAGAAGTGAAGGAATCTGGGAAAATCAAAGTTTCATACTCCAAAGTTCCCAGTATGACTCTAGCAGAAGTGAAACTAGAATCCAGCATTTTTTCTTGCCCTGCTAGAAGAGATTTTCCCATTAACTGTGCGAATTCTCTGCTCTCTCTAATGAGTGACCCCTAATGCAACCAATTTGGTTATTTGACATTGATTATGTTTTCAATTTGAATCAGAAGCTACTAATCTAGTGTTAAATCCTTAGGCAATAAGTTTGTCTTTTCTAAGCAGGGTGGGCAAAAATCCTCATCTTCTTTGAATGCCCAGAGCTAACAATTAACTTTCTATCTTTATTTCTAACTCAAATGTGCCAAAAAGAAAAAATCAAAAACATCCTCCCCGGAACGCAAAATTCAAAAGCTAAAAAACATCTTAAGAATTAATCTGTCTCCTATTCTTTGGCTGGCAGGTTAAAAACGGAATTTGCATAAATCCATAGCAGTCAGCCCTCTCTTGCTTGTGAGGATAAAAGAGGGCTTTCTGTGCTAAAGGGAAGAGGGCTGGCCATGCTCTAACAAAGTGATAAAAAGTGGTACAAGGATGAGTTTAACAGAGTGCTTTAACTAGGAGTCTGGAGGTAATCTTAAGATAAACTATCTACAGGTTAATGAGGGAGTGAAAAAAAGTTAAGACTACCACCCACTGGCATATATAGACACAGTCTGACCATTGGAGGGAGGGGCAAGGAAAAAGACGATTGACGTTCAGATGGGAAGTTTACCTGGCATTTATTGACTCTGGCCCAGGCTAAAGAGCACTGTGACCTTCCAGTACTTTGTTCTGCCAGCTCCCTCCAGCCCACATCATATATCCTGAACTGACAAGTACCTATATAAGCTAACATTGGCATCTGTGTTGATTGGTTGATGCCATTTTATACCTCATTCAATATTTTAATAACACCCCTGGGTATATCCCAAACTACTCATCATCCACACTTAAAAGCTGAATTTATTTTCTTCTTTCCTAAAAAATTTCCTCTTAGTGCTTTCTTTCCTCTATGCCATCTCCATGTTCTTGATCACCCAGTTAGCCTCAGTTAGCTTTTGACTCCGGTCCCACAATTGCCTGCCTTCCTTTAAAATCCAAGCTGTTCCCAAAGCCATTGGAATCCATCAAGCCTATATTGACATGCTGCAGGGCACCATCAGTAATATACCAGAGAGGCAGGGTTGGAGAGAGAAACAAAGGCAAGAAGAGGTCTAGCTGCTGGTGGCAGAAGTTCAGCCTGCTGAACAAGTATGAGATCAAGGGGTGCAGGGTACTCCAGCTATAAACCAGGTAGTGAGTGGGTTGGCAGGGAGGGACTAGGAATTGAGCCATCAGTTATCTAGAGCAGGCAAAACTTGAGAGTTGTCACATGGTTGGTCACATGGTTCATGGTTGGTCTGTGGACAAGTGGCAGGGCTGACACCAGCAGAGTTCAGCCAGGGTCCCGACAATCATAAGGGAAGGGTGCAGTAAGACAGCGCAGACCAACAGCCTTTGGATATGATTGTGTTACTCAGCAATTAGCACAAGAGAAACTCAGGAATAGGGGTGAAGGCAGGTCAGTTTTAAGAACCATGTTATAAGGCAGGGAAGTTAGAGTCCAAGAATAAGAATGAATTTGGCCAGGCGCAGTGGCTCACGCCTGTAATCCCAGCACTTTGGGAGGCCGAGGCAGGTAGATCACAAGGTCAGGAGATTGAGACCATCCTGGCTAACACGGTGAAACACCGTCTCTACTAAAAACATAAAAAATTAGCCGGGCGAGGTGGCGGGCACCTGTAGTCCCAGCTACTCGGGAGGCTGAGGCAGGAGAATGGCGTGAACCCGGGAGGCGGAGCTTGCAGTGTGCCGAGAGGGGCGCCACTGCACTCCAGCCTGGGCTAAAGAGCAAGACTCCGTCTCAAAAAAAACAAAAAGAATGGACCTTTAGTGATCCGAATTTAACCGTTTAAGGAATATTTACCAACTACCCACTATGGGTCCTCACAGTGGAGAGTTTAAATATAAGTGCAATTCCGTGTGATAAGTGCCAAATCCAGATAAGATTCAGATGCACCCAAAAGAGGAGATAGTCAAGCTCTGCGACATGGAGGTATTATGTGAGGCTGCAAAGAGGAGACAATGTTCAACCATGTTCTGGAATTATGAGTAAGCCCCAGCAATGAGGGGAAAGAACTTCAGATGGAGGGCATAGCAAAATGCTGCAGATGGGCTGTCTAGAGAACTCCAAGTGTTCACACCCATAGCACTAGCAGTGAGAATGGCTGAGGGTACAGCCATCAGATGGTATCATTAGTGGGTAAGCATCTCCAGTCTCTGGCTGGAAGTTGCCCTGGATATTCAAGCATGGCTGGGCTTGCAGATCAAATTTGAGTGAGGTGGAGAGGAATGCAAGATATATTTAACATATATCAGGCTTAATGTTTTTGTACCCGTCTCATCTCCCTTCTCCTGAACACTACTCCAATCCATACCAGCAAAACCTCACAAGCTTATCTAAACTACTGCCATGATTCTTTAACCAGTTTCCCCAATTAGACTCCTCCACTTCCTTCCTTCCTACACATAGTTTCGTGATAAATCTCCCTAAAGCACAATTTCGAACATGCTACTCCCCTGGGGGAAAAAAAATCCTTTCAATGGCTTGAAAAGATCCCTATCTTGGGAGAATTGACCTTCTTATTTGCATTTTGTTTGCACAGATCTTATTTGCATTTTGTTTGCACATTTGAAGGACTACATTAAATATTTACTTGACTCACATTATGAAAACAATACAAAAATTCACAGGACACAGGGCAGCATTGACAACAGAGGTGACAGGTGAAAGGTGGAGAGAAGAATGGTTAGGCAGAGCTGAAACCACAGACTGATGAGGCCTGATCATCCTCTGATCTTCCATCTCTTAGAATCTCTTTTCTCACTCGATCTTTGGAAGAGTGAACACAGAACCAAGCAGCCAGAGCAGACGTGAATGACATCTTTGTAGCTTTTGTCATACAGTGTCCTCTGTGACACTGCCTTCTTTTTTCAGTGGTTTTGTTTATATTGCTTGCTTGTTTAATGGCCTAGATCTTATATTTTCTAAATTTAATGAGTATCTCCAAGTACAGTTTTTCTGTGCCAAATTTATTATTGTTTTCATATGCACGTGGAAGAAAATGCATTTTGCTTGTTAAATCTCACAGGCACATAAAAATAGGTTTTGAAAAATATGACGATGAAATAAAAGATAACAAGGAGGTTAGCTATAATTTTTATCTCAACATTTAAAACTTTGAGCCAATGAGGCTTTAATTCAAAAATGGAAAGAAGTTTCTAATTCCAAAATTTTCCATTTTTTAATGTTCAGTGTTCATATACACAAACAGTAACTACAATAATATATGATTATAGAAAGTGAAAAGTTACCTCTGTGAAGGAGTATCAGTCTAAACTGAAAAGCAACTTTTGGTATTATAAAAACCAAAAGGAAAGTAGACAGGTAAGATCAATATACCTTCTAATTTATTTTTTACAAGTGGCTCCTACAAGTTTCCAAAAATAGTATTGTATAAGTTCATAGTTACCACTTTTTTTCTAAATACATATCCCTCCCATCATAGTGTAGTCTGAAGGTCTGGGCTCAATTTCTGATAATGATTGTAGCAGTGAAAACAGTTTTCCTTTTTAAGTAAAAGACCTTTTTATATATGGCACCATTTTCAAAGGACATAAATAGCTCTGTCTGTTGAAAATCTGCCTTTAAATTCTATGCCACTCACATGACTGAAGAGACTATAATTTATAGGCCATATTCAGAGAAATAAACTTGTCCTAAACATCTGTCTATCTCTAAAGCTAAAAGCTTAAAAACCACTGTTGACCCCAAACCTGAGATTTTGTTACAAATGACACAGGAATTTGGCACAGGGAGGAAGCAGGGTCAGGCTGCTGATCAGGGCTGGCAGAGCGAATTCGTCCAGCTTCCATCAGATAGAGCCAATTTCCAAGTGCAGCTGACCACAGCTGTGCTCTCTGCCACATCAGGGAAAGTTCGGAGAGTAGAGCTTACTCTCTCATGAAAGCACTCAGTCACAATCCCAGGGGTCACCTTCTCAAGGGTTGGAACACAAGGTAGGATGTAACAGAAGGGCCAACAGAGAGTGACTGGGGCAAAAAGGGCATTTATCATTTCACAGAGCAACAAGTCTGGAAGCAAGGGCAGTTCTACAACAGAAGCAAGAGCTTCACAGTGACACTAAGGACCAGGGCTCCTTTCCTTTTTCCAGTCTCCTCTACTCAGAATTTTGTTTTTGTCCTCAGCATTTTGCTCTAGTGATTACAAAATGGCTGCCTCAGTTCCAGGGTATTGTATCTTCACACAATCACTCTGAAATGCAGAAGAAAGACACATTCTACATGCGTCTCTTTATCTGGGAGGAAGAGCCTTCCCAGCAGCCCCAGCCAGCTGCGTTTCAGGTCCCTTAAGACCAGATTGGGTACAAACTCAAGCTCTGGCTGTACAGGAGGAAAGCAATATTGGGCATTTTCTTATCTTGCATTCTTGCCTGTCAAAGTCTGACAGCAAGATCAAGGTGGTAGCTGGGCACAGAACAGGAGCAGCTGCAGGGTGTAATTGGGTAGGCGATCAACAGTGTCACTTACAGAAAGTTAACAGCTTTAACGGCAGCCCTTTTTAAGCATAAACATTTAAAGTGTGCTCCTTTATAACTCCATGTAACATTCCTTACCAGCATGCATTGCTAGCTTCACACACTTAATAAATGAAAGGGCATATCTCTCTTCTAGATGATAATGAGGACAGATGCATAAAATATTGGCATTTGCAAAATATTTTTTCCAAGTAATGATCAATAAAACTGGAAATTTCCGCATGATTGATATTTTCTTAGATAACAATTCTTCAAGACCTTATCTAGATACTTAAACCCTATGGCACAATATCCTCATACGTAAAAATGGGTATAGCATGAATAACATTGTAGAGAGGGCTATATATATATACTTACTGTTAACAAAATGAATTTTTCTGACATTTTTTAAAAACTTGTATAAATAAGGATGTCAATTATTGCATCTCTCCCCAAGGGCAGAGTTTGCCTGATGGTTAGTTATCAGGGGAGGGCCCCAGTTGGTCTGTGGCAGAAAGGGTACAATAATCACCACACCATTTCACTAGGTTCTGTCAATATTTGTTTGATTTCCCAAAGCTACAGTACTGCCTATTAACAGCTCAATTGCACAAAAAAGTTAATCAACATTTGCTACAGAAATACTGTGCTAGCTTTCATAACCTACTTTTAAGATGAAACATAGGTTCATAAGAGGGGAGAATTCATTAGGCTCTTTTTAGAAATTTTGACTCTACTGTGAATTGTTTTATGTACTTGATAAATAGGCCCACACAAATAAGTGGCCATTGAGACATGTCACTTGACAATATCAAAAAACTTGCTCCCCACCCTCAACCTCACCCCCATCTGTCCTTACTCACAAACAGTACCCTCTCTTCACAGCTGTTTGAAATGATCAGTGAACTCTTCCCTATGTGCATGGAGGCAGTAGAGGAAAGGGAACTAGAAGCTGCAGAAAACAATGGTTAAAGGCCAGGCATGGTGGCTTCTGCCTGAACTCCCAGCACTTTGGGAGGCCAAGGTGGGAGGATCCTTTGAGCTCAGGCATTTGAGACCAGCCTGGGCAATATAAAAAGGTCTCGTGTCTACTAAAATTACAAAAATTAGCTGGGTGTGGTGGTACATGCCTGTAGTCCCAGCTACTCAGGAGGCTGAAGCGGAAGGATCACCTGAGCCCAGGAGGTAGAGGCTGCAGTGAGCCAAGATGGCACCACTGTACTCCAGCCTGGGTGACAGAGCAAGACTCTGTCTCAAAAAAAAAAAAAAAAAAAAGAAAAGAAAAGAAAAAAAGAAAGAAAGAAAAAGAAAAAACAACAAGAAAACAATGGTTAAAAAGCAAATTTGTTGCCTGGGAAAATCACTAATATCCAGTGTTCTGTTATCACATAGCAGAAAACAAGCCCTTCAGTTAGCGAAACTGGGTTGAGGGAGAGCAAGGCAAGCAGCAAGAGAAGGTGCTAGGGAAAGAGAACTGGAGAATGGTGCAGGCACTGCCTGGGAGCTTGTCAGAAATGCAGAGTCTTGGGCTTCTCCCCAGACCCACTGAATCAGGGCATGTATTTTAACAAGACCCTCAGGTGATTCCTGCACAGGTTAAAACTTGAGAAGCACTGCACAAAGGCAGGAGGCAGTAATTCCAAGGAATAAACCCTGCCAGAGTGTCATGCTTGGAGCCCTGACAGCTACCTGGGAGCAGTCTCAGCTGAGGTGAGAGGGACGTTAGGCATTGGAACAGGCAAGCATAGGTGCCAAAAGGGTAACAGTGGTAATTGTGGTTACAGTCAGCTTTAACGAAACACTGACAGTGTGACAGGCACTACTGTACTACTTTCCATGCATTGTTTCTGATTTCATAATAACCCTGCAACACAGGTATCATAAAGAAACGGAAACTCAGGGAGGTTAGGTAACTTGCCCTAGGCTCAGGCCAGCAAGTAACTGAATCTGGATTCACTCCTGAGTTTTGGAATCAGAGAAATCCAAGCTCAAATCCTCTGTCTACTTCTTATTAGAAATATAATTTTGTTGAGGTCGCTTCCAAGATGGCCGAATAAGAACAGCTCCAGTCTACAGCTCCCAGCGAGACTGACACAGAAGATGGGCGATTTCTGCATTTCCAACTGAGGTACTTGGTTAATCTCACTGGGACTAGTTGGTCAGTGGGTGCAGCCCACAGAGGGCGAACTGAAGCAGGGCAGGGTGTCACCTCACCCGGGAAGTACAAGGAGTTGGGGGATTTCCCTTTCCTAGCCAAGGGAAGCCGTGAGTGACTGCACCTGGAGAAGCAGTACACTCCGTCCAAATACCATGCTTTTCCCATGGTCTTCACAACTGGCAGACCAGGAGATTCCCTCCCGTGCCTGGCTCAGTGGGTCCCATGCCCATGGAGCCTTGCTCGCTGCTAGCGCAGCAGTCTGAGATCAACCTGGGATGCTGAATTTTGGCGGGAGAAGGGGTGTCTGCCATTGCTGAGGCTTGAGTAGGGGGTTTTATACTCACAGTGTAAACAAAGCAGCAGGGAAGCTCGAACTGGCCAGAGTCCAACAGAGCTCAGCAAGGCCTACTGCCTCTCTAGATTCCACCTCTGGGGGCAGGGCATATCTGAACAAAAGGCAGCAGACAGCTTCTCCAAACTTAAACGTCCTTGCCTGACAGCTCTGAAGACAGCAGTGGTTCTCCCAGCATGGTGTTCGAGCTCCGATAACGGACAGACTGCCTCCTCAAGTGGGTCCCTGACCCCATTGTAGCCTGACTGGGAGACACCTGCCAGCAGGGGCCAACAGATACTTCATACAGGTGGGTGCCCCTCTGGGAAAAAGCTTCCAGAGGAAGGATCAGGCAGCAATATTTGCTGTTCTGCAGCCTCCACTGGTGATAGCCAGGCAAACAGGGTCTAGAGTAGACTTCCAACAGACCTGCAGCTGAGGGGTCTGTTAGAAGGAAAACTAACAAACAGAAAGGAATAGCATCAACATCAATAAAAAGGACATCCACACCAAAAACCCATCTGGAGGCCACCAACGTCGAAGACCAAACATAGATAAAACCACAAAGATGGGGAGAAACCAGAGCACAAAGGCCGAAAATTCCAAAAACCAGAACACCTCTTCTACTCCAAAGGAACACAACTCCTCGCCAGCAAGGGAACAAAACTGGATGGAGAATGAGTTTGACGAGTTGACAGAAGTAGGCTTCAGAAGGTGGGTAATAACAAACTTCTCCAAGCTAAAGGAGCATGTTCTAACCCATTGCAAGGAAGCTAAAAACCTTGAAAAAAGGTTAGACGAATGGCTAACTAGAATAACCAGTGTAGAGAAGAGCTTAAATGACCTGATGAAGCTGAAAACCACAGTACGAGAACTTTGTGAAGCATACACAAGCTTCAGTAGATGATTCGATCAAGCGGAAGAAAGGATATCAGTGATTGAAGGTCAAATTAATGAAATAAAGTGAGAAGACAAGATTAGATATAAAAGAGTGAAGAGAAACAAACAAAGCCTCCAAGAAATATGGGACTATGTGAAAAGACCAAATCTACATTTGTTTGGTGTACCTGAACGTGATGGGGAGAATGGAAGCAAGTTAGAAAACACTCTTCAGGGTATTATCCAGGAGAACTTCCCCAACTTAGCAAGGCAGGCCAACATTCAAATTCAGGAAATACAGAGGGCACCACAAAGATATTCCTCAAGAAGAGTAACTCCAAGACACATAATTGTCAGATTCATCAAGGTTGAAATGAAGGAAAAAATGTTAAGGGCACCCAGAGAGAAAGGTCAGGTTACCCACAAAGGGAAGCCCCTCAGACTAACAGTGGATTTCTTGGCAGAAAACCTACAAGCCAGAAGAGAGTGGGGACTAATATTCAAAAGTCTTAAAGAAAAGGATTTTCAACCCAGAATATCATATCCATCCAAACTAAGCTTCATAAGTGAAGGAGAAATAAAATCCTTTACAGACAAGCAAATGCTGAGAGATTTTCTCACCACCAGGCCTTCCTTACAAGAGCTCCTGAAGGAAGCACTGAACATGGAAAGGAACAACTGGTACCAGCCACTGCAAAAACATGCCAAATTGTACAGACCATCAATGCTATGAAGAAACTGCATCAATTACCAGGCGAAATAACCAGCTAGTATCATAATGACAGGATCAAATTCGTACATAACAATATTAGCCTTAAATGTAAATGGGCTAAATGCCCCAATTAAAAGACACAGGCTGGCAAATTGGATAAAGAGTCAAGACCCATTGGTGTGCTATATTCAGGAGACCCATCTCACGGACAAAGACACACATAGGCTCAAAATAAAGGGATGGAGGAAGATCTAGCAAGCAAAGTGGAAAACAAAAAAAAAGCAGGGTTGCAATTGTGATCTCTCATAAAACAGATTTTAAACCAACAAAGATCAAAAGAGACAAAGAAGGCCATTATATAATGGTAAAGGGATGAATTAAACAAGAAGCACTAACTATCCTAAATATGTATACACCCAACACAGGAGAACCCAGATTCATAAACTTCTTAGAGACCTACAAAGATACTTATACTCCCACACAATAATGAAAGACTTTAACACCCCACTGTCAATATTAGACAGATCAACAAAACAGAAAATTAACAAGGATATCCAGAACTTGAACTCAGCTCTGGACCAAGTGGACCTAATAGGCATCTACAGAACTCTCCACCCCAAATCAACAGAATATACATTCTTCTCAGCACCACATCACACTTATTCTAAAATTGACCTCATAATTGGCAGTAAAACACTCAGCAAATGTAAAAGAATAGAAATCACAACAAACTGTCCCTCAGACCACAGTTCAATCAAATTAGAACTCAGGATTAAGAAACTCACTCGAAACTGCACAACTACATGGAAACTGAACAACCTGCTCCTGAATGACTACTGGGTACATAACGAAGTGAAGGCAGAAATAAAGAATTCTTTGAAACCAATGAGAACACAAGACACAACGTACCAGACTCTCTGGGACACATTTAAAGCAGTGTGTAGAGGGAAATTTACAGCACTAAATGCCCACAAGAGAAAGTAGGAGAGATCTAAAATCAACACCCTAACATCACAATTAAAAGAACTAGAGAATCAAGAGCAAACAAATTCAAAAGCTAGCAGAAGGCAAGAAATAACTAAGCTCAGAGCAGAACTGAAGGAGATAGAGACATAAAAAATCCTTCAAAAAAATCAATGAATCCATGAGATGGTTTCTTGAAAAGATCAACAAAATTGATAGACTGCCAGGAAGACTAATAAAGAAGAAAAGAGAGAAGAATCAAATAGATACAATAAAAATGATAAAGGGGATATCACCACCAATCCCACAGAAATACAAACTACCATCAGAGAATACTATAAACACCTCTACGCAAATAAACTAGGAAATCTAGAAGAAATGGATAAATTCCTGGACACATACACCCTCCCAAGACTAAACCAGGAAGAAGTTGAATCTCTGAATAGACCAATAACAGGTTCTGAAATTGAGGCAATAATAGCCTACCAGCCAAAAAAAGTACAGGACCAGATGGATTCACAGTCGAATTCTACCAGAGGTACAAGGAGGAGCTGGTGCCATTCCTTCTGAAACTTTTCTGATCAAAAGAAAAAGAAGGAATCCTCCCTAACTCATTTTATGAGGCCAGCATCATCCTGATACCAAAGCCTGGCAAACACAACAAAAACAAAGAGAATTTTAGGCCAATATTCCTGATGAACATCAATGTGAAAATCCTCAGTAAAATACTGGCAAACTGAATTCAGCAACACATCAAAAAGCCTATCCACCACAATCAAGTGGGCTTCATCCCTGGGATGCAAGGCTGGTTCAACATACACAAATCAATAAACGTAATCCATCACATAAAGAGAACCAACGACGAAAACCACATGGTTATCTCAATAGATGCAGAATAGGCCTTCAATAAAATTCAACAGCCTTTCATGCTAAAAATTCTCAATAAACTAGGTATTAATGGAATGTATCTCAAAATAATAAGAGCTATTTATGACAAACCCAGAGCCAATATCATACTGAATGAGCAAAAACTGGAAGCATTCCCTTTGAAAACTGGCACAAGACAAGGATGTCCTCTCTCACCACTCCTATTCAACATAGTATTGGCCAGGGCAATCAGGCAGGAGAAAAACATAAAAGGTATTCAAATAGGAAGAGAGGAAGTCAAATTGTCTCTGTTTGCAGATGACATGATTGTATATTTAGAAAACGCCATCGTCTCAGCCCAAAATCTTAAGCTGATAAGCAACTTCAGCAAAGTCTCAGGATACAAAATCAATGTGCAAAAATCACAAGCATTCCTATATACCAGTAACAGACAAACAGAGAGCCAAATCATGAGTGAACTCCCATTTACAATTGCTACTAAGAGAATAAAATACCTAGGAACCAAACTTACAAGGGATGTAAAGGACCTCTTCAAAGAGAACTACAAACCACTGCTCAAGGAAATAAGGGAGGACACAAACAAATGGAAAAACATTCCACACTCATGGATAGAAGAATCAATATCGTGAAAATGGCCTACTGCCTAAAGTAATTTATAGGTTCAATTCTATCTCCATCAAGCTACCACTGACTTTCTTCATGGAATTGGAAAAAACTACTTTAAACTTCATCTGGAACCAAAAAAGAGCCTGCATTGCCAAGACAATCCTGGGCAAGAAGAACAAAGCTGGAGGCATCACGCTACATGACTTCAAACTATACTACAAGGCTACAGTAACTAAAACAGCATGGTACTGGTACCAAAACAGATATATAGGCCAATGGAACAGAACAGAGGCCTCAGAAATAACACCACTCATCTACCACCATCTGATCTTTGACAAACCTGACACTCACAAGCAATGGGGGGAAGATTCCCTATTTAATAAATGGTGTTGGGAAAACTGGCTAGCCATATGCAGAAACCTGAAATTGGACCCCTTCCTTACACCTTATACAAAAATCAACTCAAGATGGATTAAAGACTTAAACATAAGACCTAAAACCATAAAAAGCCTAGAAGAAAACCTGGGCAATAGCATTCAGGACATAGGCATGGGCAAAGACTTCATGTCTAAAACACCAGAAGCAATGGCAACAAAAGCCAAAATTGGCAAATGGGATCTAATTAAACTAAAGAGCTGCTGCACGGCAAAAGAAACTATCATCAGAGTGAACAGGCAACCTACAGAATGGGAGAAAAGTTTTGCAATCTATCCATCTGACAAAGGGCTAATATCCAGAATCTACAAAGAACTTAAATTTACAAGAAAAAAAACAACCCCATCAGAAAGTGGGCAAAGGATATGAACAGACACTTCTCAAAAGAAGACATTCATGCAGCCAACAAACATATGAAAAAAAAAACTCATCATCACTGGTCATTAGAGAAATGCAAATCAAAACCACAATGAGATACCATCTCATGACAGTTAGAATGGCGATCATTAAAAAGTCAGGAAACAACAGATGCTGGAGAGGACGTGGAAAAATAGAAACACTTTTACACTGCTGTGGGAGTGTAAATTAGTTCAACCCTTGTGGAAGACAGTGTGAGGTTGTACCTCACAATACTCTAGAAGCTAAATAAGTCTTATCCTCATTTTCCAGTGGCACAAACTGAAGCTGAGAGAGGGAATATTCTGACAAAATTATATATTTTTTTAAAAATATATTAAAAACATTAATATATAATGAAATGTTTACATACTTTTTTTATTAGACTTTAAGTTCTGGGTTACATGTGCAGAACGTGCAGTTTTGTTACATAAGTATACACGTGCCATGTTTGTTTGCCGCACCCATCAACCTGTCACCCACATTAGGTATTTCTCCTAATGTTATCCCTCCCCTAGCCCCCCATCCCCCACAGGCCCTAGTGTGTGATGTTCCCCTCCCTGTGTCCCTGTGTTCTCATTGTATACGTACATATATGTATGTATACGTGCATATATATGCATATATATACGTATATGTGTGTGTATATATGCGTATATACATGTATGTGTATATATGCATATATACACGTATATGTATATATACGTATACACACATAAATATGTATATATACACGTATACATACATATACGTATATATACATGTATATACGTGTATACATACATATACGTGTATATACGTGTATACATACATATATGTGTATATACATGTATATATACATATACATATGCATACATATATGTATACATACACATACATAGATGTATACATACACATGCATACATATCCATACATATGTATACATACATGTACATGTGTGCATGTATGTATACATATACGTGTATATACACGTGTGTGTGTATATATATATAGAGGTGCTTGTGTTTCCATAATAGTAATATCATGTATGCATTAAATAGTAGTATATATTATTACTCCTTCCAGTATAATTATTCCAGTATATTACTAAAGTATAATTTTTTAAAGTTTAGAGAATAATACTCATTCGACTATCTAATAACTACATATCAAAGACTGTATTCAACTCACTAATTAATGAAGAAACCAGTGAGATGTTAAACCTGGTTCAAATGAGAATTTGAGGAACAAGTGTTTGTAGACAACTTAATAAAGTAAGGTTAGGATAAGACTGCTAGGTTATATACAAAACTGGTTAATGTCCTACAGGTTAATAAACTGTAACCTTTGGAATTATCTGTTTTCACAAAATAGAAATTACAGGCATGCATCACTTAACCACAGAGATACATTCTGAGAAATGTTGTCATTAGGCAATTTCATCACTGTGCAAACATCATGGAGTGTACTTATATAAACTTATGGTACAGCCTACTACACTCCGAGGCTACACAGTGTAAGCTTATTGCTCCTAGGGTACAAACATTTACAGCATATTACTGTACTGAAAATCTAGGCAACTGTCACACAGTGGTAAGTATCTGTGTATCTAAACATAGAAAATGTATAGTAAAAAAAATATGGTAGTGTAATGTTATGGGACCACTATGGTATAAGCAGCCTGTCATTGACCAAAATGTTGTTCGGCATATGACTGTATTTGCATCTCAACCACACTTCCATGAGTGGTGAAAGGAGTATTTCCTGGTCTCTTAGCCTTACCACTTTCTAAACAGCTGGAAGGAGTTAGTTTTCAATCCTCCATATTCTTTGGACTTTCCTTTAAGTGTATTTTTGAAAGTCAAATAAAATGTGGGTTTAGAGAAATTCATAATTATCTGGAGTCATATTTGTGACTATATAGCATTGGTTCTTAGAATGCTCATACCGTTCAATGAACTTCAGAAGCAACTATATGTGGTAGAAAGGATCTTGGCCTGGGGGTAGTAAGAAGATCTGTGTCTATTTCAGCATTGCCATTAAATGGCTCGGTGACTCTAAGCCTCAACTTCCTCATCTGAAAATGAGGGGTTTGACTAGATGGCCTCTAAGGGTACAGGTCTCAAACTTCAGTGAGCATCAGTGTTACAGGGAGAAACTTGGTTAAAAGAAAAAAAAAAAAAAAGAACAAATGTAGATTTCCAGACTCCACATCCAGATTCTGAGTCAAATCCAAGTCTGTTGTTGTTAGCGTGTGTTTATTTTAACAACAGCCCAGGTGATGCCAGTGCAGTAGTAGACTGCACTTTGAGAGACTTTGCTTGGAGGTCTCATCCAGCTCTAACCATCCACCACTCGGTATTCCAAGGAGGGGCCCCAGAAGCCTGGATTGAGCTGCTGCTGATCCTAGTCACAAAGAGTTCATGAGTATCCATGAGGATTTCATTAGTCACTTATTTCCTTTTAAGAGGCTACATGCATTAAGAAACCATTACTAGTACAGCACTTAATGCTCCTGAAAATAATGTACTGTTATTGCAGAGGACCTTTCTGAAAGGATTTTAGGTTGAATATTGTTGAGCTCCAATTTATTGTTTTACTTACACAAGACCTCTGAGTGGTAAATTGCTGTATACATTGTTACAATGCATTATTTTTTCAGCTAAACATTACAAAAGAGATTTTTCTAATCTAATGCAGCCAAGCATTGACAATTTTCTGAGAGCTAAACCATAAACTGTCTTGAGCGGTTTGCCTTTCATCTTTGGTTATATTTTTTAATTGATTTTTCTAATACAGTGATGCAGGTCATTTAAGTGTGTATTAGCAACATATAACCATCAGTATCAGACCTAGATAAGCTTATATTTGTTTGCTACAGGAAAACATGCTTATTCATTTCATTATTTGTTTCTATAGGAGGCTAACAATGACTTTCATTAGACTTACATAAGTAGAAACAAGATTTAAATTGACAAAAAAGGCCGGGCACGGTGGCTCACACCTGTAATTCCAGCATTTTGGGAGGCCGAGGTGGGCAGATCACGAGGTCAGTAGATGGAGACAGTCCTGGCCAACATGGTGAAACCCCATCTCTACTAAAAATACAAAAATTAGCTGGGTGTGGTGGTCCATGCCTGTAATCCCAGCTACTCAGGAGGCTGAGGCAGGAGAATTGTTTGAACCCAGGAGGCAGACATTGCAGTGAGCTGAGATGGCGCCACTGCACTCCAGCCTGGTGACAGAGCAAGACTCCGTCTCACTAAATAAATAAACAAATTGATTTAAAAATCAAGGAAACTTAGACTTTGTACCTTATATACATTAAGAACTTTTTATGATCAAAGGACTAGAAAATTAGTATCTTGTTAGCAGAGTATATATGAACACACACACATACACATGCACTCCAAAATCACACACATCCAAAAAACATCAGAATTCTAATTAGAGAAAAACATAAGTAAACAGTGAAAATTCACCTGATGCTTAAATGTTACAAAAGCTTGTTATTCTTCAAGGTGGAATTTGGGCTTTCCTTTAGAATCTGATGAGCACTTCCTGCCAGGCCTGAAAAACAAGAGTACTTGGAAAGCCGAAATAGCAGAACAACTAAATTAGCTCTCCATCTCCTAGGGAAGACACAATCTCCCTAGTGGAAGGTGGATGGGATATGCACAAATAATCCATGTTTAGATCTGAGTGAAGATTATCTGCCCATCTCCCATCCACCATGTGGTGGGTGATTTCAACCAACTCCCATGACAGCTTTGAAGAAATGTTCCCATCCCCCACACCTCAGGGGCATCTCTATCTGTCACAAGCTCTAACAGCAAACAGGATAAATTCTTACTACCTCTTTGAGCAGAGCCCTAACCTCATCCAGAAGGCCTCTATTTTAAACCTTTTCTTCCCAATAACACCAATCTTCCATTTATCTGGAATTTTCTTTCTCACCTGCTTCACACTCCCTCCTTTTCATATGCCTGTGGATGCACAGGAGATCTGTGTAAAGAAAAAGAACGTTTGCCACCCATCTTCCGTTGTTGTCCTTATTGGCAAAGAGTCTCCTAAGTCAGATGAAGGAATTGCTCTTCAGTACCTTGGCTGAAGCACATTCAACAATTTACCTAAGAGGTTCCTTATACAAAAGTAAACTTTCTGATAAAGTATAACAAATATAATACAAAACAGCGCACAAATCTCAAGCATGAAGGGTGAAGACACCCATATATTCAGCACATCAAGAAACAGAAAATTACCACCACCCTAGAAACATCTCATGTCCACTTTTAGTCACTAACTCTAACGGAAAACCACTCTCATTACTTCTAATACCATATATTAGTTTTGCTTGTTTTTGAAATTCATGTAAATGAATTCATGTATTATGTACTCTTCTTTGACTCTCTTCTTTAGTTCAACATTTTGTTTATGAGATTCATTCGTGTTGCTGTGGCAGGAGTTTATTCATTTTCATTGCTATATGCCATGCCATTTTACAAATACACCATAATTTATCTAGTCTACTTTTGATGGATATTTGGTTTATTTCTCATTTGGTGCTATGATAAACTGTGGGCTATGAACAATCTTGTGTATATTTTTTGGTGAACATGTAATTGCACTTCTGTTATATATAGAGCCAGGACTAGAACTGCTGGATTATCTTTAGTAGATATTGCCAAATAATTTTCCAAGATAATTATACCAATTTACAGTCACACAACAATTACTTCAAATCTGGGTGCATACTATATATTATTATGGTTTTAATCCATTTGCATTTCCCTGAAGTTCAATGAAGTTAAGCACCTTTCTATATCTTTAGGATAATTCAGGCATCTACCTTTATGAAGTGTCCATGTAAATCTCCATTTTCTATTGGGCTGCCTGCATTTTTCTCAAATAAACTCCGAAATTCTTGGAATAAACTCTACTTGCTTCTACTGACTATTCATTTTATATATTACTGGATTTGATTTACAGTTTTGTTTAGGATTTTTGCTTCTAAGTTCATTAAAGAGATTGACTTGTAATTTGTCTTGTAAACTCCTTTTTAGGCTTTAGTAGCAGGTTTACACTGACCCCATCAAACAAGTTGAAAAGTATCTCTTTTTGTGCACTCTAGAAGCGTTTATGTAAGGTGGGTATTATTTATTCCTAAAATGTTTAGAATAATTCATCAGTGAAGTAACATGACCCTAGGGTTTTCTTTGTGAAAAGGTTTTTAATAATGGATCTGATTTCTTTGATAAAATAAAAAGATCCTTAATAACAAAGTGAATTAAAGGTTTTTTAGAAATTTGTCGATTTCCTCTAAGTTGCCAAATTCATTGGCATAAAGTTGTCTATAATAATCCAGTTTTCTTTAATATCTATATGACCTGTAGCAGTGCCCACTTTTCATTCTTGATATTAATTTGTATCTTTCCTTTTTCATGAATGGTCTTGCTAGAGTTTTATCAGTTTTATTAATCTTTTCAAATTTTAGCTTTGTTGAAATTTTTTTCTATTGTAACTGTTTTCTATTTTGTTGACTACTTGTTTTATCTTTGTAATTTTTCTTCTGTTTTATTTGTGATTGCTGTTCTTTTTCTAGTTTCTTGAAATGAAAGCTTAGCTTATTCCTTTTCTGTCTTCCTTCCTACTACATGCCTTTAAGCACTTTAGTTGTATCACATCAGTTTTAACAAATTGTATCTACTTCATCATCCAGTATACAGTATTTTCTAATTTCTGCATGTGACTTAGAAGTACATTGTTTAATTTTCAAAAAGTTGGGAATTTTCTAGTTAATTGGTTTCTAGGGCAATTCCACCATGGTCAGGGAACATACTCTGAAGGACTGAATTTTTAAAATCCATTGAGGCTTGCTTTATGACCTAGCATATGGACAATTTTGGCAAATGTTCCATTAGTACTTGAAAAAATTAGTATTCTGACATTGCTGGGTGCATTGTTTTATACATAAACATTAACTAGAGTAGGTTAATTTTATTTTTCAGATCTTCTGTAACCTTACTGATTCTTTTGTCTAACCCATCACCTATTAAGAAAGGTGAGTAAAGTCCCCAAGTATGATTGTGGATTTGATTCCTCTTTTACTTCCATTATCTTTTGCTTTATACACTTTGAAACTATATTATTGGGTGGCTATAGATTTAGAATTATAATATTTTCCTGGTGTACCTACTCCTTTATCATTACAAAATATCTTTCCATCGATTTTAACACTTCTTACCTTCAGGTAAGTGTCTGAAACGTGTACCTTTTCTCTGGTTAGTATTTACATGGTATACCTTTTATCATTCTTTTAAACTTTCCGTGTCCTTACATTTTAGGCATACCATTTTTAATTAGAACATTGAGGTTTTTTAAATCAAGTCATAAATTCTTAAATGTTCAATGGTAATTCTTAATCCATTTTTATCTAATATAATTGTGATAAATTGGGCTTTATAGTTACCATTTTTCTGTTTGTTTTCTATATGACCTGCCTATTTTATACTTTTTCCTTCATTCTTGTTTTTTTATTAATTAAATATTTTTGTTGTTATTTCATTCTCCTCCCTATTACCTTGTATTTATACTTTCTTCTAAATATTTTTTCAGGATTATCCTAGAGATTACAGAATGCATCCTTGGCTTACTATAATAAGATCAAATTATTTCTTTCACCACTTCCCAGAGAACACTAGACTTTAGGTCACTCTAACTCTACCTAGCCCCTCCTACCTTTTACATGATTTTTTTAAATTTCTCTGTATATTATAAGCCCAATAGATATTAATGTTAATGGTTTTTAACAATCAAGACTTGTTTAGATTTACTTGCATATTTACCTCTTCTGATGTTCTTCATTCCCTCTTGAGTTTCTGTTTTTCTATCTGCAGTGATTTTTCTTTGGATTAAAGTACTTCCTTTAGATTATTTTTAGTGAAGGTCTTCTAGCAAAAAATTCTCTTAGTTTGTGTTCCTCTAAATATATCTTTATTTCAATTTGTTTTTGAAGAATGTTTTTGCTGGGCATAGAATTCTATGTTGGCAATATAAACCAAAAAGTGAGACATATCTCAATCGATTTAGAGGTTTATTTTGCCAAGGTGGAGGATGTACCTGGGAAAAAGAAATGCCAGTTACTTTAGAAACGCAAGTTACTTTAGAAATGCAAGATCTATAATCTGTGAATTTTTTCCAAGATGGTTTTGAGGACTTCAGTATTTAAAGGGGAAAGAGTGGGCAAGAGGAGAGAGAGGAAAGAAAAAAAGAGGGGAGGGTAGGCAAAGACCCAAGTGGTTACATTTTTGTGAGGCTTTGGTGCTAACTGAATCTATATTTCACATGTGAAAATACGGGAGTGGGGGGAAATTCAATTATGCATTGTCTCATGCTTAGTAACTCTACACTTTACATAAGGTCAAGTAAGCATGTGAAATTACAGCTGTCTGTTTGGGAACAAAAGCAGGCAGTTTTTTGTTGGGTTTTTTTGTTTTTGTTTTGTTTGCATGACTCAGTTCCCAAACTTAACTTTTTCCCGTTTACATAGTGCATTTGGGGTCCCAAGATTGTATTTTCCTTTCACAGCAGATACTTTTTTCCATCACTTTAAGATGCCATTCTATTGTCTCATGGCTTTCATCATTTCTGTGATAAGTCAGGTTCAAATTCTTTTTGTTGTTCCTTTGAAGACAATTAACTTATTTTTGTTGCTTTAAAATTAATCTCATTGTCTTTGGTTTTCAACAGCTTTTAATGTGATATGACTTGGTTATTTTTCTTTTATTTATCCTGTTTGTGTTTGAGGCACTTCCTAAACCTTTTGGTTCATCAGTTTAGGAAAAAATTTTACTAATTATCTTCTAATGTTGCTTGTGCACTCACCTTTTCTATGTACTCAATTGACATATGTGATATAAAATGTTAACTGTTTTCCATGTATCTCTAATGTTCTTTTCTATACTTTTTTTTTTTTAAGACAAGGTCTCACTCTGTCACCAAGCTGGGATACAGTGGCATCACCACAGCTCACTGCAGCCTCGACCTCCACAGGATCAGATAATCCTCCCACCTCAGCCTTCTTAGTAGCTGGGATTACAGGCACACACTACCATGCCAGGCTAATTTTTGTATTTTTTTTGTGGAGACAGGGTCTCCTTATGTTGCCAAGGCTTGTCTCAAACTTCTGGACTCAAGCAATTCACTCAGCCTCCCAAAGTGCTGAGATTACAGGTATAAGCCACCACACCTGGCCAATTCTTTTTTTCTCTGTGCTGCAATTTATTTTTCTATTGACTTGTCTTCCAGTGCACTAATCATGTCTTCTGCTCAATCTATTCAGCTGTGAAACTCATCTATTGCGTCTTATTTTTTATTTCTAAAATTTCCATTTAATTCTTTTTTAGTAAATTCTAATTCTTTGGTAAAATTTTCCATCTTGATTCCTATTTTCCTTCCCTTTCTCTACTTTCTTTAGCATCCTAATGATAGTTAAGATCCTTGTGTGTTAATGTCAATATCTGAATCAACCATAGGTGTATTTACATTCTCTATTTTTTTCTCTTATTGTTGGTCATATGATCCTATCTCTTGGCATACCTAGTTGTCTAGTTTAGTGAACACTAGACAATATATGTGTGTATACAGGTGTACACACACTCACACACACACAGAACAGAAGCACCATATAATGTTAACTTCATCTAGAAAAAGTTTGTCTTTCCTGTGCTGGAAAGGTTAGAAACTGATCAACCTAATTTGATCAAGGCTGACTGCAATTTTGTATGACTAAGTCTGCCTCTGGTTTACTTCACTCCTGGATAGGTCCTGAACTTTTATCCTTGTGTTTCAGCATGGCAGGACTGCTGAAATCTTTTATGTTTTTTTGTAGGCTTTCTGCTTAGCTTCTTACCCTTCTGAACCACAGCTTTAAATTTTTAGCAAATGCATTGAGCTCTATGTATTGACTATGTGTCCATCTCAGTGTTCTGCCCCATGCTTTCTTAGCCACCCCACTTTCCCTCTCACCACTGCAAAATTCTCTGCTGGTTTTACTGTCCCCCCAGCAGTGGCCTTCCCTCTTGGAGGCAAATTTCAGATTTTCAGCCTCTGCCCCATTCTCCAGGGTAAAATAAACAGATGCAGACTATTGGCTGCAATCTCTGAGGTTGCTCCTTTTTTGAATATTCCTCCTCCCCTCAGCCTTGGTTGCTTCAGTAGCTCTCCAATGCCATGAAATTAATTGTTTTTGTTTCATCTAGCTTTTCTAGTTGTTTTGGGCTAAAGAGTGGTTTGTTGCTACTACTTCAACATAACCAGAAGCAAAAATCCATCATTTTTTTTAATGAGTTCTGGGGAGCCCTTGTTAAGGAACAAAAAAAGGACTGCTGGAACATACATCCTTTGGGGGGTTTCCTGGGTCATGTTTTACCTCAGTGTGTCCAAGAGGCAGTATAGTTGGTTGTAACCATGACTCTTCATTTAAGTGCTGAAAAACATAGGCCAGCCATTGAATTTTTTCTGCTTAAAAAGTGAGGACATTATCTTCCCTTCTTGACAGAACTGTCATGAAAAATAAATATTTATTTAAGAGTTTTGGAAAGGTAAACATGACATGTGTTATGTATACAGTCAGTCCTACAATATCAAATGTTTGTTTCTCTAGCTGTTCATTGGATGAATGTCTTTCTCCCCTAGTTAGATTGTAAGCACTTTAAGAGAGGGCCTGTGTCCTCTACTTCCATCTTATTTCCTGTGGTTTCAAGCTTTGCGTGACTCACAAAATAGTCATCATTTAAGTGTTTTACTTTTAAAAAGCCACCTTACCCCATGTCTGTCCATATTAAAGTATTCTGGAAGGCAAGCTATCAGCCTTGCTATGGTGTGAATGTTTCTGTCCCTTTAAAATTTATGCATGGAAATCTCAAGCCCCAAAGTGATGGTAGTGAGAGGTGAGGTCTTTGGGAAGTGATTAGGACTTGAGGACAGAGACCTTATGATTGGGATTAGCACCCTTATAAAAATGAGACCCAGAAAGCGAGCCCACCACTTCCACCTTGTGAAGACACAACAAGAAGACATCAACTATGAACCAGAAAGCAGGCACTCAACAGACTTCCCAGCCTCTAGAAGGGCAAAAAACAAATTTCTGTTGTTTATAAGCTACCAAGCTTATGATATTGTGTTATAGCAGCCCAAATGGACTAAGAAAAGCCTCATTTGGATTTCTGTCAATCTATGTTGGTAAACAACAGCTTTGGGATTTGTAATGTTACGTGCTGACAAATTTAGAGGACCAATTTTGATAATTAGTTTTTATTTTCTCTTTCATCCTTTAAACTAATAAAGTCTTAGGGTAAAGAAATTTCAACAGCATGAAACAGTAGATGACTTCACTTGCTGATGATGATTAGACCCAACTTCTTTTTTCGGTAATTACTAATATGTGGTAGAAGTGGATCACCTCTCTTAAAGACAGGGTACTTAAAGTGAAATGCTTCTATGTACCCATTCAATCTCCACCTCTCTCCACCAGACCCTTGCTTTCATCTAAAAACAAAAGGAACCAATTACTTATTCCAAGGTAGTCTTGAAAATCATTTAGACATAATTAAAGCTTGCAATATCCTGTAAGCAAGTACCATATTCTAATATTTTCTGCCAAGAACTGAATTTGCTAGGCATGACACATTTATTTCTGGCAGTAGATGTACCAAAACCTACCAACACCAGGGAATTAATAAATACCACAGCCCTCCTATGGAGCAAGTTGCATGAATATTTAATAGGAAATGCATGATGAATTTCTTGCATGATTATGCAGAAAAACATTTGGGAATGATTGCAGCTGTTACATGAACTAGCTCAGTCTCCCCCATCTCTGTCTTTATCAATCTCAATATTGTACTTTAACTTCAGCAGTAAGCTATCTCCAATGATGAGTATTGCAGACACCTGTCAACATTTTAGGACATGTGTGACTCTTTATATATGCTATCTGTGTGTGTGTGCCTTACAACTTTCAGTGGTGCATTTTGAGGGAACTGAGAGAGAAGGTGAAATAAGCTAAAAGGTAATAGCTGTCACTCTTATGGGTGTGTCACATTTTCTCTGACAAGACCTTTACATCTCCACCTAAGCCCTGTGAAAATCTAATCTAATCTAAATTTGATAACGGTGAGATTTTTGCAGATTCTTAGTTGTTTTTAGTATTACAAAGATGTTTTTCTTCCTTCATGTGTATTGTATATCCTTTAACCATCCTCCCCTTCAAAATATGTACCTTTTCAGCAGGTAAAATAGTCCTTTAACATTTTTTAACTTTCTGGCACATTCATAAGGTTGAAAGATCATTGAACAACAAAAATTTTTTTAAATCAAGAATTAGAAACAGAAGATCATTTATCAAATTTGAACAGGGAGGCCAAGTCAACATGTTTTGAAAGCCAGTCGGTTTGGGCCCTCCAGAGCTTCAAAGGGCATCTCTTTAAAATAAAAGCCGCTTTTTTATTCCATTCAAATTTCCCAATTCATAGTCGATCTTCAGCACCCTGTTCCCAGGAAGTGGGGATTCCAGAAAACCCTCAAACCCTGGAACCTCCACAGACAGAACACAATGTTATCAAATCACTGCAGGGAGCTCAAACAGGCCCAGATTTTGACAATAGCTTGTGACCTTCTAATGAATTGCAGGTGACACAATGTCTATGCCCTCTAAAGCAATTGAGTGCTTACTAAATGTCATTAAAGAGTTGGCACTCCTTAAATTATCAAGTGGTAATTATATTATTGGCTTCATAACAAGAAGAAAATCCTTCTAAATTACATATTTGTTCCCCAAGAGTGGTAGTGAGATGAGTGGTACCTACAAAGATGGTGACTTACTTTACTGCTCTCACATGTTGGAATCTATTTTTGGTAAGAGCTCTGGTCAACCTGGACAGAGGCTCTGCAATCACAAAGATAAATGCATCCTCACTGAATCATGTTTCTGTCTGAAGAAAGTGTAGACACAAGAGAGGATGTGGTAAAAATCCAAAAATTTCAAGATGTGCACCCAAGTTAAACAAACAAACAAAAAATCACGAACAACACTAGAAAGCAACTTCTTTTTCCAAAAGTTAAAATGTCACAGTGAGGCAAGACAGTTTCTATCCTGGCTTCCCTATTTCCCACTGGAATCTGAATGTCTAATATGTGTGCATCCTTTGACAAGCTCACCAGAAAAGGCCATATGAAGGTTTCCCACTATTGAGGACATCCAGTGCTGCACTGCAAAACCCTTGCAAACATGTTACACACAGAACATCCCCTTGTCAGCAAAAGTGAATACTCATCCTTACCCATCACAGAACCTTAATCAGCAGCATAGTGCCTCAGTGATATAACTTAAGGTGAAATAGACTCACATCACCCCCACCTTCCATCTTGCCAAAGTCTAAAATTAACAACCAGTTCTTGTGCAAAAAATCAAAAAGGAAAACTCATCGTGTGCTAGAATTAACCTAAATGCTTTATTTACGGGGGTCTATCTTTGGTACTTTTAGAATATTTATATGCAGGCAGAAATATGTAGATTCAAGGAGAAGAAAGCCAAAGGGCCTTTGCTGTGCTGCACAGATACAGTTGAAATGAATTGCAATCTGACCATTAGATTATTTCTATTGTTAAAACATAAACTTTAGTTTGTGATGATGACTTAGTATATACCTCAATTAGAGCATGATTATAGAATGGTAGAGAATTCTAGTTCTAATGATCCCTAATGACCTTTTTCTTAACCCAGCACTATCAGGTATAGTCAATTAAAATGGCCAAAATATTTACACTAACTCACCTAAGAAAAGGTATTTTGAGGAAATTGTCCTTGCTTCTTTTTGTATCTTGCAGGAGAGTTCAGTGTTATCTCTCTCACGTGAATGAAAATGAGAAAATGTTCTTTGTAAATGAATAATACTGTTTAGAGCTAACCTGCAATATGTTAAATTTTATATTTGGAAACTGACTTGACCCAACTCAGACTTGCTCTAAAGGAGGCTGATTCAAGCCACCCATTGGGAAGGGGCGAAACAAAGCACAGCCACCAGTTTCCTGTTGCCTGGATCTTTTATTACATTGGCTCATTAAAACTCCTTGTTTGTATTTGCATTTTACTCTTGGGCAATTTTACAACATAGAATAGTGATAAGCTTGCAGGCTGATCCTACTCATTATGTTTAATCATGACTGCAATAAGGGAGATCATCGTATCATGCCTCTATCTCAAATACACTGCAGTGATTTTAAAATAGAATCAGTACCTTACAATAGCCTTGGCACATGCTCTCTCTTTTTTCAAGATGAGTGCTTGAAACATAAAATAAAAGGCATACAATGAAGTTGGAGAGGTCCCCATTTTTAATCAGAATGTATGATTAAAATGAGGGGAAAACCTTACTGGAAAGCAAATGTGTGGAGAGAAAGAGAGAATAAATGAATATCATTGAAGAGTTTAGTTGATCTTCTGTGGCTGCCCCACACATCCCTACTTCAAGACATCCATCTGAGTGTGGCCCAAGAGGACCCTCATGTTGTCTTGGGTTGGTCTTCTGCACATTCAGGTTTATATTGTAGTTTAAGAGAGCCAGTGCTTCAGTTTCTGGCATCAGTTACTAATTTTTTTATGTTAATGAAAAACACACATCAGCTCCTTGAAATTCCCAAAAGCAGCATCAGTTTTGCCACTAATTGCAGTACTTTTGGGGTGGTGGAGGGAGAGGGGGAGTGATTCCAGTAGCATTAGTTGGGACAGGGTTCTTTGCCTCCCTGAGTGGTCCTCTAACTGAAAACATTTGTGACTTGCTCCTTCTGGCCTTGAGTTCTCATGAATTTTGAGAAATTGGAAGCTCCCAGGAGCACCAGAGCATGATGAAATAATGGAACTCTGGAGGAACTCTAGAGGAACTCTGACCTACGAGATATGAGGAAGAAAGTCTGCCTCAAACTTCAAACCCCAGCAGAAGGGAATTTGAGACATATCCATTTGATCTTCTGTCTCAACCTAACAAGATATTCCTCTTCAGGGCTAAATGCACTCCTACAGGCTCTTCCAGCAACTGATATCTTATGCATGAGAATATTCTAATGAATGTGACAAGCACAAATATAATAAATTGATTTTCTATGAAATGTAATTTTTGAAATAACCAGAGGACTTTGGGATGCTGAGAATTCCCCCCAAAACTTAGGGAGAATCACTAAAGTGGGAATTTGAGGGATTTTTCCTCCCCTGAAACCCACTTAGAGCCTTTCTCATTCTAGTTACCAACGCATAAAAATTAGCTTTGCTCAATAGAATGTGTTCTATGGATAAAAACAGAAATGTCACAAAAGGGTTGAATACCCCATTATACATAATATCTCAACTTTTGCATACTCAAAACACACATGCTCAGCAGACACTTTGCTAAAATTATTTGCTGCAAAACATGAAGCAGGCAGGAAGCCTATGCACAATGAATTGATTTCCAAGTCTTATTTGTGGCTGATTTGAGGTTAGAGAGCATTTCTGTGCTGGGTGGAGTGGTAAAATGAATGTTTATTGCTTAGGATTTAAAAGGTCCATTATCATTCAGGCTCAGTAAGGTTCTGCCACACAAAACTGAGTGCCAGGCCAGCAGGCAACTGATTCAAGTGACAAGAGGTGAGCTGCAACAGCCTTTCCATGTTAATAAAACATGTCCCAGCACTCAGAAGGAACTCTAGCACAGTATGAGAGCAGATAGAATTTATTAATCAGAACTACCGTTAACTCTAATTATAGACTGCCCCCAAGTTACAAAATAAATGGATGCCTTGGAAATAAAGCAATGTTTTGTATATTGAATCCCATATTTCCACTGAATCCTCTTATTATAATTGAAAGTGAGTTTTGATAGAAAAAAGTCTAATCCCATTAATAGAGACTGCCAGATAGCTCCCTATCCAATTTCCCACTTTTAACCTTGTAATCTTTAGTTCTGGCTGAAGTGCTTGTCCAGGAATCAGGAACAATGGCATCTGGTTCTGATTCTGCCAGTCATTAAATGTGGCACCTTAAGTCAGTCAGCTTTCTCATCTGCACAAGAGGAGGTGTTAAACTTGATCAGTTCATCACAAATGTTGGGAATCTTCTGAAAGCTGTGGACCCCCTCCTCAGAAAGATACATGTACACACATACACAAGACCTGTGGGAATCAATTTCAGGAGTAAATCAACAGAAGCCTATTGAAGAATCCTAGGTTTAAAATCTCTGAAGCAGATCATCTAAAGTAATTTGAGCTTTAAAACTTTCTGTGATTTTGGTTTTTCGACCAGCTTCTGCATGGAGATAATAAATTACGACATTAGTTGCATTGACAAGTCTAATGTGTGTGAGTGAGTGAGTGTGTGTGACGGGGTCTGGCTCTATCGCCAGGTTGGAGTGCAGTGGCTCAAACTCAGCTCACTGCAACCTCTACCTCCCAGGCTCAAGTGATCCTCCCTCCTCAGCCTCCCAGGTCTATTCTTGACTGACCAAGATAACTGTGTACCCCTTTCTTCGTGTCAGCTGCCTCTACACAGCATGGGCAGGAAGAGACTTTGCTTTAAGTAACACATATTCTGGTATACCACATACCAATCTGTACCACCATAAAATAAGGGACATCTGTATGAATAGACCAAAATTTCAAACGCTGCAAGTGCAAGTAGATTGCCTTCAATAAGCCCTATGGCATGATGTCACTCTGGAGTGACGCCACAGAGCCTCTGGGTCTAGCAGCAGTGTTACAGTGCACAGCTTTCCATCTCCACATCTTGTCTATGCTGTGGAGTTATTGCTACCATTTTGAAAGATAAAAGCAAATCATTTGACATTACACCTAAACAAACTGCTCTTTTAGTTTTTAAAAGTACCATGCAATATATTTAAAACCGTCCTTCATTAAAGCACTCATGTCATCCTTGATACTATAATCCCTACCTTCAATTTATCCTTAAATACAATTTAAATACAATTTAAATACAATTTGAGGATCTGAGGAGGTAGAGACAGAGAGAGGATCAGGATGAGGATGAAGATCAGAGGTAAAATGGGGGTCAGCAATAGCATTGGTATTAGTAGCTAAGGACTTTCTATTTAAAAGGCACTGAATTCACATGCTTTTCTTTCACTACATTTAGCAAAACTTGAATCCCAAGGAGTGTTTTTTAGTCCCTGTAAAGCCCATATGCATATTAAGAAAGCTTTACACCTCCCCCCACCCCCCAAAAAAAAGAACCTTGAGGAAATCAACTCAGAATTACTTTGAGAAGTTTGATATACCTAGTAATTATATACCAGAAAAATACAAAATAGTAAATATTAAGTCAGCTTATGTCTGCCCAACATTGGGGCACTAAAATTAGTTTCAGTATTGACATCACTAGCCAAGTGACAAGGTAACAGTACTGCAGTGGGAAAAGATATTTATAATACATACAACCAACTCTATCCAGGATTTACAAAGATGTCTGCAAGTCAGTAGGAAAAATACAGCCAATTCAGTAGAAAAATGGTGAAGGAACTTGAAGATACACTTTGAAAAAGAGAATCTCTAATGGCTAATGAATATAAAAAAAAGTGCTCTATCTCATTAGTCATTAGGAAAACGCAAATTCAAATCTAAGCAAATACCACTACCCAGTAGAAGACACAAAAGGGAAAATGGTTGACAATACCAACTGGAATAAACATGTGAAACAACTGGGACTTTCATACACGGCTGGTAGGAGACTAAAGTTGAAGATACTGTTGGACCCAGCAATTTCATTCCTAGGTATATACCCAAGTGAACATGCACATGTACAAAAGAATGCTCACAGTAGCATTAGTCATAATAGACCCAAACTAGAAACATCTCAGACATTCAACAATAGAAGAATGTATAAAGATATTGTAATATAGTCACACAATGGGAAATCAAATGACAAACTACATTTACAGGCAACAAAACTAGTGAATTTCACAAACAAACCAAAAAAAAAAGCAAAAGAACCAGACACAAAAGAATATAACTGTAGGAATACATTTTATGAATTTCAAAAGTAGGCAAAACTAAACTGATTTCAGAATTTAAGCTAGTGGTTACCTTTGGGGAAGATGGAAGGGAGAGTGATTGAGACAGCATTCAGGAGACAGTGCTTCTGTGATTTTTAAATTTCTTGATAAAAGTGGTGTTTTCACACATGGAATCATTTTGTGATAGTTTACTGCAGCATGCATTTATAATCTGTGCACTTTTCTGAATATATTATTATTTAAAAAATAGTTGAGAGAGAGAGAAAGAGAACATAGCTTGGGGGGATATATACAAGATTTCAAGTGCTGAAATCTTAATTTCTCACTTGCAAACTGTGACTTTGGCAATTTATGTAATTTATCTGAGCCTCAGTTTCTTCATTTTTAAAATGAAGATAATAGTGATTATCGGCTTTGTATTACTGAATGGAAACATTCATGAAAATTATTTAGCACAGTAAATGTTTGCTGATCTAGTCTATCCCCTCAATTTACAAATGAACAAACCAAGAGACAGAAGTGACATGTCTTGTTCACAATTCCTACCTAGCCTGTTGTCAGAGCCAGAATCTGGGCTTATAACAGATAAGCAGTCACAGGCAAGGGTGACTACTGTACTGTGAACTGAAATTAAACAGAAGACACCCTTCAGACCATTCTGTTTGCTTCTTCCATGTGTGTCAATAACACGAGTTACACATTTTTTTGCTCTGATTCTGGCTTCACAGTGACATTACTCAGCAAGTCTCTACAGAGTGGCTTTGGAAAAAAGATAGCAAAGTAAATCAAGTAAGTAATTAATTCAATTCAACACATACTTACTGAGCACATACTATGTGCCAGACACCATTCTAGGCCCTTAGAATTTTCCAGTAAACAAAAGAGAAAAAAATGCCTGCCCTCCAAACACTTATTCTAGTAGACGTAGGGCAGAGAGGGAGGAAGTTGGACAGTGAAAATTAACACGATAAATCATTTATATATTGTTTTTAAAGGTAATAAATGCTTATTTTAAAATGTAGGCTTTATTATTACTCAAATATGGTGAGGCAAATAGATCAGGAGACAACTGCCATTGTAAAGACAACTGTTATTTTCACAGGTCCCGATTTAGGCTTATAATGCATAAGCAGTCACAGGCAAGGGCGACTACTGTACTTGAACTGAAATTGAATAGAAGGCACCCCTCAGACCATTTTGTTTGCTTCTTCCATGGTTTTCAACAACACAAGACACACAGGGGCCACAGGCGCCACAAGGGGAAGCACCAGAGTGGATCAGGAGGCAGGAGCAAGACAAAAGTACAGACAAGAGCCTTTACTGTGGCATCTACAGGAAGCAATGGATAAGGCAAGGTAAGCAGGTTTAGGATTGGTGAGTTTGAATAATTTCAGCAGGCCCTGGGGTGTAGGTACCTGGCCTTGGGATGAAAGTAGGAAGGGGAAAAGTGGCCTGGAATGTGAGAGTTCAATATAGGAAGTGGTTGGACATTTGGGCTCTGGATTGGTTTGTTTGCATTCAAAAGACATGCTCACAAGCCAGTCATTTACTAGTTCTAGGAATTGGCTAGCTCTGAAAGGATCACTCTTCAGGGTCAGGAAGGCTTCAGATGTCAAAGGACCAGAAACTCATGATTAATACAGTGGTCTGAAAAAGAGGGCAAGGAACAGGGACTAAGGAGTTACTGATCATCATCCAATTTAGAAGATTTATCAAATAGATCACCAAATGTGCATCTGACTTTTGTTGAACTAGATTTGTATGTTTTCTTTTACATTTTAATTTTAGTCCTTAGCTGTCAGTGCAGAATTGACTATCCCATGTAGGGGGAAACATGTCATATATAAAAACTAATTCACATTTTGTGACTATGCTCAATACTAAAAAATAAGAAATGGTGGTTTGCATTTTTGTCTATGTACTTGTGTAGCTTGGAAGCCACCTAGCCAGAAATAAGCCTAAGTCATCATTCTTCCAGAACAGCTGCTTATGTGATGCTTACATTCTGCACACTCAAATGATAATCTCATGGTCAGGTCAGTACCCCCACTCCAGGACCCGGATGTAACTATAGCTGTATGGAGATATAGAATGGAGATGACAGCACAATTCATTGTTATATAGAGTTTACTATACATGGTTCTAAATAATGAACAATAGAGTCTATACAGTGAATCTGGGGCCAATCTTTAGACTTTCCTCATTGTAAAACAATTACTATCTTTAATTTGTGTGGTTAAGAGGATAAATAGTTCTGATCTAGGCCTATGCTTAATCCTCTTTTCTGTCAGTCACCAACAAATAGAAGCCATTGGGTGGTGGTAGTAGGGCAGACCTTGGGAAGTACAGGAAATCAGAGTGGAAGACAATCAAAAGTTGGCAAAGTGTTAAAGAGTTATAAATGATTAATCCGAAAAGGAAATGACAAAAAAAATGCTTCTGCAAACATTTTAAAAACACTGCTACTTTACTCATAATCAAGGCAATCACAACCTGTTCGAAGCATGTAACACTTGTGAATAGATGTCTGTCAGGCAGAGACTGGGGAGTTTTAAGAGGCCCCAGAGTGGTTAATGGGGGAATTAGCACAATTCAGAAAAGACATTAATTAGGTCAATCTGCAGTTTTGAAAAACTTTAGCACCTCTCCAATGCTATTAGTGAATTAATGACCCCAGTTATTGAACAACAGACAAAGATTAACACAAAAATTTGGGCTGTTAAAGCCGACTTTAAAAGGGAAGTCCAAAGAGAACTAACAAAGTTGGAAAACTACAATAAGAATTAATGGAAGTGTGTTCATGAATTATAAAAACAGACGATGAAATAATGAATCTTTTATAAAGAACTCTTCAGCACAAACTTACAACTAAAAGGAAGAGAATGCCCAGTGATACTTAGCCTAACAAGAGGTTGTATAGCTTCTCTAAAAAAGAAATTTTAATTTGTATAGTAAGTATGAATTTGCTCAGTAATACTTGGGAATAAGAAGTATCCCAATAATTTGCTGATCTTTAAATTAATTCTGGCACCAGCTCCCCCTCTCATGGTGCGGTGTGTCATATTTTAGGAGCCTCTCCTTTAGGCATTACAGAATCCAGACACTTATGTAATGTCTCAACACAGGGAAAGAGCCTGTCCCTTTATGTCCCTTAAGGTGATTCCCATGCCTGCTGCTCCTTCTACTACTTGGTGATCTTATACACCTGGCCCTCCACTCTCTGTCAAACAATGATGCTCCAGAAAGAACGGAGCTGTCCTTCCCTGCAGTCCCCACCAATGACCACTGAAACCCTTGTAGGAATGATACAATATCACCCGTTAGGGCTGATGGGGTAAGTACAGACCCTTTCCAGATAGCATAATGTTTTGCAATCTGTGTGTGGCAAATAATACTCAATTGTTATGGAGAGGCCTGGGATTATATAATTTAAACATGCTGTTTGTTTCCAAACACAGAATAACGTAATCAAGAAATTCTGCCATTGGAAAAAACTATGCGACAACCAATAATCAATAGAATATTAAGACTTTATTCCCACTTTTTTTATGGAAAAGCCAATGTCTTTGGCATATTTTGCCAATTCAGGATGTGTTACATACAATCTTCCTTACCATTCTGTAAGAATCAAAATTCATTGTTAAGAGCTAACATTTCTGTCTCCACACAAATAATTCCTGAATATATTGGGAGTAGTGTGGCTTGTACAAAAAAAAAATATATATATATATATACACACACACACACACACACATATATATATGAAATGATTGTTTTCCAGAATAACTATTGTTACCAGAAAAGGGATTCTTTATGAACGGCAAATCATGTTGACTGACTCAAATTCCTCAGGATAGTACCTCCTCCACATCTATCTTAAAATTTGTGAGGTGGGAGGTTTGCTTGAGCATGAGGATTTGAGACAACTCTGGGCAACATAGTGAGACCTCGTCTCTACTAAAAATTAAAAAAAAAAAAAAGATTAGTCAAGCATGATGGTGCACACCGATAGTCCCAGTACCTGGAAGGCTGAGGGGGAGGATCACTTCAGTCCAGGAGTTCAAGGTTGCAGTGAGCCATGATGATGCCACTGCACTCCAATCTGGGTGAGGCCTTGTCTTTAAAAAAAAAAAAAAAAGTTTACTATGTGGGACTTCACACAGTTAATCAATCACAGAGTTTAATCAGCTTTAGCAGGTGGAATAAGGAAGCATTCTAATACTAACATTTCCAGTGGAAGTGGAACAACATAATCTGGAATCTGTAGGGAAAAAGAGCTAAAGGCAAAAACAGAGGACATTTGATGATGTTCTTCCAGATTTACAGACAAGACTATAGTAGTAGAGATTGGACAAAAGATTCCAAACTTTTTTAGAAGGCCACAATTAAAAAGTTTAGTTTCTTTCTAGAAGAGAAGCTAAAGGAGACAGCACAAATTTTAGAGGCACCTTTAATGGTCATTGTGGAACTCCTCAAGAGCAAGGGCTTTGTAAGCCATTTCGGCATAGTTCTGCATTACAGATTACACTGTTCTTGAATATTAGGAATTAGTGCTTCCATGTTCCTTGCATTTGCACTTGACTATACCCAACCCCAACACTGAGGTGAAGAATCAGAAACAAGAAATGGTGGGTTTTGGTCATCTCAATGTACTAATCATAAACTCATGTCAAAATATACCCAGCAAATCAATCAGCCTGTCAACCAGTCTTGCCTGGTTTTCTCACTCTTGACACCAAAACATTGAATTACTTAGGTAGGTAAATGACTCAGGAATCACAAATAACAATCCTTGAATTGTTTCTCAACTTGAGATAGTATGAAGAAGACAGAGGACTTACTAAGAATGACTAAACTACATTCAGTAATGAGAATTTGATTCCATTTACTTTACACATGTGTACACAATAAACTACAATGTAAAAAAGAAAATGATTCTCCAGTTCCCTCACCATGGAACTGATAACCTTTAACTGGAGTGATAAAGGAACAGTCTGGTCCAGTCTGGATCCTCTTTAGAGCTTTGCATGTCCCTTGTCTTACATTTTCTCATATGTGCTGGGACAGTCGAGTCAATTCTTGAGAAAAACAAAGTCATGCTACAGATCTTTGGGACCCTGAGAGCTCTGTGCTTGGGATAAGGAGTAGAAAAAGAATTCTTACTTAGAATAAATATAGATGAAACAAAGAGGAAAAAAGGGAAGATGATGGGTCTGCATGGGACACCAGGAGTCCTCAGGTCTGCATCTCTCTGACCTTGAACTTTGTTCTCTCACTCAATTCATCTCTGCCCTAAGAGCAGTAGGAAGAGTCACAGGTGACAAGAAAGGCAGCTTATATTTTTGCAGTATCTTTCAAATTTTTTATCTTGCTCATGCCACACACAAGGGCAGTGTATTAATCAGGGTTCTGTAGAGGGACAGAACTAACTGGATCCCATGATGGGCTGTCTGCAAGTTGAGGAGCAGGGAAGCCAGTGGTGGATCAGTCTGAGTCCCAAAACCTTAAAAGTAGGGAAGCTGACAGTGCAGACTTCAGTCTGTGGCCAAAGGCCTGAGAGCCCCTGGCAAACCACTGGTGTAAGTCCAAGAGTCCAAAAGCTGAAGAACTTGGAGTCTGATGCTCAAGGGCAGGAAGCAACCAGCACAGCAGGATTTTGTCCTGCCTGCTTTCTTCTAGCCACTCTGGTAGCTGATTAGATGGTGCCCACCCAGACTGAGGGTGGGTCTGCCTCTCCCAGTCCGCTGACTCAAATGTTAATCTCCTTTGGCAACACCCTCACAGACACACCCAGGAACAATACTTTGCATACTTCAATCAAGTTGACATTCAATATTAACCATCACAGGCAGCATTATTTAAGCTGTAGCAATGGGAATATCCAAACCCCTTTGGGTTAAAAAAAAAAAAAAAAAAAAAAAGTACACCACAATACTTTCTAAGTAATACTATTAATAATAGACATCCCTCCATAAAAACTGGCTTCAGGTGTTCCCAGTAGGTCATTTCTCACCCAAAACTGTCACGGTTACGACACCATGGATTCAAAAGCCAATGGATTTAATATTCTAGAAAGATCCTCATGCTTGGAAATCCAAAGTTATTGGATTCCTTTCAATCTGTAAAGTTGAGTAGCTCTAGAAGGACCACATTTTTGTTTTATTTGCAGCCGGGGCCTATCACAGATTATTACATTTTCTCTTTCTTGGCTGGAATTAATACTAAGTACTTTACAAAGGAGACACTGGATGTTCCTGATCTTTCTTTGGCAGCTAATTATCGTAATGATGAGCGCCTATATAAAACCTAACCATGAGTTTGCCCTCTGTCAACTGCAAAACTAAGGAATCTAAATGCGGAACACGTCCAAGTTTTAGAAGGCAGTAACTGGTTCAGGCATCAGAGGATGCAGGAGTGATGACTGGGCATCTACAGCATTAACATGCACCATTTTGAGCAAGAGCCATTACTGAAAAGACTTACATCCCTAAAAGCACAGTGAGGAGCTTCCTTCCCTGTCTGCTGAAAAGGCTGACCCAAGGCCAGCCTGGGGCTGCTTAGGTGCCTTAGAAAGTCATTGTATGACTAAACAGTTCAAGGGCTCCTTGACTCAAACTCTCTTCATATTAGAGATTTGAAATTTTCAAGGAAAAATAGATAAGAAAAAACAAAATGTGTGGAATGACTATTTACCATGTGCCAGGCACTTGCTAAGCATTTTATGAACTTTATGCCAATTAAACTTAATACAAACCTAAAAAGTGGAATGACATGCAAAATATTATACTCTACAACAAATACAACACTGGCCCTGACCAATTAATTTAATGGACACTTTTTTTTTTTTTTTTTTTCAGATGGGGTTTTGCTCTGTCACCCAGGCTGGAGTGCAGTGGTGCAATCTTGGCTCACTGCAACCTCCGCCTCCCAGGTTCAAGTGATTCTCCTGCCTCAGCTTCCCAAGTAGCTGGGATCACAGGCATGTGCTACTGCACCCAGCTAATTTTTGTATTTCTAGAAGAGACGGGGTTTCACCATGTTGGTCAGGCTGGTCTTGAACTCCTGACCTCAGGTGATCCACCCATCTTGGCGTCCCAAAGTGCTGGGATTACAGGCGTGAACCACCATGCCCAGCCAATTTAATGGACACTTAACTTATCCATAACCCCTCCAGTTATTATGCCATACCAGTATATAACTGGCTGAAGATTAATCACATTTTGCAGGTGAGAAAACTGAGGCTTAGAGAGGCTGAGTAACCTGTCCAAGATATACTGCTAGAAAGTGGAAGAGTTGAGATTTGCACATCTGCCTGATTCCAAAGCTTGAGATCCCCTTCTTGTTACCATACATGTTTCCTCTTGTTAAGTGACCGGTTCCTTAATAAGAGGATTTTTGTCACCATTAAGATGCTGGATGAAAGGCTATCCATGAAGAAACCATGCTGAACACTCCCAACATCTACTGTGTGTGCATTGAGGTTTTTATCTTTTGTATATCTCCCTGGTAAGCATCTTCAAGCTCTTCCCATTGTCTACAGACTCTAAACTCCCTAGCTCTGGCCTCATAACTTAATAATCCACTCTAAACTCCACCAGTCCTGTGGATCTTATACTCCAGACACTCTAGGTGCCTAGTCATTCCCCAAATATACTTGAACTTTCCTTATTTCTTGTCTTTGCTCATGCTCTATCTAAGTCAGAACTGTTCTCTAGCCTTTAACCCCAGTTGAAATCCAGGACCTCTTTTAACAGCCAATTAAAACTTGCCCCCCTATATTAGACAGTTAACTTACCTGCCCCTATCAAAACCCCTGCAAGGGGCAGCCTGATAGGCCATGTGGTGCCTTCATTTTCACACTGACGCCCCTCAGCAACAGCTGACCCAAGGCTAGCCTGTCCATCAGCTAGTTAGCAACCAATTAGATTGCTAACTTTATGTCTAAAGGAGAAATAGAGGCCAAGTGGGGCTGAATACAAGACTCAAAAGGTCCTGTCAAACTAGGATGAGCAACATGTAGGGCTGAGTGAGAGTAGAGGAAACAGAGAGGGTACAAAGAGGGACCAGAGATTGCTTCTGCAGCAGTTTATCTGCCTCAGGCCCCCTTTCTCATGAGGCCTGGATGCATTTTGATTTTCTGCGATCTTCATATTCTTTCAACAATCCCTCCTTTACTTGAGTTAACATGAGTAGGTCCCTTCTGGAAAACAAAGAACCTTGCCTAGAGATCAGGTTTCTCTGCTCACTGTACAAGATTTAATACCCTCCTGCTTGGCAGTCCACTAAGGCCTTTTTTATTTATACTTCAATTTTGGCACTTTTATCTCACCTTCAATTAATGTTAATTATGCATATATGTCTGTCTCACCACTTTTCCTTCAGACCACGTCCATTCATCTTTTCCTTAGCAGTGAGTAGAACCTGGCACACACTAGAGTGTTAACAAATGTTTATTAAATTGGGTACTTCTTGGTGATGTCAATAACCATGCCACCAATGGGGCCTTGTAAAGTTATATTATTGATATGTCACAAAAGATTTTACCATCACTACCACCCACATACTTGGAGTGTCTACTCCAAAAAGGTGACAAAAGAAGGAAAGAGATGCAGTGATGTTTAGCCAACCACCCAACATTTGTGCTCTCCTTCTCCAGCATAGAGATGTAGCTGGTAAATGCCTTCCCAGACAGGAACCATATTTCCCAGCTGCTTACATATAGGTAGGGTTAATGTATACTTCTTCCCCACAGAACGTGAGCCATGGTGATGGAAGCCTCTTCCAAACCAAAGTGCTTAATAAGTGCTCGTGAGGACCATACAATGTGGAAGGAACCTGGGTCCCTGAAAATTCCCACAGAAGGCTACTGACCAAGAAATCTTTCAAAAGACTATGACAGGAGCAAAAACTACATTTTTATTGGGTTAAACTACAGAGATTTCTGGGTGTATCTGTTACAGCAACTGGTGTTAATTAAACAGAGAAGAGCACCGTTCCATTTTCTCTTTAAGGTTGGAGTATTAAATTGCCTCTATTGTCTCTTTTACGGTATTGATATTTTTTGATTGATTGATCGACCAGGTTTCTTTACTATCAATTCTTCACCTTTAATGGGCCCTCTTTATATTTTTTCTACATATCCCTGCATTATATTTTCTTGATGTTTCCCGGGACATCTTAGGGGAAGGAGGGTGGGTAAATGGTGGGATGTGGAGCCAATGATTCTTCTGAACTTGATTCAAGTCTTGCTGGCTTCCACTGACATGTGGATAATTAAGATTACTTAATTCAAGGTGATCTGGAATACTAACAGTTTCTGGATATCAATCTGGCAGAAAGAAACATTCATCTTACGGAATCTGCACCCTGCTTCTTTGATTCATCAAGCAGAATGTGGATGTTAGCATTTTCTTTTCTTTTTTAGGGGTAGGTGGGCGTCATTAACATGTTGATTTTGATTCAACCGAAGAGGCCTCACTGGAGGGTTTCATCATGAATGTCATATACAGGGCAATCCTACAATATATCATCAAAAGCAATTTATAAAATTGTGGTTTTGAGACAGATGGTGCAGCTCTGTAGTGTGAGTAGTAAATAGTAGTGCCCTTGTAGTGGTAAGATTCCTTTTGTGAAATTTATACCTCTGAATGATGATTAAGAGTACTAGAGGAAAGCATGCTTTGGATAAAGCCCCAAGTTCATCAGAGCTTTGCATGCATTGGCATGTGTTTGGATCCCACAGATCATTAGGAACAGAGTGAGCTTTGGTTCAAGGCCTTTACTTGGTTTACATTTAAACCATAATGAATGGCCCTTAGCTTATGAATCAAAGGAATCTTATTCATGAACTTCCCACTATATAATATGCTTCCATTTGACCCAAAGCCATGATTTTAAGCAAAGCATTGGCTCAGTTTTTCAGATGAAAGCTATGTTCAAATGTTTGCTGGTAACACTGAAGCACAGTAATAATAGTTAACATTTATAAAGCTATGACTACACAACAGACTTTTGCTAAGCACTAAGCAGTTTGTATTATCTCTCTAATCTTCACATAACTGTATAGAGATGTGCTGTTACCAGTGCTGTTTCAGAGTTGAATTTTTTGCAAGGTTTATAGAAGTCAATAACTTGCCCAAGTTCACATTATTAAGCCAGGACCAGAACTGTGGACTGAAAACAAGACATTCTAAATCTAGTGTTTAAAAAATAAACAAACACAAAACCCACAATATTTTATGAAAACATAAGTAGTACATGCATGAAATTAAGAAAAAATACGGACACACATACATAAGAAAAATTACAGTGGCCGGGCGCGGTGGCTCATGCCTATAATCCCAGCACTTTGGGAGGCCGATGCAGGCAGATCACAAGGTCAGGAGATCGAGACCATCCTGGCAAACATGGTGAAACCCCGTCTCTACTAAAAATACAAAAAAATTAGCCGGGGGTGGTGGCAGGCACCTGTAGTCCCCAGCTACTCAGGAGGCTGAGGCAGGAGAACGGCATGAACCTGGGAGGCGGAGCTTGCAGTGAGCCGAGATCACGCCACTGCACTCCAGCCTGGGTGACAGAGCGAGACTCCATCTCAAAAAAAAAAAAAGAGTATCACATTCCCACTACTTAAGAGATCACCACTAAAACAACTTAGACCAAATTCTTCCAGATCCCATTCTATATATACAAACACAAAATATACGTGGCAAGAACTGACAGAATTGGAGAGAGAAATAGACAAATCAACAATAACTGAAGACTTCAATACTCCGTTTTCAATAACGTATAGAACCATCAGACAGAAGATCAACAAAACAATAGAAGACTTAAATAATGTTATAAGCCAACTTAACCCAACAGATAGTATAGAATACTCCACCCAACAAGAGCAGTACACACATTCCTTTCAAACATATATGAAACTTTCTCCAAGATAGACCATATATTAAGCTATAAATAAGCATCAACATATTTAAAAGGGCCGAAATCATGCAAACCACTATGTTCTCCAACCACTATGGAAAAAATTAGAGGAATTAATAATGAAAAATTGGGAAAATTCACAAATGTGGAAATTAAACAACATAGTTCTAAATAACCAATAGGTCAAAGAAGAAATCACAAAGGAAATTTCATAAGAAATCATAGAAAATACCTTGAGATGAATAAAAAATTGGGATACTATGTACTAAAACAGATGGGCTGTAGATAAATCAGTGCTTAGAGGGAAATTTACAAGTAAAAATTTCCCTCTCAGCACTGATTTATCTGCATCCCATAAATTTGTACATTATATGTATCCCATTGTTTACATTATAAAAGAAGATCTCAAATCAATAATTTAGCCTTATAACTTTAAAATACTGGGGTGGGGGAATAGTAAAACCAAGCAGAAGGAAAGAAATAATAACAATTAGAGCAGACGTTAGTGACATAAATAATAGAAAATAGAGACAAGAAACAAAAACAAAAGTAGGTTCTTCAAAAAGATCAAGAAAATTGTCAGATCTTTATCAAGACTGATGAAGCAAAAAGACAATTCAAATTACTATAATCAAGAACAAAAATAAGACATTACTACAAATCTTACAGAAATTAAAAGGACCACAGGAAATCCTGTGAACAACTGTATGCCAATAAATTAGATAACTTAGATGAAACAAGCAAATTACTAAAGAGACATAAACTACAGAAACTGACTCAAGAAAAAATAGATAATCTAAATAGACCTATAATAAGTAAGAAGATTGAATCAGTAATCAAAAAACACTAAGGAAAATGCAGGCCCAGATGTCTTCATTGGTAACTCTACCAAATGTTTAAAGAATTAGTATCAAGCCTTCACAAACTTTTCTAAGAAATTGTAGAACAACTATTCCTAACTCATTACATGAGGCCTGTATTACTGTGATACCAAAACCAGACAAAGGCATCACAAGAAAACTGCAGACCAATATCTCTTATGAATATAAGAAAACATACTAGCAAACTAATAACATATTAAAAGTATTGTACACCATAACCAAGCAGGGTTTATTCTAGAAATGTAAGTTTAGTTTAACATCTGAAAAATCAATTAATATATACATTACACCATACCAATAGAATGAAAAACAAAAGCCATGTGATCATCTGAATAGATTCAGAAAAGGCATTTGACAACATGCAACACTACTTCATGATAAAAACACACAACAAACTAGGAACAGAAGAAAAATTCCTCAACCTGATAAAGGGCATTTACAAAAACCCACAGCTAACATTACAATTAATAACTTACACTTGAAAGACTGAAAACTTTTCCCCCAAGATTAGGAACAAAACAAGGATGTATAGTCTTACCACTTCTATTCAATACTATACTAGAGATTCTAGCCAGGCCAGTCGGGTAATTTTTAGGTAAAATTAAGTAAAAGTCATCCTGATTGGAAAGGGAGAAGTAAAATTACCTATATTTGCACATAACATAATCTTGCATATAGACCTTAAGGATCTTGTATGTAGAAAATTATACAAATTCACCAAAAAGCTATTAGAACTAATAAGTCTAGCAAGGTTGCAGGATACAACATCAATATACAAAAGTCAATTGTACTTCTATACACTAGCATTGAATAATCCAAAAGTGAAATTCCAAAAAGAATTTCACCTACAATATCACCAAAAAATTTAGAAATAAATCTAACAAAAGAAGTATAAAACTTATACTTTGAAAACTACAAAACAATGTTGAAAGATATTAGAAAAGACATAAATAAATTGAGAGATATCTCATGTTCATGGACTAGAAAACTTAATATTATGATGGCAATACTCTCCAAATTGATCCACAGTTTCAATGTGCTTTCTATTATAATCTCAGCTGACATCTTTTGAGAAATTGGTAACCTGATACCAAAATTCATATGACAATTCAAGGGACCTATCAATCTTGAAAAAATAACAAAGTTGCAGGAATTTCACATCTCAATTTCAAAACTTGTAAGATAGTGTGGTATTTGCAAGAGGACAAGTAGGTAAATGGAATAGAATTGAGACTCCAAAAATAATTCATACATCAATGACCAACTGAGTTTTGACTAGAGTTCCAGACAAATCTTTTCAACAAATGGTGGTGGGAAAACTGGAAATCTACATGCAAAAAATAAATAAATAAATAAATAAATAAATAATGAATTTGGAGCCTTACCTCACTCCATAAAAATTAACAAAAAATGGATCAAAACCATAAAAGCTTTAGAAGAAAAACAGGAGGTATATTGGATTAGATTAAGCAATGGTTCCTTTAAGATGACACCAAAAGCATAAACAACAAAAGAAAAAATAGGTAATCTGGACTTCATCAAAATTAAAAACTTTTGTGCTTCAAAGAACACCATAAAATAAGTGAAAAGGCAACCCATAGTATGGGAGCAAATAATTGCAAGTCATATATATAACAGATTTGTATCTAGAATGTATATTTATAAACTTTTACAACTCAAACATAAAAAGAAAATAACCAAGTTGAAAACTGGGCAGACTATATGAATAGATGTTTCTGCAAAGAAGATATACAACCAATACACATATAAAAAGATGTTCAACATCATTAGCCATCAAGGAAATGTAAATCTAACCCATAATGAGATACCATTTAATACCCACTACGATGAATACAATAAAAAGACAAAAACAATGTTGACTAAGATGTGAAGAAATTGAAACTCTCAAACATTGCTGATGGGAATGTAAAATGTTGCAAACTTTGAAAACAGCCTGGCAATTCTTCAAAATGTTAAACACAGATTTACTGTATGATTCAGCATTTCCACTGCTAGATACACAAATCATTTATTCACACAAAAAACTTGAGAAATGAAAAATAAAAATTTATGCCTGCACAAAATCTTGTACATGAATGTTCATTGCAGCAATAATCACAGTAGCCAAAAAGCAGAAAAAAACACCATGTTCATTAGCTGATGATGGATAAATATGGTATATCCATGTAATGGAATATTATTCAGCAATAAAAAGAAATGACATACTGATACCTGATTCAAAATGGATGAATCCTGAAAGTATCATGCTAAGTGAAAAACAGCCAGTTACAAAAGACCACATATTGTATCATTCTGTTTATATGACATGTCCACAATAGGCAAATCTATAGAGACAGAAAGTAGATTAGTGGTTGCCTAGAGCTAAGGGTGATGGTTGGGGACAAATAAGAGTAACTGCTAATGGGTGTAAGATTTTTTTTTTTGAGATAATAAAAATGGTCTAAGATTGTGGTAATGGTTGTGCAAGTCCATGAATATACCAAAAAATATTGAATTACACGATTTAAGTGGATTAATTATAATGTCATGTGAATTATATTTCAATAAAGCTATAACTAAAAAGAGAGAACGAGAGAATTAGGACATTGAGAAGAATAGTTCTTTCAACGAGTTTGCTCTAATTGGGACAGAGAAATGGGACAGCAGCCTGAGAGAAATGTGGGGTCAAGGAATGACTAGTTTCTAAATGAAAGATATTACATATGTTCGTATTTTAGTTAATGTTCTAAAGGATGATGATGAAAGAGAGAGAAAGCACACTTGCAATTAGGCAGGAAGTGATGAGAGCTATTGCAAAGTAGAGGAGGTAGCCTTAAGTCAAACCCCATAACTTGCAGTTCAACTCATCCATTGCAGTAGGGCTGGCAGAAAGTACAGTTACAGATGCAGAAATGTTGGCAGATTTGTGCTGTAGGCATGAGAAATTCTTTGTGAAAAGGGAAAGGGGGGAGTTGATGTTTTGAAGAGACGAAAGTATAGAATAGTCATTTAGAAGAATAAGAGAGTCGTAAAGTGAATAAAGTGCAGAAATATACTATTACTGTCAGGTAGCATTCAGAGCCTAACAGTTTGTGCTTACATGTTTAAAGTGAGACCACTCAGCACAGCTGAATATATTTATCTTTCAGAGGCTTAGGGGTGTGCCAAGAGTAGGAAGGAAGGTTGAATTTTACAAAGGTGTAATCGGTGAATACTTGGTGGGCTGGGTAACAAACAGTAAAAAGTTAAGCCAGTGGATTAGAGGTCCTGGAATGGTGAGAGATTTGTCAAAGGGAAGATACTGGAGGGAAGGAGAGGGAGGAAAATAGGAAGGACCCAGGGAGGAAGGAGGAAAAGAAGGAAAGAAGACAGTGTTAAAAGAAAAACTTCAGCTGAATTAAATTTAAAGGAGTTTAATTGAACAATGAACGATTTGCAAATCAGGCAGCACCCAGAATCACAGATTCAGAGAAACTCCAGTGCAGTCATGGGGTGGAAGAAGATTTACAAACAAAAAAAGGAAAGTGACATACAGAAATCAGAAGTGAGGTACAGAAACAACTGGATTGGTTATAGTTCAGCATTTGCCTTACTTGAACACAGTTTGAACACTTGACAGTATATGAGTGGTTGACATATGGCTGCTGGGATTGGTCAGGACCCAGCCACTATTATAGGCACACACTTCCAAGTTAGGTTCTCAATCTTGTCTACCTATTAACTTATGTTGTAATTCGTCCACAAAGGACTCAAATAGAGAAGTACAGAGTCCTTATCAGGCCATATTTAGTTTGCTTTAATGGAAAGGAGGGGAAGGGGAAGGGAGGAGGGGAAGGGGAAGGGAGGAGGGGAAGGGGAAGGGAGGAGGGGAAGGGAGGAGGGGAAGGGGGAGGGGGAGGAGAAGGGGGAGGAGAAGGGGGAGGAGAAGGGGGAGGAGAAGGGGAAGGGGGAGGGAGAGGAGAAGGGGAAGGGGGAAGAGGAAGGGGGAGGGGGAGGAGAAGGAGAAGAGGAGGGGAAGGAGAAGGGGGAGGGGAGGGGGGAGGGGGAGGGGAGGGTGAAGGGGGAGGAGGGGAGGGGGAAGGGGGAGGAGGGGTGCTAAATTCTTCAGAGAATGAAGGACAGTGACCTAAAATCAATAGTTATCTGAACCAGGAAGATTAGTGTGTGCTTTAAAGACACTTTAAGGGAGGTGAGACACTTTGCAAAGAATTATTTTAGGAATTTTAGAAAGAAATTTTATTAAAATTTTATTGGTTTGCAAATGACAAAGAGGAACTAAGAGGATGACTTGCCCACCTCCAGTTCCTAAATGAGAAAACAGGTGCAAGAAACACAAAGACCTCAAGGACAGCCAGGTTTCAGTCACAGGAGTATTTCCTAACTTGTTCTTTATTATTACCCCCCCTAAGGAGCCTTTTTAGGTATTACCCGATTGTCCCCTGTGAAATTGTGAAAGATCTATGTTTTGTATGTAAAGAGTATGATTTTTTCACTGCCCCTGCCCAACAAGAACTAATTTTTGCCCACATTGAGAATTCATATATTAAAGCAAGAACGTAAAGGGAGTAGTCAGAGAAGAGGTTGAAAATAAATGAAGCCCGTTACTGGAAATACACGGATACAGGCCCATTCACTCATATCACTAAATTTCTTACTTAATCTATGTTCAATTAGTTAACCAAAGAAACTTTAGGGCCGGGCGTGGTGGCTCGCGCCTGTAATCCCAGCACTTTGGGAGGCTGAGGTGGGCAGATCGCAATGTCAGGAGATCGAGACCATCCTGGCTAACATGGTGAAACCCTGTCTCTACTAAAAATACAAAATTAAAAAATGAGCCAGGTGTGGTGGCGGGCACCTGTAGTCCCAGCTACTGGGGAGGCTGAGGCAACAGAATGGCATGAACCCGGGAGGCAGAGCTTGCAGTGAGCCGAGATCACGCCACTGCACTCCAGCGTGGGCAACAGAGCGAGACTCCATCTCAACAAAAAAAAAAAAAGAAAGAAAAAGAAAAGAAAGAAACTTTAAAAAGAGAGGGGAAAAAAATGAACAGGTGGAAGTAAACATTGAAATTATGAGCCTCCATTTGCAGCCAATGTCTGGTTCTCCATGATGGGGGAGGTTATGATACAATAGATGCTATCTTCATACATCTCAGTATTTTTGCATCCCAGGTACAACTGTTGGATATCCTTAAAAATGTTTTTATTCATGAGAAGAAAACACTAGTCATTTAATACCATCTATATTTGAAAAGCATACCAAAGATAGTTCTGTGCTTTAACCAAAATGACATGACATACATTTTGGGGGGTAAGACCTCAAAAGCACAGATGACAAAAGCAAAAATATACAAATAGGATTATATCGAGCTAAAAAAACTGCTGCACAACAAAGGATACAGTCAACCCAGCGAAGAGACAGCCTACAGAATACAAGAAAATATTTGCAAACTATCCATATGACAAGGGATTAATAATTAGGATACATAAGGAACTCAAACAACTCAATAGCAAGAAAACAAATGACCTGATTTTTAAATGGTCAAAAGACCTGAATATACATTTTTCAAAGACCCACAAATGGCCAACATTTGAAAAACTGCTCAATATCACTAATCACCAGGGGAATGCAAATCAAATTAATGAGATATCATCTCATTCCAGCTAAAGTGGCTAATATCAAAGACAAAAAATAAGAATGTGGAGAGCAGGAAATGCTAGTAAACTTCTGGTGGTAATGTAAATTCGTGCAGCCACTATGGAAACCAGTATGGAGTTTCCTCAACCAACTAAAAATAGACCTACATATGACCCAGCAATCTGCTTGGTATATATCCAAAAGAAAGAAAATTGGTTTATTGAAGAGATATCTGCATGCCTGTTTTTTGTATCATAGTTCACAATAACCAAGACATGAAATCAACCTAAGTGTCAATCAATGGATGAATGGTTAAAGAAAATGTGGTGTGCATACACAATGAAATATTATTTAACCATAAAAGAGAATGTAATCCTGTCACTTGCAGCAACATGGACGGAACTGGAGGTCATTATGTTAAGTGAAATAAGCCAGGTACAGGAAAACAAATATCATATATTCTGACTCATATGTGGAAGCTAAAATAGTGGATCTCATGGAGGTAGAGAGTAGAATGATAAATACCAGAGGTTGGGAAGGATTGGGGGGAAAAGGGGATAAAGAGGGGTTGATTAATGCATAAAACAATTAGATATTAATAGAAGGAATAAGTTCTAATGTTTGATAGCACCACAGAGTGACTATAGTTAAAAATAATTTACTGAATATTTTAAAATAGCTGGAAGGGTAGATTTGAAATGTTCCCAACACAAAGACATGATAGATGTTTGAAGTGATGTATATCCTAATTACTGATTTGATCATTACACAGTGTATGCATGTATCAAAATATCACACATGCCCCATAAGTATGTATGATAATTAGGTACCAACTTAAAAAACATTAAAAGAAGTTTCAGAAGACTTTCAACTTGAAACTAGGCTTTCAACTAGAGAACCATAGCTGCAAATGTCAACATAGTCCATCTTTCACTCCTCATGCTTCTGATCTTACTTTACTGTATTATAGGACTCATTTTCTCTCTCCCTTTCTACTTCCCAGTCTGTTCTCTTCTGCATTTCTTCTTATATATTCTTAAAACTTCAGTCAAAAATCTCCTATCAGCCAGAACTAGAAGAGGGGGTTATGAGCTAGAGGTTGAAGCCTGACCTCCAAATGCTAGCTGATCAAACAGCAAGCAGAAATCCAGCACTTCTGTCCTCTTGCACTCTGCTTAAACAAGGCATTTGGTTCACAAAGTGAGCCTTGTTAACCAACCAATATCTTTGCTAATGATGGACCAACAAGGACCAATGCCTACTTAGGCATACTGTACCATTTGGAAGACTTTGAGGCCGGATTCAGTGGCTCGCACCTGTAATACTAGCACTTCGGGAGGCCGAGGCTGGCAGATTGCCTGAGCTCAGGAGTTCGAGACCAGCCTGGGCTACATTGTGAAATCCTGTCTCTACTAAAATACAAAAAAAAAAAAGTTAGCCAGGCATGGTGGCATGTGCCTGTAGTCCCAACTACTCAGGAGGCTAAGGCAGAAGAATTGCTTGAACCCAAGAGGGGGAGGTTGCAGTGAACCGAGATAGTGCCACTGCACTCCAGCCTGGGTGACAGAGTGAGACTCTGTCTCCAAAAAAATAAAAAATAAATAAATAAATAAATAAATAAATAAATAAATAAATAAAAGACTTTGAAACAGGATCTTAGACAGATCAGCTCCAGATCAAGCATTCAAAGCACAAAGAGGATCACAGCACAAATGGCCATGTCAGGAATCCCATGCAACAGGGGCTTCGGGGTAGTCATCAGGTGAAAAGATGACTTTCAGGTGCAGCTGTATTTGGTCAGAAAACCCATGTGTGTCTGTGTGGTTTTTTGTTTTTGTTTTTGTTTTTTTTACCTACATTGTATGAAATAGATCAATTAAAGTGGCAAGTTTCTATGAATGCTTAGTAGTACTTTTTATTTGAGCGTTTCTATAGTATGATGTATTTGTATTTGACTTTTGTTATTCTCGTTATTTGGAGTAGCTTTGGGGAAGCTGATAGAGATTGTTGAGGGCCAAAGACTCACCCCATCTCTCTGTCACCACTTGAATGCATTTCTCAACTATGAAATGCTTAACTCGGTGATGGTTACACCAGATTCTCTGACTGAGGTCTACAAGCTCCATGCACTAGAAGCAGCCTGGAAAGAACAGCAGGGGACCCAGGCTCTGCAAACAGCAAGTGCAGGTGAAAATTAACTCCTCCTCAGCAAGCCATTGCCAATCCCTTTTTAAAATTGAGACACAATTCACATACCATAAAAGTCACCATCTTAAAGTGTACAATTCAGCAGGTTTTAGTACGTTCACAAGATTGTGATCATCACCACTAATTCTAGAACATGACTCCAGAAAGAAGGAAATCCTATGCCCATCAGAAGACATTCCCCATTCCTCACTTCCCCCAACACCTGGCAACTACTCATCTATTTTCTGTGTCTATGAATTTGATCATTCTGGTCATTTCTGGTCATATAAGCAAAATCATAGAATATATAGTCGTTTGTGCCTGGCTTCTTTCTTTACCATAGCGTTTTCAAGGTTCATTCATGTTGTAGCATGTATCAGTACTACATTTTTTACGACTAATATTCCATTATATGATTATATGACATTTTGCTTACCCATTTATCCATTCATCACTTGATAGACATTGGATTGTTCTTTTTCACTCTTATGAATAATGCTTCTATGACCAACCCTTTTTGAAAGGAAGCTTCTGGAGCCCTAGAATTCTTAAGAAGAACTCCAATTCTCTTGCAAATACCTTTTCAGCATCACCATTCTCACTAGCCCCTCTCCAGTTTTACCTCGTCTCTCCTTCTTCACTCTATCTCCTTCAAGTTTATGGCCACATGAGGCAGGAAATGAAGGTCATGACCCAGGACTTCCTTCCATGGAGCTTGCAAAGAAAAGTGGTGAGAAAGGAAGAGCAGCCAGAAAAAGGAAGAGAAGTAGCAACCAGGCATCCACGCAGTGGGCCTGAGGGATCTGGGTGGGAACAATGCCTCTGCGAGGAATGGGACTAGCAACCCAAGACTGGCTCCTAGCAAGGCTGCGGTGTCCCCATGACCCTGGGTACTGTGCTTCCCTTAGTGGGAGAACAGATATAAACACTAGTGGCCAAGTTCCTCAGCTCTAGGCAGTCAGGCCCAAAAGGGGAGTGATAATAAAGGCACTGCCCCAGTAGGTCTTCTGCCCTTTGACAGTTCCACATTTTACCTACCCTGGATCCATTGTCTGCTTGTCATGTCATTTACTCTCTCCTCTCCCAATCCCTCTCCCAGCAAGTTTGATTCTAGATTCATCCATAAACCTACACATTCACATCTGTGCTTGAGTTGGACCCCTTCCTGCTATGAACTCCCTAACTAACCCCTGACCGCCCCGATCCTGCTATTCCCTTCACAAATGCCTCCCTATGCCTTGCTTCTGACCCTAGCCTGCCCTGGCCCTGGTTTTGCTGTTCCCAGCTTGGCTCTGACAATTCCTAGTGATCTCACCCCATTGCTGATCCCAGATGGGACAGTTGTGTTCAGAAAGGTCATCAGTCAATGGGGTGTTTGGAACTCAAAGAATTTCCTCATAGAAAAAAATCATGATAAATAGTGGTATGGTTCCCAGGCCAAACCACAAAGGCCTATTTAACCAACCATGGTGCTGGCATGGCTGTTCTAAGCCACAGGGTCCCCTAAGTGAGAGTGACATGGAGGGAAATAGGCAAGAGAGTAGAGGCCCCTGGCAACTTAACAATTCCCATGGAAACATGGAATGAGGGAAATTCCAGTGGGAAAAAAGGCAAGGAAGAGATTGAGCAGTATCCCATAGGTCATCCAAGGAGAGATGAAGCACTCAAGATGCAGAGCAGAGGGCACCCTGCCTGGAGAGGGTTTGCAAAGTAGAGACTATTGCAGACTGGACTGGGAGGAGTCCAGGGGCAAAGAAGCAGAGGCCAGCCCTCTGAACGTTCATAAGCAAAACAGCATTATTGCAGGCCTGCCCTTGCTGAGTACCTGCCTTCCTGCTAACTCTGTCCCTGTCTCTCTTCCTGTGAAATTCCTGATTCTTCTCTGGCCCTTTGACCATCTCATTCTGCTTATTGGACATCCCTGATAGCTGATAGATGGCTTTTTGCATAGTGAGATTGGCTTTCACTGGTTTGCTTGTTTTTTTGGTCAAGGGGCCAATTGTCTTGACTGTTTCACATCCACTCCATTCCATGTCCTTACTTTGAGAAAATGCACCATGAGTTCCTTTAAGGGAATCCCTCTCTCTCATTGGATACAGACTAGGGGGTTGTTGATCAAGGTACCATGCCCTCCTCTAACAACAGATCTACTATCCTGTCTTTCTAGCTCACCTTTCAGCCTTCCTTAATCTTCAAAGGCCTCCCTAGCCTTTTAGTGAAATGCTTTGTGCTTGAGCCCACTAGATTTGCAATCAATGATCTCTCACACACACAGGATATCAAAGCGTTCTGCTTACGGCTTGATACTTTCTAATACACTCCCTGAATGCTTGCTGATCACTTGGCCCCAGTTCACTCCTGCACAGACCCTGCAGTACCACATGTGCCCTGCTTGCCTGGCACCTCCAAATGGCTGCTGCTTGGGGCACACTGTAACCTGTGCTATTGCTCTTCCCTGTGAGGTTTGGGCTGAAATGAAAGCAAATATCCATTACAGTTGCCTTCTTAGCCCCCATCATGTCTTCCCCTTCAAAGTACACATTCCATTCCTCTAGGCCCATGTATCTCAGAGTCACGTGGGCGACATAATTAAATGCAGACTCACAGGCCCCAAGCCCAGGAATGCTGTTTCAGTAGGTCTGGTGTGGAGCCTAGGAATCTGCATCTCTACAAACACCCCAGGTGACCACACAGCCCATGGTCTGAGAAATGCTGCTGTGCAGTGAGTCCAGTCACGCCACACGCCTGTCAGCTGAGCTATTCACTGGGGCTGCCTGAGCTGTTGCCCTGACCGAACCCTTCTTTTGTGAGATCGCAAGGCTTTGGGTAAATATTCTTTTTACTTTCATGGGTAGTGACAGAGAGAGACACAAATAGAGAAATAGTAACAGGAACAACAGATAATAGTTCCAGCCCCAGGAATCAACTGGCAAATTTCAAAGTTAACAGTTTTTGCCAAGCTGATTACTGGTCAAATATTTTTTGACTGGCAAGGTGAGAGAAAATCTGCATATTGATAAAACTGTAGATATGTTGGTGGAAAGATATACACATTTACACCCATTCTCTTTATGTCATCATTTTACAGTACGAAGAATAAAAACGCATGTGCACAATGAGTTAGCCAACCTACCTGATCAAGGGGAAGCAGAAATAACTCAGAACCTCAGATCTGTAAACATCTAGTATATTAACACTGTCCCAGAAAAGGCTTTGTGTATCAGACTATGAGGAAGACCTGCATCAAAGGCAGGAGGAGGGGACGACTGCAGAGCACAAAAGGATTTTCAAGCCCTCATTTCTGTCCTGTGCAATGGAAAATAGCAGAAATGTTGGCAGCAAGACAAAACAAATGGTATTTCAGACTCTTGAAAAGTATTATATTACATGCAGTTCCTAATGATATCTAGTATTAATCTAAAACTAACACCCAAGGTCAACTCTACAGTATGTTTTATGATTACTAAATGATACAACATTCTGAATGTCTGGGAACAGACATTTTTGCATGGGAGATGGCCTAGAGAGCTAGTAAGAAGCTTGTTTTTCTTTGTTTCAACATTTTCCTCTCCAACTTCCTATCACTCCCTTCTTTAAAGAAGAAGAAGAAGGAGGAGGAAAAATAAAACTATTTGTAGTAACTGCTCTAGTTTCTGCCCTTAGAAATCTGCTCTATTTATTAACTACTCCTCCGGTGAAGAAATTCCACTGAAATTCCTTCAGGGCCTGGCTGCCTTTCAGCTTCTCTCTGCACATTCCTGCCTCTATGTATGTCACCATCTTAAATAGCTGAGCCTTCTGTGCTTTAATAAGGTCTCTCTATAATCCTTTTTTTTTTTAAGAACACAGACCTAGTTTTGCTAAATTTCTGAATACCTTGGATTATAAAGCCCCCATAATACTAATTAATTTCTGTTCTACCTTGTCTCTGTCCTCACTGGTCGGCTAATAACATAAGGACCAGAACTGACCTCATTATAATAACTTCTTACATTTCTTACAGCATAATGGAAATGATTCCTCCAGGCTGGTATTTGAATTACATCCCCCTCCCTCCTGCTACCCCCCCATCCCCAACCCCGAGGCACTATGTTAAAGATTTAGATGTGCATTCTTCACAGATTTCAATTTTCTGGGTCCCAAAATTTGGGTACTAAATTTTTTACAAGGCATATTCTTTTTCTTTGCAAAGTTCATGACATGTCCAAGCATTGCACTGTCTGCATAGAAAACTAAACATTGTTACGCATGGTTCTGAATTACCATCAGCCAGAATTTATCAAAAAAAAAAAGAAAGAAAGAAAACTGTAAACATCCTATTGTCTTTCTTATGACAGGGGCTTGCTTGAAAAGAAGCTTTCAGAAGCTCTTAGTAAGAGCATCTCACCCCTTAGGGTATAAGGAGTCAGCAAACATTTTATCTTGATTTTACCCAGATGGAGGCTTTTGAGTTCTGGTCCTATGAGAAAATCCCAGAACTCTCTCCACAAATTTAGATTAGTGACGTATTTCATAAATGCATCTTTTCCCTTCCCCTTCCCCACTCCACTCCCCTTCTTAAATTATCTCCAGACCCTTGTAGCACAAACTAGTCTTGGAGCTGGATGAGGAATAATTTCCAGTGTTCTATACCACTGTAGGATGACTGTAGTTAACATTAATATATTATATACTCTCAAATAGCTAGAAGCAGGATATTAGATGTTCCCAACACAAATAAATGGTAAACATTTGGGATGATGGATGTGGTAATTATTCTGATCTGATCACTATACATTCTGTGTGTTGAAACATCACTGTGTATCCCATGAATATCTCTAATTATTATTTTTCCATTTTTTAAACTTTTTTTAAAAAATCAGTATTGGAGCAAAGAATTGACTGGCTCTTTTTGCTGATTCCTCAGCAGGATGAAAAGTACCCCTGTCCACATATTGGGACCCCTTCGATTTTCTATTCAAGTGGCTTTCTGAGGTTTTCCGTTGAGCCCTGGTGCACACTCAAGGCAATCGTTCTCTATATGAGCTGTCTGTGTCATCCTGAATAGTAATCTTACTTGGGGCTCACCAGGGCCCTCCTCTGGCTCATTCTTGCCCTAGCTCCCGCTACCAGTGATTTTTAACTTGTTGGTTTACATGGTCATGATGTCCCACATGGCTTGGGCTATAATTTTCTTACTGACTTGTATTCCACAGCTCACATTCAACCTCAATGATACCCTTAAATCATATCACATAAACGGAAACTGAATAGTTGGAGGGAATTATTTAGACACTCCGTTGGAGGCTGTTATATTGGAGGATCTCCCTACTACATCAGGCTGTGGCAGCCAGGGATTTTGTCACATAGCATGATTTTCCATCCCCTTTGAAACACAGCCCTCTTTCCTTTGAGGAGCTCCTATGCTTGCCCCTGTGAAGCTAGAGACAGAGCTTTACCACTAAATCACAGGGGGAGGCTCACATGGGCTGGGTCAGGCCAGTCACAAGACGTCATCTCCCCACAAGCCATGTGAGTCAGAATCTTTCCCTGAGAATGATACTCAGATGCTAGATGTAGGTTTGGATACAATGGGTTGGTGCAGCTCTGGAGCTAATGATGGCCATCTTCTCTGCCACATGGAGAGGGTAGAGAGGGCCACGCTGCAAAATGAGGCTCAGCGGAGGCAAGAGACAAGAAATGAGTCCACGGTTCTTATCCCTAAGGCTCCAGCACTTAAAGCTCTTCTGTGAGCCACTATATCTTCTTGAGCATTTTCTGTGAGCTCACTTCTGTGAGTCTTCAGTATCTTAAAATCAGAGCTAATTCATTATTTTATGCTTAAGATCATTCATCTTGGGTTTCAGTCATTGCAACCAAAAACACTTTGTCTAAAACCTCTTCCCTTGGGAATGATGGAAATGTACTAGAGACTGCATTGTTCCAAGGAAATTCCAAGAAACATAAGATAATGCCAGTCCTTGCCTAATTAGGGTGAGCACAGAATAGGGTGAGTACTAGTAGACATCGTGGGAAGGTCTATGGCAAAGGTATTAGAAAGCTTCCAGGTAAGGAAGTGAGCCACAAGATCAGTGATAGCATAAAATGGCTGATGCAAAAAAGGAATAAGAGGCAGGAGCTACAGTATTGAAAAACAAAAACAGAGAAAGCAGCCAAATAGAAAAGATGAAGATAAAAAACAGCTATAGGTTTAACCACAGAAGACAAGAAATGTCACCTCATTGCAAATACGTCTGACCAAATTACATCCAGAAATGTGTTTTCAAATGTAGGTTTTAAAGGGAAAATAGGGGGATGACATGCTTACATTCCAAGGCAATACCACCATGGCCAGAGCCAGGCCAACCACAACGTGGCTCCAGGACCTCGGTCCTGTAGGCTGTTCCAGGGGGACCATGAGGTGCAGACTGTGTCTAACAGCCCACCGATCAGATCACCTCAGCCACTCTCCTCCCAGGTACTCCCACAATTAAACCAGACATTTGGAGGCCCCCAATCTTTGGCTTTATGTTGGCCATTTCATTTTGGAAATGTTTCTTAATTTAAAAAAAATTATTAGTGGAGCAAGGAAACATTCTTGGCTTGCAGCAAACAGAAAGATAATCAAAATATAGTTAATTCTATTTGAAGGAGCTTAGATGCTGATGGGAGGGCTGTGTAGATAAGGAACTCACTTAGAGGGAGAGGGAATGGTAGGGTTGTCCCTGATGGTGTTCACTGACCTCAGGATAATGCCTTTAAACACCTCCCTGCAAGGCAGACAGCTAACTGGAGAAGGACACAGCCTCTGAGGGCAGGCAGCCCAAATCCAAACCTGGGCTCTACCTCCCACTGATACAATCTTGAGCAGGTTGTATGGCCTCTTTGTGTCTCAGCATCCTCACCTGTAAAATGGGGAGAGCAATAGTATGCATACCTTAGAGAGAGAGCTATTGTAAGGACTAAATGAGTTACTATGCATAAAGAGATTTGAACAATACCTGATATATGGTAAGTGCTAGGTAAGGGCCATAAAAGTGCTGGCAAGTATTGTTACAATCCCAGCTGAGTTGGAAATAATTGACTGCTACGTGGCTATGAGGTAGGACAGCAGGACAGATTTTAAAATTCTTTCCCAGAAGAGCAGCTTCTTGTGGCATTATGTGTTCAGAGAGCAGCTTAACCCTGGACAGATCCAGGGAATATCAGGCACATCCTTTCATTGCCTCACTCCTCCTGTCTCAATACATATCGTACTCTCCCATCCCTCTTCAATGGTTATTTCTGCAAACAATTTTATACTTTTCAACAGTGCAACGTTTTTGTTTGAAAGAAAATCTGAAATGTCATCTCCCCAATGTAAAAAACAATAAGCATTCTTTTATTCTCCTCAGCACCCCATTTATTTCCAAACTGGGTTTGGTTGGTTGGTTTTGATTATTTCATTCATTCATTGGTTTTATAGTACCAAGAAAATCCAGATTCTCAGAGATAACAATTGCAAACAGTACTTTTTTAAATTTAACATCTTACCTTGCATTCTTGGGAAACTTCAAGTAAATAAAGATGGCAACAAACTCTGGCAAAACTGGTATATAATATAGTTAAAAATGTGTATTTTTAAATATAAATTTTAATCTAATTAAAGTATACTTTAGGTAAATTCTAACCCAATATTTCAACACCCTTAATTTATAGCCTGTAACCTTGTGGTTGGCAAAATTCTAAGATAGTCCCCAAGGTTTGTAACCCCTGATATATACACTCTATTTGTAATCGCCTCCCCTTGAGTGTGGGCAGGACCACATCATATGTGAATATGATGGTATATCACTCTCATCAGTAGGCTGTTATGTGGCAAAGATGAAGCGATTTTGCAGATGCAAATCATGACCCTACTCAATCAACCGTACTCAAAAAGAGGTTTCCTTGGGTGGGCCTGACCTAATTAGGTAAGCACCAAAAAGAGACTCAAAGCAACAGTGGATAGTCTCCACTATCCTTGAAGAAGAAAGCTGCCAGGCTGTGAGAGGACTACATGGCTAGGACCTAAGGGAAGCCCCTAGGGAAGCAAGGAACACTTCCAGCCAAAAGACAACAAGAAATGGCGACCTCAGTCCTACAACCACAAAGGACTGAATTCTGGCAAAAATCCTTGAGCTGGGAAAGGATCCTGAGCCTCAGATGAGATCAAAGCTCTGGCCAACACTTGAATTTCAGCCTTGGGGGACTGCTGAGCAGAGGACCTAGTTACTAGGACTCCTGACCCACAGAAATTGTGAGCTAATAAATGGATGTCATTTTATGCCACCAAGTTGTGATAATTTATTGTTTACCAATAGAAAATGAATATGATCTCTACAGAAGACAGTATGTGCTCAATATTAGAGAATGCCCAGCTAGTAGTCAGGGTATCCTAGGAGACTTTCTTGAAGTTAATATGGGTATCTCAGAAAAAAAGCCACTACTCAGAAAAGCAAAATTAAAACCCTCGTAAAGTCATCCATGAGAGAAGGAAGCCCAAGGAACTAACAGCAGTGTTTATAGCCCAGGAAAAAAACGAGTGGCCACGGACCTAATGGAGGTGTTGAAAATACCTTCTGTGCACACATGGAGAAAAAATGAATATAAGACATGAAAGAGGGCTACAACATTATAAATAACATTTGTGTTTTATACCAATTCCTAAAATACACACTTATTGAAGTTTAAAAATTAAGATATAAAAAGAAAATATTTTGATGTTGTTGTAATCACATGTATTTTGTATATTTTGTATTTTGCTTTTTTTTTAAGTTCAGCAGTACATGTGCAGGTTTGTTATATAGGTAAATTTGGGTCATGGGGATTTGTTGTACAGATTATTTCATCACCCAGGTATTAAGCCTAGTACCCATTAGTTGTTTTTCCTGATCTTCTGCCGCCTCTCCCCCTGACCCCCCCCACTGTGTGTTATTCCCCCACATGCGTCCATGTCTCATCATAATTTAGCTCCTACTTATAAGTGAGAACATGTGGTATTTGGTTTTCTGTTCCTGCATTAGTGTGCTAAGATTAATGGCCTCCAGCTCCATCCATGTCCCTGTAAAGGACATGATCTCATTCTTTTTTATGACTGCATAGTGCTCCATGGTGTATACGTACCACATTTTCTTTATCCAATCTGCCACTGATGGGCATGTAGATTTATTCCATAACTTTGCTACTGTGAATAGTGCTGCACTAAACATATGAGTATCTGTGTCTTTGTGACAGAATGATTTATATGCCTTTGGATATGTACTCAGTAATGACATTGCTGGGTTGAATGGTATTTCTGTTTTTAGGTCTTTGAGGAATCACCACACTGTTTTTCCACAATGGTTCCACAATGGTTGAACTAATTCACACTCCCACCAACAGTGTAAAAACATTCCTTTTTCTCTGTAACCTCACCAGCATCTGTCATTTTGTGACTTAATAATAGCCATTCTGACTGGTGTGAGATGTTGTCTCATTGTGGTTTCAATTTGCATTTCTCTAATGATCAGTGATGTTGAGCTTTTTTTGGTATGCTTATTGGCCACACGTCTTCTTTTGAAAAGTATGTCATGTCTTTTGCCCACTTTTTAATGAGTTTGTTTTCTTGTAAATTTAAGTTCCTTAGAGATGCTGGATATTAGGCCTTTGTCAGATGAATAGTCTGCAATGTTTTCCCCCATTCTATAGGTTGTCTGTTTACTCTGTTGATAGTTTCTTTTGCTGTGCAGAAGCTCTTCAGTTTAAAGAGATCCCATTTGACAATTTTTGCTATTGCTGAAATTGCTTTTGGCATCTCTGTCATGAAATCTTTCCCTTTTCCTATGTCCAAGGTTTTTATAGTTTGAGGTTTTACATTTAATTCTTTAATCCATCTTGAATTAATTTTTGTATATAGTGTAAGGAAGGGGGCCAGGAAGAGAGCCAGACTTTTAACATAACAAATGTTATCCTGAGTCATTGCATTTTGTCATCTGCATCATTTTAAGGGGTGCATATTATTCCATCTCATGGCATGGGCTGTGATTTACTTAAACATTTTCCGATTGTTAGATGTTAAAGCCGTTCTAAATTTTAAAATATGTATTCTGAACCTGGGGGAAACTTTCAAGCATCAAAACCTATAGGAAATGGTGTTAGTTCATAGAGCTTCTTCCCTTGCATTTGACTACTCACCATTTTAAAAACAGTCTAAAATAAAGCTAGCAGGGGTTCCTGCTGAATAAAATCCTATCTTATCCTTAGAGTTTCCTCTGTCCTTGGGTATTCTTTTTGTTCAAACATGCTCTGACTTGATCCAGATTACTTATTTTCATTGCAATTTCCTCCCCTGGGAAATCTGTTCTTTCCTGGCCTGTCTCCCTCTGTCTCCTTTGTAAACACTAAAGTATGATATGAGATTTGTCCTAAGTAATGTTTACTTTCTCCTTTAGTAAAACGGCTCTTCCATCTCTGAGAAAGCCCTATTGTTGCTATCACTAGTCACTCATTCCTTGTACACATGCAAAATAAGCCCTACAAGCCTCTCAGTGATCCTCCCATCCTCCCATTGCATGACTTTCATTTATCATGTTTTCCTTATACTGTCATGAATTTACTTTGTCATCTCTCCAGCTTGCCTCTGCCTGTGCTGTCATATGTTTGTACCCAGCACAGAGAAGCCACAGAAGCTAGTGGATGGTGGCTTGGTCTAGAGGGCAGGCCTTGAGTTCTGGTCTACCTTTAATGGGTGACTGGTATATCAGATGGGAAAGGGGCTCCATAAGGGAGATGCCCTGAACCATGTCTTTGGGGAGTGGTACAATGTAGCGCATGTAACATGGGTTTTAGAACCAGACAGACCTGAGGTCATTATCAGTTTTGTGGCCAAAGACAAGCTACTTTCATTCTTTCAGTTTCCTCATTTGTAAAATGTAATTGACAATAGTACTAACATCATTAGGTGGTTGTATGGATTAAATGAAATGATGCATGTGCCCTTAGCATAGTCCTTAGCACATGGTAATAGGTAAATTTAAAACCATGACTAGTATAAGTTGCTCCCTAGTTGGGACATATTAGAGAAGGCTTCCTGAAGGAAGTGAGGCCCAATCTGAGATCTGAAAGTAAAGGGGTGAGGAAGTAGGCCCAACAAAGAGAATTTCAAACATAGAGGACAGCACATGCAAAAGACCTGTGGTTAGAGGGAACTTTGCTCATTAAGAATATCAGAAAGAAGAACAGAGTAGCTGGTACAGAAAGTGGAGTGACTGAAAAATAAGAGATGAGCAGGTGTCAGGCCCAGTAAGCCTGTATGGGATGTCTGTGATTTGGCTCTTGAACCCAAGTGCCATGGAAAAGCACTCAAATATTTTCAACTGGAGATAGTGGGAAGGTGGGGATGATGGAATCATATTTTTATTTCAAAAGTCAGTTATTTCAGGAGCAATGTAAAAAATTAACTGAAGATGAGTATTAAAATTAACATGGAAGGCCTTTTAGCAGGCTATTGCAGTAGAAGAAACAAGGGATAATGGTAGCTTAGGCTGTTGGTTTTGATGATGGAAAGAAGTAAAATCAAGAGACATTGACAAATAATAAGGAAGAGGGAAATTTCAAGAATAACTTCAAGGATCTAGGCTTGCACAGGCAAGTAGATTAAGGAGCCACTACTTGAGAGAGGGAACTTTGGAAAGAAACTGTTTAGGAAGATAATGGCATGAGTTTGAGGTGCCTTTGAGTCATTCTCATGAACATGTTGGGTAGGAGGCTGAGGATGTCAGTCTCAATCTCAGAAGATGGTGAGTCATCCAGAGGGAGGTGGTATTTAAGGCAGTTGGCATGAATGGAATTGGGAGTACTGGATGTGATTAAATCCTAGTGTCTAGGAGTGCAGTCTGGGTAGCAGTACTTTTAAAAACTTCAGGTGATGCTAACATGCAGCCAGGATTGAGAACCATTGCACCTGCTATTCTGCTGTGCTGAGGCAGGAAGAAGGAATTGACAAGGATAGCGGCATCTTGCATAACTAGTTGCTCTTGTGGTCTGCTCTCTGCTGGCTTTCATTCCTTTTTTGACCAATGCTGAACTGACCTCAAAATCCTCTGGCTTCTTTGTAGGGTACCCTGTGAACTCTTCAGAAGGCTCTTAGTTCTGCTATGAGAAGCCACTCCCAGCTGACCCTCCTCAGTTCTCATGACCAGTATTTCATACCTCTTACTATTAAGATTCCCACAACCAGAGGTCCTCTCTTGTGGGTAGAGCAATAGCCTGAAGACTCTAGCCAGATGACACAGTGATATTCCTTGGCACAGAGGAAATTCAAGACAAACAGTGGACACATGGGTTTCTCCATTTCACCTTCTCTCTTTTCCCTGCTATCCCTTTCTCATCCTCTTTTGTCCTGCTCACGCAAAGGACGGATAAACCAACAAGTCCTCTGCCTAAGCCCAATATCCAGCTGGGCTCTCCCTAAAACATTCTGATTTCTACACTCATATTAAAATCCTGACTACCCACTTAGCTTGGCAAAATTTGGGTAGGAAACACCAACAATGTCCACCTTTTGGTTGGGCAGTGGGGATAAGCTATGACGACGAACACTGCAGTCCTACTTTCATTCTCTCCTCTCCTCTACGGTATCATGCATATGTCGCCTGACTTGGAGCTGAGGATAAGGCTCTTTCGAGGCCTTGTAATAAGCCCTGGAGCAGTGTGTAGCATCATTTTTTAGCAGCTGTCTTGAGTTCGAGTCTAGCTGAAAATTAGATTCACCTGAGAAACCTTAATTAAAAATACCAATGCCCCTAGATCCAAGCTCCAGGAAGCTTTTGTTCAATTGGTCTATGGTATATCTCAGATTTTTGTGATTTTTTTTCCCTTTTATAACTTTATGGCTTTTTTCATTCATTTGTTGTATATAATTGTACATTCACATGCAATTGTAGGAAATAATACAGAGCAATTCCATAGACACTTTACCCAGTTTTCCCCAATGGTAACATCTTGCAAAAGTTTAGTACAATGTCACAAGTAAGATATTGACAATGATACAGTCAAGATGCAGAATATTTTTATCAATACAAATTACCCTTTTTATCAACACAAGTTGCAGCCACTAATCTATTCCATAATTTTTCCAATTTAATAATGTTACATAAATGGCATTATACAGCATATAATATTTTGGATTTTATCACTCAGTATGATTCTCTAGAGATTCTTCCATGTTATTGTGTTTATAATGCACCAATATTTTGCTCCTTTTTATTCCTGAGTAGTATTCCACAGTATGATGTACCATAATTTGTTTAGCCATTTGCCTGTTGAAGGACTTCTAGGTTGTTTACAGTTTTTGACTTATGAATAAAACTATTATGAACATTTGGGTACAGATGTTTGGGTGAATATAAGTTCTCATTCTTCTAGGATAAATGCCTAAGAGTACTGTATTAGTCAGGGTTCTCTAGAGAGACAGAACTAACAGGATAGATGTATATATGAAGAGGAGTTTATTAAGGAGTATTGACTCACACGATCACAAGGTAAAGTCCCACAATAGGCCATCTGCAAGGTGAGGAACAAGGAAGCCAGTCTGAGTTCCAAAACCTCAAAAGTAGGGAAGCCAGCAGTGCAGCCTTCAGCCTGTGGCCAAAGGCCTAAGAGCCCATGGCAAATCACTAGTGTAGGTCCAAGAGTCCAAAAGCTGAAGAACTTGGAGTCTGATGTTTGAGGATGGGAAGCATCCAGCATGGGAGAAAGATGAAGGCCAGGAGACTCAGTCAGTCACGTTCTTCCAACTTCTGCCTGCTTTATTCTAGCCATGCTTGCAGCTGATTAGATGGTGGCCACCAGATCAAGGGTTGATCTGCCCCTCCCAGTCTACTGACTCAAATGTTAATCTCCTTTGGCAACACCCTCACAGATGCACCCAGGAACAATACTTTGCATACTTCAATTCAATCAAGTTGACACTCAATATTAACCATCACAAGTAGTTTCTAGGTTGTATGGTATTAATAGTTGCATGTTCAGTTTTATAAGAGACTGTATTGCCTCATGGTCCAAGACAGTTCTTTGAGTGAACCATAATTACCTGAATTTCAGATGACAGAAAGAAGTAAAAGGGTAAAATAGTACATCTCCAATTAAGTAACTTCTCTTTATGCAGACTTCCCAGGAGTTTTAGACAACACTTTAACTTATGTCTTAAAGCTAGCACTTAGTTACCTGACAATACCTAGCTGCAAGGGAGTCTGAAAAATATCTCATCTGGGTGCATGGCTGCCCTGAATAAAACCAGGGTCCCATCTATCTGAATAAACTAGATTATGCTGCAGTAACAAAAAACCCTCAAGTCTCAGAGGCTTAACCACAACAAAGTCTTATTTTCCTCTTTTGTTACATGACCATCCTGGATTAGTTAGGGCTTGGCTCTGCGTGTCTTCACTCTGAAACCCAGAACCATGATCAGGAACGTGGCCAAAGAACATGGTAATTCCTACTTTATTCTTTAAAGTTCACAATGTATTAGCCAAAGCAAGTCACCTGGCTACATCTAACTGCAAGGCGTCAGGAAGTATAATTCTACCATTTATCAAAAGGGGGAGAAACAGAAATGTTTAGAGAATATGAGTGATGACTTATCACAGTAAAGGAGGAAAGGGAGAATAGATGTTTCGATAAGAAGCAATCCCTGCCACAATCTCAATTGTCTATGTGTTATTTGTAACCTGCTTTTGCTCTACCTTTTGTGTATCAATGATACTAAGGGTTTAATTGTCATTACCTAAATACACTATGCTACTTCATTACTTAGTATATTTATTAATGGGGTTTGCATTCCCTGAAGTGTCTTTCCCCATTTATCTTCCATGTTCTCAAGACTGGGCTCAGATGTCCTTAAGCCCCATGCCTTGTGCCTGTCTCACAGCACCTTATCTGTGCTTGCCATTTAGGATTATGTACAGCTGTAGTGGTTCCAGATCTTGACCTAGTGTGGCAGCTCTGCTTCCCAAAATCATCAGGGATCCAGTGTCCTTCTACTTTGCACAATGTAACTCTTTGATTGCCATATCATATCCAATTTGGCTGCTTAAATTCCAACCATCATACCTTTAACCCAGCACATAGGAAGGATGAATAGTCAAAGACCAGCACACAACTCCTCCCCTTGAAATACCTTTTTGATTAGTTGCAAATATTTCTACTTACATCCCATTAACCAGAACCTGGTCATACAGCTATACTCTGCTGCAAGGGAGTCTGAGAAAATGTAGCCTTTTTCTGGGAAGGCATATATTCAGGTCAATATTGAGGCTCTATTATAGTACTAATGAAGAAGAGATAATGCTGAGGGATACTGAGGTATAAACAGTCTCTGCTGCAAAGATGAACACGGCAGTCCATTGCTTCATCCTCCCTTTCAGTCTTCACTCAATCAAAACTTGTCTATTGAGTTCCTACTGTCTAGAAGAAAACAAGACAGGCATGTTCCCTGCATTTATGAAACCTCCAATCCTTAAACAAGTAACCACCCAGATGAATACATGATTGCAAATTCTGATTAGCACAATAAAGAAAAATTTCACGGCCAGGCGTGGTGGCTCACGCCTATAATCCCAGCACTTTGGGAGGCCAAGGCGGGTGGATCACCTGAGGTCAGGAGTCTGAGACCAGCATCAACATGGAGAAACCTGGTCTCTACTAAAAATACAAAATTAGCCGGGCATGGTTGTGCATGCCTGTAATCCCAGCTACTCGGTAGACTAAGGCAGGAGAATTGCTTGAACCTGGGAGGCGGAGGTTGCAGTGAGCCAAGATTGCGCCATTGCACTCCAGCCTGGGCAACAGGAGTGAAACTCTGTCTCAAAAAAAAAAAAAAAAAAAATGACAGAGCTAATTCAGACGGAAGGAGGGATCAAGGAGAACCTGTTAAGGGTTGTGGGGGAAGCATGGCTGGGGAGGCTGGCACAAGGATCAATAGTGCAGCAGGGGTGGTGCGGGGACTGTTCCAGGAAGAGGGGGAAATATCTGCAAAGGCCCTGGGGCAAGAAGGAGCTTGGTGTATTTGAAAAACAGAAGGACAGTCATGTGGTTGGACCTAGTGCACAGAAGAAGGGAGGTGTGAGATGCAGCCGGAAATCTAGGCAGAGGCCAGATCCCAGGCTTTGCAGGCCACACTAAGGGACTGGGAGGATTCTAGGAAGAGTGACATGATTACCAAACACTAAGCAAATGAGGAAGTTAGAAACTGGTTTCTTATTTTTCATGTGTTACATTTTTCCATACATCAACCTCCTATTTTTATCATTCTTTGTATAATCATTTTTCTTTGAACATTTTTCCTCCTTCTATTCAGATTCATGCAGTAGTATTTGCATTCTTTTGAATTGGCCTTGTTAAAATTCATCATTGGTTTATTTTTATTCCTTCTTAGGTCCCTGTTTATCATTTGCTATTCTCCAAAAGAGGTAGAAAAACATAGGGGAATTCATTGAGGAAAAAGAAATGGTTATTTAAAATACTGCAATTTAGGACCAATCCCTGGTCTTTCTTCTGAAACTATTATCAGCCCTGTTTTGTGATTTCACAGGGCTGGTGCAAACCATGAACTTCTAGATTCATCATTGGTCTGCACAACCGCAGTGATGAGATGGAAAGAAGGGGCACCACGGAATTCTTCTGGCTGTGACTTTCACGATTTGGCCCTGCTGTGATTCCCACATTCTGATTTGGAGTTGGCCCTTTACTCCTGGCAATAACATAATCCAGCCTGATGTTAGCTGTACCTCACTAGACTTCTTGTCCCCAGGCTTTCTCTACAGACCTACAGAGTGGCCCTGCTGCTGCTCTGGGAAACTCTGCCTCCAGCCTTGACTCTTTCCTTTTTTCCTACATTTTTATATTTTTGATATCTATTTATATCTAGCCATAAGTCTAGGCAATAGAGGAAATTTTTGCTAAGAGAGACTAACGGGGCTCGGGTTTGATTCAGATGGAAGGAAGAACCAGGGAAAGCCTTTTCAGGGTTGCAGAGAGAAGTATGGCTGGATACCCCCTTCAGTGGGGTGGGTAGACATGTATTGGTCACCTACTTGTGTCAGCACTGTGCTAGGTGCTTGGATGCAAGGATACACTGAGAGAATCAGGGAAGGATTCACATAGAGATGCCTGTTCAGCTAAGACTTGAGGCATGAGTAAAGGATAACCAGGGGAATACAACGTGGAGTGCCACAGCAAGGAGCAGCAGCAGGGGCACAAGTGTGTAAACGTGAGAGTACAGTCCGTTGTGACTGTAACACATGGGGGCTCGTGTAGTGGGTGCAGAAGGCACGGCATCAAGATGCAAGACTGGAGAGCAAGCAGCCCTTGATAGAGCGAGGCTTGAATCCTGCTAACAATGGAGGTTGATTGACAAGAGTTTAAGTAGGAGGTTGAGATGAAGAAACCTGGGCCATCAGTATGAACCAGGGAGGAGAGATTTGAGGGAGGTCATCTGGAAGCGAGAAAGTGAGTCTTTGAAGTAGTCTACCTGAAAATTAGTGAAAAACTAACCTTGAGTAATGGTAATAAGATTTGAGTGATTTGACGTACAGGGAGCCAGAATGGACATAGCTTGGGAAATAACTGAATGAGTGGTGTGATTGACAGTCAGGGATCAGAGATGAACCTCCAGTCTAGTGGGTGGCTGGTGCTACTGAGTGACGCACTGAGTTAAGCAATGCAGGGAGAAGAGCAAGTTTGGTAGGAAGGTTGATGAGTTTTCAGACATGTTGAGTTGGCTGATTTGAATGGACAGAAAGCAAGTTGATTTTAGTGCCAATCCATTTATATTTCATTCATTCTTCAGTGGAGGTAAAAACTAAGAGTAAAGGAGATGAACAAAAAAAGAGATGAGTGAAAACGGAACTAGGATATATGAGCAAGCAATCATGCTGCTATAAAATTCATGGCAGGTCATTCATTTCCTAAATATTTATAGAACATGTACAATCCCCAAGGTAGTATTCTATAGAAACTGTAAAGATAACTAAACTATATGTAACAAATACTAACATTCAATTAGTTATCATACAGGGCTACAAGAATGCCAAAAACAAAATGCAAAAGTAAAAAATGTATTTATATTCAGGGAGATCTAGTAGCCATGGCCTTATCTAAATGATCAAATGTATTATCACTGGAAGCTGGACATCCTGATGTGGTATATTTCCTAGTGTGATGCAATATGAAATCAACAGCAGCATCTATTAAGTATTCTTGCCAAAAATATTTATCTTGACTTTAATCAAGCCTGTATAACCTAACTTCTGGGTTATAGAAACTAGAGTTAGGAACAAGTCCCATAGCACCAAGAAGAAAAGTCAGAAAAATTCAGGGATGTTCTAGAAGACCACTGACCTAGTCTCTTTAAGAAGTCAATATCATGGTGGGGCATGGGTCAGGGGGCAGGTGAAGGAATTAGTGAAATTGTTCTAGATTAAGAGACTGAAAAGACTTAACAATCAAATGCAATGAATAAACTTTGGATTTAGTTTGAAACAGTCACTATAAACTGCATTTGGGGAGCAAGTTGAGAAATGTTAATATGGGCTGGAGTGTTATATGTTATTAGGGAGGTATTCTTAATTTTCTTAAGTGATAATGGTATCGAGGTTAATAAAAGAATGTTCTTATTTTTAGGAGAAATGGGAAGAATTTAAAGGCCGTGTTAATCAGAATCAGGAAAACAGAACTCACACACACACACAAAAGGGTGTTCAAAAGATGGGATTCAATACAGGGAACTGGCCTAAAAAGTGTCAGAAGTGAAAGGGCTAATGGGACAAAAAGGCAACCCAGAGATTAGCTAAAGCAGGAAACCACTACCACCCTGGGATTGAAGAGACAATGGAAGGAGGTTGTATTACCAGAGTCCAGGAGCCAAGGCTGTCCAGTGGGAACTAGCCAGGACTCCCCAGTGGAAGCCTGGATTGTGGAAAAAGGGGCTGACAGAAGTAAACGAAGTCATTTCCCAAAACACAGAGAGTGGTAGAAACACCCTGTCTTCTCATCCAATCTCCAGCCCATGCTTTACATTGGCCAAAACCTACAAAACCCAGTTGCAAGGGAGTCTGGGAAATGCAGTTTGCAGTAAATGGCTCCCAGAGGTACCTTCACAGTGTAGGGTGAAGAGCAGGGAATGGATCAAAGGCAAATTACTGGCCCCAGAAAAATTGTCATACTTGCAACCTATTTTCGAATGGTCCAGGGAACAAAATATGTACATACATATACATACAGATAAAAGAACTTTGGTAAAATGTGGAATCTAGGTGGGCATATAGATGTTTGTTATATTTCAGTTTTTCTATATGTTTGAAGTTTTTCACAATAAAAAGTAGGTGAAAAATCCATTCTGATACTCTATGAAAGAGAAGTTAGGAACCTGATACGAGGTCATGGCCATGAAAATAGAGGAAATACTAAAATTGAATTTGACAAAGTTTCTTATTAAATTCTTATAACCAAGATGAAAAAAAAAATGTGAGCCAGGGCAGCATTTATCATTTTTTTCTACCACTACACTTTTGATAGTTGATTTTTTTAATTTCACTCTCCCAGGGACATACCCACTATTATTCCCATGCCAGCTATAACACCTAACCCTGTATACCACATGCAAAAAAGTTTGATAAAATGGAAGTTAATGAGAATGGCTTTAACTTGGTGGTAATCTTTAGTCTGTTCTATTTTTTAAAGAAACTAGTTATGAAATACCTCACAGTCCATTGCAAAACACCAGTGTGTTGTGACATTAAAGTTGAGAAACCTTCAGCTAGAAAAATAGTATAATTATAAAGCCACACACATGGTTTCATACTACCCAACTACTACCCAAAGTAGTTGACTAATGCAAAGATGTCAGCCTGGAGGGAGGCTTCTCATAATGCACCAGAGGGTGTTTTTTAGTTTGGCCCTGTCAGTTTTACACATTTATCAATGTCTTGGATGAGATTTAGAAAACAAGATCATAATTGCTAATAGCATGAAACCTAGAGTGAGAGTGAATGCCAGCTGAGGATCCGTAAAGATTTGGATCAGAGTGATGAACAAATATAAATTGGTTTCTAATAGAAATATGTGACCAGTCTTTCATCTGGATCCAGAAAAACCAACTAAGCATAACATGTCTGGTACATAGAACTAGACAGCTTTAGTTCATTCTCTAGTTCTTCCACTAATGACCTGTATAAACTTCAGCAAGGTAACTTTATCTCTCATTAAGTGCCTCCATTGTCACACTGGTAAACAGAAACAATAGTAATATCTACTCCACAGTAGCTTAAGAGAGTTCATATACATCAAAGCAGTTGAATAGTCCGTGGCCCAGATAACAAGAAATGTTGCTTCTTATTAGTGATGTGTGTAGAAGAGGGCTGATGGCTATAGTATCTACTAGATAGGATAAAAAAGATTGATAATACATTCAATAGATTTCAGTTGTGGGACAGAGTTAGTAGTCTATGACACAAGACTATTTTGCTCAATTTTTTATTGTGGTAAAATGCACATAACAAAATTTACCATCTTAACCACTTTTAAGCATACACTTCAGTAGCACTAAGTACATTCACATTGTGTTACATTACCATCCTCCATCTCTGGAGTTCTCTTCATTTTGAAAAAGTTAAACTCTATATCCATTAAAGAACCCCCATTTCTACTCCCCCTAGCCTCTGATAACCATCATTTTACTTTCTGTACCTCTGATTTTGACTACTCTAAGTATCTCATAGAAATGAAACCATAAAGTATATTTTTTGTGACTGGCTTATTTCACTAAGCATAACGTCCTCAAGATTCATCCATGTTATAGCAAATATTGAGTTTTTTTCCTTTTTAAAGCTGAATGATATTTCAGATATAAATACACATTTTGCTTATCCACTCGTTTATCGAGCACCTGGGCTGGTTCCATATTTTAGCTATTATGAATATAGATGTACAAATATCTTTGAAATCCTGCTTTAATTCTTTTGAGTATATACCCCAAAATAGAAATGCTGAATCATATGGTAATTCTATTTGATTTTTTGAGGAACTACTGTATTGTTTCCACAGTGACTATTCCATTTTGCATTCCCATCAGCAGTGCAAAAGGGTTCCAATTATTCCACATCTTCAACACTTGGTATTTTTCTGGGGGGTTTTCTGATAGTAGCCATACTAATGGGTATGAGATGGTTTCTCATTATAGTTTTGATTTGCATTTCCCCAGTGATTTTGAGCATTTTTTCATGGCTTTTTAGCCATTTGTACATCTTTTTTGGATAAATGTCTTGGCACTTTTTGAATCAGGTTGTTTTGTTGTTGTTGAGACTTTAATAGAATCTCACTGCTGTGAATAAGACTGATGAAAGTCATGATTTACTCTGCCCTGCTCGGGCTACAACTTGAACAAGGGCTTGAGATCAGGTGTCATAGTAGCAAACTCTCATAAACAAATCAGAGTCTGTGCAGTACAGAGCTGAAATGCAGGTACTGTTGATAGAATTGGAGGTGTCAGACTGTCTAAAATTTTACTGAGCTGTGGAATAGAATGTTGATGTTGTTTTGTGTGCCCCCCATTGATTTCTCCAGAGCCAATGAGTAAAAATTACCATGACATAGATGCTGAGTCCACATAATGAAAACCTTCCTTATGATTGGAAGAGCTGTTTTGGGGTATGCTAAGTTCCCCGTCCCTGCCATGATAAGACATTATATGTTAGGGTGACTGCTTGGCAAGGGTGTGATGGGACTTAAACTCCAGATGTGTGATTGGATTAGGTGCCTTTTAAGATTGACTCCCAGAAATTCTGAGTTTTTATCCAATGAAAATCTTAGGATTCTAGATTTGTTTCTAATTACATACTTAACTGCTTCCTACACTGCTGCCTTTAAAGCTCTTATTGGGTGTTTTTAGGCTCTGGGCCAACAAGACTGCACTTTTTTTTTCCTACCACCAAAGAGGTTAAATACTCAGTATGTTCATTTTTTAGGAAATGAAGTTGAAATGATTAAACAGGAAATATGCACTTAGCTCCTAATGTTAGCTACATCAAGACAAAATCAATTTCATTTCAAATGGAATGCTATTGGAGAGCTGTTTAGAAATTTGTTGATAGGAAAGAAATATTGAAGGTGAATACACCAGACACAGGAAATGAGAAAATTAAAGATATCTTTCAATGCTAAAAAGCACTCTGTCTTTCCTGTTCTCAAAACCTTGAAGAAATCTTTAAAACGCTCTACTTATTTGAGACATAAATATCTTAGACTAAAAGTCAACAACACCTGGATCAAGAACCAAAATTTTCTCTACTAGGTTGTCTATGGAAACTCAGAAACCTGAATTCTGAAGATGCCCAAATCACTGACCACACATACCTCCATGAATATATAGAGAGGGGGAAAAGCCAGAAAAATCTTGCTAGTTCTAACACCTTTATGTGAACAAGGTCATTGGTCATACCCCACGTGGCCTCTGTTTTCAATTGGTAAGCATTCTTTTTAAGCCTAAGAAGTAGAATTTACACATTATATGCAGCAGTGCTTCATTTCCTTCTCAACGACTAGCTCTGCTGCTTTGGGAAAGGGAAAATTTCCAACTCTCCCAAGGCAGTTGAGTGGCTTATGCCAAACAGTGTTAAGTTTTTCATCACCTGCAACTAGGTTTGTGAGTCTTATGAAATAACCAAAAAGTATGTTCAGAATCTCTGGCCTCCAGTCAAAGACGAAGATGGAAGCATGAAATTGAGGTTGAATATATTATACCTTTCTCCATCTTAGGTTTTTGTGTTTTACCTATAGGGGAAAAAAATCAAATATGTATTTTAAAGATTTATATTTTACATCAAATACATATTTTAATATATCATTGGGGAGGATTTTGTAATCTTGAAATTTAATCAGACTATTCTTTTCAAATTTTAGAACACAAACTAATTTAACATAGCTTCCAGAAACCAGAAATAAGTAAAAATTTGTCTTGCAGTAGTTGAAAATCTGATGTTCTATCATGAGAATTTAAGAGTCTTTCTTTTCTGGAGTTCATATTTTTCACTTCTATCTAGATCCCAAACTCTTTAGTTCACCAGATCTTGGGCCAGGTGATGCAGATTCCTCATTAGAAAGCATCCTCACTTTTAGGTCTGTAGGCCTTTCTAAAGAATTATGAAATGCTCCCTCTACTATTATATTAAGAACATAAGGCTTTTTCTTTTGTTTTACTAGGAATTCCATCAGCAGTGAGATGGAAACAGTCAAAACCAGGAATACAACAGTATTGATAAAAATAAGACAGTTTACATTATCAAGTAGATCTACATTTTTGGATATTTGTTTTTCTGAATGTAATATACAATCCTAAGAAATAAATATTGGCAATAGTATTGAGAAAAAGAAGCTTTTGTAATTCTGAAATGGCTAACAGCATCAGCCTTTTCATTATTTATTAGTACATCAGTAAGTTTGACAGGAAATTATAGCTAAAGCATGTGGGCAAAGTGTGGGGAGAAAGAAGCAAAAGCTCCAAAAAAGGACATTTTCTTCTCCCCAGAAAACTTTGCCAGTATTATCACTAGTGAAAATTTTGGCTCCTTCTTAACTTACCCCAGATTTCCCTGTCAATAGCACCCAAAAATGGAATTTAAAAAAAATATTTAATAGAGGATGACTTTCAATTCCCAAAGGTGACCACCCCTAGATTGAAAACACGCTCTTCTGGAGAAACTATGAGTCTTTTATTTACCTGAGTCTTATGTGATTTGCAACAGAGTAGACACTTAAATATTTATTGAATAAGTCAGCAAATAAACAAATGAATAAGAGGATAGACAGAAGCAAAATAGAAATACATTATGAGACGATAAGAAGTAACTGAATTTTCAAACTGAAGAATCTTTTAGGATGACTCTAATGATTCATAAAGTCAAAGAGCTATCATAACCCCACATCATTATTTACTACATTTTCTGATTTTCCTTTAAGTATATGCCTAACAAGCAAATACCTGTGCATTTCAAAAAATCCAGATGTATAAATTGCACGACCTTAGACATGAGACTTAAGCTGAGACTCGATTTCTTCATCTGCAACATGGGAATGATAAGTTAAATGATTTAGTGTTAATAAAGCACCTAGAACAGGACTTGACATACAGTAAGCACACAATAATTATCAGTTAAAATTGTGATCTTCATCCTTTACATCTTCTTCAGTGGATTCATTAGATGCAGAGAAAGTAACAACAAATTACTTTTAAAAGATGTTCAAAATCAGATCATTTTATAACAGTTTTAATTCATCTTAAAGTCAAGTGCATAAAAATGGAAAACAGATTCAAAATTTTCCTCTCCTTAAGGGCAGACGCAATGCATCATTTAGCTTTCTATCTCCCAATGAATCTTTCAAACTGTCTTATCGACACACATGTAAAGCAGTCAAGATCTGTTTGTGAAATCTAAGAACTAAATATATAATAGAACAAATTCTCCCATCTTGAGTTGACCTCACCAAAATTTTGTTCATAAGGATTTCTTTTACGTTGCTTTTTTAGCAACTTCAAGAATTTCAGTTCCATATAAGAGAGTGCTGAGTCAGTCCTCTTGGCAGTAATGAGAAGAGGGGAACATGAGAACTGGAAATAGGAGAGGAAGGTAAAGTATGTGGTGGAACTGGAGTAGAGAGTTTTGTAATGAAGATTTTTGCAAAGAAGAAAAGAATGTCGAGAGATAGTAAATCCCAAGCTTAAAGCTACACACTTATGTTTGTAAGGAAGACAGGCATGAGATACTAGTAAAAAGGTAACCAGCAGACTTCACAAGCTTTGGCATAAAGACTCTTGTCAATGCTCATTGAGCCTTTACAATGTACTACATAGATCCGATCATTTAATCCATCCTCACAGCAACGTGTTGGGAGGGCACTATTGGACTGACTCTGTAGACAAAGATACTGAGTCATAGAAAGGTTTAAAATGTGCCCCAGGTCACAGCTAGCAAATGATAAAATCAGGATTTGAACTCAGGCAAGTCTGACTGCAGACTTAAACCTGATGACACATTCCTCATGACTAAATCTATATAATCCTCTGTACTATGGCCAGGTATGAGATATGCTTAGTTGGCTATGCCAACAAGGTTTTAAAAAAAGCTAAACAAAGGTTTTACATCCCAAGAGTTCTAGTTATTCATTATTGGGCCCAGAAAGAAGAAAATCAAAACTGAGTTAAAAATTAGAAAGATAGGCCGGGCGTGGTTGGCTCACGCCTGTAATCCCAGCACTTTGGGAGGCTGAGGTGGGCACATCACTTGAGATCAGGAGTTCGAGGCCAGCCTGGCCAACATGGTGAAAACTCATCTCTACTAAAAATACAAAAATTAGGCAGGCGTGGTGACGCATGTCTGTAACCCCAGCTACTCGGGATGCTGAGGCAAGAAAATTGCTTGAACCTGGGAGGTGGAAGTTGCAGTGAGCCGAGATTGCGCTATTGCACTCCAGCCTGGGCAACAAGAGTGAAACTCCGTCTCAAAAAAAAAAAAAAAAAAATTCAAAAGGAATGAGGTCGATGCAGGGGGTAGGGGGGCTACAGAAGCCTCTTTTGTGAAGGTTGTCTGCAGCAATCCAAAAACATCCTATTGAAACTCTAAAGAAGGAATATTCTAAAGATTTACTTAAAAGATCTTAAAGAGGGCCGGGCGCGGTGGCTCACGCCTGTAATCCCAGCACTTTGGAAGGCTGAGGCGGGCGGATCACGAGGTCAGGAGATCGAGACCATCCTAGCTAACGCGGTGAAACCCCGTCTCTACTAAAACTACAAAAAAATTAGCCTGGTGTGATGGCGGGCGCCTGTAGTCCCAGTTACTTGGGAGGCTGAGAGAGGAGAATTGCTTGAACCCGGGAGGCGGAGGTTGCAGTGAACTGAGATAGCACCACTGCACTCCAGCCTGGGCAACAGAGCAAGACTCCGTCTCAAAAAAGAAAAAAATCTTAAAGAGAATAAATGAAAACCAACTGCATGCCTCTCCGTTCACCCACTGTAGCTGTGGTATTCACCTTGCATGGTCCATACTTCTCTTCTAAAAAGAGCCTCCTGGTTTTCCTTTAAGAATTCATCCTCCCCCGCTCTCAGAGCAAATTCTAGTGAGGCTGACTTCACTTTCAGCCTGAACATTAAAAGTTCTGCATCACTCTGATCAATGTGCATAGAACTCTGATGATCAGCCATGAGATTTTCAATGGAATTAACAAAGAGAAGGATTTTTCCCAGGAAATGTCATACCGGTGTGCTCTAGTCCTAGACTTAGTGATGGTCATCTTTTTGCACTACTGGGTGAAACCTGTCTCAAATGTGGACAATATAGGGCATATGGGAGAGACACAAATTCCTGGGGGTCTCCAAGTGCACCGGTATCCTGCCGAGACTACCAACTTGCCTTTCCGGTTATATGGGCCAAGGGGAAAAGATGTTTTTAAGTTAGTTTGATTGGGCTTTCTGCCACTTACAACAGACAATCTGGAATAATACACTAATATAAGGCATGCAAAAGGCCCAATGATAGTCCGTTTAGACAGATATCTTTAATATTTTAATTTTGTGTTCACACAAATAAATATATAAAAGAATAGCTTTTCTTAGGATTTTAATCCATCAACCTCTCTATTCCCGTAAATTCTAAAATTTCTTGCCTGTGAATTCTCCTTCCATGGCGGGGTTTTTTTTTTTTTTTTTTTTTTGGGAGACGGAGTCTAGCTCTGTCACCCAGACTGGAGTGCCATGGCGTGATCTCAGCTCACTGCAACTTCTGCCTCCCGGGTTCAAGCGATTCTCCTGTCTCAGCCTCCCGAGTAGCAGGGACTACAGGCATACGCCACCATGCCCGGCTAATTTTTGTATTTTTAGTAGAGACAGGATTCCACCATGTTGGTCAGGCTGGTCTCGAACTCCTGACCTCAAATGATCCACCTGCCTCGGCCTCCCAAAGCGTCCATGGTGTTTTTAGGAACCTAAGCCTCACATATCAGGACTATCACATAGTATCTTAAATATTTACTCATATAGATGTTTTATTAAGATGCTATTAATAAGTGCAACAGGCCAAAGACTTTATTATGAACTTAATATCGTAGACTGCCTTAAGCACCACATTAGATTATTTAGTAAATTTCTTCTTAAAAAATTAACATATCTGGTTGGGTGCAGTGGCTCATACCTGTAATCCCAAATCTTTGGGAAGCCAAGGCAGGAGAATCACCCAAGACCTGGTGTTTGAGACCAGCCTGGTCAACATAATGAGATCCCATCTCTACAGAAAATATTTTAAAAATTAGCCCAGCATGGTATTTGCCTGTAGTCTCAGTACTTGGGAGCCTCAGGTGGGAGGATCCCTTGAACTCAGGGGCTCCAGGATGCAGGGAGCTATGATCATGCCACTGCACTCCAGCCTGGGGGACAGAGTGAGAACCTGTCTCTTAATAAAAGTTAATGTATCTAATAGAAATCTGAAATTAATGAATATAGGTAGAACAGTGGCCCTCCAATTTCAAGGTGCATAAGAATCCCCTTGAAAGGTGGGAAGATTAATGAGTTGAAGATTCCTGGACCCTACCCTCAGAAATACCAATTTGGAAGTTTCGGCATGAAACCCAGGAGTCGAAGTTTTCCCTAAGCTCTGGAGACAATTCTGATATAAGTAGTCTCAGGCCAGCCTTGAGGAAATCTTGATGTTCTCATTGACCGTCAGCTTGATTTTGTAAATTGTGGATCTGTGTCTCCAGAGGCAGTCAAGGATTCCTAAAGATCAACCTGAAAATCCTGCGCAGTTAACTTCAATAAAATGTGGTCAGGATTAAATGAGATAATGCATTCAAAGGGCTTTGTACAGTTTTAACGTGCTGAAAACAATTTTTTAAATTTTTTAGGTTTGGGGGTACATGTGAAGGTTTGTTACATAAACACATGTCATGGGGGTTTGTGGTACATGTTATTACGTCACCCAGGATGAAAATCATTACCCAATAGTTATATTTTCCGCTGCTCTCCCTCCTCTTGCCCTCCCACGTTAAGTAGACCCCAGTGTCTGTTGTTTCCATCTTTTTGTTCATAAGTTCTCTTCATCAAGCTCTCACTTACAAGTGAGAACATACTGTATTTGGTTTTCTGTTCATTAGTTTGCTAAGGTTGACAGCCTTCAGCTCCATCCATGTTCCCACAAAAGACCTGATCTTGTTCTCTTTTTGGCTACATAGTATTCCATGGTGTACATGTACCACGTTTCCTTTATCTAGTCTGTAATTGACGGGCATTTAGGGTGATCCCATGTCTTTGTGAACAGTGCTGCAATGAACATTCACGTACATACGTCTTTATGGTAGAATGCTTTATATTCCTCTGGGTATATACCCAGTAATGGAATTGCTGGGTCTAATGGTAGTTCTGCCTTTAGCTCTTTGAGGAATTGCCATACTGCTTTCCACAATGGTTAAACTAATCTATACCCCCACCAACAGTGTATAAGGGTTCCCTTTTCTCTGCAACCTCACCAGCATCTGTTATCTTTTGACAGTTTAATCATAGCCATTCTGACTGGTGTGAGATGGCGTATCGCTGTGGTTTTGATTTGCATTTCTCTAAAGATCAGTGATACTGAGTTTTTCATATGCTTGTTGGCCACACGTGTGTCTTCTTTTGAGATGTGTCTGTTCATGTCCTTTGCCCACATTTTAATGGGGCTGTTTTTCTCTTGTAAATTTGTTTAAGTTCCTTATAGATGCTGGGTATTTGACCTTTGTCAGATACATAGTTTGCAAATATTTTCTCCCAATCTGTAAGTTGTCTGTTTACTCTGATGAGAGTTTATTTTGCTGTGCAAAAACTCTTAAGTGTCATTACATCCCATTTGTCAATTTTTGCTTTTGTTGTGATTTGTCAAGAGATCTTTGACTCTTCCTATGTCCAGGATGGTGTTGCATAGGTTGTCTTCCAGCATTTTTATAGTTTTGGGTTTTACATTTATGTCATTAATTTTGATTTTTGTATATGGCGTAAGGAGGGGGTCCAGCTTCAATCTTCTGCATATGGTAACAGAGTTATCCCAGCACCATTTATTGAATAGGGAGTCTTTTCCCCATTGCTTGTTTTTGTCAGCTTTGTCAAAGATCAGATGGTCATAGATGTGCAGCCTTATTTCTGGGCTCTCTGTTCTGTTCCATTGGTCTATGTGTCTGTTTTTGTACCAGCACCATGCTGTTTTGTTCACTGTAGCCTTGTTGTATAGTTTCAAGTCAGGTAATGTGATTCCTCCAGCTTTGTTCTTTTTGCTTAGGAATGCCTTGGCTACTCAGGCTCTTTTTTGGTTCCATATAAATTTTAAAATAACTTTTTCTAGTTCTGTGAAAAATGTCCTTGGTAGTTTGATAGAAATAGCATTGAATCTGTAAATTGCTTTGGGCAGGATAGCCATTTTAATGATATTGATTCTTCTTACCAATGAGCATGAGATGTTTTTCCATTTGTTTAGCATGCTATTATAATAGAACTGAAAGACAACAGACTTAAGCATCCTAGTATATCTTTGGAGTCCAGCTCTTATCTCTCTCTGAAAGTATTAAGACTCAAGAAAACTAAATACTATGCTGGTATTTTAAACTTTTCTTTCTCAATGCCAAACCTCTGGGCCTCTCTGGATTTGGGGAAAATATATATCACATTTGTGTGTGCTTCTCTGATCAAATAACTTATAAGGCTGTAAATTTCAGCATACTCAGTAAGAGAAGGTTCTGCAGCAAGTCCAGTCTACAGTGCAAGCTGCTCTGCCTCTTCAATTTTATGGCTCAATAGATCCAATGGTTCTTGAAGTAGACTGACTTCACCCAAGACTGTTACAACAAGAACCCCAGATGCGAAAAACCTTTGCTTACTCTCACTTCTTTGTATATATTGGGAGTTTTACTTCTTGGTTATTTCCTTCCCTCTTTGCTGGTTTAAGGTTCTTAATTGTTCATAAGCACTCCTAGCCTTCAATCACAGTACTCTTAAGATCCTTATCCCTGACAGTAACTAGATATGGGACTAATTATTCAGATACTGTCGGAGTAATCCATATCCAAATTAATGGGAAAAGCCACTTGATTGAGGAAGATCCAAATAGATTATGAGACATGTCTTCATGGCCCAGATTTGGAAGTTTACCTAGTATTTTGAAGTACCTTGCAAAGTTTAATAATCCTTATCTTAGTATTTGTCTGGGTTGCCGAAGCCAACTGTGTGATCTCCAGAGTCTTGTTACTACACAGCTGCTGTCATGCCACATAATTCAACAAGTGATCATCCAACAAAGAGAACAAGAAGTCCTGATGATTAAAGAGATAAAAACAACTACCATTGAAAACTCAATACCCAGTTATGACCCCTCAAAGAGTGGTATAGATCTGGATTGATCACATCCTGAATGGTCCATCAGAAAGGGATTCTGATTAAGTAGAAAAATATACCCTGTTGGTTGCTGTGAAGGGGTATCTGAGAATTGAGGCAAAGACCACAATTTGTAAAACTGTACTAGGACTCACAAAACAGATTAACTGTCCTAAACTGTGACATGCAAGACAAGCAATATAAATTCATACTCTTAACACAGCTCATTTAGACTCATGTGTTCCAAGGACAGACCGCTGACCAACTGATCAAATGGCAACTCTGCCTCAACTCATATGTTAGAGACAAGGCCAATGACTGTGCCAGCAACTTGTCTGGTCTATAGATTCTGACTAATCCCTGACAAGACCATTTGATATGATTTGGCTGTGTCCCCACCCACATCTCATCTTGAATTTTAGCTCCCATAATTCCCACATGTTGTGAGAGGAACTGGGTGGGAAGTAATTGACCATGGAGGCCGGTCTTTCCCGTGCTGTTCTAGTGAAAGTGAATAAGTCTTATGAGATCTGATGATTATATAAAGGGGAGTTTCCCTACACAAGCTCTTTTGCCTGCCATCATGTAAGACATGACTTTGCTCATTTACCTTCAGCAATGATCACGAGGCCTCCCCAGCCATGTGGAACTGTGAGTCAATTAAGCCTCCTTCCTTTATAAATTACCCAGTCTCAGGTGTGTCTTATTAGCAGTATAAGAACGGACTGATACATCATCCTGTGACTAACTCCAGCTCCCTAAACCCCATAAATGCCTTCTCTAATTCACCCATTGTGAGACATCCCTTGGTTCCCCAATATGTGCATTCTCTCTTGCTGCAACAACCTAATAAACCTAATTTTGTGTTTCTGATGCAATGTAATGCTCGGAAATGACTAGTCTGATAGAACAGTGAATGACTTACTGAAGATTCTGTTACAATACCAGTTATGAGACAATATCATGAAATGTTTGGTTTCTCCCTTACAGGCTACCATAAGCCATGAATCAATGACCAGTATGGTGTCATTTCTCACAAGCCAGAATAGATGGGTCCAGAAATCATCAAAGGGTAAGAAGTAGAATTAACTTCTTTCAATATCATACCCACTCAGATTATTTGATGCCTGTTCCCCCCAGTTTTGAACTTTGCAGGTTTGGAGGTTTTAGAGGAATACTTCCACCCAAAAGACACAGCAATGATGCCACTGAATTGGAAGTTGGAAATGTTACCTGGTCATTTTGAGCTCCTTGTGCCACCATATCAGAAGCCAAAGAAAGGGGCCACACTATTGACTGGAGCAATTGATCCTGAGTACCAACACAAAGTTGTGGCTATAAAATGAAAGCAGAAAGGAAAATATACATGGAACCCAGAGTATTCTTTCAGGTGCCTCTTAGTACTTCCATTACAATAGCAAAAGTTATTGGAAAAGTATAACAAGTGAAGGAAGGCATGACCACAAAAAATACACTTTAATAATGAAAATTTGCATCACCCCACCAGGTAAAGGGTTTAGACCAGTTGAAATGCTGGCTGGGGGCAATGAAAACACAAGATGTTTAATAGAAGAAAGAAGTTATAAATATCACTACAGCCTTATAAAACTAGGACTACAACAACAATGCATATTTTCTTCCTTGTTATATAAATACAATATGATATACTGCCTGATGTTATGTTATTATATAGGTTATATTTTTATCTTCTATGATATGTATTATAGGCAATATAGTGTTTTATATTATAAATTATATAATTATGTTATGTTAATATAAATATATATTTTATATTTATTTATGTGTATATAAAAATATATATACTTTATATTTATGTAATATAAATATATATTTATATACTTATATTTATATTAATATAAATATATATTTGCATATATTAACAAAATTTATATATGTAATATATATAAACAAATTTTTTTCTTTCCCTCTCTTTTTCCCTAATTATTGTGAAAAAAATATTGGTAGTGATTAAATTTATAATTTAGTCATTAAATTATAAAATATTTGTAAAGGAATGGAAATGAATTTAAGGAGTAACTAATATCACCAAGAGGTACATACCATGATTGTCACCCATATTAAATATTAAATGTTAAGATATGATTTAATTTGACTATACTGAATTTTTATGTCCCCTTTTGTAGAGAGAATGAAAACACCTTTTATATGAGGGATACTTGGATATATTTGTTATTGCTGCTGTCAGAAAATTCACATGTTTAGACAGATGTATATGGATACTGAATAGCCTAAAATCTGGACTGTGCCCTTTTTTTTCTTTTGAGACCAAGTCTGACTCTGTCACCCAGGCTGGAGTACAGTGGCGTGATCTCAGCTCACCGCAACCCCTGCCTCCCAGGTTCAAGTGATTTTCGTGCCTCAGCCTCCCAAGTAGCTGGAATTACAGGTGCCTGCCACCACACCCAGCTGATTTTTGTATTTTTTAGTAGAGACAGGCTTTACTGTGTTGGCCAGGCTGGTCTCGAACTCCTGACCATAAGTGATCTGCCAGCCTCGGCCTCCCAAAGTGCTAGGATTACAGGCATGAGCAACTGCACCCGGCCTGGTCTGTGCCCATTTTTTTAGCTATTGCCTCTCAGCTCTACACCCATCCTTCTATACTCTGCCTTGGAATCCTGGCACTAAAAATCTGTCAACTATTCCTCCTTTGGCAACCAGCTCTTTGATAGCCTGTGTTAATGGAGGGCACTAGAGCAAGACTGGCAGGCTAGAGGAGGAAGAAGGACTGTTTTCTTCCTGTCGGCAGGGCCCCAGAAACCTCATTGTACCACCTCAGACATACCAGCTCCAGCCAGGCAGAGCCACCTGCTCGGAAGCTCAATCCCAGCCCTTCAGAGTCTCCATTTTGCTGGGTTCTAATAATTCCAAACTCTTCCCTTTGTTCTTCCAGCCCCGGAGTGGTAGCTCTTCTTGCCATTACTACTTCTATAAAAGTGCAATGTCCTTTGCCTTTTTATTCTCAAGAAAACATTTAGCCAAGGTCTTAAATTATCTTTTTAAATAACTAGAATTATTTATGACTGGACAGTAGTGGACACAAATACAAACAGCACTGTTGGCTTAAGATAGTATTTAGAGAACAGGGTTCGCCTATGTAATTACAGTACTAGTAACATTCTACTCTCATGATACAGATCAACAATCCCTGAATTCAAAGTTTTCAGGGCCAGAAATGTTTCAGAACTCTTCAGATTTTAGAAAGGCAATAGAGCATGTATGCATATTAAATTATGTAATAGTTCCAATGGGATGTGGGTCAGTAGCTCATAATTAGACACTTACGGGGATAAATATTCCCTCAAATCAGTTCAGGCCAGGTTTTGCCACCAAATGAGTTACCAAAAAACAAAACTCTTTAATTTTGAAATTGTGGGTAAAACATCTTGAACCTGTATTAGGAAAAGCTACCAAATGACTAATTAAAGGACTTGGTTAAAAAAAAAAATCTAAGATTGAATTAAAGTGTTTTCAAGAAAACACTGAGCAAATCTGGGCAGGGAAGCAATGTCTAACTTAAACATAAGGGGAATGACAACAGAAACAAAGCTTTTGCAGACTACTCTGGCAGTCTTCAGGAAAAACTGCCCCCATTTACCTGAGATTCAGTGAATTGGTTCTGTGATGGTAAATAGAAAAATCTAACAGCAAACCATAAAGAGTCCTTGTTGAGACTAGGTTAATGAAGTTACATGCAAAATTCAGATAGTGCAACTCTATCAAGGGAATCATGACATTACACAAGGAGCATGTCCCAACACGCCAATTTGTTGTTTTTTGATGTGTTACAAAATTAAACGACATAAAAAAGATGTTTATATATATTTTTGGTGATTTAAATATATCAAGCTAGCTGCCAGAACTCGAAAGAGAAACTGGTGAAAGATAATTGCTCTTGAGAAGCGGGACTGAAGAAACGGAAAACAGGGGAAGGGCAGAGAGCTGTTTAGGCTTTTCTGTCTTAGTTGCCCCTTAGTATTCATGGAGAACTGGTTCCAGGACCCTCCTTGGCTACCAAAATCCATAGACACTTAAGTCCATGATATCAAATGGCATAGTATTTGCCCATAACCTATGCACATCCTCGTGTATACTCTAAATCATCTCTAAATAAATCTCTAGATAACTTACAATACTTAGTAAAATGTAAATGCTATGTAAATAGTGGTATACTGTATGTTGAGAGAATAATGCCAAGAAAAAACTCTGTACATGTTTAGTACAGATGCAACCATGTTTTTTTCCTAATATTTTTCACCCATGGTTGGTTGACTCCACATAACATGCAGAATCCACCAATACAGAGGACTGACTGTATTTGATTTGTAACTAGATGAATGTATTTTTTTTAATAAAAGAGTTTCAGTTACTGTTTTAAAATGTAGAGACTTAGAATGAAACATGTCTCTGAGTTGTAAAGAACAAGTGATTAATTTACAGAAAATAAATGCTGGTTTTATACTTTCTGAATAGCAATTTAAAATCTGATTTAATAAAATTGGTTTGAGTCAAATTGACTCAACTTCTAGTTCCACTTGACTTAGTAAAGATCTACTCCCCTCCCTGAAACCAACCTAAACAATAAGCAGAATGATAAAAACAGACAAAAACTTCATCTGCAATGAAACTGGAAAATAATCCCAATCCCAAACCCAAACCAAAAACTATGAAAAACGGCTACCAAAGACAGAAGATTCTGAACCGAATTGAAAGAGGTTGGGAGGAGAGACACCACATGACAGATTGTATGCAGTACAACAAGTTCCCCAAAATCAGCATATGGTTCTGAAGAGCTCAATCAGTGATCCTTCAGTTGCAACAGCAAATTCATAGAGTTTGCTCAGAAATATTCAGGAAGCTTGCTTCAACCTGCTAGCCACAGGGGATGTGGTGCTGGATGAGAAACGACACGGCATGACATTTGTACAAGAAGTCTGCCAGTGTGATTTCATGGAAAAGAGATAAAAAGAAGCAATCAGATTTTATAGCAGGTGATCACAGATGGCTTTATTTTTAGAAACATCTAGTGTTTGCTCTTTGCCAGGACTATTCAAAATTCTTTACACATTTTAACTCACTTGATCCTAATATCCTTAGGAGGTAGGTACTATTATTGTCACCATCCCCATGTTGCTGGTGAGGAAACTGAGGCATTGAGGGGTTAAGTGACTTGCCCAAGGCCACAGCTTGTGAATGACAGAACCTAAATTCATACCTAAACAAAGTGCCTACAAAGTTTGTGTTCATAACCACTAAGTTATAGTGCCTCTTCAAAGAGAAATATGAATGAATTTTTAAAAAACAAAGGAAGAAATAAAGAAAGGAAACATCACATGCAAAAACCATTATTAAAATGCAAGCCATTTGCTCACCCAAGGAGGGTACAAGAGAACACTGAAAACATGGGGAAGAGACATTCTGAGACTTTCAGAGTTTCCATAAACTCTAAGATTTCTCAAACTACTGTTATTTCAACTTAATCCTCTGAGTTGAAACTGTCTGATACCTCAGCTCACCCTCTAGGTTGCTTTCCTCCAAATTCTTGAGGTCATAGCTAGTTATGAGCAGATCGTTTTCATTCAAAGATGAACGGTAATAAGAAATGGAATTCTGCAGCCAATGAAAAGGAAAAAAGCAAACAAAGAAAAGCAATTACACTATGGAAAGACATGCAAAGTGAGCAGATGAAAAAGAAAACAGTAAATAAACAGGAAAAAGGAGACTTAACAGTGCTTACAGAGTCAAGAATATGGAGGAAATGGAAATCTAAATCACACATGCATGCGTGCACACACACACACACACACATACACTACATGTCCTATATGGTACAAGACTTCACTGTAAGCTGGGGAGAAATCACACCATCCCAGAGACAGTCCAAGTTCATAAGCCAGTGTGCTAAGGAGAGAGGATCGGAAGACTAAGATTTCTCAAACTACTGCTACCTTAGCTCAGTCCCCTGGCTCTTCCCCCACATTTAGCTTGAAATAGCCAGTCCAGGAAGAATTTCCCTCATTTAGAAATCAGTAGTTTTCACAAACAGGATCAGCTTAGAATCTACACAATACTTCAAGAAAAAGAGCTGACAGAAAACAAATGAGGAACACATGCATACACATGCACAATGTTTTTTCTTTACCATGAAACAAGAAGTTCTTTATTAAATAAGATAACTTAAAACAAGACTCTTTATACAACAGAAAGTCGAAGTGTTTCTTCTATCTATGTTTTGTACCTATTAACCATCCTTCCTTATACCCCCCCCACTCACTCCCCTTCTCAGCCTCCAGTAGGGTGACTATAGTGAACAATAATTTATTGTATACTTAAAAATAACTAAGAGAATTGAATTAGGATGTTACTAACAGAAATAATAAATGCTTGAGGCTATGAATAGCCCAATTATCCTGATATCATTACACATTGTATGCTTCTATCAAAATATCACATGTACCCCATAAATATGTACAACTATTATGCACTTATAATTTAAAATTTTTAAAAGAAAATAAAGTCAAGGTTCATAGCTAATATTTACTGTGCGATAATTAAATCCTAGGCACTATTCTAAGTTAACTATTTAAACTTAAATGATCAAAAAGATAATCTTGTGAGAACCCAGGCCTAAGAATAAGAATGTCAACTAAAGGATTAAAAAATAAGCTAGCTTTGGATTTCTCCACAGCAGTACTCAACTCTAGAAAATAATGGAGAAATGCATACAAGATTATAGGGAAAAATCCAGCTAAACATTCAAATATAAGAATCGCTATTTTTAAACATGCAAAAATTTAGGAATATAGTTTACCCACATCCTCTGAAATAACTTTGAAGAAGAACTTCACTGGCCAAGAGAAGAGTGGAGAAAATGTGGCTAAAGTACTGGCAATGATCTTTAAATTGACTCAAATGTAGAATTAAGATTAAACAAGAATGAAGTTACAAAATAAAATGTAAACATTATAAACCAAAGCAATATAAAAATGTTACTTAAAAAAATCTAGAAGTTGATGGGTAGAGATGGGATCATGTTTCATAAAAAAGGACATGGTCAATTAATATTATTTTAAAATCAATTAAGTCAATAGCTAGAAGAATTTGGATACTTCTACCATTATAAAAAGAGAGTACGTGGTGATGGATATCTCAAGTACACTGATTTGATCTTTACAAATTATAAAATGTATTAAGTTATCACATGTACCCAGAAACTTGTTTAATTAAAAAAAAAAAAAAATATATATATATATATATATATATATATATCTCAGTGAAGTCTACAAGTATCATACTTAGTGATGAAAGTCTGAATGTTTTTCCCAAAGATCAGGAATGAATCAAGGAAGTCCATTTTCATCACTACTGCAGAATATGGTGTTGAGGATTCTAGCCAGAGCAATAAAGCAGGGGGAAGAAATATAAAGCATACAGATTGGAAAGGAAGAAACAAATGTTTTTACTTCAAGTCTATATAATCTTCCATAATCAGCAAAAAGCTAAAAACTATAAAATCTTGATGAAATAAATCAAAGAGCAGAAAAATGGTAAGATATACCATGTTCATGAATCAGAAGATGTCAATTCTGCCAAAATTCCTCTGTAGATTCAATGTAATTCCCAATGAAAATTCCGGAAGTTATTTTTATAAAAATTGACAAGTTGAGTCTAAAATTTATAGGAAAAATCAAGTCCCAGAATTGCCAAAATGATTTTGAAAAAGAAAAACAAAGTTGAGGGACTTACACTATCTGATTTCAAGATTTATAAAGCTATCATAATGCAGGAAGTGTGGTCTTGGCAAAAAGATACAAAAAGATACAAAACAGAAGCCCAGAAATAGACTCATGTATTGGTCTATTTGGTATTGATAAAGTACATAGGTAATTCAATAAAGAAAGGATGGTCTTTTCCATAAATGGGACTGTAACAATTAGGCATTTATATGTTAAAAAAAAAATTGATCCTTGACTCAAACCTCCAATTATGTATTTTTAAAAAATCAAAATGAGACTGAGTACAGTGGCTTATGCCTGTAATTCCAGCACTTTGGGAGGCTGAGGTGGGAGGTTCATTTGAGCACAGGAGTTTGAGACCAACCTGGGCAATATAGTGAGACCCTCATCTCCGAAAAGAATTTTTAAAAAGCCAGGCATAGTTGCTTGCTCCTGTAGTCCCAGCTACTCAGGAAGCTAAGGCAGGAAAATTGCTTGAACCCAGGAGTTTGAGGCTGCAGTGAGCTAATGATCACACTACTGCACTCCAGCCTGAGCAAGAGTGAGACCCTGTCTCTAAATAGAAAAATTTTTAATTAAAAAACAAAAAGTAAAAAAATATATATTCAAAATGAATCATAGACCCAAATGTAAAACTTGAAACTATAAAACTTCTAGAAGAAAGACAAAATCTTCAGAACATTAGGCCAACAAGTATTTCTTAGCACTCAAAGGCACAAACCATAAAAGAAAAAAGATTGATGTGGCCGGGCATGGTGGCTCACGCCTGTAATCCCAGCACTTTGGGAGGCCGAGGCAGGCAGATTATGAGGTCAGCAGATCGAGAACATCCTGGCTAACACGGTGAAACCCCACCTCTACTAAAAATACAAAAAATTAGCTGGGTGTGGTGGCGGGTGCCTATAGTCCCAGCTACTCAGGAGACTGAGGCAGGAGAATGGCGTGAACCCAAGAGGCAGAGCTTGCAGTGAGCAGAGATCGCGCCACTGCACTCCAGCCTGGGTGACAGAACGAGACTCCGTATCAAAAAAAAAAAAAAAAAAAATTAGCTTGAAATGAATCTTTGATCTAAATAAAATTTTTGTAACACTGAGCTAGCAAAATTTCTTAAGACACAAAAGTACAAACAACAAAATTTAAAAATGATAAATTAAACTGTTACTCAGAAAATATATAGCACTCTCAAAATGCAGTAAGAAAACAGCCCAATTAAAAAAAAATAAGTAGGAAGTTTGAACAGATACTTTGCCAAATAAAAGGTTCAAATGGCAAACAAACATAATAATATGTTAATTATTATTATTAGGGAAATTGAAATTAGAGCCTCAATAATAAACTATAATGTACCAATTAGAGTGGCTAAAATGTTAAAAGTTGATAATACCGAGTGTTGACAATAAAGCAAAGCAACTGCATCTTTTATATTATTTCTGTTGAAAATGTATATGTATTATAGCTGCTTTGAAAAAGAGTTTGACAGTTTCCTATGAGGTTAAACATACAATAAGCAATCCACTACTAGATATTTATCAAAAAAAAATGAAAACATATCCACCCGAACATCTGTATTAAAGTGTTCAAAGGAGCTTTATTCATAAGCCCTACAAACTAGAAATAATTCAGATGTCTATTGACCTGGGAATAAACAAATTGTGATATATTCATAAAATGAAATCTACATTCAGAACAGAAAAAAACTACCAAAACTTGGAACAGTGTTGATAAATCATAAAACCATTATGCTAAATGAAAGAAAGCACACAATAAAGACTATAGTATGTAGTCTTTACTCCATTTATAATGACTTTTTTTTTAAAGAATGGCAATTAGGATCAGTGGTTGTCAGAGGCTGAGGGTGGAGTAGGAGATTATTACAAAGGCCTACAGAAAGCATTTTAGCAGTCATGGAATTATTCTACTATGTATTGATTGTGGTAGTGTTGATACTACTGTATACCCTTGTCAAAACTCATAGAACGGTATACCCAAAAAAGATAAATTTTGCTGTATGTAAATTAAGCCTCAGTACATCTGACTCTTAAAAAGAAATCAAATTCAAGAGAAGGAAAAGACAAGCCACACACTAGGAGAAAATATTTGCAAAAGATGTATCTGGCAAAGACTGTTATCTAAAACATAAAAAGATCTGTTAAAACTCAATAAAAAGAAAACAAACACCTCATTTAAAAATAGGCCGAAGACCTTAACACACACCTCATCAGTGGAGGTTTACAGATGGCAAATAAGCTTATGAAAAGATCCTCCACATCATGTGTCATCAGGGAAATGCAAATTTAAACAACAATGAGGGCCTGGCACAGTGGCTCAGGCCTATAATCCCATCACTCTGGGAGGCTGAGGCAGGCAGAATATCTGAGGTCAGGAGTTCAAGACCAGCCTGGCCAACATGGAAAAACCCTGTCTCTACTGAAAATACAAAAAAAAAAAAAAATTAGCTGGGCTTGGTGGCGCACACTTATAATCCCAGCTACTGGGGAAGCTGAGGCAGGAGAATCACTCGAACCCGGGAGGCAGAGGTTGCGGTGAACCGAGATCACACCACTCCACTCCAGCCTGGGCGACAGAGCAAGACTGTCTCAAACAAACAAACGAGGTACCTCTATACATCTATTAGAACTGCCAAAATCCGGAACACTGACAATCCCGAACACTGGTGAAGATGTGAAGCAACAAGTTGCGGGATCTGGAACTCTCATTGCTGGTAAAAATACAAAATGGTACAGCCACTTTGGAAGTCAGTTTAGTGGTTCCTTACAAAACTAAACATACTTTTGCCATATGATCTCGTAGTTGCACTCCTTGGTATTTAACCAAAAGATCTGAAAACTTCCTTCCATACAAAAAACTGCATATGAATGCTTATTAGCAGCTTTATTGATAACTGCAAAAACTTGGAAGCAATCAAGATGTCCTTCAGTAGGTGAATTAATAAACTATAGTACATTCAGACAATGAAATATTATTCAGTGCTTAAAAGAAATAAGCTATTAAGCCATGAAAAGACATGGAGAAAACATTAAACTACATAATACTAAGTGAAAGAAGCCAATCTGAAAAGGCTACATACTGTTATGATTCCAATTATATGACATTCTGGAAAAGGCAAAACTATGGAAAGAATAAAAAGATCAGTGGTTGCGAGGGGTTAAGAGATAAAGAAGGACTAAACAGCAAGAGCACAGAGGATGTTTAGGGCAGAAAAAATACTTTGTATGATACTATAATGGTGATATATGTCATTATAATTTTGTCCAAACCTATAGAACATGTAATACCAAAAGTGAACCGTAATGTAAACTATGGACTTTGGCTGTAATGAAGTGTCAATGTGGGCCCATCAATTGTAACAAATGTACCACCACTCTGGGGGGGAAATTGATAATGGGGGAGATGATGCATGTGTGGGGACACAGGATACATGGAATGTCTCTGTACCTTCCTCTCAATTTTGCTGTGAATCTAAAACTGTTAAAAAAAAAAAAAAAAAAGAAAAAAGAAAAAAACCACTAAGCCTTTAAAAATAATCAGCCACAACTATGAATTAAATTTTAAGGTTGCAATTCTCATAAAAAAGAAATGTATATAATCATGTAAATTATAAAAAAGAAGAATTAAAATAATTAAAATTAGAAGTTGAATGAGAAGTGTGTGGAAGTGAACATAAATTTTCTTATTCATAGCAGAGTCAATAGGTACTCTCAATAGTTGATAAATCAAAATATGTAAGCTTAAATATATCATTTAAAGTTATAAAATAAGCAATAAGAGGCCAAAAAGCACATTATAAATCTTCTGAACTATAAGAAAACACACATACAATAAAATATAAATTATTTAGCAAAATAGAAAATAAAGCAGTAATGGCAGAAATCACAAAAGAGAACTGAGAACAAACATAGCTGTATATTAACATATATAAATGAGATAAAGCCATTGTCTTAGTCCATTTGTGCTTCTATAACAAAAATACCTTAGACTGGGTAACTTAGAATATAAATTGATTTCTTATAGTTCTGGAGGCTGGGAAGCCCAAGATCAAGGTGCTGACATTGGGTCTGGTGAAGGCTGCTCTCCGTTTCCAAGATGGCACCTCCTTGTTGCTGCATCCTCACATGGTAGGAGACAGAAGAGCAAGAAAACCAAACTCACTTACTCAAGGCCTTTTACAAGGGCACCTGATCCGCTTCATGAGGGTAGAGCCATCATGACTTAATTGTCTCTTAATGCCACATTTTAACAGCATTAAGGCCACACCTCTTAATGCTGTTACATTGGGGTTAAGTTTCAACATGAATTTTGGAGTGATATCATTGTTCAAATCACAGCAGCCACTCATTAAAAGAAAAAATTCTTAGGTAGGTTTCAAAAACCAAACTCAACTATTTGTTGCATGCAAGAGATACATGTTGAGCAAAATTAAATACTGGGCACATATATGAGACGATTACCCAAAAAAACCACCTAACAGAATAATTACATTTTTAGTATCAAGCAAAGTTGAATTCATGGCAAAACACGCTAAAGATGAATAAGTTCACTTCATAAAGATAAAGAGTCAATCTACAATAAAGATCTGTCAGAGATCATTAATACCAAAGGCCCTGGAGTGAAAATTCTTAAAGCAAAAACAGCATAAAATACAAGGAGAAATAAAACTACAGAAGTATCAGGGAAGGTTTACTCATTCTTTTGACCAACGACAGTACAAGAAAATAGTAAAAAAAAAAAATTTTTTTAAAGTACAGATATAAGATCAGATTCTGTAATTCATAAAGTCTCTCTAAAAAGCTCTGTATCACACACTTCGTCCTGAAAACAAAGACTATTTCATCTTTGATTGCCAAAGAATATCCCCAAACCTTCAGTATACGTTGAACCACAAAATACTCCCAATACATTCAAGTAGAAATAGGGCAGATCATATTCTCAAGATATAATACAAAAAAGTAGAATTGATTTTTTAAATAGAAAAAATCCCCAACTGCCTAAAAATTAAGACTATTTAAAAAGTTGACTTAAAGGCAATGGTAAGTGAAATTGAAGGATGTTTAGAAAATAACAGCAATAAAAACAACTACACATCAGAATCCATGTGTTATGGCTAAAATCAGTGCTTTGAAGAAAAATTCAGAGACTTAACCAAATTATTAAATAAGAAAAAAGAAAATAAATGAGTTTATATTTAAAGCAAGAGGTAAGAAAAATGAATAAGAAAAAAATCCAGGGAAAATTTAAAAAATGAATTAAAGACAAAAGCAGATATTAATGATTTGGAAATAAAAAATATAGAAGCAATAAACATACAAACTGATCTCCTGAAAAATATCCACAAAAATGGATAAAATGACAGGTTGTCTCACTTTTTAAAGGAAATGTAAGGAAAACAAACACATAAACCCAGCAATTATAATGGGTTAAAAGGAAACCAAAATAATTGTAAGAAAATGCTTTACACAAAATTCTGCAAATATACCTGAAAATCTAGATAAGTCAGTTTCTAGGGAAATACGAATTATCAGAATTGTCCTTAGATAAGATTTGTAAAAACAGACTAATTGCCAGTAAAGAAACTGAGGTGGTTATCAAAGATTAACCCCTCACAAGAACACAAGGCCCCTTCAGTCTCGCTAATGATTTCATGCAAAACTTCTAGGAACACATTATTTCAAATCCTAAGTGATCCCTAAGCATGGAGAGAGAAGGAAAGAATGACACTGACATTGAGCCTAACATAGCACAAAAAGGGAAACTAAAGGCCAGTATGTAATTTATAAATAGTGCCAGAATGTCATAGAATATAAGCAAGTTAATTAATTAATACACAATGATAAAATGAGATTCTTGGAATGCAAGAGATAGTTCAAAATTAGAACACCTATTCATCTTTTATCGTATTAATAGATTAAAGGAGACATCCCACTTAATCATCTCACTAAATGATGAAAAGGCATTTTGCAAAGTTGAACATACTTCCCTGATTTAAAAGTCATATATGGCCAAGTATAAGTAGCTCAGGCCTGTCATCCCAGCACTTTGGGAGGCCAAGGCGGGTGAATTGCTTGAGCTCAGGAGGTTGAGACTACCCTGTATAACATGGCAAAACCCCTTCTCTACTAAAAATACAACAAAATATCCAGGTGTGGTGGCACATGCCTATAACCCCAGCTACTCAAGAGATGGAGGTGGGAGGATTGCTTGAGCCTGGTAGGCAGAAGCTGCAGTAGGCCAAGATCATGCCACTGCACTCCAGCCTGGGTGACAGAGAAAGACCCTGTCTCAAAAAAATAAATAACTAAATAAATTTTATATAGATAGAATATTGATATAGGTTCACATATGTATGTATTCACATATATATATACAGATATATCGCACCCATACATATATATGTTTATGTACACATAACAAAAATCTATCATCATTAGAAGAATCACTAGAATTCAGCTTAATGAAGAATCACTAGGATTATCTCTATTACCATAAGAAACAAGATGGATAAAGACAGCCTGCGTGAGAGCAGCACTGGAGTGACACATCAGGGGAAGCCCAGTGGTAGCTGGTAATAATGAGAACAGCATTAGAATGTGGAGGAGGGACATTTCAGTGCAAGCCAATACCTGTGTCCCACTCAAGGACAATGTCAAAATCAGACAGCAGGGACAGCCTGGCAGGATGGGGAAATTAGCTTGTCCATAAAGGTGACTGGACAAATAAGTAAATTTTCTAAGAATAATGAGTGATAGGTTTCTCATAAACGAAGAGAAGAAATACAAACAGGGAAAAGATGAAAGTGGAATAAATCCTGTAGTACTGAACTGGAACTGGAGCTATGCAACTCAGGAAGAGATAGAAATGAATATGATTTGTCTGTACACCTAGTGCTGCTCCCACCGAGAGGGTCTGGGAGCAGCCATACCCCAGTAATCATGAGCACACTTGCCCCAAATCTCCCAAACACCACTCTCTGCTAAAGGAATCAGGACTTCTTGGAGAAATGGCCAATTCCAGGGCTAGGCAGGAAAGGTAGAAGATGAGCCTAAAACATCCTGCTATGCCAGAAAATGTTCAAATAATTAGGGGATGTGTCAAAGGGACACAGAGGAAGCTTGAAGAGGTTTCCAATATGAAAATCTGGGCCAATGGGAGCATCAAAATAAATAAAAATGGTGGTAATTATAATCCATGAATGAAAGTTCTTGAGTACACACTGATATAAATAAGTGAATAAATAAATAGGAAGAGAGATTTTTCTTACTATAGAAAGTCAGAAAATAAATTATAGAAGAAATTATGGAAACAGAAAATCATTTGGCCATCTTCAGAGTAATAACGCAGATAAATATCAATGGATGCTAAAAACTAGTGGGTGAAAATAGGATAAGAAATGTAATGCTTACATACCTGAAAAGTTTCTCCTCACAAAGTACTTATTAATTACAAAAAGAAAGAAAAGTAACTTGATAGTAGAGCTATATAGTAGCAGACACCTCTTAAGTACTCAAAGTTAAGGCCATGAGTAACAGTACAAACTGATTTCATGTGACAAAGATAGCATACAGCGAGGAAAACGCAGCCTGACTTCTGTGATACTCCTACTAATGATGCATAACCTGGATTCAATCATGAAGAAATGCTGGACAAACCCAAATTGAGGCCTATTCTAAAAAAGAAATGCCCTGTAATCTTCAAACATATCAATGGCATGGAACTCAAGGAAAGGCAGTTGAAAGCATTCTAGATTAGGGAGACTGAGAAAACATGATCACTGGGTTCAACACCTAATCCTGGAATAGATCCTCTTGCTAAAAAAAAGACATCATGTGAAGGTAATTCATTTAAGTGTTGATGATCAAATTCCTTTATTATAGTTTTCTGTTTCCCTTAGCAATTAGTGAGAAGGTGTTTTGGTGCCATGAGATAGTCCTTTCTCTACAACTATTTCTCTCCTAATGATTTTAGCCTTTAGCATCCACAGATCATTCTTCCATAAATCAATTATTTCGCTGGGAATTGCAAAAGGATGGTTTTCTAATTCTTTCATTTCTTCTACATTAGCTGTTATTCTTCTATAAAGAAGACTTTTTTCTTGTCATCTTCTAAAAAGATATGGTAAATAATTATTTCCCTTTAATTACAGATTTTCAGAATGAGGATTTGATGTAAAAGTCACCTTCAATGTGGCACTGAGACATTCTCTCTCTCCCTTACTCTCCCCCTCACTGTGGATTTAAGGGTTATGATCAGTTACAGTTGATGATCTTTTTAATGTTAAAATTGTCCCAAATTTGGCCAGTGGGAGCATCTTCAATCTGTCTGTCATGTGCATTGGTCTTTTTTTTACTTCCTTGCTTTTGGGTATAAGACATCCCAGGTTCATGTTGTACTTCCTATGTCACATACCTGAGAATCAGCCATGATTTCTTTCAGCTCAAAGGTACTTAGAAACCAAGATGGGGATGTTAAGTATAAATGTTGCTACTGGGTATCATTGCATAAGAAGAGACATATAAATAACTGAAACAGAATAGTGTGTCCAGAAATAGACCCACGCATACATAGAGAATTGATTTTTGACAAAGGTGCCAAGGTAACTCAATGTGAAAAGGATAGTCTTTTCAACAAATGGTGCTGGAACAACTGGATATCCATATAAAGAAAAATCGATCTTGGTATTTCTTCACACAATACACCCCCACACAAAAATCTCTAAATGGATCATAGACCAAAACATAAAAGCTAAAATTATTAAACTTCTAGGTGAAAACATAAAATCTTCACAACCTTGGGCTAAGCAGAGATTTCTTAGGACACAAAAATCATAAAAGAAAAACTTGATAAACTGAAATTCATCAAAATTAAAACTTTTGCTCTTTGAGAGATACTATTAAAAAATAAAAAAGCAAGTCACAGACTGGGAAAAATATTTGCAATACATTCACCTGAAAAAGGTCTTATATCTAAAATATATAAAAATATCTCATAACTCAATTTTTAAAATGTAATCCAATTGTTTAATGGGCAAAAGACTTGAACAGCTACTTCAAAAAGCAGATATATAAATGGACATTAAGCACATGAATTAGTCAACATCATTAGTTTCCAGGGAAATGCAAATTAGAATCATAATGAGATGCTAGGACACATCCAAATTAAAATGACTAAAATTAAAAAGACTAAAAAAAAAATAAGCGTTGGCATATAATTCTCATACTTTGCTGGTGAGAATGCAAAATGCTATAGCCATTCTGGAAACACTTTGGCAGTTTCTTAGAGTTAAACATACACTTACCATCTGACCCAGAAATTCCACTTTTAGATATTTACTCAAGGGAAATGACAACATAGGAATGTAAACATACACAAATGCTCATGGTACCTGGTTATATCCACTTTGGGTAGAAAGAGAACTGTCCCACGGTTTGAAGGTATATGATTCAGAGGCAGTGGCAAATGGCCTAGCTCTTTTGGCCAATAGAAAAAAAAAAAAGTGGTCAGAGACCTGTAAAAGGGAAATTGGAAGATTAAGTGCAATAAATTCTAAGATAGAAGCATGTGAATAGATATGGGCATGGGCACAAAGTATGAAGATCTATATATCACATGAGAGCACCCACCAGAGACCATCCACCATAGAACAGACACTAACCAACCATGTAGAATAACCTGGACATCTGACATCAGCAACCTCACTTCTTGGACCCCTGCCATCCTGGAAGGGTCAGAGATTTGTTCTCCCAAAATAGACACATACTCCAGATACGTATTTGCCTTTCTTGCCTGCAAGACCTCAGCCAGCACCACTATCCAGGGAGTTAACAGAGTGTCGGATCCACTAGCACAGGATCCCACACAGACCAGAGGACCCACTTCTCAGCAAAGAAGATACAAGTCTTCTGTCGCTATGAGTTCATAGCCAAAGAATTATATCCTGCATCACCCACAAGCAGCTGGCTTACTGGGAGGATTTGCTATACACAATAGTCTTTCAAAGTCACACTTGAGTTATGGTTTGTACCACAAATTGGTCAGATTCACCCATAAATCGTGTTTAGGTTATTTCCTCTTCCATCGGCTACTTGTAATGACTATCCTTATGAACACGGACGTCAGCTAAGATGTTTCTCTGACATGGGGTCTGAGAGCTATACTCACACAGCTTGCTTGTGCTGCTTCTGGTCCTGCTTGTGCTCAGCCCCAAATGTATCACTGCCATCTATACTGGATGGTGACTGGGCCTGCCTGGCCTTATGACCTTGTAGGACTGACAGAACTCAGATCCTGATGGGAGGTTCAAACAGATAGTCACTTGGCCAGGCACAACTCCATCTCTACCAGGGCTCAACTTTACTAAGATGACATTTTCAATTATTTCAATGTTTACATAAAGTAGTTCTGCTATGCAGTCTCCAATTTCTGTACATAAAGTATTCCAGATACATGCACAAAAGTTGAAAATGTAATATTAAATCAGCAGACTTATACGTCTTAAAGGATGCCAATTCTCAGAAATTAAAAAAATACAAAAGCCAGGCATAGTGGTGGGTTCCTGTAGTCCCAGCTACTCCAGAGGTTGAGGCAGGAGGATGACTTGAGCCCAGGAGTTCCAGGTTACAGTGAACTATGATTGTACCACTGCACTCCAGCCTAGATGACAAGAGCAAGACCCTGTCTCTAAAATCAATAAAACAAAACAAACTGTCAAAGTCCTAGTCTTACTTCATGTTCAAATCATAATCTTGTTTTGTTCTTGTTAATTTTGTTCTTAAAATTGAAAACAAAGCTTGAGTTCAAATAGACTAAAGAATTTACTCAGGAGGCTGAGGCATGAGAATCGCTTGAACCAGGGAGGCGGAGGTTGCCGTGAGCGGAGAGCACACCATTGCACTCCAGCCTGAGTGATGGAGCACAACTCAAAGACTCAAAAAAAAAAAAAAAAAAGAATTCAGGTTTTTGGCAAGCTTTATGGTTTTCATCTTTGTCATTATTAAGCATATAAAAAGTTCAATGATTGATATTAGCACTTCTATTTTTCATTAAGATTGGGACAAAAATTAAAATAAAATATGCAACTAATTGCCTAATTCAAATAACTGACAAAGATGTTGATACCACTATAAAAAGTTGTCAGAATAAAAATGGAGTCACTCATGTTAAAAACAAACTGAAAAACAGATCTGGGGAAGGACATGAAGGGAGGGTTCCCACACACATATGCTAGATAACAAAAGCTATCACAAAAGACTACAAAAACCACAACCTTGCAAAAAGGCCATCAAAGCCTTACACAAAAACACACTTCTGTGAGGACGTCTGCCCAGCAACTGCCTATTTAAACTTGGACAGATGCCACTCTTGTTATTGATCCTTGTAGCCAAGGATAATTATCTCAAAACAATTATGTAATCCTCCTCGTTTTCTTTAAAAACCTTTGCCTTCCTTTACCCCCCTGAATACATAGTTTACTACGGCACATCTATTCCCATCGCAATGCTTATTCCCAAATAAACACTATTTTCTTTCAGTTTTTGTTATTTAGGTTGACACTGACAAAACTGAAAAATTAACACCCAGTTTCACCACAGAAAAGATTAATATTCGTTTATCAGCTTATGTACAAAAATCTAAATTCAATATAAAAAAAGAGTTTTAGGCATTTATAAGGTTGTCCCAAAGTCAAAACAAAAATGTGTTGTTTCTTTAAGTTGATTTTAAAATTTAAGTTGAATTACTGTTCTAATAAAAATGGTATTGGCTGTTCCACAAAGCCTATATATGAGAAGCCTGTTGGTAAATTGGCTGTGAGCGATTTTACCTGGAGTTACCATGTGTAGTTAATGCAGTGGCACCCTGCCCCCATCCTTCAGGCCTGACCATTTCTATGAGCTCCAGCACTTTCAGCTGCCAGTTGAACTTCATCCCTTTACCTGAAGGTGTGAACAATGCAGTCTGCAAGAATGAACACCCCTCTTCTACCTCCCTCTCAGCTGTTCTTAACCAATGATTAAGAGGAGTTGGTATATCAATATTCCAGCTCTCTTGCCTTTCATTAGGATAACCCTGGGAAATGTTTTATGCCATTTCCCAAGATTTCCCCATGGATTAAACTCCAGCCACCCAGTGCTTGATTATAGGTGCTTGATAATGCACCCTTTGCTGGTGATCTTTCCTATCCCACTTCACCACTCTTCCACCAATGTTTCCTGTACTTCCTATATAAAATGGGCATGCATGGAAACCCTCCTCTTGGGATGCGCTTTGCATCATATGACCCCAACACCACAGCCACAACTAATTGAAACAGCAGTTGCCTGGCCAGTAACCTCTGAAGTGACCTATTTTGAGACCTTACAGGGTACTGAATACTGAATAGACTGATGAACCCAACCAATCCTCTCCTGGGAAGGTTAAATGTGAAATACTTGAAAACAGAGCTGGTCTCAGTGACAGAAACTCAGACACGCTAGGGGAGGCCAGGAGAGCAGTAAGAAGATCAGAAGCAGTGGCACAAAACACCTTTAACAGTTGTGGGAATCAAGTTTTTTACATGTGTCAAGGTTTCATTTTATAATGAATGAACCTAGAATGAAAACCAGTATCTTCTATCTTTAATGTATCTACTCAGATCTCTATACTTTTTTATAAGTGAGTGATAGCATATATATATATATATACATATATATATATACATATATATATATATACATATATATATACATATATATATATACATATATATATACATATATATATATATACATATATATATATATACATATATATATATATATATATATATATATTTTTTTTTTTTTTTTTTTTTTTTTTTTGATATGGAGTCTCACTCTGTCGTCCAGGCTGGAGTGCAGTGGCACGATCTCGGCTCACTGCAAGCTCCGCCTCCCGGGTTCACGCCGTTCTCCTGCCTCAGCCTCCTGAGTAGCTGGGACTACAGGCGCCCGCCACCGCGCCCGGCTCATTTTTTGTATTTTTAGTAGAGGCGGGGTTTCACCGTGTTAGCCAGGATGGTCTCGATCTCTTGACCTCGTGATCCTCCAGCCTCCGACTCCTAAAGTGCTGGGATTACAGGCGTGAACCACCGTGCCCGGCCTGGCTTATATATTTCAAATATTTTTTTCAAGTATCATTGTATCCCTAAAGAATTTTGCTCCACACTGGACAGCCCAAAGGTTCAACAAAGTAGGTTAACCCTGGAACTTTACCAATTATTTTTAAAAAGCCCTAAACTGAAATTTTTTAGATTTCAGGACTTAAGTATAATGTTCCTCTTTCTTTTGCAATTTGCTTATTTCCACACTTCTGCGTCAGAAAAAAAAAAAATCTTCAAAATATTTGCATTTTGCTTCTAGTTAGAGGAGGTGTAACCTATATCTTCCACTTAAGTCACAGCCCAAATTGTAGCTAAATACACAGTTCTGTAACTTGGGGTGCAAAGAGATTCTCAGTGTTGTACAAATGTTAATGATGCTTCTTAAAGCTATTTAAAAGGAAACACAAATCCTTTTGCAGTTTTGAGTCTAGTATAGATAACAATAATGTGTTAGGATTTTTTGGAATGTTTATAGTCATTATCTTATGTTCTTAGGTCAGGGACCCATGAGATAAGAAGGGCAGATATTATCCTACATTTGAAGTATGAGGAAATGGAAATACTAAACATTTAGTTAATTTCAACAAGGTTCTAAAGAACTGTTGGTAAAGTCAGGACCTGAGCTTCCTGACCAGGGACTCTTCGTCCTCCATAGCTCAGAGATTGGCTCATCTGTAATCTATGATTTTAATATTGTGAGTCCCTTGGGACCAGGGCTCATGTCTTCCAATTTAATGGCTTAGAACACTGTGATACACATGGATTGCACTAAATAGACATATATCTGTGATAGTTTATAATATTTGTAACAGTTTGTGACCAGCCTGGGCAATATAACAAGACCTCATTTCCACAAAATTATTTAAAAATTAGCCAGGCACAGTGGAGCACATGTTGGTAGTCCCAGCTACTCTGCAGGCTGAGACAGAAGGATAGCTTGAACCCATGAGTTCAAGGCTGCACTGAGCAATTCAAGGCTGTAGTGAACTGATTGCACCATTGTACTCCAGCCTGGGTGACAGAGCCAGACTGACTCAAAAAAAAAAAAAATTCTAATAGGCCCAAAATATGTTAAAAGAGTCTTTGAACAAAAAAACCATCCTTGAAACTCATATCAATTTTGAGAGAACATGGATTTTGATTTCTTAAGTTAGAAATACTCCCAAGATCAATCTGTCTTCATGTTTGATCTAATACTTTCTTTTAAAAACTAGGAAAGCAAGAATCCATATCATCTTTCATTTTGAAAATGAAACACAGCTTTTTATATGTATCTAAACTCAATTTCTAACTAATTCCAGGAGCATTGTGTCCCATTTTGTCCCTTAATACTGCTTGGTTAATGAGGTCGTAATTATTAGCAAGTATTTTAACAAGTATTTTTAACGTTAAAGAAATAAGCATCAGTTTACTATGACTTTATAGTTTAGAACCTATGTGTTCTATTTTGAACAAAACTTGAGATTTTCTTTTGCTACTTTTAAATACCTAGCATTTTATTTCTATACACACTAAACAATGAAGAGGTGGCATGATTTCTACCAGCACTTCCTTTTAAGGAAAAAGTCTGTGAATTAAAGTACAAGGCCTCTACTTTTGTATTTTCAGACTTAACTCAGGACAGGGATTTCTAGCTGAACTATAAGTCAGATGACCTTTATTTCTAGTTAACAGTGGCATGGGAGCTCAGGAATCTCATAATTATACCCTGTGGACCAGCTCCAGAGGCAGCTTCCAAGAAGCCCTTTGGAGTGTTGTTTCAATGACAGTCCTTAGCTTTAGGGCAGCAGGGGCCAGTGCTCTCTTTTACCATAGCTGAATCTTCTCATTGCTCTTGGACGTTTATGGGCAGATGCCACCGTCTGATAGCTAGTCTCCAGGTTCTCCATTATTTATGTGGAGGTGCCAGCCTTTTAAACTGTATTTCCAAAATCCCACAGCTCTCAACTGGTAAAATCCAGAATTCTTTTCACCTTAATTTGCATGTGTGTATCTTTCTAGGCAGTGTTTCTTACTCTGCCTTCACCAGGTAAAGATTGCTTTCCCTTCCTCATCAAGGTCACCTTTAAAGCCCCTGTGGAAATTTTTGAATGTGTTGGGGTTTGGGCTGTCAAAGCATATTCCTCAGATCACAAATCATCCCTTTCTCCCTCTCCTGCACAATTCCTAGAGCTCAGAACAAGCTGCATTTGAGCTGAGAATTCTTGAATTAACATTGATTTTCAGTATGGACTTACTATCCTGATAACCAAGAACAAATTCATTTGTGAGGGTTATCAGCAAACTCTGACAATATTGTTTCTTGGAAAAGGCTGATGATAGCATATTTATATGTGAATCTGATTCACAGATTCTAAACTTCTTGCCATGGGTATATTTGCTTTACTTGAACATATATACTGGGTTGACAGAAATAAAATCTATGGAACACATCCTGGATAACTTAACCAGCAGTTCTTGTTCAACTGCAGACACAGAAAAGGAGAGATCAATAAATAAATGAGCAAATAATTGCATAATTAAGAGAAGTCAATTAACCTGACCACCCTTTAAGTCCCTAAGGTATTAGAATAGGCATGAATATAATAGTATGTGTTAAATGTTAAGATGCCTTTAAAGATAGTATCTACAGTGGGCATTAGTCATTTCTGTCTGTTTGGAATCCACCTCTCCATCCTCTTGGTCCAATTTTTCTGTGGACACCTCGTATTTCAGAAGCCAAATAACCCAGATCCCCTCTCCATCCTCCCCACAACAACCAGGAGAAGGAGACATTACTGGCCTCTCCTTGGACTTTAAATGCTAAGTCAGGGATAAAATTATTCTGGGTGGGTTCAGGATGATCTGAGGCGGAAGCACGTGACCCAAACATATCCATAGCGCATGTCCATAGCCTTTATGATGGCTTCTGCCATGCTCTTGGACCCCACTTTGCCTCCTGACCACTCTCAAGCCTTGTCGTCAAGCTTCGTTAATTCTCAGCACCATGATATCCTTCTAACCCTTTAAAAGGCTGAGTTGTTTTCTCTTGCTCATAAAAAAGAACTCAGGCTTATATTGCACTGGAGGATACCAGGAGAAAATAGAATTCCATTTACATGATTCCTCTAAAGAGACTTTAATAATTCACAATTTACAGAGGCGTGGGGAAGGTTAAAGGGACCAGTGAGGGGTGTGGAAGCCACCAGAGATCAGCACCATTTCCACCTCTAGGCCGGAGGAGGAAGGAGGGGAAATGGTGTTGCTCAATAAGAGCTGAAGCCAAGAAGGAAAAGGCTCCACAATATAGGGGAAGAAATACTCCAGCATTTTTCTTCTCTTGCCCCCCCGCCCCACCCTACAGGCTCCTGTCTGTGCTCTCATTGACTGAGTTCTACCAGAAGCTGTCAGTAAGGAAGAGTAGGTGAGGCAGCACTGAGGGGACCAGCCTCCCAGGGAACAGAGCAGGTCAAAGAAGGGCAGGAAGGGATCTGAGTGAGGGGCATCAGAAGACAAGCAGAGAACAACCCATACAATAATAATGGAGAGGCTTGATCTCATCAACATTTTCTATATCACCTGATAATTAACTACAGACAAAACATTGTCATCTAGAGTTCTTATGCTATTGTTTGATTGCTTGTCATTTTTATTCACCAAAAGTTGACACAGAAGGGTCTTTCTGAAATTAATATGAAAAATAAATTGAAGGCAACATTTATAATTATCCTCTACTAAAATAGTGTTTTGTGGCACCCAATTTTAAAAAATTATCCTACATTTTCATATTTTCCACTTCAAATGTATTTGGAGATTATAGCATATAAATTTACATACATGTTATAACAATCTGAAAATGTAAAATAGGTAGGTTATGTGCATAATGCAACATAGCATATGATTTTTAAAGAAAAAAATCAAATTATCAATATTAACTTATCTCAATTGATTTTGTTGTTGTTCATTGTTTCTTTATCAAGATAAACTATTTCTTGGCCCACATTTTCATGTTTCATAATAGTTCGGGAACACATGTGGGTGACAAACTTCTAGGTAATACAGTCCAAAGAAATTCGTTATGTTCCAAAATCACTTTGTACTCTGAAAGATACAAACCTTCCTCATCTCAAAATCTTTCATGGACTCACAATTTCTGTAGAAATCTGTGTATGTCTTTTTTGTTTAGCCACAGCAAACTTAGAGAGCTGCAACCCCCCAGGGATACAACAAATGCTCCAACAACATGAAACCTTCCAGCCATGTGTTCGAGGTTTCATCAAAACACTGGACGCCATGGCAGTTACTGTTCTTGATAGGAATATCAACCTCAGCACCAACGTCTTCCTTGGCTGAGAGACCACCTCAATTGATTTTTAATGAAGCTAAAGTTTCATTGTTCAGCCAAATGATGGAGTCTTATATATACATAAACTATGTCAGAAAAAAAAAAGAAAGCAGTGATTACAATATTAATATCAGTCCAAATAGAATCCAAGGCAAAAACCATATTAAAAGGGAAAATTATGTAACAAAGGGATATTTTATGTTAATGAAGCTATCAAAAAAGTTATTAAAAGTCATGAAAATATTTCAAATAAAATACATAAAGTAAAAAAGGTAAATAAACAACACAACAAATACGGATGGCTTACATATATCTGTCTTACTTTTTTTTTAAATGTAGACAGGGTCTTGCTATGTTGCACAGGCTAATCTCAAACTCCTGGGCGCAAGCAATCCTGCCATCTCAGCCTCACAAAGTGCTGGGATTACAGAGGTGAGCCATTACACCTGACCTTACTACTTCTTTCTCTGTTTTGTTGTTGTTGTTTTGTGGTTTTTTTAAAAAAAAAAGGAAGAAAAAATAGATATATTAAGTGGATCATCATAAAAATCTTCATCCTTGTTGCTTCACATTGAGGGTGGCCTTATTTCTTGACATATAAATCAAGGATAAAAGTATAATACTGAAATGCTGAATACTATTATAAAGTTGATCTAATAACTACAAACTGAACATGGTACTCAACAAAGAATACACTTTCTATTTTAAAGATCCACGGAAAATGTGTAAAACTGATCATGCATTTAGCCACAAAGAAAAGCTTGATGAATTTCAACAAAACAGAAATCATGTAAGACATAGATTCTGACCACAAATTATAACTAGAAATTAATTCCAAAAATCTAAACTGAAAACAAACATTCTGAAATGAAAAGAGAAACCACTAATAAATAGCTTTTGGGAAAAATCTGAAATTACAGAGTTCTAAGAAAAGAGCAATAATGAGAACATGACATGTCAGTACTAATGAGATATGGCCAAAGCATTTGTCCGAGGCAAACTCAGTTCATTTTTTGTTATCGTGTTTTAGGTATTTAATTCAAGAAATCAGGAGACAGCAACAGAACAAGCAAGGAAAGCAGAAAAAAGAAAAAAAAATTAAGAAATAAAAATGACCCGAAAAACAGTAAAACAATAAACAGACAAAGTTATGTAAGAGCTGCTATTCTGTGGGGAAAAAGATACAACAGACATCCCACTACTTAGTCTAATACATTGAAAGACAAAACACAACTACATAAAGCTAATAAGAGAACTTAGCCACAAACATAAAGAGACATTGAAAATTATAATATTATAAACCTCAAAGCAATACATTTTTTAAATATCAAAGAAATGGACTTTCTAGAAAAATGCAAATGACCAACATTGACTCAGGAAGAGATAAAAGATCTGAACAGACTACTTATATGGAAGATATATAAAAAGCTATAAAAGCCAAAGTCACTCTGCTGCCCAGGGTGGAGTGCAGTGGCACTATCACGGCTCTCTGCAACCTCTACCTCCCTAATTCAGGAGATCCACTTCAGCCTCCAGAGTAGCTGAGACAACAGGTGCAGGTCACCACGCCTGGCTGATTTTTTTTTGTTTGGTAGAGATGAGGTCTCGCCATGTTACATAGGCTGGTCTCAAACTCTGGAGCTCAAGGGATCCTCCTGCCTCAGCCTCCCATAGTGCTGGGATTACAGGCATGAGCCATTGCACCTGGCCTATCAAAGCCTTATCTCTATGAAAAGTACAGGGCACAGAGGGTCACTTGAACAAGGTTTTTCAGACTTCAAGGAACATGCAATTTCCATGCTATCTCAACAATTTTGGGGCATTAAAATAATAGACATTTTCTAAATTCAGATGCTGAAATCTAAACATTACAATGAGAATAGATGGATAGATGGATGGATGGACAGATGGGTGACAGGCCAGTGGACAGATGGGTGAGCGGGTGGGTGTATAAATAGATAACTCTCACTCTTAAATATAGATGCAAAAATATAGACAGAATTTGACTACTTCTCAACACTTTTACAGCAACCACCCTGGTCCCAGCTGCCATCATCTGTCCTTTTAATTATTCAATAATCCTCCTAACTCCTTGTCCCTGATGCCACCCTAGTCTGCTATGGCTTATTTTTCACACAGCTGCCAAAGAGATCTTCTTAAAACATAAGTTAGAGAGACACACATAGGCTCAAAATAAAGGGATGGAGGAAGATCTACCAAGCAAATGGAAAACAAAAAAAAGCCAGGGGTTGCAATCCTGGTCTCTGATAAAACAGACTTTAAACCAACAAAGATCAAAAGAGACAAAGAAGGCCATTACATCATGGTAAAGGGATCAATTCAACAAGAAGAGCTAACTATCCTAAACAGATATGCACCCAATACAGGAGCACCCAGATTCATAAAGCAAGTCCTTAGAGACCTACAAAAAGACTTAGAATCCCACACAATAATAATGGGAGACTTTAACACCCCACTATCAACATTAGACAGATCAATGAGACAGAAAGTTAACAAGGATATCCAGGAATTGAACTCAGCTCTGCACCAAGCGGACCTAATACACATCTACAGAACTCTCCACCCCAAGTCAACAGAATATACATTCTTCTCAGTACCACATCACACTTATCCCAAAATTGACCACATAGTTGGAAGTAAAGCACTCCTCAGCAAATGTAAAAGAACAGAAATTATAACAAACTGTCTCTCAGACCACAGTGCAATCAAACTAGAACTCAGGATTAAGAAACTCACTCAAACCTGCTCAACTACATGGAAACTGAACAACCTGCTCCTGAATGACTACTGGGTACATAACGAAATGAAGGCAGAAATAAAGATGTTCTTTGAAACCAATGAGAACACAGACAACATACCAGAATCCCTGGGACACATTCAAAGCAGTGTGTAGAGGGAAATTTATAGCACTAAATGCCCACAAGAGAAAGCAGGAAAGATCTAAAATTGACACCCTAACATCACAATTAAAAGAACTAGAGAAGCAAGAACAAACACATTCAAAACCTAGCAGAAGGCAAGGAATAACTAAGATCAGAGCAGAGCTGAAGGAAATAGAGACACAAAAAACCCTTCAAAAAAATCAATGAATCCAGGAGGTGGTTTTTTTTGAAAAGATCAACAAAATTGATAAACCGCTAGCAAGACTAATGAAGAAAAGAGAAGAATCAAATAGACGCAATAAAAAATGATAAAGGGGATATCATCACCGATCCTTCAGAAATACAAACTGCCATCAGAGAATACTATAAACACCTCTACGCAAATAAACTAGAAAATCTAGAAGAAATGAATAAATTCCTCGACACATACACCCTCCCAAGACTAAACCAGGAAGAAGTTGAATCTCTGAATAGACCAATAACAGGCTCTGAAATTGAGGCAATAATTAATAGCTTACCAACCAAAAAAAGTCTAGGACAAGATGGATTCACAGCCAAATTCTACCAGGGGTACAAGGAGGAGCCGGTACCATTCCTTCTGAAACTATTCCAATCAATAGAAAAAGAAGGAATCCTCCCTAACTCATTTTATGAGGCCAGCATCATCCTGATACCAAAGCCTGGCAGAGACACAACAAAAAAAGAGAATTTTAGACCAATATCCCTGATGAACATTGATGCAAAAATCCTCAATAAAATACTGGCAAACCGAATCCAGCTGCACATCAAAAAGCTTACCCACCATGATCAAGTGGGCTTCATCCCTGGGATGCAAGGCTGGTTCAACATACAGAAATCAATAAATGTAATCCAGCATATAAACAGAACCAACTACAAAAACCACGATTATCTCAATAGATGCAGAAAAGGCCTTTGACAAAATTCAACAGCTCTTCGTGCTAAAAACTCTCAATAAATTAGGTATTGATGGGACGTATCTCAAAATAATAAGAGCTATTTATAACAAACCTACAGCCAATATCATACTGAATGGGCAAAAACTGGAAGCATGACCTTTGAAAACTGGCAGAAGACAGGGATGCCCTCTCTCACCACTCCTATTTAACATAGTGTTGGAAGTTCTGGCCAGGGCCATCAATCAGGCAGGAGAAAGAAATAAAGGGTATTCAGTTAGGAAAAGAGGAAGTCAAACTGTCCCTGTTTGCAGATGACATGACTGTATAGTTAGAAAACCCCATCATCTCAGCCCAAAATCTCCTTAAGCTGGGAAGCAACTTCAGCAAAGTCTCAGGATACAAAATCAATGTGCAAAAATCACAAGGATTCTTATGCACCAATAACAGACAGAACCATATCATGAGTGAACTCCCATTCACAACTGCTTCAAAGAGAATAAAATACCTAAGAATCCAACTTACAAGGGATGTGAAGGACCTCTTCAAGGAGAACTACAAACCACTGCTCAACCAAATAAAAGAGGACACAAACAAATGGAAGAACATTCCATGCTCATGGATAGAAGAATCGATATCATGAAAATGGCCATACTGCCCAAGGTAGTTTATAGATTTAATGCCATCCCCATCAAGCTACCAATGACTTTCTTCACAGAATTGGAAAAAACTACTTTAAAGTTCATGTGGAACCAAAAAAGAGCCCGCATTGCCAAGTCAATCCTAAGCCAAAAGAACAAAGCTGGAGGCATCACGCTACCTGACTTCAAACTATACTATAAGGCTACAGTAACCAAAACAGCATGGTACTGGTACCAAGACAGATATATAGACCAATGGAACAGAACAGAGTCCTCAGAAATAGTACCACACATCTACACCATCTGATCTTTGACAAACCTGACAAAAAGAAATGGGGAAAGGATTCCCTATTTAATAAACGGTGCTGGGAAAACTGGCTAGCCATATGTAGAAAGCTGAAACTGGATCTCTTCCTTATACCTTATACAAAAATTAATTCAAGATGGATTAAAGACTTAAATGTTAGCCCTAAAACCATAAAAACCCTGGAAGAAAACCTAGGCATTACCATTCAGTACATAGGCATGGGCAAGGACTTCATGTCTAAAACACCAAAAGCAATGGCAACAGAAGCCAAAATTGACAAATGGGATCTAATTAAACTAAAGAGCTTCTGCACAGCCAAAGAAACTACCATCAGAGTGAACAGGCAACCTACAGAATGGGAGAAAATTTTTGCAATTTACCCACCTGACAAAGGGCTAATCAGAATCTATAAAGAACTCAAACAAACTTACAAGAAAAAACAACCCCATCAAAAAGTGGATGAAGGATATGAACAGACACTTCTCAAAAGAAGACATTTATGCAGCCAACAGACACATGAAAAAATGCTCATCACTGGCCATCAGAGAAATGCAAATCAAAACCACAATGAGATACCATCTCACACCAGTTAGAATGGTGATCATTAAAAAGTCAGGAAACAACAGGGGCTGGAGAGGATGTGGAGAAATAGGAACACTTCTACACTGTTGGCGGGACCGTAAACTAGTTCATCCATTATGGAAGACAGTGTGGCAATTCCTTAAGGATCTAGAACTAGAAAAAAACCATTTGACCCAGCCATCCCATGACTGGGTATATACCCAAAGGATTATAAATCATGCTGCTATAAAGACACATGCACACGTATGCTTATTGCGGCACTATTCAGAATAGCAAAGACTTGGAACCAACCCAAATGTTCATCAATGATAGACTGGATTAAGAAAATGTGGCACATATACACCATGGAATTACTATGCAGCCATAAAAAAGGATGAGTTCATGTCCTTTGTAGGGACATGGATGAAGCTGGAAACCATCATTCTCAGCAAACTATCTCAAGGACAAAAAACCAAACACCGCATGTTCTCACTCATAGATGGGAATTGAACAATGAGAACACTTGGACAGAGGAAGGGGAACATCACACACTGGGGCCTGTTGTCGGGTAGGGGGAGAGGGGAGGGATAGCATTAGGAGATATACCTAATGTTAAATGACGAGTTAATGGGTGCAGCATACAAACATGGCACTTGTATACATATGTAACAAACCAGCATATTGTGCACATGTACCCTAGAACTTAAAGTATAATAAAAATATATATATAAATAAATTTACAATTTTTTAATTTAAATTTAGAATTTAAATTTAAGATTTAACAATTCCTTCTAATCCTTAGACTGTGTATAATTTTCCCAGTTGTCTCAAAAATATCCTTGTACAGTTGATTTGTTTGAACAGGACTAAAAACAAGTAAAACAAGATCGAGATATTGAATTTGGTTGATTAAAAAAAATAAATAAGTTACAGCATGTCATTCTTCCACTCATATCCTTCCAATAATTTGCCATTTCCTCAGAGTAAAAGCTAAAGATTTTACAAGGGTCTATCTCTGAGTATTTACATGATTTGCCCCCCACATATGTACTCCCACCTCTCAGACCTCTCCTTCTAATACTCTCCTTACTTGCTCAGTTCCAGCCACTCTGGCCTCTTTGAAGTTCCTTAAACATAGCAAGCACACTTCCATCCCAGAGTCTCTGCACTTGCTAGTCCCTCTGCCTGCAAGCTCTGACCCCAGTTAAAGACATGGCTCATTCCCTTACTTCCTTCAGATATCTGCTCAAATGTTGCCCTCTTGATAGGTCCTCAGAAGGCCCCACTCCCAACATATCCTTGCCTGCTTTATTTTTCTTTTTCTCAGTGCTTACCACCATCTGACCTACTACATTTTATGTATTATGTCTTTCTTCTCATTAAAATATAAGCTCTATGAGGGTCGGGATTATGTTTTATTTACTCCTGTATTTCCAAAATGTGGAACAGTGCCTAGCATATTAGATTCTCAAAAAAATAATAATAATAATTAGTGGAAAGGTTGAAAACAATCAGGAAAAACAAAGAATGAATGAACACCCCCAACAAAAAATGAGCTATTTGCTAAGAACAAGCCAGATAAAAAAATTAATTTATTTTTTAAATTAACTTTACTACAAGTTGAAAAACTGCAAATTGAAACAGTAAGGTATTTATCCATTAAATTACCAAAAAACTTAATAATCATCAGTGCTGAAAATGGGGCGTATTATCAAACCTTGTTGCTTGTGCTTAAACTGGTAAAACTGGCCCCGAGAGCTGTTTGGTATATTTATGGAAAGCCTTTGGAAAGTGTTTTTATCCTTTGTCTCAACTTCTGGAAAATTTAAGGAAATGAATGAATATTCACAGATTTGGCTGCAAAGATAATTATCACTGTCTGGTTTATAATAATATAAAGCGTCAAGAGATAATTATTATCAACACAAGTGTCCCTAGCCTTTCCCCACGTCCTATGGAGAAATTCTGACTTTGTCAAATTGTATGCTGGGCTTTAGTGCTGCTGAATCTGTTAAATGGATAGAAACAATACTAGAGAAGGGCATTTGGTGATTTTAAAGAGAAAAAAAAGACTAAAATCTAACAATAATTATCTTGGTGTGATGGGATTACAGCCGATTTTTACTTTGTGTTTTTTCTTATTGATGAAGAGAAAAAAAGCCCCAGCTCAGAACGTACATGGAAGAAGCTACAGCCAATGAACGAGACAACCACGACCACATAGTTGAACCCAGAAAAGGCTAATGACTCAACCACAGCCAAGTAGGACCAAAAGTTGGGAAAGAGTGTGGCTGAAAATTGGGGAATCATTTCTAGGTGAATATACTTAGCAATCAATGCATCCCAGTTTCCTACCACATAGAAGAGCTTGCAGTCAAGCTCTTAATGCAAAGCAAACTTATTTGAGGGTTCTCTTCTAAAGAAATGGAGCTGATTATCCAGGAAGAACTAGAGTATAAGTGTTGGTGCTCCATAGTGAAGTTCTCTTTTTTAAGCTTATTTCAGTGTCCACTTCTGACTCATAATAACAGTAAGTTTTCCAGTCAGTAAGTCTCACCCACAAAAACAGCATGAAGTCAACTTTGCAATCTGATTTTTTAAAAATGTGAATAGACAACCAAGATTCATTAGTCATATGAATAAAGCTTGCAATGTGAAATAGAAGACCAGTAAGAATAGCTCACATGTATTGAGTGCTTACCATGTGCTGGGAGTTATCTGAGTATGCTTATAAACAAACTCTCTAGATCTTCACAAAATGAATGTAAGCTTAGTTATTATGCCCCAGGAAACTGAGGCAGAGATGGCTTAAGTTACTTGCCCAAGTTTGGACAGTTAGCTCTTATTAGAGGTGGGGTTTGATTTGCTTCCAGTTTGCAGTGATAAACTACTATGCAATTTTGCCTCTCATGATAAATAAGCAGAAAACTAACAGAAGAGATAGCTTAGAGCAAATAAAATTTAACTAGAAATTCCAGAAAATAGAACACTTATAAAATAAAATAAAAAATACTGAATAGGGAACTTTTGAACATTTCAAATATAATTTCAGAAAAATATTATCAACCCAAGGTAGGACAATAATTCATAGAACCTGTTTTAAAAAATAAAACAACAACAACAACAACAACAAAAAAACAGAGTAAGGGGACAAAGAAAATTAACCAAAAGGTCAAATATCTGCCTAATAGACATGCCAGACAGAGAATAAAGAAAACAGCGAAGAGAAAACAAAGGAATTTCGTAAGTCACATTCCAGACCTGAAGGGAGAAACACATCTTCATATTTGAAAACTCTTTTTCTTCCAATGAAAGACACTCAGGATACCATTGTCTAACTTTGGAACCAAAAATAGGAAGATTCCAAGGGCCTCCAAGAGAAATCAATAAATCATCTGCAAAAGTATGGTATTAAAATTCTCATCAACAACTAAAAGATTAGGAAGAATGGCTTCAATATTTTAAGAGAAACTTTTTTAAGGCACTGTATCAATTAGGGTTCTCCAGAAAAAAAAAAAGGAGATACACACACACACACACACACATATATATATATATTAAGGAAGTGGCACACAAAATTGTGGGAAATGGCAAGTCTAAAATTTGTAGGACAGGCATGGAAAATCAGGCAGGGGTAGATGCTGCTGTCTTGAGGCAGAATTTTTTTTTTTTTTTTTTTTTTGTGCTCTTAAGGCCTTCCCATCCACTTTAGGATAATCTTTACTTAAAGCAAAGCTTTAAATTGACATTACTTAAAATCAGTTGTAGATGTAAACAACATCTACAAAATATCTTCACAGCAATATCTAGAGTAGTTTTTGATTAAGTAGCTACATTCTATAGCCTAGCCCAGTTGACAAAACTGTGACAGGTACTTTAGCCTGCCATCCCTCCCCTCATTTTTTAAAAATTGTGGTAAAATACACTTAACATAAACTTCATCATAGCAAACTAATAGACACTGGGAAACAAGTAGTCTATTAGTCTATGTTTCAGGGTTTCAATTTCTCTACATCCTGGACAACACTTGCTTGGTTTGGTTTTTAGCTATGACCATCCTAGCGGATATGAAAGGGTATCTTATGGTGGTTTTGATTTGAATTTTCCTACTGGCTGATGATGTTGACCATCTTTTTATGTATTTGTTAGCCACTAGTATATCTTCTTTAAATAAATGTCTATTCAAGGTTTTTGCCTATTTTTAAACTGGGTATTTATTTTGCTGTTGTTGATTTGTAATAACTCTTCATATATTCTAGATATCAGACTTATCATATATATGATTTGCAAATATGTTTTCCCCTTCCATGGTTTGTTTCACTTTTTTAAAAAATTATTTTTATTATTTTTAAAAATTTTTTGCAAGTGTAGAGTAGGAATATATATTTATGGGGAACATGAGATGTTTTGATACAGGCATGCAATGTGAAATAAGCACATTATGGAGAATGAAGTATCTATGCCCTCAAGCATTTATTCTTTGAGTTACAAACAATCCAGGCCAGGCGCGGTGGCTCAGGCCTGTAATCCCAACACTCTGGGGAGGCCGAGGCGGGTGGATCACGAGGTCAGGAGATGGAGAGCAGCCTGACCAAGATGGCAAAAGCCTGTCTCTACTAAAAATACAAAAATTAGCTGGGCACAGTGGCAGGCACCTATAATCCCAGTTACTCGGGAGGCTGAGGCAGGAGAATTGCTTGAACCCAGGAGGCAGAGGTCGCTGTGAGCAGAGATCACTCTAGCCTGGGTGACAGAGCAAGACTCTGTCTTAAAAAAAAAAAAACAAAAAACAAACAAACAAAAATCTAATTATGTAATTAAATCATTTTAAAATATACAACTAAGTTATTATTGACTGTAGTCACCCTATCATGCTATCTCTTTTCACTCCCTTGATAGTGTTTTTTGATGCATAGTAGTTTTTAATTTCAGTGAAATTTCATTTCTCTATTTTCTTTTGCTACTTGTGTTTTTGGGGTCATATCTAAGAAACCATTGCCAAATCTAAATATCATCAAGATTTACTCCTATACTTCCTTCTGAAAGTTTTATAGTTTTAACTCTTAGGTCTTTGATCCATTCTGAGGTTTTATGTTTTATTTGTCTTTTTGAGACAGGGTCTCATTCTCTCAGCCAGGCTGGAACGCAGTGGTGTGAACATGGCTCACTGCAGCTTTAATCTCCCATGCTCAAGCAATCCTCCCATTTCAGCCTCCTGAGTAGCTGGGACTACAGGCATGTGCCACCATGCCCAGCTAATTTTTATATTTTTTGTAGACATAAGGTTTCACCATGTTGCCCAGGCTGGTCTTTAATTTTTGTATATGGAGTAAAGATCCAAATTAATTCCTTTACATGGGGATATCCAATTGTCCCAGCATCATTTAGTTAAGAGGCTACTCTTCCTCATTGAATGGTCTTGGCACCCTTGTTGAAATCAGTTTGCCACAGATCTGTGATTTCTGGACTCATGCTTTTATTCATCTATATGTTTATCCTTGTGCCAGTATCACGGTGTTTTAATTACTATAGCTTTGCAGTAGCTTTTGAAATCAGGAAATGTGAGCTCTCCAATTTTGTTGTTCTTTTTTCAATATTGTTTTGGCTTTTTAGGGGCCCTGCAATTCCATATGAATTTGAAGTTTGGTTTTTCCATTTCTGCCAAAAAAAAAATAAAGAGGCTGTTGGAATTTTGATAGACTCCGTATTGAATGTTTAGATTGCTTTAGTATCGACATCTTACCAATATTAAATCTTCTAATTCATGAACATGTTATATCTTTTCATTTATTTAGGTCTTCCTCAATTTCTTTCAGCAATGTTTTATAGATTTCAGTGCAAAAATCTTTCACCACCTTGGTTAAATTTATAAGGTATTTTATTATTTTGGATAGTATTATAAATGGTACTGTTTTCCTGATTTCTTTTTTGGTCTCTTCATTGTAGAATTACCACTGAATTTGTGATCTTGTATCCTGCAACTTTGCTATATTCATTTATTAGCTCTAATAATTTTGGGAAATTTTTAAAAATTTTTCTAAATATGAGATCATATCATCTGTGACTAGTTTTACTTCATCTTCTTGAATAATTGCTCTAAAACTTCTAGTACAAAGTTGAATAAAAATGACAAAAGCAGACCTCCTTGTCTTGTTCCTTTGTCTTAGGAGAAAGTGTTCGTCTTTCCATTGAGCATAATGTTTGCCGTGGGTTTTTCATAAATTCCTTTTATCATGTTAGGGAGTTCTAACGGATTTTTTTTTTTTTTTTGCAACCTAGAATTCTACACTCAGTCAAGCTTTCAGAGGTGAGAGCAGAAGAAATGACATTTTTAAACTTGTAAAATCTCAGAACATTTCATCCCATGTATCTCTTCAGAAGTAGTTTCTTAAAAATGTACTACAGCAAAACAAAGGAGCAAAGTAATCAAAGAAAAAAATGTAGGATCCAAGAAACAGTACATCCATCCAATCCAGGAGCACAGTAAAAGGGAGCCATAGAATGACATAAAACCTAGAAAGTAATCAGTCCAAATTATAACACTAGTAAGGTACAAGGATTCCGAGGAGGAGATCTGTGGGAAAAGTTGGGAGAGGGGTAACTATGAAAGTATTAGTCCACGAATGACCAAAGTTGTCAAATTCAAACAAAGTCAGGAGCTTTAGGGAACAATAAAATAGATTCCAAGTTATAAGAAGAGTATGAAAGGAACTAGTTAGATACATAGTGGGGAAAGCACCATAACAAACAATCTAGACTAGAAATTATGAAACAAACTAAACTGTGGAATGATTTTAAGCAATTGGTGGCATAAGAAAGGTACCTTAATTTGAATTTAACACAAGTAATGGTCCTAAGAATGGCACCAAATTGTACTATCAGGAAGCCTCTGAGTGACCAATATTTACATACAAGAATGTTAAAGCAATGTATTGGTTTTCAGCATTCACAAAGCTGTAGACAATCATAGGAAGGTTTAATTATGGTTATAGAATACAACAAAATGTAACCAACAGTTAAATAGGAAGATAAAACAAATTGTTTGGATATCTCTTGGGCAAAAATTTAACAATCTTTTGGTCAGATTGGTTTCTTCATGGTAATGGACTCTACTAACAAGCCCGTCAAGATGTGTAGGGAGAAATGGCAGGTTTATAAGGCAATGTGAAGATCGGTGGCATGAAGTCCTGAGAAGGAGTTTGAAAGGAACCTGTTCAAAAGCATTAGTTAAAAAATAAAAGTACGTTGCGTGTGGTGACTCATACCTGTAATCCCAGCGTTTTGGGAGGGCAAGGCAGGAGGATTACTTGAGGCCAGGAGTTCAAGACTAGCCTGGGCAATGTAGCGAGACCCCGTCTCTAAAAATAAAAAATTAGAGAGACATAGTGGTGTGCTCCTACAGTCCTAGCTATGCAGGAGGCTGAAGTAGAATTGTTTGAGCCTATGAGTTCAAGGTTACAGTGAGCTATGATTGCATGCCACTGTACTCTAGCCTTGGTGACAGAGTAAGACACTGTCTCTACCAAAATTAGAAGATGTTCTTTCATCCTCTCAGGAAGAGTGAAAAAGAACTGGTGATAATACTTGAGGTTGAGGGAAAGTAATTTCCAGAAAAATTTGCCAGACTACTCTAAAAGTTCCATCACTATTTAGCTAGTTTCTAACGTTTGTCTGAAAACTAAGAATGGTGTATCACATTCAATTCATTTTAAGCATAAATTTGAATCCATGAATAAAGTTTTTCATTTTTGCAGACACCACGCCCTTTTCCTGTTCTCCAGTTCTTTTCAATTTTGTTCCATAAGACAATTGTGCCATTATGCTCCATGGAAACCATTCCATGCATTCTTGGCATCAGTTTTTGGTCCTCTTGGTGTCTTTAACTCCTACTAATATGAATGGGCATGACCTCAGTATCAAAGGGTCATTTAATTTGGTGTACAACATGATAACAAATTATCTTCTGTGCACATAATATATACAAATTCAAAGCTTGCCCAGAATATAAATAGTTCTTGAACATATTCTGTCCTTTTTGAAAAGCAATGCTGTATGCATGTGCACAAGTTCCATGATTTCCATGATTTCCCCTAGACATTTTGGACATGTTACATGTGGCTTCACCAGAAAAGGAAAGTGGAAAAGTCAGGCGATTATCTAATGAACGTACTTAATGGAGGCAGTCAGTCTGGAACACATAGCAGTAAAGCAATTTCTCAGAATCCCTTTTTGAAACTTGAATTATCAATAATGTCACCTTAGCCCCTCAGTGATTTGTGTATGTGTTGCAAATTACTTGAAATGAAGACATTTAGGTGGCAATATTTTGCCTATTTTCATAGAGAAAGAAGAAACTGACCTTGTTTAAATAAATGTCAAAAACTTTTAACGTAGACACTGGCAAGTTTAATTTTTTTTTCCATTGAGGTACATGATGTACCATAAGCTCCAGCTGAATTCTGAAGCTGTTGCTTAGCTCTTCCTGTGGGCCTCCTCCAAATACAACTTCACCTAACACGCTAGAAGTGGAAGAGGCAGGAGGGAGAACAAACGCCCCTCGAGATTTCAGTGACTCATCTTAAATGGCCTTTTACACGCCTGTGTACTTGTGGTTAAGAACCGTGGGGCTCAGAGTGCAAATATGTAAACTACATAAATTAGTACCTTGAATCAAAAGCCAAGGTATGTTTTTTAACCAGCACTGAAATATAGATAAGCTCTCCCTCCCACTCTCCCACCCGCTTAAAATGGCCCCACAGGAAGCAGGTAGGAAGATCATTTTGTTTTCCACCCTCTCCAGCCCTACGTTTCTGTCCCAGGCAAAGGCAGCTCATTGGAATTGTCCCAGCAGGCTTGTTATGTCTGAGAGTGAGGAGGAAGATGCTGAGAGCTGGGCTTTGTTAGTTTCATGTTTTCTGGAGCACAGTGTGGGTGTGCTGTGAATACTGAGATGACATCAATCACAGAAGGTAATACAAAAACTCGCTTAGCATTAGGTGTAAGACAAGGTCAAGCAAATCTTCAGCTGGACCCAGACCTACCACCTGTTTTCAGGATTAGTTGGCAAGACAATATACTTGAGAAATCTCTGCAACAATCTACTGATCTCTAAAACCTGCCTCTTAGTCCCATGGGGACTACTGTCTTCCGCAGTGTGTGTGAGCATCTTCACTTTCCACCCCCCAGCATTACACTCCCTGACACTGACCCGATAGTCCTTTAATCAACCAGTTTGCTATTTCTTCCATCTCTAACTCTAATACTTATGAGTTAATGTGCCTCAACCTCCAAAGTTCTCTCCCTCGAAACTCTCCACTCTAAAATTCCCCATAATCAGAGAGCCTCCCATCGGATATCTCGCCATGCATCAGTTCAACTTCATCCACATTGGGTTATCAACAAACTTGAAGTATGTGAGCCACTACCTTTTCAGCTTTCCTTTCCATCTTACTTTCTGGTTCATTTGAGCTGCCATTTAAAATTTGCCACTTAAAAAAATGATCCTTTCTTTCTTTTTTTTTTTTTTGTTGTTTTTTTAAGACAGATTTTCACTCTTGTTGCCCAGGCTGGGGTGCGATGGCACGATCTTGGCTAACCACAACCTCTGCCTCCCAGGTTCAAGCGATTCTCCTGCCTCAGCCTCCTGAGTAGGTGGGATTACAGCCATGTGCTGCCACCACACCCAGCTAATTTTGTAGTTTTAGTAGAGATGGGTTTTCTCCATGTTGGTCAGGCTGGCCTGGAACTCCCAGCCTCAGGTGATCCACCTGTCTCGGCCTCCCAAAGTGCTGGGATTACAGGCATGAGCCACCGTGCCTACCTGATCCTTTCTTTTTTCTACTTACAGAAATAGAACATGCTCATGAACACTTTCTTCCTTAGTGTCTTGCTATTCCATCGTCTTGATATATGTTAAACAGTTGACCATTTTGACAATGTGCTCGTCTAGAATCCTTTATAAATTTGCTGTCTTGCCAACCACTATCTCTTCCCTCTGTAGGTTGTGTTCTGTTTTCTCCCTCTCCTGCTTCCTGGTTGATAAATGTCATTTGGAGTGAGTCACAAAAATCTGTTGATGGAAGCCATTTTTTATTCATGCCCTCCAAGCTCACCTGATTCCTTCTCGACTATTAGTGATCTTTTAATGCCTTTCTTGCCAAGTCACTAAGTCTCAACAACTGCTATCCCTCATTTTCTTCACTTCCCCTAAGCTTCAAGCTGCCGTTGATTTTCCTCTTTCTGGGCAGATGCTTTAACATCACACTTAATTGAAAAGAGAAATCATCATCTGAGTTGACATATCCTGCAGAATTTCTGTGGTCCCTGTACTTGATATTCTTTAGCAAATGCAAATCTAAGCTTTCCCCAACCCCCCAAGCTGCTCTCTTCCCTGCATTTTCACACACAGGTTAAATGACTGCCCACACTCAACATGGCTTGCAGGCAGCAGAGCTGGGCTTCAAAGCCAAGAAACCTGGCTGCAAACTCCTGTGCTTAACCACTACACTGTGCTGCTTCACACTTATGCTACTGCCTTCTTTCTTCTTCCCTCATCTCCCAAATATCTGAATCATCTGTGCTTCTTGATTCAATCGTTACCATTCCTCTCTAATCCTTTGCAATTTCCCTTATAACCTCACCTGTGTCCTGAAATTATTCTCTCCAAAATGTCCTCACCCAAAAACTTTTTCTTGCTTGCACAATCCTTAACTTTTCTAGAGTACTTGAATCTATTGGTGAAGGGAAAAGGTGTGGGAAGAGAATTTGCATTTCCTAAGTAGCTGCTAGGTATCAGAAGTTTTGCATATAGCTAACCTAATTTCTTACAATAGCTGTATGGTATAAGTAATATTTTTCATAAGAAAAAAATTTGCAAAACACATTTGCTTATGGATTTGTCTAAATGAGGCTATTTTAAAACAAAGAGAACTTTTTAGGATTTAATAAGACACAAAGCCCAATTTTTAAAATGAACAAAAGATTTAAACACACAGTTTACCAAAGAGGGGTAAACAAATACTAAAAAAAAAATGCTTAACATCATCATATTATCAGTCCATTTTCATACTGCTATAAGACTGGGTAATTTAGAAAGAAGAGAGGTTTAATTGACTTACAGTTCCGCGTGGCCGAGGAGGCCTCAGGAAACTTACAATCATGGTGGAAGGAGAAGCAAGACACCTCACTCACAAGGCAGCAAGAACGAGAATGAACACAGGAGGACCTATCAAACACTTATAAAACAATCACATCTCGTGAGAACTCACTCACAATCACGAGAACAGCATAGGGAAAACTTGGCCCCATGATTCCATTACCTCCACCTGGTCTCTCCCTTTACACGTGGGGATTATGGGGATTACAGGGATTGCAATTCAAGATGAGATTTTGCGTGACACAGCCAAACCATATCGATCATTAACCATTAGGAAACTGCAAACTTAAAAAATACCACCTACGCACACACACTTGAATGGCCCAAATAAAGAAGACTCAAAATACTAACTGTTGACAAATATGCAAAACAATAGTATACATTGCTGGTGGGAATGTAAAATTGTACAGCTAATTTTAAAACAATTTGGCAGTTTCTTATAAAGTTAAATATACATATACCATATAACTAATCCCACTTAGGCATTTACCCAAGGAAAATGAAAATGTATGCTCACACAAAGACTTGTACTCAGATATTCATAACAGTTTTATTCATAATTGCCAAAAACTGGAAACAACTCAATTGTCCATTAATTGGTGAACACATAAATAACCTGTGATATTTTCAAAAAGTGGTTAACTAGTCAACAATAAAAAGAGAATGAATTATGATATCTGGCAACAACATGGATGAATCTCAAAAGCATTATGCTAAGTAAAAGAAGTCAGGCATAAAATATTATATATGTGAAATTCTAGAAAAGCCAAAACTATATTGATAAGAAGCAGATCAGCTGTTGCTAGCAGCCCGCAGTGGAGGGAAAGATTTAGGTGTAACGGGTATGAGGGCATCTTGGCTGGTGATGAAATGTTCTGTATCGTGATTGCGAGGCTAGTTTCACAGCTATAAACATTTGTCAAAAATAATCAACAATTCACTTTAAATGTGTGAATTTCATTGTACATAAATTATCCCTCGATAACACAAAAATATAAAAGGAGGGGTGAGAAAATGTCTAAATAATAAATGATTAGAAGAGCTTCATTGACTGTAACTATGTTCCCTCTTCATTCCCTCATTATTTCTTTTCTTTCTAGTCCTTCCATATTCCTCTACAGTCTTTTTTCCCCAACCCACAAGTTTTTATTTTCACAAGTGATTAGCTCTGCAAATTATCTGGTAATTTTTAATAATAGAAAGTGACTATTACATGAACCAGAGAGGAGACAGTCTTTGTGGAACTGTGTGTTGCAGAGTTTCTCGTGACTAGATAAGGGAAGCTCTGTTCAAGTGAAATGTGGACATAACTACGTTATCATAACGACGGCTGCCAGGAGGGCAGAACTGAATTTGATGCTCCATCACAGCAAATATATCAGCCCTTCAGGTTGACATTTTTTCTCTCTCCTCCTTTCCATGGTCTTGATTTTCTATTTCAGTTTCATCATCCTTATAATAATATAACCTCTTCTTCATGAGCCACCTAAATTCCTTTTGGTAGAGAGAAGGAATATAAATAAGGGGAGTAAAATAATAGTAACAATGCTTATGGTAATGGAATTATCCTTATGTATGGAAAGGACTAAGGTGGTTTATACTCTGCTTATAGTGCTTTTCCCAAAACACAGAGGTAATTAGTACTTCCTAGTACCAGTGTGTAATGGTCTGAAATTACAGGGAAAAAAAAAGTTCTCATTTGTTTTTTACATATAGGAAGAACTAAATCTATTGCTGCACTTGTGAAGGCAACCTCATTTGAACTTCTTTTTTTTTTTTTTTCTTTTATCTTGACTTGACTCATGGGAGGCACAAATAGGAGGGTAGGAGGAGGATGAAACTGGATCTTTATTCTCCTGGCTCTCTTTATGGCAGCCCACACATTAATTGAATTTCTCTTTCGAAAGCCACACTGCTGTCAGGTACCTCCCTCCCCACCCTACAGTGATAGTGATTGGCTCCAGGTTCCATCGTGTGCTTCCTCCCCTTTCCGCTGCAGGCCTAGTTGTGGTAAAGACAGACCTCACAGGGCCTTGCCATTCCTTGTTGGCTTCCCCCAACCCTGCTCTCGTGGATTGAATGGTGGCCCCCAAAAAAGACATGTCCACATTCACAGAACCTGTGAATGAATATGACCTTATTTAGAAAAAGGATCTCTGTAGATGTAATGAAGCTGAAGCTCTTGAGATGAGGAGATCATCTTTCACTATTGAGGTGGGCCGAAAGGCCAATCTCAAGTGTCCTTATAAGAGAAAGGCAAAGGGAGATTTGACACAGACAAAAGAGAAGAAGACAAACCGAGGAGAAAGTGATACAAAAGTGAGAAAGGACAGGAGTAAGTGATACAAAGACAAGGGCAGAGCTTGGAGTGATGTGGTCACAAACCAAGGAGGCCAAGGATTGCCAACAGCTACCAGAAGCTGGAAGAAGCAAGAAAGGTAATTATCTAGAGCCTCTGGATGGAGTGCAGCCCTGCTGACACCGTAATTTTAGATTTCGGGACTCCAGAACAGTGAGAGAATACTTTTCTCTTGTTTTAAGCCACCAAGTTTATGGTAATTTGCTATTGCAGCCCTAGGAAACAAATACACCCGCCCACACCTTGGTAAACAGACCCTCTTAAAGTTCTCGCCAGTTACACAGTTTGTATGTGCTTCTTATCTCCTGCCAAGGTCTACCAGATAGATCGTATCTTCCAATGAGCAAGTGCCTCATTATTATAACTCTGAACTCTAGGACAGTTCTGGTGATATAAAATGCAAAATTAGCATTTATACTACTTATTAAGTGTTATTTAAATTTGTATATACTTTCTATTCAGCATGAGGTAGGTCTAGATGCATAACGTAAGCTACAAATTCCCCAAATGACACTACTGCAGTTTTTTCCAGTGAAGATGGTTCCATAGTAAGGATCACAGTTTTTTTTTAATGTTCTATGAAAGTTCCTATGAGGTGGGAATTGATATTTGGAAAAGGAGACTTTTGGTTAGTTTCATGAATAATAATTTTCATGTCTAATTTCCAAAACTATATCAAACGAAGACTAGAGGCTGGGTGTGGTGGTTCATGCCTGTAATCCCAACATTTTATGAGGCCGAAGCAGCCAGATCACTTGAGTACAGGAGTTCAAGACCAGCTTGGGAAAAATGGTGAAACCCCATCTCTACAAAAAATAAAAATAAAATAATTTGCTGAGGAGAAATGATCATTTGAGCCCTGGAGGTAGAGGCTGCAGTGAGCTACGACAGCACCACTGCACTCCAGTATGGGCGACAGAGTGTGACCCCGTCTTAAGGAAAAAAAAAGAAAAGAAAGACTCGAGTCACCAGGTAACCTACTAAACCAATCTTTGTGGGAGACATCAAGCCAACAGCAGTGTGAATGTTGTTTATAGACAGGTAGAGCTATGACAAAGTCCAGGGAAAATTAGTCAGAGAGGAGTCTCAGAACAGCTCTCAGGGGAGCACCTATATTTAAGGTTCAAGAGATGGAAGAAGAGATAGAGGAATAGTTGGAAGCACAGGAGGAGAATCAGGAGAGTGAGGAGTTTCAAGAAACATGGAGTGTTTCTAAATCTGAACCTCAGAGGTTCAGAGGAATGAATACAAAAAAAGGCCATTAATTTGGGGACTTTCAGGAGAGTGCATGGGACAAAAGCCAGATTGCAAGAAAAGGGTCTGCTGATTACTGATAAGGGTTTACTGTGCAAGTCGACCTTCAAATACACAAACCGCAGCTCTTCAGAGCAGTGGCTCTCAGTGCTGGTTGTACTTTCTAATCCCTGGAGAGCCCTTAGGCAATATCAACCCTGGAGGCATATCCCAGACCAATCCAATCAGAATTTTAAGGAGTGGAGTTCAGGAAATACCACTGCTTAAAAGCTGCTGGGTTCTTCTAACAAGCATCCAAAGACTGAGAATCACTGCTATGAAGGGATTCAAAAACCCAGGCCCAGATCCAACATGCTGATTAGTTTTATAAAGTTTATTGGAAAATAGCTGCACCCATTCATCAGCTGGGATATTGTCAGTGGCTGCTTTCATGCTACAGTGGCAGAGTTGAGTAGCTGTGAGGGAGACCACATGGCCCACAAAGGTGGAAATATTAACCATCTGGCCCTTAATAGAAATAATTTGCAGACCTTGGTATAAAGCAGGATTTCTCAGCCTTGGCACTTTTGACTTTTTTTTTGGAGAGATGAGGTTTCACCAAGTTGCCCACACTGGTCTTGAACTCCTGAGCTCGAGCAACCCACCCACCTTAGCCTTCCAAAGTTCTGGGATTACTGGTGTGAGCCACCACACCCGGCCACTTTTGACAGTTTCTTTTTCTTTTTTTTTTTTTAGATGGAGTTCTGCTCTTGTCACCCAGGCTGGAGTGCAATGGCAAGATCTTGGCTCACTGCAACCTCCTCCTCCTGGGTTCAAGTGATTCTCTCACCTCAGCCTCCCAAGTAGCTGGGACTACAGGTGCCAGCCACCATGCCCAGCTAATTTTTGTGTTTTTAGTAGAGACAGTGTTTCACCATGTTGGCCCAGGTAGTCTTGAACTCCTAACCTTGGGTGATCTGCCCACCCACCTTGGCCTCCCAAAGTGCTGGGATTACTGGTGTGAGCCACTGTACCCAGTCACTTTTGACAGTTTTGACAGGTTAATTCTTTATTATGGGGAGCTGTCCTGTGCATTGTAGGAAGTTTAACAGCATCCTTGTCTTTTACCCACTAGATGCCAATAGCACCATCTTCTGATCCCCCACCCTCCACCTAGTCATGACAATGAAAATGCCTGTAAACATTGCCAAATGTCCCTTGGCATACAAAATCACCCTGATTGAGAATCACAGCTATAAGAGTATTAAAGAATGTACAGTCAGTTTTTGTGATTCATAGTAGTTATATTCTATAAAGTCACTATAAACATTGGATTAACAAATACTGTGCCATTGCTCCTAGAGGAAATACAGGGATAGGTTCCCACAAGCTTCCGGCCGCAAGGTTTTTTGTCAACTGATCAATATATAACTTTATTTTATGTGTGTTTAAAGACACCATATTTAATATATATTTCTAACAAATAATTATATGCAGTATTTCTTTATAATAAAACACTAACTTAGAGGGGTTTAACACTTTCCTGACCTTGGGTAACATGACCATAAATATCTTTGGTTTTCAGCATCATAATTCATCTCATGAATCCACAAATTCAGCAATTTTTCCATTTTTCCCATAGCTTCATCATGCACTATTGATGCTATGTGAGCACTTTCCAGAGAGGTCTCATGTATAGACTGGTGAATTTCCTCTTCCTTTTTCTGAATGTATAGTATTACTGATTTCCTAACATTGAGCTTGCAGCCAACAGCACTATAACTCGTGCTTGAATGAAGTTTGCCCAACATATATTTTCTCCATACCGCACAATACAGTAACCTTGTCTTTAGAAACTCCAGGCAGCACTTCAGCATTATAGTTGGGGTTTTTAAAAACAGGGAAGTCACCAACAAAAACACTAACATGCAAAAATAAATACATTAATTAATTAAAAAGTGGCAATAAATAGACTGCAAAAGGACCACATGAGGGCTGAAACAAGAAGGCAGAGTATCGCCTTGTTCAGCCTCAACTGGAAATGTGCATAGCAAGGGACTCAAATTTTTCACCAACTCTGCACATATCTAAAAATGATTGCAAAAGTGCCACAAGTATTGACTTTGGAATTACAAAAAAATTTTAGCAAGTAGACTAAATGATAATGAGGATCAACTATGGAATGGATCAACACTAAACTACTGGAACGTAAGTTTGGACACATGGACAGGAAGCAGAGTTGATTTATCTTTATGTATCAAGTGCTTAACCCATAGGAATGTTCAGTAAATAGTTGTCTAATAAATTAATGAATACTCAAAATGGGAAAATATTTTAATCTGCTTGTGATGCTTTTGAAATTAAACAATTCCTACATATAGCATGAAGAAGAAGGAGAATTTACAAAAGACCTAGTGATTTTTATGGATTGCTCTATATCATTCAAAGAAGTTTGAAACTTGGCAAGTGCTTATCCAAATGTGGAGAACACAGATGAAACTTAGAGATAGCACAAAAGGACAAGCAGAGAAGATGACAAGTATGAAGTTTAGGCAAATTGCAGGTTTCCTTTAACTAAAGGAAGTTTGGAAGATCGATGCCCACCCATCCTGAGCTCGGAAAGCTTGGTAAGATCAGGCCAGCTCTGTACATCTCAAGAAAAGTCATAACTGCCTCTGTGAATCTTCATGATATTTAAACTGAACTTTAAGATTCAGTTAATCATCCAGGCCTGGTGGCTCATGCCTATAGCCCCAGCACTTCGGGAGGCTGAGGAGGGAGGATCAGTTGAACCCAGGAGTTTGAGACCAACCTGGGTAATATAGGAAGACCCTGTCTCTTAAAAAAAAAAAAAAAAAGTATTCAGTTAATCACAAAATAGTGGTAATTTTGATCAGTAAAGGGTAAATCCTCTTATTCATGTTTACACACCACCCAGGAGTTCCTTTACTGTCTGGAATTTCTATGAAGAATTCCTATTCTCTTGGCTGTCATTTTCAAACACCATAATTTTTGCTAATGCCCAAGATCACTATAATAATAGTGGCAATGATATCTTACATTTTAAAATGAGCAATAATAGCTAACATATGCTATCATACATAGTGCTCATTATTTACCAGGCACATTTCTCAATGCATATATATATATATAATTATATATTTCATATGTATAAAATACAACAACCTTTGAGAAGAAACAATTGTTGTTCTCTCCATTTTATAATGAGGAAATTGAAGCACTGCGAGGTTAGGTAACTTGTCCAGGGTCACACAGCAATTAAAGGCAAGGGCTCAACAATAACAACACAAAGGTAAGTATGCAAGGCCATGGATATGTTAGCATGATTGTGGTAATCATTGCACAATATATCCGTATTTCAAAAATCACATTGCATACCTTAAATATGTGAAATTTTTGTTAATTATACCTCAATAAAGCTGGAAAAATTAAATCAGTAAACACATAAAAACAGCAAGAGTTCAAACCTAAGTCTGTCTCCAGACTTTCTCTCAAAAATCTATCTGTATAAACAATAAAAAGAGACTGCACTATACTTTCATATTATTAGGAAATACATTTTTGACTAAATTTTCTGAGTGTGCAGACCTATTAGCCACTCAGTAATATTTGTTGATCATACAGCCACTGAAAACTGGTAAAATACAAAATTGTATTGCCCTTGAGGAGTTTATATCTTTTTACCAGAGCCTGACAGGAAAGACATCTTTCTGCTTTGTGGTTGTTTTATTTCGTTATCTGTTTCACACGATCTTCTTCTTCTCTTTTTCACTAGTTTAACTTGCCTCAAAATTAGTTATAACATGAAAAATAAAGTCATGTCTTTGTCATAGGGGTTTTATAAGTCACAGAAAAGGATCAAGATAATCTGTCAAAGTGATATTAACCATTTTCTTTTCTTTTCTTTTTTTTTTTTTTTTCCAAGACGGAGTCTTGGTCTGTCATCCAGGCTGGAGTGCAGTGGCACCATCTGGGCTCACTGCAACCTCTGCCTCCTGGGTTCAAGCGATTCTCCTGCCTCAGCCTCACAAGTAGCTGGGACTAGAGGTGTGCGCCACCATGCCTGGCTAATTTTTGTATTCTTAGTAGAGACGGGGTTTCACCATGTTGACCAGGCTGGACTCTCGACCTTGTGATCTGCCTGCCTCGGCCTTCCAAAGTGCTGGGATTACACGCGTAAGCCACCAGGCCCAGCCACCATTTTCATAAGAATGAAAATATGATCCTAGAAAGCCCAAGAGGTACTGTAGCATGAATGGAAGAAAACAATTGTTTCAACCTGACATGCTTTACTCCACATAAACTAAGATGATTTAAGGGCAAGTATCACCTGATACAGTGACTGCCAGAGAAACCTAGAAAACACTATGTTTTGCCCATAACAAAATTAATCATGTGCAGAATGGCTAAATCTGATAGACAATTCTTATCTAGTGCTTGCGGCTGCATATCAGTCTCAGTGCCAAACGGAGAAAAAGAAAAAAACAAAACAGACAAGAGGAGACTGAAACAAGGGGAGTGTTTACACTGTTGTTTACATTCTTCACAACAGAAATTTTCCTTAAAAAAAAAAAACAAAAACAAAAACAGAAAATGAAGCAAGCAGGCCTGTCAGAATGTTATCAGAGTCAAATAATCAATCTGTTTTTGTAGGATACCTTTATAAAATAAAGTAGCCCAAACGAAAGCAATTAACTCATGATGCTTTAGGAAAGCACATCTCACCTACTAAGAAAGATTCCCGTGCAATCCAGAACAAGCTTTTGATTTGAGGCAAGGGCTGTGTAGAAAACATGAAAGTAAGGATGCTCATCAGGTCTGAATCAAAGTCACCAGTTCTATCCTCTACTAATCTTTGTCCTTTTAAAAAGCCTCCTTAAAATTTTCAGCTTCCTAGTGTTTAAAAGAACTAAAATAAAAGTTGATGGGAGGCAATTAGCAGAACATCAGCAGTATGGTAAATAGTGATTTTTTCGAACCTCATTGAATAAAAATAAAACTATAGTTTTTTCATTCTTGCGTTTCTTAAATAAAATCTCACTTAAATATTATCTAATCTCACTAAGCAAGAATAAAATCATTGGCGGGTGGGGGGCTTGTAAGTGAGGGCATATTGTTATCTTCTCTCTTAAATATAATCATATTCCCAGTCAAATGTCTCCAGATATTTAAGATATGTATTTACAGTTTATAAAATTTGGGATTTTTAGTAAATAATATTGGCTACTGTATATCCTGTTATAAGATAATATGACATTATACTGATACATCTAAAGTCACAGACAATCTAAAATGCATATTGTTTTCTATGTGAGCCCTATTTATTATTTCCTTAATTTTAAGTTCATGAAAAATGTATCCTATATTAGATATAAAGTTTTAAGAAGTACATGGAGAGTGTCTGTTAATGGCATGAAAATTAAACAGGAAGTGTGAATACAGGTTTTGAAATGGGGTTATTGAGGAAATGAGGAATGCTCCCGTCCCTGGATCTTGTTAAAAATAGGACAGAGTCTCATCTGTCTGGGCTGGTTTTGGGTGTGGCTCCGACTGGAGGCAAGAGGATAGACTAGAATAGATGACCGCACACTGTCCCTGACATCCTGAGGACACTACAATTCTAGAAATGCCTGGATTCGGGCACCGTGGGAATGAGTGAGAGAAAAACTCTTCTGAGTTTTTATTGAACCACCAAGGCCTAAGAAGTAAACACATCCTTCATTTCTGTAGGTTTCTGTAACTGAATAACACCTAGAATATATCGGTATCCTCGTTTTACACAACCAATGCATTAATCATGGTGGTGCTAGAAAGGATCTCAGAAATTATCCAGCCTTAGGGAGACCTTCACATATTTTGAAAACCTGAATTTCCCCAGGGATCCAGAGGAGCACACTATTTAAAGGAATTCTATATTGAATCCTTTTGTTAAGAAAATATTCAGCCTGTTTTGCATTTTTTGCTTGTCCATAATTCTGGTTTTCCTAAAGTGAGGTATATTTGTACTGCCTTAATTTTCACTGCTACATTTCTTTTATGATTGAATATTTACCGAGTGCATTATTGTATAGTTACTAAAATTATAACTATAAAAGCTATACAACATAGAAAAATGTGAATAAAATGTTACATGAGAGTGATTGAACCTGAAATTGTGCATTTGTTATGATTATAACTGCATAAAAATCATAATTATATGTGAATTAAGATCAGAAGAAGCTTTTACAAGATGAGAGTAGATAAATACACAATGTTACAGAAAATTTACATAAATGTTTCTACTAATTACAAAATTAATTAGAAAATTAACTGAATTGTTTATATCATCCATTGGCTCTTTGCTTAAAGTGAAATAATGAGGCATAATGCAATGAGAATAAACCCCATCCAAATCATGATTCCTCTACTCTGAAGGCTTGGGCAAGATGTAACCTCAGGCAGTTTTGTCTTCTTATCTGCAAATGCAAAGACAGTAACCTACATAGCAGGGGGATCGTGAGGATTAAGTGAGGTGACATTAAGTAATTGTCTGACATTGTATAAGACTTATCAAGTGTAAGAAATTCATGGAAGTCAAATGTGAGCATGACCTCTAGGAAGCCAACTAGAAAATGGCTGTTTTTCATGCAGGATCCTGGTAGGTGCCCTGACCTATACAGACTCTGCCCATTCTCCACCAACACCAATTACCCAGGAGTTTAGTAGATAACTAACTAAGTAGGTAACCCAGGAAATTATTAGGTGATCTCGTCTCCCTGCATAACACTAAGGTATGTTAGCTCCTCCCTCTGAGCACATACAAGACCAATCTTTCAAAAAGTCTAGTTATCCTAATGACTGCACAGCAATTAACATCACTGGCCTGTAATCCCATTATTCAGGAGTCACTTTCTTCCAGACATCAGAGTGTAGTTTCTGTTCTTCTGAATGCTGGGTTAGATTTCCTTCAACTCGCTAGGCCAGGCATCTTCCAAACAGAAAAAATTTCCAACAAAAGCATTTTGGCAGCACAGAATTACTTGCATTTCATTACCCTTGCTGTGTCCATCACAATGTATATGCCAAACACAAAAAGTCCTGGCAAAGATTGGATGTTTTACCATCACTGCATTCTACATTGAGCATACAAGAAATGGAAACAACTGAGGTTCGTATGAGCTGGAATTTAGTCCTGTAGACAGATTTACAGTCTTGCTTACACTCCAGTGTCCATTAAAGTGCGAAGGTTGCAAACATAAAAAGTCTCATGCAATCCTAGGAGCATAATTTGATGGAGAGTAATATCCCCAAAAGTGCAGGCGAACAGCTTAGTGTCAATCTGCTTGAAATCTACCACATTGGGATGAATTTTAGGTCCCCAGTGTTGTTCAGTATCCCCTATCAGTGACAAAGAGGAATTGGGAAAATTTTCAACCCTGGTATAACAAATAGGACAAAAGTATTAACACTTAAAAATATAAGAAGAATATTGTTTTTTTTAAGCAAATTAGAGATATATGTAAAACAAAAGATTTTAATCAAAAATTTTGAAGGAAATATTAACATGTACCCTGAAATTAAAATACTGTCTACTGATAGAATAAGAGAAATAAAGATCTAGACATAAATGCCAATAAATGGGCTTGAGCTCATAATGGAACACACGTTAAAGATACTAGTAAATCAATAGTGGGTTTGTCTTGTTCTTTTTATAATAACAGAACATGATACTGTCTTAAAAGAAGGATTCACGAAAAGAACTCAGTAAAGCACATACTTTATTGAGCATGATAGCACCCTACTAGATTATCCAACTGACTCATGATGTAGCAAATTACAGGAGACCTAGACAATGCATCTAAATATGAGAAAATATTTAAAGGAAAGATGAAAGGCCTGGGATTATTTAGTCAAATAGAAAAGATGCCTGAGAAGCTATTTATATCTTAGAGCACTGACAAAACATTATCTATCTTCCACAGAACAGAATGGGATTTCTTAATGTCATAAATTGCAATTTGAGCACCTAGAAATAAAAGGGGATTTCTTAATAATAAAAATGACTAAACTCTTGAGTAAGTAATTGAAGGAAATTATATAGTTTTACAAAGTTCATAGGTTAAGAATAAATGAGAAGCTCTGCCTATGTGAGCTGGTTTGATGCTAAGGATGCCCAAGGTACTAGAGCAGAGAATGTCTAAAGATTTTAGCCAAGTCTTTTATGCCATAAATATTTTGACTTAATTCCTACCCTCGGTCCATTGTTCTTTTTTCTGTGCATGCTCTCCTTAGGTGATCTCATCCTTCTTTTATTTATTTATTTATTTATTTATTTATTTATTTATTTATTTTTGAGGCAGGGTCTCACTATGTCGTCCAGGCTGGAGTGCAATGGTGCGATCTCTGCTCACTGCAACCTCCGTCTTCCAGGTCCAAGCAATTCTCCTGACTCAGCCTCCCAAGTAGCTGGGATTACAGTCCCATTGCCACCATGCCCAGTTAATTTTTCGTATTTTTAGTAGAGATGGGGTTTCGCTACGTTGACCAGGCTGGTCTCAAACTCCTGACCTCAGGTGATCCACCCGTCTCGGCCTCCCAAAGTGCTGGGATTACAGGCATGAGCCACCACGCCTGTCCTTCTTTTAATTTTAACCACAACCCATATATCATTGCTGACTCTCAGGTCTGTCTCAATCTCTGACCTCTCCTCTTAGCTTTAGACTCACAGGCATGAGCACCTACTGAACACACTCAAATGTTCACTGGCATGTCAAAATCAGTAACACCCAACCCCTACAAAATACTTTTATATAAACATTCATTACAGCACTATTCACAATAGCCAAAAGGCGAAAACAACCCAAATATCCATCAACAGGTGAATGGATAAATGAATTGTGATATATACATGTATATTATATATTTAACATATATATGTGTGTAACAATATTATTCAGCCATGAAAAGGAATGAAGCACTGAAACATGCTACAAGCAGATACACCTGAAAAAAAACATTATGCTAAGTGAAAGAAGCCAGGCAAGAAAAGGTCATAGGTTGTATAATTCCATTTATATGAAATATCCAGAAGTGGTAAATCCATAGAAACAGAAAGCAGATTGCTGGTTACCAGGGGCTAGGAGGAGCGGGAAATGGGGAGTAACTGCTTAAAGAGTAATTTTCTAAATTAACTTCAAAGTAGCATACGATGTTTATTGTATGAGTAAGTAAGTAGACTAAGTAATAAGAATGTTTTCACCATATACATTATGGTGGTAGCCAGCCTCCAAGAGGATCTTTAATTTTGCTCACCCTAGTATTCACCTTTTTGTGTAGGCAGTGTCCCTTGCCACATGGTGACTAATAGAATATGGCAGATTGATGGTAAGTCATTTCTGAGATCAGGCTATAAAAGACACTGCAGCTTATGTCTCAGTCGATCACACCATCTCACACTCTCTCTCTGATCATTCACTCTGGAGACAGCCACTGCCATGTCAGGAGCAGTCTTGTAGAGAGAGGCTCATATAGAGAGAAGCTGAGGATGCCAGTCAACAGCCATATGAGTGAGCTTGGAAGCAGTTCCTCCAGCTCCAGTCAAATCTTCAGGTGACTACTTCACTGGTTAACAGCTTAATCTCATGAGAGACCCTGAGCCGGAACCCAGCTAAGCCACTCTTAAATTCCTGACCCTCAGAAACCATGTGAGATAATAAATGTTTGTTGTTTAAGCTGATAAATTTGGGGAATAACTATTCATCAGTAATAGATAATGAATACAATTATTAAACCTCCACAGTAACCATGGCAATTGTTTGGAACTCAGACCAACAAAATATTTTTTGAGGGTGTATACTTATTACTAATATTGTTTAGTGATAAAAAGTGTGCTCAGTGATAATGGAAAGCCAACAGATTTTTAGTTATTTTCTTATTGTTGTTACATTCTCCACAGACAATGCACTCCTTACTGCCTGTACCTAGAATGGATCAGTGACACTGCTTTTATACATCTTGGCTCTAGTTTAAGCCATTGTCACTTCTTCTCCAGAACAATTGCTGTTTCTGATTCTAGTCTCACTTATTCCTCTTGAATCTATCTACCATCTTGATGACAATGTATTCTTTCTAATCATAAATCTGACCTTGTAACTTAGATTGCAATTCAGATTTCATAAAACCCCTCAGTAATGCCCTTGGGTCAACAGAATAAAGCCCAGATGATTTATAAGGCTCTTTCTTTCTTTCTTTTTTTTTTTTGAAATGGAGTTTCACTCTGTCACCCAGGCTGGAGTGCAGTGGTGCCATCTCGGCTCACTGCAAACTCTGCCTCCCAGGTTCAAGCAATTCTCCTACCTCAGCCTCCCGAGTAGCTGGTATCACAGGCGCCCACCACCATGCCTGGCTAATTTTTGTATTTTTAATAGAGATGGGGTTTCACCTTTTTGGCCAGGCTAGTCTCAAACTCCCGACCTCAAGTGATCCGCCTGCCTCGGCTCCCCAAAGTGCTGGGATTACAGGTGTGAGCCACCATGCCCGGCCACAAGCCTCTTTCTATTGACTATGCTTAATATATTTTTAAAATTTCACTCATTGCACAGTGGTATTCTAATAAAGTTCTCATGATGTGGGCCCCTACTTAAGTATTTCCAGCTCCAGTCTCACTCACCTCTGCATGTACCTTAACAAAATGCATGTGCTATAACAAAATACCACAGAAATAAACTGTAGGAATTTATTTCTTACAGTTCTGGAGGTTGCCAGGTCCAAGATCAAGGTGCTGGCATTCAGTGTTTGGTGAGAGCCTTCTTGCTGCATCCTCACATGGCCAAGAGCAGAAGGGCAAAGTAGGCCCAAACTAGCTCCCTCCAGCCCTTTTATAAGTCACTAATCCATTCATAAGGGCAAAGCCCTCATGACTTAATCACTTCTCGAAAGGTCCCACCTCTTAATACCAACACAATGGGGATTAAGTTTCAACATGTCAATTTTGGGGCCATTCAGACCATAGCAGCATGTACTTGGCATTGTAAGTCACAATGAATGATTTGTAGATCTCCAGGCATACACTTTTGCACATACTCATCTTTTTGCCTATAATTCTCCAACTCTCCTCCAACTCTGCTCCTCCTCCATTCCAGTTGTGTTCTTATTTACTGAATGAATTCATATGATTGATGTTTGGAGAGAGGTTCAGACTGGGAACCGTGGGAGGGGTACTCGACCCAACCTGGTGGCTGAAGAAAGTCTGGATAGAACTGAGTCTTGTAGAAAGAGTAAGAATGAACCAGGTGAAGAAAGGTGAAAGGTGCCCTAGGCAAATGGATTAGAAAAGGCCACAGTTGGTCTTCCAACCCTCCAACACTTCCAACCCTCACCATACAACAATATGGTGAGGGTTGGAAGAAGCAGGCAATGGAAGGGAGGAAAGAACTCTGTGCCAAGAGGTAATATAGTGGAAATGAATCTGGAAAAATGGGAAGGGCCTGGTCAGGAAGGAAGTTATGAGTTGTGGTAAGAAGTATGAAGTCAATAGTGCTTCTCAAGCTCTGGTGGGGTTGGGGAACACATTCTGAGAATTTTAAAATGGTATGTTTCATTTTAATGAATTGTTTTTAAAAGCATATTACCATTTATAAAGAAAATATTTTTCTTTAGCAATGACATAAAAGATTTTAGTTTCTTAATTTAGGGCTTCACAAAGTAGGGTCTGACGATTAATATCTGAGGAACATCAGGCTAGAAGATTTATACATAAACATTCCTGCAGATTATAAAACAATTCCCTATTCATGATGAAACCTCATCGTAGATTATAAGTATTGGTTCCCTTTTACCTATGTTCTTACTTGTTTAACCCTCTAAGAATGCTAACATATATGCCAGCAACACTTTCATCAAACTACTGCCTTTCTGTTTAAGTGTTCAGTAAATGTATTGCAGATATAGCCTAGTTACCTACTATAGAAACAAGAATAGTAACCACTCAGTAATGTTCCAGGTTCTGCATAAGACCTTTCTCATGAACCTAAATCTCATTTACAATTCACTAATGCTGTAGCACGGGGGCTTTTTGTAGCAAAATGTCTCATTTTATCCAATTATTCCAACAGTCTCAGGCAGACGGCATTAGAACAAAGGCATTAATCAAAACTGATTTGTTTGGTCCACTTCTGATTAACTATAAAAAATGTTTATCTTTGGTTATAAGAGAAAACAGATTGTAGATCTTGGATGGACTAGCTCATGCCTCAAGGTTTTTAACTTGCTGCTTCTTCTGTAGGAATACAACCCTCCATTTTTTACTCCATAAAAAGTTCTTATGGCTGACCCATTTTTATTCATTATACTTCCTGGAAGAGGTTGTCCCCAACTACTTTACTTAGGATTCGTAACCCAACTCCCACAAAGTTACTCTCCCTCTATTATCCTGTTGCTTTCTTCATAGAGTTTATCACAACTTATCATTGTTTTACTGTCTCTCTCACGAGACTGTAGGCTCCGTGAGGCAGGCATCAAGTCTGCTGTATCCCCAATGTCCTGCACATAGAAGATGCTTCTTCAATGCTGGCACAGACGTCAATGTATAACTTCTTTCGGGAAAAAGCACTTAATGGGTCATGCTTTCCTAGGTCATCTTGGCACAAAGTTTTATTAAGATTCCTTCATGAGCTCCTTCCCACAAAAGTGCTAAACATGTAGTACATATTTTTAGAAAATTTGTCATTATTTAAAATTTTTAAGGCAAGCTGACTTTTTTTTTTTTTTAAAGAGAAATGGCTGATAGCTGACTCAGATCTGGGTATGAACCGTATAAGAACCTGGGACAATCTTATCATGCTAAAAAGCCAAAAGAAAAAAAAAAAAACTGTCAAGACTATTAGAGTCTGTTTTTTTTTTTTTCACATGAGGCAATTTGAAGGGGCTCCTATTGCCCAAAAATGGGACAATTTGAGCACCAACAAGAATAATGACTGCAATGGGTTGAAGCAATTCAAATACAGTACATTAAAATCCACAAATCCAGAATCTTACTTAAAACTAGTTAGCTTTGGAGTTTCCTAGGGCACCAACTCATTCTCCTAAAAATTGATAAATAGGAGAAATTTATCCTACCTTTCCTTTGCTACCTGTATTTTAAGTTAACCAAAGAGTTGAAGACAGAAAGTTCTTCTCCGTAGACAATTTCTAACTAGTAAGTGCAGAAGAAATTATAAAAGGAGAAAAACCACAATTTGTAACTCCTAATTTAAAAAAAAATGGATTGAGGTAAAACTCATGAATGTAGAAAAACATCCTGTGAATGGTTGATGGGGAACTTTATAATGAACAAGTCAGACTGATAATGCCTGAACTTCTGATCAACTTAACATCCCTAAAAATGAGACAACCAGACATTATGGTTTTCTGATGGGATACACATCACATCACATTCCCTATGTGTGTTCAGTACCATCTAGGAACTATTCTTTGTCAAAAAAATGTGAATCTGCATCTAATCAAACCTCTAGAACTAACCATCATTGCAAATGACACCATGAGGTTGCAATCAGCCATGCGGGAAATTCTGCAGGACAAATGACCCAAATCCTTTAACAAGTAAATATCAAATTTAAAAATGAATGGGGACAAACTTTTTTATTAAGAGAGTCTTAAGAGACATATCAACCAAATTTAATATGTGGACATTGTTTTAACCTGATTTAAATAGACAAACTACAAAAAACGATTTTTAGACAACAGTGGAAAATGAACAAGAATTGGGTATTAGCTCACATTAACAAATTATTGTTAAATTTTTTGGGTGTGACAATGGTATTATGTTTTAAAAAGTTATTTGTTAGAGGAAGGTAGTAGAATAGTTACTGGTGAAATATGATGCTTGGGATTTGCTTTGAAATACTCTAGAAAAATAAAAGTAAGTGTGTGTGTGTGTTTGTGTGTGTGTGAGACAGAGAAAGAGAGAAGAGGGAAGAAAAAAGAATGACAAAATGTTGATGAATGTTGAAGCTGGATGTTAGGAACAGAGGGTTCCTCTGCTTTTGTATTTGTTTGAAAATGATCATGCTTAAAATTAAAAGCTGATTTTGTTTTAAAATGTTTTCACATGAAATACAGCAAAAATACAAAAGAACTTATGAACATTAAAACAAAAGTATTGAAATGTAGTCTCATGTTATCAATAACCCAGAGCAAAACATCCAACATTACTATTTCTAGAGGTCTCCTTCGGCCCCTCCTTAAATACTTCATCCTTCTTCTTCCTAAGAGATACTGTTTTGAATTTTATGTTATTTTACTTTTGATTTTCCTTATAAAAGTTTTTAAAAACTACTCTTGCACCTATTCTTACATAACATACTGTTTAGTTATTTTTTCTGTTTTTGAACTTCATACAAATGGAATCATGCTTTATGCATTCTGTTGACTTGCCTTTTTCATTCAACATCAGTTTTGAAATGATCCATGTTGATGCTTTTAACTGCAGCTTATTCATTTCTGTTTCTGCAACGACTCCAATGTGTGCATATACTAAAACCTTTTTAATCCACTCTACAGTTGGTAGACATTTGAGTTATTTTCTGCATATTATGAACATTCCTGTATATTTCTCCTGGTGCACATATAAAATAATTTATTTAAGGTACGTACCTGTTACTGTGTTGTAGGAAACATGCAAATGAAATTCAGGAATGCCAAATTGTTTTCTAAAGTGGTGGTTAGACCAATTTATACTTCCTCCAGGAAGCAGTGTTTTCAGATTTCCCCCCTTCCACATTTTTACCTACTCTTAATATTTTTAGAGTTCTTAATTTTTGCAAATCCGGTGAATATGAAATGGTATAGTAGTATTATTTTAATTTGCATTTCTCTTATTACTAATGAACTTGAGCATCTTTTTATATGTTTTCTGAATATTTGTGCTTCTGTGAAATACACATTCATTCTTTTGTTCATATTCTAACAAGTTCTCTTTTTTTATTGATTATTTATACATTCTGTATACTAACCTTTTGTGTTATATGTATTACAGGTATTTAGTGGCTTTTATCGCTTTTTATAAAATCCTTCAATGAACCAGTGTTCTTAATGTTAACAGTCAAATCTGTCAATCTTACACTGTTGTTCCCCTTATTTAACCAATCTTTCCTATTTCAGGGTCAAAAAGGTATTCTTCTATATTGTCTTCTAACAGCTTTATACTTTTGTTTTTCACATCCAGGTCATGATTCACCTCAATTTTCCACCCTCCTCCCTTGGTATGTGTGAGGCAGGGCTCCCATTTCATTTTTTCCATATGATTGCCAGTTGACCCAGAATCATTTATTGAAAAGTTCATTCTTTCTCCACTGCGCTATAATACCAACTCAGTCATAAATCAAGTGTCTATACAAGTGTAGGTCTGCTTTTGGGCTCTCTAAAACAGGCTGAATTTCCATCATCCAGAAAAAACAGTAAGTAGAACAGTCTAAGTTTGGTAGTTTCCCTTATTACCTCAAACCTAGAACTTCTGCGATTGTTCTCGATTTACTTCTCTTCCTTCTGTCACTCTTCCAAACCATCATTCCTAGTCTTCCTAAAGCACAATTTAGTTCATGTCAGTTCCCTGTTTAAAAACATTAAAAGGCCCCACATTGAAACAATATGGGAAATATTTTAGGCTCCCCTAGTCTGACAGTGACCCATTCCACTTTTCAGGTCTGCATGCACCTCAACAGTGCCTACAATATAGCAGACATAGTAAATATTAGCTTCCTTATAGGCTTTTACATAGGTAAATGAGAGGGACATGATTTGCCTCCTGGCAGAGCCAAAATGTTCTCACCTATACTTATATTTATTTTGTTTTTGTCAAACATGTAAGATCTAGAAATTTGTCTAAACCATAGAACGATTATAAGGGTTTCAGGTCCTTATTTTGTCATTGTTTTAAAGTATCTTACTAAACCTATTTTAAAATGTTATCATATAAAAATAATAACTGTTTAACAAAATAATGCATTCCAGTTGAGTTTAATTTACCTTGTGCTATTAACAAAAGACTCTTCAAAAACCAAAATGACAAAGTAAACAAGGTCTATTTAATAACAAACACAGTTTTTTATTACATTTTATTAGATGTGCCGGAACCCTAATTTGAGGATGCTTGCTTACCTATGCTATCCGTATGTACATTTTGGTATTAGCTCTCTTTTTGAGCTGGAATATAAAAGTCTTCTGCAGGCAGCTTCGGGGACCAATTAATTCCATTAAATTATATCTAGTTATGTAGTGAACTGAACCACTGCTGGTCTGAGGCTGTCTAGAGCTGTGACAATTAGGAGATGGAGAGAGGCAGAAAGAGAGATTGATTTTATATGTCACTGAAGCACACTGCAACAATATGCCAGCGTGACTTTCAAAATGGCCTTAAAATATTCCAAACTCAGGGAGTTTCCTTGCTCCTGAGTGGGAGTTGACAGACTGTCTGGCAGCATTAGAAAGAGGCAGAGAAAAGCTGATGTCTATATTGTGTCCTCTAATAACATTCTGCCTCTTTGCGGCATCCCCCTCTTAGAAGGATCCGTCTATATGTTGTGAGGGGTGTGTGTGTGTGTGTGTGTGTGTGTGTATGTATGTATGTGCTTTGCCTCCCCTTGTGCAAGGGGCATGATTTCACGTCTCACATCTGGGAAAACCAAACCGAAGGACGCTAACCCTCCCAAGGTCACCTAGATTAGTCTTGTGGCCCCGGGTCGGGGGTGGGTGGGAGGAACAGAACCCAGGTGTCCAGACTCCAGCTTTGTTGGGCATTAAATCATTTTCCTTCCCTTGTGAAAAAAAATTACTGGGCGGTGGGAAGTGAACGATTAATCAGATTTCCTCTTTTCCCTTATTTCCCCTCCCCCTTACGAAGATAAAAACTCGGGAAAGCAAAAGAGGTGCCCGCCCTGCAGTTCTTAAGCTGGGTCCCCCCGCATTCCCCCTCCACCCCCACTCCCACTCCCATTTCCCCACCCCCGACACAAAGCGATCTGGACTCACAGGGCTTCCGCCCGTCCAACCGCGAGCCTGGGAGGTGAGGAGTGGTTAAAACTCAGCCCTCACCTCCAGCGGGTCCCGGGCTCGGCGGCGCCCAGGCCCCGCCCCCGCCCGCCCTTCCCCCACGGCCTCGGAACGCCAGCCCCTCTCCTCTCTCCACATCGGGCGCACCCACCCCAGATGCCGCCTGGCACCAAGCGCAGCCGCCGCTGCCGCACTTTCCACTTGTATTGATCACCTCTCAGCCCCGCGCAGCCGGCTCGCCCGAGCGGACCGCGGCCAGCGCGCCAGCCCTTGGCAGCCCCGGAGCAGTCGGGCTCCGGGAGGAAACTCCTTGGGAGCGCCCTGTCCGGGGTGCCCTCTGCGCTCTGCAGTGTCTTTCTTTCTGCCTGGGAGGAGGAGGAGGAGGAGGAAGAGGAGGAGGAGGAGGAGGAGGAGGAGGAAGAGGAGGAGGAGGAGGAGGACGTCTGGTCCCGGCTGGGAGGTGGAGCAGCGGCAGCAGCAGCAGCCGCCGCCGCCGCCGCCGCTGCCGCCGCCGCCGGAAAGGGAGAGGCAGGAGAGCCCGAGACTTGGAAACCCCAAAGTGTCCGCGACCCTGCACGGCAGGCTCCCTTCCAGCTTCATGGGCAAAGTGTGGAAACAGCAGATGTACCCTCAGTACGCCACCTACTATTACCCCCAGTATCTGCAAGCCAAGGTAAAGGGGCGCCGGGGAGAGGTGACGGCCGGAGGAGGGGGCCCGGGGACGCGCGCAGGGTCAGGCCTGGGGAGGGGGGCGCGCGGCGAACCCCCGCCACCGCCGGGCGGAGTTGCTGGAAGGTTGCTAACTATAGCGCTGGCCTGGGCAGAGCCGGGCGGCGCGCGGGGCGGCGGCTTCCCTGGGAGCGGAGTGCGGGGATCGGGTTACAGAAAGCCGCGGGGGGAGAGACTAGACAGGAAAGAGCCACCAGCCCCTTCCTGGCCCGGCCAGCGGGGAGGGTCGTGGGGTCGAGCGGCGCCCCTCGCCGAGCCCTGGCTGGCCGGCGGCCGTCGCCTGGTGTGCGCGTCTGGATCCGCTGGTGGCCCGGCTTTTCGACCCCTTCTCCAAGGGCCTCGCCCTGTAAGCTGTAACTCTTCGCTCCCCTCGCCGTGGCGCGGAGCCTCCCGCCCCCCAGGGACGCCCCTCCACCTCCCGCGCACGCGATGACTGGGGCTGGAGGGGCGGCGGGGCCGGGATATTTTCCTCCCCGCCTCCGGCCCTGAGCGCCCGCCCCTCGCCTCTGATCTTTGTGCGGTGTGGCACTTCACCTGGTTACTGATTTCTACTTTTACGCTGGTGTTTTGGGTAGAAAAGTGGCCAAAGTTCACTCGCGTTCATTGATGTCCCTTCTAATCTCTAGAGGTTTTGCAAAGGAGGGACAATGGGCAGATTTCAGTGCAGAGAAAGAAGTGACTTCGTATTTGGTTAAAAAAGAAACAAAAACAAAACTAGCTTATATGTTTGCCACAGATCGATTTCCAATGTTGCTTTTTAAAAAGTGACCTCGGCACACTCTTGGGTAACAACAGTTGATGACATGTAGCCATACAAATTGCGCCTGGCTTTCTAGGGACCCTGGGTACTTTGTTAGTGGGCCTATCTTATTTTTACAATAAGAATTTGATGCCTCCCGAACTCATTTAAAAAAATTATTTGGGCCATGAAGACTGGAAATTTCACTGCTTTGGAAGCAGCCGCCAGAATTTGGGAGGGTGGAAGTTGGACGCAGCAGCCTTCTTCAGCCATTAACATCTATCACAACTCTGGGTGCCCTTCTAGATCACAAAAGAATCAGGTATGGATGCAGTGTCCGAACTTTCTTTGGGAGGTTGTAATCATGCTCTGCTTGCTGGTAGTTGGGCATTTCCGGCCTGGTACAAAGAATCTCTGATTCAGCCTTTTCTTTCTTAGAATGTGTGTGGTCCACGTTTTCATGTACTTACGACATAGCCCTGTATTTGTCTACGTAAAAAGGACACTTGTCAGTTTCGAGACCAGAAATGTCCTAGCAATCCCGGGCCTCATTTTCACTTCCCCCAATTCCCACTTTACTTTGGGTCACCAGAAAGCAGCAAGATGGTAGCAGCAAGGATACCCCTTATTCATCTCTGTGTAGTTCTCACAGTATTTGTTTTAGGAACTTGCAGGAGATGCTAGTTTTCTGTGAGCTACATGGTAGCTGTTCAAAGAAATTTTGTGGCATAATCAATGCACTACCTTTTAGATATCTTATATATTTAATGCACTTGTTTAAATTATGCAGCATTGGGTGCCTAAAGGACAGCTTATTCAACACTTAACAATATGAATAATAAATACACCCACTCAGGTGAGGAAGAAAAAAAGCCATGTTTCTACAGGCACATTTACCTTAGTAATTTTTATATACCATTAGTAAGTTAGAAACCAAGTCCATACCATTTAATGTAGCTAATGCAATGCCATTTGGCTTTTTTGCCCTGTAAATAATTGAAGAGAGAGACAAACGGCAAGAGCCTGCTCTAGTAATTAGGGTCGGATCCCAGAAAGCTTTACGGCCCATTTTCTGAAAGTGTGCTTCCTGCATAAAGCATTTAATATTGATTTGTGTTGCGGTAAATGACATTCTCAAAACATTTTGCTAATTCTACAATTAAATCTGAAATCCTATTATTCGGAATTCCTTTGTTTCTGGAGAAAGGTATACATACTCACTTGACCTATATAACATGGTATTAAAGTTTGGTAATTAAGTCTAAATTCCCTGTTGTACAAGTATCTTGATTATCTCAGAAGGGGACATCTTCTAAAAATGGCACGTGACTAGATGCAAATTTTAGGTAAGCAGAGTTCGGAACAGGCAGCCCTTTTTTTTTTCTCTCCCTTATGTATCTGTTGGTAGCATGGTAGTAATGTTGAATCATTTAAAAAAAAAAAGACTTTGATTTGTAGTTAGTTTAAAAACAAGTGTTGCCTAATCTACCTAAAGAGTTAATAAACTCTCTTAGGATCTGCTGTCTGTCATGATTCTTGCCTCTGTGTGTGCTTTAACCTTCCGAAAATATGGGATAGAAAACATCACTCTGTTTAAAGTACAGTGATGTGTTTGCTAGGCAGAGTCATTTTGAAACTTCTGTTTGGAAGCTATATCAAAAACTGAAGAATGGCATGGTCATCTAAAAAGTGATAGCTAATTTGTACTCAAGAGATAGATGTGATTTTCTCAAATCTAATTCTTTTAATCAGAAGGAACAGATAATACCAGGTAAAATGGAACTTAACAGTTTGTTTTGTTACCATACTTTTAAAAGTTATATATGCCAAACCATTCTTCTTGTTTTAGTGATCCAGTCTATTTTGGTAAACTTATTTTGTAATTTTCCCCATAAAAACATACTAGTTACTTCCACATTTTATTAATAAAAAAATACCATCCGTTGGGCTATATTGGAGCAAATGACCATATTGGTATGCTTTGTACTTTGACAGAAAGAAAAAAAATCATTAGAAAAAGTAATATGTCTCCATGAAATGTAAAATAAACTTGAGTGTACTATGGAAGAGCAGGACATGAGTGGAAATGAATGAGATTGTATAATATTCATAATACCTTGGTGTAGAGTTACATAAATTTCAAGTAACCTGATTTCACATGCTGTTGGTTTTTTGTTTTTTTTTTTTATTTCTCAGTGAGGATGGTCTTATCACAGCAGGTTCTTTTTATCAGCTGACACATTCATTCTGAAATGTAGCTTGATGTAGCTTTATAAACATAACCACATATTGTCCTAAATAATTTTCTCAATTTTAAAATGACCTATGCTGTATTATATTAAATTTAATATCCATCTTTTAGCTACACAGAAAAAAGATGTTGATAATCTAACATATTTTAACTTAAAGATTTGTATGTACACATTTTCAACCAGTGGCTGCATTAATTTCACTTATTGTAAAAGCAACCCTTGAATTATGGTCTGTTTATTTCAAAGATACTACAACATACATTATTGCCAGTGCATGTATGTAAATAGTTATGGGGATTGAAATATTCTGTTTCTTTTGAAGAAAGGGAAGTACAAAATTTTCTTTCCATGATTAGTTAGCTACATATTTTGTACCAACTGAAAGCAATTTGGGACAGTTGTAATCTTTATTCACATAGTTCTAAGAATATATTTCTATAAAATTAATGGAAAGCTTGATTTTTTTAAGTTTTTGTGTATGAAGAAGTATTGTTTTCCATGCTGAAGAAATGTCTATACGAAAGATACGTTTCTTTCTAAAACAAAACAATTTTGTTTTTACGCCATTTTTACATACGCTTATGACACAGAATATATCTGAACCTAGCTTCAGAATCTGAAAATAATAAATGATATAATTTATTCTATTAATAAAGGCTAGTAGAACAAAGCAGTTTTTCTGCATTGAACTTTTGCATGCATTTTTTATTGAATTCCTTAACTCTTACTTACTTCTAGCCAAATGAATATTGTATCAATCTGTTTCTCCAGAAATTAGTAGTCCTGATTTGATACATAAAACTGTTGCATCTAATGAAGTGGAAGTACACAGGCATAATATTCAGACATGGGGCGCTTTGTGTCATAAGAAGTAACCACATTTATGATGTAAATAAAGTTTGCTTAAAATATGTCAGTTTGGTAATGCAGTATTTTACACTGATGAATCAACCTTATTTCCTTAAGTGAGTGGGGTATTATGTATGACTATCTGGAAGTGGTATTGAAAGGCTGAAGGACATGTAACTATTAAAATGAAGATGCATTACAATGCAACAGTGTAGCACCCTTCTCTTCCAACAGCTATTTCTTTTGAATTTCCCATACAACTTTTTGTTTTTTCCCCTATGTTGGGAGCCAAATCTTAAGTTCCTTGAAGGGAAAAGGAAAAGATAGGTGAGCTAGGAAAGTATTCAGTCATTTAGTATCAGTATAACTACATACACCTTACATCTTAGGCAATCTTGGCTTTGAGTTTAAATTCAAATGTGGGGAATTTCCATGTAATATACATTCAAGAAAAGAATTTTTACTAATATATTGCTCTGACTTTGTATTTTTAATAGTTTATTGAAACCATTTCGGCATCTAGCTTTTAAATTGAGACAGTAAAGTTTTATCCTATTTATTGGAATATTATAGAAATAATAGAATATTATAGAAATAGGAGTATGTCAAGTTACTCTCAAGTGGAAGTGTTTTATGCAATCTAAAATAGCTTATTTTAAAGAAATGTAGTAATGACCTGTCAGTTGTTCAAATGCAGCACCATAACATTTGGTATAAAACCAAACCAAATATTCAAAAGTTGAACATCGGCTTGGGGATTTTATGTGGGATGAATTTAAATGTTCTGTTTCCTCTGCTGTTTTATTTATTTATTTTTGAGATGGAGTCTTGCTCTGTTGCCCAGGCTGGAGTGTGGTGGCACGATCTCGGCTCACTACAACCTCTGCCTCCCAGGTTCAAGCAATTCTCCTGCCACAGCCTCCCAAGTAGCTAGGACTACAGGCGCGTGCCACAATTCCTCCCTAATTTTTGTATTTTCAGTAGAGACGGGGTTTCACTACGTTGGCCAGGCTGGTCTTGAACTCCGGACCTCGTGATCCGCCGCCTCAGCCTCCTTTCAAAGTGCTGGGATTACAGGCATGAGCCACTGCGCCCAGCCTCTGCTGTTTTATTTTAATGAATAAATAATGAAACCTGATGGAACTCAGCTGTGCCTCATGAGAGGCAGCAATGGGACGATGGAGGTCTACCATAGGTAGTTTGGTTAGGTGATACAGAGCAAAATGTAATTTTAGAACAAATGGTGTGTGTTGAACACACACACACAAATTTGAGTACATATGCAAATTTGATAATAGAAACAAAGCATTTCTTAGTCTGGTAGATATGAGGTCAATAGAAGAGTGTAGAGAGGATGGTAACAGCTAAGCCAACCACAAACTGAACATATATCTCCCATAATCTAATTCCTCAATGCATCTAGTCTCCTTAACAAAATTATGTGAATATTTTAATTTTTCAAACAAGCCCTGGAAAATAAGCATGTCAAAATGATGAGAGAAAAACAAAAAGGAGAGAGAAAAAATCAACATCTGAACCTCCTAGGGGAGAAAAGTGTATAAAATTAAGCATTGTTATTCTCTCCCCATGTTGTCTCTTAACTAATTCTTAAATGGATGCATTTTAGAAGATTGAGAATATGTTGGACATTGAATATGAAAACCTAGATTCTAAAAGTGAGGTTGGATGCTGATATGAACAGTTAGCTTGCATGTAGATCTGGCACTGTAAACATGCTAAATCAATGTTGGTGGGTGATTTCCTACATTCACTATAATATCTGTGTTTTGGATTAGGTAAAGATTTAAGCTGGTAGTTGTTGTAAAATTGCTGAGGCTCATGATGAAGGACTAAAACACTAGCCAATCAATTGTATTTACTGAGTGACCCCAGTACATCATTCTTTGCACTTGACATTGGGAAAGTTTAAAGAGTTGAATATCTGGTACCTGCTCTCCAGCACCTCACAAGCTACCAGGGAGGACAGAATAGACACAAGGCAAGAAATAAGCACAGAATATTTACAAAGTAGTGCACCCACGAAAGCAGCACACCAGCTGATGTCCTGGGTTTTAGTGACTGAGAAGGCACTAAGATATATGTAGGATTAAACACTTTGCCATGTCTTTTGCAAGAAAGTGAAAAGTGCTAATAAAAGCTACAATAAATCTGGGAATTTTAGAAAGACATAAGGCTTTAAATGAATAAATGAATTTTTTTACTTACCAGCATTGTTTTGCATTTTTTCTGCTGTATAAATTCTTTTAAGAGTACTTAGAATTTTAAACGAATAATTTTTTTGTACTTTATGTTAACTTCTCCTTAAAGTTTCATATTCAATTAATTTATTTCACCCTATTATTTTTCTAGTTTTATGCTTACAAATGTGCTGTTAAGCCAACCTATTAGAGGTGTGGCAGGTTGGAAATGTACTCCTTAAATGATGGCATAGTGGTTATACAGAAATATAACTTTGATTGTTTTGAGCCATTTGGAATGATGTTTATTTCTCCTAACTGATTAGCTTTGCTTCCGGCAAAGGGGAGGAAATAAGTTTGGGGTTTGTAATGCTGCTAATTAGATCATTGCTTGCCTGCAATCTACACATTTATAATGTGTCTAATGTGGGCTGGCATTTCTTCAGAAAATAAGATGTTAAAAAATTATTCCTGATCTTTAGTGGATATCTCTTTATCTGGTCATCAGCCAGCTTTAATTCTTTCAAAATAAGATATTCACCTCTGCAACTGGATCCAAGTGCTTCAGGAGTCCTGTTGTCCTCTACTTGGCCTCAATATGGGCCCTGGAATCCATTCCTCAGGCTGCCCATTGAACAACATGCGCTATGCAGTTGGGCTGCTGGGTCCCAGATAAACAGTGATTTCAGGGAAAGGTTTTGTGCAACAAAATGAGATCATTTCATAGATGTCATAAATATTTTCACTGGTCCTGAAGGAAAAATGCATCATCTTCCCAGACCCATTTCACACAATACTAGAGGTGTTTCTTCTACAAGTTGAAAAACTGAATACTTAGAATGGCAGAATTGGATGGATACATCATAGAATGCCATGCTCCGAACTTGAGTTTCTTGGACTGGGGGTGGGGGGTGGAGGACAGGGAATCAAATTGCGAAAACAGAATTTTATATTATGAGCTTACATTTATATTATCCTCAAATAATACTATACTATTTCCCCTGTTAAATACTTTTTAAACATGATGATTTTGAGTTGCAATTGGGAGTATATTTGAATTGGAGAACCCCTAAACCCTCCCTTACCAGTAGAATTACAATGAAATACTTTCACAGTTTATATAATAAGGTCTCAGATAAAATATTTAGTCATTAGGAAAAGTAAATTATATTGATATTTGTAATATCGTCAACTTTACCTTTGTCTTCTCAACAACAATTTCGTTTCATCATCCAACAGGTTTTTGACAAATGCAGACATTTATAAAAAGAAAAATTTGCCAGAAAAATGTATTTTCAAGTCACTAGCTGAAATACTCCCACGACTCTCTTTGCCTCCTACAAAGTACAGCTCTGATTAATTTCATTGTTTCTAAAATGACATTCTTTTAAAAAGGTGCCTAATCTCAGCCTCTTTTTAGGTTTCATTCCATATGATCATTTGTATACTTCTATTTAAAAAACAATAAACACAGAAAGAATTACCTATCAGAGAACTGGCTACTAGATGATGTTTTTCTCATGCTCTATGTGATTTGTTCAAAAATTGGGTATACCTTAACTTATAAGTGAGTTGCATTTCCAACAATTTTATTCCAAACAGTTCGCTTGTCATTTGGTTATTTAAAACTTGAAATTCATTTCATAAATAAATAGTTATCCTTAATGATATGGTCCCCAGCGAACCTGTAAGAGTCTGTAAAAGTAACCCACTTTATAATTCACGTATAGTTCTCTACTAACACTGCCATTGAACCAAATCACCACATCAGATGTTTCTTGGAGAGAGGGGTGAGTTTTCAGAGTTAGATTTCCAGGAACTCGTCTTTGCTTTCTTTGGGTGAGTGGGAAGACAGGGTTCTTCTACAATCTTTCAACAAGGCTTTGCCCTTTTATGGCAGGGGAGGGGTTTCAAGAAGATGGGAGGTGCAGCTTGTGAAGTCACAGGGATCAGGGAGTTTGTGCTGGAGCTTCCTCTGGGGGTCCCCTGAGAGCCCTCTTCACTTCTAGACCCACTCACCTGTTTTCTTGTGCTGGCCTCAGAGATAAACTCGTTCCCTTTTCCCCCTAATTAAAATAAAATCTTTTCCTTTTAAGAGCCGAGGGTTCCTAGTACTGCTTCTCATGCTGAGCTTACCACTACTAGATTACTACAGCCTCACAGCTTTTCTTTACTCTCCTTCAGCCCTGAATCAAGCAAACATCTCTTGAGGCTGGCAACCAGAAGGAAACAAAAAGACAAAGTAAAAATTCTGTCTATCTCTTCCAATTCTCTTTTTACCTTTTCCTGGTTCGTTGATGCTTCGTAAATTTTTTTTTTTTTTTGAGACGGAGTCTTGCTCTGTCGCCCAGGCTGGGGTGCAGTGGCACAATCTCAGCTTACTGCAAGCTCCGCCTCCCGGGTTCACGCCATTCTCCTGCCTCAGCCTCCTGAGTAGCTGGGACTACAGGCGCCCGCCACCATGCCCGGCTAATTTTTTGTATTTTCAGTAGAGGCGGGGTTTCACCATGTTAGCCAGGATGGTCTCGATCTCCTGACCTCGTGATCCGCCCGCCCCGGGCCTCCCAAAGTGCTGGGATTACAGGCGTGAGCCACCGCGCCCGGCCAATGCTTCGTAACTTTTTAGGGAATCCCCAGACCCTAGACCTCCTTGAGAATCCGATGATGGCGTACATTTTTTTGTTGTTGTTGTTGTTGTGACGGAGTCTCGCTCGCTCTGTCGCCCAGGCTGGAGTGCAGTGGCGCGATCTCGGCTCACTGCAAGCTCCGCCTCCCGGGTTCACGCCATTCTCCTGCCTCAGCATCCCGAGTAGCTGGGACTACAGGCGCCCGCCACCACGTCCGGCTAATTTTTTGGATTTTTAGTAGAGGCGGGGTTTCACCGTGTTAGCCAGGATGGTCTCGATCTGCTGACCTCGTAATCTGCCCGCCTCGGCCTCCCAAAGTGCTGGGATTACAGGCATGAGCCACCGCGCCGGCCTATGGCGTACATTTTTATTAGCCTCAAATGTTTACCTAGAATCAGCCTGTGGAGCACAGGTTAAGAATCTTACCCAGGGTGGGGAGCAGTGGCTATGCCTATAATTCCAACACTTTGGGAGGCCGATGGGGGAGGATTGCTTGAAGCCAAGAGTTCCAGACCAGCCTGGGCAACATAGTGAGACACCGTCTCTTAAAAAAAAAAAAAAAAAAGAATTTTATCCTGGAAGGAAGACAAATACTGAACAAATCTATGCTTAAGAGGATGAATCAGACAGACCAGAGATCCCTTCATGTTTTTTTTCTGGGTTGTAGCTCAACAGACTCTGTGATGAAGAGCTGCACAAAAGCCAGTGTCCTGCAGAGTGGGCTTGGGTGGCATGAGGTCCATACCCCTATCCAGCAAGGGTCTGAACAGTTTCAAAGTGTGTTTACTTTCTCTCTTCTTCACTCCTGTTCTCCAATTTGCTTCTTGTACTCTTAGAGTTAAGCCACTCTGGACTGACTTCTGTCCACTAACAGGTGTGTGTGATAGTGGTAGATGCACCAGTGTGACCATCGTATAAGCTACTCCCACTCCATCTGCCGGAATCAGGGACCAAGTGGGTCTGACAAAATTTGGCTAAAAAATCTTTACTACCTCTTAATGCTGTAGATTATGATTAAGTATTTGCTAACAATTGCCCCTGATTTGGGTTTTCTCTTCTGATTCTTTATCCAATTTTATATGGAAATTTTAAATAAAATTTTATTTGGTAACGTATAAGTGTGCTATGGAACCATAGACATGATGTAATACTTTGAACAAAAGTACTTAATTAGCATAATAGGAAGTATTTTTATGATAAATGTATACTCCTAATGAGATTGAAACTTAAATGTGATAAAGTCAAATAGCAAGCAGTTTACATTTTTTTCTTAACCCATACTAAAATTGAAAATTACTTATAACCATTTTTTCTACTTTTTGAATACTAATTATTCTTTACCTAAAAAATAATCACAAAAAAGTTGTGTTTTTTCAATTGGCAAAAACCTAAAAAAAGATGTGTTTCTTATTTGGTAATTGTTTATCAGACTTTAAGTTTAGCAGAAGAAATCTTTAACCTTGATTTTGTTTGCTTTTTTTTTTTTTTAAGAGAGATTATTTTTTAACCTACAAATAGGATTTAAAATGACAGTGGGTGATATCTGGTGTTCTTTTCTACCTCTCTCTGTCTCTGTCACAAAATTCAAATACATGTTTCAGCAGTACAGGATGTTCTTCAGTACACATCCTTTGAGCCTTCAAAATTTGATTTGACTGTGTGGTCTGACGATAGCATGTTGAGATAAGTACATTGTGATAGTAATCTGTGCCTGAGCCCTAATGAGCATCTGCTTTCTAGGGCGCCACAACAGCACCTTTCTTTGTTTCCTCTTCCTTTGCTTCTTTGATTTGAATCTTGTTAAATCCTGCAAATGGGTCATTTTTGTTTGTTTTTCAGTATGCAAATCCTCCTAGCTCCCTTTTTTGGGGAAAAAGAAGCCAGATATTTTAAATATAAGTGAATGCACTGGGAATTTTAAAGGAGTCTTCAGGAAGTGCACAGCCATAGTTCTTCTATTAGCAAATCAGACATATTATTCTAAAAATCATCTAGTTAAGTTGATACAAATGGAAATACCTGGTCAGTTTAATTAAATTCAGTAAATACTTACTGTCCAGGCATGGTATTAGGCCCTGGAAGGTGTGATATGTAATTAAAACATAGTGTGCATCATCACAAAGTGCAGTGGAATAATTTTATTTGTTTATTTAAAACTTATATAGTGCACAAATTTTAAATCTGTAGGTTGATATACTCATGTAATAACCACTCAGGTGATGATATAACATTTCCAGAACCAGACAGCATCCTCACTTGTACCCACTAAAGGTAACTACTAGTGTGACTTCTATCTTTGTTGGTTGGTTGTATCCATTCTTGTACATCATAAAGATGAAACCATATTGTATGTATCCTTTTCTGTCTGGCCTCCTTAGCTCCTTATTATTTTGGTTTGAGTCATTGATGTTGTTATGTGTGCAGTTGGTTCTTTTTTTAATGCTATGTGTATTGGATTACAGGATATATTGTATCAAAATTTATGTATCCATTATATTATTAATGAGCATTTGGATTATTTCAATTTAAGACTATTTTGAATACAATTACTGTAATTGTCTTGTTCATATCATGTGTTCAACATATGCACTTACTCCTAAGAGAGGAATTTGTAGGTCATAGGATATGTGTATGTTCAGCTTGGGTAGACACTACCAGTTTTCTCCTGCCAGCAAGGCATGAGAAATCTAATTGCTCTATGTCCTCACTAAAACTTGATATTGTCAGTCTTTTAGTTTTAGCCCTTCTGGTGAGTGGATATCTCATTGTGGTTTTAATTTGCATTTTCCTGATGATTAGTGATGTTGAGCACTTTTAAAAATATATTCATTGGCCAATTAGATATCCTCTTTTGAGAAGTCTTTTGCAAATTTTTTGATCATTTTTTAAAAATAACAACTTTATTGGGATATAATTTACATACCATGCAATTCAACTTTTTGTTCACTTTTTAAATTGGGTTGTCTTTTTTATTGGTTTGTAGGTTTTAAAATATATTTTGGATACAATCCTTCATCACACATATGTATGAAAATATCTTCCCTTAATTTTCAGTTTTCCTTTTTACTCTCTGATTGATAGTTTTAATAAATATAAGTTCTTAATTTTAATGAAGTAAAATTTACCAATCTTTTATGATAATTGCTTTTCGTGTCTGTTTAAGAAATCTGCTTACTTTAAGATTGTGAATTTTTTTCTTTTTTTTTTTTACATTTCCTACTAGAAGCTGTGTTTTATCTTTCACATTTAGGCCTGCAATCAATTTCCAATTAATGTTTGTGTTTGGTGTGGATAGCATCAAGATTTGTTATTGTTGTTTGTTCCACCTCGCCCACCCCCGGTGCCCCAGTATGGCTGTTAATGATCCAGCCCAATTTATTGAAAAGACATTTCCTTCTTTGAATTTCATTGTTGCCTTTGTTGTAAACTAGGTGAACATGTTTGTGTGGTTCTTCTTCTGGACTCCTGCTTTTTTTTTTTTTTTTTTTTAAGGCAGTCTCACTCTGTTGCCTAGGCTGGAGTGCAGTGGCGTGATCTAGGCTCACTGCAACCTCTGCCTCCCAGGTTCAGGCAATTCTCATGCCTCAGCCTCTTGAGTAGCTGAGATTATGGGTGTTTGCTACCATGCCTGGGTAATTTTTTTGTATTTTTAGTAGAGATGGGGTTTCGGTATGTTGGCCAGGCTGGTCTTGAACTCCTGGCCCCAGGTGATCCGTCACCTCGGCCTCCCAGTGGATTCTTGCTCTGTTTCATATGTATCCTTGTGTCAATACTAATTACTGTAGCAATATAGTAAGTGCGTATTCTCCAAAGTGGTCTTAACTATTCTAGGTTCTTTGCATTTCCTTATAAATTTTAGCATCGGCTTGTCAATTTCCATAAAAATAAATCTGCTAGGATTTTTACTGGAATCATACTAAATCTATACATCAATTGGGGGAGAATTGATATATTAACACTAATGAATCTTCCAAACTTTAAGGATGGTATATCTCTTATTTATTTATGAATTTACCCCTTTAAGTAATTAATAATAAAACACAAAAGTTATTGTTTTAAGTACTTGTTTCTTAAATACATCCAATGATTTCTTCAAGATCTGTATTATGGTAGTTGGCATAGGTTCTATGAAGAAAATAATTCTTTTGAAGAGAGAGAGTATGTTTGTTATCACAGATCAAAATTAATTTTGAAAAGGAGCTTGCCACTGAAACCTACTCTTTAAGAACAGATGACGTTCTTTTTAATTTTTCTTGCATGCATGTCAAAATATAACTGTATTTCCCCTTTATACTCTTTATTCTCTTTGTTTATTTGATGGCTTTGTTTATTTGATGTTGTTGTGACACCCCATCACCCTGCCTTATATGTTTATAAACATAATAATAAATTGAAAATTAGTTTTTTTTGGAGGATTTTCTGACATCCCTTATGATTTTTTAATATGCCCCTGATATTGTGAAAGCAAAGATTGGGAATTGCTGCTTAGATACCAACTTCTAAGCAATAAAACATGCTGCTCAATGGGCTTCAGTTCCTTCAAATCTTTTCTTAAATGTTTCAAAAATCTTATATATATATGTATTTTTTTCATGCTTTATATTGAAAGTTTTAAGCTTTGATTATTGCCATATTCAGCTAGCCAAAAACAACTACATAGAACCTTCAAAGCGTATTAATTCTGGCTAGGTTAGCCTAGGTTGAGTAGGAGGTTGAATAGATGACTTCTGAAGTTCCTTCAACTCTAAATTTTATGATTCTGGGAATTTATAACATCCAAGAATCACAGAATGTTAGAATGGGAAGGAACTTTAAGATCATCTAGTCTAAGCCACTCATTTTACAGATGAGAAAGGCTACCCAGAGTGTAGAGACAGAAGCAGAGCTCTAGGGAGGCAGAGAGAGGGGAAGTGGCAGAAGGGCCAGAGCTGGGGAGGGTCTGGGCATAACCTCACAGGACTGGTCAATCCATGGCCTGCAGAGGAAAAAGGGAGAAGAGAGACCACACAGGAGCTTCAGCATCACTCCAGGAAACTGATCACAGGTTGGATGGGATGCGAATGGGGCCAGTGGCACCAGCTGGTGTCTGAACAGGAATCAGTAATGGTCACTCTGTCTGAGGTCACCTGGCAGTCAGGGCCGGCCAGACTTTTGTGCTTTCTACAGCTAGCATAGCTGCTTCTCATGGTTTGGCAGAACAGCAGCATCCAGAGCTGATTCTGCCTTGCTCTCATGTGTCTAACCTGTTGTAGATGAGCTGGGTAGCCCAGAGCTGCGCCCTGCTCACCCTCCATGGCCCCTGGCCTATTCATGGCCTTGTTGTGTTTCTGAAGTCTTTCTTTGCCACATTCCTAAAGATTTTTGTTGTTATGGCTGTGGGGCCAAAACCCTCTTCACTTTTTCAGCATGCCTGGAATTTTCCCAGATCGGCTGGATGGACTCTACTTCATTCTTGGTAAAGTTTCTCTATCCTGCCATCACTACCTGTTGTAATTAGTTTGGTCAACAACAACAACAACCCAGTGAGGCTCTGATTAAACACCACCTCTCTCTGTTGAAGCCAACCCTTTCGTTCACCACGCTGATGGGAACCACCTTCCTAATGCCAAGCACTCCACACCGGTCTCTGTTTTTTTCCCTGCGCTATCTGAATACACTTGGCAGGTGGGCAGCCTTCAGGAATCATCATACAATTAGGCTTCAGGAGCTCTGTTTTAGTCAATTATGTGGATAACCTTGGAAAAACAAAATGCACAGTAGGTGGCATCAACAAGCCCGTTGTGCCTTTGGGCACAGCTTTTCCCTCGTGCTGTTTGGATCATATACTCATTAAGTCCACCAGCTGAAAATGTCACAACTGGCTGTGTGCCATGCATTAGGAAAATCAAATACAGGAGAAATTGGGATATATTGAGCAAATAAGAGAGAATGATTTTTCCACAATTTACAAAAGATTTACCAGTAAAAATGCCACCTTAGTTCATTTACATATTTCAAAGATGATTACAGGTCACTAACTCTTTGATAGAAAGTATAATTTAAACTAAAGCTATCAGGAACCATGGCATACTAAAGATTAATTAGATATTAGGAGAAATGGTTTGTGCAATTTCCTAAGTCTTTTGAAAAGGATGAGTTTGTTTTATTACATTTGATTTTCACCCAACTTCTTAGGATTGTATGATTGAGTAAAAGCAAGGTACAATTGTAGCTAGCTTTGTTTGTTTGTTTTTGTTTATTTCTCACTGTTTTAAGCGTCCTTCACCGTGGTTGGTTCAAAACTTTTCTTCCCATAAGTGTGTGTGACCATAACTGGTGAATTCTCGAAGTGTTGGGATACACAGAAGGAAAGGACCGTGGACAATTTAAAATCGTGCTATCTGTAAGGAAACCTAAGTTGTATGTGTACCATTATTATTTGACAAGTGTCATAGTCAAGGAGGTCTCCAGTGAGGAAGTGTGTTTTAAGAATGGGGAGAGACATGCCTTTGTAGACAGCATGCAGTGCCTTTTTGGTAGAGCAATTGGCCCGCTAGGACTAGAAGATTGGTTGGAACTGAGAGAATCATCTTAAACAACATGCTGAGCCAAAACATTTTTTGATGTTAATAATATTCATGTGTAAATAGATTGTTTCAAATCTCTCCGAAAACATAGCGGTAGCTTTGTACTTGGACTTCCTTTACTTGTTTAATTTTCAATGGTGAAAGATGGGCATGATGAACACCTTAAAAGTCATGTGGATTATTTTTCTGAGTTAAAAATGTATACATTCAATCGGAAAGATATAAAGTCTAAAAGGAAAGTGAGGGTCAAATAAGCAGATGAGGAATTATTATCCCTGGAAATACAGGGAATTTTCTTGTTGATACAAGTTTACTTCCTAAAATAAAAGTTTCTGGTTTTAGTACCTTTCATCAAACTTTCTTAATGTATTAGGAAGCTTTTAGCACAGTTTACCCACGTTCTCTAAGAATCTGCAGGCAAATTAAAAAAAAAAAGCCAGGCATGGTGGCATACATTTGTGGTCACAGCTACTTGGAGGCTAACGCAGGAGGATCCATTGAGCCCAGGAGTTTAAGGCTAGTGAGCTAGGATTGTGGCACTGCACTGCAGCCTGGGTGACAGAGTGAGACTCTGTCCCTTAGGGAAGAAAAATGCAGGCAAACTGAAGCAAGTATATAAAATTTTTTTAATTAATTTTTTTTTGTTGTTGTTGTTGAAACAGAGTCTCGCTCTGTAGCCCAGGCTGGAATGCAGTGGTGCAAACACAGCTCATTGCATCCTCAACCTCCTGGGCTCAAGTGATTCTCCTGTATCGGCCTCCGAAGTAGCTGAGACCACAGGCATGCGCCACCACGCCCTGCTAGATACATGCAATTCTGTGTTGGTTGTTTGTCACTCTTAGGCCGCCTGTAAAGTTTCATTCTTTCGTTGCTTAAAAAATGGAGACTGCTTACTAATTTGATTTTTGCTTCTTCTTATATTTTAACTTGCATTAAGTGACATTTCATTTAGACTATGCTGTATAACATTTAATGCTAGGGGAAAAAGACTGAGAAAGTCACAAAATATCAGGAAAGAAAAGGCATAGCATGAGGTTGCATGTGTATTTAGAAATAGTTTTATATCGTACTTTATAAACAGTAATTTGTGTACATGCAGGCTTCCTTTACAAGAACATAAGATCCTTAAAGACAAGAAGTGTGTTTTGGGCCGGGCGCGGTGGCTCACGCCTGTAATCCCAGCACTTTGGGAGGCCGAGGCGGGCGGATCACGAGGTCAGGAGATCGAGACCATCCCGGCTAAAACGGTGAAACCCCGTCTCTACTGAAAATACAAAAAATTAGCCGGGCGTAGTGGCGGGCGCCTGTAGTCCCAGCTACTTGGGAGGCTGAGGCAGGAGAATGGCGTGAACCCGGGAGGCGGAGCTTGCAGTGAGCCGAGATCCCGCCACTGCACTCCAGCCTGGGCGACAGAGCGAGACTCTGTCTCAAAAAAAAAAAAAAAAAAAAAGAAGTGTGTTTTGTTCAGTTTTGTGCCTATTACAATGTTTTGCACATAGTAGGTACTTGGTAAGTGTTTATTGAATTGAATCCATATTTTTTGTTTACCAACATGATAAAGAGGAATATGAGGCACAGACAGAATTCTTTAGTGATGAAATGCTTCTGCTTCAAATACATACGTGATTAGGATAAAAATGAGCTTTTAGCCTAAATTACCTAAGTAATATTCTCAATCTCAAGCTTTACTATGAGACTTGCTCATAGTGTCCCCAAAGGCAATCACTACCAAGTTAGTTTGTCGTTGTCACATAAACACTTCATAAAATGCAAAAAACCAAGTATTCAATGACTATCTTAAGTTAAATATCATGAATATAATGTGTATAGAAAAGGGAGGCGGTGGACAGGTGTGGTGGCTCATGCCTGTAATCCCGGCACTTTGGGAGGCCGAGGTGGGTGGATCACTTGAGTCCAGGAGTTTGAGACCAGCCTGTGCAACATGGCAAAACCCCATCTCTACAAAAAAATACAAAAATTAACTGGATGTGGTGGCTTGTTCCTGTAGTTCCAGCTACATGACAGGCTGAGGCGGGAGGATTGACAGAGCTCGGGGGGCGAAGGTTGCAGTGAGCCAAGATCACACAACTGCATTCCAGCCTGGGTGATGGAGTGAGAACCCTTCTCAAAAAAAAAAAAAAATGGGGGGCCCATTCTACTCTATTAGTATAATTTAAAAAATAACATATGGATGGGGCATTATTAATTGAAAAGCAATTAAATTTTAAAAAGCAAAATAAATGGCTACATATCTAAAAACAATATTTCTCAGGATTTGCTCAGGGTTTCTAAGGACCTAAAACTGTGTCTGACAAGAATATGTGATTATATTAGTTAGGATTCTGATAGGCAATGCATGACATACATACGCAAACTTGGTATTTAAGGAATGTTTACAAATGTGTTGGCAGGTCTTAGGGAAACCTAAAAGAGACAACGACATTTTCTGAGGCCAGCAAAATACGAGTGCTTTTACTACTCAAAGTCTGAAAGAGCAAAGGGTGGGAGCAGTTACCAGAACCTGGAGGGGAAGCCCAGTGCTGGGGGCTCCCTGAGAGAGGTGATGACCTTCAGCCAAGGACTAAGCCCATGTGGACCAGTTATGTCTCACTTTCCTCCTACCCTTAGATCTGCCAGTGCCTCCAATTGGAACCAATAGGAAGCCCGAGAGAGGAGGATACCAGTGATGCAGGGCCTGTGGTCGGCCCCCAGGTCACAGGATAGAGGGGAAAAGGTGGAGAGGCGAATGAAGTGTGGGAATCAGTAAATTTTGTTGAATAAAGGAATGGCTGCTTACTACTTTTCTTAATGGATAGTTTCATTTCTTTCAGTTAACATGGCTACCCATTGCCTTTTTAAAAATCTGCTGTGATTACTCAAATGAATTAGATAAGCAGTAGTGAGTGCCTACCATAGCATTTTTACAGGTCTATTGCAAAACAATAATGGAAACTTTCTAAGAAAATTAGTTATTAGTGGGATTTTTTAGGCTGTCTTCAGAAATCTGCATTATCTTAAGTCCATAACCTGAAAAAAACAATCACTTGAATCTCATAATTATTCAACAAGAATGTGAAAGATTATCACACCATAAATACGATATATTACTTGCGACGCAACTGAAAATACTTTGCAGGACATTGAGTTAATGGATATTTGTTTTCTGGTTATTCTTACACTACTCAAGCCTACTTTTTGCCTACCTTTTCCACATTATGCTTTATTTAATCTGTCTTTAATAGGTCATAAGAATTATATCAGAGATTTTGCATTTTAAAAGGAACAAGCTCTAAGTTTGATTATGACAAATGTTTGAAATGACTCTTCCTGTACATACGTACTCAAGAAGTTTTGTTTTGTTTATTGTGGTAAATAATGTTAAATTTGTCATTTTAACCATTTTTTGTGTACAATTCAGTGGCGTTGAATACGTTCACATTATTAGGCAACCATCACGACTGAAGAATGTTTTTTAATCCTTCCTATTGAGAGGTGGTGTTTCTGGTTTCACGGAGATGTTTTTCTCTTTCAAAAAGAACAACCGCAAAATCCCATGATCTTGCAGTCATATCAGTAAAGAAAATCTGCCCAAATCCTATCAAGTGATGTTTTAAAGTGGTATTAAATTAGCAAAGCTATTGTACGCTTGTTCATCAACACACACAAAAAAGAACTTGTTGGAAATAACTTTTAGAATGAACATGTCCCTTTAAACAGGAAGATGCTGTTATTTTGTTTCTTTTTATTTTACCTCTGAAGGAATTTTGTCAGAAGTCCAGCTAACACTCTAGACTCGTGGTTGTAATGTATGGGATATGCCACACTTTGTGACTCACCTTTTTTTTAATATATTTTTCAAATTTGAATAATAATATCCAGACTCAAACTTATGTTCCTTTGTTCATTTAATTGAGTTCTTGAGATGGTAATAACACAGCAGAGAAGTTTTTAACCTTTATGTATGATAAAACACATAATTAACTCATAATGTTTTATGAAAATATAAAGATAAAACTAGCTTTCCTCTACAACATGAGTTCTTCTTACCTGTTGTCATAGTAACCAGGTAAACACTACTAAAACCAAATGGGCATCAAAAAAGTTTTTCATATAAAAGGTATTGAAAATATTTATAGGACCTTTAAAAAATAGATTATCTGAGTAGAGGAAGAAAAGACTCAAGTAATAGAGGAGAAGTAGTCAAACTTTATTTGCATATGGAAAGAGAGTTGAGGGGGTGGAAATCTGCGTTGCTGAGAAAAAGAGTTTTCAGAGCAGACTGTTCTGGTATTTTATACCAATTATGTGCAGCTATTGCTTTGAATAAATTTTGCTGCCCTGCTGAGATTTCCTTTTTACAAATCCTAGAGCAATTATAAGATGGAAGTCTGGAATGTATAAACAATGTCCTTTGAACAGTAAATGAGCCTCATTCTTATAAAACTCAAGGGTAGGAATGTACTACCTTTTATCCTATGTTTCTCTGCCTTTCCTTCCTCCTTAATCATAGCACAGAAATTAGGGTCTGCTTCAAGAGTATATAAAAACATGAATTTTGCCTAAAAATACTTTTAAATGACAAATTCCATGAAATTAACAAAATCTCTCTGTTGCTACATAATACCTGTGTACTTAATACATGTTCAATACAGCAGTTGATTGAATATTCCTATTCTATTCTATTTCTAGCCTTAACACAAGAATCTGTAATAGATTACTTTTTTCTATAGACCTGGAAACAAAACACTGCACCAAGTCAGTGTGCATGGGGAAAAAGTGACAACCTTAGAGCGCAACATTAGGCTGAGTTTCCAAATGCCAGCTTGTTTTACGTGACAGAGCAATCTGCACTAATCAAGGCAAACAATGTATACAATCCTAAAGAGAAGTCAACTGTCACTTAGCGTTAACTGTAAAAGCCTGAGCTCCATTATTCTGCCAAACTTACAGACCTTATACAATGTTTACAATAAGGTTTGGAGAGTTGCCTAGCATTGGAATATATACAATTAAACAACATAGTTGAGTGGCCCTTTTATGTCAGCACTGCTAAAAGAGCACCATTATGTGTACTCATGATAGTCATTCTTGGAACTCTTAACATAAACAGGAATAGAGAACATTCATTTGTAATTCTATCTGAGTACGTGTGGGATTTTATTTTATTTTATTCACATAAACCCCCATGGAAACTAAAGATAGCAATAATAAAAGGATCACTGAATGAGAATTATTTCTGTGACTGTCAAAGAATGCAATACTTATATTGTTTGCAACTGAGCTTAAGCACTCACCTTATTTGGACTTTTATTTAAGCTTGTATAAAAAAGGGAGATTGTATTTAATTACAAAGTGAATTTTATTTGTTTGAAAATAACACTAGAAATTAATACAAAATGCATTTCCTGATTTCCTCTTTCAGACATTTTCAAAAAATAGCACATGCAAAGAGGCAACAATATTATCGATTAAAATGAAACAAAACACAAGCTAACTTTTAAGTTCACATCATATTTTGTTAAAGTTAGTTAGGCTAATTTTATAGTTATAGCTCGGCCAGAATGTTTTATCCTTCGGTGTTGTTAGCAACAGTAAAAGGGAATGACACACAACTGAAGCAATTTTTTTTGAGGAAAATAGAAATATTTAAGAGATTGATTTATAGTTCTATCACTCAGAAATACAAATATATATATTTTTAATGTAGGTATTGGGTTTTTATTGAAGTTTTCTTTCTCTGCCTGTTTCCCAGAAATGTTTGGCTTTGTAATTCTGAGAAATAGTTTACATCAACACCAGAATAAAATATAGTTATGTCAACTGACACAAAAATGCCTGACTCAAAACGAGGAGGAAGATTTGGGCTCAATTTAGGTCACTGAAGCCAGTGACGCCAGCTGTTTTTGCTTCTGTTTTCTAGTCTGTTGTCTGAAATTTGGAAATTTGTTAAGCATGTTTCTAGAGAGAGGATTTAACTGCTTCATACAAGTTTACCTGTTATTTAGCAAAACATAAATAACTGTCAGCCCGATAAATAGATTTACAGCAGGATACTTGAATGATTGAGTGCTAGTGTACCTCAAAATATCAAAACAGTTCCTAAAATGTAATTTTTCAATGAGAAATGAAATGTTTGCCTCCCTCTAACCCTGGCCTGAAACTTGTAGTTTAGAGCCCTTAATACAAACAACTTTTTGTCCTTTACTTTCTCTTAGAGTATAAATCCTCTTCACTTCTTCTAATACCTAGTGGACTTCTACTTATAATCAGAATGTATGAAAGGTTATATATATATATATATATATATATACACCAAAGGATTTCCCAAACATGATTTTGTCTCTACTTTTGGAAATGAGGGAGGGAGTTTCTTGGAGTACAAGTTGTGAGTTGCGAGAGATCAACCAGTTGCTCCAGATATTCTTTAAACAACCCAGCATTGTGATTCACACATATTTGTAATATGCTTCTCTCTCCCCAAAAATATGTATTTCAAACATTTTCCTCTATTCCTAATTTTTCCATAAGTTGATGAATAAATTTAGTTATGACTTTATAAACTTAAAATATCTCCTTTAAATTAATATTTTTCTAGATTAGAGACTCCTAGTTTTAATATGTATACTTACATAGAAATGTCTGTATTCCTTGAATCATTTTAGTAATTCTGCATTTCATTGTTTTCAAAGGGCAATCATTACAACCTCCTAGAGTGACCAATTTACACGCACTTGAATTTTGTACATAGAAGCATTATGTTTTCAGTTTTATTTCCAATAAATAGTTTTTATTTCCCTGCCCAGCATTTATTGCCCTTTTGAGTTTTGGTTCATATTGGGCTCCTGCCTTTCAGAAACTGTCCAAAATAACTCCCAAATGGTTCCAGTTAGAACTGGTGGTTTAGTGGGCTAAGTCTTGCTTATGGATATTGAAGATCATCTGTCACTTTTCTGTCCCACTTTTCCCACAGCTTATCCCCATCAGCTCAGTATGTCAGTGCAATGAAAGGGTAGGGTGCTATATGCAGATTTGGAGATTTTATTGTGGACAGATGCTTTCTAATACTGTATAAAAATGTTGAAATAAAAAGACATGGGTCCGAGAGAGACCATTCTTGGAACTGAAGGCAAGAATTACACCATGTTGGTTTCCTGTTACATTTTCTTACATTATAACATTCATTGCACAGATATTCTTAACTAGGCATATGGGGGATTCATAGGTTGGTCATACCCCCCCCACTCTGAGAGCGAGTACAGTACAGTCTGATACAGGAAATAGAATATAGTAAACAGACATTAACAATCTAAGATGAGGGCCACGGATGGTATCAGGAGAGAGATCTGCAGAAAAACTAGAGAAATAGACCTAATTTCTGTCCAGGAAAGATAAAAAATGTTCTATGGATGAGGCAACATCCATCTTGCATAGCTGTAGGAATTTCCTGGCAGGTATAGACTATGATAGAATTTACTATAATAAGGAACATTGTTATTAACAATAACGATAGTAATGATAGTGATTACAGGTAACATTTTTAAATATTTACCATGTGATGGGCACTGTTCTAGAAAATTTATATGTATGCAAATCACTATTGTTAAAATATAAAACATAGATAAGTATGAACATATTTTATGTTAGAGTAAGTAATAGGAAAAAGGAAGAGGACAACAAATTGATGTGGTTGATAAATAGAATAAATTTAATTTATAAATGTTATACTTTTTCATATAATCAGGAAAATACCTGTGTACTGTGAGAAGTAAATAATGTTGTTGTTTTCTACTGACAATCGAAAAACTCTATAATACAGATAATTAACATACGCTAGGAAGTAAAAATAAATTGGGTTTATAGAATAATATTGGGGAGTGTGATGTGGAGCTGTTCCAAGCAGAACACCAGCTTGCATTTGTTTTTCTTTTACATCTACACCCACACAACAGCCTCATGGGTTTAAAAATATATCTGTGCAGTTTTACTGTCTTGGCTCTGGAGTACCATACTCAATGAAATCCTAGTTACCAGCATAAGGCTTCAGATGTTGCCAGTACAGGCCAGACATTTTTTATTAAGAATCTTCTTTATCATTCCTCCTTTCAGAAATTTCTAGCCCCTCCCTGATTTTCACTGTTGTGTCTATTCATTACGAGGTCAACTTTTCGTCTCCTTTATTTTATTTCAGCTTTTTGAAATCTGTTAACCTCTTTCCAACTTACATTCCAGAATGAGTCTGCCCTGTAATTCTATGTTATCTCATGACAGCTCTTTGGGTACTTCCCCAGAATCATTTCTGCGTTGATACGCTTGTTTGAGAGTTAGTTACAGAATACCAATAAAGTCCTGAGAGGAAACAGAAGGTCTGGGTAGAAATGCTGAGGGTAGTGACTCCCTGAAGAAAAGGGTCTGTGGAGAGGTGGGTACCAAGATGGGAAACTAGAAAGCGTTGGATAGTGATTCTTGCAGAGTGTTAGCCAACTGAGAAGAAATTAGAACCCACTAAAGAAACAACACATTTAGAGAATGGTTGGAAGCTCTCAAGGCCCTGCAGCCCCGAGTTGCAGACACCTTGTGTGGGCGGACTCCAGGGAAGCCTGGAGTCAGGGCTGGGTGGCAACAAGAACCAAAGAGATGAGAAACAGCCCCAGGCGGGAAGCTCTGGGTCCTGTCCTGCCTCTCTGACAAAGAGGACAGGACGCTGGTTTGAGTTAAGGTTGAAAACGAGGGTAAACTCAGAAAAGAGATTGCAAGTGCAATGAAAGAATGATTTAATGTGTAAAGATGAGCCAGACCATGTGGAATTTGAAAGGGCACCTATGATATGTCTAATTTGTATGTAGTTTATTTCCTAAGATTCTCTTTGTGTTTTCTTGTAAACAGTTACCAGGACCCAAATCAGGGATGAGGGTATTCCAAGAAAAGTACAAAGGCATGAATCCAAGTGGCTCTGTCTTTGGAGGGGAAACCTGTATTCTTTTAGATGATGGTAACAGAACATTTCCCAAGAAATGGCATTAGAGACTGTGTTGAAGGGTCCTCTGGGGCTGGGTTTTGGCATATGTATATATAATAATTCTAACACAGGTAGCCCTATCCATGGGTAAAGGCAAAACTAATGCTAACAAATAATATTTTCTGTGAGCCATGATTTAGCTAACCCCTGATACTTCCTTTCATGCAAGAGTTTGAATCTCTCTTGACCAAAATATATGTTCACTTTTCAAAGTTGAATTAATGGATACAAATTACTTTAATGATGTCTTACATTGTAGATTTTTTAAAAGCCTTCAAGATGAAGTTACCTCAAACTTTCCTGCCCCAAATAGAAGTTAATAATATCTACTTAATCTATACATTTTAACCAAATGATCAAATTTACCTGTCCCACATACTGTACATAATACTATTAGTTTGAGTGAAAGCTAATCAAAGTAATCAGAAAATAGATTGTATGTTTTTTGTTGAAATTGAAGGAATGAAAATAAGTTTACTTATATTAAGGCTGACTTTTCATAGATAAACTTCCAATGCTAGGCAGTAAAAACGCCTACTCAAGATTGGAGCAGGGTGCATTTACCTGTCTAACCATTTTGTAACTGTGCCATAACCATGTTGGCAAACAGTCCAAAACTAAATCAGATAGAAACATGAATCCATGTTCTCAGAGATATTGTTAATGAGCCACTTGTGAGCAGGGGTCGTGCCTTCAATTTCTTTGAAACCTTTGTTACTCATGTAGTGGATACCCACTAATAAATATTTGTTGAGTGACCCAGACCCATATATATAATATCACCTTATTCTTTTAGGAAAATGGCTACTACATTTCTTTAATTCTAATGCACACCTTTCCTCCCCATTCTTTAACATCCCTGAAGTTGGGGTGTGTCTTACATTTGATGGCATGTTTCAGTGGGTCATCAGCCTGGATTAGAGTCAAGCTCTTCAGAGGAGATTTGTGTTTGCTTGTGATAGCCATTCAGGGACACTACCAATCTGAGACTGCTTGATATTAAATTACCTGCTTGAGGTTTTCTTGTACCACACTGGTTGTGTGGATGCAGTACCAGTTGGCAGTTTGCATTCTCAGAGATTTTTTTTTTTCTTCAGCTGGTCCCAAGCTTGAGATATACATGTCTACTTGCTGTTTCTTTCAGCATGGCAAGTTTATTTCTTGTTAGCCCTTCCCTAGAAAATGTGACCCTTTGGTGTCTCAGTTTTCTGTAGCAGTCTTCTGTCAGACTCTTCATTTTGGAACATTTAAAAAATTTATTAGTGGTACATAGACTAATGGTGTATCCTACTGTTGATGGCATTTTAGACCTGATGAAAACTTGTTTATGTTGCTATATATCCAGCTGATCCATGACATTTGAAAGCCCAGACAGGTTTTGCCTTGTTGACTGCCAGTGGGACCAAAAAGCTTATTTTGTATGGAAGATGGTTGTGGTGCTCTCATACATTGAAAATTATGAGTAAGTCTAGATGACCATGTCTTCACAGTGTTATTTCTGCTAAACCTCTCTGACGTTTGGGAAACAAACTTGGCTGTAGTTTCTTTCGTCACTGTTCCTTGCTGTGCATAAGGTTCACTTAGAGATGGCACTCAGGCGATAAGACTAGGAATCCAAGTGGTGTTTAATCAGAAATCCTGGTTCTTCTCCTTGGCTCTCACTAAATGAACTTTCTTCTCCTTTGTGGCTAGGCTTTCACCTTGTACACTTACTGGTCAGCTGCGTTCATTTTGCATTCCTCACAGCAGTTGGTCCGTGCCCACCTTTTTTTTTTTTTCTTTTTACCCCCATATGATCTGCAGGAACGCCCATCTTTTTGTTATCATGTGCAGACTAGAATGTCCTCCTGACTTATAGTCTTCACTGGGTAACATTCTATGCATTTCTCTCCTTCCATAGTGTTGCTCACTTTCCTAATGCTCTCTCCCTGGATAATTCGCATCTTGTTTGGGAAAAGAGACAAGGAGAAGACAATTAGTTAACATTTATTTATTTATTGCCTACTATTGTCAGGCACTTTAAGAAATTATTTTATCAACAACTGTAGCAAATAATTATTATCATCCCATTTTACATAAGAGGAGGCTGGGGTTCACAGAGGTGAAGCAACTGCCCAAGGTCATATGGCAGGTAAGGAGTTGAGCCAGGATTTGAAACCTCCGTCACACTTCAAAGTCACTGTTTTCACTCCACCTCACTGCTTCCCTTGAAGCAGAGCTTCACTTAGCTTTTTGTTTTTGTTTTTCTTTATCTCCTTTTAGGTTCACTTAAGTTACTTATCCACAATAAAGATCAAAACTGTAAAGAAGTCAACTAAAAGCAGATACAGCAAACGATGGCATCATAGGTGTGGGTTCTGGAACTTGAGATTTGGGCTTTAATTTTGTTCTGTTTTTGTTTTTGTGTGTGTTGTGTACATGTTGGCTTTCTGTTACTGTGTTAACATTTGAGAAATGAGTATTTCAGATAAAAACAAAAGCTGAGGACTTCACTGTTCCAATTCTCAAATTTAAAAATCTTAAAATTAGCCTGACATCTGCTTGGTGTCTCATTTTCACATGGATGTCTAATTTAGAGGGTTTTTTCCTCTTTAACTAGAGTTTGGCAAAGCATCAATTGAAAGCAAACAATATTTTATATTTATATTTTGTTATATTCAGAGGAATCTCTAGAATATATCAGTACCGTATAATTTATTGAATACATTTAATGCCATAAAAGAATGATTTTAGGAGCTTTGGTTTTTATAGGCATGATTGGCAGAATATAGAATCTCTAGAATATATCAGTACCATATAATTTATTGAATACATTTAATGTCATAAAACAATGATTTTAGGAGCTTTGGTTTTTATAGGTATGATTGGCAGACATAATGTAACTCACTTGAGATGGTAATAAATTGCAATAAAAGTACAATAAAACACTTAAAACACTTTGTGTGTATATTCCATATGATAGTCATACATAGATACATTTTAAAATAATAAACACTTTTCTGATAAGTGTTAGAATTATCATGACAGGGAGGCTGTGTGGAAGTTAGATGACATTCTTAACTACTATGTAAAGATTGAAATTCTAGAAATGTGAGAGTGTGTGTGTGTGTGTGTGTGTGTATGTGTGTGTGTGTGTGTGTGGTGTGGGGAGGGTGTAGCTCTGCCAAAGCCCCTTTGTACCTGGAGTTTTGTTGCCTGTTTCTTGATCAGACCCAAGCATAGGCTTAGATGATCTGAATCAGTTTCGTAATCTGATGAGCTCTGCTCTGAGCTTTGGTAACTGTTGAGAACACTCAGGAGAAGGCCCTAGAGAGAAGAGAAGATTCTGCCCCACAGTCCTCCGGCTTGGTTCCTGTGCCAGGCCTGCTTTAATGATTCAATGCTGGGGTTCCTTACTCCTGAGATTGGTTGTAACCTGGTTAGTGTCTGACCTTTTCTTACCTGAGTAAGATCTAGAGTACTTCTCTGAGAGTAAGAGATACTTAGGTAGCCTGAAAGCCTGAGGGCTGACATGTGATGACCAAAAAAGCGGTGCTTCTTTTATCAAACAAAAAATCTGAATAAAAAATGTAGGATTGAGTTGGGCAGGAGCAATGTTAGAGTTAGCCAACAATATCGAGTACTGTTTGATTTTTTTGTTCAGTATAGTTGTTGATATTTGTTATGCAAAGACTATTGGTGGCTACCTTAGAGATAGGATGAACCAAACACTTAATCTTGAATTTCTAGAGAATTGCGTCATAAGATGTTGGAAGTACAATCATAATGACTATGCCAAATACAAGTTACACCACATCACATGCTTTTGTCATTAATGGTGACAGGTTGGCCAATTAATCTGTCTCTTTGGAAAACCTTCAAAGAAAGATTAGCTTATTTGACTTTTTGTCATGGTGATTATTTGATGATAACTCACTTTGGAACATCCTCAAGATTCATTTGCTTAGATGCCCTTTAATAAAAACTCTTGACAAGAAGATAAAGATAAATATTGACCATTTTATTTATGGAACTACAGTAGCATACTATTCTGTAAATAAGCACATTGCAATTATTCTTGGACAATATCAAACCTAGTGGAAATCCTTCCTTATGGTGTACAGAAACCTACTTACAGAATATGACAGGATTCTTAAATAAGAATTAGTCCATTTCATGTGGTTCTTGCAAGGGCAAGAATATTTTCTTAACTCTTCACATCCTAGGATTAATGACATGTTCAATAGATATTTGTCAAATGCATAAGTAAATGGGCAATTGAATGAACTCAAGAAAATGTGTGACTTTTAAATGGAAAATAGTGAAAGTTACACAATATTTAAAAAGTAACTTAATATTCAAAAAGCTGCTGAGGACAATATAAAAGATACCAATATAACCACCTGATAGTGTTAACAGATTACAATATTGACCATATGCTTTACCTCCTTTTTTCTTTTTAATAAAAGAAAATATTGCCTGCCTTTCTTCCTCAGAGGCACCTCTCACCATGAATTTCAAGTCTACTCTTAATATGCACACTTTTCCTACATTTTTGTATGTTAATAAAAAATACGTACAACTGTATTTTATGTTTTTAAATCTACATTTATGATGTCACAATCTATGTATCCTTCCGCAGTTTTCTTCATGCAGCATTGTTTTTGAGAAATGTCTTATTTTATTCATTTTGTTGCATAGTAGTTTTCTGTTTTTTAATTATATCATAATTTGCTGAACTGTTTACTTTTTGATGATGTAAGCTGTTGCTGGTTTTTCCAGTTACAGATATGTCATGGTGCCCATCCCTGTGTGGATCTCTGTATGCATGTGTGGTAAATTCTCTGAGACATGTGTCTGCAAGTGGAGTGGGGAGTCGTGGTGTGGCATGGTGTGTGTTTCCTGAAGGGGATGTCTTGATTTATCCTTCCACTGGCATATAGGAGAGCACTTTGCTCCATACTTCTTTTAAAAGGCTTTGGCATTTAGTTAGTAAAATAGTGTTTTGTGTATGTGTGTTTTTTTAAGTTCATCGTAGGTGGCTTAACTGCATTTAATTTCACAAAATTCAAATTCCTTTTCATAACCATAGAGAAAGACAGACCACATAATAAACAAAACACTTGTGAATGAAAAAAGAGAACAGCCATGGAATGAAATAGGAGACATAAAGTTAAATTGCCTTTGTTGCTCTCCATCAAAGCTGCTGTTTTGTTTTTTTGAGACGGAGTTTCACTCTTGTCACCCAGGCTGGTGTGCAATGGTGCAATCTCAGCTCACTGCAACCTCTGCCTCCTGGGTTCAAGCGATTCTCCTGCCTCAGCCTCCTGAGTAGTTGGGATTATAGGCACCTGCCACCATGCCCGGCTAATTTCTGTATTTTTAGTAGAGATGGGGTTTCACCATGTTAGCCAGGCTGGTCTCGAACTCCTGACCTCAGATGATCCACCTGCCTCGCAACTCCCAAAGTGCTGGGATTATAGGCCTGAGCCACCGCGCCCGGCCGCAAAGTTGCTGTTGAACTCACTGAAGTGCGTCTCATTCTGAAAGGGCCGGTGGCTCACCCTCCTGATTACAATCCTGGTTGAAAAGACTACATCATTATCATTTTCAGCCCTAAATACTTAGTCTTGTATCAGCCTGAATTGATGTTTTTTGAGAGGCATGTTATAAAATGAAAGTAGATATCTACTGAAAGGTTCTGGATTTAATAGCTTAAGTGAGTAAGAATCAGCTTTCACAGTTATTGGATTAACCATCCTGACCACTCTGAACATCTTTTTGAACCTCTTTTTTCTAGAACAGGTTATCATTTCTTTTATGTGAAAACTACTTTTGGCAGAAATGAAACCTGGTTTTGTCAGAAGGGTAAGAAAAAGCATCTGGCTAATTTTATGGATAACATTTTTTTTTTCTTTCTTCTCTTGACAGCGGGTTCCATTTTCTTCTCAGTTCTGCAGGAAGAGCCCATTTCCTTGCTATGATTTTCCTTTCATGTATACTGTAAATAACAAATGTTAGACTGCCTTCTAACTTCCCATCTCTTCCATTCTTTTTGGGGTTTCATTCTTTAACTGAAATGTCTATCTAAGTTTAGAAATGATTTTGGCTGGCCAGGTGCTGTGGCTCACGCCTGTAATCCCAGCACTTTGGGGGACCGAGGCGGGTGGATCACCTGAGGTCAGGAGTTCGAGACCAGCTGGCCAACATGGTAAAACCCCATCTCTGCTAAAAATACAAAAATTAGCTGGGCATGGGGGTGCCCAGCTACTCGGGAGGCTGAGGCAGGAGAATCGCTTGAACCCGAGAGGCAGAGGTTGCAGTGAGCCGAGATTGCGCTATTGCACTCCTGCCTGGGTGACAAGAGTGAAACTCCATCTCAAAAAAAAGAAAGAAATGACTATGGCTAATATGATGTTCCATATCTTTTGCTTAAAGTTTCTATTCCTCTTGCCAAATATTCTTCTTGTTCAGAGTATTATTTCTACTTACCCAGTACTAGAATCTCAAAAACCGCCTAGGTTTAAAGTCTTCCACCCAGATACCACTCACTGTGCTTTTTCAACAAAATAGCACCTTTTCTTCTTTCTTCACCTCCTTCCTTTTCTGCCCTAATTTGACTGGTGTCATATGTTAACATTAAAGGCCTGCTCAGGGCTGCTACCTAGAAATCTTGGGCAAAAGGCATAAGACAGAGCAGAGGGCAGGCATTGTGTCCTTATACTAAGCATGGTCAAATGCTTGAGTGTCCACTTGCCAGTTATTTGTGATAAATAGCACAAAACAGATTGGTTTTTCTCACAAGGCAACAGGTTGTCAGGTCACTTGAATACCCTCGCCCTGGTGAATCTGATGCACATCCAAGTTTGGGGCCCGTTGAGCTAAGCAAAGGAGAACTTGGAAAGGAAATTGGTGAAGAGCCTGTGAGGCATCCACTAGCTGAAAACAATAGTAATAACTCTTGTGCTGTCTGTTGTTCAGGGCTATCTGCTCTGCCACTTGCCTTCCATTATCATAGAAAACTGAATATTGATTGAAATTATTAAATCAAGAAGATGGCAATAATGATTCTACTCGACAGTCTGCAAGCCTGAGGGATTGTTTTACAACGAAGCAAATGGCCACTTCAATGGCTAATGCCTAAAAGAAAATAACCAGCAAGTCCAAGGGCAACGAAACTCTCTCTCCTTGCTATGATCTCCTATTATTTTCTACTGGAAATGTGTATTTGTGAAGAATTTCTGAATTGTTAGCTGTAGGCAAATACTTGTGTGAGCCAAATGGAGTACAGAGCAGTGAAAGTGGAGGTTATAACGCAAAGAGGAAGGCAGCGGTGAGTGGCAGTGATGGGTGTGAGCCCAGCTGGGGTATCTTCTGCAGCCTTTGCAGGCCTGCACACATGCTTGGCCTATAGCGCTCCCGAAGCTGGACCAGCCAACCGCAGCTTTCCTTCCAGAGGTGATGAAGGTGCAGGCTCTTGCCCTCAGTGACTGTTGCGCTGACTTTACAAAAATGAAATGAAAGGGACAGGAAGTCATTCCTGTCCCTCCACTTACTGGAATTAAAGTGAAGAACTTCAGGCAAGGCCACGGCCACCCTGCCTCTCACTCAGATGCTTGAAATGCCACCATTTTCTCCTTATTCTTTTCATCAGAGAATTATTATTGATTTTTTCAAAAGAGCATATTTTTTCTTTCTTTCTTTCTTTTCTCTTTCTCTCTTTCTTTCTCTCCCTCTCTCTCTCTCTCTCTTTCTTTCGAGATGGAGTCTTGCTCTGTTGCCCAGGCTGAAGTGCATTGGATCAATCATAGCTCACTGCAGCCTTGAACTCCTGAGCTCAAGTGATCCTTCCACCTCAGTCCCTTTGTTGCTGGGACCACAGGCATGCAACACCATACCTGGATAATTTTTTTAAGAGATGGGGTCTTGCTGTGTGCCCAGACTGGTCTCAAACTACCGGCTTTAAGTGATCCTCCAGCCTTGGCCTCCCAAAGTATTGGGATTACAGGCGTGAGCCACCTTACCCAGCAAGAACACCTTTTCTAGGAGGGATAATATTAAGTTTTATTGCTCATTTAACTCTTATTATTGTAGACTAGATGAAGGACGGAGATGACAAGAGGATGCTGTATGTCTTACAAGATCATAGGAAAAGGGAGGTTGAGGGCACGGATGTTTCTCACAGAGCTTAGGGACTGGGGAGAAAACACACATCCTTTCTTCTACCTCGCCATTCAATATGGTTATATTAGTGAAACCAGAATAAGATATATCAGTGAAATCAGAATAAGATATATTAGTGAAATCAGAATAAGTTGACTCAAGGGCATCATTAAAAAGAAGCAAAACAGCCAGAGAGGAAATTGCGGAAAAGCAACAGGTTGTCCAATGGCCTGTGTTAGAAAAGGAAGCAGGCACTGTTGTGTAGTGGCAGAGCCAGGACTCCCTTCCCCTGGTAACTAGCTAGCTGATAACCTGTGGTCACACCCCACTGACCTGTGGTCATATCACAGTTGTCCTGCGTGACCTTACGTGAGACTGCTAGTCTCTCTGAACCACAGTGTCCTTATCTGCAAAACTGGGGAAACGATGCTGACTTTGCAGAGCTGTTGCCAGGATTAAATATATTGTCATCTGCAAAGCCCCTGGATTGAGGTGTGTGTGTGATATGTGTTGATTCCCTTACCTCATGGTGACATGCTGAGTGGTGAAGGCACCCAGGCTGCTCACCACCTGCTTCTCCTCCTGTTCCTCTGACTTGGTGCCTTTCAGAGTCATTGAATGCCCTCAACTCCCTATTCCCCACAAAAAGCAAAAAGCAGATGCCTCTTCAAAGTTATGACCAGAATCAGGGCATTCACCTTGATTGCCTTGCTTTGGGTAAGGACAACCACTGGGGGAGGAGTGGAGCCATCACCTGCTTCAGGGAGCATCTGCCTTCTGTGGGCCCAGAGGTTAGTTTTAACTTATCTACAAGGTTAATGGATTGAATTGTGTGTTAGATTGTAATTAAGAATTTTCCCCAATTAATGATGCTGGTGTAGGAAAAGTCATAAATCCTCCCCTGGCTCAGCAGGCTTAGGCTTGAAGTTAAGTGGTGTTTAGAGGAAGTTCCTGTGTTCCTAATATATACTTTTGTGCACATTGGTTTCAATCAATATTGATGAACTGATCTCTTAGAAAGAAGATAGGTGCATTAGACCTTAGATCATCTATTTAGTAAATCAGTGGCTATGCTTGGAGTATTAGTGTCAGGCCCTATTGTGAAACATTACTTTCTAAGTAATGGAAAAGTGGAGTAAATTATTTATTGAGAACTTTGGTCATAAAATACCTCCTGGTCACTGGAGGCAATAAGATTAACCATGTAACATGTGAAATAATACATGATTTTGGTCAACAGTTAATAATGATAAATGTGGAGGAGAAAGAGGAAAACGTTTTTTAAATAGGTCAGAAACACAATGCTTATGTTGGTTTATACTTCTGCTTGAAATTTTAAAAGATTAACATGTGTATCACTTTCAGTTATTTGAAATATGCTGTTAAGAATTAAGGATTTAAAAGTTTCCCCAAAATATATTTAATCTTTTAAGAATTTGCGCTATTAAAAAGATCATGGAGGATCAAGTAAAAGCATTTTAAATGTAAATCTTAGAAGCAGAAAGAATGATAGTACTTTGTGTGGTGTCCTGTTTATTTTTCTAACATGAAATTAAATGTCACGTACTCGGGAAGCCACCCAGTGTTTTCTCTAAATAGTAGATACTTATGGGAAGTAGGAATAAATATGCCAGTGCTAGAAATGAGACAAATAAAGCATGAATTTACATGAATGAAAACCATCTATTAACGGGATTATTTGGAACATAAATAGAGACCGACCCTAACCCAAACAATCTCAAAACAATTGCATCACAAAAAATGATTAGACTGTATGATGGGTATTAGGTCTTTTCTCCAAAACAGTATCCTCAAGGTGCTGCCTGAACTAAGGAACTATTTGAGCTCATGCGATTTTTGCTTGAGCACTTCTGATTTGTGGCTACAGAAAAGTCAAAGCAGCACATAAGGGCTGTGTGCATCTAAAGTGAATGCAGTGTAAGGGCCCGCCCCATCCAGTAAGCCATTTCTCCATAACTGTGCATATAGTTTACATTATTGGCCTTCATGTTTAAAAAGTTACTTTGGAGATTTTTTTTTTTTTTTTGAGACAGAGTTTGTTCCTGTTACCCAAGCTGGAGTGCAATGGCACGATCTCGGCTCACTGCAACTTCTGCCTCCCGAGTTCAAGTGATTCTCCTGCCTCAGCCTCTGGAGTAACTGCGATTATTGGCATGCGCCACCACGCCCAGTTCATTTTTGTATCATTAGTAGACATGGGATTTTACCATGTTGCCCAGGCTGGTTTCAAGCCCCTGACCCCAGGTGATCCACCCGCCTTGGCCTCCCAAAGTGCTGGGATTACAGGTGTGAGCCACCGTGCCCGGCCTGGCAATTTCTTTTAGTTAGTGTTTTCTGACATCCAGGAAACCAAGATGTGACCAACAATTTTTACTACAGATCTGAGGAAGTTTTGTGGAGTGTGGTTGCCATGTGAAGACCTCTCTATCCTGTGTAAAGATTTAAGTAACTTTAAATATGAGTGAATTGGGAAGAAAATGCTTTCAAATGTAATTTGACATTGAAAATAGTTTCCGTGGCAAGTTTCTGGATCTGTTTTTTTAGATATTGACAGTTTTAGGCCAGATGCCATGGCTGGTGCCTGTAATCCCGGCACTTTGGGAAGCCCAGACAGGAGGATCACTTGAGGCCAGGAGTTCAAGACCAGCCTGGGCAACAAAGTGAGATTCTATCTCTATGAAAAATAAAAATATTAGCTGGGTGTGCTGGCAAGGACCTGTGGACCCAGCTACTCAGGAGGCTGGGGTGGGAGGATCACTTTTGCCCAGGAGGTTGAGGCTGCAGTGAGCAATGATCACACCACTCGGCCAGGGTGACACAGTGAGACACTGTCTCAAAACAACAACAACAACAACAACAACAACAACAAACAAACCAATAACCCCAAAAATAAATTTTAAAAATGAGTCAGAGAAACCTTTATTTTTTGCATATTTGTTTTGCCCTCACGCAATAATCTGCCTCAAAAGTAGTGAGCTGCACCCGAGAATGCCAGGAAATCACCGAGAAAGTCACACGATGTGTGAAAGTGCGACTTTCAAGCTGGCACCTGTTAGTGCATAGGCAGCCCTCCCCAGCTGATCACATATTGTATGTTGCCTATTTAGCAATCTCTGGTCTGTGCTCTGAATCCTTATCAAATTGTAAGATCATCTTTCATGGTGGTATCATTTCAATATGAATCTGTAATATTATCCAATACTTGCCATACAGCAAATACATAAAGCAAATTGTAGCTATTTCTTGAAGCCATTAGTTCTGCAAGAAATGGTTGTGTTTCCTTTCTCCCACACCATTTATGGCAGTGAAACATGAATCAGAAAGACCATGTTCAAATCTCAGCTCTGCTACTTACCAGCTGTGAGAGCCTCAGTTTACTCCTTTCAAAATGAGGATACCGCGCGGTGGCTCACGCCTGTAATCCCAGCACTTTGGGAGGCTGAGGCAGGCAGATCACCTGAGGTCGGGAGTTAGAGACCAGCCTGACCAACATGGAGAAACCCTGTCTCTACTAAAAATACAAAATTAGCTGGGCGTGGTGGTGCATTCCCGTAATTCCAGCTACTCGGGAGCCTGAGGCAGGATAATCACTTGAACCCAGGAGGGGGAGGTTGCAGTGAACTGAGATCGCACCACTGCACTCCAGCCTGGGCGACAGAGCAAGACTCCATCTCAAAAATAAATAAATAAATAAATTAATTAAATAAATAAAAATAAAATAAACATAATAAATAATAAATAAAATAAAATGAGGATACTACTGCTAATTCACAGGCCTGTCAATCTTTTCAGCCTCTAATAAGATATACAAAGTCCCTCATATCTGGCTAGCTGAAGTTTATTAGAAAAGAAGTGCCAGGTTTTTTGTTGTTGTTTGTTTGATTTGGCACACTATCTCTACTATCACTGTTGATAAAATAGCCCACAGAGAACAAGTACAGGTCAAAGTAGACTTTGTGAAAAATGTATTGAATTGAACTGATTGGAATTCAGCCGGCAGTGGGTGGCTCAAGGGGAGGCTGGAGAAGAAGCCAAATTGGAAGAAGGGGAGGTCACATTGCTGCTGGAGAGTGGATCACTTGGCAGTGAGGGAACAGACAGTCAAAATATAAGAAATAGGAACAGCTCAGGAGAGCATTCAGCTTCCATGTGGTGAAGGAACAAATCATCCTTACATATCTTAGCAGCTTGGAGGCTGTTTTACAGTAGAGCATGATAGCTAATGTTTAAATTATGCTCAGTCTACTGTGAATTATTAAGGGAACTTTAAATTATGCTCAAGGTATTGTGTTTAGAAGAGAAGGAAAATTTACAATATGGCTTAGAAAACTTTCCATTAGAAGGAGTAAGGTAACAATCTATACTGTATTTTATTTAAGCCTTAATTATCTAGATTAAAAATAATAAAAAAACTTCCCTAGAATTCCTTTGCAAAAGTGCCAGATGACTTCACGTACACCTTTTAGCTTCCTGACATTGGATTGAACAGCAATTTCCTCATCTTTCCAGTGGAAAGAAAAAGACGACTCACCCTATAGCTGGTAAGAGGTTTAAATCAGACAAACCATAGAAAGCACTTAGCACAGTACCTAACATGTAGTGTGTGCTAAATACATTAGGTTCTATTATTGGTGGTGGTATTATCAATGTTACAACTACTATTTTACCTTTTTAAGTTTGTTTGTTTTTTCCTGAAATTATTAGTTCCACTCTTTTCACATTGCCTGTAGGTCCTTGCTCTCTGCTCCCCTGTTTGATCTGTATTTCTTTTTCTTTCACTGATTTTCCAAATATTGCTTTTATCATGGATAAATCACTGCCCATAAAAAGCTTGGGAATGGGCCGGGCGCGGTGGCTCACGCCTGTAATCCCAGCACTTTGGGAGGCCGAGGCGGGCGGATCACGAGGTCAGGAGATCGAGACCATCCTGGCTAACACGGTGAAACCCCGTCTCTACTAAAAATACAAAAAATTAGCCGGGCGTGGTAGCGGGCGCCTGTAGTCCCAGCTACTCGGGAGGCTGAGGCAGGAGAATGGCGTGAACCCGGGAGGCGGAGCTTGCAGTGAGCCGAGATCGCGCCACTGCACTCCAGCCTGGGCGACAGAGCGAGACTCCGTCTCAAAAAAAAAAAAAAAAAAGCTTGGGAATGGAGTTTATATTACATTGTATGTGATGGTTATAATTTTCTCTCCCTTCTCTTTCTTTCCTTGGCTTGGATATTCCTTTGGTGTCCTCTCCAGGCAGGTTCACAATTTTCCTCCCAAGCAGTAAATAGTATCCATGCAGCATGACTGCTTGCCAGCCACAGTTAATAAACTGAAGTGTGCAAGTGTGTTCCTGTTCATTTTTGTTCAGTCTGCAATTATATTTATCTTCTTCTTTCTTCTCACCCTTTCTAGTTGTAACATTTCTCTTGGTTTAACAAAATGTCACAAGCACATTCTAAAAAATGATACTGCATGGTATCTACTTTTTCTGACATAATTGTAACTTGAGCACATTTGTTCGCAACAGAGAGGAGTGTGACATTTCTAAACAAACAAAAATAACAGCCTGTACCATGTCTTATATTGCCATTTATAAAGCATCAGCTCAGGTAGAAAAGGCCAGGTTTTCAACTGAAGTAAAAATGAAAAAATTGAGTTTCAATTGACATCAGATACCGGTCTTTTTCTTGAAAAGAGGCTTTAAACTTTTTGGAATGATAGTTCTGATTAAACATTTAATGGCATGTATAATGTGGCATTCTAGGAACCAGGATCTGCATTGTAACTTTGTGTACCTGAAGTATACGATTCAGAGAAAGAGAGACAGCTACAGAGGTGGTTTGAATTTAACTTTTAAGAATGATCAGAGACAAATATTTGACTGAATATAATGTTTACTGATGGATGTTCAAATAATTATTATACTAAGTATACTGAAAAATCAAATAAATGGAGAACTTTTCCATCTCACTAGTAATTCTACCTAAAAGAAATTTCAATTGCTCATTTCATGGTGATATTTGAAAAACATTAATCTGATCCTGTCACTGTCCCAGCCCCACCCCCACTACCTAAAACCCTTAGTGACTTACTGGTGCCTTTACAAGAAAGTGCAGACTCTTTCACAGGACCAGCTCCTTAGAGGAGTTCTAGGTTGGCTCGCCACTCCTCTTCTTCACTGGGTTCCAGGCATGCTGGCCTTCACTTCCTTACACACGCCCAGATCCTTCCTGCCTCAGGACCTCCCAGTATATTCCCCTTCTTTTGGGACACTCTTTCTCACATTCTTTACATGGTTAATTCCTCCTCCACTTTCACTTTGCATTGTTCCAGTTGCTTCCTTAGAGAGGCACTTCCTGGTACCCCAGGACCTCAAAGTTGCCATCCTTCATGGTCTCCTGTTCTTTCTTTATATGGCACCTACTGCATTTTATAACTATGCATTTATTTGTGTGTTTCTTTAGTATCTTTAGCATCTTATTCACAACTGTGTACCTAGCACAAATAGTAAGCAGTCAGTAACTGTGTGCTAACTTGGTAAATACTCATGTAACATTGCATGAAAAGAGTAAATAATTGAAATGGTGTGTTGTCCTTGCATCCTTTCTATGTCTAGTTTAAACAGTCTACCTCTCATGAGGTTTCCTCAAAGAAACCATTATATGATTATCTTAATTTGAACAGTAACAACACAGACATTTATTGAGATATGATCTGGATGTAGCAACAAAGGTAAAGTAGATATGGCTTCTACTTTGATAGAACTCAGTATAAGCAGGAGATAAACATAGAGGTCATTACAAGGGCTTGTGTTTGGGGGTGAGGTGGAGAGAATAGAAGAAACGTTCATAGAGGAGATGACATTGAAACTTAGTGGGTTGGGAAGGAGGAGTGAATTTTGTTAGCTGGAGAAGGCTGGAAAGCCACTCTTAGCATAAAAACTATCATGAACTAAGGTAGAGGGGCACCAAAGTATATACTGGATTCAGGAAATTGGTGAGAAGTTCTGTGTGGCTGAGGGTGCTTGTGAAGAAGGGTGGGTAAGGAGAAGAGTGGTAGGAGATGACACGAGAAAGATAGACTGGATGTAGGTTCTGGGTCATTTGGGTGATTTTCCTGAGGAGCTTGGGTGTTATTTTGTAGGCCATGAAATGTTTGAAGCATGGGAATGAGAGAGCAGATCTGTGTTTGAGAAACATGATGCTGGAGTGGTGGCAATGCATTGTTGAGTGAGGGGGAAGTGACATAAGAGGGCAATGAATACAAGTCAAATTTGGCAGAAGTTAGGTTGTTATGGGGAGAGAAAGAATGAAGGGATCACTTTTAAAATTCTTTTTTTAAATTATGAAAGTAATGCATGCTTACAGGGATAATTTGGAAAATGCAGAAAATTATAAAAAAGAAAAGAACGATCATAATATGGTATGTGGAAAGAAAAGCAGAGTCAAGGGGAAATGCTTTTACGATGGTAAGGATGACAGGGGAAACTTTTGGAAAGGATCCAGAAGGATCCTCCCTTTTAGAGATCTCTAGTTTATTTCTTTTTTACAGGCCTTAATTTTGTCCATCTGGAAGCACCACAACCTTTTGGATCTCCAGGGTTTTGCACATATTTTTTTTTTTCTCTCTGGACTAGTTCCTCCTGCTATTCCCTTCTCTCCCTTTTGCCTGGCAAACTTTTATTCCTTATTCAGGCCAATAGTAATAGTAATAATAAGCATCATCATCATCATCATCATCATCATAACAGTAGTTACAGAAACACACAACAATCACCTATCCAGTGCTTGTCCCTGTGGTTAGTGCTTTGTTAATCCTTACGTGAGTCCTGTAAGGTAAGCACTACTATTACCCCATCCTACAGATGAAGATACTAAGGCATTACAAGGTTAAGTGACTTGAGCAAATGTAAATATCACAACTTATCACTTCCCTCACCAAGTCTGGAGTCCCTGTAATGTGATCTCATAAGCTCCTAATTTCTCCTGGGAGACTTTTATCATACTCGTACTTGTTTGATGAATGCCAGTTTTCTCTGCTGGACTGTAAGCCCTGTGAGAGCAGGTAGTACGTCTGTCTTGTTCTCTGCTATACCCTCCAGTGCTTAGCTTTGTGATTACGTGGTACAAGCACTTGACACTGTTGATTACCATTCTCGTAATAAGGTCATTCTAAGCCTGTTGCACTGACCTGTAAAAGTGCACACCTTGGAAGAGAATACAGTTGGCCTTCCATATCTGCAGGTTCTGCATCCATGGATTGAACAACCACAGATTGAAAATATTTTTAAAAATAAACAATGAATAACAATACAACAACAAAAAATATAGTATAACCACTATTTACATAGCATTTATGTTGTATTATGTGTTATTAATATAAGTAATTAAGAGATCATTTAAATATACAGGGGGATGTCCCTAGGTTATATGCAAATACTTTGTCATTTTATATAAGGAACTTAAGCATCTGGGGATTTTGGTGTCTTCTGGGGGTCCTGGAACCCATCTCCCATGGATGAGGAATGACTGTACTTATTAGCTCACCATGATAGCCCTGGGACCTTTAGATGAGGACTTTGGGATTTCCTGGGAGCTCAGAGGCCTCCATATCAATCTGTATCTTTTTTTTTCCATCTCCTCTAAGTTCCAGTAATTCCATAGAGCCTTCTCATAACTGATCTGATTTTCTAGGCCTCAAACTAGATCACATCCCCATGGAGATCCAGATGACAAGGACTCTAGTCCTGCCATGATTGATACTTAAATTCTTTGTACAGCCTCTTTAAGGGGTTCAAGTTTGCTTTTATTCAGGTTTTATTTGGTTTTCATTAGATAGATAAAACCTAAATATAAGATTTTATAATTTGAAAAAAAACTTAGATGGAAATAATAAAAGGATGATTTTTTAAGATACTGCTGCATTGGCCAGGCGCGGTGCCTCATGCCTGTAATCCCAACACTTTAGGAGGCCGAGGAGGGTAGATTACCTGAGGTCAGGAGTTCAAGACCAGCCTGGCCAACATGGTGAAAACACCATCTGTACTAAAAATACAAAATTTAGCCGGGAGTGGTGGCGCACACCTGTAATCCCAGCTACTCGGGTGGCTGAGGCAGGAGAATTGCTTGAGCCCAGGAGATGGAGGTTGCAGTGAGCCGAGATTGCACCACTGCACTCCAGCCTGACTGACAGAGCAAGACTCTGTCAAAAAAATAATAATAATAATAATAAAAACAGTGCTGCATTAAACGTTTTATTTCTATATTTTGTCTGGTGCATTGGGTTTAAGTAGATTTGAAAATTACTAATAACACACTAAGGTTATTTTACTACCAAAATGATAAATTATTGATGTTTACATTTTAATCCAAATATAGATTATACTTGTACATTGTAAAGGAAATACTTTTTTTGGATTAGTTTTGTACCTGTTGCTTCTTTATTTCATTTATCAAAGGAGATAAAAACTATGAAGGCACTGGAAGGTGAACACTCATCAGGGTTAATCACGGATATTTTGAACAAAACAACCAACACCCAAAGAGCAAACATTGGTTTAACACAAGCAGATAAATTTAGAGATCCTGAGTGTTTCTTTGACAATTAATACAAAACATCAAGACAATAAACATGTTATGATATTTTCTCTAGTTTTTATTTATTTATTTTTTTTTTTCTGAAGCATGGTCTTGCTCTGTCACCCAGGCTGGAATACAGTGGTGCTCATCACAGCTCACTGCAGCCTCAAACTCCTGGGCTCAAGGGATCCTCCCACTTCAGCCTCCCAACTAGCTGGGACAACAGGCATGCAGCACTATATCTGACTGATTTTTATAGTTTTTTGTAGAGATGGGGTCTCACTATGTTGCCCTCGCCTCAAGTGATCCTCCTGCCTTGGCCTCCCAAAGTGCTGGGATTACAGACGTGAGCCACTGCACCTGTCCTTTTTCTAGTTTTAGATACTTGAGTTTGTTGTTGTTGTTGTTTTTCTTAATAAAAATCAGTCACAGTATTAAGTAAGGTATTTAAGTCAGGTCAACACAAGTTTCAAAATATTGGCTTGGGAGCTACTTCAGTCTGTATCTTTATCTTCCTGTTTAATTATAGACTGGAAAAGGAAGACAGCATTTCCTGCTTTTACAGTTTCCTAATGATGATATCTCAGCTTGTAATGATTTAATCCAAAGGAAGAAGGCATTCTATCTACATCTACAAAACAAACCACCACTATTACAAACTGGGTTAATGTTTTTTGTTTTTTTTTTTTTTTCATTTTTTATTTTTTATTTTTTTTGAGATGGAATTTCACTTTTGTTGCCCAGCCTGGAGTGCAATGGTGCAATCTTGGCTCACTGCAGCCTCCGCCCTCTGGGTTCAAGCGATTTTCCTGCCTCAGCCTCCCAAGTAGCTGGGATTACAGGCACCTTTCATCACGCCCGGCTAATTTTTTGTATTTAGTAGAGATGGGGTTTCACCATGTTGGTCAAGCTGGTCTTGAATTCCTGACCTCAGGTGATCCACCCACCTCTGCCTCCCAAATGCTGGGATTACAGGTGTGAGCCACAGCACCTGGCCAATGGGTGCAAGGTTAGTACCTGCGTACAGCACTGTGAAGATTGCATGAAGTGATTCCCATAGAGTGCTTAGCACCCCTCGTAGATTCCACAAAAAGAGTGTTTCCTCTGTGCCTGGTATACAGCAGGTGGCAGTTGTCATTCAGGATGGCAGCAAGTGCTGGTATGGTTGGTGTGGTCAGCAGGGTGAAGGGTGTATGCTGCAGAGTGGAGGGGGTGAGAAAGGAATCTGCAAAAGAAGGAGGGTGGGCTTGAGGTGGGGCTTGTTTGTAAGTCATACTGAGGGCAGCAGGGAGTCCTGTGGCCTCATCAGGTTGGAGATGTATAGAGCTGAAAATGAGAAATGAGCTTTGGTGAAGGGGAGAGCCACATTTAGCACCAAGCAGGGCAGGTATTCTTTCCATTCATCCCCCATTTTTTAATTTTTTTTTAGTATTTATTGATCGTTCTTGGGTGTTTCTCAGAGAGGGGGATTTGGCAGGGTCACAGGACAATAGTGGAGGGGAGGTCAGCAGATAAACATGGGAACAAGGGTCTCTGGTTTTCCTAGGCAGAGGACCCTAGGGCCTTCCGCAGTGTTTGTGTCCCTGGGTACTTGAGATGAGGGAGTGGTGATGACTCTTAAGGAGCATGCTGCCTTCAAGCATCTGTTTAACAAAGCACATCTTGCACCGCCCTTAATCCGTTTAACCCTGAGTGGACACAGCACATGTTTCAGAGAGCACGGGGTTGGGGGTAAGGTTATAGATTAACAGCATCCCAAGGCAGAAGAATTTTTCTTAGTACAGAACAAAATGGAGTCTCCCATGTCTACTTCTTTCTACACAGACACAGTAACAATCTGATCTCTCTTTCTTTTCCCCACATTTCCCCCTTTTCTATTCGACAAAAACGCCATCGTCATCATGGCCCATTCTCAATGAGCTGTTGGGTACACCTCCCAGATGGGGTGGCGGCCGGGCAGAGGGGCTCCTCACTTCCCAGACGGGGCGGCTGGGCAGAGGCGCCCCCCACCTCCCTCCCAGATGGGGCGGCTGGCCTGGCGGGGGCTGCCCCCCACCTCCCTCCTGGACGGTGCGGCTGCCCGGCGGAGACGCTCCTCACTTCCCAGTGGGGGCGGCTGCCGGGCGGAGGGGCTCCTCACTTCCCAGACGGGGCGGCTGCCGGGCGGAGGGGCTCCTCACTTCCCAGACGGGGCAGCTGCCGGGCGGAGGGGCTCCTCACTTCTCAGACAGGGTGGCCGGGCAGACACACTCCTCACCTCCCAGACAGGGTGGCGGTCGGGCAGAGACACTCCTCAGTTCCCAGACGGGATGGCGACCGGGCAGAGGCACTCCTCACATCCCAGATGGGGTGGCGGGGCAGAGGCGCTCCCCACATCTCAGACGATGGGCGGCCAGGCAGAGACGCTCCTCACTTCCTAGACAGGATGGCGGCCGGGAAGAGGCGCTCCTCACTTCCCAGACTGGGTGGCTGGGCAGAGGGGCTCCTCACATCCCAGACGATGGGCGGCCAGGCAGAGACGCTCCTCACTTCCCAGACGGGTTGGCGGCCGGGCAGAGGCTGCAATCTCGGCACTTTGGGAGGCCAAGGCAGGCGGCTGGGAGGTGGAGGTCGTAGCGAGCCGAGATCACGCCACTGCACTCCAGCCTGGGCAACATCGAGCACTGAGTGAGCGAGACTCTGTCTGCAATCCTGGCACCTCGGGAGGCCGAGGCAGGCAGATTACTCGCGGTCAGGAGCTGGAGACCAGCCCGGCCAACACGGGGAAACCCCGTCTCCATCAAAAAATGCAAAAACCAGTCAGGCGTGGCTGCGCGCGCCTGCAATCCCAGGCACTCTGCAGGCTGAGGCAGGAGAATTAGGCAGGGAGGTTGCAGTGAGCCGAGATGGCGGCAGTACAGTCCAGCCTCCGCTCGGCATCAGAGGGAGACCGTGCAAAGAGGGAGACGGGAGAGGGGGAGGGGGAGGGGGAGGGGGAGTTAATGGTTTTCAAATCCCCAAGTAGTCAGGTGATTTCTACCATTTCACTTTATTTAAAAATGAATACAACTTTCTAAAAAAATTATTAGACTAAAATATATTAGAGCTGATATTATGGAAAGAATATAAGAATAGACAATATTATAAAAGGATATAAAGATAATTGTTATAAGCCAGTAAAAACTGTTTGACAGCATTTTATGGCTGGTCCTGTTATCAGATTTTGTTACTTTTGGCATGAAAATTAAAGTTAACATAGCCTATGATCTGATTAGCCTATTTATAACAATATTTTTCAGTGTTTTACATTTATTCGTTCAACCGTTTTTAAGAGTGCTGAGTGCTAAGGATTCAGTGATGAGTAAGACTCAGATCAGAGTCTTGGGGAAAGGAGATGGCTGCATCTTCCCCATGGTTATCAAGGGCATCATCCAATTCTGTGTAAGAGCTACTGTAGCATCTCTTGACCCCCAGCACTCAGAAGAGCATGCTGCAGTATCTCTTGATCTTTGGATTTTCAAGTACCATTTTAGCAATCTAGTTAGGAATTGCAGAAAGAATAGACAAAGACTCATTCATGCTGTCTCAACTATAAATGGACATTTGTAGCAGGAATGTCCTGCACTATATTCTAGCAGTATAAAAATGAAGGCCACATTGCTGGCCTCCAGGAACTTACAGTTCAGCTGGGGAAAGAAACAAGTAAATATGCAGAATTTCACCACCCAGTGGAGCAGTGCTTTTATCCTTTTATAAGTATCCTTTTCTAATACTGTATATTCTTGTATCATTTTAAAAATACCAGTTCTAGTAATATCAGTAAGCATAGACTTTCACGAAGAACAAAATAGAATTATGAATTTAGCAACCCTGTTTCATTTTCTTCCTGCAGCTCCATTTCTTAGCTTCTTTGCAGTAAGTTTGGAGGCCTGTGATTGAGTTGTGGTAAGTGGAATGTGGGCAGAAGGAACATATACTACATCTTGGCCTGGGCATAAAATCTCCTATACAAGCCTTCATGATCTTTCTTCACTTTCTGAGATGACCTTGGAGGTCAGGTGTAGAAGGTGGCCACATTCTCGGACCTTGAAGGATGGCCATGTGTAGCTCACTCGCCCACCTAGAAATACTATCCCTGCCCCTGGACTATTGAACTGGAATATAAATGAGAAGTAAACTTTCACTGTGTCCTTAAGATTTGAAGGTTATTTCGTAAGTACTTCGTCTATACTGATTAACACATTCTACTTTGCATTCTCAGGCTGCCTGCCTGGAGTAAGCATTAGTTACATGAAGAAGGGGTGCAAGGTGGTGTTGGTGGAGAACAACATGAGGTGGCAAGAAAGCTTGGAACTTTCAGGCGCCAATCAGTAGTCTGGTGTGGCCAGGGTGCAGCGGCAGTAGAGGGCAGTATTCATGACAAGAATGGAGAGAAAAGTCAAGGCAAGCATGTGGAACGTTTTGTGGGATGGGAGAGGAAAGCCCTGTCAACCGGAGGGGACAGCAGTCCGAGGAATGGGGAGTAAAATGGGGTGGACAAACAACAAAGAAAAGGTGCTAGCTGGTATCTGGTAATTAGTTTAAAACAGAAATAATTTCTTATAATAGAGATAAGTTTTGATAGTGGACATGTCCACTGGGTTCTCTCACATACACGGTTTCCAAAGGTATATATCTTAGACCCTTCCATTGATATTGATGTGTCCATGGATGTGAACAGAGCATGAGAAAAGTGAAGATGCTGAGAACGCTTTGGCCTAAGAGGAAAGAAAGACCATAATCTCTACCTTCAAGTGTCAGAAAGGATCGCAAGTAAAAGAGGTGTCCTACTTGACTAAGTGACCCCTAAGGGTGAGTTAGAACAAACAGGTAGAAGTGTAGGGAGACAGATATGGGCTCAGCATAAGGAAGAGCTTTGTCATAATTGCCTGAAGAGCAATCGGCCAATCCTGGAGAAGATGGCAATGAGTTTATGAACAGGATGAGTTCAAATAGACTGGTTCTTAACATGGAGGGACTGTCATAGACAGGGTTCAAGTATTGGATGAGGCTGGGACTAGGTAACTTTTGGAGCCTCTGCTTATAGTCTCATATTCTTTGATACTTGTCTGAAATGTAAAACTTTTTGAAGGTAGGTGTTATTTAAACTCTGATTTCAATGTGAGGGAAACGTTATGATAATGATATAAGGTTGAAAAACTTTCAAAGAAAGAAAACTATTCTTGCCCAGATGTCTTTACCTGGAGTTAACCACTTGACACTTAATACATTTTTTTTTTTTGGAGCTGATGGATATGCATTTAATCCAGTTAACATAGCCAGATGGGCCTTGCAGTGATATCACTGAACAGTATCTCCAAGAGAATGTCAGACCTCAGCAACAAGGCAGTGGGGTGAATGAAAAGGCAGATACTATCTTCCTCTGAGATACTGGGAGAAGAAACTTTCCCTTAACTCCCTTATTTATAAAAACCAGATAGCTTAGTTGTTCCTCTGAAACTGTCAGAATTTCTCTCATCACCGCCTCTGAACTGATGGATGGGGATTGGTCTTGCTTACTAAATGTGCATTGTAGCAAGACACAACTTTATTTAAAATACCATTAAGATGCAAGCACATTGTGGCTACTCTGAAGGCCTTCACTTACAACATGAATTATTCAAATAGCTTCTTAATAACTGTATTGATTTCCACAGTTAAAAGCAGATCAGATTATGGAATCTGCTCAATACCACTTAAATGTTTATAGATGTTAGAGTTGACAAAGACCTTTTAGACACTGATAATTCCTTTCACTGATCAGAATGCTAGAGATTTGGCATTGCTAGTAATGCTTTGTGATTATTTTTAATAAATCAGGAACACTGTAACAGCAATCATTTAAGGTCTTCATTCTTATTCCATTTTAGTCCCAGAGTCTTTGCCTGAAAATCTAGTTATGCTAAAAATCTGACCAGAAACTTTTACATTTATATTGATCAGAAGCTTTTATGTTTCTTTTGCAAAGATCAATGTAGTAAACATGTCTTAACCTGCATGTATTGATGTGAATATTAAAAAATATCTATGAATATTTATAATGATAAAATCCAATAAGGTTTCAGTTTCTCAGTTGCTTTTAGTACCCTGTGAAAAGGTAAAAGGGGGCAAGTGTACTAGTATGAGAAGAAATTATAGGTGGAGTAAAAATTAGATCTTTTATTCTTTCTGATTCTCCCCTTATTTGGAAGTCTCTGGGAAGGGAAATTTCCAGAGTGGATTGATTAGTCTGCTCGGGCTGCCATAACAAGATACCATAGACTGGGTGGTTTAAACAGCAGAAATTTGTTTTTTCACAGTTCTGGAGGATGGGAGTCCAAGATCGGGGTGCCAGCATGGTCAGGTTCTAGTGAGGGCTCTTCCTGGCTTGCCAAGGGTGTCTCCTTGCTGTGTGCGCATGTGTCCTTCCTTAGTGCATATGTGTTTGGTGCTGGGGTTGGGGGATCTCTTCCTCTCTCTTCCTCTTCTTGTAAGGCCACCAGACCTGTAGGATTAGGGCCCCAGCCTTTTGACCTCATTTAACTTTAATTACCTCCTACAGCCCCTGTCTCCAAATACAGTCATAGTAGGAGTAAGGTCTTCAACATAGCCATTTTTGGGAGACACAGTTCAGTGCACAGCACAAAGGCAGTGGGTTCTGGAGTCAGACTGCCTGAGTTTGAATGTAATCCGGGGCAAGTTGCCCTTTTTGTTTCTCGGTTTTCTGTAAACTGAGAATAGCGATAGTAATTTCACAGCTTTATCATGTTGAATAAATGAGTTGAGTAAGACACGCAAAGTACACAGAACAGTATATGGCATTTATAAAGTGCTCAATAAAAGTTAGTTATTATTAATAAATATGTAACTAGATATTTGTGCTTTTAGCTGAGACTTTTATGATTTTATGTATGTGGTTTCCACGTACTTTATGTTTACATATCAAATGATTTTTGGCATCAGGATTCAGAGTATGCTTTGAAAAATTTCTCCATGAATCTTGATAGATGCTTAAATATAAGGGAATAGAGTGTGTTTTATTTTATACAATGTATTTTATAATATTTGTAAAGAAGTTGTTCCATTTTCCCACTTAACTCTTATACGCACACACACACACTGGTTTTCTACCTGTACAATAAAAAACAGAATGTTGTTGTAGACCTTATTACTGTGGAAATCAAAGTACTTCATTCATAACAAGAAATCCAGCAATCTTTGGACTCTTCCTAAAGAGAGTTTGGGGTCAAAGATATCCCCATTGAGTTAGTATCTGGGAAAGCTAAGTAGAGAGCAGTTGACATCTTACCAGAAACTCTACAAGTAGAGTTTCTGCAAGTACAGAAGTACAGAAGTACAAGTACTACAAGTACAGAAACTCTACAAGTAAAGTAGAGTGGCCTAATTCATTGACCAATATTCTATTTCTTGTGTTAATGGAATTTGAATTAAAATGTGACAGAAAGCACACTGTGCTAGGCCATTCTTGCATTGCTATAAAGAAATATCTGAGGCTGGGTAATTTATGCAGAAAAGAGGTTTGATTGGTTCACAGTTCTGCAGACTGTACAGGAAGCATGGCATCGGCATCTGCTTAGCTTCTGGGGAGGCCTTAGGGAGCTTTGACTCGTGACAGAAGGCAAAGCCAGAGCAGGCACTTCACATGGCGAAAGCAGGAACCAGAGAGAGAGTGGGGGTGGGGGGAGGTGCCACACACTTTTAAATGACCAGATCTCGGTGTGAACTCAGATCAAGAGCTCACTCATCACCAGGAGATGGCCCAGGCTATTCAAGAGGGATCCACCCCCACGATCCAAACACCTCCCATCAGGCTGCATCGCCAACATTGGAGATCACATTTCAACATGAGATTTGGGTGGGGACAAATATTCAGACTATAGCACATGCTTAACTGATTTTCAAATCTTTCATGATTGTCATTATACTATGAGGCTGTCTTCAGTTCTTCTGGGCTGCTTCTAAGTCCAGAGGAGGGGCTGTGCTCTCTTTCTGTGTAAGTCAAGGTTTTTTTTTTTGTTTTTTTTTTTGTTTTCTTAAGACAAGGTCTCACTGTCACGCAGGCTGGAGTTCAGTGGCGCAATCTCGGCTCACTGCAACCTCCGCCTCCTGGGTTCCAGCAATTCTTCTGCCTCAGCCTCCCAAGTAGTTGGGATTACAGGTGCCCGCCACCACACCCGGCTAATTTTTGTATTTTTAATTAAGATGGGATTTAACCATGTTGGCCAGGCTAGTCTCGAACTCCTGACCTCAAGTGATCCACCCGCCTCTGCCTCCCAAAGTGCTGAGATTACAGGCGTGAGCCACCGCGCCCAGCCTCAAGGTCATTTTAATTTGGCAGGCAGGGTTTAAAAAGAAACAAGAAGGAGAAAAAAAGAAAGAAACTGCCCATGAGTTCCCTTAGTGCCCTTTCTAGCAGGCGGTTGTTCCTTCCTGCCTTCTGCTGCCTGCGTTGGGCCTCCTGTTGCCTCTCTATTCCATTTCAAGTACAGGAACAAGTCGTGGATATTTTACACTTAGAAACATTTCATTCTAAATAGTTGTACTTATGAGTCAAATTATAAGACTTTCACTAAAATTAGAACCTAAGAGTCTTTTTATATCTGAGCTCCTGCTTTAAAAAAATCAAAGTGAAATATTTATATAACGCAAAGTCTCTAGCTGCTGTAGGATGTGCAGTTTAAATGATCTATCCTTGTAATACTTCTCAGTATTGGGATGGCTAGTTCTACTAGAATGTTGAATGCAGCAGAAAATAAAATCAGCATGGCGTGGGCATGTACAACTTACATGTAAACTAAGGTGTTTAAATTAGATTTCAAATACACTGGATACTACTATTTCCCAAACTATGGGCAAATGTAGTACTAAGAAGCAGTCTCTCTGGGAAAAAAATGAAATTTTATACCTATTTCTATACTAAAAATTTAATTTGAATTGAGTTATAAACCCGAATATAAACTTGGAACTGTAAATCTTCTGGAAGAAGACATGGAAGTGTCATTGTGATCTCAGAGTAGGCAAAGCTTTTTTGCACATGACATAAAAAGCACAGATCATAAACAAAAAATTGATAAATCGGACATTATCAAAATTAAACATTTCTGCTTACCAACATATACTATCTTTAAGAAACTGAATAGACAGGTTCCAACTTGGAAAATGTTCATAGCATATATATCTGACAAAGTATTTGGATCTGGAATACATAAAGGATTTCTACAAATCTACCATAAAAAGACAAACAATCCAATTAAATACTTGAAAAGGCACTGCACAAAAGAAGATATATGAATGGCTAGTAACCTTGAAAAAGGTGCTTCACATCATTAGATATCAGGGAAAATGCAAATTATAGCCATAATTCGAGGCCATTTCACATTCACTAGAATAGATAACATAAAAAAGACGGCCAACACCTACTGTTAGGGAGGATGTATAGCACTTGGTATTCTTAATCATAGTGGAAATGTAAAGTGGTCTAACTATGTTAGAGAACTGTTCAGCAGTTTCTTATAAAGTTTTCGTCTCACTCTGTTGCCTAGGCTGGAGTGCAGTGGTGTGAGCATAGCTCACTGCAGCCTCAAATCTTGGGCTCAAGAGATCTTCCTGCCATAGCCTCCCTAGTAGCTGCAACTACAGGCACATGCCACTATACCCAGATAATTTTTTAAATTTTTTATAGAGATGCAGTCTTGCCATGTTCCCCAGGTTGGTCTTGAACTCCTGGCCTCAAGCAGTGCTCCTGCCTTGGCCTCCCAAAGTGCTGAGATTACAGGTGTGAGTCACTGTGCCCGGCCTCTTAAAAGTTAAACATACGTTTAATACATTTACCTGGTATGACCCAGAAATACCACCCTTAGGTATTTACCAACAAGAAATAAAAACATAGGTTCACAAAAAAGACTTACATAAAGATGTTTTAGCAGCCTTATTTTTAAAGCCCCAAACTGGAAACAATCCAAATGTCCATTAACAGGAGAATGGGTAAACAAATTATCTTAAAATGTCATACTACTTAGCAATAAAAAAAGAACAAGCAACTGATTCAGGCAACAATATTGATGACTCTCAAAAACACTCCAAGTGAAAGAAGCCAGTTGCAAAAAAACGACTTTATCCTGTGATTTCATCTACATGAAATCCAGATACTGGCAAAACTCCTCTATGATGACAGACATCAGACAGTGGTTGGAGAGGGAGTTGACAGGAAAGGGACATGAGGGAACACTCGTGGAAGGGAATGTCTCATGTCTTGTTTTCAGTGGTGGTTACACAACTGTATACAATTGTCAAAACTCATGAACTGAACACTTAAGATCTATGTATTTTATTCTGTTAATTATATCTCAATTTTTTTAAAAAGCAAAACAATCTACCTTCCCCTGCTAAAATGATTACACACTGATGAATAATCCAAGATGGAAACCTAGAGGATGTGAGAAGATGTTGTAAGTGAGATTTCTTGGGAGAAGGTGATAGCTGCCTCCAATGTGCACAAATACGTCTGTGCTATAAGAATCCCTAGAAAGAATGTTACAGAGAGTGACCTCGAGTCAACAACCTACTAAGGAAATGGAAATGGAAAGTACTGTATATTTCCACTTCTGTGCCAGCAGATCTAGGGACATCACCGGAGAGGCCATTTTAGAGTGACTAGATTTTGGTGAGGGTGGGGGAGAGATGGGGACAGGCTTTGCTAGCAGTAAATATGGCGACCCTCATGCCTCATCCAGTGGAGAAGGTGGTACATGGAGATCCTTCCTGGGGTATTTGAGGTGTTCTTCAGCTTGGGAGTCAAACGATGGATGAAAGATCAGTTGGTAAGTGTATGCTGAAGGTGGAGCTGAGGTGGAAGCATCATCAAGTCAGGGATGCTGGATTCGTTTTAGGTGTCAGAATTGTTCTTGTGCATTGTTTCTTGAGGCCAGGGATGTTGGGTCCTGCCTCAGATAGGAGATGAAGTTCATGTGGTCAGGCTTCCTAATGGAGAAGGATAAATCCTTTATGTTCACAATTATAAGAAAGTATTGAGAACCCAGGAGGCAGAGCTTGCAGTGAGCCGAGATCACGCCACTGCACTCTAGCCTGGGCAACAGAGACTCTGTCTCAGGGAAAAAAAGAAAAAAGCCCTCTCCCCTCTCCCCTCTCCCCTCTCCCCTCTCCCCTCTCCACGGTCTCCCTCTCCCTCTCTTTCCACGGTCTCCCTCTGATGCCGAGCCGAAGCTGGACGGTACTGCTGCCATCTCGGCTCACTGCAACCTCCCTGCCTGATTCTCCTGCCTCAGCTTGCCGAGTGCCTGCGATTGCAGGCGCGCGCCGCCACGCCTGACTGGTTTTCGTATTTTTTTGGTGGAGACGGGGTTTCGCTGTGTTGGCCGGGCTGGTCTCCAGCTCCTAACCGCGAGTGATCCGCCAGCCTCGGCCTCCCAAGGTGCTGGGATTGCAGACGGAGTCTCGTTCACTCAGTGCTCAGTGGTGCCCAGGCTGGAGTGCAGTGGCATGATCTCGGCTTGCTACAACCTCCACCTCCCAGCAGCCTGCCTTGGCCTCCCAAAGTGCCGAGATTGCAGCCTCTGCCCGGCCGCCACCCCGTCCGGGAAGTGAGGAGCGTCTCCGCCTGGCCGCCCATCGTCTGGGATGTGAGGAGCCCCTCTGCCTGGCTGCCCAGTCTGGAAAGTGAGGAGCGTCTCTGCCCGGCCGCCATCCCATCTAGGAAGTGAGGAGCGCCTCCTCCCGGCCGCCATCACATCTGGGAAGTGAGGAGCGTCTCTGCCCGGCTGCCCATCGTCTGAGATGTGGGGAGCACCTCTGCCCTGCCGCCCCGTCCGGGATGTGAGGGGCGTCTCTGCCCGGCCGCCCCGTCTGAGAAGTGAGGAGACCCTCTGCCTGGCAACCGCCCCGTCTGAGAAGTGAGGAGCCCTTCCGCCCGGCAGCCGCCCTGTCTGAGAAGTGAGGAGCCCTTCCGCCCAGCAGCCACCCCGTCTGGGAAGTGAGGAGCGTCTCCGTCCGGCAGCCACCTCGTCCGAGAGGGAGGTGGGGGGGTCAGCCCCCCGTCCGGCCAGCCGCCCCGTCCGGGAGGGAGGTGGGGGGATCAGCCCCCCGCCCGGCCAGCCGCCCCATCCGGCAGGTGAGGGGTGCCTCTGCCCGGCCGCCCCTACTGGGAAGTGAGGAGCCCCTCTGCTCGGCCAGCTGCCCCGTCCAGGAGGGAGATTGGGGGGTCAGCCCCCCGCCTGGCCAGCCGCCCCGTCCGGGAGGTGAGGGGCGCCTCTGCCCGGCCGCCCCTACTGGGAAGTGAGGAGCCCCTCTGCCCGGCCAGCCGCCCCGTCCAGGAGGGAGGTGGGGGGAGTCAGCCCCCCGTCCGGCCAGCCGCCCTGTCCGGGAGGTGAGGGGCGCCTCTGCCCGGCCGCGCCTACTGGGAAGTGAGGAGCCCCTCTGCCCGGCCACCACCCCGTCTGGGAGGTATACCCAACAGCTCATTGAGAACGGGCCATGATGACAATGGCGGTTTTGTGGAATAGAAAGGGGGGAAAGGTGGGGAAAAGACTGAGAAATCGGATGGTTGCCATGTCTGTGTAGAAAGAGGTAGACATGGGAGACTTTTCATTTTGTTCTGTACTAAGAAAAATTCTTCTGCCTTGGGATCCTGTTGATTGGTGACCTTATCCCCAATCCTGTGCTCTCTGAAACATGTGCTGTGTCCACTCAGGGTTGAATGGATTAAGGGCGGTGCAAGATGTGCTTTGTTAAACAGATGCTTGAAGGCAGCATGCTCGTTAAGAGTCATCACCACTCCCTAATCTCAAGTACCCAGGGACACAAACACTGCGGAAGGCCGCAGGGTCCTCTGCCTAGGAAAACCAGAGACCTTTGTTCACTTGTTTATCTGCTGACCTTCCCTCCACTATTGTCCTGTGACCCTGCCAAATCCCCCTCTGCGAGAAACACCCAAGAATGATCAATAAAAAAAAAAAAAAAAAGAAAGTATTGAGCCTCTGAAGATTGCCTTTCGTCTGCATAAACAATGGACTTTTTATATAACTTGATTCCCCTATGGAGTCTGCTATAATGATCTCGAAGAATATTCTTTACTTCTGAATGCTTTCAGTGCTACTGAAAAGAAAAAGGACTTGAGAAGTTAGAGAGGGTATCAACATCAAAGTGACTTCTTCCCTTCCAGCAATGGTAGGAACAGGAGGACCCTAAGGCATTTCTTAGTTTTTGTCCAGGTCCTGTCAAAAATCTTAGCTAATCTCCCTGATCACAGGAGTAAAAGTGGATGAACAAGGTGATTCTCCTGCCTTTTAAGAGTCAGGCTCTTAGAAACTGTTTTAGAGAATTTCACTTGTGTATCATTAATCCCTTAAATGAGGTAGTATCAATATGGCGATAATTGGAACTTGACTTTAGAAAAACTGTGACATATAACTCAGGTCCCTTGATAATCAGTGCCTGTGATTTTTCCTGAATGACAGCTATGTGTTTAGCACAGGCAATATGGACCATTCCTTTGTATCTGTAGCCCTCAGAATTTGAACATCTATGTTATACATTCTTAAGATGCAAAAATGTTCTGAGACATTGTCCATCAAACCCTTGGGAAGTCGATCCAGACGAAGTGTCGTATTCACATACTGCCTTTGTTCATATTGCTACGGATATTTCAAGATTCATTTGTCAGGCACAAAGTTGGTCATATTTTAACATCTGTTACTCCTTCACTGTTACTGATGGAAAGATGAAGATTCTGTGTAGTGAATACTTGATTGGAGTGTTGACATTTCTGACAGAACTGGCAATTTTTGAAATTGAGTGAGGCATTAGGTAGACTGCTTTGTGGATTCTATATTACTTTCCTATGGTTTATATACTATTCTTGCTAATTGTGCAAAACTGGGAGGGACTTCAAGAAAAATGAGAACAATCTAGGCTTTGCACTTCTCCCTTCTCAAGAGTTCCTTTAGAAGGGCTCAGGTGGGAGCAACAAACTAGACCAAAAATGAAGCAGGTGGCAGTGGTGGAGATAAGTTTGGTGTCCCTAAGGGCAACCATGAAGTTCTGGGATGGCGGCCTTTGGGATAGTAGTTGTCAATTTGCTATTCTATTTCTGTATAAGTTTTCTTTTTTTCCTTTAACATCGCTCTTCCAGGGTCCAAGCTAAATGAATGGGGCACTATACAGTAGGTTTTACCTTGGAGAGTATTCCCTTTGAGCATTGTAGACTTCTCTAGCTATGCTCCCCAGGTTCGTCTGGTTATTTTTCTTCATTGCCCTTCAAATTTCTGTATAAAGACCTTAGCTACAGATTCTTTTGCTAAACACATTGTCTTCAAACAATGTGAAAATGGAGGCTATGCTTTTCCAGGAGCCCATTATTCTGTTAGCTCCTTTAAAATTTTATTTTTATTAGATGGTGGCAATAAGAATGGGACGAATGTAGCAGGAAACCTCAGGGATGAGCTTTCTGTCTGGGTGGGCCTTTTCCATGACAGCAGCACCCTCGGAAATATTTGTGTTCAGCCATATTTAAACTTGAGTGAAAATGGACAGCTGAAAGTTAGTTCTTGTATTAAGAATGAGAGAAAGAGAGATTACTACTTTTCAAGTTACTTTTAAAATTCAGAATAAAAAGGAGAAGTAGCAAGCTTGGTAATCAAGTAAGGTAATAGATAAAACATATCAACCCAAAACTTTGTGGCTTAAAAAAGTAATGATTTATTATTTCTCATGATTCTGTGGCTCAGGAATTTGGAGGGGCAGTTGGCTGTTCCACATGTCATCATCTGGGTGAGGCAGTGGGCTGCATTCAGCAGGCAGCTTGGATGGGCTAGAATATTAGGAAGGTTTCCCTTTTAATAGCTGGTGCCCCTTGCTTTATTGTTAGCATTTCTCTCTCTACACGGGGAGCTTGGCCTTTCTCACGGGTCAGTGGTCTCAAGATACTTGGACTTTTTACATGGTGGTCAGCTTCCAAGAGGAGAGGAATAAGCTGCCAGGAGCAGCATCACCTCTACTACACATTATTGGTCAAAGCCACTCACCATGCCAGCCCAAATTCGAGCAGAGACGAGGTAGATTCTACTTTTTCTGGTGAGTACCAGAAAGGAAGGAGTTGACAGTGGCTCATTGGAGATTATCTATCACAGTTACTTACATATGTTACTTAAGTTGGAAGGGACCATTGTAGCAGTTAAACTGGGTGACTTTAACTTTTTTCAAGTCAAGTAGCAATCATGAAACCTTTATTGATAATCTCTTGGACTCATGGAGGTGACTTGATGAATCCTGTAATGCTTATCAAAACTGCCTCCTGCTCCTCTATACCCCAGTCAAATTATCCATTCTCATTAAATAATAACTTGGCTATTGATGAAACATTTAGTTACACACTCTAAGTCATTAGGATACTATAATGAATGCATTCTTGAGTGCTAGGAAATTTAGGCAAAGAAGATTAATACAGTCTGGACCTAAAATAATTCAAGATTTTCCATCATTCTATTTCAATTGCTCATATAACTTCTTGCTTTTCCTTGCTTTTTATGTGAGGAGTATAGGTTTCTTTTCTCATAGCCAGAGATGATCTTGAAAATAAGTGCCTTTTTTGACAGAAAAAAGTAAGGCTGGAATTCTAATGTAAAAGGTCCTCCAAAATACAAAGAAAAGCCTAAGGCTTGGACAATATAAAAATCTGCCATTCCTATTGCATTCCAACTATTAAACAGTAAAATATACTATATAATCGTTCCTTTATTAAATACTCTGAAGAAAGAGATGTGGAATAGCAATCAGAGGACTGATGTTCGGGTCACCTTTGGCAAATCACTTAACTTCAAGCCTTTCTTTTAATCTATAAAATGAGGATAATAATTTCTTCTCCACCTACCTCAGTGTTTGTGAAACTTAAATGAATAAAAGTATTCGGGACCACACATAAGGCATAATAACTGTATGATTAAAAAATTGTTGGTATACCAATAAAAAAGAGATAAAACCCCAATTAAATATTTATATGTCCCCCATAAGGGGCTCATGGTCTCAACAGAGTGTATATCCAGTAGGTTATTTAGTTAAGGTGTAGTGATAGTTTAAAATAACCCCACTCTTTCCATAGAAAGTTAGCAAGATCTTTCTTTTCATTTCTGCTTGGTTCTACTTATTCTGTAGAAAGTTGGGGTCATGTTGAACTGCCCTGGCTAAAATACCAGTCCTCTTTAAATGTCTAATTCCTGAGAAAGCTGGGTAAGATGGCAGAACAGTAACAATAGGACTCAGGGTCGGGCTTGTCTTTTCTGCCCTGGGATTCTTACCATTTCTGGCCATCTTTGACCAGGAAGTCAAAGCTCCTTTTATTTATTTGTAGTCCAAGCTCTTTTTCATGGCTGATTTAGTAATGATTTTTAAAGATCATCAGATAACCATTAGATAAAAATAATTCTAGACTCCTGCTGGCCGCAAGATAATTGCCATATTTAACTGATCATAAACAATAGTTTCATTTTTCAGGGATTTAGTTAATTATAAGCCTGTGCTGTCTAATAGGGTAGCCACAAACTCTATTTAAATTTAAATTACTTAAAAATTAAGTTTCTTAGTTATGCTAGCCATATTTCAAGTGCCCATTAGCTGCATGTGGCTAGAGGCCACTGTATTACTGCAGATGTAGAATATTTTCATCGTCACAGAAAATTCTAATGGATAGCACTGTTAGAGACTTCTTTCTAACCTGTGCGTTGCTGTTTTTTTTTTTCCTTTCTGTCTCCCTCAAAGGCTCTTTCTTTCATGTTTGTTTGTTTTGGGTGAGCAATGTGGGGGGAAAAGGAGCTCACACTCATGCCCTATTTTTTAGTAGTGTTGATGAAATAGTTGGTAATTGGATGGACTGAAACTATTGGCTAGAGTAAGATTTTGAAAATATTTTTGAATTTAATATATATGTATTGCCCAAAGCAGTAGTTGTAGAGGTTTTTATTTGTTTTTTAAATGGACTAGAATCCTGTATCAGCTAAACACTTCTCATGAACTAGTGACTACAGTTTTTCTATTGAATGTTATTTCATTACTTTTAAACGTTTTATTTTATAACAAGCTCCTTTACTACAGTGAAAATTCAGCTCCTGTGCTCATATCGAAGTCATTTGACTAGTATATGCCCTTTTCTCAATTTAAACACAATTTCTAATCCAAGATCCATTCAGATCTTGATATGCCAATTAAAATATTGACTTTAAACAAAAGGGTCATAAAAATGTGAGATTAAAATGATTAGGAGCTGAGTCCTTATCACATAATCCAAAGTAAACGAGGATTGCACAATGCCATACTTAAGAGGAAGCGCAGTTCAGTTGCACAGACATGTTCCTAGATATTCCAAACTGCTTTGAAATTATAGTGCTTTGTGTTGAAAGATTGATATTAAAATATACTTGGGAATTAAAATTCACTTTATGAAGAATTGTTGCCAAAAGGCTTTAAGATAGCACTGTGAAGACATGATATGAAAAAGAACAGTCTCCAAAGCCAAGCCACATTTCTGCAGATCAGAATCAGAAAATTTTATGTAGGCAGTGTGGCTTACCAAATGTGTCTTTCATAACGGAAGCCTATTTTTCACTTTAACATTGACATACTGTATGTAAATCCAGGAATCAAAATTATACCTCAGTGTCACTTAATGTTTGTTATTTGGACCAAATTTCACTTGTTTTAATTGTGAAGCTAAAAATGGAATTTTGTTGCTGAAAACTTGAATTCAGTGAACTCAAGTTCTCATAACTGTGAACAAACTTGTTTTAAAGTTTTTTTGTGTTTTGTTTTGTTTTTTTCTGGCGACAAGGTCTCACACTGTGGGCCAGGCTAACGTGCAGTGGCACAATCTCGGCTCATTGCAGCCTCAACTTCCAGGCTCAAGCGATCCTCCTACCTCAGCCTCCCGAGTAGCTGAGACTATGGGTGTGCACCACCACACCTGGCTAGTTTTTGTATTTTTTTGTAGAGACAGGGTTTCACCATGTTGCTCAGGCTGGTCTTGAACTCTTGAGCCCAAGCGATCCACCTGTCTTGGCCTCCCAAAGTGCTGGGACCACAGATGTGAGCTACCTCACTCAGTCTAAAGATTTTTTTTTTTTTTAATATTCGTATCAAAACCAGTGAGAGTAGGTGCTCATCCCGGAGATGTGACCAGTTAGCTAGAAGCCAGGAACCTCAGAAGAGAAGAGTAGCTCGTAACTCAGCTTGCTGGATCCAACAGGATGAGAATTCCCTGAGGATTGGGCAACTAGGGTGATTTCCCAGATCTAATTCTGCTCTGTTCTGGGTAGTTGGGCAGGCTATGTAGTATATCCGAATTCCAAACCATTAAGTGAAATGCTTGTTATTAGTGATACCCAATCATTGTTTCATGACACACCAGTGTGTCACAAAGATTTCCTGCAGTGTTGGCAGTGAGCCTCACTTTTCCCAAAGCTCTGGCTCCTTCTCTGACACATTGCCACCAGGTGGCCTGCGTGACCTTTACTCCCTTTTCCCCGCCCAAACATCTTACATTCCTTATACCTTATATCTGGATTTAAGAAAAGACTTCTTTTGGACAATTGATTTGCAGTTCCTAATCTGAGTTCTTACACAGTTGCCAAGCTATTATTGCTGCAAGGAGTTAAATCGGTTTTCACACAGTTCTAATAGTTTATTGTCAAAATGTCATTTATTTGAGTTAAGCATTGCCAATGCCCCCATTAAACCACTGTTTCTTTTATTTCCTGGAGTTTGGAAGGCATTCGGGAATACCAAGTGAAAAGGAAGAGTGAAGAACAGAAAAATGTTAGTGGGATGGCAAACACTGTGAACATTGCTGTTTCTAGTGGGCCAGAAAAATGTATGTATAAATCTTCCCTGTTCTTAGAGGCGCTTTCAGATTCTCCTCCACAAAGCTTCCTATGGTCACCATTTAGAGTCAATCCCCTTTTCCCTGTTCTCCATGGTATGTTATTTAGTTCTCTTCATATTACTGGATCAGAGTCTGCTTTACCACTTGGTCATTTGTGCATGTCTTTTTCTTACTGAAACTGTCAGATTCTTCTTTGTATCTTCAGAAGTACATATAATATAATGTAACATATGCAAGTTTATATGTAGACATACATTTTTAAATTCTTTAAATATAATAGATTCATGTTCAATAAATAGTATTGAATACCTATTCTGTACTATACAAAACACTGGTGATAAAACAATGAGCAAAACAGGCACAACCCCGTTTCTCAAAGAGCTTTTATAATGAGGCAGAAAGGATGGACATTAAATAATAATTTAGATTGCAGCTTTGTGAGTCCAGAAAAGGAGATATACAGTATGCTATATGAGGGTTATATAACAGGAAGACCCAGCCTATTCTGGGGATTAAGAGGGAAGATTTTCTGGTATAAGTAATTTAAGCCGAGCCTTGAAGAATAAGTTGGAGTTAACTAGGCAAAGAGGTAGAGAAGGAGCATTCCATGCATAGAGAATAGCATGTGTGAAACATACTGCTGGATTGGTTGCCTTGCAAGTATAAGGAACTGAAAGTCCAGATTACCTGGTTCTTAGTGGTGAGGAAGACAATAGTGCAAGATAGTACTGGAGAAATAAGTATGAGTCAAGTCTTGCAGAGATATGTGGGCCATGTGAAAGATTTGGTTCTTTAGCCTAAGATTATGAAACAGACTTTGGAAGGTATCAAGTAGAAGATGCTTAATCTACATTTATCTTAACAGCCTCCCAGTAGATTCCTGGCTTCCAGCCTCTATAACTTAACATTTATACTTATTGTTCTCATTTGCATTGTGACTGCTGTGGGAAACGAGGAAGTAGCATGTCTTCTGCAGGTAATGAGAACCTTTGTACCAAAAGATAGTGGGATGCTTGCTTCCTCAGAAAAGAATCTGGCTAGTAGGTTGATTCGGTCTGGATCCAAAGCTTTCAAAACTTGAATTTTATTCTGTCTTGAATGTGGACCACTTAGTTTATTCTGAAAATCTGATTTCTAGCAGATTTTCAGAATAAACTAATAAATCCAAGAATGGCCTGGGTTACCTAGGCAATAGTCTAATTTTATTAGACTATTTTATTAGACTATTGCCTAGGTAACCCAGGCCATTCTTGGATTCTGAGACCATTCCTCCTGCCACACACAACTCCCCGCAAGAACACTTAGCTATCAGTGGGAAAAATCCAGTGTCTTTCTCTTGCTGGGACCGTCATGTCCATATCAGTCATATACAATATCACAGGTAACCCTGGAGGAGGGAAAGGGGGATGGGGAACCAAAATGCAAAGGACCTGGTGCTAAGCGCCCCATCATTATTTCATGCAACTGAAAGTCAAGCAGATAGGAGAGTTGTAAAACTTGTCTACAATGAGAATAAGCAAGGAAAGAATTAAGGGTCATTTCACATTTAAAAATTCAGCTTACCACTTGAAGCTGTCAGTGCTTTGTGTGTAGAACTTTCAAATAATTAACATTTCTCAAACATCAAAACACAGCTAGAGGTGTGCATAAATAAAGAGGCACAGGTCCCAAAATACTATTTTTACTTTTTGAACTGGTAGGACTAATAGAAAAATAAATGAATACAATTGTTTAGATTAACTAGTTCTTATGGAAAAGAAGCACGGGAGAAAGTAGTTGTTAACCAATACTTGATTATTTGTTAATCACTACTACATAAGATAAAAAGTAGAAAAATAGGGATATATAGCATTTACTTAAGAGAAACATCTCTCTCTTAAACTTTGTATTTGTTTTTAAGCACTCCAAGATCTTGGCCAGGATATTTAACCTTTGATCTAGTTTCCCACTGCATGGTATGGCTATAGGAAATAGTGGATGTAAAAGGGCTTTTAAAAAATATAGACCATGATACAAACATATTTACTAGTATTATTGTTTCAATTATCTATTATGGAGTAACAAATTACCTCCAACTTAAAACTTAAAATGACTTAAAAATGACTTAAAACTTAAAAATGACTTAAAATTTTGCATTTTCCTGGGTTGGCTGGGATCAGCTGGGTGGCTCTTCTGCTCCATTTGACTTTGGCTGGGTCACTCAGGCAGCTGCATGCAGTTGGGAGCTCAGCTGGGGATTGAATGTCCAAGATGGCCTCATTGACATGCCTCACAGTTGTCTGGCTGTTGACTGGAGTGCCTCCATTCTCCTCTGTGTAGCTTCTCATTCTGTACAGCCTCTCTTTCCATGTGGATTCTAACTGGAAGGCAGACTAGCCCAGATTTCTTTACAGGGTGATTGGCTGAAAGCCTCTTCAGGCCCAGATCTGAAAGTCACTCAGCCATACTTCTGCATTCTACTGTCACACAGGGCCATCCCTTAGGCAAGGAGAGGTGAAACAGGTTCCAGTCCTGGACTTTGGAGGAGAGAATCACATTGGGAAAGCACATGCAGAGTGGGAGGGATTGTGGGCAGGTATTTCTGGAAATGTCTACCACAGTTATTATTAAATACAGCTTGAAAGAGTAAAAGATTACAATCCCAATGAATAAGAATGCTTATTCATTGTACTGCTTCCAGATATTAAAATTATTAAGTTACCTTTAACATATGTGTGCTGTACATAATAACCATGGCATATATTCACCATAGCTATTCTAACTGAAGGAAAAGATATATTCCCCAAAAACCTAATTCTTGATTTAGTCTTATTGTTTAATTTTTTAAAAAGTGTACTACAATCATAGTTTTTATTGTTTCAGAGGTTAAATGCACTTTACGTGTTTACTGATACAAAGGGAATTTTGAACTCCCTCTAGTGGCAAAAGATTTTCTTTTATTTTTTCCAAGAGCTTACTTAATAAGATGGCTGACATGTATAACAACATAGTTTCAAAAATGACCTGTTCTTACCATCAGAAGATGCCCACTTTCTCCTGTGTGAGTTATGGTGGGTCCTTTAATCTCTTATGAGAAATGTTAACCTTTCCAAGAAACATTGATCATATTATATGAAAAAAAAGGAAGAAAGGAGACTTCCTGTTAACTTTAAAGTGCAAAAACTGCTAACTGCTCCCTTTAGTCAGGGTCTTAAATAAAAACTATTATATTTTGACAATTAAAATATCATTTTCCCTGGCTAAAAAGTAAATTAAATTTTAAATTTTTGCCTGAAGAATTATTTTTTGAACAGACAAATGTATTTAATTGAAACAATCTTTACATAGAAAGCAATAGATAACTGTTGAAAAGTGCAGCTTGGAAAGCACTAATAGCCAAACTAGGAGGATCATAGGGATCCCAAAGTGTTATGCTTGTCTTGAATTCAAATTTGGATTTTCATAGCCAATAGGGAAGGAACATGGTTATCACCATTACGCCATACAAAAGGAAGCACAATGTCAAAGGGCGGGAATAGAAAAACAGCTATTACAGACTTTGTAAATTAAGTTTTCTTATCCCCACCCCATTGCCAAAGAGAATTAATAATACTAATTAACTTAGTCTGTTACGGGTCCATCTATAGACAGATTTATTCTGGTTCTTTATATAGTAAAAGGACATTTCTGTGATGCTAAAAGACATTCTTTAAAAATGCTCTTTTCCCAGCTATTTGTGGAAGCCGATCCAACCTATCCTGTACTGTCTCGTAGGTTGACACCCAAAACCTCTGTTCTCCTACCCACAGTAGTAGGAAAATGGCCAGGGATGGTAAGAATCCATAGAGTTTTTTTCTTCTTCTTCTTCTTCTTTTAAAGCTCTAGAAAGTGGAACCTAGGATTATAAAAATAATTCCCCGACATGCTGTTTTGTTTGGGACTAAACTATGAAATAGCAAGATTTCACTACAATAATTAATCCAGCCAATAAAAAGTTAGACTTTGTTTCTTTCCAATACCTCTTTTTAGTTCGACATTTATAACTAAGTCTGTGTCTCTTGTGGTCTCGATTACATCCGGTGTTTTCAGCTGGCAGCATTTCCTCTGCTGAGGCCACCCCACGTTTTTTGCCAGGCTACATTTCTGTGAATATAAAGAGAGAAAACCAAGTTGTATTAGAGAGTGAAATTTAAGGAGAAATTGAGTATAACTTTGATTTTTGAAACAAAAACCAAGCCACTGTATTTGTTATAAACAAACTGGTGATTAAAATATGTAGGCTCCAGAAGTACATGGAAAGTCTTATAGCCATCTCGTAGCCATCCTGCATGTTTTCTCTTAAATATTTATAATAACCTAATTTAACTAACAAACAGAGACCAGAGATTCCCTTCCAGCTTTGCTTGCACAGATTTGAAATAATGAAAGTGAATTTGCATTTCTTAAAATGGTGTTTTCTTCCAGCTCTCATAGAAATGTTTTTGGAACAGTGATCTGTGCTAACAGCTGTATTCAATCTTGAGTAAAAGTCACTTCCTGAAGAGAATGAAATTCAACTTAACATTCGAACTTGCCTAGAACATAATCCTGTAGGGTGAGTGTACTATGTGATTATGAAACTGGACACAGGCACCCTGCTGAGATGATTTCTTGTAAATAATACCCAACAGAAACCATTAATCAGTGTCAGTGTTTTTAACTGAAGAATTAATATTCTAAAAGTGTTCCTTATTCATACAGATAACCGTCTTAGTTTTCAAGAATTTTAGTCTTTGATATTTTAAAAATGTAATTCCCTTGTGGAATTGGATCTATATGAAATCTCTATGTATTAATATATACCATCAGATAGACATAAATATAGATACAGATAAACATATATGTTTATATATTTAGGCTTTAACAATTTTTTTAATTGTGTCATTCTTGATTTTCAGGTAAAATTTATTTTTGACTCAGTTCTCTTTACCTATTCACTCATTTATTTATTGCAGTGAGCTCAATTTAAATAGAATTTTGTTCCTGGCCTCATAAAATTAGTTGTAGGTATATATATGGGAGGTACAGTTTTAGCTATGATGGATTTAAAAAATATCTCTTAGATAGTTATTATTGACCTCTACTTTCCTAAATATTATACTTCTTTATTTTAAAGAAGGAAAATGTTGTATTAACGTAACTTGGATATTGCTAAAACCTTAATGGAATCATCCCTTAGATGGAAAAGTGTCCACTGAATCTTCTGTTTTCTTTATGGATCATTATTTTGTCATCTAAACAATGAATGTGGAGTTTTCAGTCATAGGCTATCAAATTGATTAGAGATAAAGTCTAACACGTTAAGGCAGAATTAACAAACATACAGAAAAATTCCAACCATCTCAATTTGTAGGAATCAAAACCGTTTCCGGCCTTACTTTGGTAACAAAAAAGGAGCTAGGCTTTCTTCCATTCCTTGACCAAACCACTAAGTTGCCTTGAAGACCTTTGTTTATAATGTCTTCTTACATTCTTTTCCCCCTGACATGCTCCCCTCCCTCCAGCAGTGAGATACTAATTAAAGAGAGGCCACTGTGACCCTAGGTTGTTTAGAAGTCACCCGGAATGAGGTGGCGGCACAGATCTGGAGAGGAAGCGCTCATTCCTAAATATAACACAGTCCTTAAGACCATCTTGTCAAAAATCTGTTGGCTTCTAATAGCAAACAAAGTACCTCCTTTGACTTAAAAGGTATACACTTGAAACTAAAATGGAATCTCTAAAACCTACTTTAACAACATCTATATCCACTTTTTATAAGAATTGGCAACAAATAAAATTAACTCATGTATGTCACATGATAGTTTCTTTCAGAGACACTAAAATATAAACATTAAAAACATTTTAAATTTGATAAAGGATAATCTAATTTTTATGTTTGTTGAGGGAGAGGGAGCATGTATCTTGCCATTCCTTTTAAAAAATTAGAGACAGCTTAGATTGTGTATGAGAAGACTCTTTTCTTTTTTTCCCTCTCTCCTTCCCTCTTTCCTTCCTTCCTTTCCTTCCTTCCTTCCTTCCTTCCTTCCTTCCTTCCTTCTTTCTTTTCTTTCTTTCTTTCTTTCTTTCTTTCTTTCTTTCTTTCTTTCTTTCTTTCTTTCTTTCTTTCTTTCTTTCTTCTGTCTCTCTCTCTTTCTTCCTTTCTTTCGTTTGGACACCAGGCAACACTTTAATTGGGATGATAAAATGAACATGGTGCCTGCCAATCGTGGAAGTGCAAGGACTGCAGATTTTTCTTAATATAAGTGTTTTGAAAGACATGGAAATAATTTAATAACTTGCCTTAAATGAGCAGGTGGTGCTGCCTGACATTAAATTATTTCCTTCTTAAGTGGACTTGCTGTTGCTAAGTACTAACTTACAAGAAGCAGTTTCTTGCACAATTTTATTAGTGCTTGTTTAGCAGGATACTTCTGATTGCAAGCACAGTAATAGAGACCCACTACTGTTTGTGTTAAGTAATGAGGTGGAATTGTTCTAAGAATATATAAGGGAATAAGAATCTTAGTTATGAAACCCGATCTCAACAGAACCTGAGAAAGCAGCCTCCTAGGTGGGTCTATGGAGACCAGTTGGATGACAGTTTTCCATTCAAGGCACAAAATCAAGAGCAGGAGTTTTGAATTTTTCCCCTTGAACTTCTGCCATTTCTGCTGTAGTTGCTCTTTGTTTAGCTGGGTTAGAGTCCGGCTGCTTTGCTTCTTACTGTCTACTGCCATTCTTCTACTCTCTGAGTCTCACTGTCCTGTGATTCACTTTCCAAGTGATGATTCCTCTACCTCATTGCTTCTCCTTCCTTCCAGCATTGCTTGCTCATGGCCCCTCAGCTACCTTATATAAGGCCTCCTTCTCCATGCACAGTACCCGGTGGTTTTAGACTCCCTGTAAACACTGACTGAATGAATAGATGAGGAACATTGTTAGGGAATTATAAAATGTAAGCATTTTGTGTTTTCTTTTAGTTAGCCTTTAAGGGAGCTAAGAAAATATAAATTAATTAAAAGCCAGCTGGAAGACAAATGTTATTTTGAAAAATTTAAGAGACCTAATCATCTCCCTTTAGGTTAAAAAGGATTCACTGTAATAGTAGTAAGAAATTATTTATTTACAGAGGCACTGAACAAGTGTATACCGTTAAACTTGAGATTCTGGACTACCTTATAAAAAATAGTAGTGCTTTTAAATGCTCTCACTTCACACTGCCCCATTTAAGCAGCCACACTGGCAGGAATGGAGATGATAATTTAACTTCAGACTCCAAGAAGGGAAGCAGTCATTTTTTATTGACCATATTCCATTTAGGAGCCAAAATTAAGGTCTAATAGGGATCTGAAGACTTTTTTTTTTTAATCCTTCAGATCTTCATCTTAATAATTTATCTGTGAATAGATGATCAATTCCTGATTATTTTTAAGGCAGTCTTTTTTTAAGGATTTTTAAATCCCCCACCTTCCTATTGCTGCTCATTTTTTCCCCCTTTTTAGTTGCCCAGGGGACAAAAATAAATACCAAGAAAGAGTTCTCAATTCTTCATCCCTTTGCTGCCTTTTATTTTTTTAACATGAAAGGTTATAAACATTCTGTAAAATCTTTCTTAATTTCTGCTATTCATATAGTCATTTGTGAGTGAATAGACAGTAGTCATAAGAAGACCCAAATATGTATTTTTTTAATCATATAAAGTTTTTAACTGAATGTTGGGTTGAAGAAGAACCCAAACAGCAGTTTAAAATTCAGTTGCTCAGCTTCCCGGTTATAGCATGAACATCCAGAAGTGGCCAGTTAATGGGGCTTCATTCCCCTGCACTTTGGAAATGACCAGCAGTCCCAAATGCATTTGAGAGTATTTTCACTCATGAGAGAAAACGTGCTTCTCAGATTCTGAAGGCTTTCTGAGTGAAAACCAGACAAAACAGACAGTAAGAGTGCTAATAAGTATGAGACATCTTTCTTTTTGTTTCCCCCCCCCCCCAATCTCTCACCTCTGGCTTAAATTCTTAATTTTATGAAATGATACTTGGCTGGGTGCGGTGGCTCATGCCTGTAATGCCAGCACTTTGGGAGGCTGAGGCGGGTGGATCATTTGAGGTCAGGAGTTTGAGACCAGCCTGGCCAACATGGTGAAACCTGTCTCTGCTAAAAATACAAAAATTAGCCAGCGTGTGGTGGCGGGCGCCTGTAATCCCAGCTACTTGGGAGGCTGAGGCAGGAGAATCACTTGAACCCAAGTGGCGGAGGTTACAGTGAGCTGAGATTGTACCACTGCACTCCAGCCTGGGCGACAGAGTGAGACTCTGTCTCAAAAAAAAAAAAAAGAAATGGCACTTTTTTTCTTGAACTTCCAAGTCAATAAATTTTAAATAACTTTTCTTTCTAGAGTTGTAACAGTGTACAAGGCATTGAGGTAGACCGGATGCTCTGGACGAGTTTACCCTCCAGTGAAATGGACAGATAGATAGAACCAAAGTACAATACAAATGGCCTTGGTGGGGCACACCAGTTTCAGTAGTGATATCAGAGAGAGAGAGGAGCGAAGGCCAACCAGGGGACACAGGACCTCAAGGAAGTTTGAACCAGGGGTCTAGATCCCAAGAGAAGAGCCAAGATTGGAGCTCTGGCTGTGGTATTCTTTTGTTCACTGGTGATTACTGAAATGTTAGTTGTGGGTGAGATCATACGTGGAAAAGAACCTAGAGCAGAGAAAAAAAGATGGTAAAGGAGGACCCCAAAAGAGTAGACAACTTGGAATTCCATGAAGATGAGTGGCTGGTGCTGTCATAAAACTACATCATGTTGTGTGGGGACAAGTGGGAGTCAGAAGCCAAGTTATAGTGGTCTGTATCTGGAATGGGCAGTGAAGTGCAAACGTCCACTGACGGACAGTCTTTCAAGAACTCCAGCAGCGAAAGAGAGAAGGAATAAAGTAGCATAAGAAGCAAGGGAATCATTTCCCTCCCCCCCACCCCGCTTTTTTTTAGAATAGAGAAGACTTGAGCAAGTTAGTTTACTGGAAAAATGCCATTGCATCTGCTGTTCACATTTTTAAAAGGAAAATATATTAATGTATTACTTTTATAGTAAAAAATGTATTAAGTTGCCAAGAAAAATTGAAAGAAAAAAAGAAAAGAAAAGAAAAAGAAAAGCAAGCAATCAAACTGGTATAGAAGTTGGGCTGGGGAAAGTCAAGTGAGGGTATGTTATAGAGAAGTTCATTCGAAATCAAGGATGCAAATGGAAACCTAAATCTTGAACACAGAGAAGCTATCTAGCTAGGATAGAGAAGAGTGCCAAGAAGAGATGCAAAAGTATAGATATGTATTTGAGAGATAACTGAGAGAATTTCATGTAAATAATGAATGATCTCTACCTTATCATTGTAGGGGTAGGATTAGGAATTTGAGAAAAAAACTAAAAGGTTTGGAATTAATTCTCCTTGGGATGGGATAGGGAGCCACTTGCAAATGAGTAAAATGAATGCTATACAGCAGTAAAGGTATAACTAAAATTGAGTTTTTAGCATAGTATGATTTGCCTGGGAGGTTGTGAGTAACTCAGGAGAGGAATAGAAAAATCTGGTGAAAAAAATGCTTATTTTAAAGATAGGATGAAAGGGCTATGAATACCAGGCACTAGAAATAACAAACTTGAATTAGCTGACTGGGGAATTTAGGTTTGTTAAGTAAATTAAATGTGGTGGGGCGGGGGGAGCTGTGAGGGGTGGGTGCTGGTGGTGCTAGTGGTGGTGATGGTGACCTCATAGACTAGAGGATGGGAGAATAAAGAGAATGAGGGAGAAACTTACATTTCCAGGTCTGAAAATGAGAATAATAGTGTGGTGTGGGGATTGATGAAATAATGCCTGTAAAATACTTAAAACAATGTCTGGCACAATTAAAATGTCTAATGCTATAATTTTTGTGAACAAGAGTACAGAATAGATGGAAGAATTGGAATTACAGAACTTGATGATACACAATGATGTCAGTCAATGAAAGAAAGTGGATGTGTAGGTTTTCTTGAAGTGGAACTGTCAGGCTTACTCACGACCCCCTAAACTCAAGGCTTAGGTTTAGATGAAATGATATCACCCAGGAAGAGTGCTTAGCTATATGCTATATTTATCTGAAAAAGGTGGGCATTAGAAGAAGGTAAATAAATGATGATAAATATCTTTGTCATTTAACAAACTGAAATGTCTGCTTTGTTTCCTACAAAAACTCTGTGAGGATGATATTGTTGTCTTTTTGCTTTTTACAGCTGAACAGTAGATTTAGGTGAAAGTAGCTAACAGCCAGTAGAACTGTCTTTTTGACACAGTAGTTCTTCTTGAAAGCCCATTCCTTGCCCGCTACTCATTACTATAAATGGCAGCATATAGAATGAGTTAGAGTGAAGACATTTATGCAGCCAACAGACACATGAAAAAATGCTCATCATCCCTGGCCATCAGAGAAATGCAAATCAAAACCACAATGAGATACCATCTCACACCAGTTAGAATGGTGCTCATTAAAAAGTCAGGAAACCACAGGTGCTGGAGAGGATGTGGAGAAATAGAAACATTTTTACACTGTTGGTGGGACTGTAAACTAGTTCAACCATTGTGGAAGACAGTGTGGCGATTCCTCAAGGATCCAGAACCAGAAATACCATTTGACCCAGCCATCCCATTACTGGGTATATACCCAAAGGATTATAAATCATGCTGCTATAAAGACACATGCACACATATGTTTATTGTGACACTATTCACAATAGCAAAGACTTGGAACCAACCCAAATGTCCATCAATGATAGACTGGATTGAGAAAATGTGGCACATATATACCATGGAATACTATGCAGCCATAAAAAAGGATGAGTTCATGTCCTTTGTAGGGACTTGGATGAAGCTGGAAACCATCATTCTCAACAAACTATCTCAAGGACAAAAAACCAAACACCGCATGTTCTCACTCATAGGTGGGAATTGAACAATGAGAACACTTGGATACAGGAAGGGGAACATCACACACCGGGGCCTGTCGTGGGGTGGGGGAAGGGGGGAGGGAATAGCATTAGGAGATCTACCTAATGTTAAATGAGGAGTTAATGGGTGCCGCACACTAGCAGGGCACAGGTATATATATGTAACAAACCTGCACGTTGTACACATGTACCCTAGAACTTAAAGTATAATAATAAAAAAAAAAAGAAAAAAGAATAAGTTAGAGTGGATCTCAAGAGCTGTCCTGCTGTACCTTGAAGAGGAAAAGGAAGAGACGGTGCCTCTTGGTGTGGGGAAGACAGAACGGTCAACCATTGGAGTTTCAACAGAAGTTGTGCCATCCGGGGAAAGTAATTCTTGGTTGCTTTAGTCATTCTAAAATACATCGTGGTACCATCTTGGGTTTTAATAAATAAATGCTCACCCAAGATAACAGTGAATCATTTCCAAACCTTCTTACCTCAAGAGGCTATAATTTTTATGTATCTGACAGCAAAACTTGTTTTATAGCAGAGAAAGTTGTAGGGGGTACTGAGGTTAATGCTTATCTTTTCTGGGTTCCTGTAACCATGTTCTGGTTCATTCTTTGTAACAAAAATTTTCAGTAAAGTTGGGAGCATGTGTCCTCATAATTTCTGGCTCAGGATCATGTAGAAGTGAGCCACAGTGACTGAGGGGAATATATCATAATCCTCAGGTGAGCTGGACTGGAAAGGAGGCCGAGAACTACTGACTGACAGTGAAGCCAGGTCAATGGGTACTTGCTGACTGTCGCAGGCTGCATTTCAATAGAGTACGTATGGGGAGTATGTGCTAAATCTTGGCCATCATTGTATCTTCAATAGAGGAGTTTATAATGTAAAGACACTGAGCTGGCCTAATTTAGGCATTAATACCATCCTTAGAAAATGTAGCAAGAGGTCTTGGAAAATAGATGAGAGTAGGAAAAACTCAGAGTGGGTAGACCATGAGGCATGATTTCAACAGAGTAAACGGAGGGATGAGTGTGGTTTGGCTGATGGAAAAACAGAGGCTGTTTCCTGGCAAAGCTCAGAGCTAGAGAAGAGTGAGTTCATGGGCAGCCAAGACACAAATAGTAGCTGGAAATAGAGGTAAAGGGACAAGGGAGTTAGAAAGTGGAGAGCTTTACAAGTGCTGTTCAGAAATTTGCATTTGATGTGGGAGTTTTAGGAAGTAGAGTGATACAGCCAAAGAGGCCAGAAAAAAATTATTTTGGAAGCAGGGTATACAACAATTTGGAGTAAATAAGGACCAGTCAGAGGGAAAAACAGAAGAGTTCCAGCAGTTCAAGCTCGAGAAAACTCCATAAAAGATATGGAGAAAGAGAAGAGAGTCAGTATGAATCACAGATAAGCTGCTAATTTAAAAATCGTGTATTTTCACTGTCAAATGTAGAAATTAGCAGCCTCCTATTTGTTTCATCACTCAGATTTGCAGCATTTCTCAATGGGTTTACTGTAACCTTTGTACTATCCAGACTGTAGTCTCATAACTTTTTAAATGTTTGGTTTTTTTCCCATTTTCTTTTTTAGGAGAGATTCATGAGGAAAAGGTAAATGGGCAGATAAAGTAGTTATTTAAAAGAAAACTTATAACCGGCTATGTAGTCACTTCCTAGGTGCTGTAGCACCAAGAATCAGTTTACTTTTGTTGTCTGGGATCCTCTGAATCAACCTCACAAGTCTTTTAATACACTGACATCCACTAAAAATACTTGAATTGCGGACATTTTCAAACATACAATAAGGTGGAAAGAAAAACTTCAGCAATTATCAGCACTTTGTCCATTCTTATTTACTGATATAACCTTTTAAATGTTAAATGATAGAATGAAACGAATGATATGATTTTGAACTACAAGAGTTTATACACCTAGGAGTAGACATGGGACTAAAACAAAATTTTTTTAAAGAGTTTATACACCTACTTTAAAAAATCTGTCAGTCACTAAAAGCTTAAATTATGATTCATTTTTAAAATAAAGGGCCAAACAGGCATAGAAAGGGAGGAAAACAGTTCCTATAGTGATTTGCAATATTTTTTAGCCTGATATATTTAATAATGTTCATAGCAAATAGCTTAAGTGAATTCTAAGACTTCTTAAAAGAGTCCCCCTAAAATAGAATATATTTTAAATCAATCAAGAAATTACAAATTACAGAATTTAGCATGATATTCTTTAATATTGAGGAAGTTTGGCTGGTAAATTAGAATGTAAAATTTATCACTGAATTAACCGTGATTAATTATCTCACCCAAGATAACAGTGACTCATTTACAAACCTTCTTAAGTATTTCTTAAGTATTTGAAAGTCATAAGCTTGTTTTAACTTTATAGAATAATAACATCTGTTTGAATAGGACTTGCATACATTTTTAATATATTGCTTATTCATTCATTCCAACATTCATGAACCAATATTCAAACACTTAATATGTGCCAAGCCCTGTGTTAGAGGCTTGGCTATATCAGTAGTTTGGTATGTTAATAATTCTTATTAGATGACTTTCAAGGTGAGATCAATTATAATTTTCTTTTATAACAAGGGGAACATTACAGATAAATGAAATTAATGGATAATCCCCAAGCCTCAGGTTAATCAACCTGCAGTCAATAAATAAATTGGCTGGTTTGTTTCAGTTTTTCATGTTGGTTTTATCATCACACCAGCAGTTAAATGACTAAAAGGAATGCTGCATATGGAAGAAGAGGAAATGCAAGGAACTAGTCAGTTCCTGAACAAATATGAAGTATCAGATACTAATAGTCGTTGTTCCAAATGTGAATCATTTACATCTTTTCCTGTAACTGGGTCATCTTAACTGTTGTTATTGCTTTTGATTCACTTTGTAATTTCATATAAATTTTAAGGACTGTGATAATCATTTCAGATATATGTCTTTTTATCTGATTTACCTGATCTATGTAAAAATTACTTTTCCAATCTGAAGACCCAGAAAGACTAAGAACTGGCACTCCAGGTACCGTAAAAGGGTGGAAATTTGTGAGGCTCATCAGTTGGAATTGATGCCGTGTGCCGGAACAGTACTGATGACTGATCTTTGGAGTGTATGCGTGTCTGTGTATATGCATGCATTTGACTAAAACTTGCCAAAGAAGTAACAGTCCAGTATTCATGTTCTCAAGGTATGTTTGCAACTGACAGTTTAAAGCAGTAACAGCAAGAAGTGTACAGTGGCAAAGTCTGATAAATATCTATAGATTTAGGTTCATCTCCCTTTCATCTTTCTTATTATATAAATGCACTGAAAAACACTTGAAGTAGAATGACGTGATTGTGGAGAGAGAGCTGAGGAGGGAAGCAGACAGCTCAGCTTGTTCCTTTGTGATGGATGTCTTTGTGAGATTAGGGTGAAGTTTCTCATTCTGATGCGTGCAGACTGTGCCCACTACTTGTAAGACACACTGTCAGATCTCCTTGGAAAAACTGAGCATATGAGTCATTTACTTGTAAAAACTTAGTAGCTCTGTGTTCTTAGGAAGATTAAAAATGAGTGTTTGACAAATATTTTTCTAAAGCCAAGGTTATGAATAGAAAGGACATGGATATGCATTTGCATGCTGTGTATTCATGTACTTGTATGCCATGCTTTATAGATTCTAAGACTCACCTTTTTTACATTTCAACATCTCTGCAGTTGAAATGCAGGTTGTAAGTTATGGTGTCTTTTAATTACTGTAGTCCACTTTTTTCAAATGTCAATTAACATCTCTGTAATTTTCAGGCAGCTCACAATCAGTGGTATCTTAGATTGCATGACATACAGTTTATGTCTGAATATTTATAGGACACTGATACAGAGAGATGAGTGTGATACTTCTCTTTTACCCAAAAAATAAAGTGAGAAGATTTATTCTGACAATTAATGGTTGAAGTCAAGAGAAACTATTTGGTCATAGAATCTCATTTACTGAATAAGTAAGTCACATACAGTTGCAAAATGCAACACTTATTTACAGTCTCTCTTTATGATCTTAAGTAATCTAAAGATTAGGATGCAAATTCACTATGTAGTTTATAAAGCATGTTCTTTCTTATTTGATTACTGCATCACTACATTTTTTACATATATATAACTCTTTTTAACCCAGATATTCATGGTTTTGAAAAGAAGGTGAAAATTATTTCTGTCCTTTCTGTGTGTGTGTGCATGCGTGTGTGTGTGTGCACGCGCAAGAAAACTTTTACCTCATCCATTCATGCCTGCAACAAAACATAACTATGTGCAGGACATTAGGTTAAGTTAAATTGTTAGAGATTTACAGACTGCTTAAGCAATCTTATAAGATTCTTAAAGCGCAAGAAAAGATGACTTAGCTCTCACTTTTATAAGTTGACCAGTACAGAATACAGAGAAAAAGCACTATACAATCTATAGAAGCCACCGATTCTAGTCCTGCGGTAGAACTATGATGGATGGTTTCAGATTTCAAGGCTGTTTAACAAAGTTTTCTAGTAGATATGGCTAAATATGAATAGATGGAATGAATTTATTATTGGTCTAGGTGTCCAAGGAGAGACAGTAGCATTCATTCAATTACTGAAAGATTTATTGATAATGATTATTGTATAGCAATTACAAGGACCGGCCCTTAATAATTCTTTCCACCTCTGAAATTCTATATTTCTAGGGCTTCATGTCAGAGGGCAAGTTGCCTGATCGACCTGAGGGTATCTACCTGTTCAAAAAAAGGTCGGCACTGGTGGCGGGGCAGGGGCAGGTGGTAAGAATACCTGTCCTGCCTCCTTCCCCTAGACTTTAATGAGATAATGCATAATAAAGCATTTTATAAATTGTAACATTTTTATAAATTCATTATGTCTTACATGTGAAAAATGTAAATAGCCCCCAAAAATGTAAATGTCTTCAGAAGTTATCTACTTCTTCCTTCTGGCACTTTCTCCAGTTTAAAAGAGTCTAACTGAATTTTAACACTTAATAATAATGACTTGTTTGAAACATTGTATTTGCCACTAGATCAAACATTAGATTGGGAGGTGAAGGAAGGGTGGTTCTGGGAGTATCTAATATGTTGTCAGCGTTCTGGGAGTGTTTTTTACAGTTTGGAATTAGGAATCACTGATGTCATGATCAGTCACATTGTCATGGCAACATCGGAATTTCCTCATTTGCCTTCTCTTCACTTGGGGAGTATCAATTTGCCACAGGTCTGTCATCAGTTCACCCCATGTGTTAAACATACTAGATAACCCAGAACTAGTCATTCTTAAAGATACTCAGGGTGGGGAATTTTTATAAACTCCTTAAATATCCTATTTCAGTACTCTTAACTATGTATCCTGATGTTGGAAACTTTACCTTCATACATATTCAACTGAATAGAAATTCATTTGTAATTCCATATCTTCTTATTTGAACCTTTATAATTCAGGGGAGAATGAAAGGCTTTTCAGTATTCTCATTTACATAAAGGACATCATTAATTATTCTAGCATCCTCCTCTTTAAATGAAATAGACCTAATTTAATGGTAATTTTAGCAACTGAAGAGAAAGGAAACTTACTGTTTCTTTCCTTCTGTGTATTGAATGCTTTAAAACCTTACTTGTGCTATCCATCTTAGGTTTTGGATAGACATTGGTTATGCACCCTCTCCCTACAGATAATTAGGAAATTCTTATTAAATAACCTTTTGCAATTGTTAGCTTACATGAGGGTTTTGTTTTTCCCGGGTACAGTTTGCTGTTAAAGTTAGCTTTTTACTCATGTAAAGGACATGGTCATTCCAGGTTTGAATTAATTTTGTTTCCCACGATATAAAGATTTTTGGCTCCAGTTTTCCACAATTTTTTTTTTAAATTTCCTAAGTACTTTCTGTCTCTTCCCAGGTCCTAGTAGCAAGAGTGGATGTGATCAGAAATTTTCCCAGCACACCCATTCCTTCCTTCCTCACCTCAGCTCTTGTCTTTTACCCACAGTTTGCTCACATACATAGGTAATTATGTTACTTCCATCTCTTTGGAGTCAGAGAGACCCAAGATCAAACTCCAGCTCTACTACTGTAATTTCAGAGATTACCTAGTAATATCTTTCCATCACAATTTATGAGTTTTACTATAATTCATGGAAAATTCATTGAATTAACTTGAAATATTCTGAAAATAAGCACTTACATTTTTATAGGCTTACAATAGGCATGGAGAATAACAGCTCCATACTAGATTTGCACAATCAGAGTATAGAAGATTGAGACATCGTCCAGTCAATTTAGGAAAACAGCAATTCACAATATATGAAAAATGGACCTTCTCTTTGTCTTGGTATCCCAAATAGTTTACTTATTTTGCTGTGGAATTTGATCTATAGCTACAAATTCACTGTTGTTTAAGCCAAAGCAAAATCTTGAATTTTAATTTAAATGGCATTTTATTCAGATGTTGTATTTTTGAAAAGGATATGACTCCATGTACCTGTTTTTATAGATTTTTTTTTTTTTTTTGAGACAGGGTCTTGCTCTGTTGCCCAGGCTGGAGTGCAGTGGTGCAATCTCGGCTCACTGCAGCCTCAGCCTCCCAGGTTAGTTGGGCTAGCTAACTCAACGATTTTTTTAATAGAAAAACTTAGGGACAGAAACTTATAGATAACCCTTATGCCAAAAATTGCTGTCAGCTTTGAATTTTTATTAACTATTATGCCAGAGCAGAGCAATAACTAATTTATGAACAGATTAGATCACAAAATGTTTATAAGTTATTTGTTTCAAATTTGGAGGATGTTTCTTCATAGAGAGATGTTGTAAATGGTGATTAGGATTTTAGTTGACCTAAAATAAGCATCTATGAATCTCATAACTTAGCTAATATCTAATATGGTCTCTCACCCTTTTTTGAGGGAAAATAAAACTTGGTTCCAGTTCAGGATTCTGGAAATAACTTTCACCTAACCACCATCTCAGCCATCCTACAATATCCCAGAAGATAAATTTTTCTGCTTCTCTCCTAACTCTGTCCCACCAATGATTCCAGAAAAAAAAACAAAAAAACAAAAAAACTGGTTTAAAGAGAGAAGTTATACCTTAGCAACCATCAGTGAAGTGAGATTTAGATGCTAGGTTGGGGCTGAATATATATACCTGTACTATTCACGATATATTCGAATATTGGAAAGTTTGCATTTATATTCAGTGGAATGGAAATTCAATGTAAATCCACATGCTTTTACAACTGAGCAAATGGGGGCTTCTAGAAGGGATAAGTGCCTTGCCCAATGTGACACAGATGGTAAATGGTGAAGCCAGGATTCAGGGTCAGGTGTTCTGATGCCCAAGCTTTGGCTCTTAATACCATGTAAGTTTTTCTCTATGGGGCTTGGACTTGATCCATAGCTAATAGTAGTAATAACCATTATTAATATTATTGGAGACAGGGGACTTTGGAGTCAAAGAGACCCAAGATCAAACCCCAACTCTACTATGTATTGGATTTGTGACCTTGGGCAAGTTACTCAGTTTTCTCTTTGGTAAAATGGGATAGTCATTCTTCTGTCCTGGGGTATGTGTGTGTAATGTGCTTAGAAAGTGCCTGGAATATAGTTAGTTACTCAATAAATGACAGCTATTATTATTTAATACTACATGCAGAGAAGCAGCAGTGGGACAAAACTCATTTATTCTGTTTTGTTAACCAGGACAGAATAATCAGACTATGGCTTCTGGTAGGACTCATCAGAATATGGCTGTGTTTGTATTGTTCTCTATACCTTCTAGGATTATAGCTATAGTTTTATTTTATTACAGTGGTTTCAGTTTTATACGCATGTACTTTTATACATGTCTAGGGAGCCTTTACGTTTGGAATAAGAATTGCAGATTTTTTAAAAAGCAAAATAGTAAATAATAGAAAATGTTGCTGCTACTTTAGAAATAGGGTACTTTATCAACTCTATTTTGTACGAGGAAAGAACAGAAAGAATCTGCTGACCCCCTATTTTTTCTTCTTTTTTTTTCTCCTGTTTTGCTGGGAGCCAGAGGCTTTGTGAGCTCTTATACATAGACTCTCAAAAGTAAATAGGTTTTTTTTGGTGTGAACTGCATATACTAACCTATACAGTGTGGCTATATTTTATGCATTAAAGGTTGCAGTCTGATATAGTGTTGAATGAATTTTTCCTCTTAATTCCTTTCACCTTTCAATTTCACCCAAATAAAAATGGGTGCCTGAAATGGTTCAACAGCAATAGAGGGATAGAACCTGCTGTAGGTCAGTTCTTTTCTTGATAGAGGTGTTCTATTCTTATCTCTTGGACATCTTCTCTGCCCCCATTTTTTTTCCTTCTTTCAAAGCTTAGCTTCGCCACCATACTTTCTTTGTAGTAATTTCATTCAAAGCTTACTCTTTTATGTGGGGCTCGGTAATATGTGTATTAGGGTGTTGGGTCCTCTAGGACGCCTCACCTTCCCCTTTTAGGAAGTTCATCAATTAGCAATGATTTCAGCAGTGATTACCCCAAGTCTGCATTGTCCCTCATGCTAGCCTTCTATCTGTAGTTCTGTTTTTCTGATCATCTGCACAATGCTTCTTTCTGAGTATCCTTCTAACAAAACATTTATACAGTTGAGCTTCCCACGCCCATGTTATATCCAATATTGATCTCTCCCTGCTGTGGACTCCCATAGCACACGATTGTCTAGAACACTTGCCTGGCACTTATCACTTAATGTCTTGCATTATTAGTGTACAGCAAGCAATTTGGGCGCTCTATGGTTTACAAGTACTCACCTAGGAATTGAAGCATCATCATCTATAAGGCTTTTTTTGAGATGCGGCGTTACAGAGTTTTAGAGAGCATAAGACTTAGTAAATCTTTTAACCCTAGCCAGGTCTAGATTTTAATCCTAGTTTGCTACTTGCTTACTAGCTTTGTGGATAGGTCACCCAGCCTTAACTTTTTTTCTTTCATCTGTACATTGAGGCTTATAACCCTTCCAACCTCAAAGGTTGTTGTGAAAGTTAAATGAGACGTGAAAGGTTTAAAAATGAAACTTTCATTTTAAAATTGTTGCTTTGGGACAAATGTCTTTCAAATTCAATTCTCTAATTTCAGGTATATGAGCTCTTTTAAGTGGCAGAAGGCATTATTACCTATGTGTGTCATCTCCTATTTTAGATTGCAGGCTTCTGCATGTACTGGTGGCTGCATCCTTATTATTCTAGTTGGTATACACCTCCTGGCTTATGAGAGTGATCTCTGATACTGCTCACAGTCTTCCAATTCATTCAAAAATGGCTCTTCTCCAACACCTAACTTCTTTAAAGGAAACTGGACAAAAACAGATGAAGAAAAACTTCAGTGCACCTAGGCTCTTGAAACAGACCTTTTTTTAGACTTTCGTTTTCCTTTTAAAGTTAAATCTGCAGTATACACAACCTTAGAAAGAATATTCATTCAGCCATTTAACAGTTTTTTACAAAAATGCCCTCCCCTTGCCTAAATTTGCTTGTGCTTAATTCCTGCTGTACCCTTGCTCCTGTTCTTTGATGTTCAGCATCAGTTATTTGCACAGTGCAACCATTTAAATCTAGGCATCACCATGATAAAACCTGGAAAAAAATAACAACAACTGCCATTTACTGAGTTTGACACTTTTGTCCATGTACTGTACTTAAGACAATTTTGTGAGGAGTCTGGCACTCAAGAGAGGTTAGCAAACTTGCCCAGAGCACAAGTGGGAAGCTGAAATATGGACCCAGATCTGCTTGGTTCTGCTTTAATTCTGTTCCTTGGATTGCAAAGTCCAGATTCCTTTAAGCTTTCTGAAGAAGGGTGTTTTAAGTACACATGTGGAGGGGCTGTTGTAAGTCTTAAGAGCCAAAGCAGCTCTAGGGACTGCAGCCCCCTCCATCATTTCATGGCCAAATGCTCACCCACTCCTGGCATGCTCTACTCTCTGCCCGCTGCCAGTAAGCTTCCTGTTTACTCATAGTTTCTGCTTCCTCATAACCTTGGCTTGCATATGGTTTTGGCTTGTTGTGGCCTCAACTCTACCCCTGGCACTCTTATAGTTGCTGGCCCCTTAGTAACTGGTTCAGCCATTGAAGTTTTCAGAATCAAATCCCCAAGGGTGAGAATTGGATTGGTCCTGCTCATTTTTTCAGTCCCAGCCAGGTCATAGGTCACTGGCCTGTCAGTTGCCCTTGGATCAGATTCCCACAGCTTCTTTACCTACCAGCTGAGTGAGGTGAGGGAGGAAGACATAGGACAGCCCAGGCAGCAAAGTCTGTTTCCCTTGAAAGAGGATGAGCATTGGTGAGGTGCGGTGGCTCAGGCCTGTAATCCCAGAACTTTGGGAGGCCGAGATGGGCGGATCACGAGGTCAAGAGATCGAGACCATCCTGGCCAACATGGTGAAACATCATCTCTACTAAAAATACAAAAATTAGACAGGCGTGGTGGCACACGCCTGTAGTCCCAGCTACTCGGGAGGCTGAGGCAGAAGAATCGCTGGAACCCGAGAGGCAGAGGTTGCAGTGAGCTGAGATCGCGCCACTGCACTGCAGCCTGGTAACAGAGCGAGACTTCGTCTCAAAAAAAAAAGAGGATGAGCATCTCTAGGACAGGTTCTTCCAAAGCCCCGTTTTTACCATGATAACTTGCAGTCTCTCTGGACTGTTTTCTTACTTTCTATGTGTTAGAACATATTTGTTTCAAAGGTCGAGGAACTTTTTCAGATGAACCTCACCAGGATCTGTCCCTGTAATCACTCTTACAACTAAGCACTTATGAATAATCTATAATTGAGTGTGTATGTTATATACAGGGTCTCATAGTTATGTTTTTTTTTCTTACGTTGCATTCTTTGTGTTTGAGTGACTTCATTACATTTTAGATTTTGTTGAGGGTAGACAATCTATCTTATCTCTTTGTAATGCTTTACTTAAGAACACAGTACCTAGTTAAGTTTGGAACTTTTGAACCCCGGTGGACATTGTTTTTTTAAAACATATATGCCTTATATTCTCTCCTTTTATGTCATTCACCATTATAGAACATACATTTTGTTGGCTTTTAGATATCCTTCTCTAGTCTTAGAGTCTTTTAATTTTTTTTTTTTTTTTTTTTTTTTTTGAGACGGGGTCTCACTCTGTCACCCAGACTGGGGTGCAGCGGCGTGATCTCGGCTCACTGCAAGCTCCGCCTCCTGGGTTCACGCCATTCTCCTGCCTCAGCCTCCTGAGTAGCTGGGACTACAGGCGCCCGCCACTATGCCCGGCTAATTTTTTGTATTTTTAGTAGAGACGGGGTTTCACCGTGTTAGCCTGGATGGTCTCGAGACCTCGTGATCCGCCCGCCTCAGCCTACCAAAGTGCTGGGATTACAGGCGTGAGCCACCGTGCCCGGCCAGAGTCTTTTTAACATTCTTTTAGTATTCTTAGTATATCTTAGTATTTAGTATTAGAATTCTTTTAGTTTTCTAATTTAAATTTCATCATCACTTAAAAACTTTTCTTATCCCCATAAAACTATTGCAGAGTGTATCCAATCAAATTTTAGCATTCTGGATTGCACAGCATCCAAAATATCATGACCTTAGAGTACAGCCATAGAAAAATTAATCTATTCTCTTCTTTTGTGGTTTACATTGTGGTTTCCTAAGAGACCACTCTTGACAACTGAGGTTGTACAGGGAATTTTTTCCATAGATGCACAGACGACAGGTCTGAGCTGCTGGGGTGTTGAGCAGTAAGTTCTCAGAGAAAGGCACCTATGACTTGAACATTCTGATGAATGTTTTCTATTTTATACTTGTGCTTGATAACTTGCAGTAAAGGGTCCTAGTGAGAGGAGACAGCAAAAGGGAAGTCAAAACAGTTGTCTTATGCATGGAGTAGCAGAAAATAGTTCCACCAGATACACCAATTTTCAATGAATGCTCATTATACTGTGTTTGATACTTAATCACTTTAAAGGACAGATTTTTACGTAAATTTTGTCTGGCAAGTTCTTACTCGTCCATTGTGCACCTAGCACTGTGCCCAGAATAAGTTACTTTGCTTTTTTTTTTTTTTAATGAAAAGAATCAGGAATTACATGTGTGTTTTATACGGTTATTTATAATAGGTGAGGCTTTCCAGTTATCTGGCTGGAGAATGTTGGAAGAGCCTGAGTATGGAAGAGGTTCACTAAGTCACCAGCAGGATATCTAGGATGAATATTTTTTCCAGTTCCTTGCTGCTAGAAAAGCCTTTGAATGGCCACAGCTTTGCCAGAAGACTTCATTTCCATAGGGGACACTGTTTTCCTTAGGGAAGCCAGAAGGCATACGCCTTCACTTTTTAGACAAGTTAGGATTTTTCATTATCATGGCAGATGAGCCTTTCCAGGAAGGTATTAAGAGACCAGAAACCAAGGAAGAACTCTGTAGTATTTACTGCAGCGATAGTATTCTGTAAAAGTCACCGTGGAACAGGCCAATGTGAAGGATGGCAAGCCCGTCCCAGTGGCTTATCCAGAGACCGCAGGCTCTGTCAGTCCGGGCTGCTGTGGAGGCCTTCTGCACTGCACAGGTTCGGGGCTTCATACGTCCACGGAAAGGTGGTCGAGAAAAGGGACGGCTTGAGCAGCCGTAGGTCATTTACATCGGGAAACAAAGGGAAGTCCCTCCTCCCTTTGTCTCTTTTTTGCCGAGTTTCTGTGTCCTAAGAAAACACATTTGTGTCGCATCTAATAATTAACATAAGGAAGGATTACACTGTTCCAGGTTTTAGGGAGAAAGGTTTACCAAACCGGTGGCCTTAAATGATTTTCGCTCCTTGATATTATCATCTTGAAGGAAAGCTGGTAAACTCTGGCTTAGGGATAAAACAAAACTTTACCGATCGTATTTGGGTGAGGGGCTGGGGAGTGGAGAGCTGTTTCCTCTGCTAAAATTTTAGCGTGTGAATCGGGGGATGGAGATTTGCAGAGGTTTGACGGGAGGGTCGTGTGTTCGTTGAAGTAGGGGTGATTGTCCACACCTTTTCTTGAAGAGTGGCGCGGGGGGCCTAGTTCGAAAGGTGAAGAAGAGAGGGAAGACCGAGGTGCCAGAGTGGTCCCCGAAGCGACGACCTTAAAAGGGGCTTCGAGCCGGGGTGCAAAGCTGCCGCTGGTGCTTAGGAAAGAACCGAGGGGGAAAAAGAACAGAGGAGGGGGGTTGGCTACTCCGAGGAATGTGCGGCATGCGGGGAGCCAGACCCAACCATTGCACCAGAGCGGGGGCGCCGGCTGCTCCCCGGGCCGCCCGGCCCCGGCTCCGGCCCCGATCCCGGGAGGGAGAGCGCGGGGGCCGGGCGGGCGATGGGGCGGCAGGCGCCGCGCCCAGCGGGCGGGCGGGGAGGCGCGGGTGGGCCTGGGCGCGGCGCGAGGCGGTGCGCTGCCGCCTCCCCGCCCCCGGCCGGCGCGCTCTCAGGGCGGTGGTTGAGGCCGCGGTAGGTGGGGACGCGGCGGCGCTGCTCCTCCGCTGCCGCCGGGAGAGTCGGCGACGCCGCCAGCTCCGCGCGCGAACTCCCGTCCATGGCACGCAGGGCGGCGGCTGCCCGAGCTGCTCGAGTCTCGCCCGCTGCCGCGCCGTACTTTTAGGCGAGTGCGGAGGTCGAAGGCGGAGGGGAAGTCAGCGCGGAGCTGCAGCCCCCGCCGGCCGCCGCCGCGCGGCGAGAGGGAGTTCCCAGAGCTGCCGCGGCCCCGGGCCCGGCCGGCCACCTCCTTGCGCCCTCCCCCTCGCGGCGAGGCTGCCCCGCGCCCGCGCCCGCGCCCGCACCCGCCGCCGCCGCCCGCAGCGATGATCTTCCCCAGCAGCAGTGGCAACCCCGGGGGCAGCAGCAACTGCCGGACGCCCTATCGCAAGCAGGTGAGGCGGCGGCCGGGATGCCGCGCCGAGGTCGGCGAGCCCCGCGTTACAAAGGGGGCCGCGCTCAGGGGCTCCGCGCCTCCTCGGAGGGACCGGCTGGGCGGTGACCTTGTTTCCCAGGAAGGCGGCCGCGGGGACTGCTCGGCCGGCGACCTGAGCAGGGGAGATGCCCTCGCCGCCGCCGCCCGGGCCGGGCAGGGTGGGAAGTGGAGGAAGGGGCAGGGGCAGGAGCGGAGAGCCGGCGAGGGCAGAAGCGCGCCGGGCCGGGGGCTTCACCCAGCTCTGCAACAAGTTTGGGTTTTTCCCAAAACCTTTGTGTGTAGCGGAGTGCGGTAATAAGTCGTCACGCTGGTGTGCAGTCTTCGCTAGGAACCTCAGAGAACCTGTCTGATTCGTAGGAAACCCGGAAGACGTGTGTCTGTGTGTGTGTGTCTGTGTCTCTGTGTGTGTCTGTGTGTTCGCGCGCGCCCCCCTCATTTAAAGAAAAAAAAAGAGAAAGAAACAGGAACTTCTACTGTCACTTTCTCAAGGTTTTCAGTAGCACAGGGAAATCCTGTGACATCCTAGTTGCAGAAGATACTTGGATATGCCTGAGTCATACACATGCTCTTTCCTATTTTAATACCGTTTCATACATTTTTTAACAGATTGAACTCGAAAGCCACTTCAGTGGTTAGATCACAATCCCCTGCTGGGAAAAGGAATGGAGCTGGGAGCTTATAGTTGAGGCCTTTTGTTTTTCATCTTTGTTTTTAAAAGAAGGTTACTGAAGCCATGTTGTGATACATCTCACAGAGCCTTTCAGCAGCAGCAATAACAAAACGTAGCTTTAAATTATCTAAAAAATGTGCAAGTCTGTTTAGAAAAGGTTAAATTGATTTAGAGGTCAGTGGCAAGATGCTTGTTGAGAAAACAAAAACAGGATTGCAGATATTTTTCCTCCATAATAAATCTCTTGTCTGCATCCTTAGCCACTGAGACAAATCAATTAAGTTATTATCCCAAAAAGGATGCAAGCGAACTGTAGCCTTCCATGCAGACCGTGGCTCTCTTAAGATCACGACCGATGGCAGTGATGCTTGGTGGCTTCCCTTTAGGTATTTACAGGATTATTGATTATGTTTAGGTCTTGTTGTCGTCAGAGTCATTCTTTTTTGTGTGTATGTCCTAGCGTAAGTGTATTTGCAAGTATTTTGGCAGTGTCGAAAAGAAATGTTTTCTGCCTTCTGGTCTTTGGTTCTTTTCTATGTTAACTTTTCTTTAAAGAGGCAGTAAACACACACCGTGGTCTGTGTGCCCTTGATGTGGAAGTCCATGGAACTTTTACCTGGGTTAAGAAGTTCTTTCCTTTAATTAATTAAATAAATAAAATCTGCATTTATGACTCGGCTGAAGGATATGCTAAGATAGTCAAGATTCAGAAGCAGGCATCTCGAAGTCATTTCATGTGGCTTCATTTAAAAGAAATGCTCTCGGATCCAGTACACTTACATCAACTTCATAAATGCAGCCAATTTACAATAAACATTCCCCTTGCAACCCCTCCTCCCCCACCCACCTCACTCTACCTGAAAAGATGGCTAATTATGTTAGGGCCTTGTGTATTCATTTATTTGTTGTCAAAACCCGGCGGGGTGTTAGCTCTGAAATGGGGAAAAGGCTCTGAGGGCGAGGCCTTTGGCTGTGAGGGGCTGGAGGTTTTGTGTGTGAAGGGGGGTAGCCTGCTGGTCTGGAGCACGCTGATAAGATGCTCTTCTTTTCACAGGGCTCTCCTTAGATTCAAAGACTAAAAGGGCTGACTGAATCAGAAAAACAAACAGACTTTCTTTTTTCTATAGGCAAAGAAAGAAATGAATGTGTAGGCATTATACAGACACAAGACCCCGGGTACCAGTGGTATTTGAGTCAAAGGTTTCTTTTGTTAGTATTTAGCCATTCACTGGGAAAGCACACTTCCAGCGCGGGGACCTGGTTACCATGAGTGACTTTGTGATCTCATCCTGGCTTAGCCTAAATGGGAAGTCTAATTAATGCTTTTTATAAGATTTTGTGATGTTAAGCTTCAACCTTGCAGTTCATATTAGTTTGTTCATTTTGATGAAAGAATTGGCAGATTTTAGGTATATGATGCAGTTTGATTTTAGTCTAGAAATACATAATCAGCTGTTAGAGCTGATCTCAGCTAATTTGCCAGAAAAAAAAAAAATGGAATGTAAGGAATACTTTACAGTCACCTTTGGAAAAAACACCGTAATGGTTTGGAATCACACTTGCATTATACATACATAGTAGTAGTAGCTAACTTTCATTGAGTACTTCACTACCTGCTGATTGCTGTTCTGAATGTTTTTGGCAGATTAACTCATTTAGTCATCTTAAAAGCCCTGTGAGGCAGGCAATATTTGTATATCCATTTTACAATTAAGAACACTGAGGCATAGATTAAGCAAATTGCCCAAAGTCTATTCAACTCAAAGTGCAGAGCCAGGATTTGAACCCTGACAATCACTCCCTTCCAAGCCACCACACTACGGCTGCCTGCCTACATGTACTGCTCAATAGCAACCCATAGAGAACTTATCTGCATCATAGCCCATCACCCTTCTAATCTCAGAAGTCCAGTTTAGGGATTCCTCCCACCTTTTTGGGGAGGGAGAACTTGTGAGCTAGGAGGTGAATGATGAAGCAAATGGATGATACAGATGGTAAGTTTGTGATGTTTGGAAGCAGCATTGATATAAAAATGTGGCTGTACTGAATGATTGTACAACTCTTAAAGCTTTCTACATTTTACATATACAGTCATCTCTCAGCATCCGAGGAAGATTGGTTCCAGGATGGCTCAAGGTCCTGATATAAAATTGCGTAGTATTTGTATATAACCTATGTACATCTTCTCGTATTCTTTAATCTCTAGATTACTTATAATACCTGATACTATGTAGATGCTATGTAAATAATTGTTATACTGTATTATTTTCAAATTGTTTTATTGCTATTTTTATTGCTTTTCCCTGAAATATTTTTAATCCACAGTAGGCGGATGCAGAACCTCTTTATACGGAGGGTCGACTGTGTAGGAGTGAGCTAGTTTCAGTTAAAGCAGCGGTGGTTGGTACTCATCTCTCACCTGCCCCCACGTAGTGTAGCTAGGGCATCAGGGAGTACTGATCTCTGGCATCATCTGGGATCAACAGGATTTTCCTGCCTCACAGGCCTGTGAGCACATTAGAAATACACCTGCTCAGCTCAAGTCAAAGTGAGAAGCTTTTGAATGGAGTGATAACCGAGTAGGCAGTATCTAAATAAAGATGATTGGTTCAAGTCTCAGTGGACAAATGTGTACGTTCTATTACTGTTGACTGTGACTTTGAAGTATATGGTGTTCATTAAGCAAATCCAATCTGATCGTATGAAAAGAGCACCCCAAAAACCAAAATGAAACCATTTATCAGGACTTTTGTAGCTATGAAAATATTTTAGTGTGTTTTGAAACAAAAAAAGTGATTTATACTCAAAGGCTTTTAGATATAGAAAATTGGTATTTTCATTTTTCCTTTGTGTTGTTTCTTGAATTCTTTTATTAGCTACTCCTCTTCCTGTTTCCTTCCATTTTGGAACTGCTTTCTTGAGGTAGCTAAGTTACAAACCAACCATACTTTGGTTTCTGCACATCGTGGCATGTAGGAAGGCCTTTTTTGCTAAGCAGTATGTTGTCCTAGTGGTTTCCAGTAGGGTTTTGGAGGTAGGGGAGTGAATGCAAAATTTTTCTGCATGTGTGTATGTGTGTGTTTATATCTGTGTGTGTTTAATGGTCTTGCCCTCCAATAGTTGTACTTGTTAAATGTTGCTAACTTTTGATGAGGGAAGTACTTATCTTCCCAGTTTAAGTAGATTTACATAGTTTACTGCCTTCTTCAAGATTAACTGGGTGTAGCTGCACGTGAGGAATTCAACAGTGATTCAGTGTTTGGCCTTGTTTAGAGGATGACATACAAAGCTGTTGATTAATCCTCTTCAGGCAGTTTCTGTTCACAGCAATTTGTGTTTAGTAGATTGGGTTTTGTTAAAGTTTGAAGATTAAACTTGTGCATAGAAGATATTTAAATGAACACTGCCTGAAACAGTCCCAATTTGTTGTTGTTTTAAAGAAAGTAAACGTCTTCAAGCTACAGAGATTGGAGGTTTAGTGGAGAGTAGCAGAAAGGTAAATTGGTATGTATAAGTAAGGTATTGGCCCATTTTTATGTTATGTTATCTCTGTGTATTTGTGGTCAGGTAGGATCTATGAGTCATGATGATGATATTTTAAAATCTACCCATACATAGCCATTTGAAAACTGTACAATTCATCGTGATTGTCCACTTTTTCTACTAGGGACCGTTTTGGCATCTCATTACATGTTCCATAGTTCACTTCAGGTTTTGAACATACTTCTAGTTTTTTACTTTTCCTTATTTTTAGAGATTACTGTCAACTGGGCTCACCATATATTAGTACTTTTATTTTTGAGACCTTTCTTAGGAGGGTAAGAGTCTATCTGATCCAGGTTTCTGAGAATATATTTATAAAGTACTCACCCAATAAATAAATATTTTAAGGATGTATAAACCTCAGTCATATTTAATCTTCATAGCATCCATATAGAGAAGGTCTGGAGTTTTGAGGCAGTGACATCTTAAGTGGCCTACATGGTGAAAGCTAGGTCCCTGGAGTCAAGGGCTGTGTCTGCTACTAGGAAAAAGAAAGCCCGTCAAGAACAGCTGTGGCCTCACTACACTTCCCTTTACTTGGCCTCCCAAAGACATGTGGCCCACAGTGTCCAGATTTCAGATGTGGGAATTGTAGCTCTTGAATGTATTAGTGTTTTTTTGTTTGTTTTATAAAGGCTTTCACAGATGACATACTAGACACTGAGTTAAATTTGAATTTCAGATAAACAGTGAATAATTTTTTAGTATAAGTATGTCCCAGATTTTCATCACACTGCATTTTTGAATTTGCTAAATCTAGCAGCCCTCTCTCAGGGAAATCCAATTCGCTTTTTAAAACTCATTATAAAAAAAATCATGATAATAAGACATACTATTACTTTTTCCACTGAAAAGTTTGCCCCTTAGCATATTCCTTAGGCCCTGATAACGCACGTTTCACATTTTACCTCCTTGAACCATTTGGTCCATGCTTCCGCCTGCACTCTACCTAATTGAAAGACTATGGCTTAAGTTGTGGCTCTACCATTTGCATGCTTTTTCACTTAACCTCCCTAAGTCTGAGTTTCTGCTAAGTAAAGATAATAGTGCCCACTTCACAGGGTAGTTGTTAATCCTTCTAAGGTGCTATTATTAATGTCCCCACAGAGCAAGCAACAGCGGGTGGTCCTAGGAGACTTCTGTGTGGTCTAGGGAGACCTTGACACAGTCGCCTAAGAATGGACCGTGTTTACAGCCTCTAAGAATGGACTGTGTTTAGAATGAGGGGCAGCCTGAAAAAGGGTAAGGACCTGAGGTTGAAAATGAAATTCTCAACCACATTTTTTTAAAAAAAGAAAGTACCAAGAAGTAGAAAAGTGGATCCCACCATATTTTTAAACAGTTGGTCATGGTTTATGCCCTCGATAGCAGAATTTGCTTCCTCTCTGGGGAAGACTTTCAATCCTTTCTTCTTTATTTCATGCAAATATATTAGGAAGGTAAAAAGAGCATTGATCATTCTTATCAGTGAAAAATGCTACTTTTTAATTTGCTGGAAAACAGGTTTGATTATTAGTATATGCACAATTATTTCCTGAATTCTTTCCTTTGTCTTGTTTGTGTATTTGATTTTCAAAGATATCGTCTTTGCATTACTCAGAAAAATAAACATTTTTTTTGTCCTTGGACATCTGTAGGTGTTTAGTGGGTGTTTGTTTTTAAACTCGCATCTGTACAGAATGCTTTGCTTAACACATTCTAAAATCTTGGTGTAAACTTTAAAATAGTATAGAACACACTGTGAGGAAAGGAAGAAAGCATTTCCTGGAATTAGGATAAGGTGAAAGAATTAAATGGAGCAAATGAAATCCTGGACTAAAATAAAAAATCAATATAACTGTTGGGACTTAACACTTAATATAACGACAGCAGCAGCAAGAAACTTGGTGTTACACAGAACAGTACCCTAATACATAGAAATCTATGTTGGCTCCACTTTATTCATTTAAACATATGGAATTTCATAACAGTGTAATGTAAACTAGAGAAGATTATCTTTTGTTTGTCAATTGTATATGCAATACAATCTCAAAAATGTATTTTTAAAAACTGGAAGGAAATATGCCAAAATATTAACAAATGGCTTCCTCTGCTATAGAATCACAAATGACTGTTTTTTATGATCCTTTACATTTTTTTCAACCATCCAGTCTCTCTTGTCCCCCACAATGAGCATGCAGTCCTTTGGCTATCAAGAAAAAGACAGTGAAAAAACAAAACAAAACGAAACCTAGAAAATTGTATTTTTTAAATGTCTCAAAATTGTGGTGAAATTGCAAAGAATTCATTTTGAGAATTTCAATCACGCATGAAGGTACTGCTTGTTTCTAATGCCTGAGTTTTGAGGGGTGGTCCTTTCCTATTCTTTATGTATTATTTTTGTTTCCTGCAAACTCCTGTCCTACCTTTTTAGAAATCACTTGTTTCTGACAGATACTTTTTAACTTAATAACTTAAAATTTTCCTATTTTTTATACATATTTTAAATATGCCTTCTGTACTTTTTGAAACATTTTTAAGGCACAAATTTATGTACATGAGTTAGTGAGGGGGAAACGTAGCTATATATATGAAATTTCATATTCTAGATTACTTTTCAGGAGAGTAGCTGTTCTAAATATTCTAAATATAGAGGCATTATCACAATCACCTGTTTTCATTTGACTTACAGCTGTTTTGTGGACAGATAAATTTTCTCCACATTTAATTTCTGTATTAAATGTGACAAGCCAAGACTGTCCTACCTATGTTGGAATCCTTTGGGTTTATTTTATTATGAATACATATGATTGTCTTCATTGCAAACTTGCTTTTTGGCTCTTAGCTTCTTTTTTTTTTTTCCTCATATATATGTTTGTATTTTTCATTTTGTTTCTTTCGTTTTTTAAATTTAATTTAATTTAATTTCCAGTTCCGAGATACATGTGCAAGCTTTTCCCTTTTTGAAAGGGCCGTGCAGTGGGAGGTGTGGCTTCTTTAGAGGTTTCTTTAATGTATAATGGAAGAGTAAGGATTTCTGTAAGAAGTACAAGGTACAGATAATGTCAGCATTGTAGAAGCAGCTGTTAGTGTATAACCCAGGGGAGTTTTCAGTGTGTCTGGGGAGTTTTAGGTGTGCACTGCAGAGGCTGCAAAGCTCCAGAGCAAGATGGGGAGGAGCAGGGAGTGCTGAAGAGAGGGAAGGGGAAGTAGGGGCTAAGAGAGAAGAAAGCACTCTTACCTTGTTTGTTTCTTACTTTGCTAGTTGATGTATCACTTTGCAAAATTGGTTCCAGTCTCATTGTTTTGGTGCTGTGTAGGTTGGGAGCAAATATGTAGCCTCATTGTTTTGAATTGTCTTAGATTCTTAAATCTCCCCCTTTTTTTCTTAGTTATCGGTCCTATCGTCCAGCATTTTCTTTCTCTGTTCTAAGACAAAATCTCTTTGTCTCTCTCCTCTTTGGAGAACTGCCTATAAATCCTTTTTGGAAGACCATTTGTGATCAACCCAACCCTGCCAATTCAGATATTCTAGAAAGTACTTTGGCTCTATTTTGTATTCTCAGTTTTATATGTTAAATGTATCAGACCAATTCTAAGACAGTGAATAGTTCTTTTGTTTAAACTGAAAGTTTAAGAGGGGCTCAGAAACATTGAGTTATAATTAATTGAGTTGTAGGTGTAAGTGATTTAAAAAAAAAAAAAGCATACAGGAATCTTTGCGAAGTAAACTGGTGGCATGCAGGAGATAATACTGGTGCACATTAGGGGAGAAACTGGGCAGGGAAACCAGCTAGCTAGTTGTTAAAACTGCTGAGAGCTAGTGAGGACCCAAAAGAAGTCAGTTAAATTGTAGGCAGGAGGAGTGACCAAATTTTATAGATACTGAAATACAGGAAGCCCTTAAAATTGTATGCAAAATGTGCATACATTGGCTGTTTCTTTGGTAGAGATTCATAGCTTTCATCCATTTGTCAGAGGGATCTGTGTCCTCCAAAAGTTCTCGTGACTGCATTTGGAAGGAGAGGGAGAAGAACTTGAACAAAATTTCTAACTCAGGAGACAGGATAATTGGTTGCATCATGGAAGGCGACATTTCAGGTAAAAAGAACATTGATTCAGCAAAGATTTGAAGATAGAAAACATGGGCTTTATCAGGGAAGTAGTGGGTAGTTCAGGTTAGGTTGACTGCAGGGTAGAGTTTGAAGAACAGAGGTCAATAGGAGCAAGCTTGCTAAAATGGGTGAGAGCAGAGCCTGAGTTTAGAAGGTATTGTCTCAGTTGAAATAAAGATGTAAAATGTGGCAGTGTGAATGTATTAAATAGAATGGATTCAAGATATTGTGTAGAAAGAATTGACAAGATTTGGCTGGTGACTGGCTGGATGGGGAGGGGAAGGTCTCGGGAATAGACCATCGTAGGCTTCTAGTCGTAAATGATTGGGAAAATGAAAAGTTACTGCAACCTTTTTTGCTCTGGGGCTCAGTGATGAGGAAAAACCCAGCCTTTCTATTACAAGGATTTTCCACATCATCATCATCATTATTATTATTACTGTTATTATTTTGCTATTAAAATAAATTGGAGAGGGATTGTTGAATTCTGATACTGGTGTCCAGACACCAGGGATACTTAATATCCTGCAGTGTCCAGCTCAGTTTCTCATAAGGAAGAATCGTCCAGCCTAAATGGCTAATCACACACCCCTAGTGAAAACCACTTTAAGAAGTTATTTTGGTTGGGGAGATGGTTGTAAGCATTTCTTTACCACTCCCTTGAGATTACCTTGAAGTCAGAGTAGAAGCTGCCTCACATGTCTGCATGGATTTTCGTGTTTGTCCTGGATCTTCTCAAACACATTGTTATATGGCAAATTTCATTCTTGGTAATATACGTCATTCATAATTATACAGTCACCTTTAATATCTATAGTCTAACAAGTACATTGGTTATATTAAAACATCTCCCACCTCAAAGGAATATGGAAGATGGGCAGATATAGTGGTGAGTGGTTTAGAGTATTCAGCCTACCAAAATAAGAGTTTCTGGGGGAAAGGCAGTGAGTTTGGTTTGGCCATTTTAACTTGTCCACATGAATTACACATTATTCTTCCCACTTGCCATCCCAGGCAGAAATTTCTAGCAAGCAGTTAGAGAACCGGAGCTCTGGGGAAGAAGCACAGAAACTTCTCAGATTTAATAGGTGGAGCATTGGGAATGGATTAAAGCACTCCGAGGAGAGAATGTGTCAAGACAAGAGATGGGACAGACTTCGGGGAGCACAGATTCTATATTGGGCAGGAGTAGGGGGGAGCCTTAGGCAAAGTAGGAGGAAAGAAGTGGCACAAAACTGAGAGAATCCGGAGAGTGTCACAGAAGCCAAGGAGAACAAAGTTTTAAGAAGAGGTGGTCAGCTCCATTAAATGTTGCCAAGAGGTCAAGAAAGACAAAAGCCTAGTAAAGGGCCATTGGAAATACCCATTGGGAGGTCTTTGTAAACTTTTAAAACAGAAGTCTCAGTGGAGTCCTGTGTGTGTAGTGGGGCGGGAAAGGAGGGTGGAGGCAGGGGTGAGGGAAGCACATTCCAAAGGGTTTAAAGAGTGAATGAATGAAGAGGGTGTGTCTTTAGGAAAGTCAGACGCCAAAGAGAGTTTTTTTCCTGAAAATTTCAAGTGACAGCCTAGAGACAAGATTATTTCAGCATCTGTGTTTGTAGGTAAAGCAAGGTGCTAGAAAAAAGAGGGAATATTTGGAAATAGGGCTTACTTTTATGAAAGGTTGAGGCAGGATTAGTCTTACAGGAAAGGGCTCCTCAGAAGTCTTCCTGACAGTGATTACAGGAAGGAGAAAATGGGTTATGCTAGAGAAGGCAGGAAGGCCAGTGAAGCTCACCTTTTTATGAAAGCTTAGGATTCAGTAAGGAGGCGAGGTTGTCTGTTCAGATTCTATAAAATAAAAAAGATGGGATTTTCAGTTTAAGGAGTATGACAAAAGATTTGGAATAATGCTCTTGGGAATTTGGTGAGCATTCAAACAGAAATGAGTGCAAGGATGACTCAAGCAGTAGTAAGGAGCCATGGGAGTTCAGAGGTACGAGTTGGCATGGTATCCTGACCCTCCACGAGCAATAAGTAAGGGAAAGCATCTGGATAATGGGTTTATATAGGGTTTGACATTGGTAAGATGAGTATGCTCTGAAAATTGAGAGCACTGTTCCAAAGGCTAAGGAAACGTGAAATCAAGAAAGACAATGAGCTTTTGGTATAGGGTGGGGCATGGAGATTCTGATAAGATCCTTCCGCCTAGGGGAAAGTCCCCGGACCTCGGTCAGAGAGTGCCACGTGCATGCGCAGGTAGACATTCCCTACGGCTGGGCGCGGTGGCTCACGCCTGTAATCCCAGCACTTTGGGAGTCCGAGGTGGGCGGATTACGAGGTCAGGAGTTCGAGACCAGCCTGACCAACATGGTGAAACCCCGTCTCTACTAAAAATACAAAAATCAGCCGGGCTTGGTGGCGCCTGCCTGTATCCCAGCCACTCAGGAGGCTGAGGCAGGAGAATTGCTTGAACCCGGGAGGCGGAGGTTGCAGTGAGCTGAGATGGTGCCACTGTACTCCAGCCTAGGCAACAGAGTGAGACTTCCTTCATCTCAAAAAAAAAAAAAAAAAAAAAAAAAAAAAGATAAAAAGAAAAGTCCCTGGGAGAGAGAGGTGAAACAGGCTGCTTCAGAGAGGAAGTTCTGAGGTAAAAGCCTTGAAGGTAGAATAGTCCTGGGATCCTTCCTTGTGGAGTTGTTTGGAGGATTAAATGAGATAGTACATATGGGTCTGTCTGGCACCTAGTAAGAACTGAGGTGGTTGTAATTATTAAGATGAAGTTCTTGTATAAATTACACCTCCCTCTAACTACTGTTGTAATATTTGTGTAAATCAAATCATATTTCAAACAGATTCCACAAACCATGAAACACAAACCAAAATAAAGTGTTAATTTTTTTCAACTGAACCACATGGCCAACGTCCATTTAAAAAAATTTCACTATCAAACCATTTCAAAACACAGGTTGCTTTTAAAGAAAAAAAGTTGGACATTGGTGTGGATCCCAGCTCTTATCACTCGAAGGGACATTTCTTAAACTTTCTGGGTCTTAATTTCCTTGGCAGCAAAACCAGGGGTAATAGTTACTCAGTGTTATTGAGATGATTACATGACATCATCTGGGTGACAGCACGTGGCACATTACCTGGCACAGGTACTCTGGATGCTTCCCTCCTTCCTTGGGGTGTCTCCTAACAGGTCAGTTTGTATACAAAAGAGGATTTTGGAGGAAGGGTCAAGGAAAGCCTACGGTTATAATCGTGGAAGAAAATTGTGATCATTCTGTTCACTAGCCGAAAATCCTTGTGATGAGAAAGACTTGTGAGGATTATTATATTTGTCCTTGCTTCTCAGGGTTAAGGGTCAAAAGAGTTAATGTAAGATAAAGTGCTTTATGATATGTAAACACTATGGAGATGTTATTACAGTTTCTGAAATAGATGCCCTCGACTATTATGTGAGCATTTTCCTTCTTTCAGCATCTGATTTTTTTTTTTTTTTTTTTTTTTGAGACGGAGTCTCGCTGTGTCACCCAGGCTGGAGTGCAGTGGCGCGATCTCAGCTCACTGCAAGCTCCGCCTCCCGGGTTCACGCCATTCTCCTGCCTCAGCCTCCCAAGTAGCTAGGACTGCAGGCGCCCGCCACCACGCCCGGCTAATTTTTTGTATTTTTAGTAGAGACGGGGTTTCACCGTGTTAGCCAGGATGGTCTCGATCTCCTGACCGCGTGATCTGCCCGCCTCGGCCTCCCAAAGTGCTGGGATTACAGGCGTGAGCCACTGCGCCCGGCCTTCAGCATCTGATTTTAAATTCAGAAGTTTATTGTTCAAAGCTGCTTTCCTTAATTGTGCTTACTAAGATACACGGATTCTATTAAAGGTTGAAAGTGTTCAAGGAATTAAAATACTCATTTTACAAAGAAACTTCGGAAACACTACATACTATGTAGTATTGTCCAGGAGAGTAAAAGTGTAAATTAGCAGTAAAAAGTCTTCAAGAAGTCCTACAGTGGAGATATTTGTCTGACTTCATGATTTGTTTTCCTAGAATTACTTGATCATGGAATAATTTAGTTTTAGAATATTTACTAATTGTGTTCTTGGAACAGTTTGGGAACCACTTATTTAAAAGAAGCTTTTGCATTTTAGTGTTGGAAAGGACATTAGAGATTATCGGGTTCAACCCCTTTAATTTACTCCTAAATAATTAAAATCCAGAAACATTGAGTGATTTGTTTAAATTCTCACAGCTTGAAAAGCTGGATCTTCTGACTTTTACTTAGTGCTTCACCATCCTACCTTAAAATCTTTGTTTTTCTAAGTATGGCACACACTTGCACTAATGTTTTTCTAATGAATGTTAAAGAGTGTATCTTTTTAAAAAATCATTGATAGAACTTCAGAATTGCTTTTATGTGAGGTTTAAAAAGTCATTCTCTGAACAGAGTAGGCCTTTAGCAATAGTAAGTTGCATGTTAACTTCAGGCAAAATAAACTAGTATCTGCCAACTCTCATTTCTTTTTTTGCTTTTAATTTCTCCTCTGTTAAGGTCAGTTTTTCCACCTGTTTTATTGCTTTTTAAAGCATTTACAAAGTCAAGAAAGCTGACTTGAGAAATCAATCTAGTTTAAAATGTCAGTGATCTGGAAAACTCACACATTCTAATAATGAATATTCTTTTGTCCTCTAAATTTGTTTTGTCTTTCTCATATAATTGGCTGTGGGTAGAAAAATTTGCATACTTTCAGTCCCTTCCTGCCTGACTTATTACAGCATGCAGAATTTACTCTGTGGTTTCTAGGTGTAAGTTCCTGTATAGAAGAAACCACAGTTAGGACTTTACAACCCTACTGTGGAGAAGGCTCGTCTGTGAGGAACACACTGCTGTGTGTTCTTGAAAATTCTGAATGGCCACTTGATCATCCTTTGTTATAATAGGTAATCTAGACTAAATTGTTCACTTGTACCATCTAAAAAAAAATCTATATTAAGGTTCTTAGTTGCATAGTCCAACGAAAAGTGGGTGGAAGTCTGTCGGTCTCCCTCACCAACTGTTTCTGGTGTCTACAACATGAAATTTTATCCTGAATGAATTCTGCGATGTGATACTAGTGTTTCGGATGAAGTGATCTGAAGGAATGTTCAGTATATAATGTGTTATTACAAAAGAAGTGTAGTATACTAGGCCAAAAGGACCCAGAGATGAGCTTTTCCCAGTACTTATTTTAGAGGTGAGGACATCGCATAGCTTATTTGTAACAAAACCAGGACTAGAACCCAGAGATCCTGACTGCCAGTGAAGCTTGGCTATTTTCTTTTTTTTTCTTTTTCTTGTTTTCTTTTCTTTTTTTTTTTTTGGAGATGGAGTCTCTCTTGTTGTCCAGGCTGGAGTGCAATGGCGTGATCTCAGCTCATCACAGCCTCCGCCTCCCAGATTCAAGTGCGTCTCCTGCCTCAGCCTCCCGAGTAGCTGGGATTACAGACATGTGCCACCACACCCGGCTAATTTTGTATTTTTAGTGGAGACGAAGTTTCTCTTTGTTGGTCAGGCTGGTCTCAAACTCCCGACCTCGGTGCTCTGCCCGCCTCGGCCTCCCAAAGTTGCTAGGATTACAGGTGTGAGCCACCGCGCCCGGCCAGCTTGGCCATTTTCAACCAAATTCAGCTTGGATTATCATTCATTCAGTCAATATTTTAGAGTACATTATGGGCCAAGAACTGTGTTAGGCCCTGAGGGCAATAACAAATTAGTAATCCTGTTGTCAACCTTACAGTCTAAGAGAGAGTATGGAGCAAGTGTATAAATAACTATATAAGTTAGAAATTAGTGCCATAAGAGCTTCAGATATTTAAGAAATGCCTAGTAAGAACATGTCTGATTTGCAGCTGACATGCTACAGTTTACCTGAATTTTGACCATTTTTCTTCCAGGTGCATTTGATTTGTTTCCTGTATAGAAACAGAGTTCTCAATGGGCTGTTTTGTGTTGATTGTCACCTTAGAGTTAGTCTACCCTTTAACTGACTCTATGAAACTGCTTATTAGGATACTAAATTAGAATAGGGAAAAAAAGGAAATATATCTTCCATGTTCTTGACATCAATTCATTGCCGAGTTTGGTTTTATCTCTTTAAAAGGGGTGCAGAAAAACTGGCGAGCATTAAGAGAAATTTAAGCAAAAAAGAAGGTAGTATTTAACATTCTAAGAGGTCCTTTCTCTCTCTCTTTTTTTTTCTTGAGACAGGGTCTTGCTCTGTTGCCCGGGCTGGAGTGTGGTGCAGTGGTGCAATCATGTCTTATTGCAGCCTCAACCTCCCAAGCTGGAGCAATCCTCCCACCTTAGCCACCCAAATAGCTGGGACCGCAGGCACACACCACCACATGCAGTTAATTTTTTAATTTTTTGTAGAGATAAGATCTCACTATGTTGCCCAGAGTGGTCTTGAGCCACTCTGAGCTTAAGCAGTTCTCCCACCTTGACTTCCCAAAGTGCTAGAATGCCCTTCCTCTTTTTATTGTTCTCTAGTGAAATGTGTGAAATAGGATTGGAAAATAGTACTAATGGAATTGGGATTATTGACAATCGAGAGAAACAAGCAATAAAGGTTTACGTGGGAACTGCTCATATATTTCATACACTATCTATAGTTGGGATCAGGGTTTTTTTTTTTTTGTGAAGGGCCAGATAGTAAATATTTTAAGCTTTGTAGGCCATAAGGTCTCTGTCACAATTACTCAGCACTGCCTTTGTAACTGGAAAGCAGCCATAGATAATATATAAACAAATGGGCATGGTTGTGTTTCAATAAAACTTTAAATACAAAAGCCAGCTGCAGGCAGTGTTTGACCGGCAGACCATAGTTTGCAGACCCCTGATGTGTAGGATCCTTCTTTGTTGACACTTTTACCAGAAGATGCACAGAAGGACTTGAAAGAAAATGAAACCCAAACCAGATAGTACTTATTAGCACCATCAGTATAGGTAGGTACAAAATAAAACCAAGTGAAGGTAGGTCTGATTCATAGGTTTGGTTAAAAGGTTTTGGATTAAGAGCTCAATCTTGACTAGATAGTTCTTTTGCTTGGTTTTATTTGGGGAAGCATCCTTCACATATCTGTGTAATCGTTACTACATTGGTTATTATTTAATTAATTAATTTGGTTTTTTTTTTTGGAGATGGAGTCTCCCTCTGCGCCCCAGGCTGTAGTGCAGTGGTGCGATCTCAGCTCGGTGCAACCTCCGCCTCCCTGCCTCAGCCTCCCGAGTAGCTGAGACTACAAGCATGTGCCACCACGCCCGGCTAATTTTTGTATTTTTAGTGGAGACAGGGTTTCGCCATGTTGGCCAGGCTGCTCTCGAACTCCTGACCTCAGGTGGTCTGCCCATCTTGGCTTCCCAAAGTGCTGGGATTACAGGCATGAGCCACTGTGCCCAGCCCTACATTGGTTATTTTTGTTTTGAATCCCTAAGACTTATCCATAATTCTGAAGTGGTGAGACAGAAGGCCATGGTAAAATAGTAATTGCATCATGGAAGCAAAATATTAATGTTTTTCTTTTAAAAATATTTTATGGCAAAATGTGTGTTTTACTAGTCAACAGGACAACCTGGCCCAAGCAGACTACCGAAGCACCTGAGTATTAGTTTGCTAGGGCTGCTATAACAAAGTTCTACAAACTGTGTTTCTTAAACACAGAAACTAATTTTCTCAGTTTTGGAGGCTAGCATTCTGAGTTCAAGGTGTCAGCAGGGCCATGCTCCCTCTGAAGGTGCCAGGGAAGGATCCATTCCAGGCTTCTCTCTTAGCTTCTAGTAGTTGACTTGTGGCAACATAACTCGTCTTCACATGACATTCTGTCTGTGTGCCTGCCTGTCTGTGTGCCTGCCTGTCTGTGTCCAAACTTCTCATTTTAATAAGGCTACCAGTCATACTAGATTAGGGCCTCATTTTAACTTGATTTCCTCTGTAAAAACCCTGTCTCCAAATAAGGTCACATTCCAAGGTACCGGGGGTTAGGACTCCAGTCTGTCTTCTTGGGTGCATACAATTCACCCCATAACAATGTGGTACCAGAGACATTCAATTTAGGCAAAATTCATCAACTGGGCACGTTGTTGGACCTGAAATAAATGCAAAATACTTCATGACTCACTTGTGGTCACATTAGCTTCCATAGCAGAAGTATTATATTGGTGGCTCTGTTGTACATAATGTATATGGAAATGTTATTTTTTTTTTTTGGTGGTTGTTTTTAACTTGCAGTTAGAAGATATTTCTTTACAGAAATATTAATAGCTTAAATATGTTAATGGCTATGGCAATGTCCATAGCCTTCAAGGATCCTGAGTGACTGCCCCTTTCTTCCCATCCTCTGCTTTGTGCAAGTTCATACCTGCCATTCCAGCCAAAAGTTCCTCGTTGCTTTTTTTTTTTTTTTTTTTTTGAGACTGGGTCTCAGCCCAGGCTGGAGTGCAGTGGCATGCACATGGCTCACTGCAGCCTCAACCTCCTGGGCTTAAGCGGTCTTCCCACCTCAGCCTTCTGTGTAGCTGGGGCCACAGGCGTGTGCCACCACACTCGGCTAATTAAAAAAAAATTTTTTTCATAGTGACAAGGTCTTACCATGCTGCCCACACTGATCTCAAACTTCTGGCCTCAAGTGATCCTCCTGCCTTGGCCTTCCGAAGTGTTGAGATTACAGGCATGAGCCATCAGTCTTGAGCCCTTCCTTTCTTTCTGAAGTCTTTCCTTCCTCTCCTCCAAGCTTTTGTTAGGCTATCACAACTGGCCACAGAACTACAGCGTCCTATCTTCAAGTTTGTGTCCCTCTCTTCTTTAAGTTGAAATTCAAGGTCTACCTCTTCCAGGCAGATGATCTCTTTTTTTTCCTAAAGTTCCTGCTCTTTATTACATTAGAACAATTCTGATGTGATGGGTTTCATCCACCACATCTCACTTGGGGTGTGTAAGTGGGTGGAGTGGAAAAGCAATAATGCCTGTTGTCTTGAGAAAGGGATGGGTTGCACCACTACCCATTAAGGTATCAGGTTACCTCTAGGGAATGGGAGTGAGTTCTTGTAATATTCTTGCCCATTTGTAAGATTGTTTTGAAAGCTATTACAGAGCTGCAATTCTGTAAGAATATGAAGTAGCATTAAAACTTAAGTTTCTTGAGTCTTATGTAAGAATTTAAAGATGTACATATGTTTTATTAGAGGGGCCTCTCTTTAGTTTTTCTCAACCTTCAGGTTTTTGGTAAAATTTTCCTCTCCTCCCCTCCCCACCAGAATACAGGGGACACATCTTAGATGGATTGATTGAAAAAAAAAAAAAACTAGTAATTTTCATTATAAAAGGATTCCTCATTATGTGATTGTTGGTTAATTACTGAGGGTTTTTTGCCTTTTTTTTTTTTTTTTTTTTTTTTTTTTTTGAGACAAGAGTCTTGCTCTGTTGCCTAGGCTGGAATGCAGTGGTGCAAACTTGGCTCACTGCAACCTCCACCTCCTGGGTTCAAGCGATTCTCCTGCCTCAGCCTCCTGAGTAGCTGGGACTACAGGTGTGCGCCACCCCGCCTGGCTAATTTTTGTATTTTTAGTAGAGATGGGGTTTTGCCATGTTGGCTAGGCTGGTTTTGAACTCCTGACCTCAGGTGATCCACCTGCCTTGGCCTCCCGAAGTGCTGGCATTACAGGCATGAGCCACCACGCCCATCCTGCTGAGTTGTTTTTTAAGCTTTTGTTTAGGTATGTTTATCATTACCAGCTAGATTGTTTAATATCTTTGAGCACTGGAACCTCTCTTTGTAACAATAGCATTTATGTATTTCATGCATATTTTGCAGGGCACAGCATTTTCTGGTATTTTTCTCAGGCTTTCTTTAAAAATTGTGTTTCCTCATCACATTTAAAACATGGATTTGCTCATATCAAATTTTTCCAGAACACATCCAGGGTGTGAAGTTAGGTATACTTATCGGTCATTATCTCAGCAAGAATTGTCAGTGTGTGACAGTGCTCTGTGTCAGGGATGCGCCTAGAGGTGCTCCACCCTTTCTGATTAAAATGAGGTCGTTGGGTTGACCAGGACAGCTGTTTTCTGAAATTTTTGCCACAAACAATCACGTCAACTAAAGTAAGGATGGAGACAGTTTGTGAGATGAGCACATGTGGAAATTACTCTATGCCTGAATAGGAACAGAAAGATCTGGCCTGTCACTGTGTGGGTGTATGCTGTGGAAGGCCTCCCCCCAGGGGGATTCATCCCAGCAATTTGTTTATCCCAATAAAGTTTGTAGACCTGTTAACCTAGGAACTCCCTACATGTCAATTAGAGGAGCCATGAAAACCTCTCGCATCGCAGGGAGGGTTGGTTAGAAGTGTCAGTTCAGGGAACCGGAAATTGCTTGGCTCAGCTGACACAAAAGAGGATCTGAAGGGTGCGGGCAGAGAGCAGGCAGTTTTAGAACCAGGAGACGCCTTTTCCTGCTGGGGAGTGACAAGTCAAGTGTCATTTGGAAGAGTTGAAAGGTGGACTCTGTGTGGAGCAAGGGACAAGATGGGGCTGCTTTGGGAGTGACACGGACCCAGAGCTAGAGTGCCCAGAAGATTCCGATTAGCTGTGGAATCCCGTGGAGTAGCCCTTCCAGCTTAGCAGGGGCACTGGGTCTCTGAATTTCAAAGACTTGCTGTCTTGGTTTTACCCCTCACCGTACCACCTGCATCAGAAACTCTTGGGGTGCTCATTAAAAATGTAAACCATTGGGTCCCTCTGTCGCCGGCAAAAACAATGTGGGGGGCATTTTAGGCTATCTGGGTTACCTGGAATCTCACTGAAGGCTAAGGACCACTGGGTGAATTATTCCTCAAAGAGCGGTTGCTCTGTGTGTTTGAACCTTTCAGTGATGAGAAATGAACTGTCTTCTAAAGCAGTGATCTTTTAAGTCTGGGGTGATGCAGGCAGGAAATGTAAATGGGTGCCAAATAAGAGAATGACAGTCTTATGAGTAACTGAGTTAAAATTGAGTCCAAAGAAAAATTGGGATACTTTGCTTAGGATTGACGTCAGAAAAGCTAACAGCACATGTTAGTTGGAACCCTGTTTGGCTGTAGTACCGGAGCAGCTGGACTGATGCATGAGAGCCATTCTGAGTTCCTCTAGGACACTGGAAATAGTTTCAGAGGTCAGCCTGTGGACATGCTGAGCCAGCTAAGATGCCAGGGCCAGGCATAAACCTCTGGGTTCAGATGAAGCTCTCTGAAATCTAGGATAAGGAAAAGCTTTTTCTTTTCTTTTTTTTTTTCCTGTCTAATGTCTGCCATATAATTTTTAAAGTAACTGCCTGATGGGGTGGCAGTGTATGCATTTGCACATTATGGGGTGGGAGGATCTGTGTGTTTTGTGGGGGAGGCTGTCACAAAAAGGAGAGATTCCTGAGCATATATTGAGCCCAAATACTGTGAGCAATGAGAATGAGTTTCCATTTTCTTTCTTTTTGTTGACCCTTTTCCTCACCCTCTCTGCTGTACACAGAGTAGGAAAGACTGTCATTTGCAGCACAGACAGAAAATGTTCCAGGGCTTGTGCCATTGCAGAAACCCCTTCCTCCCCTGAAACTGGTCAGCTGTCTAATCAGAGAGGCACCCAGACCACGACGTGGCTCCTCTCCCTGCCTCTGCTTGTTCAGGCACCATCCCTAAAACCTGCCAGTTAATGCTACCTTTAGGAAAAAACATTTAGTGATTAAAAGCTCTTGCTAAAATGTGGAGATTTACCCAATTCTTATTCATCCCTCCTAAGGGAAGACTGCAAAAAAAAAAAATCATTAAAATAAAAAGACTAGATACTGTAATGTAATCTCACTTGCCTCAGTCTTTTCCCATTTACTAGCATCACCGCATCCCCAGCTGCTGCAGCTAATAACATTTTGAAATTTTTAACTTCTATACTGACAACCATATATAGGGCTATTGAACAGCTAGAGGGGAAAGCAGCCAGGAATATCAAGGGGTGGGGACAGTCTTAGAATTTGATAAACAGACAGTGTCCTGTGATCAAATTGGTTGAAAGCAGCAACTTGTACACCATGTAGAAAACATGCTTCCCAGTTCTTCAGCTGACACCTAGCTAGGAGGAGTGGTGATGTACACAAAATAACAGTAGCTTCCAGAAAGCGGCACACTGGAAGGTAAGCCCACGTTTGTAATAGGAATAAATAATCATAAAATCCTGCATTTCTGTGAAAAATACTGAGGGAATTCTAGTATGACTAGGTGTATAAAAAGACCTGAATGGTTGATGTCTTAGTTCAGGCCGCTCTAACAAAGTAGACTAGGTGGCTTATCAACAACAGAAATCTATTTGTCACAGTTCTGGAGGCTGGAAGTCTGAGATCAGGGTGCCAACATGATCGGGTTCTGGTGAGGGCTCTCTTCTGGGTGGTAGACTGCTGACTGCTGTATTTTCATGTGGCAGAGAGAGCCATAGGGTTCTCTGGGGTATGTTTTTATAAGGGCAGTAATCCTATTCATGAGGGCTCCATCTTTATGACCTAAATCACCTTCCAAAGGCCACATCTTTTTTTTTTTTTTTGAGATGGAGTCTCACTCTGTCTCCCAGGCTGGAGTGCAATAGCACGATCTCAGCTCTCAGCACTGCAACCTCCGCCTCCTGGGTTCAAGTGATTCTCCTGCCTCAACCTCCTGAATAGCTGGGATTACAGGCACGCGCCACCATGCCTGGCTAAGTTTTGTATTTTTAGTAAAGACGGTGTTTCACTGTGTTGGTCAGGCTGGTCTCGAACTCTTGACCTCGTGATCCACCTGCCTCAGCCTCCCAAAGTGTTGGGATTACAGGCGTGAGCCACTGTGCCTGGCCAAGGCCCCACCTTCTATACTATTACATTAGGGGTTAGGATTTCAACAAATGAACTTTAGGAGGACATAAACATTCAATTCAAAGTATTTGGTTTGACTATAAATGAGTATTAGCCAACAAATTAATTTAGCTGCTTACGCCCTTAGCATAGTTTTACCTATATTAATAAAATTATGATATTTTGATTAAGAAATGAAATCATCATACTACCTAGACAAATAAATTCTAGTTCAGAAGTTCTTTCAGTTTGGCTTTTTGAAGTCAGAACACATGTTTTTGTGTGTAGAAACATTATACCATGTTTGGAAGCCAGGTTCCTAGGTTTCCCAGGTTACCACAGAAACCCAGCCTTTCAGTGGACGTTTCGAACCAATATAGCCAGCATCCATTCTGAGTCTCTTGTGAGCGCAGGTTTGTCATGTGGTACATAGATAGAGGAAGAGTATCTTCCTTGCATCTAATAATCTTACCAAAAAATGTAGATGGGATGATCTTTTGCATTCTCTTCTCTCTGTGAAGCTTGAGAATAATAAAAGGGAGGCACCCCGAACAGAACACGTGGGCATCTCTACATTCCCTTCCTGATGCTCTTCTCAGTTGTCCTAAGTGATGAGCATTTCATCACGTCACATCCTGGAAGTTTTGAGATTTTAAAGTGGGGCCCTGACCCAAATGCCTCTCTCTTTAGAGTTTCAGATGATAAAACAATCTCAAGTGACAAAATCCCAGAACAATGACAGTCTGGAACAGGCCAGGCCTTCCAGGGACCTCTTCTGGGGAAGTGGCTCTCCCAGCTTCACCTGCCTGTTACTTTTGAACCTAGGGGTTTTTGTTGTTGTTGTTTTAGTTAGCTTTCTCTCTCTCTTTTTTATTTTTTATTTATTTATTTTTTTATGAGGCTGTGCAAAGAAGCCTCCAAGCCCCTGAGTAGGACGAGGGGGATCGAGAAGCTCTTTATATGTATAGGCTGATTTTAAGGTTAGAACTGGTCATGTGTGCCCTCGGCGGAGCCCTCCTGGATATCAGGAAATAAAATTTAGAGATGAACATTGTGTTAGTCTGTTGGTGGTTCTATAAAGAAATATCCAAGGCTGGGTAGTTTATAAAGAAAGAGATCTAATTGGCACATGGTTCTGCAGGCTGTACAGGAGGCATGGCACCACCATCTGCTTGGCTTCAAGTCAGGCCTCAGAGAGCTTACAGTCATGGCAGAAGACAGAGTGGGAGCAGATGTGTCACATGGCAAGAGAGGGAGCAAGAGAGAGAGAGGGAAAGGCCACACACTTTTAAACAACCGGATCTCAGAGTGAGAACTCACTCATCACCAGGGGATGGTGTTAAGCCACTCATGAGGGATCTGCCACATGATTCAAACCCCCCACCAGGTCCCACCTTCAACAGTGGGGATCACATTTCAGTGTGAGATTTGGAGGGACACAAATCTAAACCATATCAGACATTGAGAAAGATGGACTCAAGTGTAGGTAGCAGTTACTGAGCACTTCTTACAAGCCCGACAGTTTATTAATTAGCTTGTGTAATCTTTACAACAACACTGCGAGCTAGTATGGAATAGATGGTATCCTCCTCCTCACTGTACAGATGAAGAGATGAGACTTGGAAGCTTTAAATGCTTTGCCCAAGGTCACCTAGTTAGTGAGTGACCATGGTGGGATATGAACTGTAATTTCAGAATCCATCCTTTCATTCCTAATTGCTGTACTGCCTCCTTAGAAGTTGCCCAAGCCAAAGAAATTGTTTGGTTATTGTTTGTTTTGAGGTTTAGAGGAATATTATTGGGGGATAATAGTTATCACTAAAGATTTAAAGTTGGTTAAAAGAAGGGGAGACTAGACTTGTTCTATGTTGTAGCAGTTAGAAATGTTTTAGAAATAAATTGGGACATCTGCTGTTTTCTAATGACATTTTAAATTTCTTAAATTTACCCCCACCCCAAATCTCTATGCTATAGGTAAAATTCTATGCCATAAAGAAAATTCAATTTTTTTTCATTTAAAAAATGACATTTAAAGTTTTTATTTATTTATTTATTTATTTTGAGACAGAGTCTCGCTCCCTCGCCCAGGCTGGAGTGCGGTGGCACGATCTTGGCTCACTGCAAGCTCCGCCTCCCAGGTTCACACCATTCTCCTGCCTCAGCCTCCCTAGTAGCTGGGACTACAGGCACCTGCCACCACGCCTGGCTAATTTTTTGTATTTTTAGTAGAGACGGGGTTTCACTGTGTTAGCCAGGATGGTCTCGATCTCCTGACCTTGTGATCTGCCTGCCTCGGTCTCCCAAAGTGCTGGGATTACAGGCGTGAGCCACTGCACCCGACCTTAAGTTTTTATTTATTTACTCCATCCCCAATCTCTATGCCTTAAAGAAAATTCCTACTTTGGATATGAGACTGGACAAGATGACCTATTAGTTGTTATCTGGATCTAAATATGGTTAAAGAACTCATTGGTATTACAACGTAGTGGCTGCTTCTGTAAAATAATTCTCTGTATGTGCTCTGATTACATAGCTCGCTATACCACCATAGAATGACTATAGTTAACAATAATGTATAGTTTCAAATAGCTAGAAGGAGGATATTGAATATTCATAACACAAATAAATGATAGAGGTTTGAGATGATAGATATGCTAATTACCCTGATCTGATTACTACACATTGTATGTACTGAAACATCACTAAGTACTCCATCATTTTGTATACTTATTATTTGTCTATTTTTTAAAAATAAAATAGTCCTTTAGAGAAAGCCACTGTAGTGGGTCAGTTCCCCCCCCCCCAATTCATGTCTAACCAGAACCCCAGAATGTAACCTTATTTGGAAATAGGGTGGTTGTAATTAATTAATTACAGGTAGAATTAATTAAGGATCTTGAGATGACCAGTGACCATTGACTGGTGTCCTTTCAAGAAGAGGATAGGATGCAGAGAGAAGGCCACGTGAAGATGGAGGTTGATATTGGTATTCTGCCGTCACAAGGCAAGGAACAGCAGGAGTCGCTACTGGAAGAGGCAAGGAAGGCTTCTCCCTTACAGCTTTCAGGGGGAATGTTAACCTGCTAACACCCTAATTGCAGACTTCTGTTTTCCTGAATTGGGAGAGAATGCATTTCTGTTGTTTTAATCTACCCAGTTCGTAGTAATTGGTTACAGCATCCCTTGGAAACTAACAGCCACTTTCCACTCTCTCCATTGATATTTCATCTTAAATTTTGGAATAGGTTCATGTCCATGTACAGTGTTGTAGTTACTGTATAAATCGTACATTTTACGTTTCCTGACAGGAGCCAATCACATTTAAATTGTATTAGGATGGCTCTACATGTGAACTGAATGTTTTAAAGAGATGAAATGCATTTTAAGGAGTAGCTTTTTAAAAAAAAAAAAATTAAGTAAACTACGTTAGTGTTGTGGGGTGGGAGTGTTGTGATTCTTCTGAAAGAATTTTATCAAACCACCCAGATGACTCTATTAACAAGTTAGTCCTCTAACGAACTCTCTCACACTTCTCTAAGGTTAAAAATCAATTAGAAGGATTGGAGTGAAGGTGTCATTTTTCAGTTGAAAGTCTAATAAAGCAAATCCTGGAAAGAATGAATAACAACTGCCTGACCAGATGTGGCCATTACCAAAGGCAGGAGGATCCCAAAGTGATTACATCTTCTTGAAGGTTTATAGTAATTCTGATTAATCTGTTTTGAAAAGACAGATACCCATATACCCCATGTATGCAAAGGTAATAAGATTATTAGGACTCAAATTTTTTTCTGAATTATAATTCTTGCTATCAGTCATAATTTGTCTACTGTCCCTGGTGTTTTGAAATCTAAACTAGGAATTTTAAAAGTCCACCTGTCATGGAGTTGGGAAATTGTTCTGGAGATGCTTTAGTCTGGAGAGGAAATATAATAAATTTCAAGTGAAAGATTCTGTTTCAGTGAGGAAAATGATATGATTAATGCATTTCTCCCCAGATTTCAGACTCCTTTCTAAGATACTTAGGTTCCACCACCATCTAGCCCTTGCCAACTTCACCCACCTCCTTATACGCTGGAGGTGTTCAACATATAACATTTTAATCACTGCAGCAGCTTCATGGTTTCTAACATAATGTTAATCTATGTTCCTTCACCAAACACATAAAGCTTAGTCCAGGCTCTAAGACATAGGGTGGGATTACTAGGCAGGGCCTGGTCCCTTATCCTGCAGGGGTTGACAGGCTGGTAGGGGAGATTTGTTCTTTAATCCAAATGTAGAAACACCATTTAGAAAGTACTGACTTTTTGTTGAGTTGAAATATCATATATTGGGATCTAAAGGAAAGCAGGTTTCCTGAATGTTTTCTAGCAATAATCCTTCACAGTAATGCTGTGCTGTTGGTATTAGAGGAAGGAAGGAAGGCCGTGTCACTCAGTTGTACTGTTTTGCAACCAGTTTCTTGAGCCAAACCTTTTGGTTATGTTTTATTGGAAGATGTTTAGTAACCATGACATAGATATACCATTCGTAGCAAAGGTCAGTTTCTCTAAAAGCCTCATAGAGTAGTTCTCTATCAAACAAAGCCCCCAGTATGGTGAAACTGAATGGCATATGCCTCCTTCACTCCCATTTTCTCTTCCACTCAGCTCCTGAAGAGGTTGTCGACTGATCTTTCACAACCTGACTGCTACCTCCTCGGTGACCTTGGGGAACTCCCTTTTCTGTTCTCTTATCTGTAAACTGAATGAAGAATGCATTTAGCTTGATGCCAAAAACAGAGTAAATGCTCAATAATGTTAGCAATTAGTATTATGCGTAACACTTAGTTCTCTGGGGAAAAAATATTTTCCAGAAATTGTCATGCTTTGGGTTTTTCCTCTTTAGTTTTTGCTTATTAAACTATTTTTAAGGACTGCCTAGGTTATTTTGATAGTAACAAAAAGATAAAATATTATAGATCCATTTTTACCCATTTTACTAAAATGGGTAAAAAGAGAGCTAAACCTATCCCCCTATTAAGGGAAAACATTGTTCCCAGTGTTTTATCTATTTCTAGGATGACTGCTATCCAGGATTTGCATATGAGCTATTATTGTAAGGGAAGATTGAATTTTGCAATTAGGGAGAACAGAGATGAAGTTAGTTAGAGTCTATAAGGCAGACCAAGTTTCTACATGTATTCCTGGGGAGAGCAGAATGAGATAACCTCTCCAGGATTTTATGGATAAGTTCTCACTGCAATATTTACAATTTATATATTAATTTAAAAAAACATATCCAGGCAGGATTAAACTGTCCTGCAGATTTTTATCTTCATTTAATTTGCTTTGTGATGGAAGTTCTTCTAAAGGTAGGATGATGTTTTAATTTGAGCAATTTTTATGTAACTGGAGCAACTACTGGGTTGCGGGGAAGAGCAGAGTGGCTGCCACCGTTCCCTGCCACGAGGGTGTGGGTGGACTTCCCCAGCTTCCTGGCCGCAGTGGAGAAAAGGAAGCTTGTCTATTCCTTCCTAAATTGTTTTCCATACTAGAAGTTATCATGCTTGGTTCCGATCTTTACCAGAAACAAAACAACAACAACAACAAACCACCATTTCTCTTAATGCATTCTTTTTGCTCTGCTCTAAGATTTAAACTGTTAGATCCGAAGACTTGAATTTTAGGAATATGTGAAGTTGTCTTTTTAAAGAAATATAAATTTTAAAACTGTTTGTGTATCCTCTTCCTGCATTTTTTCTTTTTTAGCAAAATGATTTGATATCGTACGGGGCGCTCTGAAGTTTCCATGCTACTGCTTTTTTCTGTTTACTTCGCTTTGAGGTCCTGGCGTAGCTGCAGGCCACACCTAGAATGCTGTTCCTGTCTGCCCTGTCCTCTGGGCAGGGGTCCACCATAGTGTTTCTCCATGTTTGGGCTCTAGTCTGTTTTTCCCTTTCCTGTTCTGGAAAGCCCACTGGTGGCTTTGGCTTAGGTGGGGGTGGGCAGAGAGCTGCTCCCCGTCACTAGTCATTGAGTGTGAGGCTCCTGAAGCCAGTTTCCACTTAGGCATCATTTTCTTCATAAATGTGTTTCTCTGTGGTGAGTGAGGAGAGATGGTGTCATTTTCTTATTTTGTGCATTTAGAAAGGCTGAGATTTACAAAACTCATTTTGGGTACTCGTCACTAATTAGTTTAATCTGGGATAACAATGGAAAATGAAAGATTGCATGTTTGATCATGCACAGCAAAGAAAAAAGATTTATAATGAAACTAAATATCATGAAAGAAGAGAAGGATCAGAAAACTCAAGTGTAGGAACTGAGTTCTGTGTTGCCCACTGATCTCCACACCCAGCCCCCAAACACACAGAGGTCCTGGGTCTCTGTTCTAGAGGCCAGAACTTTATGTTGTCCGAGGTTCTTTGGAAAAGAAATTTTCTTTGACATTTTCAATAACTAGCAATGTGCACATTTTGGTAAAAGAGATGAAATGATGCTTTATGATTAGCTTTAGCAACAGAAAAGTAAAAAGGTGCAGAGAAAGACTAATATCTTCACTTTTTTTCTTGTTGAGCAATAACTTCCTACTCCAAATAGAATATTGTGAAATAATTTTAAAACGAAAAGAAAAAATGTTGCATCCGATTTCTGTAAACATTGAAAGCATTTCCCAGATCCTGCTTACCACAGAATGACGTTCTACTTCAATTTATCTGCTTCAGAAGAGATGAAGAGAGGAATGAGGCTTGCCAGCATTTGGTTTGGTTAGCTCCCAGGGCACCTATGTATTCCCAGGTTGATACCATCACCACTAAAGTGATTAGACAATAGTGCATGGGCTGACTCCATAAAACAGAGGAAAGTCTCAGGGCTGTTGTTAGCAGTAGATACTCAGTCCAAATATGCAGTATCATTAAATAGAAATTTCACCTGAAATAAACTTTGTCCCTGTAAAAATGGGAAAATGCTTAGGTCAAATTAGAAACAGCCCTTCAGAGTATAATGGTGGGCTGCTGGAAGCAAGGTTCACATTAACTTTTTTTTTTTTTTTTAAGACAGGTTCTTCCTCTATTGCCCCCCAAGCTGGGGTGCAATGGTGCACACTCTGATCACTGCAACCTCTGCCAACTGGGCTCAAGTGATCCTCTGGCCACAGCCACCAGAGTAGCTGGGACTACAGGCATGCACCACCATGCCCAGCTGATTTTTGTGTTTTTGTAGAGATAGGGTTTTGCCATGTTGCCCATGCTGGTTTTGAACTCCTGATCTCAAACAGTCTGCCCATCTCTGCCTCCCAAAGTGCTGGGATTATAGGCATGAGCCACCACGTCCGGCCCACATTAACTGAAGGAAAACCAGTTTGTTTTAGAGAATTTATCTAAGTATATGCTTTGTGAAGCTTTAGGAAGAAGCAAACAGTGGAGTTCACAAAATAAAACAATCTTACAAATCTCTCCATTTTATTTTTAAAGAAACAGAGTATGAAGTAACTTGTTTTGAGTGTATGAATTTGTGACATATATAGGGAGACATGACCATGGGTAGGCAATTCTAGTGATTCTTTAAGGGTTCCTAATTCAAGCCGGTTAAATTGGTAGTTGACTCTGAGTGTACTCTTATGACAGAAAAGCATCAAAGTGCTTTTTTTTTTTTTTTATAGATAGAGTCTTACTTTGGTGCCCAGGCTGAAGAGCAGAGCAGTGGCATGATCTCAGCTCAGTGCAGCCTTGACCTCCCGGCTCAAGTGATCGTCCCACCTCAGCTTCCCCAGTAGTTGGACACAGGTGTGAACCACCACACCCAGCTAATTTTTTTTTCCTTTTTGTATAAATGGGATTTTGCTATGTTGCCCAGGCTGATCTTGAATTCCTGGGCTCAAGTGATCACCTGCCTTGGCTTCCCAAAGTGTTGGGATGCAGGCGTGAGCCACTGCATCCAGTCTCCAAACTGCTTTAATTAACCTGTTTGATTTTTGTATCTTCTTGTAAATGGTACAGATAATGATCTTGTATGCTACTCAAAAATTCTTAATATAAATAAATACAAAAATAGAAATGGGTGGCATTCACGAGCATTTTTTGGGAGCTTTAAATTATCAATTTCATAGGTGTGTTTCCTTTTTTTTTTTTCTTTAAAGCAAGCAACTGGATATCTAGCATAGACCTGGACATCTAAGTAAGTGATCTAGAAGTTGACAGTGGATAAAATCTGAGGTATAAAAGAGGCTGCACAAAATAATTTTTGTCTGCTGTCTTAACAGGTCTAGCATATCAATTTTACTCAGTTTTTAAAAACTCATTAATAAAATTTGGCCTGTACCATCATCTTTGCTGCAATCCTCGTAACAAACAAGGACTGGTGCTTTATGACAGCAGTGTCGGGACTGGAAGCCCAGTTCTCCCTCTGATTAGCTGTATGGCCTTGGATATGTGGTTTGACTTCTCCTGGCCTCAGGTTTCCTGAAAAGTGAGGGGTTGCATTACATCAGTGTTTCTCAGCATTTTCAAAGCCAAGCTCCCTTTGCCAAAAATTCAAGTATGTCCCCACCTCTGCTTCCCCTCCTGCCATCTCCCAAGATTTCCTTATACTTCTAGTGGATAATTATTGGCTCTTATGATCCCTCATACCCCTCCCAGCTCTAGCATTTTGTTATTCTGAGCAGATACTGGGTTTGAAATCAGTGGAACAAAGGTTTTTATCTCACTGTGTGAATAGATGCAGCTTGCTCCTCCTTAAAGCTGGAAGGGGGCCCTTCCCAAATTCATTCACACAGACCAGGAGTCCTGCCTTGTGCATGAGCAAAACCTGGAAGCTTGTGTTAGAAATGCAGAAACTTGACCCCACCCCAAATGGCTGAGTCAAAATCTGCATTTTAACAGTGCAGGTGCTTCACGTGCACATCAGTTTGAGAAACGCTGCTGACCACTGTTTTTTAACCTGTAGGTGGCAATATTAGTGGGAAGTATCAGTTCAGTGGGTTACAACCAGCGTTTATTTCTTTTAACGAAATATACTAGGAAAGATAACATTAGGGTACATTGTATTTGGTAAAGGAAAATATTGTTTCACAAAACTTACGTTTCAGTTTTATATGTCTGTGCCTATTTATGTATATAGGATGGAGAGGTCAGGCAAAAAGTTAACTTTTGAGGTGGATCTTGGACGAAAATGTTAAAAAAAAAACCCAGCAAGCCCCATTCTCAGGCAGTATAGCTTAGAGACAGCCATCTCTTCCCCTCTATCTTTATTCACACACACAAACATGACTGTTCACACACGCAAACATGACACAGAAATACACAGATTGACCAGGCCCAGTGGCTCATGCCTGTAGTCCCAGCACTTTGAAAGGCTGAGGCAGGAGGATCTCTTGAAGCTGAGTTCAAGAGCAGCCTGGGCAACACAGGCAATAAAGTAAGATCCAGTCTCTACAAAGAAAGTTTTTATTTATTTATTTATTTATTTATTTGATTAGCCAGACGCGATGGCATGCTCCTATTGTCCCAGCTACGTGGGAGGCTGTGACAGGAGGATTACTTGAGCCCAGGAGTTTGAGGGTGTGGTGAGCCATGATTGCACTACTGCATTCCAGCCCATGAGGCAGAGCGAGACTCTGTCTCTTAAAAAAATAAAATAAGATAAATTAAAAAATAAAAAAAAGAAATACATAGACTGATATATAATAGAAGAGCTGTTCTAGTATCACTCACTTTCTCTAATTATTCATATCAGATATAAGCTACTAGATTTTACCATGAGAAAGAAACAAAAGTAGACAGTATTGTTGAGTTATATTAATTCAAAAAATTTTCTCAGTGATGTTTATACACAAAATTACAACATTGTCAGATAAGATTTTATGTTTTTAAGTTATTATTATGGGGAGATTGCAAATACTTGTTCAGTTTCCTGTAAGTACAGATAATGCTTTTTTCTCTAGGGGCTAAATTGTGAAACCCATGGTACTGCAAGGTCATTCACATGTCCCGCTGGATCTAAGAATAAATAAATAAGTTGGTTTTGTGGGAGTATTTTTTTTATAAGCTTACTCATATAAGTTTTCTAACTTAATATTTAATCACCTAATAATACTTTCAGTAAGTTTGTTTAATGTGGAGAAAGTATGTTTTTGAATGGGTATTTTCCACCCTGAGGACTTTACAATCTCAGCGGTAATTCATTACTTACAAGAAATACTAAGATACAGACTGTACTGTAGATAGACTTTAAAAAACAGCTGGGAGGAAGTTGTCAGCCCTGGAATCCTAAATCTACTGGGGTGAGGCAGGAAATGCATTGCAGAGGTATTCTGAACTGTCATGATAAAAGTAATGTTTCACTTCCCCTAGGAAGTTTTCTTTCTTTTTTTTTTTTTTTCCATTTATTTTGAGTAAAAAGTAAAGGAAGAGTTTGCTCTTGTCCCCTTCACAAGGCTCTGTGTTGAGGAAGAAAACTGGCATGGATCTGGAAATTCAAGGAGGAGGAAAACACTGCACACCTGCATTCAGAATTCAGAAGAATAATTAATTTTGCACCTGAAGTTGGGTGGGATTTTGTGTTTACTGCGTTCTAATTACTGTTTGTTTGGGCTGTAATTTATTTATTGTGTTGAATTTTCTTTTAAAGTGGTTTTGGAGCTGTTACAGGGTCCTTTTATATAGAAGAGATTGAATAGAATGTGAAATGTAACTCTTTATACTGATTACACGTTGAAACACAAAGATGGCAGGCTGCTAAGTAACATACAGTCTCTATAGATCTTAAGTTACTATGGTTATTTCAGCTGTAATATTGTTTCTACCTTAAGGATACTCTGGTTTCAGGAGCTCTTTAAGATTGTTTTTTGTTTTACATTTGTTCCTTTAGGCTTCAGTTGTTGTTTTAGGATAGCTTACATATTTAGAATATTTTCTTAGAATCACTTATGACTAAGTCGGGAATCCATGCTGGCCTAAGGGGCATAGGAAAATGGTGCCGCAGTATGATGTCTGTTGGTCTTAAGTTGCACGATGTCACAGAAGTTGGCCTTGGAGTCTGCCAGTTTAACAAACTCTTGCTCCATTTCTCTATTTGGCAGACAGACAAGAGTACTAAAGGTCCTGACTGGGCTCTGTCTTGATATGTCTTATCTGGAGATGGCACTGTCCAGCACTATCCAGAATTTTAGAGTATTTTGGAGCTGGAAGGAAGCTTAGAAATCATCCAGGCTAACCTGCTTATTTCACACGTGAAGACCTGAGCCTTCCAGGGATAATACTCATTCCTGCTCCTGGCCAGGACAAAACTTGAATCTGGATATTCTAACTTTTCCGTTCAATTCCTCCCCCCCACCGTCCCCCGCCCGAGATGTAGTTTCACTCTTGTTGCCCAGGCTGGAGTGCAATGGTGCAATCTCAGCTCACTATAACCTCTGCCTCCTGGGTTCAGATGATTTTCCTGCCTCAGCCTCCCAAGTAGCTGGGATGACAGGCGCCCACCACCACACCTGGCTAATTTTTGCATTTTTAGTAGAGACAGGGTTTCACCATATTGGTCAGGCTGGTCTCGAACTCCCGACCTCAGGTGATCCACCTGCCTTGGCCTCCCAAAGTACTAGGATTACAGGCATGAGCCACCGTGCCCAGCCAATTTTTTTTATTATTATTGTTATAAACATTATTTTTATAGAAGGAAGGGAAGTGTTTTTCTAGTTTTGCATTCTCCAGAAGCCATGCTCTTCATTTACTGTGTTTAAATTCTTTTCTACATGTGAGATTCTGGTAACCTGTGACATCATGTCCACATTCCACCTTGCTTTTTAGGTTCTTCCTACTACCTTTTTAGTACCACCACACTCCTACCCCAACATCAACTTGTGGGAGCTTCCTCTGAACCAACCAGGGTAATTCTCTGGCTTTTGTGAAGAATGATCCTTCCAGTCTATGTCCTTGTTGGTCACTCCTCTTCTTACTCTACCCACCTTTCTTTCAGATTTGCCATTCCTTTTATTGTTTTTGTTTGTTTGTTTGTTTTTGTTTTTGAGACAAGGTCTCGCTCTGTTACCCAGGCTGGAGTGCAGTGGCACAATCACAGCTCACTGCAGCCTTGACCTGGGCTCAAGTGATCCTCTTGTCTCAGCCTTTTCAGTAGCTGGGACTACAGGCGTGTGCCACCAAATTTTTTTTGTAGAGTCAGGGTCCTGCTATGTTATTCAGGTTGGTCTCAACCCCCTGGGCTCAAGTGATCCTCCCACCTTGGCCTCCCAAAGTGCTGGGATTACAGATATGAGCCACCACCCCTTTTATTCTTAATGACATGTCATTTGTATTCAGCTCACTCAGCCATCCACCCCCTCTGTGAAGCCTTCCTCAACCTTTTTGTCCCCTGTCTTTTCATCCTCCCTCCTCCCTGATCTTCCCTTGGTTGAACTCTATTTTTAGAAACTGTACTGTACTACACCATTATAAGCAATGCAATTAAGGGTAGCTAAGGCTGGGAACCCACTCTTAAAAGCTTTTCCTTTCTGATGAATGCATTCTCTGGCAAGGAAATTTTGAAATCATTGCCTTAGTCCCCTTACTTTCTCTTTTGGCCCTCTAGTTTTGTGGTGATTAATTTAAATTTAATGTCTTCAGTCTGGTATCTTCATATTCACACACCCATACCCCTTATAAATGCTGTTACAAAAACTAGATGGAACAAATTGCACAAAAACTCTTGTGTGTTTCCTGGCCCAGAGTTCTCAGTGGGCAACTTGGCGAGTCGCTGGAGTTCTTAGAAGAACTTTTGAAGGAAATAGAACAATTGGGCTGATAAGCATTCAGGAGCACAGAACCAACCCTTAAAAGATACTTGAATGATAAGGAATCTAATGTCTTGATGGGATCTGGAAGGAAATCTCAGTCAGTCATGTTGTATTCAACAATGCAAGTCTTAACTTTAATTCTTTTATCTGAAGCATAAGAAAATGATGGTTTATTCATGAACTTAGGTAAAGAGATTTCTATGTGGAGATTGCAGTTTTACATGCAAGGATCAACTTTGATGGATATCTTTGAGAATTAATTGTGAAACATATTGGGAATTTTTATTTTTAGGTTTTATTGGAATAGTGAAGGTAACATGGGCCCCTCTCCTTTGACAGGCTTAATCCAGCCAAAAAAAAAATTTAATACTCTATTGGTCAGTTTCACAGTCTTGAGAAGCTGCAAAGTTTTTTTCCAAACAAGGAACAGTGAAGATATGAGAACCAGTTTCATTAACTAATTAGCTATGTGATTTTAAGCTTTGATATCCTTGTTATCAAATGGGATTAATTGATTATTTCCTTAACTCCATGGTATGTATAAGTGAGACACACTGGCTGTGTAAAGGGGCCTTACTCTTCATTAATCTAGTAGCTATGTGTTTTTTAACATCCTGGCCTCAGGCATTCCTTCTCTGACCTATCCATAGGAGCAACTGATTCCTGGCCAGTTTCTCACCCCTCTCCAGTTCACCTCCCACATTTAGTTTTGTTTTTCCAGTTCCCTGTGCCAGAACTTCTCTTTCCAGCCACCATTCCCAGCCCTCTCTCAGTCACTCATATGGCCAAAAGGAAACAAAGAAAATGTTCTGACTGTAGTGATAACTGGCCCATGTGGGGGCCCCCCTCATTCCTTTTTGATAATTTATTTAAATTGTTAAATTCCTTTTACATCTTGAAAGCATACAGAGAGGAACTGGTGTATGGAAATAAGTGTAGCAGACATTGTCTTCACATAGTACTCAGTTCATTTCAGGCTTGATCTTATACTGTTTCCCTGTGAAAATGATAATGTTCTGTAAACTTCTGTCTGCTTTCAGGAGCAACTGTAGTGATTATTTTGCTTCTGGATGAAGGAAATAGTTGATGTATTAAACCAACCTGCTGTTTGGGATGGTGGTGGTGGTGGTCGTGGTGGTGGTGGTGGGTGTAGGGGCAACAGGGGTGGGAATGATAACCTTCTTGAACTATAAGGATGAAAACTTTAAAGAAGACTTGAAGAAAATTAAAGGGCAGGTCCTAGCTTTCCTTTCCCTTCAAAACGTACTAGAATTATTAGAGAAGTGGCTAAGTAAGGTGGGGGTGGGAAGAGGAGGACAGCTTCAGCTATAAGATTGGTCAGAGCACTGTTCTTTAGCCTATTAGTAATAGGAAGGAAATGAGACAATAGAATTTTAAATGACAAGTTTTTGTTTTAAAATTATCTTTGCTGCATAGAAATCTATAACAATGTACATGATTACTAATGTATTTTAGTTCACATGTGGTTAATTTTGTAAATGACCTTTAGATTTGTATTCATAGAGGAGAGACTATTTCTCTCTTCTCTATAGGGGGTGATGTGATAGAGAGGGAGATAGTATTACCCTGTGTATAGTTGCCCTGTGCCTGTTGTTGATCCTTTTAGTGTAGGAGGCCCAGTGGGGCTTCTGGCGGGAAGGAGGCATCAGTGTTGTCCATGCAGGAAGTGCTCCCTGATTGCTATCCATAGAGGAAGTCCTCCCTGAATGCTGCCCACACAGGACGTGCTCTCTGAGTGCTGTCCATACGGGAAGTTCTCTCTGAGTGCTGATGAACGCTCTTCCTGATGGTGCCAAACCACTCGTGCAGGAAAGGCTGAGGGTCTAATACAACCACCCCTTTATTCACGAGTGACTTTGTTTTCTATCCATTTTGGCATGCAAATTAAGCCCATATAAATATTATCAAGAAAATTGAATTAGCTTGTTTTCTTTGCCCTTGGAGATAGAAGAATGTAGTTTGTTTGCCTGACCTGATAACAGGAAAAATTAGGCTAGAGAAGGCTGAGAGACTACTAGGCTCTTTTGGGATGAGTGGGCACTTAGCATGCTTATCCAGCCACCAGGTCCCCTAATTAGATTGAATGTGTGTAAATAGTTGCAAGCTTCATCCATAGAGGGTCTTTTCACGTTCCAAGGCAGCTTCCGGGTTTTGAGAGGCAAAATGTAGAAGGACTACCAGTGATGAAAATGGAACTGGCTAAAATATTGTCCCTTTTTGTCCCTTTGTAAGCTTTTTAAAAATTTGTTTATCATTTGTGCTGCCAAGACACCTAATCTAACGCAAAGTGTAATTGCTGTAAATTTATCAGAGTTCTGAAGCTGTAATTAAAGGCTTGTCAGTATTTGCATTTTAATCTATGAATGAGGGTTTAATTTTTCACTGTTTTAAGTCACGTCATCCTAAAATGTTGACTCTAATGTTTAGCAGTAATATGCTGAAGCTTTCAGAAGTTGTTTGTAGAATTTATTCTTTAATGAAAAGATTTTTATAAAGTAGAATTTTTAAAACTGATTTTTTTAAGAGCTAATCTTTGTTTTTTTAATACTTAACAGACTGTGTGTTAATTAAGTCAACTTAAAGGCACCTTTTACTTTCTTAAAAAACATTAAAGGCACCTTTTACTTTCTTAAAAAACATATCTGCCAATGGTATTAAGTATCAAATTTCAGAGAAGCTGGAATTTGGTAATTAGTCAGCAAAAATGATGGGCACAGAAAATGAAAGAATACAAATAGAGCATTCAGGACATAGAAAGTGTTTTGGGGTCCCACGTAGAGTACTGTTTGAAGGCTCTGCTCTGGCTTTGTTTTCTAGCAGACCTGCGTTCAAATTCTAGCCCTGCCACCTTCTAAATGTGTGGCCCTGGCACATGGCCTAACCTTTTTTGAGACTCGGTTTCCTAATCTGCACAATGGGAGAACAATAACCTACCTGCCTGTCTGATTGAATTAAGTATGGTAATGTATGTAAAGTACTCAGCAGAGTCTGTATCTTTAGTAGAGACGGGGTTTCACCATGGTGGCCAGGCTGGTCTCGAACTCCTGACTCCGTGATCCACCCACCTCGGCCTCCCAAAGTGCTGGGATTACAGGCGTGAGCCACTGCGCCCGGCCCAGTTTCAGTGACTTCTAAAAACGTAATCTTGGGTTTAAAAATTTCTGCACCAGAAAATTAAAAATTGACAACCTAGAATAATTCAACGCTTCTCTCTTTCAGTTTTCTTTCTCTGTCTTCAGTTAGCCCCAAGAAAGAATTGATTTGGAAATAAAATTTGAATTTGAACTTTGTTCTGTATAGGATTCACCAGAGGCTAGTAGTCCTCATTGGGTACATTTAGGAACCCTCTTCTGCCTGGGATCAGATGCTGGGAGATTTCATTCCCTCACAGGGGAAACTTAACAGGGGAAGCAGGGAAGCACAGGCTGTACCTGCTTCCCACATTGGGAAAATACTGCAGTAAATATGGATGGCCATCAAATTTATATTAAACTGGCTCTGTAAATTCAGATATGTAAATCATAGCTGTATTTTGGCCAGAAATGAATACATAAATAAAAAAACCTACTACTTTCATGTCTAAATAATCTCCAACTAAGTCATACATCCAAATGTTTCTTTAATTATACAAGTGCATGCCCGCCACTCCCTTTCCACTCCTGGCAAAATCAAAGGTTCAAGTGAATGCAGTCTTGGAATGCAGTCTTTAAAATGCCTGATGGTTCATTTACTTCGTGTTGATGTAATCCCACTAAGAGGTAGGGGCGGGCCTGATCCACAGCTTCTTACTGACTTCTCCAAGTCTCATCCCAGATGACCACATTTCATCGCCCAACAGCTACGCTAAACATACTGGGTCCTACTGTGAAAACAGTGTGGCTTGTGTCAGGGATGGTTTCTGAGACACTAATCAAAGGAGGTTTAAGAGAAAATTCAGTCCTGTCTAGTTCTAATAGCTACAAGTTCTCTGCGTCAATCAAAGGCTTGGGACAGGAGGCAGGTGTGTGGGCTACTTTCCAGCACCTCTGTTCTCACTGATGTGAAAAATAGAGTAGGGCTGGATGGCAGGTAGCAACTCAGTGGCTTCAGAGAAGGAGCACAGGCTTTGTGGGGCATGGCCAGTGCTCTGAGGTGCCACCTGTGGCAGAGCAAGTGTCAGAATTTGGTCTTAGTTTTATATCTAGTAAGTAGTTAGCCCCTAGAGAAAAACTAGTGGTTTGGAGAAAGGATATGAGTTCAGCTGCTCATTAAGGGCATGAATCAAATAGATTTGGTAGGATATGATCTCAGGCTGCTTTTATTTTGGGATTAAGCAATACCGATGTTCCCAGTTCAAGTTCAGCCTTCAGTGAATAGCATTTCTGCATTGACTATTATTGACCCTTTGCTGCTCTCCTTCTAAAAGAGAATCTCTTTAAATAAAGTGGTGTTTGGACTCAGATGATATCTCAGCAAGGAACCTGGGCAGTGGAAGGAAGAATCTGAAGGATATAGGACCAGAAAAAATGGTAACATATCTAAATTAATGGGGCCAGGCACGATGGCTCATGCCTGTAATCCCAGCACTTTGGGAAACCGAGTTGAGCGGATCACCTGAGGTCTGGAGTTCAAGACCAGCCAGGTCAACATGGTGAAACCCTGTCTCTACTAAAAATACAAAAATTAGCCAGGCATGGTGTTGTGCGTCTGTAATCCCAGCTCCTCAGGAGGCTGAGGCAAGAGAATCACTGGAAACCGGGAGGTGGAGGGTTCCGGTGAGCCGAGATTGCACCACTGCACTCCAGCCTGGGTGACAGAGCGAGACTCCATCTCAAATAATAAAAAATAAAAATAAATTAATGAGATCCCCATATGTTGAGATATTATGGAATTAGGATGACCATGGCAGAAGCTGGGTACAAAACTAGGAATCTATAGTGGGCAACGGAGGTTGGTGACAAGGTAAATGAGGATATGCTTATTGTAAGGGGTCTGCTTCTCCAACTTTCCACTGTGGGATTTGATTTGTCTCCTATAGACATGCCTGACTTTCTTGTTTGTGCTGGTAAAAACCAAGCCATGAGATTTGAACCTTTTGACTGTCTAGTGACTATTTAATTTTGGATGTTCAAACTGTTCATGAGTGATGTCCTTGAGTTAGTACAGTATATTTATGATTTAGAAAATGTGAGGTGAAAAAACGTCCCTGTCCTGGTGTGAAATTGCTGCGCGTTTGCTGTGAGGACACTTGGGGTTACGTGCCCTTTTGTCTCAAGCTGAGCCATTTAACTTCCTCAAAGTCATGTGTGTGGCACTGGGTCAGAGAACTGTGGTTTCTTTCAGTCGGTGCACAGAGAATTATCTGGTATGAGTACAATTTCAGACATTCTTCCTAGGTGGCTGCCGACTGTAAAACCACACTGAGTCCTTTGGTTGCAGGCTTTACTTTGAGTTGTGGTGGGTGCTGCAAGCTGGGAAGTTTTCCAGCTTGGACACCATTCTCACAGGGGTTAAATTTCACAAGGTTAGCCAGAGCGAAAGGCAGCCTGCCTGGGAATCTTACCCAGATGTCTCAATGAAGTCGTGTGCCTGTCTTAGAACTAGGTGAGATCGTCCTTATTGGAGTATCTGGATTAAACTCTAACTTTCTTGTACTTGAGAAGTAATTTTTTTTAAGAGTCATCCTAATAAAATTTTAAGCAACTTTCAATCAAACGTTCTTCAGAATTTGAAAACCTTTTCAAAAGTCTAGTGATTTCTAAATTACTGTGTATTAAGATGGTATCATCTAACTTCATGCACGTTTTGAGTCTCAGATGTGTTCCTGAAAAATGTGTGAATAAATTAATGTTACATAAATTTAGTCACATTTAAGGTGCACATAGAGAACTTTTACTTAGTAAACCCTATTATCAATTTTATGTTGAAGGAGAGGGCTTTTTTAAAGTAGCATGAACAGACCTTTTTTAAAGTGTAAATTAAAATTTATAACTCAAAGTAGCTTAAAGTAATCTATATTTAAATCTTGGTAACTTCATTTTATTTGGTGTCAGCCTCCTAATGCTAGCATACTAAGGCTCCTGATCTTTGTTTTCCAGCAGTCTCTGGTCCCAGCCCACCCCATGGCCCCTCCCAGTCCCAGCACCACCAGCAGTAATAACAACAGTAGCAGCAGTAGCAACTCAGGATGGGATCAGCTCAGCAAAACGAACCTCTATATCCGAGGACTGCCTCCCCACACCACCGACCAGGACCTGGTGAAGCTCTGTCAACCGTAAGTAGTAGTTGTTCCTATTATTTTAGCTGCTAAGTATTTTCTTGATCATATTATAGAGTGATATATACTGCATTATAAGAGAAGTTTATAAGAAGTATCTGTGGACTCTCAGTGTCACAACAATAAAATGGGTTTCAAGTTTTAACTTCTTAAATACTTTTTGAGTCAATATTAACATCATCAGACTGGCTACATATCAAAATGAATTGGAGCATTTTCTCAATAGAATTTGACTTTATGGGCATATGAGAAGTAAAATATGAATTTTTTTAAAAAAAACTTATGGCTAGATATTTTTCAGGAGTTCTCATTTTTTGTGGATGCACCTCTGAGGGCCGGTCTATCCTATGAGAGGAACTTTAGCTATCATTGTTTGTCAGAAAGATTGTTAACCATCTAACGTCATACTGACTGTAAGCTCTTAATTCCAGCTGGGACCATATTAGTCTGTCCCCATTAGCATCCATAGTTTTGTGGTCTGGATTGTACACCCTCATCACTTTAGGAATAAGAACTCAATTCTGCCCTTTCAGAGTGTTCTGAAGGGATGTGTGCATGTGCATAAAGTTCCAAAGTAAATTTGCATTATATGCTAATGTTGTCAATGAATAGAATATAAATGTGCTTCTTTGCTGCAATTACACTAACTCACTAAGTAAGAAAGCACTAATTTTAAAACAAGGAGCCAGAAGCACTGTATAGTGCAAAGATCATTGTGTAAGGACTGAAAGCATCAAATTGCATCGAGCTAGAAAAGCCTACACATATAAGCGTACTTTTTATTTATCCTAAGACAATAATGGTCCCTTAAAGAGAGAATTTTGCATAACTGCAATAGAAGACTTTTGCTAGAGAATGTTTCCTATTACCTGAATTTCAAAACATCTGACTGATAACATCTCATTTCTCTTTTCCTGGTCAAAATCCAGATTCATTACTTCTTATTTTTTTAAGAAAAAAAAATTCAAAACTAACTTGGTCAGTTATTTCCAAACTGGAACTAAAAGTAACATCTGGCCTTCCATGGGTGGGGGAAGGAGTGATGGTTGTTGTGCTGTGTTTGTTTTGAAAGGGGAGGGGTGGGACAGCAGGTGGTTGCTCTTCAGGATCTGGAGAACTTTCTAGAAGGCCATCCCTCCCAGCACTCTCCCTGTGTTTTTCTCATGTCCCCCTTTTTGATCAGCCCTTGTGGACTTTGACTCCAGTCCTTGGCTTTTGGGGCAGTGAAATAATGTCCTGCACTAGCGACTGCTGTGAAAGCAAGCCCAGCTCTTGGGGTTTGTCATTGCTGGCTGGAGGCAGAGGGAACCCTGCCAGGCACGCCCTGCCCTATTGCAGCTGTTCAAGACCACAAATAAGCCTTTTGCTATCTCCTCTGCTGCTGGCCTTTCAGTGGCGTTGTCTTATGTTTTTGCAGCGTAATTACAGGTAGATAAGAGCACCATAAAGTCTAAGGAACTAAAAATATGACTGTAAGAAGCAGAAGAATGGACGTAACTCTCAAATTCATGAGGTGTAAGAGAAGAGGAGAGGAATTCAAAAAACAAATTGTTCTTCAGCTAGTGTTGAATTATGTAGGGTGAGTTTTGATGTCAAGGAGACAGTTAACCCTAAAATACTGGAGTAATGCCATGTTTTATATACAGTAAATATGTACTTGAAAAATTGAGTCAGTAATTTTTTTATTGAACTGAATCATATTACAAATGTGGCAGAAGAACATTTTATCATTTTTCCTAGAATATTCATTTCTTTTTTGTTGTTCTCTTTGACATGTATGGATTTTCTTAACGTGTGTAAACATTACTCTCCTTGCTATTATCAATAGCAGCAATAACGCTTTGCAGCCCTCACTCTCTCCCGTCACTTGCAAAGGAAGGCTCTTGTACAATCCCAGGTTTTATACTGAAGTCTGATAATAGTCTTCTTGATATGTACCATGCAGAGGCAAAACATAACAATAACAGAAGAGTCTATCTCAAAATTTGCTGGAAACTTCATTCCATTTAACACAGAGAATCTAGTAAATACCAAATTTGACTTGCTGAGAGTTTCGTGCCTTAGAATGTAGAGAAAGCACAAAAGAGCATTCCTGTTCTGAACTTAATTGTTTCCAATAAAGAAGAGCTAGTTGGTGACATAGAAGTGACAAGAACCTTATGAGGAAGGGACTCATGCTAGAGCTTAAAAAACCACTGGACATAATTAGAGATTTTTAGAAAAGTAGGTATCAGAAACATCTCAGAAAAAAAGATATAAATCCATACCTCTAAAAAAGAAAAGAAATACTTAGAACTAAAAATTTAGCACTGTAATTACAAATTGACCTGGTGAGGCTGAATTAGGGGGGTAACGAAGGAAACAAATGATTTGGCTCTGCAGGGGGCTTGGATATTTTAGAGGATTATTTAACAGAAAGATGGGGACAAGCCAGGAATGTTTATCATGGTGGCCCAGTTCCATACAAACAGTGCATGAAGTCCAAAGGCAAGTATGACATGAAGATTTTAAAAACTAGAGAGGAAAACAAAAAATATTTTTTAAAAACTGTGTTTGAAGTAGAACATAGAGATGCTGTAATGTTAGAGGCGGTTACAGTGGAAAAGCAGATGTTGTGATATTGAGATGACAGGGAAAGGCAGCCCCACCCAGACTCGAAAGAGGGAGTCATGACCCTGGAAAGTGTAGATCACCCTGGCTAAGAGGAGGAGGCATGTGGGGTAGGAGCTCAGACTGGAAGCCAACTAGCCTAAGTTCCTGATACAGGGTGGTGACAGTGCTGTCAGGTAATCTGGATTGAAAAGAGATAAATTTCCTAGAAACATTTAATGAAAGATGTCAACCAGCTCTAGTTAACTTCTAAATTGTGAAACACGTACGAGGAATCTTGGAACCTTGACTGCTGTAGGCTGCTGCAACTTTGCTCCCTATTTCTAAGAGGTTATCTATTCACAAAGAAGATATCAGTACAGTTAACCAGCAAGTTCAGGAAATGGAACAATCCAGGTAGCCAAAAGGATTCATCTACTATCCCTTGGCCTAATTCTCTTCCTTCTCTGAAATCAAGCCAAACAAACACTCTGCTTGACCGTGCTTATCTGTGTGGTCTATTTGTCATATAAATATTTGCCAATGCAATATTTCTCTCATTGAGACTTCTCAGGCAGACTGTTTAGATGGATGAATTGAGGGCTCATGTTGTGTCCATTTTCTTGACATCTTAGCCATTTTTATTTTGCCTTCAGACTTTCAACTGAAACTGCACTAGCATCTTAAATATCTCTTATTTTCCCTAGCTTTTTTTTTCACTCTCATCCCTCTCCTGCTCAACTCTCTGCCCTTCTGGTTTCTGTTTTCTTGGCTGCCTCCTCCATAGTCCCATCCTCTGATAGGGTTATTCTCCACTCTTTCTACTTTCCTGCACATTTTCCATTTGAATATTTTATTTGTTTTATTTTTACCTCATACTCAACCTCAAATTCAAAATATCCTTTCTCTCAACACTGTCTCTTTTCCAAATTTACTTTCTTAAACATGAAGCTTTAGGAAAGCTTTAGGAGTCAGCAGCTCCTTCTCTTTGTCCCTTTGTCACTAAGTTTTGTGGATTCTTCTTTGGCCCTTCTTCCTTCTTCTCCAGCCCTTCTTCCTTCTTCTCCCTACCAGAAGAACCGGCTGACTCCTCCCTCCCTACAGTGTGACAGGAGAACCATTTGCTCCTCTACTACCTCCCATCCGGTGCCTCCCCTCCCCATCTCTATTCAGCAAGGCCAGGTCCAAACGCTGTTTGCCTCCTTTGTGCTTGGACCACACCAGTAACTCTCCTCTTTATTTCTAAATTTTTATGTATTGCCAGCTCATAATCAGCATCTTATTTCCATATAGTTCTGTTCTCCAAGTGCCTGTTACATTACTTAGCCACATGTCTGTGACAGTACATGATGCTAACAGCGTATCATCTTAAACAGATTTGTCACCCAGACTACAAAAGCGTTGTAGTCAGGATTGCTGGGTTTGGTATCCCAGAGTTACCTAAAAGTGCTAGGCAAGTTCTGAATTCTCAGTCAACAGACTGTAAAATAGGTCAAATAACGCTATTATCAAAAATTGTGATAAGCATTAAATCAAATAATGTAAGTAAAAGAGCTGGTCCAGAGCCTACAACACAATTGTCTCTGAACAAATATTAGTATCTCTTGTTTCTTCCATCCTTGAAATTCTGCTAGAATAAGCTTAATTTATATTGAATTGTACATTTAAAACAAAGGAGGAAGAAGCTCTACCAGATTTTGATTTTGAAAGCTGAGAAAGCCAGGGAAGTAGCTTAATGCTAACATAACCTCCAACCTCCTCTTCCTTGAGGCTTTTTTTTTGGGAGGAAGGGGTACAGGCATACCTCGTTTTACTGTGCTTTGCAGATACTGCTTTTAAAAAAAAATACAAATTGAAGGTTTGTAGCAACCCTGCATTGGGCAAGTCTATTGGCATTTTTCCAATAGCATATGCTCACTTTATGTCTCTGCGTCACATTTTGGTAATTTTCACTATATTTCAGATTTCTTCATCATTATTATGTCTGTTGTGGTGATCTGTGATTAGTGATCTTTAATGTTCATTGTTTTGGGGCACCACAAACCATTCCCATATAGGACTTAATCAATAAATGTTATGTGTGTTCTGACTGCTCCACTGGCTGGTCATTCCCCTTCTGTCTCCTTCTCCTCCATTTTTCTCTGAGATATAATATTGAAATTAGGCCAAATAATAGCCCTGCAGTGGCCTCCAAGTGTTCAAGTGAAAGGAAGAATCTCCCATCTATCACTTTAAATTAAAACCTTTTAAAATCAAAATTAAGCTTAGTGAGAAAGGCATGCCAAATGCCGAGACAGGCCGAAAGCTAGGTCTCTTGCACCAAACAGCCCGCAAAGGAAAAGTTGAAGGAAATTCAGAGTGCCACTCCAGTGAACAAATGAATAAGAAAGCAAAACGTCCTTATTGCTGATGTGGAGAAAATTTGAGTGATCTGAATAGGAGATCAAACCACCTACAACATTCCCTTAAGCCAAAGCCTAATCCAGAGCAAGACCCTAATTCTTTAACTCTGTGAAGGCTGAGAGAAGTGAGCCTTCTCTCTTCAATGCTATGAAACAGCATTGCATGCTATAGAGAAATCTTTCATGAAAGGAAGAGTCCATTGATGCAGCAATCTTCATTGTTGTCTTATTTTAAGAAATTGCCACAGCTATCCCATCCTTCAGCCGCCACCACTCTGATCAGTCAGCAGCCATCAGCAGCAAGGCAAAATCCTTAACCAATGAAAAGGTTACAACTTAGGCTGAAAGCTCAGATGATTGTTAACACTTTTTTATAATAAAATATTTTTTAAGAGATTGGGGTCTCACTGTGTTGCCCAGGCTGGCGTGCAGTGGCTATTCTCAAGCATGATTGTAGTGCACTGCAGCCTTGAACTCCTGGGCTCAAGTGATTCTGCCTCAGCCTTCTGAGTAGCTGGAGTTACAGGTGTGCACCACTGTGCCTGGCTAATAAAGTATTTTTAAATTACGGTATGCACACCGGGCTTTTTTAGACATAATGTTATTACATAATAAGCTACAATATAGTGTAAACATAACTTTTACATATGCTTGGGAAACAAAAAAATTCGTTTGACTTGTTTTATTGCAATACTCGCTGTATGGCAGCGGTCTGGAACCAAACCTGCAATGTCTCTGAGATATGCCTGTGTTTGCAGAAGAATTGTTGCAGCCACATGCTACCCACCCCTGATTATTGCTCATCATAATAATTACTGTGGCATGTGAAATATTCCATTATGTCCAGCCTTTTTTAAAGATTTACAAATAGCATAGGTGTGCAAGATTTGGTAATGGCTCTCCCTGATTTGTAGTGGAGTAAATGTCTGAGAGTCTCTGTTGGCCAAGGCCGGGTATCTTAAAGGTTGCTGTGGTATTGACATCATATGCAGAGTTCTAGATAACTCAGTGTAGCAGTAACTTATTTTAATGGAAAAACCAGTGACTTGATATTAAAAGAAAAATCTCTACTCTTTGCGTCTTTTACAGACAGCCCTTCCTTCATTCCTAAACCAATTCTTGATTCAGTAAATTTTTAACTTGTTTCCAAGTGCAGTAAAACATATGACTTTAATAGAAATGTGAAATTAAATCTAGCTTATGATATGATAGCCTGTTACTATTTAAAATGAAATATTTTTGAAATGTAATCTGTTTCCTCATTTATAATATTCAATACATATTTATTTTCTGTCCCTATGTTTTATTTTCTCTGTAAGTTTTCCTTGTGCTTTTGAACACAGCACAGATCTTAAAAGGTGAAACAGTAAAGCAAGACAGGTCAGCAGAGAGACAGGATAGTATTATCATCAATGTGGTGTACTGGGAGAAGCCAGAAGAAAGCTAACCTTGATGTGAAGGAATTGGGGTAGCTTTCAGGAAGGAGATGACATCTCAGTCTTAAAGGACAACAAAAATTTCATGAAGGGTGAAAGCAATAGTATCCTCCAGGCATCAAGAAGTGCCCAAGAGGTGTGAGAACCCTTGGATGTTTAAAAAGGCACAGAAAGGGCTTCTTGGTGCAGAGCTGGCACTCGGCAGTTGTTAGTTACCCGGGGTTCCCATGACGGGGTGTCAGTGGGTGTAAAGGAATATGAGGCTGGAGGTGTAGGTTGGGGGCATATTGTTAGCATCTTGACTAAGACAGTTAACGCTAACATTTTAGTTTGGAGTTTATTCTTTAGTTACAGAGAAAAAGTTAGCTGTTGGAGTAGAAGAGTAGCATAATGAATTTCTCTCCTTTCTTTCTGTCTCTCTCAGATGCTAATTTTGACAAAAGTAGGAAGAGTGGATTGGAGAAGGCAAGGACTCTCATAGGTGAGAGGGAAGCCTCTAGTTGCATTAACTGGGAGAGAGCACACATGAAAGGCACCGACTTTTAGTGGTTCTCTCTTAGTCCCAAAACTCCAGCATCTCCCTGTGTTCCCCAGATTTGACCATGCTTTTATTTTTGTTATCTACAAATAGGGCCCAATGAACCACTTGCTTTTCTGAAACCACTAGCTAGTTTGTTGAATGCTGATTTAAATTATTTTTTGAGACAGAGTCTCACTCTGTTGCCTAGGCTGGAGTGCAGTGGTGTGATCAGCTCACTGCAACCTCTGTCTCCCGGGTTCAAGCGATTCTCCTGCCTCAGCCTCCCAAGTAGCTGGGATTTAAAAGAATATTTTAAGTTATTCTTACTGTCATAAGAAATTAGGGCAACTAACAGGAGAAGGACAACTTGAAATGGTTATATTCATTATTTGTACATCTCCATTGATCTCTGTAATACTAAGATTTCTTAAGCAATCCATCTGCTAAAAGATGTTTTCTCTCCACCCTGAAATTAAATAATCATCGCTTTTATTACAAAATGATTAGGCTACCTTTAGGGTAAAATTTGAAAGTGAAGGCATTCTAATAAATTAAATAGTTTTTTGATGCTTAATCAGCTTTTACCCTATTATGAAGTTACCTTCAACATTTACTCTGAAAGGAGCAATGGGCCCAACAGACCCAGTGTTTTGAAATCTCTATGTAAATAGGAAATCCTTTGGAATGTATAGAAATTACCTGAAATAGGAGAGCCCTTATTTTCAATACAAAAGAATGATCCTATGATGAGGTAGGAAAATCATTCCACCCAGGAGGGACTCAGTTCTCACTTTTAAATTGAAGAGAGAATTTTGAGTTAGGGGACCCAAGGTCAAATGACTTGACTCAGTCCAAAAAGCCTGAACATACCCTTAGTTATTACATTTATTTTAGAAAGAAAGAGACACACATGCTTCACATGTATTCTACACAGGAGTATTCAGATTGCTATGCAGATGTGACAGACATAGACCAAAGGTTTCATTGCCTGCATTCGGCATCATTCTAAAGCAACGCCTCTGAGTCTTAGAAACCCGAAGCTCTTCGTGTAGGGTTAAATTAGAGGCTAATATAAGGAAATAGCTTCTCTTTAAGATATAATTTACCCTTTATGTGTTATCTTCCAAGCAAATTGAAGAACTGTCTTACTGCTGGTGATGGTGATAGTGGTTATGGTGTATTTAACTCACAGGCATTACAATAAAATATCCACAGATGATTTTTTCTTTGGTAGCTACTACATCTCAGATAATTGAGATTAGGACATATTGAGCTATATTATATTGTATTGTAGTTGTTTGAATTTTCTGTTTTTTTTAAAATGGTATTTTACAAAGCTACTGAAATCTGTATCTAGTGAATTTTTATTTCTTATATTTCTTTGAGGGTCGAGGAAAGAAAAATAAAAGTAAACAAAAACATAGGGTTGTGGGCAAATAGTTCTTCTCTCATTAAGTGTGTCCTTTAAAAATTAAAAAAATAAAAACTAATCTTTATTGACTGGTAAAAAATGTTTTAGTCTTCCCAAAAAGTGAAAATTGGGTTAAAGTGATGAGTTTTCTGCAGTTACTTATAGAAAATGCATTCCATTTTTGTGTCTATTACTATTATATAGCTTCTTGCACCCATTTACAAATTTTGTTTTATAAATCATAGGATTTCTTTTGATTTCCAAATGTTTTTGTTCCAGAAAACAACTCATTTTTATCTTCTCAAGTTCTTTATTCATTGATCTAGAAGATTCTCCATACATAAAATATTAATAACAGTATTTTCTGGAACTTGGCTTGCTTCTGTTATTGCTAGCATAATAGGATGACACATAATAAATGACACAATGAGGGCTTAGACCAAGGAACTTGAGCATTTTGCTGAAAAGTGTGATCTATACGATGTGCAGTTTACAGAATTTGTCCCATCGTAAAAAGGAATGCCAATCTGCTAAGTCAAAATGTTGAGTCACTGATTGTAACTCAATTCTCTCATCATGGACAGTATTCCAGTAAGGTTCCATGTTGAAGAGTTTAACACATGATGCATTTGAGACTGAGCAAAACACAGAACCTTCGCAATCATCCCCCGTCCCCTGCCCAATAAATGGACACCAAAGCAGAGTTGAGAGCTTAAGAGCAATTGTGTAATTAACTGAATCTTCTTCCCATTCATCTCTTGGGTAAGCGAAATATAGAATCCTTTTCTTTTTCATGTTAGTTGCATCATTACTTCTCTTGGTTTAGAAGATTGTTGGCACTTTAAGTAATACTTTATGTACAGTACTTCTTTGACATACCAAGGTATGTAGTCTGAAGACTTTTGGAAATCCCCAGATTTCACAGAAATAATTTTAGCATCACAGAAAAAGAAAATCCCATGAAATAAATACCTGCTTCCCAATAGAGAACCATCTCATACCTCTGTGTATACTTTCTTCGATTTTATCATTAGAACTGTCAGTCGGTTTGTCTTCTTAGGGGGTGGCAGTTTTCAAAAATTAACACAGTGTTTAATCCCCTCTTGAAAATTGCTGTGTACACAATTAGAACAAAACCTTATTGAAATATGGACCTTAGGTAATGGGCTATGCTTCTTCACTGGCTTCATAACGTGCTCTCCTCTGTGAGAGTATCCACAATTCAAATGTGTGCTGTTGCAGTATTAAGCATAACTGCACGTCAGGGAATTTTAATGTCATCCTGAGTTGTTGAAACCTCAAATATTAATTATTACCAAGTACCTACTTCATACATGCATTTGATATTTTGACAGAAAATCTCAGTTATGTCTATTTTCTAATGTATCCTTAGTATAAAATCTGCTGGTAAGCATGGATATTTAGAAATTTAGCCAATCTTCGTTATTGTCAGTTGACCTTTTTCTTTAGGGTATCTTTTTGTTACTCCTAGGCATGATAAAGAGCCATTCTGTCTTCTAATGCCCAAATACTGCACACAAGCTGTTGGCAAACCCGTTTTAATATCAGCCTTAGCAGAAGTTAATTGGGGAGCCGGCACTGGAAATAATTATCATAACCATAAGAATTTTTTTAAAAATCACCCTTTCCTTCTCTGTGATTGAAGATAGTATTTACATCCTTTCCTTGTTCCTTTATATGAGCCTTGGATTTCTGTAGCAGCAGCTTGGGGATATTTAACCATTATACGAAGGTGAAAGTACTGTCATCAGGAATAAAAGCCTCTAAAATCTTTATTTGGCAGTTGTGCTTGGTTTTATGTAGAATTTCCTTATTGAGTTACTGTTGAATCTCAGAAATGTATAACTTTTCCCTTCATCTTTAGTTCATAATAAATGCATGTGAAAAAAAATTCTGTGTAATGTGTAAACATCTAAATAATGCTAGCAGCCAAAAATTGTCTAATGCTTGTTGTCTCCCGATAACTATGCCAAGTATTTTATTATTTAACCCTTAGAAGAGTTTTATGAGCAAAATTATCATCTCTAATTTTCTGTCTTAGTCTGTTATCTGCTGCTATAATAGAATACCACAAATTAGGTAATTTATAAAGGAAAGAAGTTAATTTGGCTATGGTTCTGGAGGCTGGAAAGTCCAAGAGCATGATGTTGGCATCAGGTGAGGGCCTTCTTGCTGCTTCATAACATGGAGGAAGAACAAAATGAAGTTGAAAGATATTTCTTTTTCTTATTGCTTAGGATAATACAGCTGATAATGGTGGAGCCAGAACTTAAGAATGGACAGTCTGACTCCAGAGCTCATCCTCTGAACCACTGTGCTTTCTGCCTCTCCAAGTGTACCCTGAATGCTACTTTATTAACTTCCTCTTTACCTCATCAGCACCCTTGCTTCCTCATCAGCACCACAAACTACAATAGACTAATTTCTCCAGGACCCTAAGAGATATTGGGCCATGATAGATTTAACAAGATTTTATTAGAAAAAGCACCTTTTCTTATGTCCACTTGAATAGCCAATAAAATAAAAAACTCAAAATAAAGGCAGGAGGATAGAGGAGGAACCTGTCTTTCCTGACATCTAGCAAAATAATCCCTTTTAGCATAGCTGGTCATATGAAACTCAGCTCCTGGTTAGCTGTCTAATGTGCAGCTCCCCAAGATTACACAGCATAGAGAAGGTATCCAACTTGTCATTTGCTAGGCGCCTGAGAGGGTTTGTGCATATATGAAAAGAAACAATTTTTTAGGGGTCACTGTCTTACAAGTCCTAATACTGCTTTAGAAAATAATGGGCATATAAGAACATTATAGTTTTGCTGTAAGTATAAATCTGATTAAAACATAAGATCAAGACACTTCGGGGAGAAGTGAATGGTGAATCCCATTTTTTTTGTAATTTAACAAATATTTATTAGACATTATGCCAGTGATTTTTCTAGATACTGCACTGAGACATTTTCCACCTTTAAGGAGGTGTAGAAAATGAACTTCACACATAATGTAGATCAGAATGTGAGAGATAGAAAGTTACTACTGAGATTACAAAGTAGGGAGTGATTGCATGTGATGGGGGGCATCAGGCAAAGTTTGGCATTTGAATGAATCTTCAGGATGAGCTAGGCAGCCCCACCCCAGCACTGAAGACAGGACTAGCTTGCCTACCTGCCCTGTCTGGTATTCACTGATGCCATGATGGGGGGAATCTTTAACACCAGAAGAGGACTTGTACTTCACTGAGAAGGTGGGTGATACATGCTGCCCCAAGGTTTGTCCTTGATAGAATGTGGGCCAGAGGGAGGGTAGAGGAAGAATGTGGTTCAAAGATGAGTATAAGATTTGGAGTCTTAAGAAACTGGGAATTTGATATCATTAACAAATATAGGGATCAGGAGAAAGAGTTTGTTTTTATTCTTACCTGGAAATTCTCATCTACTCTCAGGGGAAACTGCAAATTGAGTGCCTGTTTGCTTTATGAGTTAGTGTACTTTTGGTGTGGCTATTAAACAGAAAGAAGTAATGCATGAATTCCAGGCTGTTGAATCTTCAGTGCAGAAGAGAGACTAGTAATTAAACATTCTGTCAGCTGAAACAGGTGTTCTGTTTGTTTATTACTCACTGATTATTTATAGTGGATTCGAAACTCTCAGTCGAGATAGCCTGTATGGTCAGCAGTGATCTCCAATACTTAATTATTTTCTTAGATGTTTATACTTTGTTTTAGGTGTATAAATTATTTGAAAAGTTGTTTTTTATTTAATAAAGTGTTTGCAACTCCCTTGATTAGAATTGTTTGACTTCAAACTGGAGACTTTTGAGACGAAATTTCGTGAGAGAGCCGTGGAACTGAGTGGGAGGAAAGGAAGATGAGTTTCCATAAATGGTGTATCTAGAATTAGCGAGAAAGTAGACTCACAGCACAAACAATCCTGACCAAGTTTATGGTGCTGCCAGGGCACATGGACTTTCTCTCCTCTTGCCTGTCTATGCGCTTACTAACTTGGCCATGCCAGACTTAACGCTTGTCTAAATTGCTTAAGGGGCCAGGACCACTTGTCTCCCTCATTTTTTCTTTGTGCCATAGCATCTTCTTGCCTCTGTTAAGTGTCACATGTTAATAAAGGAATCTGCATGGGAGATCAGCATGTGTTTGAGTATCAGCATTTGCATGTACAGCTTTAGATTTCCAGATTTACAAAGGACACTTTCCTGCAGCATAAGGACTAGTTCTTTAAAGATGAAACAAAGAGACATTCATTTGTGGTCCTCGAAACAAATTGGGCCTGCTAGCCCATTTGGACAGGAGCACTGATGCTTTCCAAGTGGGCTTCCAAAGTGTTTCATCTTCACCTTCAAAGCCAGGCCATAAATTGTGGAATTGTTTTCACTGTCCCTTAATATGAGGCATAGCTTTTGCTCCAATGCTTAACCTATTTCAATGCCCCTGTGTAGCTGGCTAGATAATATTTTGTTTCTTAGATTTTCCTCCACCACCCCTATTCATTACCCTTAGTTTAAGTTTGACAGCATGCAATTACCTTTTAAAAGCCATACTTATTTAATTTTGGCTCTGATTTTTGAGGCACAAGAATTTGAGCATTTATTTAATTAAAAAGTTTATTGAACTTTTTTCATCTCTAGTCTGAATTACAGAACTTTACATCTCTTCTAGTCAAGTGGCTGTTAACGAGGAACACGCACCAGAATCAAAATTTACATGTCAGGTCCTTCTATAGATTCAGGAGTCAGAAGACAGAGAGATACTTAATGGAGAAACAGCATAACAGGCACTTATACTAAAGAGCACAGGCTCAGAGCTTTCCACCTGGCCCCGCCTCTTGTTTGAGCAAATTTCTCAACCTCTCTGTGCCCCAGTTTCCTTACCTATAAAGTCGGGATAATCATAATATCTGCAACGTAGGGTTCTTGTAGGGACTAAGTGGGTTAATGTCAAGTGCTCTGAACACTTTTGGCATGTATTAATGTTACTGCTACTGGGAAGCTTTTTTAAAGCTTCTAATGGTCAATCCCAGTTGAGAGCTTGATTTCGTCTTTTTATGTTATAACTGAAAAAGCTGAGGCTCAGGGAAGGTTAAATGACCTTTTTGGAGTCACAAAACTAGGAAGGGGCAGGCTTGGGAAAAGAGTCCATATCTCCTGAAATATCCACTCTTCTTGATTTGCCACTTTACTTTTCACAAGTGAATGTTACACTTAACTCTGCTCTTTATCATGAGGATGAAATATCTGTACTTCAGTTTCTTGCCAAAGAACTTAACTTTGTCCTCTCCACTGGGCAGGTCTTGACACAAGCTCTTCGAAGAAATAAGATTTATGAAGAATTGTATGAAGGATTTGGAGTTTCTTTGTTCATCACAGAGCTTCCCAACTTGGCAGACAGAGGAAAGGATAATATTTGTATTATGTTATATTGGCATTGAATTAGATTATGTTGGATTGCCACCTATGGATGAGGCTGGTCATTGCTGGAGGTGACAGGCCCCACCCAGTCTCCAAGGGTTGACAGAATCAGCATCTCCTGACATGTTTAAGAGAACTAGTCCAGCAAGTGTAGTTTTAAAAAAATGTTCAACAAAACTATATACAAAAATATTTATAAGTGGTATTTTTAATTATATGCTTTATAAGTACAAATTTACATTTATAAACTTATCAGGGAGAACAGTGAGACAGTTTTGATAAACTCAAAAATGTGGATAACAGTTGCAGAACAGTATCAGTAACATACCTAATTTATTTCTGTATTTTGTTTTGGTTGTATGACATTTGGAAAATCCTTATGCAGCTGCAAAAGGTTTTAATTTTTAACAAGCTCATTTTGTCTTGATATCCCCTTGAATTAATCTTAATAGAAACTGGAAATAATTTTTTTGCCTCAACATTGAATTCATAATAATACAGCTATTCACGTGCCTCATAATAGATATAAAAGTCAGACCAGAAGCACCCAAAACTTAGCATCAGTACCAGTCAATGATGTCACTTTATCATGATGCAACGCGGTAGGCACTTTAGTATTATACAGCTGTCTATTAGATCATGGTGAGGGTGTGTGCCAACTAGTTGTACCTGCTCTTGGCCTGGCATTTGTTTGAGCATGATGGATGTGTAGGTCATTTGTACAGTTTTATATGAACGGACATGTGCAGACTTGAATTTCCAAAAGAATACCAACGCAGAGTTACAACTTTCCTAATCGGTGACTCACTTATACAAAGAGATAGCAGGAGATACATTTGTCTAGTGTCAGCACTTGAAGCAACTTAATGTAGATGTGGTCATCAGTAAGTTAACATTTGTTGTGCTATATATTTGCCTGCATTTCCTATTATTTGTTTTTGTACTTAAAGGCTAAGAAGTCTTTAAATACAAAATATTCATATGGAAAATTGATGGAACCCCTAAAGTACTTCTTCAGAGCCTAATTTGGTAGCCACTGTTCCAAGGAATGTGCCATTTATCCCTGGATGCAGCAATATTATCAGAAAGCCTTGTGCATTAACCACATAGCTATTTGCCCTTGTAGAATTCCAGTACTTGGGCCCCAGGTGATCCCTTGACCGTGCATTGCACATAGAGTATGGCTTTTAGGAGGAACCACAGGAAGACGCTCCTTCCGGCATTAGAGCTGGGAAAAACAGAACTTCTCTTAAGCCCAGGACCTGGTTTTACTCTAATGAATACTCAATTTCGTAATGTTGTATTTCCCTATGTTCACTACTAAGAAGTTATGAGTCAGCTTTGCATCCAACATTAGCAGCTCTGCAGGATCTCACTTTCAGGTTCATGTGTCTGTGGAAAAACTACTCCTGGGTTGATTTTTTCTTCACTTACCTTGAACTTTATATCTATTTTTGTCTTGTGGTGTTGCATATATTTTTGCCAGCAGCCTCAAACTTTTTGGGGAAAGAGGTAGAAGCAAATGTTTCTCATGCTCTCTGTTTGACTACCCTTAAAATCACAGAAGGAACATTGCTTAGTCACCTTCTTTTTTCAGTTTGTATAGCAATCGTTATTTTTATTATCAAAGTGGCTCACTTGGGAATGCTGATATTTTGGATATCTAATGCATTTCCATTGGAAAGGAGAATCTGGTCCCTTCTCTTAATGGCCCTGCAAAGAAATTAGTGGATGCACAACAGTTTCCTGGACTGTCAGTAAACATTAAAGTCAGCAAATACTCAAAATCATGATTTCTAGCAACTTTTAGCTTGATTGACATCTTTGTTGAAAGTTTTTTAAAATGTGATTTTTCTTATACCCATTCTTGGTAGGAATTTACTTTGGCATTGAATTAATTGCCCCGCCTTTAATTATTTGAAGACAGGAAACATTCAGCAACTTGCCTGGATATGTGTTTCATATGCAGAGGTTTGTATTACCTGTATTTTGCCTGCTTAATAAATCACAATTTAAAAGTATTGGTTCTGACTTTTAAACCTCCTGTGAGGTATGCATCTGCTTCATTCTCTCTTTTTTTTTTATTATTTATTATACTTTAAGTTCTAGGGTACATGTACACAATGTGCAGGTTTGTTACATATGTATATATGTGCCATGTTTGTGTGCTGCACCCATTAACTTGTCATTTACATTAGGTATATCTCCTAATGCTATTCCCTCCCCCCTCCCCCTACCCCACGACAGGCCCCGGTGTGTGGTGTTCCCCTTCCTGTGTCCAAGTGTTCTCATTGTTCAGTTCCCACCTATGAGTGAGAACATGCGGTGTTTGGTTTTTTGTCCTTGAGATAGTTTGCTGAGCATGATGGTTTCCAGCTTCATCCATGTCCCTACAAAGGACATGAACTTATCCTTTTTTATGGCGAATAGGAACACTTTTACACTGTTGGTGGGACTGTAAACTAGTTCAACCATTGTGGAAGACAGTGTGGCGATTCCTCAAGGATCTAGAAATAGAAATACCATTTGACCCAGCCATCCCATTACTGGGTATATACCCAAAGGATTCTAAATCATGCTGCTATAAAGACACATGCACACGTTTGTTTATTGCAGCACTATTCACAATAGCAAAGACTTGGAACCAACCCAAATGTCCAACAATGATAGACTGGATTAAGAAAATGTGGCACATATACACCATGGAATACTATGCAGCCGTCTGCTTCATTCTCTACCTGAGTTCCTGATAAACCTCTTGATAAATTCCCAGCCTTGAGCATGAAGGAACATTCTTCTGGAAGCAGTTCATCATGCCATTGTTGTTCATTCCTTTCTTTTCCTCCTCTCCCCTGCTTTCCTTTCAATGTCTGCCTAACAGTACCAGCGTTTCCTTGGCTTGTGTAGACAGTAATGATATATCTGTTGTGAGTCTTTCTGGATTGCTTTTATTTCTTTACAGGGCTGTTCATTTGTACCTCATTGTTATTACACAGATGTAATGGTTTTTCTGACCTCTGATACTGCTAGACCAAGATGTACTCCATGGGTCCCACCACTGACAAATGTCCAGGGCAGAAGAATTTTAATACCACATTGAGGAGAAATGAGGAGATGCTTCCTAAATGATCTTGGATGGGAGCAGATTAGGCAGTCTTCCATTCTCCACTTGTAATGCTGTTAGTGTTTAAAACTTCCATCAGCAGGGTCCTCGGAGTGCTGCTGCCACACTGACACGGTTGCCAGGCTGTCTTACGATGGCTACAAGACCTTATATTTTCTGCCTCCTCTCCCCATAACTTCTCTGACTTTATCTCCCCTTACTGTCCTCCATCACTTCACTTCAGCCATAGTGGACTCCTTGGTGTTTCTTAAGTGCACCAGGCCTTCCACGTGCCTTACACCAGGTTTTCCTCCTCTGCCTGCACTGCTCCTCCCCTGGATCCTTCTGACTTGTTCCTTCATATCCTTCAGGACCTTGCTCATGTCACCTTCTCCATCAGCTTACTTCAGCCACCCTTTAAAAAATTGTAATCTGCCTCCACTTCACCTGGGCATTCTCAATCTCAACCCCCCTCCACCCCCCCACCCCGCTTTGCTTGTGCTATTGTCATAATACCATCCCCTAACATATTGTATAATTTGCTTATTTTTGCTTATTATAAGCAAAATCAGTAAATATTTTTGAATGAAAGAATAAAATGCTGCTTTATATGGCACAAAGGAAGGCTGGGTATGAGCCCAAATCCCTAATTGCGGAGGCATTTTTATCTTGATAGCCAAACTCATGACCTATTCCTGGGGTACATATTTCTCTCCCTCCCTCCCTTCCTTTCTCTCTCTCTCTCTCTCTCTCTCTCTCTTTCTGTCTCTGAGATGAGCAACTAAAATGTAGTGAATGTGGATTACTCAGTGCTGGGAAAGGCTGTGTTGAAAATGAAGGCTCTAGGATTTGCCACAAGAACAAACTTTATCCTCCCACATGATACATATTCTTCTCTATCATCCTGGATTTTTTTCATCTATTTATTGTTATGTGTATTTCTGTAACACATCAAGTCATTTTTGTAATGAAGCAGGCTACGAATAAATACATCTATTAAGCAGTGGTAAATAATCAGATACTTTTAGCCTCTGGCTCTTCATTGGTGACATCAGCAAATTAAACCAGAGATCAGAAATAAACAAGCAAGTGGCCATGTACCACCTCATTTCCTCTCTCCTGGCAGAATTGCTAATAAATAGATGAGAATACTCTTTCCTACTGTGCCTGGCTGAGCCTCGGAATCTTTCCCTATACAATACAACCACTAGTAACTCATCAGAGTGGGCATGCAAGAGGAAAGCTATTTGAAACTCTTGGCAGATTCCTTTCTGCTCTGTGATCCAAAAAAGGAGAAATAAAGGATTTCTCTTCATCTTTCTAAGGTCCTGGAACCTTGCTTGTTTCAGATTTTTTGGTATTAAATATCCCTCTATAAAACATTAATAAACTCAAGTAATCATTAACTGGGCTGTCTTCCAGTATAGTCAAGAAATAAGTTATACTAATTCATCAAGTTTTCAGATTATAGAGTTTTACCTTATATGTCTTATATGAATCGTCAATTTTCAAAGCAATAGGATGCATTGAGATACATTTTCTTATCATCATTCACATTACATTTATCACTTGCATTCCAGACTCATCATTAGGACCAATTACCATTGAATTATGCTTGTGCTGAAGAGCTGCTTATGATAGATTTCTTGTCAATCAGGTGCTTCATCTCTAGGTCATATGCTGTATTTGATCAGTGCAGGTTGATAGTCATTAGACAAGCTCTTCAGGCTCAGCCATCAATGAGAAGCACTTGAAACAGTCAGCCTCTGTGAAAGCCATTTCATTCCTGCCTCATTTTTGCCTTTGTCCTGTGTTCTTTGCTGTTGATTTTTTACCTTTGCCTTCTAGGGTATGTCTCTTTGTAAGCTACCCTAAGTCCTTTCTAAAACAAGACAGGCTGTAATATGTATACATGCTACATACATAAATACACATACACACATACCTGCACATAAGCATTTATGTTTGAATGTGTAGATGGGTAAATGTCATTTTTATTCTTGTAAGTAAATGAAAAACATCAACCAGAAACTTTTCATTCCTCTGGTGAAGAGGATATTTTGAATGAGACACCTTTAAAATACCTTGTTGGGGAGCATTTGGGATATCAAATGCATATACTCTTTTGGGAAAATAAATCCAGTATTGGCTTGGGGTGGATTTATATAATGGTTTACTTTCTCACTATGTTTTAGGTGCAATACATAGCATCCTTTAATTGGATCACAATTAGGAAAACTTTTTCCGGTAATAAAATTAGAGATAATCACTGTGCAGGCCATTGTTCTGTTCTAGAATGGTCAAAGCTCGGAAATACCACTCCTGCCTATTTTCCATGCATTAGACGGTGCTTAATTTGTTGCTGTTTATTTTAGCCTCATTTCTCAATCATGGACTCTGAATTAAGATTGAAATAATGAATATGAAAGCACTAAGTAATAAAGCACTCTATTCAAACAGAAGATTAAGGATATCAGGGCTTCTACTGGTGTGTTATTGGGCTAGATTTGAGACATTGCCCTTGAAGTGCAGCAAAATTCCTTAGTCTAAAAATGTTATGAATCATAATATATATGAAGGTACTTTTGTATGGTGTTAGAGATCAGTAAAAATGTAATTCTCAAAATGACAACTTCCACAGATAGAAATTGGTAGACAGACCTTCAGGTGATTTCACCCATAGTATTCAGGGCTGGTTTATACTGGTACTTGTTGACCTTCGATGAGAAAACTGATTAGTTCTACTACTGTCTTGTGTTCACCACCATTTGCTTAGAATAATTTTCCAGTTCTGTAGTCTTACTTGATCTTTGGCATCACTGGAATTCATTATTGTGGCTGTCTCTTACATCACTGGATATCACACTGATGCTGTAAGAGGTGATAAAAGTAAGGTTTAAGATGGTGTTTAAATAAACATAGTATGGTGTTATAACCATTACCTTAAAATTTGTTTGAGAATCTTGTGTTTTGGCAAGGTTGTATTTGCTTTGGTGGTAAAGTTGTTTGAAATGTCTTGTGAGCAGTTATGTTGAATTTTTCACTGAAACTTTAAACCATTTGAATTCGTACATCTACAGAGGCAATAGAATACAGCTTTAGCATTCTAAGCAATTAATTGCCGGCCCTTAGTGAAAAAAAAGAAAAAAGCCATGGTCCCACCTCTGCATTAATACTCAAAGTGGATTTTTTTCCCCTTTAGTTCAAAGTCATTCATTTTTCTGATATTCATTTCTTACATGATTTAAGTTAAAGCTGAAAGACTCTGACAGTGGTTTTATACCTATTTTTTTCACTGGTGATAAGAAAATATCTTTTTTTCTTAGTACTGCTAGAAAAGGAAACAATGAAGTTTCTTTCATAATCATTCTTTTCAAAGTTTGCTTTTTGAGCAGAACTTCCTTGTAATATTATATTTAGTTTCAATTTATCAGGGAATCCAAATGAAAAATAAGGTTTTCTTTGGTGTATTTTGGAAGGTAGCTTTAAGAAATTTTGTTCATAACTCTATAGTGTTTAGAGGATTTTGTTATTGTCTAAGACTGCTAATTTCTGTTCTTCAGTTTTTCCATTCCATTGCATTGCCTTCAGAGTCTTAAGTTTTAGGAAGGCTTAAAACAATTGAAAGATTCAGTCTTAGGATTAATCATTGAGAGAATTAATATGTAGCACCTATTGCTTGCTGGCTGTCTTCATCCTAACCCCATTCCTGCATTGGTTAATGTATCTTCAGGAGGAGTGGACGGATGATGGAAGCTTTTCCAGTTTTACAACATGAGAACTCAGATCAATTTAGGTTCACTTTTTAAATGGATTTAAAGGAGATTTGGATATTTTCTGTGATTTGTCTCTATTTTAAGGATATGTTCTAATTCTCATTTTATACCATTTTGATAAACAAAATCCCTCCTTAGAAAGACAGGAAAGCAGGCCACTCTTCTGAAAGAATGCCCAGGCTGCCCCAGGGCCCCATGCAGCACCAGGAGACCCCATGAACTGCTGCCCACTTTGCTTAGTGTTTGTGTCATACAAGGAGTTAAATACTTTTAGCATCACTTCTGGACTGGCATATTCATGTTAAAGAGTACATTCCTACGGTCGGTAATATCGCAGCCCATCTCTGATAACTGTAAAGACCCAGAACAAAAGAGGTCAAGAGCCAAAGCTCTAGCTAAAAGTTTTTTTAAGAAGGGGCATACCTGGGAGAAATTCAGTGGTTGAGAAAACCCTAAAGACCGGAGAAGGCTTCCAAGATTTGGGGAAAATTTGTTTATCAAGTAATTCAACAAATATTATTGAGAGTGCCTACTATGCCGGGTTCTGGGAAGTGAAAAGTGAAGTTACTAACGCTCCTTCACTCTGAACAGCCATTGTCTGCTTGCAATACCAATTTTGACACCATACTTTGTATAGCCTGGACTGTTACAGTGGTATCCAACCTTCTTTAAGTTTTAAATCTAGCGTTATAAGGAAAGATTGTTCCCACTACTCACCACCCACTTCTGAAGTGATCATCAAAATATTTAACAGTTAGAAAACAGACTCTAGCCAATCAGAACAAGCACTGGAAAACTGAATATTATCCCCATTCTGCCCTCCCATGGGGAACTTCTCTGACATTTTTCAATGGGATTTTAAGGGATATGATTTATGTGAGCTGTCTTCTCAAAGAATAAGTAAAAGACAAAGCATATGACTTGGAGTCAGTTTAGAAACAGATGACCTGACTTCGGACCTTGGACCTACCAGTTACCAGCAAGGGTTGCTTACAAGCCAGTCTTTAAGAATGCACTGAATATTTGCGTTTCTGTTTCTTTATCTTTAAAATAGAAATGCTGTTACATGGAATATGAATTTCTAATCTCTACTTCAGGTCTCCTCACTTTCATCAGGTGTGGGCGGTTTCAGGTGCCACTTGAACTCCACAGTGGTCCCTGAAACACTACTAGCCTCCCCGTATAGGCTTAACTTCCTGCCTTTAAATGTTAGTAACTCACCCTTTCCTCCCTCACCTTTATTTTCAGCTGCTCTCTATAAACTGATCATTTCTGGTATGAAAATGTCTGGTATAGCCCTCTTTTCTGGGCTGTTGTCTTGTTTTTCTGTCTACTAGTCTCTAGGACTCGAGTGCCCTCTGAGTTACTCTACTTAGCATTGTGGGTTTCACAATAGGAAGAAAAAGAGTTTCCAGTTTCATTTCTTCTGAAATTACCATGTAATCTTGGGCAAATTTGCCTGAGACTTGGTGTCCTTTCTTGTAAAACAGGCGTAAAATAGTAACATTCTAAGCTTATTTGTAGGAGATACATAGAGGTATGTATCCTATCATGTAGACCACCAAACCTAAGAGACTCATAGCTAGAAATGTCTATTAATATATCTTTATCATTATATTTTAAGTTAAAGATGATACGTCACTTTTTTAGTCTGGGGAGTTATTGTATACTAGGTCCAGTTTAATAAGCTTTTATTGGGCATCTACTATGTGTCCAGCACTGTGCTAAATGGTGGGATGATATGAAGCCCAACCAGCAGAGCCCCCCATAGCTCATGGTACCTAACACCCATCTGTACTGTAATAATGGGTTTTCTTCTCTGTTCTCTCTAGTGTCTGAACTGAATGCTAACACTTAGTAGGCACTCAGTAAATAGTTGCAAAATGAACACAGTTGTAAATGTTTTGCCATTTCCATGCACTTGGCTCTTGAAAATTAAAATTTGACCTCCTTTTGAATAATTTACACCTTTATAGAAACCATTGGTGTTTCCATATACTGTTGGAGTCGTAGACTAAAGTGTTCATTAAGAATGAAACAACTTCTAGAAATAACAACAACAAAAAACAAAAGAAAAATGAAGTGTTCATCAAGGCAGGCAAAACATCATAGATAGGGAATGGGATGCAAAAATATATTTGCCCATCTTCTGCCTTTGGGTGTGGCTCCACGGAAGGTATCTCAGAAAGTTAAGTGCTTAATCTTGGTTAAAACTTCTAGAGGAATAAACCACTGTCTTTCTTAGTAATACCTGCTGTTCCCCCCAGTTGCTGCTTACAAGTTACCTCTTTTGCCTTCTTTACTGGCTATTGCGAGGACTATGTGGCATCGTTAGTTTTACAATTAAAATATCAGAAGTGGGTTGTTTTACCGATTTCATCTTGACTTTTAAAAAATATAACTTTCAGGTTAAAAGAAAGAAAATGTCCATTTAAAAGGTAGCAGCTGCTTTCCTAATGACAAGTTGTTCAGATTCCTAATTACTTTTCATATCTTTAATCTTGCACACCAGTGAAAAATAACTTATTCATATCTTTTGAAGATGTTATATTTGGCCAACAAAGAGTAGGATAGGAAAATATGTTTATTTAAAACATATTTGCGATTCCTATGATATTGTTTTAAATGTTAGCCTAATTTCATTCAGTAAATTCAGTTTCTTGTAGCTCATGTTCTTGAACTTTGAAAAATATATTATGCAATTTGCTAAATTAATAACGCATCAAAAGTAGAATAGAATATATTGTGGTCTTGCCTTCTGGATAGTTTATTTTTAGGTTTTAAAAAGGGGCTCCACTCTAATTATTCTCCTAATGGCAGAACAAGTGCTATAAAATAGTATTTTACAATCACAGATGCCTCATAAGAAGCCATTTTATATCGTCTTTACTCCCATTTTCTCTGGTTGATAATTAAATTTTACTCCAGGTGACTCACAGCAGAGGTCAGAACTTCCTATAATGGCAATAATGCACATTAATAACTGTGTGGTAGCCAGTAACATGATCCTTAATTAGAACCAGTAATCCGATAGGCTTAATAATGAAACAGGAGGCCCCACTGAACTTGTTCCATTTTCATATGCAGACCCAGGACAAAGCCATGGCTGTAATTTGGCTACAATAAGACAGCAAAATGTGGCTCAGTGCTGCTGTATTGCTAACTAAAATCAGTCTGTCATTTTAATGTAGACTTCTTGTTTTTAATTTTTTAAAAATTTATGACATTCCAAGAGAATTTCTGAAATGCAAATCAGCCATCTTTGAACATACAAGTAATGCACACTCTGCCTTTATTTTTAGAAATATTCACTAGAAGTCTGATTCTGTTTGCCTGAGATTCAGTGAAAAGAGGAATCTTTGAGAACTCTGCAGTTGCCCCTCCTTGGGTGTAGCATTTCACTGAAGTGAGCCTTTTTGCCCAGCTGGCAGTGGTCTTCTTCTGGATGTGGTCTGTAATGGAAGTGTTGCCTGGGATCTCAGTTTGTCTTATCAGTAAGTTTCCATGAGCTCCATGCCATGGTGGCTTCATAGGTCCCTTATTCCAGTTCATGGGAGATAATTGTTTTTTCTTTTCTTTCTTTTTGTTTTTGTTTGTTTTTGAGGCAGTCTCACTCTTGTTGCCCAGGCTGGAATGCGATGGCATGATCTCAGCTCACTGCAACCTCCGCTTTCCGGGTTCAAATGATTCTTCTGCCTCAGCCTCCCAAGTAACTAGGATTACAAGCGCCTGCCACCGTACCCGGCTATTTTTTTTTTTTTTTTTTTTGTATTTTGTATTTTTAGTAGAGATGGGATTTCACCATGTTAGCCAGTCTGGTCTCAAAACTCCTGACCTCACGTGATCCGCCCACCTCGGCCTCCCTAAGTGCTGGGATTACAGGCGTGAGCCACCTCACCCAGCCAATAATTATTTTTTCACATATCATTTGGACATCCCTAAGTTTCACTGGTAATGGGGTAATGGCAATCTAACATTTTTCACACATATATATATATATAAAGTCTGTTGATTTTCCTTTCTGAAATGCTAACTTGATATGTGCCTCTTAAGGACTTTGACATGAGCAGATGATATGGATGCTTGCTTCCGGGTGGAGTGAGTGTCTGTCTGACCTCTAGAATATGCTCTATTTCTGCTGTGACTCTAACTTAGTCTTAAGAGGAGACTTGACTGTTTGAACATTTAAATACTCTAAATAGTCCACTGGCACTATTAACAAATAAATATAATGGCTTTTAAAAATAAGCTTTTCTTATTTTGCATTACATGTGTTACATCTTTCAGTTACTGTAAGGAACACAAGTGAATAGCTGCTTAGATTATTTATGTTTAAAATTTTATGGGAACATAGATTTAGATTATTGGATACTCAAAACACATGCTTCTCAGAAGATGATTTTTGTCTCCCAGTTTAATGATATTATGCCAAGTATTAATAGAAGCCATTTTCTATGAGGAGAAGGGTCAGATATTTAAGGTAAATTTCTGTAAATGACAGTAATAAAGCAGCTGCTCAGAATTCAGGACATCTCAATTAGCCCTTTGAAAAACAAGTTACTGTCATTTGATTTCACAGGCAAGTTCATCTAGGTTTTAGGATCACATTTTAAGACTGCAAAACGAAATTTTAGTCATAAATGTTTTAAAACATATAACTAGATTGGAGGTGAAAGGTCAACCTTAGGTCTTGCCCAGGTTCATTTATCAACACAAATATTTATTGTGAGATTCAAAATGGAAGGGAAATTGAGATGTGAGATAAAATTATTTGAACATTTTAATGTACCTTGCTAGTTCAGTTTAAAACATAAAACAGATGGTAGCACAGCACAACTGCCCTATTGCCTCCCTATTTATGAACACCCATTTCTAGGAGTCCCTAAAAACAGGGACAATGTCCTTGAGATACTGTCTAATTAAGATTTATTTTCTTGTGGTTTATGGTTTGTTTTTTCAGTTCTGATTCCTTTCTGGGCCCTGAATTCTGAATTCTCCCCTCCTCACAGTGAAGATGAGATTCCCCTTCCCCTTTTGGGCTACCAAGAGGGAGACTTTCTGTCATTGACAGTGGTACCAAGTAATCAGCTTCAGTGTCAGGATGAAAGTGCCGGGACTCAGGGCTCTCCTCTGCCACAGTCACTCACCCTGCAGGAACAGTGAGATGGGTGCTGGTAGAGGGAAGGTCATTATGGGACTGAAGATGGTAGTAAAAGGGTGTTTATCACAATGTCATTTGTAATACCAAAACATTGGAAACAATATAAATACTCAGAAATAATGAGTTTATAGTGTGTTCATTAAAACATTTATTGCAGATCTTGCTTTGGAGGAATATTTAATGACATGAAAAAATTTTCATTATATGATTAAGTAAAAAGGATTTAATACTTACAGAGCCAACATCCCAGTTCTGTTAAAAAATTTTCGTTATCCCTCCACCCACTCAAACATATATTTTTTTAAGCTCTAAAATAACTAATAATTTTTCTGATTCTTCAAGACCAATTTTATAATATTTTTAAAAGAACATTTTATAAAAGGGGAGAAATGGGGAAAATGAGAGTAAACTGTGAAAATGTACTTAGTCACCAGATTCAGAACCATCATTTGGTGTATGACACTGTCTATAAAAGTTGGGTATTTAAGTTGGCTTAAAGGTATTGATCATGCCTCTAAGACTTACATGAGTTTTACAATAGCAAGTGTTAAAAAATCTGTATGTTTACTAACATGCCTATGGGTATCCCAGTTTTCTAAAAAAGTAAATTGGAAGTTTTACAAACATTAATGGATGGACAAATACTGCTAATTTATTTAGCTTTAGACTCAGGAAGTTTTCTTTGTTTTGCTAGGTTTTTTTTTCTGGATGGTGGTAACAGTTTGCCCATCTTTTATAAGTTGTATATCAGAAAATTCTTACCTACATTTCTTCCTACTTGAATTTGCACCTGCCTCAGATCTTTTTCAAGTGTTGTTGGTTCCTCACACTCCAAGCCCCCTATAATTTCTATTGTTGTTTCCTTAGGGTCTCTGTTCCACCCTTTCCCCCATGTACCCTGAGGTATGCTAGCGTGTTTCTGCTGTTACTAGATTACACCTTGGAGAACCGAAAGCTAGTGTTGGGCCTCTACCTCCTGGGAAAATGTTTTGAGAAATTCTTCCTTCTAAAGTCTTCCAGAGTCTCATATCTGCCATAAGAAGATAAACTCAAAGATGTCTCTTTTTAAAGCTGTCACTGGAATTGAGCAGAATTAGAGATGTTTTCAAATAATTGTCTCATCTGGCTACTTTAGGTATTTTAACCTATAGTCCTTAAATAAGGTTGATCCATTAATAAATGACAGCAAAGAAATAGTATGTTTTAATATTTTCTGTCAAAAGTAACATAGGTCATGAAAAATTAGAAAAAAATAACATTAAAAAGTATATAGAAGAAAGTAAGAATCAAAAAGTAATACCATTGGTGAAGAAGCCCTCTCAACAGTTGATTGGCTAATACTGAAATTAATCTAAACTGATCCTTTAAGGTCTACACAACAGAGCAACAGATTTGTACATGTTATGTGTGTGTCTAAGAGTGAGAATGACTGAGACATCAGAACCTGAACAGTACAGGCTTCTAAAGGATGAGGACATAGAGTTACATAGCACTCTGAGTATTGTGAACATTTGATGAGCAGTAATGATCTAAACATCAATGCAAAGATAAATACCTTTAAAACATGTTGCTGTGTGTTTACTCACAGTAGCTTATAACGGTTTACTTTGGTTGCAAAGGCTGTTTTTTATATATACGTGTATGTATGTGTATGTGTGTGTATATATATATATATTTTAATTGCATCTCTCACACACACGTATGTAAAGATGTATGTCAGTATGGGGAAGATATAGACTATATTCATTTTGCTGTTTTGGACCTTTCAATAAGAACCTTTTTAAAAGACACATCATGGTGTGTAATAAATACACTCTTGTGTTTTACTTCCTGGCACCGTGGCAAAAATTAATTTACAGATGCTTTTCCCAGAACTTTTAGATCACCACAAATGATTTAGAGCATCACCATGGCTTTGACATCTGTTTGTTTCCAACTACATCCAAAACACAGGAAAAACGAGTAACAAGTCATTGTTACCATAAACTTCAAAGGAATAAGAGCTCAAAATATTTTTTTCCTGGAATTTTATCTTGAATGTTATTAAAATAACTTGTTCATCAATTTAGAATTTGTGCTGAGATGGTCATGTTATTCAAAATGAAAACATTTGTTTCAGTGGACTGGAAGGAGTTGTGTTACAGGTAAAGGAAAAAGGGAAAATGTAACTCTCTCGTTAGATGACATGCAATAGAATTTTTCTTCAGAGTCTGTGCAGCTGGCTTCTTGGCTTTTTCTTCAGCAGCTCCTCCCACCATGCCTGGCCTCCAGTGCTGAGGGCGCTGGGGAGAGAGATGTGATTTGGCTCAGGCAGGCCTAATGAAACCCTGCTTGCCTGTGTAATAGGTGGATGATCCTGGACAACTTGCTTTTGCTTCCTGGCCTCAGTGTTCTCTGTTCATAAAGTAGGGATTATAATGCCTGTGATGAGGATTAAGTAAGGTAACATATGTAAAGCTCCTTGGCCAGTGCCTGGCACAAATAGGGCCTGGAACCAATAGTGTTTGCTTCATTCTCTTTCCTCAACTCTCCTCTTCTGCCTATTGAGTGGGTGATTATCAGAGGCTCCTCTGTGCACACCCTGTCTTCTCTGTCTTATGGCCACTACCTTTTCTTTTTTGAACTTTTAAGTCTTTTAAATTAAAAAATCAATTCAACCACCATTTATTTAGCACCAATTATGTCAAAGGTGTTGTGGTAGATAGCATAGCACATAAAAATGAATAAAACAGTTTCTATCCTTAACAAGATTAAAATATATGTGAGAAAAAGATATATAGATAGCAAGCAGGATATGATGACTGCTTTCCCAATGTATAAGGAATACCAGATTTGGTTGGGGAGATGAGCTTGACATGCCATTATTGTGCACTTTCATCTAGACCTTATTTAGATAGACAATAGAATGTACTGTAACTTTTTTCTAGTATACATAAAATTGAGTACTCTATAGTCTCTCGTCACTACAGTAAAGGAGGAGTGAAAAAGTGTGCAATCAACAAACTCCAACTTTCTCAGTTATATCATTGGGTGGTGGACACTCCCAGAATCATGTATTACATATTTTATAAAGATTTGTGGAAAATATTTTCATTAAGTTCATCACATATTTATTCATATTAAGAACTGCCCTAGGCTTTAAATTTTTAATTTCCAATTTGGATGCATAACAGTAGTTTTACTTTTTGAAAATCTGGTATTCTTTATTTTCTGCCTCACCTTTCCATAAGGAGGACAGTTACCAATTTTGCAGTATTTAATAAGGATGGTATTTTTGGTACTGGGATGTCCAGAGGAAATCTGTAACCTACATACTGAGCTCACTGCTGTCACCAAAGCTTTCTACCTGTGTCTGCTGTTGTATGCTAACTGGGACATTGTTCCCAGGATTCCATGTACGATTGTGGGCATTGTCACCTGCACAAGCACAAGAATGCCTGGTCGGGGGTGAATGGAGCTGATATCCATCTCACACTGAGTCACCAAGTCCTGTACTTCAGAGATTGACCCTTCCCATACAGGGTACATTTTTCTAATTTGCAAGAAAGGTGCCCTAAGAGCTAGTGGCTTCCCTGATTGCTCCCCTAACATCATGTGGTTAAATTTTGGTATCTCAGACAAGTAGAGGCTGCGGATCTGCAGGGTCAATTGGCTTCAGATTTAGTCAATTTCTTGTTTTTTAGGCAGTGAATAAATATGTGGTTCCCCTCCCCCCCAGTTTTTTTCTTAAAATGAAGCTCATCAAACAAATGTACCATTCTGAGGTGTGTTCTCAAGTCATATATTATAATTCATTTCACTCAAAGTATATGATTAAAGCTCATTCAAAGCCCTAAGAGTTGGGAATGAAGGAAGAATTGTAGGATGTTCTGCTGTGCCACAAGACTTAATTTATACCATTTATTAGTCTTACCAAGTACATTGAAAGGAAAAAGTTGTTGGGGGCCAGGCACGATGGCTTACATCTGTAATCCCAGCACTTTGGGAGGCTGAGTGGGGCGGATCACTTGAGGTCAGGAATTCGAGACCAGCCTGGCCAACATGGTGAAACCCCGCCTTATTAAAAATACAAAAAATTAGCCAGCTGCAGTGACATGAACCTATAATCCCAGCTATTCAGGAGGCTGAGGCAGGAGGATCGCTTGAACCCAGGAGGTGGAGGTTGCATTGAGCTGAGATCATGCCATTGCACTCCAGCCTGGGCGATAGAGCGAGACTCTGGCTCAAAAAAAAAAAAAAAAGAAAAGAAAAAGAAAAACGAAAAGAAAATGCTTCTGGGACTTTTCAAGTATGCCTTGCTATTCAGACATTCTCAGAGATTAACCCCAAAAGTGAGTGATTATCTCCCTGAGACCCAGGGTTAGAAAAATAACTTCAGAAGTACAAAAGTTGGATTATTGCCCTAATGTGAGCCCACTTTAAAGCAACTACCATAAACAATCTAAAGCAGAGTCTGCAACTGTGTTAGCCATGGTTTAAATGGTGCCAAGCTACTATTTCCCATGGCAAGGGAAATGTTAAACTGTGAAAGAGGCAACAGCCCATAAACATCTATATCTGCGTACACAGCACAGTGGCCACCAGCCGCATGTGGCTATTGAGTGCTTGAAATGTGGCGAGTCCAAATAGAGATACGCTGGCAGTATAAAATACACACTGGATTTCAAATACTTAGGAAAAAAAAGTCAAACATCTCAATATTTTTATATTCATTACATGTTGAAATGATAATATTTTGGAGATACTGTATTGAAAATATTATTGAAAATAATTTCATCTGTTTTTTTAATGTGGTTGCTAGAAAATTTTAAATTACAAATGTCAGCTGCATTTGTGATTTGCATTCTGTTTCTATTGGACAGCACTGATCTAGGTATTTCAAGAGAAAAGAAGGTGGGGAATGTGTATTTGGTTTCTTCATGGTCTGTGTCTCCCAGGATACAATATCCTGTTCCCTCTTTCTTAGAGGCATGGGTTGTCTCCCCGCTAAAAAACAAGGCCATACAGTATCACTGATGACATGCTTTTTCCACTCTGTGGCTATTCTGCAGTTCACTTAGTATTTAGATTGTTAACTTTTCTATGTAATCTTTGCCACAGAGTGTTTGTATACATTCTTAATAATTTTCTTAGGAGAAATGACTTAGCTTTTGCTGCAGATTGCCAAACTGCACTCTGGGTATAACCAATTTGCTCTTACCAGATGTGTATGCCTAGTTTGTCATTTTCCCTCTGACCTGGGATTTTTCACTTTTTGTTTTTGTTGTTGTTGTTATCTTTGCCAATTTGATAGTGTGTGTTATCTCTATTAGAAAAGGGAACACACCTAAATTTCACACCCTAACATGAGCTGCTCAGTGTAAAATAACAGGAGAAAATGATGAAGGACAGCTTATCCTAACCCACTTTGGCTAAAGGTTTGAATTAATTTGCAGTCTATGCAGAAGAGTATCAGACTCAGTGACCATTCCAAATTATACTTTTAATGAATGGTCCTCTTTGTCAGCTGTGAAGACCATAAGAAACAAATAATTAAAAATGCACAGAATACCTGGCAGGATGAATCCTGTGGGAACCAATCCGTAAATGTGCCCTAGACACAAAGGGAAGCTAAGAACAGTTAACATTACATGTAGTTTTGGAAGTATATAATGAAGATCCTGGGGAAAAGAGTCCTTCTCGACTGGGAAGTTTTTAATTGGCATGACTATATGGGATACAGTTACATCAGGATTGTAAGTCCAATTAGCCAAGATTCTACGAAAATCTGTTCTGTGCTTCCTGAACTTGAGAACAAATGAAAAGAAAACCCAAACATACTTTAGCTTTCCTTCTTTTCATTTAGCGAGAGCAGGAACGAGTTGGTCTTATGAAATTGATTGTCACTGTTGTCTCCAGCACATTAACATTTTTTACACACAACAATTTGAACAGTTCTCTAGGAGTTTGCTGTCCTGTAACTGTCATGTCTGGGTTTGCTGCATGGTGTAACAGTAAGAGCATCTCAGCCCATTGGTGAATCGGATGCTGCCAGACATTGCTTTGCCACCCTCCTTCTCCCAGCTACTCCATATTCTGAGTAGGAGCTTGATGTTCCTGCAAATCATTATACCTTTGCATTTTTTCACTTGGTTCATTAGTTTGATAATAAAATACATTTAAAAAATTTCCCCCTAAATGATGTTTTATGCATTCTCTCATCCCCTTTTCAAGTGGTGGATAGGTCCACCACATGCCATTTCTCCAGGAATCATTTCTCTCTCTCTGTTGAGCTTGTGTGTACAAATCATATTCTTTAGATTCTAAACATATCATCCTCTTTCTTCTGCAGGGTTGATTGGAACAGATTTTAATCCTCATTACTTTGCTTTTATTATGTGATGAGCTGAAGGGTTTTGACCTTTTTGTTTCTGAGATAAATATCCCTTTTTTTTTTTCACATTTCAGGATAAAATCTTAGGTATCCATTATAGCTTTAAGTGTTTGTCTCAAAAACTACCGTTTTGGGTTGTGTTTTCCCCCAGAATCACTTCAAGTCTCTACTCATATTAGTATACATTTAAAACTTGTGATTTAAACTTAGCCTGGAATGGTGACTAAAGGGTTGAATTTTAGGTTGAACTTTTTCTGTTTCATCTCCCTAAAGAAGGGGGCTGTGTTGCATTATTTCCTTGGCTCCATACATTCCTCCTGGCTCGGGTCCATTCTTGGCTCTGGTAATGATCTCTTCCCTTCTTAGCCAACAGTTTCCTTAACACACATAGTCACTGGAAGTGGCTACTCAAAGAGCTTCAGTGGAACCTGACTCAGACTCGTTACTGAGGACCTACCAAATAACCTGATTTTATTTTCTGGTTTCTTTCAACTGCAGTGCAGTGGGGAAAGATGAGTCATTTGTCCCCTCTGCCTTAGTTTCCTTCCTTGTAGAACAGGATTAATGGTACCGCCTTTGCCAGGTTGCCGCAGGCTTGGATGAGATAATGTGTCAAATGTGACAGTACTTTTAAAACTTTGTCATAGAAGTCAAGTACTTGTCATAGCTCTCTCCTGGTTTTTACTCTGACTGCCCACATATTCATTGCTAAACTCATTAGAAATAACAAATTCTCCTTCTGTTAGCTCATATGGTTACTCAAAAATATTTTGTTGAGCACCTAAAATGCATTACTACATCTTATTCTCCTTTTCTGCAAAATCTCCTTACATAATGTTGTGTCAGCTAAATGGAAATCTTTAAGTACTATAGATAAATGCTCTGTGAACATTGATGGAGGATTTCCTCATTAGAAAGAATGAAAATGTTGATAGAACTGAGTTTTCAAAATAATCATTGTCAAAAAAAGGATTTATAAATATGGGCATCTCATGTCTGTGGTACTAGAATAAGTGCTGTACCACTCATGTTTTCATGCATTTAAAATGAATGCACTTTTTATCTCTTTTTTTTTTAAGTTCACTAGAGTTCATGCTGAAATGTTATGGGGCTTCATCTCTCTGAGGTACTTGTTGGTTTTAGAAAAACGGGTTTGTTATCTCCTGAGTTTCCATCACAACATCTCTCTGATTCTTCTATGATTGTTTCTTCTGTTTTATGCTCAGCCACTAGAAGGAAATTTGATTTTTCATTTAATGGACCTAGAAGTGCTTATTACTCTCCACCACCCATCCTGTACTTCACTTTCCCCGTTCCTGTCTTATTGGCTCCATCAGTGAATTGTGTGGTTTGGGAAGAGCTTGGAGTTAGGTCTAGGAAATGAGCTTCAGCTTCAAGCCATTCCCTGCCTTCCTTCTGAGTTAAGGTGTTTGTGAGAGGAAACAAGCAGGGGCCTGGAGCAATTACTGAGCCCAGTGTAGGCTTGGGTGTTAAGGAGGTCATTATCACCTTCTTCTGGATGTGGTTTGGAACAGGGACTGGCCTGTGGAAGGGTCCCAGGCTGGCCTGGTGGGGGCTGACCCAGGTAAAACAAAACAAATATTTTGATAAGTTGAGCTCTGAGCAGTTAAGTAGTGGGAAAGGGCACATAAGTTTTCTTCAGGACTGTATCATTTATTGTACCTCCATTCTACAACACATACTGTGTTCCTAACAAGAGAATGGGAATTATTATTATTAGGATCACAATATAGATGATTTATAATACATATTTCTCAAATAACACAGGAGAGATAATCATTTCATATCCCTGCCTTTCCCTCAACTCGATCTCAAAGAAAGCCCACCTACCCTTTCTGCCCCCACCTCCATCATCACCCAGCAGCCTCTGGGGTGAGGTCTGCAAAGAGTGAACTCACCTCCACCTGGGTTGCCTTACGTCTTGAATCCCATTTTAATGCCAGAGCTGGTACATTTACTCTTTAAAGTATAAAATAGTTTATACTTATTTTATGTATGTGTGTGTATAGACATATGCACATATGAGTGTATGTGTATGTCTGTATAAACACTCGTGTATGCATTTATACACATATAAAGTATGTTTTATATATATAAAACATTATATATATAAAATATATGTATAAAAAACATACTTTATATATATATATAAAACCATGTCATGTAAAGAAGCTTTCTGGTTCCATGCTTTGACCCCATGTCTTCAGTGATTTTCTAGTATCACTAGGATCTCAGCTCCCCTTGGAGGATTCACTCCTTTTTGGCTCTGAGGGGTCTTTTGACAGACCTGTAAAATCCTGCATGGATGTTCAGGACCCATTTTTACCCTGACCATTTAAGCATACAAAGTTAAGTAAGCCCTGAACAAAGCGGGAGAGGAAGCAGGAAGTCAGGGCAGTGGAGGGGTTGTGTTCTGCTAATTCAGCAGGATAGTCACAGGAAGTGTGAGGAGGCATCATTGCTGATAACATGCTCACTTCAGCTGAATCCCAGAGAGAATGAGGAGAAAAGCTAATCAGATGCCTCCCCCTGTTGTTTGATTTTTTTTTTCTCTTATGTGGATTTTTGTTTGTGGCATGGTCAATTCATACAAGATTTTACAAAATTGTATTGGGACGTTTTTGTCCCAGTTTATAACTTGAAATTAAAATAAATTGAATGCTGTGAGGTGTGGTTTTTAAAAGGTATCTTTGCCGCTATTCTTTTACTCAGTAATTCTGTACATGTAATCATTATATTTACTGACATTCATCTTGTATCAACAAGAAGTCCAGTCCTCTTTCAAAGCAGGGATATCAAAGCCTCTATCCCCAACCCACCATATTTTAGTAGTTTCCTAGATTTTTAGATTTTAAGGACCAGTAAACTAAACAAAAATAATTAGGGTTAGGGATCCAGCATAGAGTCAAAAAGAACACAAACTCCAACAACCACCATCTTTTATCACTCTTTCTTAAAAAGAAAGACCATTTCACTATCAAAAAAATTAGAAGTACATAATCGAACTTAATTTTTTGACAAATCCATGGCACCTATTTTTCTGCTGACACAGTGGTGATCATCTTTCCCCAGGTTAGTTTTTGTGAAACCCTGCTCTGCAGCACCCTCCCTGACCCAGGCTAGTTCTGCTAGAAAACTTCTAGTGACTGCAAACACTCGACTCCAGTTCTTGGAAAGGCCTGCTTTATAGTCTTTCCTTTTCTAGGTAAGCATCGGTAAGAACTTCAACTGTTCCTTCCTTGTAGGATGTGATTTCTAGCTCTTTGTTTATGGTGCTTACTCTCTTCTGAAAGAGCTCAGAAGACCAGGTTAAAGGAGATGTTTAGAATAATTGCATTCAATGTAGAAAACACTTCATGAAAACAGGCTGTCTTATTTATTTATTCCTCCACTCCTTTCTTCTGAATGTCAAATGTTTATTATTTTCAGGCACTATGCTGAGGCCTCATATACGAGGAGGAAAACACACAGTCCAAGGGCACACACCTAATGGGGATGACAGCCATGCAGATAATGTAGCAGTGTGCTGATTGCTGCACCAAGATGCTGCGTGGACAGGATGCCATGGGCAGAGTGCAGAGACAGCACTCAGCTCAGCCAGGGAAGGTCGGAAAATGCTAGAGAATGCCATTAAACTGAGTCTTGCAGAAAGATGCTAAATTTCCCTGGTGAAGGAAAATCTTAAAGGGCAGGAAATTAAGGTGGAGCAGGGCAGGACAGGGACCTGTATAGCGATATACAGGCAAGCTGGCTGGAGTTTTATTCATTTGTTAAGACTGCTGTAACACAGTACCACAACCTGGGTAGCTTAAAACAACTAATAGTTACTGTCTTACGGTTGTGGAGGCTAGAAATCCAAAATTAAGGTGTCAGCAGGGCCATGCTCCCTTTGAAACCTGTGGGGGAACATGCTTCGTTACCTCTTCCAGCTTTGGTAGTTTGTCAGCAATCCTTAGTAAGTTCCTGGCTTGCAGGAATCTCTCCCTCCAATCTCTGCCTCCGTTTTCACGCAGCCTTCTCCCCATGTGTCTCTGTTCACATCTCCCTCTTATGAGGACAATAGTCACACTGGATTAGGGCCTACCCTGAGAGACTCATCTTAACTTGACTACATCTTCAAAGACCCTGTTTCTAAATAAGATCACCTTCAGAGGTCTTGGGGCATAGGACTTCCACATATCTTTTGGGGGAACACAGTTCAACCCATAACAGTGAGTGTTGGAGAATGGTGAGCAGAAAGGCCCAAGAGCATAGTGTCTTTCTATGATCGGCTCATTTTTTTTTTTTCAGTGCAACCTATATTTTAGTTATTCTGGGAACTTGAACTTGTGCTTAATCAAAAGCAAACAAACAAAAAAAAAAAACATATTTTCATGTGAACAAGCCAAGGCTTTTTCTAAATTTGTACAGTTGATTTTGCCCCTTTGGAACTTATGTATAAGACCTATTTTTCCCTAGTGAATGTTATTTTATTGACTTTGGCTAAGTATTCATTCTAGCCTGTTGAAATAATTGGAAGTGTTAATTCTGTCATCTTACATTCACCATCCCCCTGAGCTTTGGGACATTTATATATTTGATAAGTGTGCCACCAATGACCTGATTTATGTCATTGTTTAAAATGTCTTTTACAAGTGCTGGCCAAGAACAGAGCTATATGGCATATCCCCAGATGCCTCCCTTCGTGTTCACCATGACCGCTAACCAACAGTTGACAACTCAATCACTCGTTCATCCAGTTACCCACTCACTCAAGCCACATTTCATCTTCCCAGGTTTCTTCATCTGATGTATGAGCAAATAATGATTTTTTTATTTAACTCAAATCAGAATACATTATGTAACATTCCTAAGCAGCCCTGATTTTCTCACCACTCCCCAAAGTAGAAATAGCAAAAGTTTAATGTTCTTACAGTTCTGGAGGTTACAAGTCTAAAATTAAGGTGTCATGACTTGCTCTTAAGGACTTTGCTAGTACTTGTTCTTTTCATAAGTGTCTCTGACCTTCTATTTACTAATCCAATCTAGAATTTTGCCTCAGATCAACATTGGTCTTATCTGCCTTTAGTTTCTAGAATCTAGTTTTTTTGTTTTTTAAGGAATCTGAATAGCATTTTGCCATCCTATCAACAGCTCTCCTATTATGCAAGGTTTCTCAAAACAAGATTGGTAAATGCTTACTGACAATCATATAGATAAGAAGCACTTTTAGCCCTGATCTCCATACCCAGACCCTACACTTGCCAACTACAAGCAGAAGAACATCATTATCTGGAAAACAGTGGATTCAAGCTCTATTGAGGGTGAGGCATGTTTACCTTCATTTGGGATATGGTAATTGTGAGAAACTGATACTAAAGTAATTTTACAGCATTTGGTGCTCTTTATAGTTACGTGTTTTCATATAAAGATAATTCCTCTCTGATTTTCTTGAGTTTCAAGATTCTGAATTTTTGGAGCCGTACTATCCTACCTCCGCAATGATTGCTCATCTTTATCTGCAGTATCTAAGGACAGGGTAGTTTGCAGACAAACCAGTAAGAAATCAATACGGGGGGCTATGTATCCTTTTCCATCAGATCCGCTCTTACAGCTGTAACCATTGTCACAAGTGACCTTTGAGCCAAACGTCTAAGTTTAGAAACGTCAACTCTGCTGGCAGGCTGTGGTAGCATTCCCTTGCTTATACAGTCCAAGTGTGTCTTTTACTAGGGATATGTTTATATCCTATCCCCAAATTTTTTAGAGCTGAAGTGAGTAAAATAGATATCATTTTCCTTGTCAGTCTGTTCTTCAGACTGGCTTTTCAAGGTCACAGGGCAGTCAGGATTTATTACTTGAGAAAAGGATGGACTACGTTTGAAAATCAATATGCTGGTGGAGTGTTTTGGATCAAAGCCAGCGTTAGTGTTCAGTCGAAGAAATGTCCAATTTGACTCTTGCCTTTTTAGCTTGTATCAGAATCAAGAGAAATTTCTAGGTAATTTTGCACACTGTTTTAATAGCTTCAGATAACTCTGTTTTGCTTCAGAGAGGATGTTTACTTTTACTGTCTGTCATGCTGTTCTTGTTTTGAATGAAGCAGTCATTTATGGTTTTCAGTGATGGAGTTTAATGCATTCACTTTCTACAGATTCTGACACAGTTATCTGGTTGTGTATGTGTGTGTAAGATTTCCAGTTGTGTGATTTACTTTAAAAGGAGTGACAAATTTAGAGACACTTGAAAAACAGTTTAGAAACGAAAGCTTTTCTGGGTTTTTTGCACACGTTCCGCCCCACCCCAGCCCCTTATAGTTTTGTTTCCGTGGTGTTGGGGGCGGGGGGAGGGTGCTAATTTTTAATTCCATTTTAAGTTCCTAAATTGCCTTGCTTCCCTCCTGTGATTTTTTGAGCTAAATTGGCATAAACTATAAGGTCATATTCATTTTCTAAGGCAAAATGTATTTCCCTTCTCCTCACTGCTGCCAATTCCCCACACCAAACACTTTTTGGGGGAAAATCATATTACATGTTTATATTTTATTCACTCAAACCAATGTATGTTGAGAGGTTACAATATGAAAAAAAAAAAAACTGTGCTGAAAAGTTACAAAAAAGTTGTGTCTCTCTTTTCTCAATATTTTGCCACATTGGATCACATTGATATTAGGGTAAGAAGGTAGTCTAGGTAAATGCTCTCAAGTCTCAAGTAATTAGAAGTGCCCTTAATTGAAGGGTATGGGAGAAAAGAATAACACTTATTAGTCATTGAATATTCATTATATGTCAGGCACCATAGTGGTCATTTATAACAGTGCTGTGAGGGAGACATTATCATACAACTTTACAGATGAGGATCCTGAGGCCAGGCAACTAACTACACCAGAGTCACAGGGCTGCCCATTGGCCATATCAGCACTTGATATGGTCTCTCTGGTGGCAACTCTCTCTTCTTTCCATTATAACATTGTCTTCCTTATGTTTCAGTAAAGTTAAGTAGTATATAAACACAAGGGTGACACTGTCAAAGCAAAGAAAATACATTACAGGTTTTGGTGGGAGAGGAAGAAAATTTAAGAAATAATTATTGTCAGTTCATAAATTCAATTCAGAAATAGAAGGCCACTTTCTATGATCAAATTGCCTTTGCTTTAAAAGTTGGACATTCATCAGTGTTTGAGACATTTAGGGATTCATTTTTATGATAGATAATATACATTTTACTTGCAAAATTCTGGGTTTCATTTTCGGCACATATTATTTTCCTCTGACATGTTAGTACTCGGGAGCACTAATTTGGGTCTGGCCATCTGTGACTACATCCTTAAGTGCTGTAGTACAGTGACTTCTGGTAAAAATATTGTCATAAGATAATGTAAATGACCTTTTGTGTGCAATGTGCTCTTAAAAGACCATAAAATAATGTAAAGCTACGTTACCTTGATTGCAGATCATAATAGACTTGATACTAAACTATAATAGCAAGTCTGTGTAATAAATCAAATGCTTTATAATATGCTCTTTTATTTAGAAGAGAGGTTATACATTTTTCATAGTCTATGGCAAAAAAATGCATCTTAGCGATTTTTAATGAGATAGTTTTAGTGTTTTATATGAATTTTTTAGTCCAAGTTATACATACAGTAAACAGCATCAATTGTTACCTTCATATACTATTTATAATGGATTCACCCAGGCATGTTGGTAAGACATTAACAGGAATGATTCTCAATTTAGTGAGAAAAGGTTATTAGTCTCAAAATCTGGGTAGAGATGACCAGTTTCATTTGTACTCTCAAAGGATGTGTTGATCTGAAAATTTCAAAGTTATGAAAAATCAGGTATGTAGATGTCTGTATCTTCTCTTGAAAAAATGTGATAACTGTCCCAATGCTTCTGTAATTCAGTCTTCATCAGCTCACATGCTGTAAGGCAGCTAGGCTAGCTGAGAGTTAGACCACATGAGGATTGTCTGAACTTCTGCTAAATCACCTCAAATCTGCAGGCTTTGCATCTGTGGCTGGAGCTGAAATTGTTTTCCTTTCCAGGACAGTTCAGAAAAGTGAACTTTGTGATTCTTTTTCCCCATCTTCTAAATTCACAGAGACAAGCCACTGGCTTTCCATTGCACAGATACCATGGATTATTTTTCTCAGATGTCAAGTTAAGCATTTAAGACTTCTTCAAAGAAATCCTTTGTCTTTAATCTCTCCTGCCCTGTAGAGCCTTTCCATTCACCCCCTCCGTCTCGTCATCCCTCATTGTAATTTCTTGAACTTAAGTGTTATTGCCAAAGTACAAAAAGCAAGAAAATAAATAAAATGTGGCATCTCTCTCTGCTAATCCTGGACAAAAATTTTCGTTAATCTTACTAAAATAATTGCTCTTGTGATTTCATTCTACAGTTCCAAATCCTCCAGTCTCATTCTGTTCTCTCTGTCCTTTTCTTAGAATGCAGAGTCCTCCAAGACTTTTGGAGACTTAAGTTTCCATAACTCACTACATAGGTTTGCATTAGATTCTTTATTGTCCTACAGAGCCCACCTAGATTTTTGTTTTCTCCAGTTTTTCTTACTCAACTTGACCTTCCCTCTATGTTTATGCCTCCTTTATTTAGCATACATCATACAGGGTCTCATATTTTTAGTTATTTTTTAGTATTAAAAGTTTTTTACATACCCCAAAGGACTGTCCTCCTTAATGGTAGGTGTGGCATCTGCTGTATTTTTCACAGGCCTTGAAAGGGCATACTGTAAACATGCTATAAATATTTTTGAGTTGATTTCTTGGTTTGATCTCTCCTTTCTTGACTGTACTTATCTTTCCCGTAATCCCTTCACCTTCAGCGCCTGGTTTTCAGTTGTTTCTGACCTTTAGGTCTGCAGTAGCTTTTCTTGCCAAGCATTCTCCTTTAAACCCTGGCTTCAATTCCAGCTACATACACCAGGAATCTTTTATTCATAAAGGTACACTCAGCCATATAACACAAGTGGAAGGGGCAGCTATCTAATGTAAGAGTTAGGCCAGAACAACCAAATGAAATGGGGAATATCTTTCTATACCCTTAATTTTTGTGTCTTGGAAGTAGAAACATTGAAAATCATCAGGGCAAAAGAGGTAAATGTCATATAAAATTTACTTGATTTTGATTGCCTAATAAATTTTTACATCTTCTATCTCATCTCCAAATACCACTTTACATGCCAAGTAAATAAAGGAAATATAACCAGCTGAATTATTCCAGGTAGTGAGAATTCAGAATAACATGGGTAATGACCCTTTCTACTATTTTTAGGCCTCATTCTCCAAAAAACTTTATTTGCTAAACAGACGTAATGTATACTTTGTGTTCCTTCCCCTATCCAACCACTGTTGAAAGAGCTAAAGCAAGTTTTAGGAAATCCCCTTTGTCTGGGAGGCCATTGAAAAAACAAAGCAGCCAAAAAAGTGAGTTAGAAAACTGCATTCATCTGTGTGTACATGTGTGAGGACGTGTATTGTATTTTTTCTTTTTTCCCAGCAACTCCAAAATAACAAGAGGGGGTTTCCTCAAATAGATTTGTAGTCCTCAAATTCATTTCCCTCAAATAGATACCTTAGTTATTCCTTTTAAGCTTTAAAGCCAGTCCTGCCGACCCCCTCACTGAGGTATATGCTCTACTGGGCATGTTATTCCAAGATAGACCAATGTCATGTATCCAGAAGGTCTTTAGTCAGGTAACTTCTTCCTGAATGTCATCAGCATCTGTCTTAAGGACCTTAGCAATTACGGAGTCCACCCCTCATCTCCTTACTCTTTTGGAGCTGTGTGCAGAGTCAAACTGGGAATTACTTTCAATCTGTGGCACAGTCTGTGGTTGGTGACCCAAGTTTCCATAGCTGTCAACATGCTTGGCCTTTAAACTCCAAAGCAAACATTCTACCTCCCATCTTTGCTACTTAGTTGTGTAACCTTGAATACGTCCCTTACTGACTCTGCTCCTGAGTTTCACATCTACAAAGTAGGAGTAATACTCCACCTCCCCAAAAGATTAAGAAGATTAAAATAATTGGCGCATATATATGTGTGTGTGTGTGTGTGTGTGTGTGTGTGTATATATATATATATATATATATATACACACACACACACACATCTCGCTTAGAATAGTGCCTGGCATAGAGTAGGAGCTGTATACCTGTAAGTAATTACTTTTATTATTCCCCTGAATTAACTCACGAGGTCATAAGTTTTCTGATGTTGATGTTTTATTTTTCTCTTCTTTTTCTCATTTCAATCCCCTGTCCCTCCTACTTGCTAATTATGGTCATATACATAGGCACAGCGTCTTTTACGGGATGTGTGAATCCCTGTTTGTCCTTCAGGAGCAGCTATTATGAAAACTATCATTCTATATGCATGAGCAACATTCTGCCCTTTCTCAAAGTTAAAGTATCTTTTTTGTTTATACATATCACTTTTTTTTTTACTGTTGTTTTAAACACACCCATTGTGTTTTCAGGTTTAATAATATTCATAAAATATTCTAAAACTAGCACAAGCACTGCAAATGACCCCATGTGCCTTAAATGAATTTACAACTGAAATGACCAATATTAAAATAACTTAACAACCATTGTCGCCATCTGTTGGTGGTGGTTGGAGTGGACGCCACTCTCCAGAGCTTTGGCTTATAACCTGGACTCTTCAAAAGCTGCACGTTCCCTAGCACACAGGAAAATTGTGTGTGTGTGTGTGTGCACGCGCACGCATGCTTGCACGCACACACATACGTTTATACATTTGTACGTGCCAGTGGATAAAGTCTATAATGATATGCACCAATAATCATATCCAGGACTTCAGGTGATTTTAATTTTTCAACCTACTTTTCTTTGTCTTCTAAGTGTACAATAAGCTTGTGTTTCTTTTGTAATATAAATTACCAAAAAGGTAGAATTTAGGAGTAACTAAGTGATAGAGGCAGAGGAGAAAATTAAGCTTTATATACTAAGTGCAAACTGAGATATACCTACATTTTATATTGTAGCAGATGAAAGAGGAGATCTAAATGGAAAGAAAGAAATGAGTAAAACTGTGGTGTAAACTAAAGAAGTTTTAGTAAATTCTAAGTAAAAGGTTTTATTAGCCAAGCTCACTTGGGCCAAGAGGTTTGAACATGAGCTTTTACCTGTTATCCTCTCCCTTTGAAATTCATATTATTATATAGTCATGTCTCTTAATTACTCTTCATCTTTTTACTGTCAGAGCTTGCTCTGGAGTGGATTATCTACTCTAGCAAAGAATATTATAATCTGGGTAGCTGGGGCTGTGGTCTAACCCAGTTACTTTGAAGCCAGATGAAATCCAAAGAATCTTCATAGTCACAGTTTTTTTTTTTTTTTTTTTCTTTCATGAAATTCTACATCATGCTGTTTGGTCGTGCACTTTCTTAGTGTCCTTAGAGTGTGAATTCCGCCAGTCAGGAGACCTGTTTCTCCTAGTACATCATATGTCCCTATTCCGTAACAGTGATTTTTTTTTTAAACAGGGGGTCTCACTCTGTCACCCAGGCTGGAGTGCAGTGACGCAGTCCTGGCTCATTGCAACCTCTGCCTCCCAGGCCCAAGTGATCCTCCCACCTCAGCTTCCTAAGTAGCTGGGACTACAGGCGTGCACCACCACGTCCAGCTAATTTTTGTATTGTTTGTCGAGAGGGTGTTTTGCCACATTGCCCAGGCTGGTCTCGATCTTCTAAGCTCAAGCAGTCTGCACACCTCAGCCTCCCAAAGTGCTGGGATTACAGGCGTGAGCCACCGTGCCTGGCTGATGATTTAAAAAAAAAAAAAAAATTAAGCTACAGATAGGAGCAAGGGGAGGTGAAGATCTGGTTGCTTTATGAATTTGTACCCAGATGTCTGTTACTCTTACAGGCATTGGTGATTGACAACAGAATTAGATTAAATGTTAACTGTCTATAACAGCTCCCCCTCACCCCTCACTTTAAATCTTACTGCAAGTAAAATGAGTAGAGAGAGATGATGACTACTGTGAACCCTCCCACTCCTTATCCCAGTCCCTGAGGTGCCATTTGATATATGGCTCCTCCTCATATTCTAGATCTGGACCTTTCCTGGCTCTTTTGTCATGACATCAAAAACTACTGGTTCTATACTGCATTGCCACAATAAGATATCCAAGTTGCCCACTGAGGAGCTAACTTAGCTAGGGCCTGACGGATTTCAAGGGTTGCATCTTCTAGTTCTGGGGTCTGTATTTTAATGGGAGCCTCTTGTGCTGGAAGTGGTATAATTGAGTGGACAGCCCAAAAGAAGAATATTTTAGGAAAGGGAAGCCCTTCAGCACCTTAGGTAAATCCAAATAAGCAGCTTCCTGTGCCACTTGTTTGCAGAAGGCCAGTATGCAGCTGCCCCACAGACAGAGTGGAATCCGTTTCTGATGTTCTGTGAAATCACAGTCTTTCAGTCTTACTCCACAACTTGCAAGGAAAACCACAATAGAAAGTAAAACTGATAAATGTCAGAAATCACTCTTTTTCTACTCACCATCCTCTGTCTTGTTATCCCTCTTTCAACCATAAGCCACGTGTTTATTTCTTATGTTTAAAACAAATGAGTAAAAAATGTCCTGTGCTTGGAAAATGAATATTTGAGTACCGTACAGACCTTCCATTACCCTTCTTCTTCCATACTCAGAGGGCATTGTTTCTCAAAATCATTTCATTGATAAGTTGCCATGAAAATTTACTCATTTGTGAGCTCTGGGATTTCAGGCAAGGTGTAATGCTCAAAACTTGTATGAGCTTTTTGTTTTCTCATATGCACAAATGGGAATAATAACACCTACCTCATAAGATTGTTGTGAAGTTAATTAAATAAAAGCATACATGCAAAGTACCTGGCACAGTGTCTAGGACATAAGTAGGAAGTCAACAAATGTAATGCCCTTTCTAGTTTCTTAGAAAATAGCCAACTAAATAGTTGAAGAGATTAGTGATAGTTTCATGGAAAAGATAATGTTTGAACAAGTTCTTCAAGTTCAAGCATGGGTAGAATAGGTAATGGAGAGATGTTTAAAGGGGTATTTAAGGTAAATTAATGCAACAGACAGGGTTGAAAAGCTGGATGCAGGGAGAACTATTATGTGTTTTTTGCATGTGTCTAGGAACAGTGAAGGGAGAAAGTAAAGATTGGAAACATATCAAAGACAAAATTTGGAAGAGTTATTGATCACCTGGGTTCAGGAATTACTGAGTTAGTGGTGGCACGAGGACCCCGAGCTTGGTAGGAGATTGGGAGAGTGAGTGCTAGTGAATGAAAAGAGATATGGAGAGAGACAGGGAAAGCCATGTTTGAGATAATATTGAAGATGAGATTTAGAAAGTCGTGGGCTTGATATTTCACTACTTAAATATTTCACTGGATATTTAAGAATCCTAATAAAATATTAAGGTATTTAAGTAGAAAGAGGAAGAGAGAAAAACCAAAGCTTTGGTGAGTTTTAAAAAAAACACATACACACACAAGGAAGAACTGAGCAGCATCAGAGGAGATTCATTAATTAAAAACATGGCACTGAATGAATTTCCTAAGAGAAGAAACAGTTGAAGACCAAATATTAAACTTGATGAAAGTACTTAGTTAAGGAGGGAGAAGAGGAAGCTGAATGGGCAAAGAACCCCTGAAAGAGGGCTGTGAAAGATGGAATGAGATGGGGGAGTACCTGCCACAGAGAAGGGAGGTGCACTGGCAGAGCGGACTCATGCCAGATGTAGCAAACAAGCTGAGAGAGGGTGTGGCATGGCTTGCATTCAGCACTACTGAGCCTTTTCTCTTTGCCTACTTCCTCATTCCCCTTTCTCCATGCATTTTCCTGTCTTTCCCATCATTAAATGTTGAAAGCAGAACTAGAAGTGTCGAAGGCCAACCCTTTACCTTCCTTCTCCTAAATGAGCCTTTCTTCTGTTTGGTTTACAAAATGCCCTGAACTCTGAGAGCTTGAGCAGTCTCTTAATCACTGTGACTCTCAATCTCCTTACCCCAAATTGGAGTCATACCTACCGTCCCCCCGCTTTTGGAAAAGTATGAAACAGGGATACAGTCTAAAAGTGCTTTTGTCAAGGACTTGTACACACGAGAGAGTCCTGGTGCCTTTGTCCATTTTTCGTGTTCCTGTAAAGGAATACTTATGCTAGGTAGTTTGTTAAAAGAAAAGGTTTATTTGGTTCGTAGTTCTGCCGGTTGTACAAGAAGCACAGCATCAGCGCTTGCTGCTTGTTGAGGGCCTCAGGAAGCTTCCACTCCTGGCAGAAGGCAAAGGGGAGAAGGTGTGTGCAGAGATCACATAGAGAAAGAAAACAGAGGAGGAGGTACCAGGCTCTTTGCACAACCAGTTCTCACCAGAACTAATAGAGCAAGAACTCACTACCACAAGGATGGCACCAAGCTATTCATGAGGGATCCACCCCCACAACCCAGACACCTCTCATTAAGCCTGATCTCCAACATTGGGAGTTTTTGTTTTGTTTTGAGACATGGTCTCACTCTGTCACCCAGACTGGAGTGCAGTGACGAGATCATGGCTCACTGCAACCTCTGCCTCCCAGGCTAAAGCGACCCTCCCACCTCAGCCTCCTAAGTAGCAGGGACAATAGGCCCCGCACCACCATGCCCAGACAATTTTTGTGCTTTGGGAGGGTAGAGACGGGGTTTTGCCGTGTTGCCCAGCCTGGTCTCGAACTCTAGGGCTCAAGCCATCCGCCGGCTTTGGCCTTCCAAAGTGCTGGTATTACAGGCATGAGCCACCATGCTCAGCTGGGAATCATATTCCAACATGAGATTTGGATGGGTGAAATATTCAAACGATAGGAGCTGGTAAATATCAAGCATGTAACCTAGGTAGATAGATGGTTGCTGAAAGGTTGTCTTTAGATCACTTATTTTTTTCTCATTTGTAGATTTTTATAGATTATTTCTTTGTAAGCCTAGTGATCTGTGTTAATATTGTTAAAATGCTCAGAATCTCAACAGGGAATTGAAGGTGTTTGTGCAGCATTATGCCTCTTAGATGTAATTGTCATTTGAACCTGAAATTATCTTTACTTTCATGCCTAGTTAGTAATCATTTGATTACATGATTACACAGAGTGAACATAAGGAAGATTAACTGAAGGAGAGAAGTGGCTCAAGCCATTTTTTTTTCTTCTAGATAAATATATTTCAGCTTGTTTCAGTGCATAAAATACAAGTGTGTAATATTCACAATGGTTTAAAATGCTACAAAATACTTCCATTTCCTAAAAATTTTAATATGCTTTTTGTCCTCAAAATCATTCATGAGAAAATTAAAGTAGAGCAAATGTGGAATTTTTGAAGTAAATGTCTAGGAAAGTAGACTGTAAATGAGGAAACGTGAGACTCAGATGCATCGAGTAAGTTAAATGCATTTCCCAGAGTCTTACTTTGATTTGATTTGTTTTGTTTTGTTTTTGAGATGGAGTCTTGCTCTGTCGCCCAGGGTGGAGTGCAGTGGTGCAATCTCGGCTCACTGCAATCTCCGCCTCCCCGGTTCATGCGATTCTCCTGTCTCAGCCTCCCAAGTAGCTGGTACTACAGGCATGCACTACCATACCCAGCTAATTTTTGTATTTTTAGTAGAGACAGGGTTTTGCCATGTTGGCCAAGCTGGTCTCGAACTCCTGGCCACAAGTGATCCATCCGCCTCACCCTCCCAAAGTGCTGGGATTACAGGTGTGAGCCACCGTGCCCAGCCTTACTTTGATTTTTAAGAAACAATTTTAAAAGTTATCTTTCAAAACTTTTTTTCCTCAATTTTTAGAAGGCAAGCATAGATAACAGTGCTTTTCCTTATAGTATGGCCACTATGGAGAGAGTGTGGGGTTCGGTTCATATTTACATTATACTGTCGCTTCGTTTTCAGTAGCAGTATGCTAAATTTTAATGTTCTTAATTTTTCCTATATTCCCCAGCATCTATGGCACATAAAGGAATTTGAACATATTTCTCATAGAAACTTCATAAAATTAATGATTAATCCCTGATTAATTCTTATATTCTTCTTCATTATATTCTTGATTGTCCGTTTCTTAGACACATGTGCATGCACACAAAGTGAGTTTACTGTATAATTATTATTACTGAGTTACAAGTGGTGTAAATAAGTGTATTTATGAACAGTTATAAAAGTCCTCAGTAAAAAGGATCTGTTTGACACCATTAAGTGTGCTAAACATAAACATGCGCACACACCTGCCCTTCTGTGGCGATATGGAGCCTTGCAATGGTGTCCACAGAACCAAAATGAATAGAATAATGCAAGCAGCTTTCCGCTGTTACTATTTCATAAAAGCTGTATGGATCATAGGACAGTACTTTCCTGTTAGAATTCTATAACCTTGCATTTGGCTTTGTATTTTACCACTGATATACTGTTATTAGAAGAAAATATTTGGTATAGAGCCCACATCCCATGTTTCTGTCCTAAGATTGTCAGGTAAGTACTTGATTTCTTCAGAGTTGAACTTCAAACTGCAATCCCACAATTCAAACAAGAGGCCTAGCCATTCCCTTTTTTTCAGTTTTGAGTTCAGAATTCTCATTTCCTGTCTCTTAGTAAAGAAAATTTTGTACTCTAAAGTTTGCAGATGTTTGAAAAGAATGTGTGTTCTTTGGATTTAGGCATTAATAAGGGTTCCTTATAACTTCTTTTTCTTTCTTTTCTTTTTTTCCTTTTTTTTTTTTTTTTTTTTTTTAGATATGGGAAAATAGTCTCCACAAAGGCAATTTTGGATAAGACAACGAACAAATGCAAAGGTATGTTTTCTTGGCTGGTTATTTGGTAAATGATAGCTTTAGAAAAATGATGGAATTTAAAACCTGATCTTTGGTTTCAAAACCACCTTCGTTTTATTAAAAACCAGATCTTATATATCACCCAGTTTCTGTCTTGCACAGTGTCAGCATATTACTTACATTTGTCCCTGGTTGGGTTTTGGCTACAAACCCAACAGCAGCTAGCAGTTTGCCAGAATTCCAGATTTGACGCCAGTAGAGTTAACATGCAAAATACGGGTTGGCATTTAGCCCTTGCTTTTAAAAGGGGAGTAGAGTTAGAAAATAGCTTTTCTTTCCTGAGCCTGAGGAGATTAGAGCTGCTTACTGAAGACCATTGGACTGTACTAAAGAACTGAAAAGATTACATATTGTGCAAATTGGCTCTATTAATTAGAATAGAGTAGTTTTAAGCAGTACTTAATTACATGTTTCAGTACTCCCAATTGTTCTCTGCTGAATGCCTGTTGACAATATTGGCAGCAGGGAGGAGACAACCATTTTCACTGACCAAATTGTAATAGGGAGGGGAGGTCATGCGCCCCTTTGAAATATGCTGCTGCATTAATTTGATGCACTGACCTTCAGTTTTCCATGTAATTAGGATGAGCTCATCCAGCCCCATGAGCTGGAAGAGGAGGCGTCTACAGTAGGCAGCACTGATGCTCTGTGGTTCTGACTTTTAATGATCCAGCATCTTAACAATAGGCATGTGATTTCTAGGAAAAGGGAAGAATAGAGTCAGCTGACTTTGAATCTAACTACTGACCCCATGAATTGAAATAAGTTGACAGGAATAGGCAGAGAAGGCAAATCTCCTCGTTAATTAGACCCCAGTTTTTCAAGTAGTGGTGACGGGGCAGTGGCTTAGCACAATCTGAAAAAGGCAGAGAACATAAATGAACCCTATGGTAGGGGCCTCTCCTTATAAGCCAAGCATTTCCTTTAATCTAGACTTGAAGTGGTTCATTGTATTTCTGTCTCTTCTTCAAAGTGCCTAAATTTAAAGGAGCTATTGTAGCAAATAGCTAAGCTCATGTTTAATCAACATGGCACATTAAGGCAATTTTGCCTTGGGACAGTGAATAGAGCGTGCTTTATGTAGAGTGGTACCCAATAAATATTTTAAATGAATTAAACTAGAGAGAGTCAAATTATAGACTGAAATGCATATACTTAGTTTCCAAGGTTAGTCTTATTTAACATTTATAAATGATTTGGGAGAGCAGAGACACAGAAAAAAAATCTTTTGGTTTTATAAAGAAAAATAGACTCTTGCAGGAATAAAAATAGGAGGCTGATCACCAACATCACTTTGAAACTAGAGAGAAATCAGAGTAGACAAGTGGTTTTATCCATACCCTACCTCCTCTCTTTTTCTTCCCCACCCCAAAAGAAATCTTAATGTCGGCTCAGTGTGTTAAAAAGCAGAGCTGCCCTAATTTAAGTAAAAGAAAGGACCCAGAGGTTGAATGCTTCACCACATCCCTGAACTGAAAACCACACTATTTTACACTCTGCTCCAAAAGCAACCTATTCCATAGAAGCCAAAATTCCTCAAAGTGCTCTACGTGATCTAGAAAAGGTATGGGTAAAAAATAAACTAATGCTAAATCTAACATGTTGTCACAATACAAACCCTTAACAGTTGGTAAGGGTCCATAGTAGAGAGATTTATGGACTTCTAAGGGTAGGACTAATTCAGAACTTATTTTAGATACAAGAAGTCTCCTGGAGACCTTCCTTTAAAGTGGTTTTTGGGAGACACTGCTTTTGGGTGTGTGGGCAGTAATAGAAACCTTCCAGGGCTCTCTGCTTCACACAAGCCTCCCAGCAATAGGTGTCAACAGATATCTGGTGGGTTGAGACGGTGGGTGAGTGAGTGAGTGGAGAGGGTAAGAGTGGGTTTATAAAATCCTAGAAGCAAGAAAAAAGTAATTTCAGGACAAATGAGAAGAAATAACACTTAACTCATGATAAAGTTAGATAACATGTTACCCAAGATAACTTGACGTGATAGGTAGATAGATAGGCATATAGATGACTGATTGATAAATGAATATAAATAAATAAATGCATAAAAGATTATAGAATATTAATATAAATGAAAGGTACTTGTGTTATATACTAATTTTTTGAAATTAAGCAGATCAAAGGACTTTATATATGGGAATGAGAGATCTTAGAGGGTTACAGAACATTTTTTGCCACAAAACATATTTTTGGAACATGTATTTTCAAGAGAATTAAGCTGAAGGAAACATTAGAATAACATGTACCTAAGTTATTAAATTTTAAAATTCACAATTCAGTTGCTATTTTACATTTCAGTTTCTCTCAAAGTTTAGCCAACAAAAGGCATTTATAAGCCCTCCAATGCTGGTAAATATGTCAGTTCAGGACAAAAAGAAAAGCTCACAAAAGATTGGTTATGAAATTGATTGATTCATTATTTATACTTACAGAAGTGCATGTAAGACCAGAATACTTATACACATTAGCAAAAATAGTTTCAGGATGAATTAGACTAACAGGAAAAATAAGGGTAAAAGCAGGCAGCTTTAAGTTATTACCAAATGTCCCTGTGTTTCCTGCTGGCCAAGGCAAAAATAGAAAACATAGCTCGCCCCATGATTCAGTCATCACAATGTGAGAGGAGAGCAGGAGTAACATAACTATTCCTGGTCCTGAAACCTGAGAGGAATTCTCCTGGGAAGCCTCAGTGAGAGGATGCCATGTTATTTAGTGAACCCTGCCTTCAAAAACGTCTTTACACCTATTTATATAATCAAATCCATAGAGTCTGTATAACTCAAATTGTATATTGTCTTCTATTTACTTGAAAGTAATACAGATAGACAGCATGAAAGAGCACAAGGTTGCATACTTAACTATTATGTTTGTCTTCAGCAAATGGTTATAAAACAGCCATAGTGTGGTAGGCATTGGGAAAGGCCAGAAAAGGATGTAAACAGTTAACTAAAATGCAGGCATTATGGATTTCTCTATAAGAAAATAACAGATAACAGAATGCAAATATTACCTGAGTTGATAGTAACTTCAAATACAATAACATCAAAATTGAGATCTTCTGTTTACTGTAATTTGTTGACAATAGCAAAATTGAAGGAAAAAACTTAAATATCCATCAGTAAAAGCTGTATCATTTCATTGTAGCTGGGTTCTCATTTATGACCTGCTGAAACTATATGAGAGAGAGAGAGTTTGTGCATGTACATGCCTGTGTGTGTATCCACAGAGCTTTGTTGCGTGTTAGCATGGACAACAGATGTCTAAAAAAACATCCAAGATATGTTTAACCTTATTTCTAACCTGGTAGTTGAGTATCATTCTTTGTTTTACCTAGATCAACCTCTTCCTTTTGCTCTCCAGCCTGGCTATTTCTCTACTGTCTAAATCAAATTAAGCCTTATTTCAGCCCAATTCCAAGTAATATATAAGGAAGCCGCTTCTTGTTTCAGCTTTAACATTCATCTCTCCTGAAACATCTATTTCTGTAGTCAATAGTCTGCTCCATCTCATTATAACTTATTTCGTTACCAGGCAATATTTTTGGTACTAATACTGCAAAACTGACTTTGGGCTGTTTCTGAGCTTTCTGTTTGACTTTATTGATGTTGATTTTGTCACTAGTATCATACTATCTAAATTACTACTAATTTAGATAGAAATATTACTTAGTAATATTTCTGTAAGTAAATGATAGGGCTAGCTCCTCTTCTAAACAACCTTCCAATGATGCTTTTCTTTTGCAAAGTATTCTTATTCATTTACAATTAGTTTGAGTTCCATGGAAGGCTCTGGTATTTTGCCTGGTACCGTTTCGTTAGTCTACTAAATATAACTTGACCCTTTTCTCAATAACTTAAGAATTATCACAGTGAAAAGTCTGTGATTCTCTATTTTGATACGGTGATACTCATGGGATCTGTTGAGATTCATGAGGCTGTTAGTGCTTATGCTGTGTAAGTCCTATTCTTTGCATAGTTTTTCTCTTTTATTGCTTGTTAGTAGTTTTGACTGTTAGATGCCATTCATATACTTACTTTGTAGCAGACCTGCCATCACCCCAGCCCCCCTTTTCCCCTAATTTTCTGCTTTTGACTTGTTGTGGCCTGGGAAGACAGATGACCAGCTCATTAAAAATGTTTGTAAAGCTATGGATAAGGAAACTTTGAACCAGAGCATCTCTAAGGAGGTTATGTGTTTGTTTTGTTATGTTTTGTTTTTAGACTTTAGAACATGAACTGCCAAAACATATTTTAGGTGTCTTGAGGCATTTTCCCCAGCTCTTCTTTATTTTGAAGGGGTGTGATGAGCTGTATTTTAAGAAAATAAATATGATATCTTTAACTGAGTACTAAACTTTAGATTATTTTATATTGGGGGTGTCTAATAGTTGTACTTATTCAAATTTTTAAAAATACAAGTTTATCTACAAAATAAACATAATTTTTGTTTCTGTCATTTGTAAACTCTGTAGGATGTCTCCATCTTTCTTACCGAATCATTAAAATGCTATTTCCCTGAAGTTGATTATTTTTTTTCTTCCTTTTTTTTTAAATTTCTTTTTTTTAAACTTGGTTGGCAACTTAGATGTCTCCCCCCCACCAGTAAATACAAGACACGTAAGATCTTGAATAGGGAAACGCTGGTTCTTTACTCCCCCAACTCCCTCTGAAGGCAGGCTTGTCTGTCTGGTGATAGACGACAGGGAAGAAGGGCCCAGGAGGCCACTGGCCTGCAGCTGTTAACGCCTGAGCTCCCTCAGGACATTTTCATGTCTCTTGCCCACACCAGAAACAAAGTAGAGCTGTTCTTTTACCCTTTTACCTAACCACAGAATAATGGCTTAAATACTAAGTGTGTTTTTGCATTTCAGGTTATGGTTTTGTCGACTTTGACAGCCCTGCAGCAGCTCAAAAAGCTGTGTCTGCCCTGAAGGCCAGTGGGGTTCAAGCTCAAATGGCAAAGGTGAGTTGAGAGCCAGCAATTGCTTCTCTGTTCCACAGCTTTGGTTGTGAAGCCCGACAGGTCTGCTTTTTCTATCTGCATCTGTAATCTCCCCTTCATCCCACTCAGCACAGCGCCTTCTGGACACTTGTCCTGTGCCTCCGCAGCCTCCACAGTCACTATTGTGCAAAGGACTGTTCCTTGTAACTTAATCTATGAAGGAGGATTTATAAATATATAAAATTTACATAGTAAATTATGTAACCCCATAAGTAAATTGAGAAATAGCAGCATATTTTCTCAGGTAATCAGGTATTTGTGAGTCTTTAAGATCTGTACTGTTTTTTTTTTTTTTAAATTTAAATGTCAATGCCCAGGGAATGAATACACTTCTAGACATGTTTCAAAAGATAATTATGTATAGCATATAGCATATTCTATTTCAAAAATATATATAACTGGCACATACATTATACAAATAATAAAACAAGTAGTTTTAATGCACATGTGGGCTACAGATGCTATTTTTACTGTGCAATAGTGAGACATTTTTAGGTATTGATTATTAATGGTATATAAATCTACTTTTTAGTAGTTCTATAATGACTTTATTCAAAATTTATTTCTGATGAACTTTTAGCATATTTTAGATGAGCAATATTGTTGAAAATTTCTTCAAGTGAGTAACTTGCTTGAATGTTAGGGGATTATAAAATGGGAGACCATGTTTCATGCTTAATATATATTTTAGCACAGTACACATGGATGTTAATTATGATAAGGTACATTTTTTTTTTCTTGAAAACTTTCATATTATGGTAGTTTCCCTCTACGGTTTTGACTTAGAATATCACAGTTTCTGGATGTAAATGGAGTTGATCAGCCAGTCATTGTGTCCTTCTCTTTGCATTAGGTTCATCCTGAAAGTTAGTTTAAGATGCTCAGACCCTCTTCCAAAAGTAATGATGCCTTAGATAGACTTGATGGCCTTGAAAAAGTTGGCCTTACATGATCTAAATCCCTAGTTCAGGTGCAGTCATAATTCTAAAGCTGGAGGGACCTTAGATTGTCTTGTGCATCTCCCCCCAACCCCACTTTCAAACGGGCATGGCCTTTTTATTAAAAGAGCTAAGGCTCAACAAGGAGAGTCACACTTGGAATGACATGCATCTCTTAAGTGCTTACATTCTATAATACACATTCCATTATGCACCAAACACATTTAGGAGTCTCTGTTGAATAAACTGATATTTATGTCCCAGTCTTTATTACCCAAATGTAATTTTGCATTACATCATAATACCTACTGACTACAGTGCAGTTATTAAGACATCTGTGTAATTAATTAAATTTTTTAAAACCTGAGTTCTTCAGTTGCTACAGAAAATATTTTCAAGCCTGAAACTCAGCAGTTTGATCTTTTGAGTATTCTTTTTAAAAGAGCAATACTTTTATATTATCTGGCTTCTTCAAGTAAAGAGGAAAGTAACAAGCCTGAAACTCAGCAGTTTGATCTTTTGAGTATTCTTTTTAAAAGAGCAATACTTTTATATTATCTGGCTTCTTCAAGTAAAGAGGAAAGTAATTTTATACTGTCTTCTGCTACTTTTGAATTGTAGCACGTAATTGTTCCCTGAGAAGCATTTACATACACATAAGAAGGTTCATAGAAGTTAAAGGACTCTGGTAAGCGGATAAGTTACCTCCCAGGACCTTAAGGATGTTGAAAAACCAGTGTGAAGCTATAGGGTAGAGATGTACTTTGAATGAAAGAATCAACATAAAGATTTCAGTAATTAGTAAGAGGAATCACCTTTCTAAGTAGCCGTTGCCATTTAATATTTTTAAAACTTTGCATTGAGTTGGACTTACTTTAGATTTTCTTAAACTCCAGAGTAAGAAGTTAAAATAAACAGACTATATATATATATATATATATATATAGATAGATAGATAGATAGATAGATTTTTTTTTTTTTTTGGAGACAGGGTCTCACTCTGTCACCCAGGCTGGAGTGCAGTGGCACAATCTTGGCTTACTGCAACCTCTGCCCCTCCAGGTTCAAGCGATTCTCCTGCCTCAGCCTCCTGAGTAGCTGGGATTACAGGCACATGCCACCACACCCGGATAATTTTTGTATTTTTAGTAGAGACAGGATTTTGCCATGTTGGCCAGGCTGGTCTTGAACTCCTGATCTCAAGTGATCTGCCCACCTCAGCCTCTCAAAGTGCTGGGATTACAGGCATGAACCACCACACCTGGCCTCATGTGAGCACCATGATTTTCAGATTATTTGTCCATCGCGTAGAGATTCTCTGTGACATTATTGAAAGACGGTGATTATGAGGTTTTAAATATGTTTATTATGACTATGTGATACCTATGTTGCATAATGATTTGCAGAATGTTTAATCTGGTTCTGTAAACAATGGGTAACCCGGCATTGTATAAGCAGGACTTTTAGGGCACACTCGGAAAACAACTTACTTCTTTCCCCCACTGTCCGTTCTATTAATAATGCACTCACTGAAGCTCCTTGCTTTTGGATAAAATCCAGGGCAAGTCTCACGACTTCTGCAGCCACTGTCGTTATTTCAAGAAGTTCCCCAAGCTTCTTTCGTTTCAGGTGTTTCTGGTTGATATGTGTTTGGTAGAATGCCTCAATTTTTCATAGCCAAACTCCATGAAGCGTACATATGTTTCAATACATTTTCAGTCAGAGTCTCAAGTTACATAGCAAATACAGTTTATAGAATGTCAGACTCATATGTAGATGTTTTTAAAACTGCTGAGAGTCAACATAAGGGATGTGTGTCTTGGATATTGCTGATGCTGAGAGACATCACAGCCTAAAAAGCAATTGTTGGCTGACAACCGTATTATTTGGTGATCAGGCAGCAGTGTTTCCATTCCAACAGAACCATTTGTTATATGTGTGCACACACATACAGAGACAGATGTAATGATGAGTGTATTTAGTTACATTTTAGGGAATTATAGAAAAATAGGAAAATAAAATAGTTACATTTTAGAAAATTTGGTTGAGGATTTTGACTGATGTGTAATACATTATAATTTTTTCCTGTTTAACATAATGTGAAATAGGCTCTCGGTTAACATTTTGATGCTGAATTTCTGATTTTCAGGAACAGATTATGATGTTAAGTGTGTGTGATGCCTGTAATTTAATACTCCAGTACTGTTTATTTGACAAAAATTTTGAGTATCATGTAGTGAATCTTCAGCTGAAGCTTCTCCCTTCCCTGGATTAGGTCTGCTCCAAGTAGCAAGCTTATAGTGAGATGAGCAAATGATTCATTTCTTTCCTATTTCCAAAGCTTGTGTTTTTCTCACTCTTCCTTCAGCTCACTAGCCATGGCTTCATTTAACCCCTCCAGGGATGGTGTGCTGGAAAAGGATGACCTGACAGTGAGGTCATCTGATGTTGATTTTTCTAGCCAGGCAGCATGCTGATGTTTTCTCTCATGGAATGCTTTGGTTTTCTGAGGTCTTTAACCAACTCCATCCCCACCTCCCTAAATTGATCTTTCTCTCCTATAGCTCCTTGAAGTGAAAGAATACATGTCCTCAGGTTGACATGGTCAGCTCCTGATAATCTAATGGTCTATCTTCAGCCCCTTTCTGCTGGAATTTCTTCCCCTCGAAGCAGCCTTCTTGGGAGGATCTAACACAACCCTGGGCCAACTCTACCTGTGTGGCCCACATCTGATCTACCTTTGCCAGTCATCCTTAGGAGAGAGTTACTTCCCAGCCATACTTGTCAGCCTTTCAGCCTTTCTCCTTGAAGATTCCCTTAGATTTTAAGTTAGACATCTATCTATTGTATCCATTCAGGTTCCTGAGACACAGATCGAGCTCCCTGAGTGGTCGCCCTCTCTTGCTTGACTGATGGTGAGAGGAAAGCAATTCACATGGTGAGACTTGGAACGCTTCAGCGTTTCTCTCCCCATAAATGCTCACTCTCAGTCTCCCCAGTCTCTTAGACATAGGAAGTGAGCAGTCAGTTAAGTGTCCCAAACCAGTTCTCAGCCAGCGCCTTTCAGGCTGTCTTTAGGTGGTCTGATTTCTCACTCTGGAATGTGGGAGTGCCTGACACCCATTGTTTTGTGGTCTCCCCTTAAACAGAATTAGAAAGAGTTCTATTTTAGCAATCTGTTAAGAATGTAGAGGCTTCAGTTAGAGTGGCCCCTGAACACTTACCTAGGCACCATTTTCAATGCCTGTAATATTAAGCAGCATAGAATATTAACTATACACTGTTTTGAAGAAGCCTTTACAATGCATTTATTCAACACTGGACTGGGTATATATTGGCACTATATGTCGTGTCTACAGCGCTCTTCAAATACTAGCTTTCCCCCAGGTTGAAAATGAGCACTGTTCAAAGACCTCTTTAGAAAGCTTGATACTATACATTGGCTAAGGAAAAGGACCCCTTCCTCCATCATCTGTGGCGAGGACCAGTACTCAGGTTCAGAGGTGCTGGCCAGCTGCCAACATTCTGCATATTGTGAATTTCTTTAGGTCCCTGTAGAATGACTTGAGATTCCTAGACCTGATTTCTTTTTTATGATATCATTATAGTTACAAGAGGTATTTTAAATGTCAGTGGGTTTATTGTTCTATACCATAGAACCATGAGTTTGAGTATCTAGACTTGACTTAGCCCCTTTATGCTGTCTGGATAAAGGAGCACCTGAAACACATCTTTCAGGGAGATGATTTTTGTTTTGTTTTGTTTTGTTTTGTTTTGTTTTTTGAGACCAGATCTGGCTCTGTCACCCAGGCTGGAGTGCAGTGGGGTGATATCGGCTCACTGCAACCTCCGCCTCCCAGGTTCAAGCGATCCTTCCACCCTCAGCTTCCTGAGTAGCTGGGACTACAGGCACGCACTACCACACCTGGCTAATTTTTGTATTTTTTTGCAGAGACCAGGTTTCGCCATGTTGCCCAGGCTGGTCTCGCACTCGTGAGCTCAAGCAATCCACCTGCCTAGGATTGTAAGCATGAGCCACCACACCCAGTGGGGAAATGATTTTTAAAAGGAGTTTAAGTCCAGCCCCTGTGCTTGGGTGATAGGGAGGGTACCCGTCACTTTCCACTCTCCTCTAATGAACTAATCAGGAAAATTCATATTGCCATATATTAAAGTCTTTCATCTTTATATAATCAGAAAAAAATTAAGGGCAATCACTTAGAGGATGGGACAGAAATATAATATTGTTTGACATACTGGGTACCTAAGTTGAAAAAGAACCCCACAAATATTCAAAACTAAATTGCAAAACTGCAAAATGAGAGCATTAGAGACCAGTGGTTGGTTTTTATTCTTGTTTTAATTTTCAGCGCTTTGTCTGGTACCTGCCATGTGGCAGGTTTTAAGTGTTTGTTTTGTTGATGATCAAATAAAATAATTGAGAAAATAACTTTTTTCCAAGCTTGGGCAGATATTGAGAATTAAGAAAGGGACAGTTTAAAATTATATCCATCAAGTACACTGATGAAACTTAACCTAATGGCCTTGGGCCTTTTGGAAAACCTGTTTATGTTAAACTAGGCAAATGTTACAAATGTGTACATCTTTCAAATAAAAGACTCACATTCTATAAAAGGAAAAGAAACGCAGATAACGAGCTACAAAGACAGAAAACGCTAATGGACATTGTTTATATCTATTAGCAAAGTGGCTTCTGTAGGCCTTTCATTTCCTCCTATGGCCTGATGGGGGTCAGCAAATCCTCATATGTTTTTTGGCTGTTGGGAAGTTTACACTTTTTTTTTTTTTTTTTTTTTCAATAAATAGGCAGTCACACGAGCAGGAATATAATCCCCCCTCTCCATCCAGAGCTTCACCATGCTCTGAGCAGTTTGCAGTCACATGCCAGTGACTGGCTATCTGCTGGTTGTTGAACCTATTCTGTACAAGAGAAAACAGATGTCTGCTCTTACTGCCAAGTCCCCGTTCTTGCATTTTAGGAACCATTCCACACGCACGGGGAGGTTTTTGTTAATTTCTTTCGGATGATGACTGAGTGCTTTACGCTGTGCAGGACTTCCGATCCTGGCTTTTCTACTCACGTGAACGTTAGTAGCTGTTTATCACTCTGACGGCCAATGTGAGATCTAGTTTTCTACTTGTTATGGAAGCCCTTGAACCCTTCCATGCCTAGGGACAAAGGAGGCCTGTTGACCCTATTTTTATGTTTGGTCACCTATAATTGAAAGAATAAGTGTTTTTTTCACACATAGCATTGTAAATAATAAACCAGTTATGGTTGTCACTGCTTTTAAAGATACTAAACTATCCTCATTTCAAGAACCACCACCAGTTATCACATGCATTATATGTCTTGTTCACAGTGAATGTGTGGTTATAAGAATGCATAGACAACAACTAAAAAGAAAGTAAAATTTAAAAAGAAAAAAAAAACACCCGTGAAAAGAAGGGATTAGAAAAAAAAGAATTCATGGACACTTTGTTATTTTGTGGCATGTGCTGCCAGCTTGGAGTTTCTTTCCATTCTTTTTTTTTTTTAAATTACTGCAACTTTGTGGACAATGTTTGTAAGATATGTTGACCGTTTGAAAAGAAACATAAATAACATTAGCGCTAAAGGTCATCCCAAATGAAATTAGGTTTTTAACCGACAGGGTCGTTGCTATTGAAAACAAATGCATTCACATCATAGGAAATACTTACCTGCGTTAGTCTACTCTATTTCACTATATCAAAGAGTGGGTTAAGAGCCCAGTTCTTTCTGGGATTCTGATTTATAGCATTTTTAAATATTATTTCCTCATCGGTAAACTTTCAAGTTGAATCAAGACTTTAAAGCATGTGTAATATTTTTAATAATATTTTAATAACAGAAGCAACTAAAACACAGATTTAGTGCCTACATTGTCGATCCCCTTCTAAAAATTCTTCATACATAACAAATTCTCCTATGAACATTCTTAAAAAGAAAGTCCACTCCATATATACTCCATATATATGTGTATACACACACACACACACACACACACGAGAGAAACAATCTTGCTCTTGCCCAGGCTGGAATGCAGTAGCATGATCACAACTCATTACAACCTTGAACTCCTGGGCTTAAGCAGTCCTCCTGCCTCAGCCTCCCAAATAGCTGGGACTACAGATGGGCACCACTACATCTCGCTGACTTTTTTTTAAGAGATGAGGTCTCACTGTGTTGTCTAGGCTGGTCTCAAACTCTTGGTCCCAAATGATCCTCCCACCTTGGCCTATACTGGGATTGCAAGTGTGAGCCACTGTGCCTGGCCTCACAATATTTTGATATGTGTTTCTTCTGTAACATTTTTTATACCATATCTCTGTCCAAAGAGTGTTTTAGTGCCCTTTAATTAAGGGGTCCCCATCTTTATTAAAAGATAGAACCTAAAATCAAAACTAAGATGGGTTTGATCATATCATTCCCCTGCTTCCATGCCGCCAAAACCGCCCTATTTTTCAAGATGTAGCTTTCAAACTGCAGTTTCTTCTTCCTCCTGTTTCCCCGTCACCTACCAGTGTGCAATCATGTGTTGCTTAATGACGGGGATATATTCTGGTGAATGCATTGTTAGGTGATTTTGTCATCATGTGCACATCATAGAGTGTACTTACACAAACCCAGATGGTGTAGCTTGCTGTACACCTAGGCTATGTGGTATAGCCTCTTGCTCTTAGGCTACTAACCTGTACAACATCTTACTGTACTGAATACTGTTAGCAGTTATAATACAATGATAAGTATTTGTGTATCTAAATATAGAAAAGGTACAGTAAAAATATGGTATAAAAGATAAAAATGGTGCACCCTTATAGGGCACTTACCATGACTGGAGCTTAGAGGACTGGAAGTTGCTCTGGATGAGTCAGTGAGTGAGTGGTGAGTGAATGGGAAGGCCTAAGACATTACACTGCTGTAGACTTTATAAACACTGTATACTTAGACTACATTAAATTTATTTTAAAAAATTTCTTTCTGGCCAGGCACAGTGGCCTACACCTTTAATCCCAGCACTTTGGGAGGCCAAGGTGGGTGGATCACAAGGTCAAGAGATCGAGACCATCCTGGCCAACATGGTGAAACTCCATCTCTACTAAAAATACAAAAATTAGCTGGGCGTGGTAGTACATGCCTGTAGTCCCAGCTACTCAGGAGGCTGAGGCAGGAGAATCGCTTGAACCCGGGAGGCAGAAGTTGCAGTGAGCTGAGATCGCGCCACTGCACTCCATCCTGGCACAGAGCAAGACTCCATCTCAAAAAAAGAAAAATTTTTGTTCTTCATTAATGAATCAGCTTATTGTAACTTTTTTACTTTATAAACCTTTAAATTTAAGTTTTTGACTTTTGTCAAGTATGTGTGTTTTAGCTTAAAACACATACATTATGCAGCTGTACAAAAGTATTTTCTTTATACATTTATTCTATAAGCATTGTTCTATTTTAAAATCTATTATTTATTATTTTCTAAACTTTTTTATAAAAAACTAAGACACTAACACACACATTAGCCAGGGCTACACAGTGTCAGGATCATCAAGACATTACCAGGTGATAGGAAGTTTTCATCTCTATTACAGGACCACCATCGTATATGCCATCCGCCATTAACTGAAATGTCATTATGCAGCTCATGTGCGTAATATCACAAGATAAGCATGGCTTATCTTCCTGGAGTGTCGGTGTTACTTACTGGTATTAGGTCAAAAACATTGTTTCTCTATTAAAATAAACTTAGATAGGAAGTAGATTGCAAAATTTACATGACTTTTTTTTAAAGATAAAACACAAGACTTCAAGAACATTTTGCAGCTCTGGCAAGACTACCTTGCCTTTTGCCTACAGTTACATAATTATTCTCCTTGCTTTTAGCACTGCTTAAGTAGGAAAGCTGAAGCAGTAGTGACTGACAAAGTAAAATCAAACTCCTTAGATAGCCTTTTGCAAGCCTCTTGACTTCTGCTTGATCTTTGGGTCCCAAGTCAATGCCATGTCCTCTGAACAAAGTATTTCCTTTCCCATCTACTCTTGAGTTCAGCTTTTCCAAGAGTCTAAAATTTTCCCTACCCAGAATTGACTATTTTATACGGCTTTGTTATTTCTTGTTTTCGTTAAATTACCTGTTTTTACTGTTGGTGATCATGACTCAAAAGTAGTGTGAACTTTGCCATAGAGCAGAGGACGGAAATTTAGGCAGATCCCTATTGGATGCTAGATGACTTGGTCCAGAATCCTTCATGTATCTCTAAGTTGAATTATTAGCAATAATTAAATTGAAATAATAGCTTCCTGCGCAATAGTGTGCCTGAAATGGACTCCTAAAAATAACAGTGGAGGAGAGGTCAGTTATTTTTAGAAACACCGCAAACAACTGAGAGTTGTGGTTCCATGAGGGCATCCTCTCCAACTCAGTAGTGCCATTTCCAGATCTGCTAAGAAGGGCTTGGTGGGATCGTGTCTGGCCTGCACAGATTGTCCAAGCTTCAGACACTATTTTCAAGAGTCCAGGGTGACTTTGGTGTTCTGAGGTTCTGAGTACTTTAAAAGGACTTGAGCAAAGAAAGTAGCTAATAAAAATAGGTGTGTTAACATAAATATCTCACCTTCTGTTGGAAATTAATGGACAACACTCTCTTCTGTTTTAGCAACAGGAACAAGATCCTACCAACCTCTACATTTCTAATTTGCCACTCTCCATGGATGAGCAAGAACTAGAAAATATGCTCAAACCATTTGGACAAGTTATTTCTACAAGGATACTACGTGATTCCAGTGGTACAAGTCGTGGTGTTGGCTTTGCTAGGTAAGCCTTCTGCCCAGTCTTTATTATGTCAACAACAATAGCTTTGCCAAGTTATCTTGGAAAATTAAAAATGACTAAGAAGAGACAGTTTCAGCTAGGGTTATGGGAGCAGTTGCACTGTGAACTTAAATTATGTGTAAATACCAGACTGCATTTTTCCAGATCTTTTGCAAGTTCATTAGAATTCATGAAGCTGAGCACACTAAATATTTGGGTCCTTATGGAAAGGAACTATCACATGAGCAAAAGTTCTGAACGTGTGTGTGTCCTTAGATCATCAGGATGCTTCTAACTTTTTAAAAATAACAGTCAGTCTCCTAAATTCAATAGATAAATCAGTATGTTTTTTCTTATTCGATGGAAATTTGATTCATCAATAAAGTAAATGAGTTAGGTTTTAAAATGAAATATGTAAAACATTCAGAAAAGTAAGACAAGGACATGATAACTGTGTAACCACCACACAGATATGACAAATACTAACATTTTATAATTTCTATTTCAGATTTTTTTTTTTTTTTGTGAGAAATAAAACCTAGGCCAGGCATGGTGGCTCATGCCTGTAATCCCAGCATTTTGGGAGGCCAGGCGGGCAGAGTTCGAAACCTACCTGGCCGGCGTGGCGAAACCCTGTCTCTACTAAAAATACAAAAATTAACTGGGCCTGGTGGAAGGCACCTGTAATCCCAGCTGCTTGGGAGGCTGAGACATGAGAATCGCTTGAACCTGGGGGATGGAGGTTGCGGTGAGCCGAGATCACGCCACTGCACTCCAGCCTGGGCAACAGAGCGAGACTGTCTTAAAATAAATAAATAAATAAATAAAATCTTCTAGGGGCCGCATGCAGTGGTTCACACCTATAATCCCAGCATTTGGGGAGGCCAAGGCGGAAGGATTGCTTGAGCCCAAGAGTTTGAGACCAGCCTGGGCAACATAGTGAGACCCTTTCTCTACAAAAAGTTTAAAAATTAGCCAGGCATGGTGGCACATGCCTATAGTCCCAGCTGCAGGGGAAGCTGAGGCAGAAGGATTGCTTGAGCCCAGGAATTGGAGGATACAGTGAGCCTTGATCATGCCAGTGCACTCCAGCCTGGGTGACAGATCTGTCTTTAAAAAAAAAAAAAAAGTCTAAAAGTCTAGTTATAGCTAAAGTGCCCTCACTCCTTCCATCTAATTTTTTATCTTTTTCTCCCCAGAAAAAAAACACTTCAGAGTAGTGGTTATTTTGGTTTCTGATGGAAAAATACTAAATAGAAAGCTCTTTGATTTTGATCAGAATTCTAATCTAAAAGCCCATGTATAAAAGCTGATTTTTATATGATGCATTAATTAGAAACTTATTAATACTCTGCAATAACAAATAATGTGTATATATTTTAAAGTAATGACTTTGATTTTGTAGGAAGAATTTCTGAGGGTTTGCTTTTATACACAAATGACAATCACATCTTACCTCAGACCTGTTATATATCAACAAAGCATTATTATTATGTTGTTTTATATAGAAGAAAATTGAGACAAAAAAGGGAACTTTTCCATTGTTACCTAACTGCCAAATAATGAAGCAGGGGCTAGTACTTGGTTCATCTGGATTTTAGTTCATTGCTGTTTCTGTCAGGCCAGTTAGTTTTATCATAAAACTAAAACATCCTATGAGTAGTAAGTCACCAAGGCCAGCATCTCCAGCATGTGCTCCACTTGTTAAAATGACGCAAGTGAGTCACTGAATAGCTCAGCATCATTTTGTCACCTCTGTGGGTGTTCTGAAAACAGATCAAGTCGTATCATTTCTGTATCCAAAGAGAGAATTCAATTAAATTACATTGTTTTTTGAAACTATCACTGTTTGTTAAAACTAAGATGTAACTCTCTGAGTAGTCCAGGAGTATAGAGTGTTTTTAGTAGATTATTCAGTGTTGCATCCATTAAAGAAAAATGATTTGAAGTAATTTAAGTTCCCAGCAATGTTTCTCAGATACTTTCAGCCACCTATAGGAATTGACTAAGTTGTAAAGTTAGCCTCCAGCCTTTACTCCTCCAAAGCCAAGGTGACAAAGAAAGTATATAGTTGACTTCACTAATTTAATTTTAAACCTGAAGCAAATGTAAGAAGCATATAAGGCGCACCCTCTCACTGATACTGGCTGTTATCATGACTTTTTAGTCTGTCATTTTGTGAATTTGTGAAAGCAAAGACAATTTTAAAATGACTAGTATTTTAGCAAGTAGAAAATACCCTAGTATTTTAAACTGTTGTATCTGCAATTCACTATTATGGCTAACAAAGCTATTGTGTATTGATTTTTCAATTTTACAACAATTACAATAAAATTATCCGTTTGATATACTTGATCTTAAACACTCAGTAGATTCTTGCTTTGCTTCAGAATATACTCTATTGTTATCAGTTGTCATTTTACTATAGAAGTACAAAAGCAGCAGTTAGATAAAAGGTAGAATAGACCCTTTATCATATTCACATTTTTACTAGGTTTCATTTATATCCAAAAAACCTATAAGAATGTTTATGCATGCACCGAACAAGATGAAAGTTAAGAAACCTTTAAATATTTATGTATTCTATTTTTATTATAAATAGGATGGAATCAACAGAAAAATGTGAAGCTGTTATTGGTCATTTTAATGGAAAATTTATTAAGACACCACCAGGAGTTTCTGGTATGTTGTTTGTCTGAAACTTCATCAGTAGTCTTCTATATGATGTATGTTTAACTTTAGCACATGATGACTCTTCAATAGAACAAAAACCCCTCATTTCACTCTTTAAGATGCATTTTGTTGGATTTAGAAATAAGACTTAAAAATTCACCTCTCCCTAGGCATAGGCATTGGATGTTTAAATGTTAATGGAAGCAGTGGTAAGGAGCTGACTTGTAAAGCATTGTGCAATTCACTCCTCTTTTGATGCAGCAGCCAGCTTCTGAACCACCTTATCACCATCCTCAGTGAACCTCCCTTCATTTGATCATATCCGTTGAGCACTGTGGTACCTTTCTATCCCAGCAGTGCCTAGACCTCAGTTCCTATGGCCTTTATGTCCACTCCACTTTAGCCACTTTCTCCCATGGTTTTACATTGTGTTGTCATTACCAAGAACACCACACTTCATGGGTTTTTCATTCCAATGTCACACTTACTCTAACTCCCACAAACCCTGATCTGAAATACAAAGGGATCCTTCTCTTTTCACTGTTTATTCATCCTCCTTTACCTGTTTCTCTTTCCTACTAAGTCTGGTCTCCATTTTTGAGTGTTAAAATCATTTCTTAAGTGGCATTCTCCTTTTTCTTGCACCCCATCCCTTGTTCACACTGTCATGACAGAATGCTGAACCTGAATTAATCCTGCTGTAATTCACGCACACCACTCCTGTTATATCCATGCAGCCAAAGATTGGCACTACCACAAATTAAATGTCTTCAGCTTAATCAATTGCTCAGCACCACCAGTCCTCACTCAGCTTCCTTACCCTTCCCTAGCAGCAGTTCTCAATTTCCCCAGCCTGCTCAGTCCCCTACCTAACCCCCTCCCTAATCTCAAGTGGATGACTTCACTTCCTACTTGATGAATAAAATTGAAATCACCAGCTAGAAGCTCCGTCAGCTTCCTGCTCTCTCCCAGCAAGGGGACCTACACCCACATCCAGTCTTATCAGTCCCCTTTCTTAAAGTCTCATGTACAAGGGTTTCGAAGCTGTCCTTGAGGTGCCGTCTCATTGAGACATTGCTCTGCCAGTCATTGCCTTGCTCTCCTATAATTTCAGTCTCTGTCTTTTGCTTTTGTTCATTTTTTTTTTCAGCAAAGCCGAGAAATTTGATTTTCAGTTACTAAAATAGATATCTAGCAAGACTAATTGGTGACGAAATGGGGGGAAACGTGCAAACAAGTAACACTAGGAACAAAACTTGTGAACATAACTACAATAGACATTTTTTAAATCACAGGATTCAGTGAACAAAAACTATGAATTACTTCATGCCAAAAATATTCAAGAAGATAGCCATTTGTGTTTGAAATCATTTAAGTCTTTACAATCTAGAAACTAAACTAAGCACTCTGGTTCCTTACAGCACCTTCTCATGTCAACATTTAAAAGTGTAGTCTTCACTTCCTTACTTCCCATTTATGCATCACTCTCTCCAATCTGACATTCCCTGGTGTGTGGTTGAAATTCCTCTTGGTAAATGCGCAATATTAGTTAGCTAGACAGCCATAACAAAGTACCACAAGCTGAGTGGCTTAAACAATAGAAATTTAGTGTCTCAGGGTTCTGGAGGCCAGAAGTCCAAGATCAAGATGTCAGCAGGGTTGGTTCCTTCTACCCAGACACCCAAGCCAGGCTATGAGGGATCTGTTTCAGGCTTCTCTCCTTGGCTTGTAGATGGCTGTCTTCTCCCCGAATCTCCTCACAGCACCTTCCCTCTTTGTGTATCTGTCTCTGTGCCCAGATTTCCCTTTCTTAGGAAGACCGCAGCCATATTGGATGAAGGCCTACCCCCTCGCCATGATCTTACTTTAACTTTGATGACCTTGTCTCTAAGTAAGATCACATTCTGAGGGCTGGGTGTTAGGACCCCACACAGTTCAACCTGTAACTCTTAATTCCTGATTACCCCATCTGGAGAATTTCCCCTCTTTTTATCCTGTGTCTGTCTGCTGTATGTATTTGGGACTGCTGGCCCCTCACTCATCCATGAAGTGCGTCCTCCCTTGACTACTTTTGCACCTGTCTCCGTTTTCTTCCCATCTTGTGTTAATCCTTTCTCTTTTGTAAACTTATTTCTTCTATCTGCTTTTAATTGTTAGTGTTGCCTTGAATTCCATTTTTTGGCTCAGGATTCTGATAATTTCATCTACTCTCAAGGTTTTAACTACTACTTATATTCATAGTCATTGACTCTCATTCATCTCTCATCCTGGCTGTTCCCCAGAGTTTCAGACTGCCTGACCTCAGTTACCTTATATTCATCCTCTCCAGAACTACACTAGTCCCCCTTACCTCACTTCCCATCTAATTCTGCTCTTCCTCCTGTTTTCCTGCTCTCAGTTAGTGGAACCAGTATCTACCCAGACTCCCAAGCTAGAAACCCAGGACTGGACTCCCCTACCTCCCCTGTGCTTTGTATCTCACATACAAATAATCATTCAAGTCCCCAAATTTTTCTTTCTGATTATTTCTAGAATCTACCTTCTCCCTCCCTTTCTTCTGCCACTGCCTAGTTTAATTTCTGATCATCTCTCATCTGCACCATTGCATCAGCCCTATTTCTTCTTACCTCTCTAAGGTATTCTCCCTGACTGTAGCCAGAGAGACTTAGATAAAATATATACCTATGTGTCACTTTATTGTTAAAAATCGACCCCCTCTCAGTTAGAAGGAAAGATTGAGGATTCCTGGAATGGCATGGAAAGCCAAAGGTGACAGGAGCCCTTGCCTACTTCTGCAGTCCTGTCTCCCTCCATCCTCTGCCTTCCTGCTTATCCTCCTCCAACATTGAACTACAAATGGTATTCCCAACACAGCGTGCTGCATCATTTTTCTTGGCTTTCTCTCATGGTTTCCAATGACCCAGATCCCTTTGGTTCCCTTTAGCCTGGCTGTCTCTTCCTCAGCTTTCAAGACTGTGTTCAGGGCTTGCCTTCTCCCTGCAAGGACCTCCTCTGACCCAGTTGGGTTATGCTGTGTCTGCAGATCATCACCTTGAGGACACCTCCGTGTGTGCTGTGGCACTTAACATGTTTACATGTGTCAGTCCCACTAAACTAGAAGCTCCTTGAAAGTAGAAACTGTATCTTCAGCTTTTTATTTTCATGCCCACCACAACTTTTGAGCCATACTATGCAACAACAAATATTTGGTGGTTTTGAATAAATTTTACTACACTGTAACACCAGGCCAATACCATGTTCTTAACAAGCTACCATGTGGGGGGAAATTGAAATGTCTTCTGATCTGATTTGCAGCCAGCCACTAGCATGCCACCTGCCAGAAAGGAGAAAGTTTCAAAATTTAGAAACCACATCACCTTGCTTTGAGGGGGAGGTAATGAAATTGTTAAAATGGGGAAAAAGAAAAAAAGCCACATACACCCTCCTCCATCTTTCTCCCCTGTAATTTTAGTCATCTTATGTTTAGCTGGCATAATGCATCTGTAATTCTACTTCCCAATCTGTATCCCAGATCAGCAAGTCTTCTTTGAGCCTTAGGTCCATGTCAGCTAAAAGTCCTACTTTCCAGCTTCTGCCCAAGCATGCCCAAGGGTTAAAGTTGAGGTTTCACTTAGTGTTGGGTACAGGTCTGGAGAGGGAGCCTTTAACTGCTACCCTGGCCACCTGTTTGTTGGAGTGTCAAGTGGGTTCACCATATCAAGAAGATTTATCCCAAATACTCAGGCTGGGAGAGCAGACACTGGTGCTCATATCTGAATGGGGGAGGAGTCTCTAAAGTGAGCAACTGCCACAGAATCCACAAGAATTAGAACAGAGTGCCCCATTTGCCAAAACACAGATTTTTGCCACTTTTTCTATGCAAAAATATGTACACACTGAAGTTAATAGATTCAGTGAATTGAACCTTATTAAATAACATAAAAAAACAGGTCAGGCCCAATCTTGAAAGCAAGCACAGAGGCAATATAGAATATTTATCCCAGTTTTTCACATGAGACACAGCCAAGAAACATTGAGGTGTTTTGAAGTTAGATTCATTCCAGCCAGAAGTCATGGAAGAGAGCAGTTTCTCCAAGGCTGTGCACGTATAACTAGTGTTTAGTATTTATTCCGCCGTAGCTCCACTGTTTTATCTTTAGCTAGATGACTGATGTTTACCATTAGAAATTCACTTTAATTTTCTGTATTCAGTTGCTTTTCATTTCATAGAGAAACTAATTTGTATGTGCAGTTCCACAGGCTACACCTGATCTTGTAATACTAAAACCTGAGAGCACACTGCATCTGTGACTGTATCTGAAGTTGAACTGCTTACATACACAAATTTGGAGCATAAAATATAAAACCTGGAAGTAATTATTTCAAGAAACTCAATCTAGTGGAAGAGATTCCTTTTTTTGTTTTTTAAGTTAGTATTGTTTTCCCATCAACATCAGTAGAGTTGAAAAAAAATGGAAAGAGAAAATAATGTTTTTAACTTCTGCCCAAGTAAAGACAAAGGAGAAATTTTGTACGTGGGAGTCTTCTGTAAACCCTACCCTGTCAGCCTCCGGCATTGAGCACCTGTGCCCAGCTGGCGTTTTCTTGCTCCTACGGTGTCAGCCTTTGCACGAGCAGGGCCCCACACATTAGTCCCTTTGAAGGGACTATTCCACCTACTTGTGACCACCTATTCATCCACCTACTTGTGACCTCTTTGCTTTTTTAACTCATTCTTGTGTGCAACAAGGAAAGTTTGAGAAGGAAAAACATCTAGGACACTTTTGTTTTGATGGTGTATCAGTCTAAGATAAGATCTTCCCTGTTGAAGGAATGGTTTGCTAAATTAATAACAACAAAAGCTCTTCAGTTCCTTGAATACAGTAGATCTCAGGGTGTCACAGATCAAGGTTAGACAGTCTCTTTTTTTCTCTAAAGAACTTCGTGGTTTTGTCATTGGTGTTTTCTTTGAAGGGGGTTTGCAGACTATTGGTCACATCCATTCAAGGGAAATAAAAGCCCTAGATTTCCAAACCACATGTAAATGATCGTAGGATCCTCTTCACCTTCACAGCTAGTAAAGAGTAATTTCTTCCAAGCTGTGCCAAGTTACAAATGGAGCACAAGAAACAGATTAGTTCCTTTTACATTGAGAGCGTTACTGCAGGGGTACAGTTTTTCAGTCAAGCTGTTCACTTTGTTCTGAATTAGCACTTAATTTTGTGCCATTTTGAATGTGTAATGATCTTTTGAGTGTGTAAGTCTTGGTTGACAATTAGATTGCATGTTCTTTGGGGGCAGGAGCTATGTTTTCTTTTTAATTTTGTGCTAGACTCAGGGAACTTGTGCATCACCCTACCACCAGAAGTTACCAACAGGTTTCTAAGAGCATTTTTCATGCAGAGCTCTTCCCAAGAATTATTGCTAATTTGAGGGCCTTTTTGGATACCACCTTTTTGCACAGGAGGTTAAATTGCCTTTAGGCATGAATGTTAAATGTATAATGCCAGACTTGGAAGCACACTGGCACAGTGAATTCAGCTTTTTCCAAAACAAGTCCCCAGTAGACTTGAAAACCCACAAAGAATGTGAAAGAGTTTTCAACTTCTCTAGACTTCTTTTTTCTTTTTTTTTTTTTTCTTGTATACATGGTGACTTCAGAATTCTTTTGAGTACCAGTTTGTGTATTAGATACTGTTCTTTCTTTATATCCCCTGAATGGTTACTCCATAGCATCAGTTTCTCTGTGGAGGGCATATGATTATTATCAGAAGAACCAGATAAAAAACAAAAATATTGTCAGGCAGGGGTCAGTTGAATGAGCCTCCACTTGAATGTTTGCATAATGTAGTCTCATTGATAGGTAGACATAACATTTCATAAATACAGTCAGAAGACGGTTTATTTAATGATGCAAGTTGTTTAGCTGGCGTAAGCAGAATTATCTGGGATGATTCCTGTCAGAATACTTGGATTCTTGCATGGCTGGCAGTTTGCCCATGACATTGGAGCCAAGTACAGAAAAGAAACCCACGTTAGACACAATTCCCGAAAGATACTTTCTCAAAATGAACAAACTGAACAATGAACTCATCCTAGCTGTGACACTCTTAAGGAAGTCTCTAGATGACTAAGCAGGAGGAAGTCAGCTATGCACATGAGCTGTCACTTCTACACTGCCTGCCCTCCTGCCACCATATTCTTTCCATACCCGAGTGGCATGGCTGGGTCCCTCATGCCAGCCATGTTCCACTCTGGCCTGGGGCATGGCACATAATAAAGCACATGGTTACAGTTTTGTAAAAATCTAATGTACCACATCACAATTTCTAGTGCCGTCTGCTTTCTGAAATGCTCTTTTAAAATCTTGTGCTTTTGTGTCTGATGTCACTATATTTTAAAAGAGGCTTTATCTTTTCTTATAGCAGATGTTTCTTTAAATGTATATTATAGTTTGTTGGGGGAAAAAATAATTGCTTATGTGGCCTTTCCTTCTGTCTTTCCCCACCCAGTCCTGCATTTTTTCCTGAAATATTGGAGGTGGCTTGTTTGTATTAAGTCAGATTTACATGGAATGTCCCCAACCAGGGTAAAAGAACCCATGGCTTCTTCATGACACAGCTAGGTGAATTCCATCGAGTTTTTCCACAACCACTTAATACTTGCTTGATAAAAATTCCATTATGCAGAAATAGTATGGTGGCAGTTTTCTACACAATGAATGTTAGAAACAGAGATGGGAAGTTTTAGTTATCTAGAACCAGTGTCCAAATTAGGAGACATGCCTCAGGCAAAAACACTGAAACACATGATCATGATTCAGTGATTTGTCTAAAAATGCTCTTCTAGGACCTTCCTGGAAGAGAGTACAGTCTTTGAGAAGACTAATGCGTATGGCATGTGAGCTGGAACTATCCTAGAGCTGAGAACAGCTCTGGCGCCCTGACTCCCTGCACAAACACCTCTCCCCCTCGCCACCACCACCACCTCTCAAAGACAAAGGCTAACTGTGTGTTCAGTGCTGCAGGAGACAGTATGATTTCCCATCTCGCTTTCTGAACCTCTCCATGACATTAATGGAGTGTGAATAAGTCCCTGTGTGCTAAGGGCAGGGAATGCCTGTTAGATTCTCAGTGTTGCACTGTTATCATTCTGCCACATCGCTCACAGCTTCATCTTGTCACAGAGGAGCCTCAATGAAGTGCATATGTGTCTGCTGGCAGACTCCCTTCAAAGGCTTCAGCTTGTTTTACATCTGCTTTCTGTGTTACTCTGACTTTTCCAATTGGTTATGTGTCCAGTGGGGCTTGAAAACCGCTCTTGCCCACATTTCATAACTCTGTGTGTATAGTGATATTATGAGGGCATTGTCCTATGCCAGGTAGCAGAAAAGATAATGTTTAGAGGGAAAATTATGAATCTAGTAAAAGGCCTGGAGATTTTTCAAAGGTTTTTATTGCCCATTTTGTTCCCTTAATATTTCTCTTAAGCATTGTTACCCTGTAAAAACAGAAAATTTTGGTAGCTCTAGGACAAAAGAAATACTTGAAGACATGTGGAATGTCCCTGGTACCTTCAGGATGTGCAGTCATATCTCCCTCACCCGGTACATAAAACAGAACTGGATCTGAACTCACACAGCATCATGAGCTGTACCTTTCAAGGGCTATACTCTTAAGAAGAATTGTTGTCGTGACAGCAAAAGCGCTGGAACAGGCCTAGGTGGCCAGTGGGGCAAGGGCGGTCTTGCAGATCCAGAATTCAAATTCATTCCTACTGAGGAGGAGAAGACTAGTTTTTAAAAAGTGACAGGGGCCCACAACCTGAGATGTGCCAGTGTTCTAGTCCCCACACCAGGCTTATGGTGAGGCTGCCTTACAACAATTATCACCATCGATCACACCCAGCCTACAGCCAGCCTCACAAATCAACATTTTACACCCTTTCACGATCAGGTTCTGCCAGTGAGGAGTAAATAGTGGAGTAAGATTTTATTAAAGCACAAGGCTCTTGGGTAGAAGTTGTAGGTGTTATTGTGTAACAGTTTTCTAAAAGACATTGACCAGTAACTTTATCCTTAACTATAACTTCAACATTTCTTCATTCTGTAAGAAGCCAAGGCAGCAACTCTAGCCAGCTCCTTAAATCTCTCAGATTCAAATCCCATGGATAACAGGCCAGTCCCCAAGTGTTTAGACCTTCTGAACCAGAAGTGTCCCTCTCCTGAGAATTTTTCTTCATTTGAAAACAAGAGGAGGAGCCATAATTCAAAAGTTTGAGCTCCCCCTGTTGCCACAGTAGTTAAGAACACTAGCTCTTCTAAGCACTTATTATGTTAACTATAACAATCTTTTGAAGTAGGCACTATTATCATCCCCATTTCAGAGATTATGAGACCAGAGACATTGAATAACTTTCCCGGAGTCACTAGCTAGTAAATACAAAAGCAGAATTTTAAACCCTTGGAGACTAATTATGAGCCAGTTAGAATACTGGTTAGAATACCACCATACAGTACACCCACCACTATAGCAGTTGGCACTGGAATTAAAAAAGATTAAGATCCACACACAGATGTTCCTGCGGTGTTAGTTACAATAATAAACTATGCAAATAAAATACTATGTCACCATTAAACAAGGTAGAGAAGGACCCACAACATAAATGGTAGAAGAAAAGGACCTATCATTGCAAATGTGAAAAATAAATGGCTCTACATAGACTTAGAAAAGTAGTAAATATAGAAAATTAAAAGATGTTTGTTGGAGTCATGGGAGGTATGGAGTTTTTGTTTTGTATTTAACATGACTTTAATATTGTCAAATCATTGTTTTACTGATAAACAACTCTTAGTTGATGGGTTGGGAAGTGAGGTGAAGGAGAATTTCAATAAGAAGAAAACTCAAACCCAGCAGGAGCAAAGCATGACTATATATAATCAGGTAACATGATTGTAACATGACGATATTACAAATGTTACTCTCTTCTCAAACTGGGTTGGAGATAGAAACACTACCTAAGGCACAGGGGAGGAGGAGAAACCTAAACAGCCTCGGGAGGAAGAACGTCCACAGAGAAAAGCTGTAGCTCTTCCTAGTGGTTGAATAGGTCAACAGAATTCAGTTAGAAAAGGAGAGGGCTAAAACAGGAAACGATGTTGTGCCCATAAAAAATAGATAATATTTATTGGATCCTTATTGAAATGTTTTAAAAGCAGCAGCTAGTTCCTTGCATTTTGTGAGTTGAGGAGTGTTGAAAGTAGCCAACATTATCAGAAAGAAAGCTAATTACAGTTGCTGAGTGGACTAGTTTTCCACAGTGGATAGGGAAGCTTCTATCAAGGGCAGTTTACATTTTACAGTGTTTTGATTAGGATAAAATACAGCATAACTAGAAAGATGGAAGTTTGGAAGTGACAGTTTCTCCACCTGTTAACTGCTGTCAGCATCTGACAGGGAAAAGCACGGAGAAGACCTTCGTTAGAACCTGCTGAGGAAAAGATCAGTTCTGTTACAAACTCTAGAGAGCTCCAAGTCCTTCCAAGCTGTTTGATAAGTGAGGAGGACTTGCAGATCTCATCATGAGCTACAGTGCTTACTCAGAGCAGGCATTCTAGAAGTGATTTTTTAGTACAAATATCAAAGAAAGACATTGGAGCACAAATCACTGTAGAGTTAAGTTTCAGAAGATCGGTAAGGAAAATACTCGGTGGAGATGGGCAGCAAGTCAGCCTGAGCCTTATCCATGGAGCTCACAGTCTCAGGAAGGATTGTCAGTACCACAAAATCAAGCTTGTGTAAGAGACCATCCCACTCTCAAAGCTCTGTTGAGAGCACACTGGAGAATCCAGTGACATGATTACCTTAGATGGCTCTTAAGAGATGCCGGAAAATATTAGATCAGTGTTTGCATTGCAGTGTTGCCTGGGGCCTTTAACAAATGCTCAAGGTAACACTGCAGTTGTCAAGCTGTTGGAGATGCATGTTCCTGTTGGTTCTGATGAACAGGAAAATAACTCTTTAGTTTTGGGTGATGAGAATGAGAATCCCTTTACAAACCCAAAAGATCACAACTAATTAAGGGGAAATTTAACCTAGAATGCTCTGCATATTTGGCAAAATCAGTTGATTTAAGGGTAGGTTATATCATTTTTATAGTACTTTAACACAGGAATACATCTTAAATCACAAATCATTTGTCAGAATTATTTGTAATCACTGCTTTGCAGAATAAGGTAAAAAGTTGCTAATCTGGAAAAGTAACCATGCATATAGAAGATTGACAGTTACATATTAATTTTTATATTAATTTGGCCAAACTTACATATCACTCAAAGTCATATGACTAGTATTTATGGCACTTCCTTTTCTGCATGTCAGTCTTCCGGTATCTCTCCCTTGTAAAAAACAATTGGAGTTCAGCTGAAAGGTACGCTCTATAGAACAAGCTACTGTCACATAGGATCTCCTGATTCTTCAACCTGTAACCTGTATATTCAGCTCCAAAAGGCAAACTAGGGACTACCGCTGGTTTGGTAGAAGCCACAGGAGATGCTGGCCAAATGAGGATCTCTCATTTTGTAACACGCTCACACACACTTAAAAATAAGTGGGTCATGACATCAGTGTGTTTTGTTTGTTTTTCCTACCCAAAAATCTAACAGATCATCTAACCCTTGCTCAACATCATGGTAAGACCACATATCAATTACAATAAGTCAGGCCCTTTTGCCACCCTAAAATACCTAAAAATTTCTTAAATCTTGATGTAATTTGCTTTCCTAGGGCACATGGACAATCTTTGTAATGAATAAAACATTAAGAACTTATAGGGAGAAGCTGTTTCTAATAATGTCCTTCAAATAAATGGAACAGCAATTGTCAAAGAAATACAGCTGTTTCTGCATCAAAAGTATTTTGCTTCTGGTTAGCATTTTTATTGAAAACAAATACCTCTAAAAACAATGCTCTGTTCCATAAATGACTAAATGGGTTTTCATGAGATTAGGTACACTCTTTTCTCCATTAAACTGCAAGCCCCAGGGAGGCAAGGACCCTGTTTTATCTACCACTGTATCCCCAGCTCTTGTGTACTTGGCACATAGTGGACATTAAGTTAAAATTTTGATGGTTAAATAGACCAAAGAGAATTTTAAAGAGGAAAGCTGTTAGAATTTTATATTGCTTCACATGGAATATTGGGGTACTCCCATTTCCCTGAAACAAGCAGCCAGCAACTATCTCAGAAATGTGTCATTTTTACTGGTTATAATTCTTAAAAAGCTTGTTTTCCTAAGATATGAAATGCCTGCCAGTATACAAACTGTTGTAACTACTTCCCTTTTTGCTTTTAGCGGGGAAAAAATAGCTTAATGACAGCATAGAATCATGTAGTAAATATAATTCATTTTTTGAAAGGTTCAGCTATATCCTCTTCCATTTGTTTATTTTAAATGATCTAATTGCAAACATGTCATCACTCCCTTGATGTTTACCTCCTTGTTATGCATTTTTAGCAGGCTTTATTGTCACCTGAGATTTTTTTTTTCTTTGACAGGCTGGAGTCTAGATGAAGGAAAATGTGTTAGAAGCACCTTATCCACAGATGGGGACACTTGGTCATTCAGCACATGTTGAGCTTAGGCAGGCATCAGGGTCTGGCTGCTTACCTGCTTTTATTCACACCTGCCTGTTTAGGTGGCCTGCACTGAACTTCTAGAATGAGTCCAACCTGATCATTTACTGTCTCTGAAAGAAATTATGCTAATAGAGAAAAACGGCCAGTTGGGATCACTTGCTGAGCCAAGTAACTTCTTTAAAAAAAACAAAAAAAAGGTTAAATTTCAGTCTAGGACCTAGTTTTCATAAACCCTCTAGATAAAAGCACCTCGTTTTAGAGAAGACCCACTATGTACCAGCACCACCAAATTTATTATCTTCTCTCTTGCTCTACGAGATTATGTGGAGTCAACATCTTACAACCTCAAATGTCAGTGGATAAACCTCTCTAGATCTGGGCCAAGGCTTGCTGATAGTCTCACCAGACACCTAACATTTTTGTTCCTGACTCGTCATACCCATAGTCCAGTTGTCATTCAGAAGTGAGTTGGCATTCCAACCCATCCCTCCAGAGTGGTTCACACCAGGGAAAGAAGAAAGGAGTGCCAGGCAGCAGCCCAGACAGCTCACCCAGAAGGAGTTACAGTTGGGCTTTTTGTTTTCTTTTGTTTTGTTTTTTGGCAGAGAAGTGTTGAAAGACACTACTGCTTCCACCCTGTCATTAGTGGGTGGGTAATCATGAAATAAAATAAGAGATGAATTAGGATAATAAGAGGCACAGGAGAAAGGAGTAAATTTTCCACAAGTAATATTTTTCTCTTCGTGGTTATTTAACTTTGAAACAGAACTTGAAAGTAGTAATCATGGTTCTACAGTAGACAAAGGACAGAATGTGGGAACCAGACAGGAAGGTGTGATTGCCTTTATTACATTAACTAGAAACACAGAAAAATGCACAACTTTCTGGAATACACTGCTATTTCCATTGCAGAAAAGCAAAGAAAAGGAAAAGTTACTGGTGCCCTATTGTGCTGTCTGTAGACTTTTTTTTTTTTTTAACTCTAATGAGTATATATCTTTGAAAATATTCTCTACATCTTCTGCTTTTCTGTTTTGGCCTCATGGATTCTGTAAGAAGAATTTATATAAATGTATAGGTATATAGTAATATATATTATAAGTAATATAGTAATAATATACAGATCTATATATAGTGGTATATAGATATATAGTAAAGCAATACCCAGTTGTATGATTAAAGGCACAGAAAAACCTTTAAATAGGGTGGACAAGTATTTTTAGCTTTCTCACAACAGCCATCTTCACTGACGTATCCCAAAAATAAACATATGAGACCTATTTCTATTCATTCACTGATGCAACCAAGATGTAATAAGCAACTACAAAGTCCAGACACTTAGGCACTGGGGATACAGTGATAGACAAAACAGACAATGTTACTGCCCCCATGGGGCGTATAGCCTAGAAGGGGAAACAGACACCAAGCAAGTAAACATACTCACCAATTGTTACAAATTGTGAATAAAAATATATGTGCGAGCAGTGTAGAGGTGGCTTGTTTTCTACTGGGAGAAGTGAAGGGTCCCTCTTAGGAATTATAATGGGACGCTAAGGGACCATTTTAAGTTGGGGGAGGGGAGGATGGCACAATCCTATTGAATTTGAAGATTATTTTGGTGACGGTCCAGAGGTGGAATTGGAGAGGGCCCAAAACCAAAAGAAATGTGTCTACTCTTAAGTGTGAAAGTGAATCGAAAGATTCCTTTGCTTCCTCAGAATAGTTATTTAAATGTTCAGAAATAATAACTAGTATGTTTTTCTGCACTATGTTTTTCATCGTGGACAGTTTTACAAAGGTCTGAGTAAACTGCTTTTGCCTTAAAGTGTTGTATGAATTTTCTAATAGCGTGAACACTATTCCTATTTTTGTAATACATTTTGTCATCCACATACACGTATCATTGTGGTTTCATTTTATTTTTCTCTGTTTACTTAGCCCCCACAGAACCTTTATTGTGTAAGTTTGCTGATGGAGGACAGAAAAAGAGACAGAACCCAAACAAATACATCCCTAATGGAAGACCATGGCATAGAGAAGGAGAGGTGAGACTTGTAAGTCCTTTCTTGAAACTTTGCGGGGTGGGGGAGGGGGTGTGATCTTGAATGCCCACATGAAAAGTAACACAAAAAGGCATCTTGACTTGGCTGCACACTTCTGAAATAGGTGCCAGGATTAAATCTTCCTTTCGGTACATTATAATTCAAGTGATGCCAAATTAAAATTCTTTTCATTATATATGGTGATAACAGAGTGATTCTCCAGATGGACCGATAGGTGGTGGAAGCAGCTGTGTTTACCAGCTAGCTACACATGAAGTAAAAGAGCATTCTAAATTGCCATAAGAAAAACACAAGTGATTTGGGTTTGTTTTTGGTTTTTTTCAGAAACAGGGTTTCTGTAGGCTAGGCGCGGTGGCTCACACCTATAATCCTAGCACTTTGGGAGGCCAAGGCAGGCAGATCACCTGAGATCAGGAGTTAGAGATCAGCCTGGCCAACATGGCGAAACCCCGTCTCTACTAAAAATACAAAAATTAGCCCTGCGTGGTGGTCCATGCCTGTAATCCCAGCTACCTGGGAGGCTGAGGCAGGAGAATCGCTGCAGCCCGGGAGGCAGAGGCTGCAGTGTTCCAAGATCATGCCACTGCACTCCAGCCTGGGCAACAGAGCGAGACTCCATCTCAAAAAAAAAAAACAAAATAAAAAAAAAAAAAAAAGAAAGGAAGAAACATGGTCTCTGTTGCCCAGGCTGGAGTCCAGTGGTGTGGTTATAGCCTACCACAACCTTGAACTCCTGTGCTCAAGCAGTCCTCCCACCTCAGCCTCCTATGTAGCTGAGACGACAGGGACATGCCACCACTCCTGGCTAATTTTTAAAAATTTTTATTTTTTTATTTATTTTTTATTTTTGAGATGGAGTCTTGCTCTGTCGCTCAGGCTGGAGGGCAGTGGCACGATCTCCGCTCACTGCAAGCTCTGCCTCCTGGGTTCATGCCATTCTCCTGCCTCAGCCTCCCAAGTAGCTGGGACTACAGGCACCCACCACCATGCGCGGCTAATTTTTTGTATTTTTACTAGAGATGGGGTTTCACCGTGTTAGTCGGGATGGTCTCAATCTCCTGGCCTCATGATCCACCCACCTCAGCCTCCCAAAGTGCTGGGATTACAGGCGTGAACCATCGTGCTCGGCCTAATTTTTTAAAATTTTTATAGAGATAGGATCTAACTATGTTGCCCAGGCTAGCATGGTTTCTTAGAGGGGTTTATATTTATAATATTTAGAAGTTATCCTAAATAGTAATCTAAATATTTATATATAAATAGTACATTTATCACTGAGTTGGGGTTTTTTTCACCTCTCTTTTGAATAGTTTTTTTTTTAATTAAAACTCTCAATTTCGTAATAAAATGTTGGACGTCCATTTCCCTGTATTGACTTTCCATGAATTATTATTTTAAAAACAATAACATATTGATCCAAGAATGTCTAGGGAAAATGTTCTAGAATCTGCACTGTCCAATAACAGCCACCAGCCACAGGTGGCTCTCTGAGCACTTGAAACGTAGCTAGTATGCTAGAGAGATTGATTTTTTATGTAGTTTTAAATAGCTGCATGTGGCTTATGACTATCACATGGGACAGTGCAGGTCCAGAGATTAATTTTCATATTTATAGTCATTTTGACTAACAGAAACTCCCAATTTTATCAAATGCTACTAGACTCTAAGTACAAATTCCCCTCCCTCCCCTTTTTTTTTAAGAGACAGGGGTCTCCTTCTGTTGCCCAGGCTGGAGTGCAGTGATGTAATCATAGCTAACTACAGCCTCGAACTCCTGGGCTTCAAAAGGATCTTCCCACCTCAGCCTCCCCAGCAGCTGGGACTACAGGTGCACACCACCACACCTGGCTAAAAATAGAATTTTTAAATCATGCCTTTCTAGATGAATGTTTATATTTCTTTCTCTTTCCCATAGGCTGGAATGACACTTACTTACGACCCAACTACAGCTGCTATACAGAACGGGTATGTCGTTAAAATAAATCCATAATGGCTTGAGGGAAAATGTGAAGGTGGAAAATATCAGACATTTGTTCCATGAATTATTCTATTTAAAGGATTACTTAATAAAGGCTTTTGTGTTTGTTCTAGATTTTATCCTTCACCATACAGTATTGCTACAAACCGAATGATCACTCAAACTTCTATTACACCCTATATTGCATCTCCTGTATCTGCCTACCAGGTTTGTACCTTTAGGATTCGTCAGCAGTATAACCACTTGCGGACCATGAATCTCTGCTACATTTTTATGTGTCTTAAAATTTTGAGCGTTTATGAAATTTGAGTCAAATATTATGCAGCTTGGATACCCAATTTAGTATGAGCTGCTTTGTATTTGGCAGAGCAATTTATGTATAGGAGAATGTAAAGCAAAGGAAAATGTTTGTCAGTGGTCAGTCCTTGGAATCATAGCATTTTGGATTGGAATGAACCCAAACACTTCCTTCACCAAGGGGCCCTGCTTTTGGACACCATGTGTCCCAAAAATTGAAACTTAAGATAATTGCCGTTAGATATAATACAGAATAGGTGTGTACCCTTGCTTTTGTTTATTCTTCAGCAGGAACTGATAAAAGAACAAGTATAAACATGGTAATACATAAAGATGTGTCTCTAGTAGGTAGCATTAAGTGAGCAATGCAGCTGACATTTGAGGTAAAAATATAAAAGCAAAAAGGTGACTTCCTGTTTAGGTTAAGTGAGGAGGCTTTACCTTAAAATAAATTCCCAACTTAGCAACAAAAACTCTTGAAATGTCTTGTATTTCAAGATTTGATTTGATTTTAATGCAAAGGTAGCTCCTGTCCGCCATGAACCCAGTAGTGTACATGCATTTCTCCTCCTGTGTCAGAAAACCTCTAACAGGATTACTTCCTGGACCCAGATAGGAACCTTATAATGGAGTTCAGTTGCAGACATGTGGGAGCAGAGTTCCCTTTTGTTGACCATCAGGATCCTGTGTGACTAAATTTTTGTGTATTCTTGATTTTAAAACAATTGAATTAGATGTTGTAGTCCTAATTTCTGGGGTTAGAGGACTACAATATGTAATCTAATAGTTGTGTTATTTTAACTTCTATAAGCCTCAGTTTCCTCATCTTTAAAATGGGGATAATAATAGTTTCTATCTCATAGGCTTGAGAGAATTATGAAAACCAAATGAGACTGTATAAAGAGCCCAGCCAAGGACCTCACATATCATTATCACTCAGTTAATGTTAGCTATGATTATTATCATTAATATGCATGATTAGGTGGCTGATAATAAGAGTATATTAGTTATACGTTTAAATAATGAATTGGCCAACATAAGCAATGTCATATAACTAATTCTGCCTAAAAACATAAAAATGGTTTTGAATAACAGAAGTGATTAGATACGCTAAAACTGAGGATTGGCATTATCATTCACAGTCTCCTATGCTTCTAGGCTCTTACAGCCTCCTTTCCCTGAGTTGTCACTCGTTTTCTTTTCTTTTTTCTCTCTGGGTTCTTATGTTACTTATTCTGGTGCTTCATTCTGCTGGGCGTAGTATTGACTAATTTAATGCCTCTTTAGTTGTTTTGGATTTAGGATTCCTATCCTTTCTTTGACTGTATAAGACTCAGTGAGATCTGCTCTAGTGCACTTCCCTAATTAACAATTCATGTGTCTGCTATGAAAAGGTAGTCTTTCTTAACTGTCTGAACTTGGAAACCTCTGTCATTTATATGTCACTGAAAATAGGGGCAAGTGTAAGTTATTCTCAGGCAAATGAAAGGTTGTAAGTATTAATTTGAATTTATGTTGCTATAGATATTACAGCTATTAACACATTTCTCCAACACCTCTTTTTCCCTCTTATAATATAAAACCAGTGTGCATTTGGCCACAGAACCATTTTGTACAATAAAAATTAGGAGATCTGTGTCAGTAATAGATTTGATATAGCTAACTAGAAATAACATATTATTTCAGAGGCCTTATTTCCTCTCCTGGGCATTCTGTATTTCTCTAAGATACATATGGAATTTCATTGCATTGCCTGACACTCGGTGCCATAGCCTCAAAGACTGATTTTTAACTACATAAGTTCAGGGACCTAGTAGGGTCAGTGGATGAGCTTTAAGTGATCTGTGACTCCTTAAGTTGTTTGCAAAATGTTGCTTGTGTGTGTGCAATTAAGTGGGGAAAAATGTTCTATTTCCCTAATTAGGTTTTCAGAGGGCTCCATGACCCTAAAGAGGTTAAGAACCAATAGTAAAGAGTTTACAAAACATTATTATTCCCATTTTATAATTAGAAAATTGAGGAATAGAAATTGACAGCAGCTGATTTGCTGCTTAAGAAAGAAAATTAGATGTCATAGTTCCCTAATCCTGTAATGCTATAAGCTATTAGATTATTAAGACCACTGAAGCATATAAAAAATGGGGGCATCTGGCCCAAATTAGGGTCTGTAGGGAGTTGTTTGCCTTCCCATCATATATCCAGTGAGGGCCCTGCACTCATGTTGGAGTGGGCCTTTCTCCACTAAACCACCATAAGCTTATGCAATTGGATTTGAGAAATTGGCAGCTGCAAGAAACCACCAACCCCAATGGGGAAAGGCTACAGTCCAGATAACTGAAATGTTAACAAGGCAGAAGCACTTAACTTTGGTCTGCCTTAGGTGGCAAAGGAAACCAGAGAAAACAAGTATCGGGGCTCTGCTATCAAGGTAAATCGCAATACATTCTTCCCCCATGACTCTTCCCCATATCCTCTCTGTTGAACCTCTGAAGTTAACAATAGGGGATAAAATGCAGGAGGGTTTTGTTGTTAAGAATTGGAAACTGAAACTTAATAAAATTACTTAGACTCTGGAAAGCTCTGGGCATCAAGAAATGGGCTGATATGTTTTTCTCTTGAGTGGCAGACTACACATGCTTTCTTTCCTGCCACAAAACCTGACTCTCACATCTATTTCTCAATTCAGAGGGTCTACTGTGTGGATGCCCATTTGACTGTAGATGTCAAAATCTAGTTACTGAAGTTTAATTTCCTTAATCTGAATTTCAGATTTTTATTTTCTGCACTAAGTAGAAATTGTTGACCACAATACAAGATTTCTAAAATTAATGTCCTAGATATGAAAGAGAAATTGAATTTGGTTTTTTGTATTAAATAAGCACATACTTTAAGGGTTAGCTTCTAATAAGATGTGCTGGAATTAATCGTCATTCATCTGTAATTCTAAAGCACCTAGTTCATACCTTGATTGTTAACACTTTTCACTATTTGAGTTGTTGCTGTGTTTATCTCCCTTGCATAGATAGTAAATTTCTTGAGGGTGGGGCCCAGTCTGTTTCGCCTTTTTCTCTTTGTTGCCTGATACTCAACAATTACTTCTTGAGTGGGCAAATAGAAATTGTTTCTAAATAATCATTTCATCCTGTTCAGAGTGACCAGTTTGCCAAGAATTCTAACTGCCTTAATCTTTTTAATCATTGATAGTATTGTTTCCTTGTTTTCTTTCTGTAGATTTTTAACATGATTAAAAAGAGTTCTAAAGAAATAGGTAAGCTTTACAATGAAAATCAATATTTCTTTCAAAATCCTCCCTTTTCTAGGTGCAAAGTCCTTCGTGGATGCAACCTCAACCATATATTCTACAGCACCCTGTAAGTTTTTTATCTTAATGACTTTGTGTTTTACAAGTAAGTTATGTGTATATTCTCTCTAGGTTAAAACCATTTGCCAAGGGTGGTATAGGATTTGGGAAATTTTAAACATGGAATATGAGAATGTACAATTTCATTATAAAACTTCTTCTCATCCTTATAAAACAACTTGGTAGAAGATATTAAGTTACATTTTCTATAAGAACTTAAAATATATCATATTTGAGGCAGGGCACCATTTTCTTATTCATACCAGCTCTTTAGAGATCATTCAAATGAGAGGCTACATTTTTAATAGTACTTGGGATAAAACCGCTCTCATTTTTTACATTCTGTTTAATGCAGATATAAAGTTCAAAACCGAGATGAAGATTTTCATCAGTGTTACTTGGCCTTTCTATGGAGATTATAAATACTAAAGTGGTAGCACATTATTTGGTAAATAACAAATGTGATTTCTTAATGACGTGAGCATTCATATATATTACATTTTTTTAAATTGAATGAGTTATACTTATTATATAGTGTATTTCATGTGTTTTTCAAAGACACATAAGATCTAGTTTGTGGAAGAAGGGTTTGAAAATTTAAAAATACATATGGAGAACAAAGTTACAATAAGGCTAAGGATGTCCAACACAATGACCCTGCATGCTCACATGAGAAAATCACAAATTTGGCTCTAAGCTTTCTAGTAACTGATGCAAAATGGGAATCCTGGTAAGCAATACAGTTCACAATATGTGTAAAATAAAAACAGATTTGGTTGCTTAGAAAAAGAACTGTATTCTTGGCCTTATGTTCAGACAGCAATTTGTCTTCGGATACCTTTTAAAGTGGATACTGCGATGTAAGACCATGTATATGAAATAGCAATCCAGGGATAACAGGTTCTGAATGAGAAATTGCTGAGATGACCTTTAAGAAGCAGATAAAACATGTTTAGGTGATGAAATAGGAGAGGCGCGCTCTGATATATGTATACGTTTTGTGTGATATATACACATACATATAGATCTATACATGTGCACATACATAGACACATCTTCAAACCCACACTTACCTGTACATGTGTACATAATATACATGCACTGATCCACACATGCCCATAGCAATCTGTGTCCCTGATACTCCATGCTACCCTATTTTGGAATGCTTGGAAATCAGCTTGCTTTGAATTTGAGGACTTCCTATTACAGATGGTGCCAATGAATGAGAAAAAGGAGCAGGAAACTGCTCCACCATCTTCTAGGCTTCTGAGTCATTTCCGTGTTACCACTTGCTTTTTGATGATGCATGTTAAAAAAAAAATTTCTAACAGAATGTATTAATGACAAACATTATCTCTGACACACATCTATATCTTTTTTTCTTTTTGGCAACATTTGAGAAAAAGACTGCACGTATCTGAGCTTAACATCTTTGAGGAGACATTAGGAATGTAAGCAGAAGGTTGCTATCTGAGGATTCATTACCTTTCCCCACCCAGCTTTAAACTGCCTGATTTACATCAGAATTAAAGTTCCTGTACACCTAACTCTGTCCTAGATTGTCTATCTAATTATCAATAAATAACAGTTGTATTTAAGGGATGCCAGGTACAGTGATAACAAAACATACATTAGTAGTTACAGAGCGTGTCAGAATACTTGCATTCTCAGATAATGAGGTGATTGCAAAAGTCCAAAAATAAAGAGTTCATTGAATTTTGGTTTATACAATCAATGTAACCATTTAAAAAAATGATGATAATGATAGTTTTTCAACAAGCTAGGTAAATGGTTAGAATAGAATGCAAAGTTAAGAGCAAAATCCCAGGATATGAAGTTGTTGATGTGCTCTGATTGAACCTGTACAGAAACACACAGAGGCTATGATCTGGCAGTAGTACCCTGACATTGCTAACAGTGGTTGTATTAGACTGGCTGAGTTAGAAGCAATTGTTTTTTTTTTCCCTCCTATTTTCCTAAATATATTTAATTTGATTTTAATGACTAACATTTTTTCAAATTAAATAAAAGAATCTGGACTCAGATTATTAATCATATCTGAATTGCCTTCCCTCCCAGGCACCAAAATGTAACTTAAAGTTCTGAGAAACACTGAGTGAATGAAGAAATGTGCTCTTGATCCTAACAACCTGATCTTGAACCAGACGATTATCTGGATAGAACATTGTTAAACAAAATACTATATTGATCTTATTAAATATAATACATTGTTTGGTGACTGGAGAAAACATCAACTGCCTTTTTTTTCCAGATTTTTTTTTAAGAAAGCGTTTTGTAACCCTAGGCAGGCAGTGATAATCAGTTTGTTTTTCCTATGATAGCTCCTCCTGCTGGACTAGCTTGCTTCCAGTTACTGGAAGTGAAGGGAAAGGGAAGGAGAAGAGGGACACTGGCTTTAATACAGGGATTGTTGTGAAGTGAATGCCAAGATATCATTTCCCCTAACGCTCTTAAAAAACTCTCAGGAAGAGCAATTTAGAAGATTTTTAGGAAACTGTTTATGATGCCATTTGCAAGATTGAGGAAGGTTGTTTTTGCTTCACATTCTTAAACAAACTAAGGTATTTCCTTTGTAAAAAGTAATTACAGGATCTTAACTCTTGCCTCAGTTTGTCTAATTTTGCTCCTGTCTCCAACTCCCCAGGGTGCCGTGTTAACTCCCTCAATGGAGCACACCATGTCACTACAGCCCGCATCAATGATCAGCCCTCTGGCCCAGCAGATGAGTCATCTGTCACTAGGCAGCACCGGAACAGTAGGTGGCAAATAATTATCATGTGTCTCTGTAAACAGAGGAGGGTAAATTAATGCAGCCTGTATCTTCCCTATCAAATGACAGCCTCTATGATAACAGATTATGTCTAATCCCCTCTCTTCCCCCCACATGACCTTCCATAAAGTAAATACTCAGCTATTTCTTAATTAATTGATGAACTGAAAGTCTATTCTCTGGGTATCTCTCCTTTACGAGAATATAGCACCCACACGTGACCACATCTAGCCTTTTATGACTAGTGTCATCTATATAACTAGTACCACTGTCCCTGTGGCAGTGTCATGAAGCGAAAGACGAAGGTAATACAAGATGGTAAAAGCAGGGAATTATTTCTCGCTTATTTCTTCTTTTATGGAGTTTGGGAGTATTGAATCATGGTCTTAATATTGAAATATTTCACCAAAGTCCAGGGGACTCCTTTGGGTAATGAGGTTGAGCTGGCACCAGATCAGCTTCCAGATTTGATGCTTAGCATTTTGCTGGTAAGATGGCTAAAGGATTTTAATTTAGCCTCTATTCTATAGTGGCTTAAAAGAACAAAGGGTGGTGCGTTTTCCCCTTATACACTCAAAACCTACAGCTGTTTCTTGTGAAGGCTAAGCCAGGGCCACACATATCCAATGAGACTGACTAGAAATTTCTCCTGCCTTTGGGAAAGGATGACTGTCAGTGTCAGAAAAGCCAGGCTCTGCTGCCTAATCTGCAGTGACCTGTTAGAGGTCTAATAAGTCTTACCCCTGTGGGCTCTACCTGTAGAAACAATACTAGGTACTAGTTTAGGGGGCTGCTAGAAAATAATGAGGTCCTTTGAGGAGAGATCTTCTAAAATCACACATTAGTGATACTGAATTATTGAGAGTGACAAACTTTTTTATCTTCACCCATAATAAACTTTTTTTATCTTCACTTTGTTAGCAAATCCAAAGAAATGTGGAATTTTTAGTTTAGCAGATTCAAAAAGTAGAAAACAGTTTACCTTCCATATGACATATTTATATGCACTATTTAAGCTTTGAGGTGTAGCCCATTTAAATTTCTTCTTTGAGATTTCCAAATACATTATATCCATCTCACAATCCCCCCACGTACTCCAAATTTTGCATGGTTTACCATTGCCCATTCTGACCTCATTCTTCTTTCTAGTACATGCCTGCAACGTCAGCTATGCAAGGAGCCTACTTGCCACAGTATGCACATATGCAGACGACAGCGGTTCCTGTTGAGGTTGGTAGAGACCATCCAGTGACCATTCTGGCTATAAGTAGTTTCAGAAATGGGTAAATTAAATAGAACTCAGAAAAATCTACCAGACGTCAAATATTTGCATAAAGAATTGCGTTTAGCCAGATGTGGTGGGTCATGCCTGTAAGTCCAACACTTTGGAAGGCTGAGGAGGGAGGATTGCTTATGGTCAGGAGTTAGAGACCAGCCTGGGCAACATAGTGAGATCCCATCTCTACAAAAAATAAAATTGTTTGAAAATTGGCCAGACATGGTGACATGGACCTGTAGTCCCAGCTACTCAGGAGTATGAGGCAGGAAGAACCCTTGAGCCCTGGAGTTTGCAACTACAGTGAGCTATGATCATGACAAATTAGGGTAACAACATCCAGGCCACACCTCTTAAGACTCCCAGAAATATTTTCTAAGCCTATAGTGCCTTTCATACCCCTCGGACGTTCTGTCTTGTCTCTCATAAAATGATACTACAGACATAATAAGATAAATCTGGAGTTTGCAGTCCCAGTACTAAAGATCGTATCAATGATAATTAATAATGACGAAAAGAAATCAGTTGTAGTTAAGATACTTAGTGGAAAAGAGAAAGCTGTTTTGAAACTGCTACAGGGATGAAGAAGAAGCTATAGCTGTTTTTACAGAGGCTGTTAGTATGGCTAGATAACTGTTCTTGTTATGGAAGATACTGATATGAAAGAAAGAAGTCTAGCATTTGAATTATGGTTAGAGAGAAAACGTGGCATTTTCCTGCAAAGTATCCTTAAAATTTCAAGGAAATGTATCAATCCAGTTGATCTTGCCCACTAGGCAGATCCCAAAGGTTCCAATTCCAGGAAAGGATCATAGGACTCTGGCCTGTTGGTGGAGGTGGTGGTGGTGGTGGTGATAGTAGTAGCAGTAGTAGTAGTAGTAGGTGTTGGTGGTGGTGGTGGTGGTGGTGGTGGTGGTAGTAGTATTTTACTTCTGTTTGTGCAATTACTGACAACCACAGTTACCAGAGCCTACAATTCCTTACCTGCAATCTGAAACCCAAAAAGAAATCTGAAAATAAAAATTATCTTTGTAACTACTTTAGCATAAAACCTGACCTATGGCAAAACTCAACCTGAATTGAGATGAGACAAAATCTTGATCCCACTTAACTGTGCTGCTTCATGGCTTCCAGTGTAGAACTATTAATATGTTTGCTTATGAGGTGCAGCCCTAGACCCTACTGGAGGCATTAAATGATATACAGCATATGCATACCACATTTCAGATTATAAAATCTGAAAATACTGAATTCCAAATCACATCTGTCCCCAGGGGATAAGAGGGTAAGAGATTTGTTTGATATGCTGTAGCTTGATAAGAATAGGAAAGTCATAAACATTTGGATGGGAGGTGCTTTGGGTCTGTTAGACATGCCAGCTGCTTAGGGAAATGATTAACCTTGAAAGCTCTACATGACGTGAAGAAATTTACTTTAAAGAGTAACTGTTTTTAAGGCACTGTTGGATTCAGTCAGGCCTAAGTAGCAGAGCTGAGGTTTTTTCACTAACATGTCTCATCCATTCTGCTTTGTTTGTTGTAGGAGGCAAGTGGTCAACAGCAGGTGGCTGTCGAGACGTCTAATGACCATTCTCCATATACCTTTCAACCTAATAAGTAACTGTGAGGTATGAGGGAAAGGTCTTCATAACTGGGGGGCTCAAATCAAGCACAATCTATAGGGCTTTTTTTAAAATCAGAATGGTGATTGGGATAACTCGGATTTTATCATACTGCTTTAATCGTGGCCAAGGCATCTAGTCTTGTTGAAATATTAAAATCAGTGATTTTATGAATTTAAGATTAATCATTTTGTCTAAAGAGAATGCTTTATACTGAAGCCAAATGTATACTCTCCCCACTAAAAAGAAAAAAATAAAAATCTGTAACATCAGAGAACACCAAGAACCAAAATTGTTCTATAATACAAGTATCCTATATCATATTACTTTAATACTCAGAAACTGGAGGACCTATAGCATAAGATGTTGCTCAATCTAGCATTACAAGTTTAGCAACATCTTGATTATGAATTTAGATAAATGTCAATATCCTTAGATTGAAAGATTATATTCCCAACTCTCACTTGAACCACAAATTTCAAAACTTTTCACTTTACCATGCAGACTGTAATAAAATAGCTGTGTAGAACTTAGAATACCCTGGTTTCTGCATTGCCCTGGTGATATAGAATACCTTGGTTTCTGGATTGCCCTGGTGATAACATGTATTTTTGATTTCATAAAGTCACTCTTTAGAGACCCAAATGAATTTGGCTCTAAATTAGAAAAGAAAGTATTTTGCAAGTCCTGGATGTGACAGGCATTGAAAGTAACCATCAGTTCCAGAGTCTGCATTTATCAGTCTACCATCAGTGATGAGCATAACCTTTTTCAAACACATATCTCTTTAAAACAAGAAACAGATTACAAAGCTCTGTAGTGTTTCACACCAAATCTACAAAAGCATTTGTCTTTTATTTTTCTCTTCCAGATGTACAGAAAGGTGTTCTTACATGAAGAAGGGTGTGAAGGCTGAACAATCATGGATTTTTCTGATCAATTGTGCTTTAGGAAATTATTGACAGTTTTGCACAGGTTCTTGAAAACGTTATTTATAATGAAATCAACTAAAACTATTTTTGCTATAAGTTCTATAAGGTGCATAAAACCCTTAAATTCATCTAGTAGCTGTTCCCCCGAACAGGTTTATTTTAGTAAAAAAAAAAAAACAAAAAACAAAAACAAAAGATTTTTATCAAATGTTATGATGCAAAAAAAGAAAAAGAAAAAAAAAAAGAAAAGAAAACTTCAATTTTCTGGGTATGCACAAAGACCATGAAGACTTATCCAAGTGCATGACCGGATTTTTGTGGTTTTGTTCATTTTGTGTTTAATTTGTGTTTTTTTTTTCCAGCTGTATGAAATGGGCTTTCTGAAGTTTAAATAGTCCGACTTCACCCATGGTGTTCTGTGCTTGCAGTGCGAGTGTTGCTGTAATTCAGTGTTGCCGTCAGTGTCTCTTTTCTTAGCTTTCTGTCTTTCTTTCAACGTAGTGTGAAGTGTCTTATCCTTTTCTATGAATTCCAATTTGCCTTAACTCTTTTGATGCTGTAGCTGTTTCAGTAAAAGTTAGTTCAAACTAATGATGTAGAATGCTTTGACCAAATGAGCTGGTCTATTATGCCTTGTAAAACAGCAGCATAGGGCTTTTAAAAGGTAGTCAATAAAAGTTGCTGAAATTTTGGCTTTTTTAAATATGTAGTAGGTGTTTTTAATGATTTTTCACATAATGTGTAAGGTAGTGAAATGCAAGAAGGGAAAAATGTTTTGTGTGAAACACATTTTCTGACTGGGGAACTTTTATTAGGGTAAATTGTTTGTAAGGCTGTACGCCAACAGTTTCCTCTGATAGTTTGACTGATTTAGGATATCTGCTGTATGATGCAATGTAAAGTCTTTTTTGCCTTTTTTCAGGAAAAAAAAAAAGCTAACTTGATGTACTAGATTTAGTGTAGGTAGTGTTGGGGTTGGGGATGGGGGTGGGGGAGGGGAGTCACTGAATGTTTTGTCCTTCCTTTATACTAATGATAGTGCTTTAGAATGAGAATTATGCCTGAAATCTGGCAAACCGAAAAATGTTGCTATTGCAACAAAGTGGCAAAAGCTAAAAGTAAGGATTTATCTTCAAACATAAGCTGAGATAACGAATAGAAGCAAAACGATTGGCTACTAGCTCTCTCTCTCTCTCTCTATTAGGTAAATTTGAAAAATAAAAATGACTTGGCACTTTTAAAGGTAACTTCACCAAAGACCGAAGAGCCAGTAACCAGTAGCTCCAACTTGTCTCAGCATCACATCTTCTGTGCTCTTTATTTTTGCCGGACCAGTTTGCGGTTAGGAGAATGTGCCTTTTTTGTACCTTTGCATTTAGGTTTTATAATTTTAATTGATGTATGGACACACACAAACAAAAAAGCATGAAGGAAGATTTGGATCCAAGCAGTGCCACACTTTACATCATCACTACAAGTGTTCAAGTGTAAAGAAAACCAATTTTGAAACTATGAAATTCCTGATTCATAAATACACAGTTATTTCTACTTTAGTACATATAAGATAATTCACTGTTATTAAAGCTCTTTTATTAAGGCAATTGCATATGTTTTAAAAGCAATGGTAAATTAAGTTGTCTTCCAAAACTGTGTACTTGTCTGGTCAGCTGTGTATGATCAGTTATCTACCTCAGAGTCTATTTTCTTTTGTGCTGGGACAGGTTGCTGGCCCTCCCTGTTTCCACAGACCAAATCCTCCTAGCTCAGGAGCTAGGGCTAAGCAGTTATTTCTTTCAAGTATTTTTTAGTTCTTAAATTTTATGCTTGTATTTGATGATAGATGTCAGTGACATTTCATAGTTTCAAAAGTCCTTGCTGCTCTGAGAAGTGTAGATTCTAGTGAAAATTACATAGTCATAAGAGAAATGTGTTTTTGTTTTTGTTTTTGTTTCATTTTTTTAAAGTTGTGGTATTATTGGTTCTATGCTCCCTGGAATATTACTGCTTTGTGAAAGTCCAGACTGAACGCAGCACCCTCTGTGTACCTAGTACAGTTATAAACCTGGGTCTCTCACTACTTGATATTTTTGCATTAGTTAAGACAGAAATTTGATAGCTCGGTTAGAGGGGAGGGGAAATCTGCTGCTAGAAATGTCTGAACTAAGTGCCATACTCGTCTGGGTAAGATTTGGGAAACATAACCTCTGTACATAAAAAAAAAAAAATCAGTTAAACATCACATAGTAGACAGCCATTAAATTATAAAAAAATTAATTTATGAAGAAAGACCTTTTGTACAGATTGAAAAAAAAAGATTTTCATAGAGATATCTATATGATCAAGAGAGTTAATTTTTTATTTTTGTTTTACTAGTGCCACAGACTTGCCAGTGGTAACTTATTTGTCCGGTTCAAGATAACTCTGTAGTTTTCTTTCCTAGGACTTGTTGTTAAACGCCAAAAGACATTTTTGAACTGTACATTTGATCAGATTGTTAGCTTTTCTGTTTTATTTCTTTTGAGAACCTTTGAATAAAAAACATCTGAAATTTTATTTTTCCTGTCAATTTTTTTTAAGTCGATTAAGTGTATATCAGAATTTCATTTCATTTCTGATCTCTTTCTTCAGCTCAGTAGATTGGTTTGAAAGTGAGTTGAAAGTTATGTCAGATTCAATATATCCTCAAAATACATTTCCTTGAAAACAATTGGAAAAACCTTTCCACCCCACTTTTGCTGGTTATTTAAATCTGTGTAATGACCAGAGACGTCAACCCTCAGCTCAGCACGTCAACCGTCAGCTCAGCACGTCAACGGTCGGCTCAGCAAATATCCAGCCCAAAATACACCACTAGTGGTCTGTTCTTAAAGACCAAAAAACCAGGCCCTTTTTCTTCCTCCTTTCTTGCTGCTACGCCTCAACTATTTCATTGCTTGTCAATGCTCAGCAAGGAAGACAGCCTAACAGCAGCCCTCCCACCTGTGGTAAGGAAGCATGTGGGCGAGAACCTCGGGATAATCTTATCTATGCGTTTATGACCAAGGTCCTCTTTCAGAGCTACCTGTTCAGCTGTTCCCGACTGGAGGCTCCCGTGCAGCATTCACGGAGGAGCGAGAACTCCTCTTTCCCTCACTTGACTGCTTTATAGGAGGCACTTAATATGCAAAATAGGCTCCTTCTGCCCAAAGTGGAGTAAACGTTTTAGTGTGGTGGTTCAGTATTTATTTCCTGGTGTCCAGTGGCTCTGTCATGGTGATAAAAAGAGTGGGCAAGGAAAAGATGCAGTCCGCTCCATTTCTGGCTGCGTCCCCTGCCATGTGGATGGTGTGCGGGGTGAGTTAGATAAGGGAGGGGTCAGAGCACTTAACTTGCCGGAGCCAAGAAATCGCTGGTACTTGATGGCTGTTTCAGAGAAGGAAACAACATTCCTCTGATGCTAACTGGTGCTTCTGAGAGCAAAATGTCAGGGAGGAGAGAAGCATGGCCTCTCGAGACAAACCCAGGCTGCTAAGAATGTAAGCTCTGGTCTCACTTTGCGTTCCAGCCAAACACCTAAGTGCTCCTTTCTATGACCAAAGGTAAGAAAGAAATGCAATTCAGGCTCCTGGGCACCTTCGTTTTTGTTCACCCTATTTTTGTTGTAGCTTCTCGCCGCTGAAGTCCGCGGCCCTCTATCTGGCTGTGTTATGTACTGAAACCGGTAAACATACTCAGGAGCACCAATCCACGGAAAAGGGAGGATCAAGCCAGCGATGGTGGTTCACAGTTACCGCTCCCATATAACTAGAGGGGTTGTGGCATGTTTGGGGATAAACCCCACCTAGCTGAAAGCTCTGAGACTGAAGTGGAATTCTGGGGTTGGAGGAGAGGAAAGAGGGTGTGGCCGTTGCTCTGTGGTCTACGTATTTTCCCCTCTATAGTGGCTGGAATGAGGAAAGCCAGGGAGTGGAGGCGGGAGTCCCGTTTTTCACCCCACTGCCACACCCTTCATGGCCAGTGGCTCTAGGTTTATCCGCTGGAGCTTAAATCCCACAAATACTGATTTAAAATTCACTAGGAGAAAGGCAGTGCCTCCCAGCCTGAGCCGGGGCTCAATGAATGTTAAGATATGACTGATTATATCCTCATTCCATTAGGGTAGCCAAAAAGGAAAAGAGCCAGCGCCATTGGGACAAAGGTCACCGACCTCTCAATCGCCCTGCCCCTTCCACAAAAAGCCTGAGATGTCAAGTAGGTGGGGGAGGGAGGAGAGCCGGGAGCTCAGGATTTGAGGAAGGCCAGGCAGTCTCTGCCCCTCGAATAGCAACGCGATGAGCTCAGCCCCCTCAGTCCAGGCCGAGAGCCAGATGGGGGTCACGTGGCCGCGGGGCCCCCCGGGCGCAGGGTCCTCGGCACAGCTGACGGGTGCGCGCCGAGCTCCGCCGGGCGAAGGAATTCCAGCCCCGCAAAATGGCTCCAGAGTGTCTCCCGTGACTCGCTCGGTGGCTGCGGAAGGCAAGAGGGTGTGTGCGCTTGAGCCGCTAGAGGGAGGGTGTTTTGTTCCTCAGCCGTCAGACGCGAGCTCTGCAGGCCGAAAACCCAGACCCGCTGCAGCCGACATCGGGAAGCCCCTGGGCGGAGGTTTAGCCTGTCGGGGCACACAGGCCTGGGTCACAGGGGTCTTGAATTTGGGGTTCCTCGTAAGACTGGAGCGCAGGCCGTCGCCTGTGCTGGCAGCGCCCTCATTGTGAGCGTTGTTGGTCAGACTGGGGAGTGACTGAAATGTGACTTTGAAGGTTCAGGGCAGCTGGGGGCGGCTAGGGAGGAAACCGCGCGCCTTGCCAGACCACGTGACTCGGCGCGAGAAAGCGATGGCAGGTCTCTGGGCTGCTCAGAATTGAAAACGTGGCTTTGAATTAAAGAATTCGGTTGTTTTATGCGACTCTGAGAGACTTAAGATTTGATGTAGGCTATTCCAGTGCTCACACAGGACCCAGACCATAAACCAGACTGCAGGGATTTCCTATCCTCTAGTATCCTTGAAGCCACCTGCCCTACTTGAACACCTCCAGGGACCAGGCACTGCCTGCCTCACAGGGCATCAGGTAGCTTTAGGGAACAGCTCTCAAACTTGTTTGCAGAGGAGTCCAAATTGTGGCTTTGAAATTCCCACTTACCGGCCTTAGTGCTGCCAACCGGGATGCCACAGAGTCAGTCAGTCATACTTCAAGTGTGGAAACGTGACTCCATGGCTCTGCTCTTCTCTGGGTTGAGCATTCCTTCCAGCTTTAACTCTTCCTCGTCAGCCCTGGTCACTCCACATCATCAACTCACCTTCCAGATGTACCACAGTTGACTCAGGATAAAACCCAAAACCGGAGGAAGAACTTGGGACTTCACCTGTCTCCCCTGCCCTGCCGGTTCCTTTTTGACTTCTCAGACATACCACAATTCTTAGAACTTGTAGCCAGTGAAAATCCCTATGTTGCTTTATTTTTTAAATGACAGTAGTTACGCTAAAGACATGCAAGATAATATGAAGTCATTTTAAAATGAGGACATTTTAATGACATGGAAAATGCTTAGGATATAACGTGAATAAAAAGTGTTAGGAACAGACCTGTAGATACAGTATGATCAAAACTATGAAATAAGTATAAAACCCAAGGAGAGGCTGGGCACAGTGGCTTATGCCTGTAATCTCAACACTGGGAACCAAGGCCAGGGGATTGATTGAGGCCACGAGTTTGAGACCAGCCTGGGCAATATAGCAAGAGTCATCTCTACAAGAAAATTTTAAAAATTAGCCTGGCATGATGGCACACACTTGTAGTCCTAGCCACTTGGGAGGCTCAGACAGGATTGCTTGAGCCCAGGAGTTTGAGGTTGCAGTGGCTGTTATGTTCACGCCACTACACTGTAGCCTGTGTGACAGAGAGATACACTGTCTTAAAAATAAATAACAAGGAGAAAGTACTTCAAAATGCTTATCAAGTGGGAGGATTATAGAAAGTTTGTATTTTCTCATTTATACTTCCCTGAATAATTTTTCCAGTTTTCAACAATGAAAACATTTTATGATCAAGAAAAAAAATTCTTAAAGAATGTTGTCACATTATCCTGAAATTATGCAAGTCACTATGCTCATATTCCAACTAAGCACATTTGATTGATTTTTTTGTGTTTAAAAGATAACTACCCCAAGCATTGGCAGACACAAAGATGATGTGATGTGGTCCCAGTCCTCAAGGGACAATCTTAGAGACACAAGTCTATAAGTGACAATATTATAAGGAGAAGTAAGAAAAGATCTAAATAAAGAGCTTTGGGAGTTCTGTGAGGGGGCGAAGATAATGAAAACATCTCTCCTGAGATTCTCAGTATTTCCACATTTCCAACCAGTTCCTTTTTTACTGATCAGAATTCACTTGAGAGCAGCCATTTTCCTCACGGGTTCCTCTACCTTCTGAGAGATGAAATTGTCAGGCAGACAGACAAAGTCTTTGATAGCTCTGCCCTTGCCAGAATGAGACTTGGAGCAGATGTCCAAAGAGTTGACATTGCTGTCACTTCTGTTCTGAAAATACTGGAATGTGTAAGAAGAAAGAACTGTCCTTTAAAAAAAAAAAAATCAAGTAGGGTGTGGGATACTTTCCAAGTAATGTCATTTTGATTTCTTTTACCCTTGGTCACATGTTCTCCACACATCAGATTATGGATTTGCAAACACCTGTATAGTTTTCCCATGCCCTTCATATATCTTGAGAACTATTTGTTATTTTCTTCAGGGAAGCCTAGGCAGGAATCCCATTTTATCCACTTTGTAACTCATGTCTTTGACACATGTTCAAGACCATAAATATTGTTCCTGGCCTCCTAGCCAGGAACAACAATTTTTCCTAAGAAATACGTGAAGGAACTTCCATTACTGTTATTTTCTCCCTAACATTTAGTTCAATTTTATTGAGAAGATTTTGGATCCTTCAACTTAATTCTTCCAATGATCTGGGTTTTTTGTTTTGTTTTATTTTGTTTTACAAACCTGTATTTTACGAAGATTTGAGGCAACTGTGTAGGAAACACAATTACAAACGTAGAAATCTGGACTTGATAAATTAACAGGGAAGAGACATAAGGAGTACACAGAATGTAGCTCTATAGGCCAAAGTTCTCCACCATCACTACAGTTAAACTTCAATAATTATGTTTCCTGGCAGCCAAGGTGAAAAGGGAGAAAAGAACTTGCATCTGTAGCTCTTACTGTCAAAAAGAATAAAGCCCGCCAGATTCTCTGGAGAAAGATAGTATTTACTCACTTTGTACAGGGGCTGCTGCAGGGGCTACTGGGCAGTGTCCACCACATTTCTCCACCAATACAATGACAGTTTCCCAAGCCTGTTTCAGATAGGACCCATTCATAAAAGTCAAGGGCGGCACAGCAAGCCACCGTTTCGTGATAGTGATTCTGGTAGGCTATAGACTCATAATAGGTATTCTGATCTCATCACATGTTCTTAGGTGATATACTTCATCCCTCTCACAGAGCCCTTTGCTATGACTCTGAAGGACAAAACAGCTCTGCAACAGCAAAAATGTTCCGTATCCTCCTTTTATTTCCACATTTGGCCCTTCACATGGGAAAAGAGATGCAAGCCACAAGTCCTCCTGCCACTTACTGAGCACTTCATGTTATACCTAAGACACCAACCAGTTTCTTCCATTCCACCCAAAGCAGCAGCTCAGAGGTGAATCGCTGAGCTGTCTGATTTGGGCAGTCGCTCCGTCCTCTGGCCAGTGAGTCAGGAGGTAAGATGATGACCCTTTCCATTACCTAATACTGTAGCCTTCCTAGGGCTCTCACAAATCATAGCGCTTTTTTATTCTGCCATCAGAGGACCCTCGAGAGCTGAGGAGAGAGAATAGAGAGCCCCAGGGATGCAAGGCAGAGATAGCCCAGTGTGGCCCACCATAAACAAAATTTCCGGAAATTCTCATGCTTTGTTCTAAATTAATGGGAATTTTGTGTTTACCTCATAATGTCTATTTTTCCCCAAAGTGGGTATGCCATTTGGTTTATGAAATATTTTTAAATTTTGAAACACAAAAGTTGCAAGTACAATACAAAGAACTTGTGTCCTAATTTACCTGAGAGCAGATCACAGAACAAATGCTCCATTACCCGCTAAAAACAAGGACATTCTCTTACATGACCACAACACAACCATCAAAGCAACACCGACTCATTACTACCAACTAAACCTCAGACCCCAGTCAAGTTTCACACATTAATTGTCATGTCTCTTAAGTTTCTCTCAGTCTGAAATAGCTCCTCAGTCTTTCCTTGACTTTCATGACTTTGACGCAGTTGAAGATTATGAGCCTGTGATTTTGCAGAGTGTCTCAGATTGGTTTGTTTGAAGTTTCTGCGTGGTCCAATTTTGGCAGGAATATCAACAAAGTGAAGCTGTTTTCTCCTCACTGCATCCCGTCAGGACGTGAGTGATTTCACTGTGTTTCATTACCTATGATACTCTCTCTCTTTGATCACTTAATTAAAGTGGTGTCTGCCAGGCATCTCCACTGTAAAGTTACCTTTCACACTTTGCAGTTAATAAGTATGTTGTGAGGAAGTGCTTTGAAACCATGGAAATACCCCAAACGTCCTCAAACTTTTAATTTATTCATTTACCTTATGTAAGTATGGACTCAGAATTTCCTGTTTTACTCAGTGGATTCTAATCGGTTGCAGTCATTACTTGTTTTGATGTTCAAGTTATCCCCCGTTTGGCCCGTGGGAGCCCTGCAAGCCAGCGTCTATTTTTTAGACATGTCCCTGTCATTCTTTAAGCATCGCCTTGCCTACTGGCACCACAAGATGTTTCAGGCTTATTTTGTACTTTCCCTGCCCCAGCCCTGGAATTCTCCAAAGAGCCCTGTTACCTGGCATGATCTCAGCTCACTGCCATCTCTGCCTCCCAGGTTCAAGCGATTCTCATGCCTCAGCCTCCTGAGTAGCTGGGATTACAGGCGTGCGCCACCAAGCCCAGCTAATTTTTGTATTTTTAGTAGAGACGGGGTTTCACCATGTTAGCCAGGCTGGTTCTCAAGTGATCCACCCTCCTCGGCCTCCCAAACTGCTGGGATTACAGGCATGAGTCACCACGCCCGGTCAGCCCTAGTTTCTTTTGATGGAGAATGACATTTAGAAGCTAAGGTTTAGGTACTAGGTATACTCTTTGCTACTTGCATGTCACTGTTCCCAAGTCTTGTCAGTAGACAGGGTTAGGGAGTATGTGTATACACATGTGTATGTCCACACACATATTTATACCTTGTCTGTAAATATTGGAAAGCATGAATTTTCAACCACAGATTTCATTTTCCCTTTCCTTTTTTTTTCCCCCTCTTAGAGACAGAGTCTTACTATATCACTCAGGCTTGAGTACAGTGGTGCCATTATGTAGCTCACTGCAGCCTCCACTTCCTGGGCTCAACCAATCCTCCCACCTCAGCCTCTCAAGTAACTAGGACTACAGGCACATACCACCACACCCAGCTAATTTATTTTTTATTTTTCAGAGAGAGGGTCTCACTATGTTGTCCAGGCTAATCTCAAACTCTTGGACTCAAAGCAGTCCTCCTGCCTCGGCCTCCCAAAATGCTGGGATTGTCACTGTGACTGGTCCCTTCCCATTTTTGTAATTATTTTCTGATGGTAAGAAGCCTGGCTCCCAATATCTTTGATCTACTTACTAATATGGTTTGGCTCTGTGTCCCCACCCAAATCACGTTGAATTGTAATCTCCAGTGTTCAGAGAGGGACCTGGTGGCAGGTGATTAGATCATAGGGGTGGGCTTCCCCGTTGCTGGTCTCATGATAGTGAGTGAGTTTTCACAAGATCTGGTTGTGTAAAGGTGTGTAGCTCTTTCTCCTGTCACCATGTGAACATATGCTTGCTTCTGCTTTGCCTTCTGCCATGATTGTAAGTTTCCCGAGGCCTTCCTATCAGGCCTCTTGTACAGCATGCATGCAGAACCGTAAGTCTATTAAAACTCTTTTCTTTATAAACTGCCCAGTCTCAGGTAGTTCTTTACAGCAATGTGAGAATGGGCTAATACACTTACTCATTGCTCAGTCCCCCTGTGTGCAACCAATCTCCCATTGCTGGCACCACCCACTTTGCCATGCAAATGCCTTAGCCCAGCTCACCCTGCTCAGGCTCTGATACCTTGCTCTGTGTGGGAGTTTGGAGGGGTGAGCAAGTTGGTTCTTCTCCTACTCTCTGCCCAGAAGCAAAAGGGAACCACATGTTAAAGAACAGAAGTAATTCTGCCATAAGAGAGCAAGTACCCTCCACAAGAAGAGACCTTTTGTGATGCCATAAATTTGCCTCATGAAGTCTGCTTATGTCTCACTGTCATATAGAATGTGCTAAAAGTTTGAAACAGAGTTGAAGGGCAGGAAGGGTGTGGAAGTGTAAAATCTGAAAAAAATATAAAGAGAAGTAATGAGAGGGTGACATAAAGGAGAGAAAGGAAGTAGAAAAGAAAGACTTAGGGAGGTAAGTGAGAAAATAATATAAGGAAGAAAAAGTAAAAAGTGTAGGAGAAAAAGAAGATAAAATGAACGCTTGATTAACATCCTCTTTCCAAAGTTGTTCCCGAAGGCCTAGTAAATCGGCTGGTAATAGGCTTGTAAGATACAATCTCTCAGCCACCAACTTTGGCATGTATTAAATTAAGGAAACAGTGATATTTCTAAGATGTCAGCAGTGAGTTACTATCTTTGAGGCCACAAATCCAGCTTCCTGCAGAAACTCAAATGCAGCAGCCTCTGGATCTTCCCAGGTATTTTTCAAGTGCCTCCCAAGAAAAGCGCCTCACAGAGCACAGAGACTTATCCTCACCAGTTGAAGCATCTCATTAACCATGAGTTAATTCTTAAATTTCTAAGATAAATGCCTTTGAGTTTTTGAGAATGAAAAGAGCTTCAACCTTGTGGTCATGGGGAAGTGTGAATTCCCCAAACTAATTCATCTCATCTGTTTTGTCCTCCAATTGGCCCTCTGCACCATTGGTCAGTGCTGCCAACCCCATTTGTCTCCATGTGCCCACCTTCCATTCCACCTCATCTTACTGCAATCTAGTATCTGCCACAAGCTCTTCATGCATGGAGGGTCAGAATCCTATTCTCAAGTAAAAGAATCCTTATCTAATGACCTCTTTGCTGCATCTGTCATAAAAAGAAGAGTAGGAAGAGCCCATTGGTTAGAGGATGAGTATTGGCAAAGACTAGCAGAGAGCCCGAGGAATGCAGCTGAGAGGGAGTTAGTCCTCATGGGCAGTGGGGAGCTGGGCTTAGGGTAGCAGGGATATAAGTGGCTTCCCATGTGTAGTTGTATTGGCTTTGTGGATACTGCGAAAGAGCTCCCCTCCTTTCTCCTTAAAAAAGGAAACTAGGTTTAGCTAAGCAAGGATGCAGTTCATGGTTACGGGGGCTCTGGTGCATTGAGTATTGTTCCAGTGGCTTCAAAAGACAGCCATGGCAGCTGGGGAACCAACCATGCTGCTCCGGGGCCTGCCACGTGCTCACCGTCCACCCCAGTCCCCTGGGCCTCTGCAACTCTCCCTCTCCTGGCCTGGCAGTGGCTATCATGGGTCTCTCAGAGTCTTGGCCCTTCGAGCCTGAAGAATAGCTTTAATAGCCCAATGTTGCCACTGCCTGAGTGGGGTGGTGGAATGTTCTCCTCATTCACACCTCATCACAGAACCAGATAGGGTGGGCCAGATGGAAGGAGTGCATCTGGGTATTATTCTGAAGCTGAGGCTTCATAAGGGGGTGCCCATATGTCTCCCTCCTCCACTGTACTGAGAAATGGGGATCACGCCTTTGTCTTCACTGGGTCCTTTCCTTTCCCCAGCCCCACTCCTAGTGCCTCACACACATGGATACCTAACCTACCACTTACTCAAACTGCAACTTTAGATCAACTGGGGATGGAGGAGGCACACTATTCTTAGAAGTCTTTACTGCCATCTGCTAGAAAATTGTCAGAAAGCCCATACAAATGTACAATGACTACGTGAATGGCGCCCCCAGAGTTGTGCAGTGTGTGGCTTTCTCACCGTAAGCTGCAGTCTGTTCGATGGATGAAAAAAATCCAATGCTTATAGCCAATGCTTATATTCATTTTTGCTAATAATTCTAAACTCTCAAAATGGGGTTCCCAGAAGTGCTAACAAGGAACAATGATCTAAATTAACATTAATTACTCCCTTTAGGTGGAAGATCCACCAAAAACTTAAGTTCAGATCAACCAGAAACTGCCAGCACAAGGTGCTTGAATGATTTAATAAGACAGCCAGTGATAGATTTGAATTTTTTCATGGCTTAATGATTTTTTTTTCCATGTGGAACTAGGAGGCTGGCAGTTTGCAGACTATAGCAGGCACAACATCAAAATTTGTCCTCAAGTTGTTCCTGCTAGGGGCTGGAAAGAATGGACTGGCAGAGTGTGGGCCTTCCAGCTGAGCCCATGGTAAGGGGCACTGACAGGGTCATACAGTGCGTGTTTGGCTGGGTAGGATGAACAGGTTGCTCACCAAAAGCTGTATACCAAAAAGACTGCTTGGTCCAGCAGAAGGCAATGTTTTCTCGTTTGTCTGCCCATAGGGGATGCCTTTTTCTAATTCTCACAAGGACTAGCACCATACGAGAGATTCAAATTGTCACTGCAATGCTGAGCCTAGTAACAGCAGTTCCCTGATATTAGCATCTCTTGTGCAATCCACAAAACCAAACACCCTGGCTCATTCTGATCATTACTTCTTTCCCTCTTGCTACATTAAATCATTTATAAGCCTGTCATGAAATCTCTGTGTTCTAAGTTCAGCTCAGTGACTTTGTGAGCTGGAAACTCTCTGCTCCTGCAGATTACTCTTTTCTGCTGTCTATATCTCAAGAGACTGACCTTCAAGGGTGGCATTAAACAAGCTTACTTGCCTCTGACTTCCATCTGGTTTGGCCAATGAGAGATGCTGGCAGACCAGTAGGCTGCCAGGTGGGCTAGAGCAAAGATCAATTAACACTTCCTCCCTGTGGGCCACAGGTTGGCAGTGTCCATGTCATGGGCTGAATTAAGTCCCCCCAAATTAATATGTTCAATTCCTAACCCCTAGTACTTCATAATGTAACTGTATTTAAAGATGGGACCTTAAAGGAGGTAATTAAGTTAAAATGAGATCATTAGGTGGGACCCTAATCCAATATGACCGGTGGCCTTATAAGAAGAGGAAATTTGGACACAGATGCAGGCACAGAGGAAAAACCATGTGAAGACTGGAAGGAGAGAGGCCTTAGAAGAAACCAGCCCTGCCAGCACCTGCATCTTGGACTTGTGAGGACATAGATCTCTGTTGCTTAAGTTATCACATCTGTGCGATTCTGTTATGGTACCTGAACAAACTAATATAATCCCTCTACCAGAGTCACAGCTGCAGTCCATGCCCCCACTCCTAGAGCTCCAGTTCTCTCCCTGGGCTTGGATCACAGCATCCTCTCCTTACCCCTTCAGGCTTAGGAGAAAGCAGGAAGGGCCCCTGCTATTGCTTCCCTATCACTGCTGGTTTCTCTGAACTGCGCACATGTCTTTGTAACTGCCTTTATTCAACCCTTCTTCAGTCACCCCACCCCAGTGCACCAGGTGTTACTTACAGGGACTTAGATGGATCCACTTGTTTCCCTCACTATTTGCCTGAGCTGTTCCTAAAATGTAATCCTACCTAGCAGAAATAAACCAAAATGGCTTATCGGGTGAGCCCCTTTCTGTCACATTACTATGTAAAAAGTATTTTCAAAGATTTCCATGGTGACAAGAAGCTGTTGGAATATGCAACCTAACAGCTCTGCAAAAATGAAGGTACTGAATTGTAACTAATGAATGAGAAACTGACTGCTTTGACAAAAGAAATGTATGCTATGGAGAGAACACTTTGAAGGTGGATATTTAGAATTGTTTCCACCATTGAGAAATGTTGGTTCTGAAAACAGTGTTACCGTTATTAAAAATTCTAATACGTACATGTGTCGAAAACTGAGAAATGGAATTTTTCTACATTATTTTAAAATATTTTAAATGTAGGCTGGGCACATTAGCTCACACCTGTAATCCTAGCACTTTGGGATGCCAAGGTGGGAGAATCACTTGAGTCCAGGAGTTCAAGACAAGCCTGGGCAATAAAGTGAGACCCAGACTCTACAAAAAATTTTAAATTTAGCTGAATATGGTGGTGCTTGCCTGTAGTCACAGTTACTTGGGAGGCTGAAGTGGGAGAATTGCTTGAGCCCAGGTGATCGAGGCTGCAATGAACTATGATTGCATCACTGCACTCCAGTCTGGTGACACAGCAAGATCATCTCTTATATGAACAAACAAAAAACCTTTTAAATGTACAGTTTCAGAGAGCTTTGGACATATATTTATGTCCAAAAAAAAGGGTGGAAATCAATATATTGAAAGAATATCTCCACTCCCATGTTTATTGCAGCACTATTCACAATAGCCAAGATATGGGTTCAACCTAAGAGTCCATCAATGGATGAATGGATAAAGAAAATGTGGTATATATATACAATGGAATATTATTCAGCCATAAAAAAGAATAAAATCCTGTCATTTGCAGCAACATGGATGGAACTGGAGGCCATTATGTTAAGTGAAATAAGCCAAGCACAGACAGACAAATATCACATGTTCTCACTAATGTGGGAGCTAAAAAAGTGGATGATCGCCAGAGACCAGGAAAGATAGGGAAGAGGGAGAGATGAAAGGGAAAACAAGAATATAAATGTGTTTATTACCACTGAACTGTACACTTAAAAATAGTAAAGATGGTAAATTTTAAATGTGTATTTTACCTCAATAAAAATAAAGTGTAAAAAAACTGAGAAGTGGGGTTTTTCTAAATTATTTAAAAATCTTTCAAATGTACAATTTCAGAGAACACTGAATATATCTTTATCTGTCTATCTCTGTCTCTACTTATCTATGTAAAAATGGTGCATCAATCAGACTTCTTTGCCTTCTGACTTTCTCTGGGTTTGGTCAATGGGAAGCACTTTGATTAGAATATAAGAACTGTTGATTGACCCAAGGCAGATGAAAATGTATTGGTAAACTTTCAACAGAACCTTTGCATAGCTGGTGGATGTGGGTAAAAAAGTGAGTCTAACTTAGCAGTTACAGCCAATTATGCCCTTCTTGCATTATCGCTGTAGTATTGTTTTAGCCATGAGAATCACTAAAGCCAGGTATCAAAATAGACTGATCTTAGAAGCAGACTTTTGAATTGTATCACAAAGTGTTATATCAAACTTTTCAAATGAAGCATATTCAGTTCAGTTACATATAAATATAAAATGCGTATAGAACCTTAATAGGAAAGCAAAAAGCAAAAGGGGGTTTTGTACCATCAATAAAATAATATTATTTCATCTTTTCTTCATTCTTTTTCGTTTTTTGTTTTTTGAGACAGAGTCTTGCTGTGCCACCCAGGCTGGAGTGCAGTGGTGTGATCTCGGCTCACTGCAACCTCCGCCTCCCAGGTTCAAGCAATTCTCCTGCCTCAGCCTCCCAAGTAGCTGGGATTACAGGCCTGCACCACCACACCCAGCTAATTTTTGTATTTTTAGTAGAGATGGGGTTTCGCCATGTTGGACAGGCTGGTCTCCAACTCCTGACCTCAAGTGATCCACCCACCTCGACCTCCCAAAATGCTGGGATTACAGGCGTGAGCCACCACCCCGAACTCTTTGCTTCATTCTTTAACATTTTCCCTGTTTTTAATTACTATAATATGTTAGTTCAATAGTACATATAACATATATATAATTTACAAATAACAAGTATTGGGAGTATCTGCTTAAAAACCTTTTACTGAATCCAGTGAGCCATCCAAAAAGCCTGGAAACCACTGAGCATTAAACCATAAGGGGCTGTAAAATTAAAAAAAAAAAAACCTGTACCCAGAATCTTAGAACTTCAGATTGACACACTCTATGTGTCAACCAAAGTGGGGGATGTGAAGGAGGAACTGCCAGCCCCAATCAGCTTCCCACATTAGTCAGGAGAGTATGTTCATTTAGTTGCACCACCATTTCTCAGAACGTTTTGGAAATATTTGGAATGTAGTAGGAGACCTAAGGGACCACCCACTCAAAACCCAAACGAAAGCCTTCCAAAGACAACAGGGGGCAAAATGAGAGTCAGCTCCTCCCAGCTCCACATCCGGCCAGCAGCGGGCTGGGCAGGGCAGCCATCTTGTCCCACTCTGGCTTCTTCCGCACATTCCTGACTGTTACAGGGGGCCTGAGCCTGGGGAATGAATGTTATCACTGCAGGCAATGTTTAGAGGTGACAGAAAACACTCCAGTCACGTCAGAGAGAAGAGCCATTTAGACTAGACTAGGGCGCAATACCCCTGGAGCTGAGCTCCCTTGCCTTTCCCCTAATGCCTCCAACAAAACGAGACTCTGGTTCCAGGCAGCGCTCTGGACGATATGCTTATTTACTCTGACATTTCGGGCAAATGGCTATAAAATACTTTGGTGGCTTGGAGACATGACTATACAGTTTTGTAATGAAAGCTGCTTCCAAACTGCTTTCTGTTATTTTTTCAGAATTCTTCACTGATTAAAATCTGGTTACAAAACAAGGGACCTAGAGAGATGTTCACTTCACCACTTCTCTACAGATGCCTCCTGCTGCTTCCAACTTTTCTCCTTTAAGGCAGGGTGAATCCAAATCATGGTCTTAGCCCTGAAGGAGGCACCAAAGCAGTTTCGTTGCCCTGTGAAAAGCTTCTAGAGGAGCTCATCTGAATGCTTGAAGAAACCAGCCGCCCTTGCAATTACCTAAAAGGAATTGAGTCATTTTAACAAGACATTATTTCTGCCATCCACGGTCACAATCATCTCTTTGAAAAATAAATACTCTTGGTTTGTTGTTTTTTTTGTTTGTTTGTTTGTTTGTTTTTAATGTCCATTATGGGATGGTCTGATTAGACAATGGGATTTCATAATCTAGGGAGGTGAGCACATCCCTGAGTTTTGCCAATCCTCATTATTCAACCTCCTGCTGTGCTCAGGGGTGGGGCTTCTACACACCAGGAAACTCCAGATAAATGGAAGCACAAACTGCTCTGCCCAAAGCCACACTCTGTGGTGCCAAAGCTGGCAGATCCTGCCATTTTACAGACTATGGCCTCCAAACTGGGTTTTCCTCTTTTTCATCCCTGCAAAGAATAAGAAAGCACATAGTCCCAAGTCCCTTTCTCAAGATGACCCTCCACATGGACACCTGAAGCGATCAAACAGCCTCCGACCAAGAGGCATTTGTTATTTACTCCACACACCATCCTCTAGCTTGTTGCAAAACCTGTCTGCCTTCTCACGGTAAAGAATGACGCACACACTTTTAATCCATTCGGCTTTTTGAAAAATGAAGGCGAGGCCTTGATTTACTGTGGTTTGCCTACCCTACTCTATAATGCCAACAGATTATTGGGCCTGGTGGCAGCCTTGTCCATCATGTTTTATGGCTGGGGCCATTCCCATCTTGGCTGGGGAGCTGAGAGTGGAATTTTAACTATGAATTTTCTTTTGTTTAATAGGCTAAAGTCAAAAGGCCACATTCTGCTTTCAGATATGCATGAACAACTTCCAACTGGAGTTACTCATATATATCTGAATTTAGTTAAAATATTCCAACACCAAGCCACCATTAAATAACATACTTTTTTTTCTTTTTAAACCTTTTTAATGTACATGTGGATGAGTGAAACAGCATGTATAAATTAATCAAAATTATTCACTCTTTTTGAGGAAATGTTTGGTTTTTAAGAAACAAAGCCATTTGGACATTTTACTCTCCAGTCCTGCTCATCTATTCCACCTTGATACACACCAACCACTGAGCTTCTTCAAGCTTATCTTGAAGGGCTCATTAGCCTCTGCCCTTCCTGTTATGTAGTGGACAGCTGTGGTAGAGTGGAAACACACAACAGGGCCGGATTCAGAAGAAGCAAGATCAAGGTCCAGCTCTGATAATAGTTATATGAACTTGAGCAAATCAATTAATCATCTCAGTATCTATTCATCTGTAAACTGTTGACTTCATAAGATTATTGGGTGAATTCAATAGATAGTGGGTGTTACATTTTTTTTTCAAAAGAACTTTGCCTGTTGCATAAGCAAAAAATGTCCAAACGAAAATCCAATGCTGATGAAGATAGTAAGGAGAAACTTATTATCACACAATGAGAGAAGGAGTATAAAATGGTACTACTCCTTTGGAAAGCAACTGCAATTAATATATTGATAATATTGACCATTTAAAAGTGTCCTCTTTGATCCAATAATTCCACATATGAAAATTTGTCTTTACCTCTATATGTAAAGCTTTTCTTCATAGCATTTTTATCATGGAAAACAAGTGGAAACAATCCAAATTTTAAGCAAATAAGGGAATGTTTAAGCACACTGTCATATACACTTAACACAATACTTGGGTTAAATTCTTGTAATGTTAAATGAATAAAAATTGATTCAAAATACATATTCTGCATGATCACATCTTGGTAACAGAAACAACAACAAAAAAGCCTTGAAAAGGAAAACAAGTAGAACAAATTTTTCAGAAGTAATTGGTAGAAGAAAATCAGAAAGTGCTTTGGATACAAAGAATATAGGAACATTTCCCCTCTTTGAATACTTAATACTGTGTACATAGATGGCACAAAGTATATATTAAATGAATTTTTTAAGTGTTATACATTAGCTCCTAATTAGCAAGAACACCCTGCTCAGCTAGCTTTTCAATTAATCAAAACTTTACCTTAATTAGCCCTGGAAAATAGGTTTTTGCAGTGGTTGTATCTTATTTTTCCATCCAGCTATCTATAGGATCATAGAGATTCAGGCTAACACATTTGGCATTTGGTCAGATAGCAAAAGCTTGGATTTAGCCATTGTCACAAGGAGCAACATCAAAGGAATTCTGAAACATTGCTCCCCACATACAGCATGGCCCATGTCATTTGATCTTCAAGAATGCAGAGCAGTGGGTGATGAATGTTCATGAGATCCAATGTATACATTTCCATCAACAGGAGGAATGGGTGCAGGCCAAACTAGAAATGGGTGGTATGCTGTAAGCATAGACAGCCATTTGCAGAGGTGTCAGCATACTGTACAGAATTATAAATAAGGAGGGACATGTGATAAATAAAATTTCATTAATTTACAGAAATAAACCGAAACATCCAAAATAGGCAGCTCCCTGCATATTTCGTCTTCTAACCCACAAGAAGTAATATTTATTGCCTTCATATGAAAGCCAACTCTAGTGATATTCCTTTGTGGTAATATTATGATGTACCATTTTGTATTCCTAGCATGTCCTACAACCCTCGTTATGGTGCACTTATGAGCAGAGCACCACTTTCAGTACACAGTGGAGCTGTCCACCAAGAAAATAAAAGATAGTTTGTGTTGAGACAACCCACTTAGAGAAATGAATTTTACAGAGGGGAGAAATAGTGTCTCTATAGCAGAAATTAAGTCAGTTCTTGAATTTCAAATGGAAGTGTCTCCTCACAGCTGAGTTACTTAAAGAGCAAAAGACCAAACATGCACCTCAATTACAGGAAATTAAAAGCCCCTTGAAAGCTCACAAAATCATCAAAAGTTAGAAATGAAAGGTAGCTTATAAATCTTCTATTACCCACCACACAACACATACCCACATTTTTATAGATGAGGATAGAGCCCAGAAAGTTTAGATATTTTTCCAAGATCACACAGTGAATAAATGGTAGAGCCAGGATTCAAACCCAAGACTCTTGGCTCTCTCTGTTGTTCTTGCCTCAATGCTCTGCAAATACCAAAGGGCCTGCAAGCTGCAAACCTTAACCAGTACTGTTCATCAGACATTTGGAAAGGATTGTAACATGATGGAAAGGGCTTTCGAGTCAGACTGGAGTTTAAATCCTGACTTGATCACTTACTTGTATGGCCTTGGATAAGTCAACCAACGTCTATGAACCTCAGGGTCATTTATAAAGCAAACATTGTGAATCCCACCCGCAGTGTGGTGGTAAGAATCAAATGAAATAATGTACACTAAGTGCCAAGCAGGGGGCCTGGCTCACCATGGGAACTTGAGAAGTATTTATTATTACTATCATATTACTTCCTTGAATGCATATCCGAAGTCCTGAACTTTCAGTCTTAGTCTGGAAAAGAGAGTAAGGGTCCAAATTCTTCATCCTTCTCTACAAAGCCTGTGTGGATGTTTCTGTTCACGGCTGTGCTGCGCCAAAATAAATCTAATTCAATCTGGACCATTAAATGCTTGGCACCATGTTTTACACTAATCTCTTCAGTTGTTATTTTCAGTTTCTAGTTTACCCAAACAATCCATTTTTAGAGTTAGTGACCAAAGCTGCCAATAAAATAGACTTATCTTGAAAACACCAGGATACTCCTGAAGGAATGTCAATATACACGCACAGCATATGGCAATGCTTTATAAGAGTTTGACCATTGGCTTACAGTTGGCCAGCTCAACTGTAAACTCAATACTATTTTGGGGTATTAATATCTATAAGTGCTTAATATCCCAGCCACACTGCCATCCACTAGGTTTGAATGTCCTTTATGGAGTGAACTTGATCCTCCCGTTTCACTTTTGGTCTCTCTCCAGAGAAGCTAATATACTGGCATAGTTCTGCCATTTGTCAGCCAGAAGTCTGGTTACACATTTGCTCGTCAATCTAAACCTAACCTATTCTCATATGAGCACTTGGGGTTTCATGTAAATCAACCAGACGTTCTGTCATTCACCAGCAATATCTCTCCATAGTATTCTACACCCATGTGCCTTCATGAAATATTTCATTATGCTGGTGGAAGAAATATTCAAATGAATGTGCTTTTTCAGGGATGGTGACACCAGAATGTTTTAAATCTGTTCATTACCACAACAAGGATAAATGGCGTTTCTGCCAAAGACTTTTGATAACGGGTGCAGTAATGCATGCCAGCACTTTCTGAAATTAAAGGTTCTACCCTGAGAGGTAAGTAGGATAATGCATGGCTAACAAATGCAAACCCAAATTTCAGAGCTGAGTGTTTCTTGTCAGTATCACCGATCGTTTCCAACAGACGCTGCCTTAGGGAGTTTGTAATGTCATTTCTACTCTCTTGACATTAATGTCCAGGTGAGCCTACCCCAAGGTTTGTAAAAGAGCAGATCCTTATTAACTTAGCATGCTTTATTGTGATTTTTCTTATATTTGGATTCACATATGCTTTTAACAGCTGCATTTTAAAAATCTGCTATGGTTTAAAGACAGTATTTCATAAAAGCCTTAGTTTATTCAGTAAAATATTTTAATAACCAGTTGAACAGTCTCTTGTTAAGATTTTAAGATATTTGTTTCTGATTGTACTAATTAATTGTTAAAGTTTTTTTTAAAAAAATCAGTGATGAGACTCTAGTCTTCACTAACTTTTTTGGCATCTTCAAGAGGCACAAAGGAAATGAGGAACTGGAAATTTAAAACAGGGAAATAAATATCAGTTCGTATTTGCTTTGACATATGCATGACATTGGGCCAGTTAACTTCAGTATCTCTGGATTGTAAAATGGTGTTTTAGTGTAGAACTAATACCTGAGAATTATGGAGAAAATGGAGAGAAAAGGGCTTCCAATTCAGGTTATCTATGAAGAGCATATTTTATTCTTACAAGTGTCTGAAAATGCCTGGTATCATTACTATTCACCATGAGAACTTTTGGAAGTATGACCACTAGTACTGTAAAGAAAAAAAAAATCCAATATCTGTGAAAGATTATTCATCCAAATAATGTACCCTCTAAAATTAAAAAATCACAGGTAGAGCTGTATTGTATTGGCTCATAAAATGCCTGAAATGGACAGAATACAGATTCTGGTCAGAGAGTAATAGTTTTCCTCTCCTATTTTAGATTCTGAACAGGCTCAGAAGATCATAAAGTTTTTTAATACAGGGTTTTGAATATAAAGTCACTTGGTCATAATACAAATATTGGTATCTGCCTGAGGAAAATTTTGTGCCTTAGTGATATGCAAAAACGCCTTCCTCTTTAGAGTTCTCCTTTCTTCATTCCCCATTTATTCCCATTGTAATCTTTTTCCTCTATCTGACATACTCCCTCTAGTGTTCCCTGGATGAAGTACAATAGCTAAAGTTCAATTTACAAACAAAATCCTATTTCTGCAATCTCTCAATGTTTTCCCCATTTACCATACACTAAAGCAAATTTAGCACCAGATGTTTTGGCCTTGTGAGCTGTAGGTGACAGCAAGAATTTTTAATCAGAGAGCCTCAAACTTAGTGGAATCTTGTATTCCAACTTCAGATCCTCAAAGAGGGCATTTATTTCTAATCTGATTGTTAGGGTTAGGTTCCTTCTCTGCCTTTGAATCCTTGTATTGGAATTTACTTTTATTGTGATATGCAGAAGGGGAAAAGATACTCTCATGAACTAAAGCGTGCAAGCAGGCATTTCTTTGACATATTTCCCAGGGTTAGAACTTACACTGATTCTTCTAAATTACCTAAGAGATTCAAGGCATTTTGACTTAAGAAAAAAGCGATTAATTTTTTAATGGCTTTACAAAAACCATAGGCATATTCTCAGCCACAGAAGCTCTTAATCAAACCAGGAGGAACAACCACTTGGGAGGTGTATTTCTTATGGGCATTTTTTCTTTACAGAAAATAAACACTTCCAAAGCTGTCAGCTGCCATTGCTGCTACTTTGGAAATCAGCCACACCCAAGATGTAGTTATAAGAGCTAACTACAGGCCAAGGTCATCTGGGGATCCAGCCAGCCTGCTCACAGGCATGGCACCCCAACCTGGCCACAGTGCATGGGCCTGCCAATCCAGGCAGGCCAGCCCAGACTGCTATTTTAGGTTGGAGTTCCCAAAAGAAGGCCCTTGACTGTCCTTCACACTACTGGCATTCAGCTTTGTACTTAGCCATTCTGAACCATTATCTACTCTATGCCCTGACTGCTTCTCTCCTTTGAAATATCCTACCTCTTTGGGGAGCCCCATAGGAGGTTGATAGATATGTCAAATTGTAATATTAAAATGATTATTTTGTTTAATAACACAAAGCTCACCCATACATACAGCTCTGCTACATCAGGTTACTTCAACCAAGTGCCTGAGCAGGAAACCTCAGGTTTATTTGTCCTCCTCCTTCACCTGGATCTGCCATTGATCCTTTCCTCTTTCATGTCCACTGGCATTATAGTTCATCCACATTTGCCTAGACTGCTACACTAACTTTCCAGGCGATCCCCCTCCCTCCAATTCACCAACGTTCTACCATTGGTTATCTTTCAAAATGACAAATCAGAATGCATTTCTCTTCTGTTTAAAATTTTTCACTGGTTCCCTATCATATACAGGATAAATTTTGAATTCCCTACCGTCTTAGTCTGTTCTGTGCTTCTATAACAGAATACCACAGACTGAGTTATTTGTAATGAACAGAAATTTGTCAGCTTACAGTTCTGGAGGCTGGGAAATGCAAGATCAGGGGCCAGCATCTTGTGAGGGCCTTCTTGCTCCATCATCCCATGATAGAAGGTGGAAGAACAAGACAGGGTGAGACAGAGGAAAAAGAGAGCTCAACTTATCCTTTTACAATGAACCCCTCCCATGATAATGGTGTTAATCCATTCACGAGGGTAGAGCCCTCATGGCCTGATCCCTTCTAAAAGGTCCCACCTCTTAGTGCTGTTACAATGGTGATCAACTTTCCAACACAAGAACTTTGGAGAACACAATCTAACACCTACAGCACCTAGACTGCTATTCAAGATTATTTGAGATCCAGAAACTCCTGCCCACTTTTCCAGCCTCATCTCTCATTATTCCCTCCATACCATCTTTCCCTCCTCACATCAATATACCCTATGCTTTGGCCAAACTAAGTATTTATTGTTCCCCAAACCCATAGTGCTTTTTCATGTCTCCAGATCTGCCTAGTGGAATCTTCTCCTTTTCTTCAAGAATCCAGTTGAGCATCACTTTCTGATGGCGTTTTCCCTGACTCCTCACTCAACTTATGTGCATATGTATGGTTAGTTCCTTCATCTATGGTGCTCCCTGGGCAGTTACACACTCTTAGTTTTTGTATATCTCTCTCTCTCTACACACACACACACACACACACACACACACACACTTTGAACCCTCCTATTAGGCTGTGGAGTTCTTATTGAAGGGACTTAATGTTGATTTTTGTGTTCCCAATATCAAGAGCCATATCTAAATTAAATCTGTAAGTAAATATTGTTATATTAAGTTAAAAAAATTTAAACCTCATAAGCAAATCAGCTAGCTGCATTCAAGAAAATATATTTGAATCCAATTCCTGCCTTTACTTATGTCTTTCACTAAGTAGAACTTGACTTACCAGGTTCCAAGTTGGATTGTAGTCTAAGGCACAATATCTGCACTTGAGGAAAATTGATGTTTCTGCCAAAAAATGAACTAGAAAACTCTTGGGGACCAGGGAATTAGATCGGAGAAAAAGAGGCAAGAGCAAGGATGTGCTGGGGCTGGCTTACTGCCCCATGTGAACAGTCCAATTTTTGAAGATTTAGGAAGCAAAGAGGCTGTTAAAATTGAGAAAGACACCATTCATGGCTCATACATATACTATGCCTCTAGGCTATCTCTTCTTTATTTAATCTATGTACTCTCCACTCACCTATGCAATTCCCAACTTGGATGTAGGCTTAACCTGGTAAATTTGACTTCAAGATCAATAACCAGCACAGTTCCTACTTTTGCTTTTCCTGATTTGTAATTTTCACTGCCTATACTCCCCTCTCCTTTTCTTTTTTTTAAATCACAGACATCCAAACAATGAGAAGGCTGACGTGGAGATATAGGAGGAGGGAACTGGTATAGTACTCTTGCACAGAGTTTCTGTGATTTCACAAGCACTTTTCTTATGTATCCATGTCATCTTCATTACCTGAGTATGGAACAAATTGATATAGCAGTGAACAGAATCTAGCCTTCCATTGGACTGACCAGCACAGCAGGTTATTAGTTCACAACTCTGTGGGCTGGCAATTTGGGCTGAGCTTAGCTGGGCAGTTCTTCTGTAGGTCTCCTTTGGGCCAGATGGTTGGTCTAAGAAAAGCCTGACTCACACATCTGGGGGGTAACAGGCTGTCTGCTAGAGTGTGGGCCCCATTTCTCCGTTAAGTGGCCTTAGTTTGAGCTCATTTACATGGTGATCCCATGGATCTGGAGCAGCAGGAGTCAGCCAGCCTCAGTGTGCAAGCGCTGTTCAAGTCTCTACTTGTACTATGTTTACTAATATCCCAATGGTCAAAACAAGCCACATAGTCACACCCAAAATGGAGTGGAGAAAAATATTTTTTTAAAGTAAGAATGTCTGTATTTGTAGATGACATGACTGTCTACATCAAAAATCCTAGTGAATCTATAACATAACATATTAGAACTAATAACTGAGCTTATTAAGATCACAATATACGAGACCAATGTATAAAAGTCAAACGTGAGAAATTGATTTCTTCATGGGAGGGGTAGCAAAGAGGCAAGAATAAAAGAAAGAAAGGCCTGTGTGGTCATGTTGCAATCTACCACAGAGGCCATTTCAAGGTTATCTATATGAGGCCTGGGTGTCATTTGGAGGATTCCTCTGCTTTCTTTAGTAAGAAATTGATACACATGCGTTGGTGCATTACTCTGCATGAATTTGACCAGACCATAGGGTGGGTACCCTCTCTGCCCTGGTGAGCCTGATGATGACGTGGAGTAAGCTCTGCCTAGCAGCTGTGTGCAACAAGCTCAAACTAGCCCTTTGAGCAAAACAACAAATAAAAACAAATAAACAAAACACCCCAGCCTTCACTGAGGAGCCTCCCATCCACTTCAGAGAAATGGAAGGATAAGACAAACCTAAAGATGTCTAAGGGAGAGAAATGGCAACATACCCCATGGCAAGCTTGGGGAAATAGAGTGTTTTAGAAGAATTTGAAGATACATTTCTAGGCCCCCATGCTCACTCAGCAACAAAGCAAATGGCACTTAACAAGCAGCTGCTCCCTTCCAGTAACCCATAAGCTCTCTAACTGGATACAGTCCCCATCACTTTCTTGTCCTCTTTCAATTGTCTCTTAACACTGAAACCAGGTTTTGATTGCCATTTGTCTTGGCACTAACCCTATCGTATAGAAAAATTGAGGAGGACATTTTTTTCTCACCAGAATGTGAAAACTACAGATAGACCAACAAGGCTCTGATTTTGTAGAGAAAAGAATATTCCTGTGTATTAAATATACAAGAAAAATGTGTGAAAATAATACACCTTAAAATGCTATTATGAAACAGATTCATTCATTCATTCATGTTGCCCACCTGGTCCCCATAGTCATCGGAGTTTTCCACTCTTGACGAACGAATACTTGCCCTATTTTCCAAGCTAAGTCTTGAATACCTTGTAATGTTTTACTTCTTGTGGCATCCTGCACTTTGTGTAAAATCAGGAGTGGGGAGTGCCAATAAATATTTGATTGACTAATTGACAGCTTGAGTCAAGGTTCTGGAAGAGAATAAATACAAGGGAAAGGCATTCCCTTTTTCATTTAGACCATATTTTGCCTAAGCCAAATGGACGATTTACAGCTAATCATTGCGTCTTAACCAGGGACAGCTGGAGCTTACTGCTTGCCTCCTGCCTAGTCGTCTTTATTCCTTCTATAAAGGCAGAAAACAGAAGGGCTCTGCACACAGCAGTCACAGACGCTCATCAAAGACAAACCACTGACATGGAAACTGAACAAGAAAAGGCTTCCTGGTTCAAGGCTGGCTTTTGGGAGCCATGTTCAAGCATGCCCTAAGTAGCACAGTCAGCAGCCTTTTTCCTTCACTCTTTAGGGGCTGGGGTTGAGGAACAAGATTCCCTCAATTTTCCAACAAATAACCTATTTCAGTGAAATAAAAAAAGGGGGGGTGGGGCATTGGTGCAGTCAGTCATTCATATGCCAAGTTGTAGCCATGTTAGTATTTCATGCCAGTAATTCTGTCTAGCAGAAACTCATCCTGGCTCTTTTCCATTCCTTTTAGCAAGATTGCAGTTGTAAATCAGCAGGAATGTCCTGGAGACTGCTCCAGGTGGGTTGTCGGGAGCAGTCTGGAAGAAGAATCTTCAGAATAATTTAGGTTATGAGTCTAAGAGGGAAGGTCAATGCTGCTATTTAGAACCAGAGCACTATGCCAAATTTGGCTTTGGAAGGATGCGTTAAATGTCATTCTTGGAATTTGAATTTAGAATATTTTAAAAACACGATCGTTTGTACATTCACCCCTACAAGATTTAGCCAGGGTTCTCATCTCTGACCTCTGAACATCCTCTAAATTTGCGAGACCACTATAGTAATAATCCAATTTGGGTTAGTACTTTTTACTCATAAGAAGAGTTTCATTTGTAGCTTTTAGAGGAAATGGAGTGAGTATCATTCTGATCTCAAGGGCACTGTGGACAGAAATTGGATTTGCAGAGTTAGTGTAGGTCTTGGTTCTACCTCTTAATAACAGTATGGCCTTAGACAAATACTTTGTCCTCTCTGGGCCCTTTCTTTCTTTCTTTCTTTCTTTCTTTCTTTCTTTCTTTCTTTCTTTCTTTCTTTCTTTCCTTCTTTCAGAAACAGAGTTGGGTGGAGGTTGGAAGGAGGGAGAGGATCGGAAAAAATAACTATTGGTCACTAGCCTTAGTACCTGTGTGATGAAATAAATAATCTGTACAGCAAACCCCCGTGACATGAGTTTATCTATATAACAAACCTGCACATGTACCCTTGAAGCTAAAATGCAAGTTTGTTTGTTTTAAAGAAACAGTTATTCAGAGGAATGAATGCCACAAAAAAAAAAAAAGAAGAAAAAAAAACTTTGTAAAGTTTAAGAAGATAGAATTAGAAACCAGAGACAGGGAGATGAATGGCCAACGTTAACTCAACCAGCAGCTGCAGCACCAGGGATAGAACCTTTGCATCATGACTCAGCATTGAGCCCAGCATTAGTGGACTTGTTAACTGAATGCATACATGTTTTCCTATTTTGTCAGGCCCTTTGAGCTAAGGACTGGATGTAAGGCACAAGTCAAGTAGAACGTGGAAGGTTGGAAGGCCTGATCTGTCTACACTGCAACCTCTGCCAGATTTATTAAACCCTTAGTAAGTTAGAGACACAAGCAAGACTCAATAGGCATTCTTCAATTCTTTCTTCTGTATGAGAAAGTATCTCATACAGAGATCTATGGCCCTACTGTTTGGAAACAATCTGTAGAGATGACAGGGGCTATAGGCTTTACTGCAGCTCCCTCCCTAAAGCTCTCTCCTGTGGCTCTGGTCCTGTTTCCTCAGCATATTTGCCTCTTCATTGGGTGCCTAAGAATGCTTCCCCCTCAGTGGAGTCACTGTTGAGTTACACCAAGGAAACCCCCTGGCCTCTGACCACCATGATTTCCACTGCACAATGTCTCTAAAGACCTCCCGTTCTCTGCAGACTGAAAGAAAACAACATACACCCTGGGGACAAAAACCACCCCCCTCCCATAAAAGCACCATTCCTGCCCAGTCTCAGACAAGATTTTCCTAATAGAAGCCACCGGAAAAGAAATAAACACCTCAAGTAATAGTTAACTCTGATCACCCTATTTGCTTTAATTATTAACATTTGGCAATCAAAGGAAACAATAATACTCTCACTAGGCACTTGAGGAAAAAAAAGGAACTGCCTTTATAAGATGTTTGAGCAGTCATGTGGATGGGCACATGCAGTCTTCGCACAGACCAGCGAGCACTCCAAAGTGTAAGGACTGATTCTTCCACTCTGCTAGTATTTCTTGAACTGGCACAGTTCTAGATGCTGAGGATACATTAGTGAACAAAACAGACAAGAATCCCTGTTTTTGTGGTGCTTACGCTCTAGTGGAAGATAGAGGAGGCAAAGATTTAACAATAAACATAATAAATAAGGAAAGTATAAGGTGTGTTAAGTGGTTAAGAGAAAAATATAGCAAGGTAAAGAGGAAGGACGGTGCTGGGGGAGAGGTTTCTATTTTACATGGAGTGGTCACTGTCACCTCATTAAGAACGTAATATTTAAACAAAGTCTTAAAAGAAGAAAAAAAGTGAGGCAAGTAAAAATCTGGAAAACCGTGCTACAGACAGACAAAATTGCCAGTGCAAAGGCCCTGAGATGGGTGCATGCTTGGAGTGTTGATGGAATATCAAGGAAGCCAATGTGCCAGGAGCAGAGTGAGTTGAGGTGAAGAGTAGGAAATGAGGTCATAGGGGAAACAGTGGCCAGATAGGCAGGACCTTCCAGGCTGATGAACAATGTCTGCTCTCTTTTAAAGAGATGGGGTCCACTGGAATGTTTGAAGCTGAGTGAAATGATCTGACATAAGGCTTAATAGGATCCCACTCTGGCTTCTGTGTGCTGGGTTTCATTATAGGCTCAGATAAGACCACAGGGTTAGGCCATTTGCATTGGAAACAACCACCCGCTTCCCCTGATTTTCCTGGAGGATGTTCGGAGTTGTTGGTCTGCCAGGCTAATGCATCCCTTACTGAGCTGAGCGCAGCTCTGGCCTCCATCACAACTCCCTGTCCCCTGGAAGCAAATCCCATCATGCCTCACCCTGGCATCACATGGAAACAGACGGGGAAGGGGAAGCATCTCCTCCTTCCTTCTGTCTGCAGACTTCCTAATCATTCAGACTCCACCCAGCAAGAGCCATTAGAGCTAATTAACGACCCTCCTTTCAGTAGGTGTCTCTTCACTATGATTAATTCTGGGTCAGAGACAGAAAGCTTGTTCCATTATGGTTCTTTTTAAAAATTATTATTATTCAAGCTTCTAATACTAGCATGAACTGCGGGTGAATTTCTGAAGTCACGTTACATAGCTGTCACAACTAGTAATCGAAAAATTCAATTTATAAAGAATTAGGAGAGGCAGGAGAGGCAGGAGAGGCATGCTCTTCGGTCTAGAACAAAGGAGATCAATCCTGACACAATGGCAGCATGACATTCGTGGACTTTGAAGATTCTAGGCTTCCTCTTCATTAATTAGAGAGAATCAAGAGTTCTGGTGGTTATTTTTTTTGCAGAAATTGTGCTTTGCAAAAGCAGATGTCAACTCACTCCAGCCACCTCCAGCTGCAGCTCTACATGATAATTAAACTGCGTGTCAGTCCTAAGCTCCATCTAGATTGGCAAATCAACACTCAGATGGCCATTGCCACCTACCACCCATCAGATTTAGGTGGGGTTATGGGACTTCCTAGCACAAAGATCCTGGGTTTGGGATGGCGGGGAAAGTGGGCTACATTGCTGTGAATGGACTGTCCTGGATAGGTAGTGCATTTAAAATCCTCAGCAAGAACCAGAAGATCAAAGTTGCCTTTAATCTGCCCTCATGTTGTGTATGCTTGGTGGGGTCCAGAGTATTTCCCTGTCAGGGTCAGTTGGTCCTCTTGTGTTGTTGCTGTTATTGTTGTTACTGTGTTAAGTAAGCAATTATCTTTTTTTAAAAATGTTTTTAATATTTAGATTACCAAAGTAATATATATTCGTTGTACCAAAGTTAAGCAATGTAGAAGTGTATAAAGTAAACAATGAGGGCTCCTCTGTGCCCCTTTCCAATCCCACCATCCTGAGAGAGCCACTAGGAGATTGGAGGCTTTCCCTCTTCCTGGGCAGCAGGTTGCAGTCTTTGAATACTCTTTTGACCAGCCAGATTCTGACTCTTAATGTGACATCTTACCATCCCTGCTGCTTTTTCTGTACCAATGAGACTCTCTACTGTCCTCAACTTCTCTGCTTCCACAAGAGTCAGCGGCAGGCCCAGTTTTGGAGTCTCATTAATGGATCTGACCACAGGGACTGGCACAAGAACGCAGGGACATTGGTATTTGTTTGCATGATCCTAATGTTTCTATGCAGGAGACAAGGGAGGAATCCAACACCACCAACATCATGCTATTAGCAATGCATCTGCAACTAAATGTGTACAGCCCAATCTTTAATTTGACAACAGATATTGTTGGAAAGATAGTAGAAGAAAATGAGCATATTAAAGCTATCAGAACTGTTGGAGTCAACAGATGCCTGCAGTCTGCTCACAACTACTGGGGGAAGGGAAACAAGATGAAAGGCTATCCTTCCAGAAATAGAAACATTGCCAAATTTAGCCCTGGGCCTCATTTACCATAGGTAAGGCAACAGACGGAGCCACATCATTAACCTGCCCTCCCAGGCATCAATGTCTTGGGGGATTTGTCCAGACGATTTCAGACAGGGCCCTGTGTGTCTGATTGGAATTCAGGAAAAGCTGCAGGGAGCAAGAAGGAGAGTGGTAGCCTTACAAGTCTTTCCCCAAATACCCAGATTGCCTTGGGTGTTTTGACATTTGCTGGCATTAAGACCCTTTGGCTGTTTCACAGTCCATTTATTTAAAGATGGTATTTTAAACTCTCTCCCCAGAGCAGCTAGGTTGTAATATTAGCCTGGCTGACATCAGACCCTCTCTCGGGTTACCAAGGTCATTCTGACTGCTTCAAGGTTACCAAACTCTAAACAACAGTGAGCAAGTTTTATTCACATCTTGATTATAGTATTTATTTCATCAATGTGTAATTATCTGTTTACTGGACTGTCTCCCTCACTAAAGAGTTATCTCCTTGAGGACAGTGAATGTGTTTTAAATATCTTGGTGCTGGCAGCACCTAGCTGGAACTGGGGTACAGATGTTAAGTTAGCTGTTTTTCTGGACTTTCATTATTTGTTTGGTGGTGGTTTTTTTGTTGTTGTTGTTTTGCTATGGTTGTGATGGTAGTGGTGGCTGTTTCCATGAACATCATTTGACGAACGATGTGATGTTAGTTTTACGTGTCGATTTAGCCAGGTTCTAGTACCCTGTTATTTAATCAAACACTAATCTAGGTATTTCTGTGAAGGTACTTTGTAGATGTCATTATTATTTACAATTAGTTGACTTTAAGTAAAGGAAATTACTCTTGATAACAAGTGGGCTATATTCAACAGTTCAATCAATTGAAGGCCTTAAAAGCAAAAAGTGAGGTTTCCCAGAGAAGAAAGAATTCTGACTCTACTGTAGTAGCCAATTCTCCCTGAGTTTCCAGGCTGCCAGCCCACCCTGCAGATTTTGGATTTGCTAGCCCCCATAATCGTGTAAGCCAATCCCTTAGAGTAAATATCTCTCTATCTCTATCTTTATGTATCTATCTAATCTTATTGATTCTGTTCGTCTGGAGAAACCTGACATGACAGACACAAATCCATGTAAAATACACCATTAATTCTATTGATTCAACAGATTTTCTGAGTGCCTACCACATGCCCCACATTGTGCTAAGTGTTAGGAGTAATGGTAGAAAGCAGCAGTCCCTGATCTCAAAGAGTGGTTTGATTTAAGGCAAGTCTAGGGCAGTGCTGGAAGTTTCCTAAAGAAACGAAATCAGCCCAGAATCTACAGGAACTAGACTCAGACAATGAGTCACCTCCAGCTGCCTTGGCCTGGGGCAGGGACAGCTTGGATGGGCATGGAGCCAAGAGGAATAAAACACATTTGCCCAGGCATCCAGGGCACCCAGGCTTCATGGTGCCAAAAAGAAACAAAGCATGGAGGGAGAGAAACGATCAGGATGGTTTTTCTCACTCTAGGCAACCTTATGCTTGAGAAAGCTTTCTTCCCCGCAAGTACCCAATAATTCCCCTTCCTAATGTGATGGAATGAACTCACCATGACCTTACTTCCTTTCCAGGAAGTCCAAGAGGGTTCTCATCAGTCTGAAAGCTTCAGGAAAGGCCTGGCCTTGGGCCAGTCATCACACCTTAAGCATTTTAACCTGGAAGAGTGGCTGGTGGGGGAGCAAGAAGGAGCCTTTACTCTCCAGCCTTTACTCTAACCATGGCACCTTTTAAATTGGCTTTTAAAGGGAAAATGTTGTCCTGATGTTTGTAAGTCTCAGTTGAAAAGAAATAAGAGAAAAACAGTGTGAAAACAAGACTAACCAGATGATTCAAAGAGAAGGTAGAGGTTTGTTAGTTAGCCTTTCTTATAAGCTAGGTGGTATAGGCCCCACTGGCCCTAGGAAGGCTGTCACCATCGCTTTCTTCCTGTGCAAGAACATGACCATCCCTTTCCTTCTCACCCAAAGGGGAAGTAGCATGAAGAGAATGCAAGGTTCAAATTGGGTGCCACTGCCTGTGTGAGCAGCTCAAGGTTTGGGAAGAACTTGGTAAGCCCATATAGCATCATTTGTGAATGGAAAAAAAGTCACCTTCCTTCAAGACACTTGACTCCCATCTGCATAAAATAGTCTTAAGCAATATGCTAATCTATGATGAGTATAGTTGAAATATCACCCCCTAGAGTTTTGCAAGGCATAAGCATTCTGGGTGGTCCTGGAACCATTTGGATTTCCTCCTTGAAGCTGCAGGATCGTGCCTTTGCAGTTTCCTCTATTTCAGGGAGTTGCTGTCTTTGGCAGCTTGTCCCATGATCTGTCACCAAGGTGGTTCTAACCCTGCAAAACTTTCTCCAACTTCCCAGTGACCACCTTCCCCCAGGTGCACATTATAGCTTTACATTCGTGGTAGCCCTGAGCAGATCCTATTGCAAAGTCCGTCACAGTCTCATTCTCTCCCTCATCTGCCTCACCATTTCCCCACCCACCCACACACAGATTTGGGCTGAATTTGTGTAAGTCAGGTGTAATATCTGTTTACAGGGCTGTTGTCCTTATAAGACTATGAGCTACTCAAGACCAAGAGCCAGGTCTTCTCTCTATATCCTCTATGGCTCCAATAGTACCTACCATCTAATCAATATTAGTAAGTATTAGCTTAATGAAAGGGAGGCAAGTTTTACAGCCAACATTTGAATGTGTGACCAAAAAAATGATTCTGCTAAAGTCCTGATTCCAGTGGCCACCTAGGTGATCTGAGATAGGTAAAAATGGTCTCATAATTATAACAGCTTACATTTTACAGCACTTCAGTTTACGGAGTCTATACACATATATTTCATTTACTCTTTAAAACCACTCAGTGAATTATTATTAATATATAAATTGTACAGTGGGAAAGCCCGAGGCTCAAAGAGAGCACGTTAGAAGGTAGTAGAACAGCAGTTCACACCAACCCGCTGACTTCAGAGCCCTGGCTGCTTCACCGTCTGCCACAGTACCTTCAAGCCCAGCAAGACTGCTCTGGACTGAGCCCAGTTTCACTAAGAGGCATCTGCAGGCTCAGATCTCTCTCCAAAGGAGACCTAATCCCCATGGATTTCCCTTAGTGATGCATCAGCCCAGAGTGAAGCCCAGCATGGTGACCAGCAGGCCAGCTGACCCTGTTTTGCTTCCCTTTCAAGGGCTCCTCTGGGGGATGCCACATCTGGGAGGGTCATGTCCCAGGACACTCTCACAATCCACCATCCTCCAATGGGTTCCTGCTGAAGATAAAGACCCAGACATACTCTCCTCTCAGCCTTAACTTGATCAGCCTGGACTGTGCCACCATTATCCTTCTGAGAGAGGGAGAGAAAAGGCATTCATTTTGCCTTCGTCTTACGCTTCCATTATGATGCCTTTTTGTGTAGTTTGGGGTGGAGGAGGATGCACATTGCAGCTTCGAGAAAGATTCAACTCGGTGTTAGGTGGGCCCCTTTCTCGGAGGGCAGCAGATGTTCCAGTCATCAAGCCCTCCTCTCTTTCCCATGGAGTCTGATAATCGACAATTCTCACCTGTATTGGCTGACAGACCCTTTTAGTCTTTTATTCCTGGCCTCTCAGACTTGTTAGTGAAAGGAAAGAAAAGCTACTTTGATGTATGTGTGCCCTTGGCTTAATGCCGCCTTTTCTTTCCAGATATGTTTTCTGTGCTTACAAGCAGTCCCTGGGAGAGGCCTTTCCCTCAGCCCTTCCTCCAGGCTTCTCAAAGGAATTGCTGCAAATGAGCCGCCGCCATAAGGAAACCCTAACAAGTGATCAGAGAGCACTAATGGGTCCCAGTAGCACTTCTGAGCCTTTTCACAAATGGAAAAGCAACGTGGAAGTAAGCCTGTAACTGGAAGACTTGAGATATAGATTTGAATTCCTGCTTCACAAGGTTACTGAGAACTTTAAATGAGTGGGTACAAAATAAGTATTAGTTTCCTGCTCTTAGAAAAGTTCCATATAAATCTCAGTTATAGAGAAATCTGTGGGGTATGCATTACCAGAGTGGGGTGACTAAGGCAAGCCCCTGAAAGATAGACCCCTGAGTTTGAGGCCATCATCTGCTACTTAATAGCTGTGTGAATTTAGCAGGGCTATTAACCAATCTGTGTCTTCCTGAATTGAGTGAATTCCAGAGCAGTGCCAGCTTTGTAAGGAGCATCTACTAATGCTGTCTGCTGCTATACTATGTTTTATGCTATTGACTATTATTCTATCTCTCTATATATGCATGAATTGTGGTGCTATCAGCAGGTTAGTCCCCGATTTATTTCACAAATATTCTTGCACACCTACGTCATCTAGGAAAATATAGTACAATTCTGTTCTGCAAAATTGTAATTTTTCAGAGTATTAGGAAGTACTCCACAGGGGAAAAATGGTTCAGTAGTTAAAGAAATATGTGATTCTTTGGCTTGATGATGCTCAACAGGTATTTTTACTGCAGAACTTCACAGAATATTCAATATCCTGAATCCACTTCAGGAAGAAGCCTTTCCCTTCACAGACCCATTCCCAGAATTGGTGCCACCAGGATACACTTTGGGAAGTGCTAGTAATAAATAGTTTGGATACAAGTCAATGAGACTTTCTGGCTTGGTCAGGAAAGTGTGTGAGCATTAAAGGTAGGGACACAAAAAAGGACCTCTTGGTGCTGTGGGGCATGTCCAACAACAAAAGCGCAAGGAAGAGCCAAGCTGGGAAGAACTTGGCAGAACTTGCGTGGGAAGGACAAAAGCTACATTGCTGTGAGTTGACGACACCCAAAGGTAAATCAGACTGTAGCTCAGTACAAGCAAAAGAGTGAAAGTAAGGAGGTCAAGGAGTGTGGTGTCAGCTACCATTCAATCCTTTCTTCCTCCTAGCTCTGAATTCAACTCTTATTGAGCACACATGACACCGCAGCACTGTCCTGGAAACAGAATACCCTGCACACCCAGGGTTCCAGTGTACTCACAAGTGGAGCCAGGTGGACTGAATGCAGGACTCTAGGGAAAGACCAGAGAATAAAGAGCTCTAGGCTCCAGGAAGGGAAAAATGCTTCAGGCAGAGGACTGGGGAAAAATTCCAAAAAGGATTTTTTTTTAACTGAGTCTTGAAAGAGGCATGTTATGTCAGGCAGAGGTAGGTGACAGGAAGGGCATTCAAGTATTAGGAATCCCTTGAGCAGAAGTGAGACAATACTGGCAGTGGTTGGTGACAGATGAGGAGTGAATTTGGTTAAGGCATATGGGGAGGGAGCAGGGACAGCCATGAGTTAGGACTGGACAGTCTTCCTCAGACAAGACTGTAGAGAGCCTTGACAGCCCCCTGCTTCCACTCTTCATTCATTCATTTATTCATAAATGTTTAGTGAGTACCTGCTATGCACCAGGCATTATACTAAATGCTTGGGGATAGAACAGTGACAAAATGGACAAAGCTCTCATTCTCACAGAACTTATAATTCTGGTGTAGAGAGAAGCAGTAAACAAATAAACAAAGATATACTACAACATCATGTAGCAATAGGTGCTATAAAGCAAAATACAGCAGGGTTGGAAAATAGAGAGTGCGTAGGGCGCCATTTCTGATGGGGTGGCCAGGGCTTGCTAAAAGGAGATGACACTTTCTTAGGAGCCTGAACGAATTCCTGAATGAAATGAGGGGACAGCAAGTCAAACAGGCAGAAGAGCTCTGTAGAGTCAGTGCTGATGCCCAAGGCAGTGCCATAGTTGGAGGGTACAGGGTATCTAATGGACCACTGTAAGAACTGTGGATTTTATTCTAGTGCAGTGGCAGCTTGGGCTTTATTTCACTGGCCAAGGGTTGTTGAAAGTTTCGGAGCAGGAGAGTAATGGAGTAATGTGATATGAGCTGTTGTTTTTGGGCAGTGACTTACCAGCTTTGGGGGAAAAAAATCACATAGAGGCATCATACTTGATTCTAATGTCCCATTAGACATGCTTAAATGTCCCATCTCAGTGAGGGCTTTCGAACCCATTCTACCTCCTTGACAGTTCCTATTTCCCTTCCCAGTATTTTTTTTCTCCTTAGCACATTGTACTATCTAAAGTCTTATATATTTTGTTTTTTAAATAGAGTTTATTATCTGTCACCTCCCTCATGATTTAAGCCCTTTGAGAGCAGGGACTCCTGCCTGTTTCACATCTGCCATACCTGCAACAGTGCGCAGCAGAGGGATTCCATAGAGCCTTCTGGAATGACTGAAGGATTTTTCCTTTATGAGCAATTGTCGTACAGTCTAGGGCCAGTAAGTAATTTATTATTATAGAGGACTTCTGTTATATATATAAATATTTTTTTCAGCATCCAAGCACATTTGTTGTGGGCTGTGTGGTGATCTGAATATAATTATTTTATACCTTGATCTGTTAAAAATACAAAAACATATGCTAAGCATGGGGTATATTAGTCCCCATGGGATGTAAGACTTCTTCTTACCATATTTTCTCCAGAAGCTCCCAATGCCCGCCATGCCAGGGACGGGGTTGCAGTAGTAAATGAATGTGGTACACCATTGAATACTAGTTGGCCTTTGCTGTTTCTTAAAGCAATTCTATGATTCATAACCTGCATTTACAATTCACTTCAGGGTTGTCATTGTCCTTACTGACAGTCTTCAACTGACAGGTTGTATTCCTAAACATATTTTTAATTCAACTGTTTGAACATATTGTCTTATAGAACTTGCATAATAAGTGGGGAGAGTTTCCAGGCTAAGCCACAAAAGTGCATTTAAGAATAAGGCAATTGATAACCATAAATTAAAATGAACACTGTAGAAAATAATACCGTTAGATTATTCACATCAAACAACGAAATAGAAATTGAACTCAAAATGTGTTTTTATGTACCTTGGGTGGCCATTCTTGAAAGAATCTTTGGATTTTTCCAGGTGACCTCATATTTGGTGTCCTACACCAGCACACTTGTCCCCCATTCTTGACTTGTTTGGTCTTCTCTTTGCCATTTCCCTTCTCTTTTGCCAGCTACATACTTTGTCATCTATTCCTGCCTTGTCTCTCTGAGAGTTGAGGCCTCCCCCACCTCTTTCTTGAACTCTATGGCTATTGCAAAATATTCTCTCATCTTTTTTTGTTTTTACTTAAAAATAGAGAAAGGAGGTCATAGGAAGAGAGCCAGTCAAGACCACCTGTTTTTCGGCTGCTCCTGTTTGGAAGGATATGGTCTCTCATTTGGATTCCAATGGAGAGAGGAAAAACTTTCCCATGTCATTCAAGAGTATCAAAAATTGTGGCAATTTTATTTTATTTTATTTTTTTTTTTTTTTGAGACGGGGCCTCACTCTGTCGCCCAGGCTGGAGTGTAGTGGTGCAATCTTGGCTCACTGCAACATCTGCCTCCTGTGTGCAAGTGATTCTCCTGCCTCAACCTCCCTAGTAGCTGGGATTACAGGCACACACCACTATGCCTGGCTAATTTTTGTATTTTTAGGTGAGACGGGGTTTTGCCATGTTGGCCAGGCTGGTCTTGAACTCCTGACCTCAGGTGATCCATCCACCTCAGTCTCCCAAAGTGCTAGGATTACAGGCGTGAGCCACTGCGCCCAGTTCATTGTTTTTATTTCTTATTTGATTTTTTAAAAATGTAGTGTTATAAATAATCCTTATGATTTAGGTCTACAGATACAATAGGATCAATATGAATATGAAGGTATATATCGGTTGGTCTATTTTTTGCCCACAGAATATCTAAGGCAATGTTAGAATGTATTATGTGGAATGGTGTTCAGCTCTGCTTGGGAATGTGAGCTACAGATTTCTTAGGTCCTCATTGCTTCACATACAATAGAAAAATCTATGGGGACGGGGAGACACTTTGCTCCTGTCAAATAGGTGGGGCACACAGTCAGTCTCCTAGGGCTGAACTTTCATATCTTTCAAATGTGAATAATAATCCCTGCTTTTCCAATCTTATTAGACAGCTGACAGGGACAGAAAGCATAATATAAAAGGACTTCACAACGTTAGTGGAAAATGGAATTAAAAGATAAAAACAGAAAATATAAACTTTGTTTTTCAACATAAGCTTCTGGCTCACACCTGTAATCCCAGCACTTTGGGAGGCTAAGGCAGGTGGATCACTTGAGCCCAGGAGTTTGAGACCAGCCTGGGCAACTTGGCAAAACCCTATCTCTACAAAAAATAAAAATAAAATAGCTGGGCATGGTGGTGTGTGCCTATAGTCCCAGCCACTTGGGAGGCTGAGGTGGGAGGATCACTTGAGCCTGGGAGGCAGAGGTTACAGTGGGCAGAGATCATGCCACTGCACTCCAACCTGGGTGACAGAGTGAGACCTTGCCTCAAACAAAACAAAACAAAACAAACGAAAACATAAGCTCCATCAAGTTCAAGACACTTTTATAAGTGATGATACCAGCCATTTAATTCATACCTAAGGAACTGAGAGTCCTGGGAACTTAAACATGCCAATGTAGTCATTTTTACGTTTAATACTTCAGTTACTACTAAAGAAAAATGAGTGCCCTTTAAAAAATATTTTTAAAGTCAGGAAACAAAAAGAAGTCAGAAAGAGCCAAAATCAGGACCATACGGTGGATGCCTAATGATTTCCTACTGAAACTCTCACAACATTGCCCTTGTTTGATGAGAGGAAAGAGCAGGAGCATTGTCATAATAGAGAGAGGTTCTTTGGTGAAGCTTTCCCGGGCATTTTTCTACTAAAGCTTTGGTTAACTTTCTCAAAACACTCTCATACTAAGGAGACCTTGCCGTCCTTTGGCCCTCCAGAAACTCAACAAGCAAAATGCCTTGAGCATCCCAAAGACTGTTGCCATGACCTTTGCTTTTGACTGGTCTGCTTGTGCTTTGACTGGGCCACATCCACCTCTTGGTAGCCATTGCTATGATTGTGTTGTGTCTTTAGGATCATATTGGTAAAGCCGTGTTTCATCTCCCATTACATTCCAAAAAGAGATGCTTCAGGATCTTGGTCCCATTTGTTTTAACATTTTCATTGAAAGCTCTGCTCTTGTCTGCAGCTGATCTGGGTACAACGGTTTTGGTGCCCATCAGGTGGAAAGTTTGTTCAACTTTAATTTTTCAGTCAGAATTGTGTAAGCTGAACCAGTTGAGATGTCTGTGGTGTTGCTATTGTTTGTGCTGTTGATCATTGGTCATCTTCAATTAGGGCATGAACAACATTTTTTTCCTTACAAATTGATGTGGATGGTCTGCTGCCATGGGCTTCATCTTCAACATTATCTCAACCCTTCCTAAAATGAGTTATCCATTTGTAAACTGCTGATTTCTTTGGTGCATTGTCTCCATAAACTTTTCATAAATCATTAATGATTTCACCATTCTTCCACTCAAACTTCGCCATAAATTTCATGTTCGTTCTTGCTTCAATTTTAGCAGAATTCTTGATGCTCTGATATGTGCTCTCTTTGAATTTATGTCTTATCCTTCTTCTTTTTTTTTGACAGACCCTTGCTCTGTCACCCAGGCTGGAATGCAGTGATGTGATGTTGGCTGACAACCTCTGCCTTCCAGGCTCAGTGATCCTCCCACCTCAGTCTCCCGAGTACCTGGAACTAGAGGCGCACACCACCATGCCCAGCTAATTTTTGTATTTTTTGTAGAGATAAGGTTTCACAATGTTGCCCAGGCTGGTCTTGAACTCCTGAGCTCAAGTGAGCCACTCACCTCAGCCTCCCAAAGTTCTGGGATTACAGGTGTGAATCACCTTGCCCAGCATATGTCTTATCCTTCCTAGTCCCTTAAACTAGATCATCTTCAGGTATATTGTAACAAGTTAATATGAGCTTATTTTGGTGCAAAAAAATTGAAATGCATGCAGTTTTTTTTCATAATACGCAATTTTTGTGAACTTTTGAAGACACTTCATAGAAAAGAAATTGCCTCTAAGACTTAAAAACCCCAGAAGCCATGATATTACAAATTATCAAAAAATTAACTCTGCCTATCTCTGCAATGCTCCCATAACCTAGAAAGCTCAGTACTCTTACATCACCTAGGAAAGTCCCAGAGTTTGTGCAGGAAGGGTTGAAATCACTTAAAGTCTGATATTTGTTTTGGAACCATTATCAATAACATAAGTAAGTAGTTTAATTCTTAAGAGCTCTAAAGATGTATTTGCAAAAGGAGAGGCTAGAATGAACAAATGCCGTGTTGAGAGAATGCTAAATTTCATACCTGCATTTTTTTTTCTGCTGTCTGGGTTAGGCCATCTGCACTTTAGAATTGGGAAGAGGACAGACACATTGAGAGCATGACACAGACAGAAATCTTATGTCAACTGCAGATTAAGGAAACTTTCTCCCTCTGGGCCTAACTCGGGTGTCTAGAAGGTACACCTGCTCATAAATAACAAGAGTATTCACCAGTGTGGTGATTTTCTCCACCTGGGTTATATAGGGATTTCAGCTCACTCTGTAAATGATTAGTATATGTCCTTATAGAATAAGTTATATGATGTATGAGAGAAATTCATGAAGAACATTAGCCATTTGTACCATTCCCCTAGCCAGCCAGAGACCAGTGTGGACACAGCATCTTTTGCTCTAAGACTTACCCACCTGGCAGAGTGTTCCAGCTCACCAAGGGCCTTTCTCAGAGGCAAACCTCGGGACAGACAGAAGACATTGACTGTTGTTGTTGTTGTTTTTCTTTTGCCAAATCAATAGCTGCCTACTGACTGTTGTTTTAAAGACTGAGGACTCAGTGACTTTGAAGTCACAGAAAGTAGGAGTCTGGCATTCTTTTTTTTTTTGAGACGGAGTCTTGCTCTGCTGCTCGGGCTGGAGTGCGATGGTGCAATCTTGGCTCACTGCAACCTCCACCACCAGGTTCAAGTGACTCTCCTGCCTCAGCTTCCTGAGTAGCCAGGATTACAGGCGCGGGCCCCCATGCCCAGCTAATTTTTGTATTTTTAGTAGAGATGGGATTTCACTGTGTTGGCCAGGCTGGTCTTGAACTCCTAACCTCGTGATCCGCCCACTTCGGCCTCCCAAAGTGCTGAGATTACAGGCATGAATCACCGCGCCCAGCCGAGTCTGGCATTCTTGGCCTAAGGGAGTGATAGTGTGATTGAGAGTGAGCCATTTGTCTGCTCTGGGCCTTAGTATCTTGTCTATAACAAAGCAGGACTCTTCCAGCTCTACAAATGTCAAGAGCCAAAGCCAATGTCTTAAGCACTACCTGTCCAGATTACCACACATCTCACCAGGTGAGCCTTGGTAGGAAGCTGAGGCCAAGTGGGCCAAATGGAACCGCTGGGCAGATTTGATAGGCCCTTTACAATGCTTGTTGAAAGTATTTCATCACAAATCTTTGAAAATCAGAAGACATCACATAAGAAACTAGATTTCTGGCTGCCCGTAAAAAAATCAAAAGATTGGCCACATTGGGCCCAAATTCTGATATGGCAACAGTTAGCTAGAGTTTGGTGGTGGCTGTTCCCTTTGAATGAGGCATGTGTTCTTCAGTTTGCCACAGTCTGCACCACTCCCTATTGCAGGCTGCACCTAGTCTACTTTACAGTATCCTGACTCCTGTAGACTTTTGAAATTCTGATCCTTGCTTTAATATCTCTTCCACACCCAGGTGTATTAACCTCCACTTTCAGTACCTCTTCTAAAAGCAGACTGTCTGCAGAAAGAGAAATTAACATCTTGGCATGAAGTAGGTGAGCAGAACACTATTCGTCAGATAGGAGGATCTTGGAGTCCTGGTGAGGAAGGAGGAGGGCCAAGAGACCAGGGAACACCTTTAGAAGGGCAAAGGGTTACATAAAGTAGCTCTGTCCAATAGAAATATAATACAAGCCACAAATGTGAGCTACATATGCAATTCAACATTTTCTAGTAGCCACATTATGAGGAAGTAAAAAGAAACAGGTGAAATATTTAACTGAACATACCAAAATATTGTCATTTCATTATGTAATTGATTTTCAAAATTATCAGTGAGGTATTTTACATATTTTTACATGAAATCTCTAAAGTTCAATGAGTATTTTATACTTGCAGCACATCTCCATTTGGACTAGCCACATTTCAGGTGCTCATAGCCACATGTTGGTAGTTGCTACCATATCAGACACACGGAGGTAGAAAATTAAGAAATTATTGACCAGCTTACTAGTTTTGCCTAGAGCCCTCACTAGCTACCTTATGAGATTCGGAAGCGAACCACATTTATTGAATGCTCACTATGAATTGTATGTAATAAATATACAATTTATTTCATTTTAGTTTGCATGTCCCACCACAAAAGACAGCTAGAGCAGAGGGTAAATGCCATTGAAATAGGCCTGATAGACTGCACGACTCTGTCTGCTGCTGTAGCATGGCTGTGGTATTTCTTAGCCTCAGTTTTCTTATCTCCAAAACTGGTGATAATTGCATCTACCTTAAGAGGTTATCATGAAGTTCATGAAAATGCTTTATAAACTGTAAATAACTATACAAGTTTAACAAAAGGAAAAATAGCTTTATTTTATTGAATTGCCAAGTTCTGTGCTAGGCACTTTGCACATGTTATCTGTCTTCATCTTTATAATACCTTTATCAAATCATACTATTATCCAGGCTTTAAAGAAGAAGAAACAGCCTTCTAGAAATTCAGCATCTTGTACAAAGTCAACAGGTAGTGAGTGGCAGAGCCAATCACAGCTTTGAAAATAGGGTATTTGATATTCATGGCACCACCCTAGTTAGAGAGAGATGGAGAAAAAGAGAGAGAATATAAATCTTACACTTCATTTTCTGAGACATTTGGGTAAATGTTTTAAAGATGAAGAAACTGGGAGCCAGGAGCAGTGGCTCACACCTGTAATCCCAGCACTTTAGGAGGCCGAGGCAGGCAGGTCATTTGAGGTCAGGAGTTGGAGACCAGCCTGGCCAACATGGTAAAACCCTGTCTCTACTAAAAAAATACAAAAAAATTAGCTAGGCATGGTGGCGTGAGCCTATAATCCCAGCTACTCAGGATGAGGTTACAGTGAGCCGAGATCACACCACTGTACTCCAGCCTGAGCAACCGAGCAAGACTGCATCGCAAAATTAAAAAAAAAAAAAGTGAAAAAGAAAAAAGAAACTGGGGCTTTATAATTATATCTAGGATCACACATGTGGCAAATTAACAGCCCAGGTAAATTAAGAATTGGACAATCTCTAGGGTTCTCATTCTGGATTTAAACCCATTGAACCACTGAGCTGAATAAATCTCTTGATTATTGAGATTATTTTTTAATCCCCCCAAAGAAGAGTTAATCCCTCTGAAATCAAACCTCTTCAGTGGAGGAAATTAATATATAGGACTGGCAGGTAAATACATTACCATTTGGTGACTTTGCCTCTCCTTTGCTCAAATAACTACAATCTGTATGTCCATCTTAATTCCTCTTCCTACTTCCTGAAGAGTGAGTTACTGCTTCTTTAATGAGTTGATTTTTCATCAATTTTTCTAGCTCCAGCCTGACTCATGCAAATAGATAAGAAAGATTATTTGTGACTAAGCTCCTCCACAATTGCATATACACACAGTGCCAGCCAAGCCATTATTGTCTCAGAAAGGATGTTATTTCTGTCCCAGCAAATGACACTATTTGTGTTAGTCTACTTTTTTTTTAACAATGTCCCCACAAAACCATCCCACCAAGTGGGTCCCTTTTGCTATGTGCACGCTTGAATCCTTCCCAGGTGGTACCTTTGTGTGTGCTATTCCTCCTGCCTGAAGAAACTTGTCCCTTAGTCTCTCCCACCCAAATCTTGCCTGTCCTTCAAGGACCATTTAGCTGAGGTCAGAGACCTGACTATTTCAGGCAGAAAACAGTCTTTGACCTTCAAGCACATATTGGCCATACCTCTCATTTGAAATCATCTCACATTTCACTTTGTGCTGCCATTGAACTAGTTCATCTGTGTTGTCTACCCAACTAGATAAAGGTTCCTTGAAGATGAGGCCCTTATATCCACAGTGTTTTACATGTCAGCAGTACTTAAAATATTTTATTGATAAAATGTATGAATACTTATTCCATATAGTAGGACTGGATATAAAATGGGTGTGTAATATCTGTTGAATTAAATAAATTTCAGATTTTCAAAGTCATATAGAGTAGTTCTTCTTGGGTAATAAATCCCTGTCATGATTTCAAGGTTCTTAATTGTCTTATTCTCCTTTCCTCTGTCACATCTCTATAGACCATGAATGTGAATCACTAAATCTTGCTGGATTTCAAGTTTTCACCTCTGTTTAAGAGTACTTTGATAATGCAGCTCCCCATTTATATTATGCATTATTAATATACTTCAGGAAAAGGCTGGATTATCCTGCAAAGTATGTAATCAGAGTAATATGAAAAGCAACAAAATTGATAAAGATATTGAAAAACTTTGTTCCTGGTGAAATTGAAAAACTAATTGAAAACTATGACTCAGCTGTCTGCATTTTTTCCTGATTTAGCAAAGCAGCACAAAATGTACAGCAGCCATGGATAAACTCTTAATGCCCTTCAAGGTAATGAGTAACTACGTGTGACTAAGATGGAATTAGGAGAAAGTCTCAGACATTGAAAAAACACAGTTCCCATGTCTGGTTAGTTCTGAATACTCCCAGTTCTGGGAAAGATTATCATATCATATGCTTGAGTGACATCGGCATTCTTATTTGTCAACGAGAACCTGGAAGGAACAGTTATTGTCTTTAATTTAAAAGTAACTACAGTGATAAAATTCAGGGATCTGTAAATTCCTTGGGCTCCCAGAGGATCTTCCTCTCATACATTCACCCTTTCTCAGGTCTTTTCATATTTTCATCAAGTTCTGTTTGTGAAGTCAGCAAACACCGGGACAGTGAATGTTGGCAAAGCAGAACATTCCTTTGGGGTCTGGGTTTTCAGGTCCTTAAAGAATAGATTGAGCAGGCAGTTTTCATGAAAATAGTGCTCAGGCTTACCTTTAAGTAAAACAAATTAAATTCCAGTGTGAAGACTGTTATCAGAAATCCCCAAGCCCAACCCAGCTCCTGAACTCTCTGTACCGCTGCCATGGATATTTCAGACAGTAAACAGAACTTTTAGCCACTTTAATTCACTATACCTGCCTTGGGCTATTTTAAAGTTATTTGACTTCTAGCCTGTGGAATTGGCTATGGTTTGCTTTCAAAAGCTGCTTTTTAAGTATCCGAAACCAACTGATTGCTCTAGCAGATTCTCTCCAATCTTCCTGCAGTACCCACACATGTCAGAGAGAAAAAGAGAGGTGCCAGTGCCCCTTCCCCCTCCTGTAGGATAAGCCACTCTCCTAACACTTTGGTCACCACCCTGATGCAGGCCACCTGCATCCCAATCTGGTAAGAGGCTTCTGGTTTCCATAGTTGTCGCCCAGGAAGCTTGGAGCCTCCTCTTTCCTCGATCTCTACATCCAATCAATCAACGAGTCCAGTCAGCTCTACCTCCAAAGACCCCAAATCTGTCTATGCTCTCCAAGTTGGATCTGGTCACCCTGGCCCCATCACCATCCTGCCAGATCAGACTCCTGCCTGGTCTTCCTGCTGCCTCTCTTGAGCCACTTCAACCCCTTCCTCCCACAGCAGCCTAAGTTCTCTTTTTTGAACATAAACCAGATTATGTTACTCCCCTGTTTCAAATTCTAATTGCTTCCCATTATGTAAAAAGCAGAAAAAGCCTCCCCTTTTCCTGGACTCCATCATCAGAGCTCACCAAGCTCACCCCTGCTCCTTGCCCAAGCTGCTATTCTGCCTGGAGTCCTCTTTCCTCTGACCTTTGCTTGGATGACTTCTCCTGCAATCTGATCTCGACTTGTCACTGCCTCGGGGAGGCCTGACCTGGTTTCCTGCTCTAACAGAACCACGTAGTCACCCTCCATCACATTACTCTAAGTCAATTCTCTGAAGAGCATTAGTCACAGTCTGATATTTTCTTATTTATTGTTTTTAACTAGTTTATTTAGCATTCATCTTTCCCCATTAGGATCTCTTTCTTTTTCATCCCTATATCTCCCATGTCTAGAATAGAAACTGTCACATAATAGATGTTTAATAAATATTTTAAATGGATTACTAGAAAAATAATAAATGTCATGGCCACTAGTCATTCAGTATTGGTACCTACTGAGCATTGACGCATGCAAGGTTTTAACCTTATACTACACTGACATGGCCATTTGCAATTTAGGTATAACTTTCACCGCATTATCTCATTTTATCCTTTTAGGAAACAGGGTGGGGAAATTAAGGAAAGGAATTAAGGACCTTGCTGTCAAGAAACTGTAAGCTGTTTTCCATCTAAAGCCAGAAAAAGGAATATGCATGTTAGAAGCTCAGTGCTTTTCTTGCAACAGGGCCAGTTGAAACCAAACCCATCCATAGTCTCCAAGTATTTATTTGCACAGTTGATCTGCATCCTCTTGATTTTTAGCTGGAGCAGCAAGGAGGAGTTTAATGAACAGTAGATGGGCACTAAGGGAGAATTGGGGGAGTTGCAGGACGAAGGAGGGAGGCCCAGTAGGGTGTGAGCCCCTAAGGAGGGCAAAGCCAGAGCCAGAAACTGAGGAGCTGTCAGCACAGAAAATTTTAGATCCTCAGGTGCAAGCAGAGCAGCTTTGAGACTCAAACTATAAGGAAATTTCACAGGGTAGGGTGAGGGTCTTTTCCCCAGTTCTGCGAGGAATGCGGCAGGACCACAGCACAAGAAGGAATGCAGGGAACACAGCTCTGTGGCGCTTTGCAGGTGGGGCAGAGGCCAAGGGCTAGCTTCGTGACCCTGGAAGACAAGCCCTGAATGAAAGAAGCCTCACAGGAAAGAGTTTCATGAGAGATGTTGCAGTGCTCTCTTTTGAGCTGTGCCATAGTCGCAGCCCACTGAACAACATCCCTGAGGTCCCCAGGGAGTTCTGCATAGCTTGGGCACCTGAAAGCTCATGGGTGCCCCAGCCAGCAGCTCAGCCACCTGTGCCAGGTGGGCTGAGCCAGAGACTTGGCCCTGAGCAGGGGAATTGAGACACAGGATACCGAAAGAGGGGCAGTTTCAAATGGTTGACAAGCCACGAACATCCAAGAGCTGCAAACTTATTCTCTGCCTACTTGATACATTCTGTGGACTCCCCCAAAAGAAGCAGACAAACTTTGAGAAAGGGGAGGTGTGAAGGTCAGGAGTCACACAGGTGGAGCAAGTAGCTAGCTAACTCTCAGTGAAAGTGGCATCTAATTGGCTCCCGCAGGCTGGTGAGGCCTGGGGACATTTGGTTACATACCTGCCAAGGAGGCTCAGAAAACAGGTTCAGACCTACCCAGTTGGGAGGCAATTAGGAACCAATGCCAAGAGGGAGCCAAAGGCAATGGTGAGCAGAACAATAGCCCTGTTGTGGCACCCAGCCCTCCACAGGCTGCCAGACGCAGCTCCAAGCCCACTGGCTGCTCTGCGTCTGCACTCAGATAGGCATAATTAATTAATAGGAGCTCGCTGTAATCACTTCTGCCCTAGGGCAGCACTCTGCAAAAGTTTACAAAATATGGAAAAGAGTTTCCTTCATTGCAATGACACTGTAAATTCCCACAGAAATGAGCCCCAAATTGTCAAAAGATCTATGGCAAAGGATTTCACTGAGATTGGATCCACAAAGTTATCTATTTAGGAGTTAAATATAGACATATGTAACTTGTCTTTCATGTTGCCAGCAAGGACATTTAAGTTTTGTTTATCAGAAGGCAGAGAGTTTAGTCTATCTATTCTTATATCCTGAACAACCTAGCTGGGATCTTGCACACAGTAGGCACTCAGCATCTGCTGCCTGAAAGAATCAAATTCCAAAAAGAAATGAGCTTTCTTTCTGACTCGGGAGCTCATTTCTAGAGGCAAAACCATGGAGCTTGGTGTGAAAGAGATACATTTCTAATGACACAGAGAGAATCAAGTTCCTTTCACAGTAACCCTCCCTGGAAAAATAAAACAATTCTACTGAAATAAGAGTTGAATCCAAGTAAAATAAGAAGATAATGAAACAATTCTATCTTTTGGTATGGTCTAGTTGCCCTCACTCTGGAAAAGATTCACACATTTGGTTTATTGGAAACCTCTGTGTGTGATGTGTATGTATGGTTTGTGGGGTGTGTGCACATGTGTGTTTGTGTGCTGTGTCACCAGAATGGCAGAAAGCATGAGTCTATGACCATTGAGCCCTGAGAATGCCACTGCTAAGCAATTGGAATAAAAGTTCATCAGTGGGCAGGATGAAGACTTAAAAGCTAACTTGAGAGCAAGCAATGGGCTATTAGCCATCGTGGAGTAGCCCAGGAATCTCTGAATAGGTCTAAAAGAGAGCCCTAGGTTAGTGTTGGAAGAGGTGAGTGGGAGGGTGGGTCTTTGTGATAAAAGATGATGACAGTGTTCACTGGGTTGGCAGATGTATGCTGCAATGAAATGAGGGGCTCACATCTGCATCTCGTTTACCTTTCCACAGACAGCCTTCCCTGGGACTGCTCAACAGACTAGCTGGGCACACTAGTCCAAGTAGAATCCAGGCAGTATCACTACCAGCTCTGGAAAGTGTGCTTATCTCAAAGCTTGACTTCATCAAATGAATACCAGGGACTGTCAGGCAAACTCAGATGGTTTGGGGATTGTAGTACCTTGGGGTGTACTGTAATTGTTACTATTGTATCACTACAGCGGCTATTACCAGGAAGGCAATGTATCTTTCAGGAAATGTATCAGTCCTTAAGTGGTAGCGAGACCTTTTAGAGAATTCAGGCTGCCCAAGACCCTGACTTCAAATTCACAGAATATGTGGCTCCTATGCAACTGGATTTCCTAGAACACCACAAATCTCAAATATCCTGCACCCTTGTCCTGTGAGTACTCCATGGATAGCCCCTGCCAGGGCTTAGTGCTTGCTTTTGGTTGAGAATATGTAATAACCGCCCTAGTTTAATAGCAAAACTGAGATTCTTTGCATCAGTTGTTGCTTCTGAAATGATGATGACTCATCTGTCTCTTCTAACTTCAGAGCTGAAGGTGAGTCATCAGGGAAAGAAGAGGTGGCTGTACAGACCCTGAGGACTCGGGTTTAGGAATTAAAGAGCCACGTCAGACATGACAGGAACAAGCCAGAAGTCCTTAACCACCATCCCTGAGCTGAGCCCTGTGAAGGGCTAGTTTTAATTTCATCTAGTTTTTCTCTCACCACTTTCATTTTTACTTATTACTACCTATTGAGCCAGAAGTGGAATGGCCAAAACATTTCGAGTGAGGCTGATTTTTCAGGGTATTTACAGTCAGCCTGGAAGCAGCAGGAAGTAGAATTTATAGATTTGCATTACTAGGCAGGCAATTTCCCAAACCTCAAGATTTGAACTTGTTTTTAATTAAATAGATGTATAGGCCTCGATGGGACTAGGTCTCTGAATCCCAGGAGGATCTCCCTATAGATTGAGATAAGATCCTTAAGCCAAAGTCATTTGCATGCCTGAGAGATCACCAGCAGTTGGGTGCTCCAATCACTAAGAAAGATGATTGCAGAGTGAAGTCAATCCCTGGGAGATCAGAAAGGTCTTGGCAGGTATGGAGGGTGTTGTCACACCTAGTACTAGGCTTGAAGGAAAAGGTTCTTGCAGCATGACGAGTTTTTTCAGCCATGGAGAGGGAGCATCCATTGGTGATTAAAAGCAGGGCTCCAGGTTGGGTTCAAATCCCAACTTCCATTCCACTCTGGCTAACCTTCGGTAAATTTCTTAAATCCTTTAAACAAAGCTTTCCTGCTTTTATGATGGGGATAATAATAGCACCGCCATAAAAGACTGCCGTGAACAAACCTGCAATGGCTGCTGATTTAAAAGCCTTTATCTGCACGCATCAAACCACGTTACTCCCTTGCTCAAAACCCTCTCATTTCATCAAGAGGAAAACCTCAGTGCTGTCTGGGACCTTCAAGGTTCTGGTTTCCTACTATTTCGCTGGCCTCCTCTGCATCCCTGTCCCATACTCACTGCCCCACCATCACTGGATGGCCTGCAGTTCTTGACACACAGAACAGCCTGATGTGCAACCACCTGGTTCCTCCTCCTGAAATGCACGCCTACCCCATGTTGGGCTACTTTGTTAGTCACTTTCTATGAGAGGCCCACCCTGACCACACTAGATGACAGAGCAAACTCCACCTTCCCCAACACTCTCTAAATATTTGCTGAATGTAAAGCAGCAGGATCCCAGCTTCCCCCACAGGCCCCCAGCTCTTGCTAGGTGGCTGTCTCCAATGTCCTTGAGGCTCGTAGATATGCCCACAAAAAAACAGGGCGTTACCACAATCTCCAGGTAGCATGTCATTCTGAGTTCCCACGGCTCCGTGTTTCTCACTCATAAGCCATTGCCCATCCTTAGGTAGTGAGGGTTCCTGCCAAGGGTACAGTTCCTGCCTGTCCCCAAGGCCTGCAGTTCTCCAGTGCCACAAAAGTACTGGATGCTGGGCAGAGGAGAGAAGAGCCCCTTTGCCAGCAACCTGCCCCTGGGCCCTGAGGCAGTTCACTACTGAGACTCAATGAAGAGTTTTTTATCTGCTTTGGCCATCGGCCCCATGACCACTAGGCTAGAGAGTGGAAGGTATGCCAGCTTTTCCATCTTCCCTACTTTTCTCCTCGGCAGCTTCTTCCCCAATTCCCCTCTCCAGAAGGGGACAAGAACTTTTATGTATGTATTATGTACAAATACCAACAGATACACAGAAATCAACAGCAAGGGTATGTGGGTGAGGAAGGGGGATGGTCCTAGTAGACTACTAGTGCCCCTTTGGTGCCTTTATGCAAATTAGGCAAAGGCACCCCTTCCTCAAGACACTTTACCTTCATCTCCTAGGAAACTATCGTAATAAGTGGACAAATCTACAATGTCGAATGTCGACAACACAAATTCTGTTTCCCCAAGTGCCCTGCTATGCAAGACATCTGAATTGAGCTGGTACCTTCCTGCCAGTGGCACACTGTAAGCAGTCAGTACACTTTGACTTGTTCAATTTATAAAGATTTTCAACATCAGGAGCACGGAGAACAATCCGGCCCTTCTCACAATTCTGAGTTGTTTGTAGATAACTGATTCTCCAGCCTCTCTCTCTAAATCTATGAAGTCAGGCACAAGGGCACTGTGAGTGTCATGAGGGTCCTGCCTGCCTCCCAGGCCACCCTCAACCACCTTCCAGGTGTCAGCTGGATCATCCCTGGCCCAGAGCCAGGGGGAGTAGGCAGGAGGATCATGAGGTGAGGGCAGGCCAGGTTAGGCCTGGTGCTGACTGAGCCTGGCTTTTTCCTCCACCAGGCTCTGCTGAGGAGTGTGCAGGGAAGGGTTAGGTCACGCTGCCTGGAATCCTGGGAGGGAGCCGGGCTGAGGCTCACCCTTCACCCACATTCCACCAGGGCAGCCTCACCCACAGCACAGGCCACCACATCAGATCAGCAGGAGACTCCCAGGCCTGGAAATTGGTGGCGGAGGGGAGGGAATGTTTGCATTGTTCTGTTTGTTTGGCTCGAAGAGGAACACTCCAGCTTGGGGCTAAGCAAAAACACATTAAACTGGGATGGCTTTATCCATAGAGGACTAAGATTTAAAGTGTCTGCTTCCTTCCTGAACAGAGAAGCCAAACACCGAGGAGTTCCCAGCAGGCCCCACTGCCTGTCCGCTCCAGCCAGCCTGGTTCCCTCCCCGGGCTGCTCGCTGTCCACACGCTGGTGCCCCACTTTTCTTCCAAAGCTGCCAGGGGAAGCTGAGCAGAGAGAGCTCTCAGTCAAGGGCTGCAAAGGAGGTCCTGGGGTGCCAAGTCCTAAACTCATGACACCATGGATGTGGGCACCAGCAGCAGCCAGCCATCTCTCTGATTCCGACAGGGCTGCAATGATGCCATCTATAGCATGCACCCCCTGGGCCTTCCACCCTGCACTCAGAGGGTGGGGGAAAGAGCAGGGCCTGCTCCAGAGCGGTCGCCCAGTGATGGCAGACACCAGACACAAAAAGTGAGCAAGATCGTGAGACCCCAAAGGAAGCAGGGATGGGAGCAATTACGACCAGGGCTCTGGAGTTAAAAGAAAGATCTGAATTCTGACTGGAATCACTTATTAGCAGTATGACAGTGGGCATAATACTAAGCATTGGCTACATTATTTATACAAGGGAAAAAGTAACATTTACCTCAGAGCACCAGTCAGGGTCGCAGCAGGAGAGAGAAACAGCGCGTTATTTCAACAGAAAGAATTAAACATAAAGAATCACTGAGTGGGTAGAAAGTTGTTAACTAGGCAACTGGAAGGGTAAAACGCTGAATCTGAGATATCACTGAGGTGGGAACTGCAGGAAGTAGCTGCCACCCTGAGGGCTGGAGAACAAAGGCAAGGAAGCTGGAATTACTAAAACTGAGAAACTTAGAGGAGGCTTCCTGCAGGGCTGACACCCAGACCTCTGAGGACGCACATTGCTGGGCTTGTACAGGGTTGCTGAGTGGGCATGATGAGACTGGTTCCGTGACGGTTGAAAAACCAGCAAACTAGATTCCACTATTGCTACTGGAATGAACCCACTGCCAGGGCAAGGAGGCATTGCTGGGGAGACATTGCTAAAACAGGAAACAAACAAGAAGGAACAGGTCCTCCCTCCTCAAGACTCACAGTCCTCTGTTGCCCCTATGTGCAGAGCCTAACATGAAGCAGCTGGCAGCATAAGTATCAGTGTGACTTGCAGAGTCTCAGCTTCCACATCACAAAGCGGAGTATGGAGGGCTGGGTCTTGAGCTCAAAGACATTAACTTAACAAATGAACCATTCTCAGGTGGGATTAAATGTATAGAAAATGCTTAGCACAGCACCAGGTACATAGTAGCATAGTAGATGCTAAATAACTATTATTATTATCATCAGTGTTATTTTGATAGATAAGCGGCCTTGGCTGTTAGATGGAAGATAAGACAGGCTCTGTGATAAGCTATGAGTAGAGACTAATTTCTGGATTTCAGTTCTGGAAGTTTCATTGAGAATATGAGATTCTATGTGTAATATAAAGGGCAAATGTGATATCGAATAGTAGTAAGTCTGTAAGTGAGTCATGCAACTTTGATCTCAGTGATGCCCCTCCCTCTCCATTCCTGTGCCCTGCTCTAGCTCACACATACTTCACCCCTTGCCCAGAGTCATTAATACCCTCTACCCATTTCCAGTCCATCAAAATCCCTGCCCTAGTTCCACATTCACTCCTACTACACAGCTCTCATCTCATTAGACTCCCACCACCTACAGATGAAAAGCCAAATTCTTAGGACTGACATTTCATATGCCCAGCAATCCCATTTGGAAGCCTGGAGATGGTACTTTCCATTGGCTCTAGCCCCCTCCTCCTCATACCAGGATCAAATGAGAGATGAGGAGTGGGAAGAAAGTCAGGGGAGGCCTGACCTCCAAGGGCTCTCCCTTTGGATGTCCTAATATCAGCTCTACCTCAGGCTGTCAACAACAGGATTCATGATCCCTTTGCTTCCCACCCACCTCCAAACCTTTAATAGGACCCTCATCAATGAGGAGGTAATGTTCTAACGCCTTGAACCCAAGAGATGCTGCTCAGCTCTTCCTCATTGCATTAGCGACTTTCTTCTCTCTCTTTTTTTTTCTTTTTAGTGGTGTCTTTTTTTACAGTCATCATCTACATCCATCAGCTAAGGCTAAAATAAGCTGCAGTAACAATTCCAAAATCTCAGTGGGTTATGATGCCAGTGTTTATGTCTTACAAATATGTGTTAGCTGTGGGTCAGCTGCAGCTCTACCCCACACCCTTTCACTTCAGTACCTAAGCTGAAGGAGCAGCTCCTATCAGTGACATTACTAGTTTCGTGGCAGAAGAAAAAGAGAAGATGGTGAGACCTTGAAGTGGCTCTTCAAGCTTCTGCTTGGAGGTAGCATGTATCACATCCACTCATATCTTATTGGCTAAAGAAAGCCACATGACTTCTGAGTTCAAGAGGATGATAGGCACGATACTCTTTATAATAGGGGCATTGCAAGTCACATGGCCAAGCCTGAAATCAGGGAGTATGAATGCATAATAATCTCCTAGAGAGATTAAATTAATATTTATTTTATTTTAAGTTCCAGGATACATGTGCAGAATGTGCAGATTTGTTACATAGGTAAATGTGAGCCATAGTGGCTTGCTGCACCTATCAACCCATCACCTGGGTATTAAGCCCAGCATACATTAGCATAAATGAATATTTTGATCAGTAAAACAATCGACTATACCAGCAGTCCCCAAACTTTTTGGCACCAGGGACCAGTTTCATGGAAGACAATTTTTCATGGACTGGGGGCTGTGGGGTGGGGATGGTTTTGAGATGATTCAAGCATATTACATTTCTCATAAAGAGAGTGCAACCTAGATCCCTCACATGCACAGTTCACAATAGGGTTTACGCTCCTATGAGAATCTAATGCCGTCACTGATCTGACAGGAGGCGGAGCTCAGCTTCACTAGCTTGCTGGATGCTCACCTCCTGCTCTGCAGCCTGGTTGCTAACAGGCCACAGACTGGTACGGGTCTGCAGCCCAGGGGTTGGGGACCCCTGTACCATATTATCCTAGTCAAGGATACCATTACCTCATTCCTGGATCCCAGGGTGTGAAGAAGCTAATCTAATCTGGATCCTACAGAAGTATTTCCACAGATCCTTTTGGTTGTCCCTGCCTCTAGCATCTCCATTTTATATAGACAGCAGAGTAGCTGCCACAATATACTTCCCCAAATGCTATTATCACCCTGTTACTCCCTTGTTCAGAACCTTCAGCAGCTCTCTATTGCCAATCAGTTCAAATCTAAATTCTAAGGCCTAGGGCTTGAGGTTTACATCAACTGGTCCTCCCTTTCCTGTCCCATTGCATCTTAGCCCAACTCCCCACATCTAGCCAGGGGTCTGATGGTTTTTTCACAGCTACTCCAAGATTTTGCCTGGATGTTAATCTTCCTTTGTCTGTGCTTCTTTTGGTCCTGCCCACCACCCACTCTCTCTTTTCCAACCAGTTTGTGTTCTTCAATTTCTTCAAGAGTTGTCTTAAATCATATCTTCCTAAAAATTTCCTGGAATAACTGTCTTCTCTTTACACTCCTCAAAATTCAGAATTACATATCTCTACTCTTGTTTTTATTTTCTGTTTCTAGAATCATTGTGTGGAAAAAGATCTTGGGATTCTCTATTCCACACTCACCACCTCCCTCCAATTTGAAATGAGGAAAGTAAGACCTAGAAAAAGAAGGAGCAGGAAAGTCACTCATTTGTTGAGAGGCTAAGTTGAGATGAGTCTTAGGTCTTCCTGCTCCTTATTAGTATTCTTCCCCTACACCAATTTGCCTCTTTTAATTTATATCAATTTCTCCAATTAGATGATATATTACTTTGGGGTAGAGATGCCTAATAATATTTTATACAAGACCTTTGACTTATATTATCTCTAATTATAACAACAACCTTGCAAGGTGGCAATTATTATCATTTTACCAATAAGAAGGCTAAGGGTTAGATAAGGCGAGTAACAGGCCCAAGATCAAATAATCAATAAATGACAAAGCCAGGGTTTATTGAATACCTACTGTGTGTTTGAAATTGTGTTAGTTCTCAATTCAAAGAAATTAAAATAGGGCTGGGCATGGTGGCTTACACCTGTAATCTCAGCACTTTGGGAGGTTGAGGTGGGCAGACCATTTAAGCCCAAGAGTTCAAGACCAGGCTGGTCAACAGGCAGAGACCCCATCTCTACCAATGTTTTTTTTAAGTAGCTGGGCATGGTGGCACGCACCTGTAGTACCAGCTGCTTGGGAGGCTAAGGTGGGAAAATCACTTCAGCCTGGTGTGGTGAACTATGATCACACCACCACAATCCAGCCTGGGCAACAGAGCAAGAGCCTGTCTTGAGAAACAAACAAACAAACAAACAAACAAAAACCAGAAATTAAAATACAATTTAGTTAAAGAACATATGTCACAGCTTCAACATAGTTCATAAAAAGTCCCAACTGAATAACATATTCAGGACTCTGGAAATTCACATAGGACAGGCATTTTAACCAAAGATACTTGAAGAGATATTAGACATGATCTTGGCAGTTAAGGATGTTAAGGATAAGTATAATCTAACCAGATGTGGTGGGTTGGAGCATGTATTTCTATGCTGGTAAAAAATGGGTTGTTTGGGAAATGGGAAAAGAATCTATTTTTCAGGAGGTATTGCTTTCACAGGAGAGTGAGTCATGCACGTTATGGAAGTCATGCAAAGTTATGGAAGGCTTTGAATGTCAGGTTAAGTTATTTGGATTTTGTTCTGTAGGTTATGGAAACTCATCAAAGACAGTTGACCTATAAAAAGAGTGTTTTGGCCAGTTGCATAACATGTGAGTGGAGGGAAAGGGCTGGGAGATGTCCGACCACTTAAAGGCTAAAGTGGGTTGAAGACCACTTCATCGCCTACCTATGAGCTAAGAAGCTTGGTATGGAGCTGAGCAGGTTTTAGGGGGTGATGGAAATAATTTTTTGGGTACAAAAATTATGACTACCATTTAGGGAGGTGGAGGTTGGAAGAGTGAATTTTTTAAATTGCTTGTCAAAAGCAGACAGGCTGTTTTCTGAAGCATGTGTGGAAGTTAAGGGTATAAAAGTTTGCTCTAAGGGGACATGGAATAAGGGAATAAAGAGTCTGTTCCAGAGAGTTAAAAGCTTTTACACCCCCAATTCCATCCCACCCTTTACTTGGGCTTCAGGGGTGTGTTTCTATAGGTTTTTAAAATTGTACCCTTCTCTTCCGTTCAGTGGGCATCCACGAGGCTAAGTGTGTGCTGCTTTCAACCTAATGACTTCCAAGTTCATGACATCTCTTCTTGCAAATAGTATTCACACACCTTTATCTTTCCCATCCAATTACTTGAAATAATCACATCAACCAAATGTATTTAATTTAACACAATATTCAATTTATTGCCTGAACAAAGATGGCACTGCTCACCAAATGGAAGTGTGGGCCACCCAGAGAGGACTATATACAATAGCTAATATTTAAGATGTTCATTCATGGACTGACACATGGAAATGCAAATGTGGCTCACCACAGGTCATTTAGTGGTGGGCTAGCCTAGGTCATTCAGTACTAAAACTGTAGTACCTGGGCTACAGTTACTAGATCAAGGGCTGGGTCTGAGTCTAGAGGTCAAGGTGTTATATCTACAATAAAAGTAAAAAAGTATGGGCTGAAGAAAAGTTGAATTTAAGATAAATGCATAAATCAATGCATTAATTAGGTACATAAAAATTGTTTAAACTTTTCTTTACGATGTTTTAATTTTCAACCTTCCAGTCATTGACAGGACTCATTTCTGTACTCTCTCAAAACCCAGGGTCTCTCTTAACTTTGTAGTTAAGAAAAATCTGGAAGTATCAGCCTAACTAATATCAAGGGAAGTAAAAGTTGATCAAGTAATTCCCAAGTACTATACCCTACTCTGGAAACCCAGGTTATGTTTGTTACTTTCCACAGGGAAAACCTGTACATTTAGTTGGGTGATCCAGGAACAGTTATGTGACCTGAAACTGTATAGCACATGTCTCAATATTATTTCAGAGATAAAAGGAGGAAGAGCTTTTCAGCAGGATTTGGAGGGTCTAAAAATAGGGTCCTTGGCTTACATGACTAGTGTCCTTTCCTTACTTAAGGGTTCGGAACTTGTTCTGTGTGCCATATGCTTTTCTGGCAGTCTAATGCAGGCTATGAATCCCTTTTCAGAAAAAAATAATGTTTTAAAATTCCTAAAATAAACTACATACAATTAGAAAGAAAGCCAATTAGACTGAAACATGGTTATCAAATTATTGAAAAACAAATTTACATTATAGTAACACATGTACCTCTTTATTAACACTTTAAATAAAAAGGTCACTGGCAGAGCTAATGAACACTGTGATTTTGACACAGTGCTAAGCGTTGACAACATTTTGAGATATCTGCAACAACTGTAAAGTGATGTGAAAAATATGTGTAATTCCTGTTGGTGAGAGTTCCAAGTACTGCTAATATTACAGTGGTTTGTTGTCTACATTTGTAACGGAAGAAAATGTTTAATTTCACTCTGGGCTTACTGCAAATGAAGATGCAATTTTTTCCCCCTTCCAAAATCAAAGACTCCTCAAGTTCTATCAGCAGATAAACCCAGGTCTTTAAAATGGGTGTATTAAAGGTTTTTTTCTAGGTAACACATAAACCATCAACACTCACTGGAAACCACACGGACAGCTCCTCAGGAGGTGTGGGGTGCCCCACTGCTTGCCCATGGTGCTTGCTGGCCACCATAAGTGGCTCCTGGCATCATGCCTTACTAAAGTGGATGCTCAGTGCATCTACTCAACAACGGTGTGAAGAAGGGAATGGAGAGACAATGAGTGGGTTGGACTTGGCTCACCCTTCCTGCTCTAACATTTGGACACTCTGTGACAAATGCAGAAGGAATTCACTGAAGCCAGCTCAGAGTCCTGTACTGCCAGGCGTGACTGCAGAACACAGCCCAGGCAAGGGATGGAGCAGTAATGCACCGTGGGGTGGGTGGGGGTCCATGCTCAGCCCCAAGATGGAATTCTGTCCCTTCAATAAAGATCTGGAGCAGAAAAGGAGCATGCAGCACCCAGCAACCACAGAGGGTGACCACAGAGCTGAGCAACAGCTGAAGCTGTCCAGCTGCTTTTCTGTGGCAAGTCTACCCACATCCGCAACAGACAAGGGATTCATTCATCAAGACCCTGGCTTCATGAGAAGATCATATGTCAGTGTGTGTTTCTGACAAGTGTTGTTAGCTGAAAGTGTGGACCGAAGGTGCCCCCCAGCTCACCACTACCTAGGCCACCAAGAAAAGGGAAAAAAGAGGCTGAATTCACACAGCCTTGTGAAGTTCCTGGCAGGACCAAGTGTTAGAAACTTAGAAACTACAAACTGTAATATAAAGCAATTATTAAAATGAATAATAGTCGTATAAACTGGGCATGGATGAACGAATTTATTGCATTTTGGAAACTTTTGCATCAGGAGGACTCATATTGTAGAAAAGAGTAATCATAAAAATGGCTGTCATTTTAAAAAACATGCCTACTGTTGCAAGTACCACATGTAATTCTATTTAATTTTATCCTCACAACAACCCTTTGAGCACTTCTAGCCCCTGTAGTGGATTGAATGACGACTGCATCCAAAATATAGGTTCACCTTCCCAGAACCTGTGGATGGAATCTTATTTGAAGAAGCGTCTTTGTAGATGTAATTAAGTAAAGGATCTTGAGATGAGATAATCCCAGATTTTTTGGGTAGGTCCTAAATCCGAAGACAAGTGTCCTTATAAGAAGAGGAAAAGACACAGAGAAGGAGAACGCCAGAGGAGAAGATGTGAAGACGAGGCATCGAAATGATGCATCTACGAGTCTAGGGATGCCAATAAGTGCCGGCAGCCCCCGGAAGCTAGGGAGGGGGAGGGAACCCCTTCTCCCTCAGAGCCTCCAGACAGCTTGCTTTCAGGCTTCTGGTTCCCTGAACCGTGTGTCAGAAAATTGATTTATGTTGTTTTAGGCCACCCAACGCTCTGAGAATCGGAGCTGTTGTTCTAGTTCTAGTACTGAAAACTGCCCATGTGACTCTGGCCAGTCCCTGACTACCAGCGGAGCCCCCTGGGTAAGGTGTGCACACTACCCTGCTGCTCTGCTGCCTGGACAAATCAGTCATTCAAGTTGAATAACACTATTAAGGTAACGATAGTTTAGTATTAAGGTTAACCACCTGCCTACCATCAGACTGCCTGGATTTGAGGCCAACTTTTCCGCTTAGTGCCTATGAGACTGCGACCAAGTTATTTAACCTGAGTCATTTTCTTTTTCTTCTGTAAAATGGGGAGAATTCAAGAGGAGCCTTGAGCAGAAAAAAAGACATTTGGTAAAAACTAAGGAAGTCTGAAAAAAAGTATGGACTTTAGATAATAATAATGTATTAATATTTGTTTATTAATTGTAACAAATGGGCTAGGTGCGGTGACTCTCACCTGTAATCCCAGCACTCTGGGAGGCCAAGGCAGGCAGATCACCTGAGGTCAGAAGTTCGAGACCAGCCTTGCCAATATGGTGAAACCCCGCCCCTACTAAAAATACAAAAATTAGCCAGGTGTGGTGGCACATGCCTGTAATCCCAGCTACTCGGGAGGCTGAGGCAGGAGAATCACTTGAATCCAGGAGGCAGAGGTTGCAGTGAGCCAAGACGGCACTCCAGCCTGGGCGACAGAGTGAGACTCTGTCTCAAAAAAAAATTGTAACAAATGTACCATACTCACATAAGATATTAATAATAGGGACGGCTGGCTATGGGATATATAGAAATTGTACTAATCTAAAACTCTTCTAAAATATTAAATTACATATTATTATTTAAATGGGGAAAATATCAGTACCTCACCTCACATTGTGATAAAGATTTATAACAGTGTTTGGCATATTATAAGAGACATTGTTCGCTATTATTGTTTTAGGGCTGTTATCAGGAACAAGGAATTCGTACTTGCAATGTTCCATGAAACAGGCTAAATCATTTTTTTAAGTGAGATGATGTGACATATTTAGAGTAAGGTTGTCTGAAAATGTTATTATAACTGTAATTTTGACTCATTCCAAAGCTAAGTAAAGCCAATGTAGTAACTAAACTTTGTTTCATGCCTCAGTGTTTCTTGGTTTTTAGATCTTTTCAAACTGTGACTCTGACTACTACTGTAATTGCATGTAGCTCATGCAAACAAGATCTACCTTGTTTATCTGAGAAAAATGGAAAAAAAGAGAAAGACTCACAAATTGCAAATATATCTCCTTTTTGTTTCCTATCTGCTACTGGATTCCATTTTTAAAACACCTACATCATATTTTACTTTTTCCTTAGAAAACCAAGCAGAATGAATTGCAGTGACTCTTATATACTATTTTGACCCCAGGAGGTGGACAAATGACCATATATATACATATACATTCATTCAGATTACTGCAACAATGAAAGAAGCACACTCTTGATAAAACTGGTCATTTTAAGAATGACGGTGTCAACAGAAGAGAGCCAAACTCATTCAGATTGCTCCCACCTTGCCTGATGCCTGCATCATAAGAAAGCAGCAGAAAATCCAAGTTTGGAAAAAATGCTGCACACTTTCTCACCTGAAGAGATGCTTCCTACCTTAGGAAGAGAATGCTGTTTCCTTAACGGAGCTACTCTTCTGGACCTTCTGCAAGTAAGATGGGTAGATGGACAGACAGGCAGATGACAGCTTGAGGACAGGCTATTGTACCAAAAAGAAAGAGACCAAGGGCAGATGCAAGCAGCAACTGGGATCCTCTGCCCAGAAGATACAGGAAAACAATAGATAGCCGTATTCGAAATTCATTTCGCAAAGAAAACCAGTCTACGTCATTCAGTAATAAAACTGTAGTATCTGGGCTATAGTCACTAGGTTAACTATACTAGGTTATAAGGCTGGGTCTGAGTCCAGAAATTTATAATGAGCCATCACTATTGCAAGTGTTTTATCTGAACTATTATCAAAATGGACCTCCTCTCTGGGCTTTCCTGGGAAAATGAATCGTCTCCTGGAAAACCCATCTTGAAAGATCTTTGAATTGCAGAATGCACAAAAAAGGCAGCAGTAAACACATGAATTCACACCCGCCTTTTCCTAAGAAATCTGACTACAATATTATCATAGGATAATGAAAATAGTTTTTTGTTTAATTGTTAAACAAAAGTAAACAATTTTCTTCCCTGTGGGGCTTCTTGAAGTGTTTAATAGGTTATAATGCACATTGTGAGTTTCTGATGGAAGATTTAATAGTCTATATTAAATAAACTGCAGGAGCATTTCATTATCAGGGCAAGGATTAACAGCTCACTTCAGATCACATTTTAGGAAGCTGTGCTCCTCCTCCAGCAACATTCATAAAAATAAATCCTTCTGTTGGTTAACGTTTAAATCCTGTCTTCCTAATCTTTGGTTGCCTAATAGGGCCTAAACAATTTCAAGACCAATCTATACCATGCCACAAATGTCCAATAATCAATCCACCAAGGTCTGGACTGAGACCAGGGCTGACAACTGCCTTTTCCATGCTGCTGAGCCTTACTCTATTGGTGTCCAAGATAACTTAATTTCATCAACGCATAGGGAATGTTTGCCCCTCCCCCAATATTTGCAACTAACAGCAATTGTCTTTTATCAAAAAACTTTCCTATTTGTGTTTTGATTGAAACTTTAAAACATCGAACTCCTTGATATAAAGAAAATGATTCATTTCCTTCCTTTAATAAATGTTGAAACTACTGTGAGCCTCTCGCTTCATCATGCCTCGGTTGTTACACCCTCAACCGCTAGGGGGTGCCAGGAAAGGGCCCTGGGCTCAGGAGCAGCAAAGTTCCAGCCAGAGTAGTCAGGACGCAACAGAGATTGCAGCCCAGGCAGGTGGTTTTCATACTTCCCCAAACAAGCCTCACACCTGACTGCTCACCGGAGCCGCTTTTTGTCTGGAAGTAATTATGCCCAACAATATATAGATTCGTTACGTCTGTTGTGGTGTAAAAATCTGACACACCGTCTTTAATTAGAGGCCAGCTGAATTTGCTTTAAAGGCTTTTCTTCTTTCTCCACTTCCAAGTCTTGAGACATCACCAGGTTAATGCCATTTTGATTAGCTTGTTAGAATAATTTATTGTTTAGCCTTTTTAACGATTAGGGTGTTCACCTCATACCCAATCCTTTACTCTATTTGATTCCCTGAAAACTTACTGACAGGATTCACTGAGTATGCATCTGAAACAATCAGAAAATTCCATAAAATGGCAGTTAAAAGTAATAAATCCTCCACGGACCCACCCAAGGATGTGCCTCAAACATGATCACTGGCTGAGGCAAGAGGATCACTTGAGATCTAGAGTTTTAGGCCAGCCTGGGCAACAAAGTAAGACCTCCATCTTTATAAAAAATTTTTTTAATTAGTTTGGCATGGTGGCATGTGCCCAGCTACTTAGGAGACTGAGGTGGGAGGATCGCTTGAGCCCCAAAGTTTAAGGCTGTAGTGAGGCTAGGATTATGCCACTGCACTCTAGCCCAGTGATAGAGTGAGGCCTTGTCTAAAAAAACAACAATAAAAAGATAATAATTACTGGCCACCATTTCTCCCAGCTTTTTAAAGGATTAGAACTTTCCCTATTGTTGCAGCTGAATAAATTGCATCTTTAAGGTCAAAAGAAGTTTGAAGTCCTTCCACTTTCCAAGGAGTTTTTAAAAGAAAATATACCCATCTCTTCTGCCTTCTTAAGAGGAGTATTTTTTTATTCTGTTAGGGGAGACTTTTGTTACTGAAACTAACCCCAATTAGTCTATCAGCACAGCTAGAGAGAACTAGAGGACCACAGGGATTTTCCAGGTTTTCTTTTGCAACCAAAAAGTCATGGGGAATTCCAGAACAGAAGATGCTGGCTAATCAGACCTCCACTGGACTGAAGGAATGTTAACACAGCATACAAACAGTCTCCATACAGCACTGGCCTGCATAGTTCAGACCTTTCTGGTTCTACCATGGAATGCTTTTTGCAGAGTTATGACTCCTCATGACCCTCCAAGTTGTTAGAGCAGATTAGAGCTCCCGATGACTCTGCTGATGAGCAGATGGTATTCTCTCTCTGAAACAGCTGGAGAACCCTGGTGGTGATGGTGGGGTTATTGATTCAGGGCCTCAATAACTGCTAGAGTCATCGTTGATCCCTTGATTTCTCTCCCTCCCTATGAGGAATCTGTTTGTAAATCATGTCTATCTTGGAAATATATCCAGAATCCAAACACTTCTCACTTCCTCCTTTACTCCCACCATAGACCAAGCTGTCATAATCTCTGCTGAAACAGCCTGCAATAAGGCCCCCCAGCTTCCATCCTTATCGTCTTATAGTCTGTGCATACTTGCCACCTTATAAGCTACATCATGTCCAACCAAAACTCCATAAAAGCTTCCCTTCTCACTCAGAATACAAATCTGGAGCCCTGACCATCGCCCCCCCGAACCCACCCCTCCTTCATGAGCTGCCCTCTTCCCTTTGCCTGTCTGGCTCATCTCCTCTGGACTCCTTGAGTTCACCTACTCACTCTGCTTCAGCCTCGCTCGCCACCTTGCTTGTCCACAAACCATCCCGTACCAGGACCTTGCACTTGCTCTTCCCACAGGCAGGACTGCTTGTCCTCCAGAGAGCCCTGCGATGCCCTCCCTCCTTTCCCCAAGGCTATGCCTAAACACCACCTGAGCAGAGAGGCTTTGCTGGCCACCCCACCTTGGCCACTCTCTGACCCCTTGCCATCCTTTATTTTTCTCAGCATTTGTTACCATCTGACATCTTTATTTGTTCGTGTGTTTCTTGTCTGTCTCTCCCACTGGAATGTAAGCTCCATGAGGCAGAGACCCTGTCGGTTTTAATCAACACTGTGCTCTCAGAACAGTGCCTGGTCCATTGTGGGGTCTCCACAGGCGGCTGCTGAAGCAATAAATGAGTAAATGAAAAAAGAAGGCTCAGCAGCTCTGCAAGCTGTGAATGAGTGAACCACTCGGCAATCAGTGTTTGTTCATGTGACGTCTTGCTATTTGTTTCACAGATAGGAAAAAGGGGCCTAACGAGTCTAGTTCTCAGAGTCAATTCAGAATAAATTCACATCCAATGGTATTTTTCTGGAAAATCTCGTCTTTGGATTTATTCCACAAACTAAAAGACAGAAAGAGTTCAATTCTTTTAGACTTCAATATAATTTCTGAACCCTGACTGCATGGGCCTCTGGAGCAGGCCTAACTCACAGGACAGGCTCCCTGTAGCTGGCAGTGTGACTGCCAGGCTCCAGAGTAGGGTGGGGTGTGGGTGGTAACTGTGAAGTGCCGGGGCTGCCTGTGGCTCAGAGGCCGGAGTTCATCCTGAGTCATCTCCCGACCACAGGAAATGCCCACAGTCGTGCTCTCCTGGACTCAATGCCAGGCCCTGGCTCCTGACCAGCAGGCTCAGCTTCCCCTGAAGGGCCAGGCAACATGTTTTGTTTCATTTTGTTTTTAAGTGATTTGTACTGACTTTAAAGCAGAGAAAGATGGTACAATCCAGGACCACATCTTTGTCTCATTTTTGGCAGCCAATGATCTACAGGATAAGCAACAAACAAACCCAAAAGGAAATCACTAGACACAGAGCTAGAGCTGGAACCAGAGCCCTGAGATAGACAGGCGAACATATTTTTCAAGTTCCTCGTGGAATTTCACTTCTTGTTGGCATCTTTTTGATGATTCTTTGTACATCTCTTATCTACCAGGAGGCGGTTTGCAGGGTGATTCTGAACTCAGGTGGGAGGGTAGCGATCTGTCTCCAGGGCCCTGTTTTCTGAGCAGTGAGGGAAAGTTGTGTAACTTTTCCATGCCTCAGTTTCCTTATCTGGTAAATGAAAATAGAATAGTCCCCATTTTATTGGGGCCTTGTGAGAACAAAATAGGGCTACCCTAATACAATATTGAATGATGCCGGGCACTTGGTAAGTTCTCACTAAAATGAGCAACAATAAACATGCATCCCAAGTGAAACCAAAGGAGGGTTTACAGGAAACTGAGAGAGCTTCAACCTAGGCTCCAGTGTGCACAGGTGCCTGGGAGTATCTGGGAGCTGCGGGTGGCTCCAGGTGGGATGGAAGCCAGATTACCATCGGGAAGCGTTTTTTAGAAAGCATTTCTGGTGAAGTGCCTGAGGTGATGTTAAGAAACAAAGAGACTGGAATTTTCAAGCTTTCAGTAATCTGTTGTCATGGGTTTTCCCCCCTGATTTGAAATAAATATACACTTTCACACATGATTTATTTCCAGTTTTGCATTTCTTTTTTTTTTTTTTGAGAGATCTCGCTCTGTTGCCCAGGCTGGAGTGCAGTGGTGCAATCTTGGCTCACTTCAACCTCTGCTCCTGGGTTCGAGTAGTTCTCCTGCCTCAGCCTCCCAAGTAGCTGGGACAATAGGCACGTGCCACCATGCCTGACTAATTTTTGTATTTTTTGTAGAGATGGGGATTCACCATGTTGGCCAGGCTAGTCTCGAATTCCTGACCTCAAATGATCCACCTGCCTTGGCCTCCCAAAGTGCTGGGATTACAGGTGTGAGCCACCACATCTGGCCTGCATTTCTTTTCTTAAAGAAGGCCTCCCAAAAGGTATAATCTTTAGGCCCCACAAAACCTGGACTCATCCCAAAATGGTGTAATGAAATCTTCGCCATATTACTGAAAGGTGGATATTATCCCTTTTTCATAGTCTCAAAAGTAAAGTGTTCAGAGATAAACACTCTCCCCACAGATAGACAGGAGGACCTGGCAGGACTGCAATTTTGAACCCAGGACTCCCTACGTCCAAAACCAAACTCTTCCCACTACACTCAGCTTCCTCCCATTATGGGCATCATGATGGCTTTAAAAAGTAAGTGCCGGACTCAAATGGATATCCCTATGCCAATGTTCATCGCAGTACTCTTCACAAGGGCCAAAAGCTGGAAACAGCACATCCATTGACAGATGATTAAGCCATCAAAATGTGGTATATCCATACAGCGGAATATTATTCAGCCTTTAAAAGGAAGGAAATGCTGACACATACCACTACATGGATGAACCCTAAAGACATTATGCTAACATGAAATAGGCCATTCCCACAAAAGGACAAATATGTTTCCACTTATGTGATGCACCTGGAGTAGTCAGACTCATGGAGACAGAAAGTAGAATGCTGGGTGCTGGGGGTTGGTGGAGGGGAAATGGACAGTTATTGTTTAATGGGTGAAGAGTTTCAGTTTGGGCTGATGAAAAAGTTCTGGAGATGGTCAGTGGTGAGGATGGCACAACAGTGTGAATGCTCTTAATGCCACCAAATCATATACTTAAAAATGGTTAAAATGCTACATTTTATGTTATGTAAATTTTACCAAAATAAACAAAAAAGGAAACTCCAGCCTAGAATGTAAGGCCTAGGCCACAAAACATTTCTTTAGCACTTAGCATCCTGTGGGCATTGTGAACAAGGATGACAGGAAAGTCTTCTTTAAGGGAATCTTTCTGAAGGTCACAAAAAAAGGAACAACTGTATCTACTTCCAGGTTGCTTGCTCCCCCTGTTATGTACAACCACAAGTCAGCCACAGAATTCTGCAAACAACCCACTGTGCAAGGCTTTGGAGCTACCTCAGAGTGAGACCCAGAGACAAAGCAGCCATTTACCTTGCCTTCTTTTAGCTACTCGCAATGAAACGTTTTCACAGAAAGACACCTGGAGGTGGAAGACTTGTCACCGGTACTTCAGATGAAGCAGGTAGCACAGCAAGGCCCGCCCAAGAGCAGACAGCCATGACTAAAGTCCCTGGTTTCCAGTTGGTTCCCAGCCAGGTTGACTCAGGATTTCCTCTCCCAGGAGTGTTGTGAGGTGCCCCGGGGCAGGCCCAGCTGGGGCCTGGACTGTCTTTATTTGATGTGGATGAATGGCTGGGTCTGGGAGAGACTCAAGCTAACTGCAGTGACTCAGACACCGGTTCACTGGCTTCCTGAAGTCAGAGCACCGCTGAGGACAGCCCATTTCTAAGTCTCCGAAGTCAGGACCAGCAGAGGGGCGGAGTGCAGAAGCTCTGTGTCCCTGAGCTCTGAGCTGCTCTCTCCACCCCCTTGCTGCTTAGCTGAGGCCCCTTGAGGAGGTTCAGACTCCCACATGGAGTCACAGCCCCCTAGGCTGGGGTTCTGAGCAATCCGGATGGTAGGATTCCATCTAATGAATCTGACCAACCTGTCTGAAAATGTGGATGGTATGACAGAACCTTTGGATGTTAAAGAATGTAAGATCCTCTCAACCACCCACAAGTAATGGGAATTTGCTGTAAGAATACACATTGCTTTAAAAGAGACGGGATCCTGGGGAAAGCTAAGAGCCAGGCCTCCCAGAGATCCAAACTGGACAGGCATTTGGGATCCACGGCAGCTCTAGGCCTGGGCCGTGCTCCTTCCCCCCGGCAGAGTGAGTTTGTAGATCTGACTCTAGCACTCTTCAGTTTGTGTGGCTGAAGGCCTTTCTTTGCTGATTGCATATTGGTCCTCTCATCTCCCACCCCATGTAGCTTTCTTCTGCCTTGGGCTTCTGCCTCTATGTAGCTGCCGAGTCCTCCTAACATTGACTCTGGAAGCACCTCATTCCCTCCAACCTTATGTGCTCTCTCCATACATCCTGCCAGCCTCACCTCCCATTACCAAACTCCTGATTTTCCATTTGTATTTCCCATTTCAGATTCTACATACATAGAAACAGAGGTAAGTAATCCATTTGGCTTGGCTAAGGAGACACAGTTTTCATCTGGGGACTTTACAGGATGCTGGCATCTCATGGATTGACAGCTCATGGGACAGGCAGGGCCGCCACCCTCCACAGCAGGGTGGATGTGGTACTTTCCAAAAGAGGACACCAGGCACCCTCCTTAGGAAGCAAGGCTATGTCTTCCCGGTGTCTTGCCCCTTGGTACAAATTAGCCAGCAGTCCCAAGGTGCAAACAGAGTGGATAGATATTCTTTCATAACATTATTATACTTTATATTGTCTCAAATTCCCCCCTGCCTTTTCTTTACGTTGCATTTTAAGCTTTTTCTCAGCTTTCGGCACAACCCAAGCAGGGAACACATTTTCCCTTTCCTAATTGTATTATTTACCTTCCTAAACCATTCTTTCATTTACTCATCTGTTTACTCAATATCCATGAAGTACCTGCTTTGTAACTGGTGAAATACTAGACAATGAAGACTTAAAATTCACCCATATTCTCAATATAAACATTAATTGACTACTTACAAAGTGCCAGGCATTGTGTTACTTGCTAGGAATAGAAAGATTCCTGAGACACAGTCGCTGTCTGATACATAGCAAGAATTGAATAAATATTTGTTGAGTAAAGGCAACTATTTTGACAATTACAAGCAGAGCAAAAATGGCTATTCTGGGGAATGTCCACAGGAGGGGAGGCCTAGAGAAACCAAAAAGTGTTTCCTGCAGACACTAATGTTTACACTGAGACCTGGAGGGCAAGCTGAATTAGCCAAGTGAGAGGCATGAGAGGCAACCCAAGGCCTGCAGGAAGAACAAATGGTTTGTGTGAAGGCCTGAAAATTAGGGAGGGTGTGCACTGGAGGGGCAGCCATGGGGGACAGAGAATAAATCAATCAGTGTGATTATGATTCTAGGACTGAGATGGAAGTCTTTATGTGGGATGGCACAAGTCCATTTAAATACATGGTCAAATTGTGGTTTTAGAGTTCTAGGACCTTGTTGCTGCCTGCATCTGGTTGTCAGAGGGACATGAGGATGATCTAGAAGGGGTATGTACCACTTCCACTCGTATTCTGTTGGCAAGAGCTGGTTGTTGGGATTTTCTTAGCTGCAAAACAGGCCAGGAGAGGTAGTCTAACTGTGTTCTCAGGAAGGAGAGATTGTTGGTGGCAGCTAGAACCATGGAGAGTTTCCAGGGATTGGCATATCCAGAGCTGGGCAGCCACCCCGATCCAGCTCCTCTAGAGTGCCTGCTAGCGGCTGCCAGGGAGGTCTATGGGCAGACAGGCAACTCAAGACCTGGGGAAACCTCTGGAGCCCAGGGCAGCACTTGTCAGTCCAAGGCAGTTTTGTAGGATGTAAGATCTTTTCTTCCAAAGTGAGGTTTGAAAGTTGCATGTTCAGTCTCCAGACAAAGGTGGATTTTGTGTGGGAAATTGTCAAGAACTATGAAGGGCCTGGGCTTTTACCTGACTTGCAAGCTGACAAGTTAGCTTGTCATGGATTTGTGGGTACTGATGGAGACATGCGATGCCTGCATCACAGAAAAAGAACTTTTTAATTATTTTTTTTTTTTAAGAACTTTTTAATTCACAGCAATTGCAGTGGTCAGAGTGTCAGCACATTCTTTCACAGTTCCCCAATACCATTTCCCACAAGATGACACAAAAGAAAGAGGTGACTCCTGCACATGTAGTAAGATGTGTTATAAGAGAAGAACTTTGAGTTTAGGGAAACTGAACCTTTTATAATGGGCAGTAAACAGGCCTACTCTTTGTTCTGCAGGTTGACACTGTCTCTATCTTCCAAAGCTGTAAGCAATTTTTCCTTTTCCCTAAAGAGGGACACTGTCTGTATTTTCAAAGGCCGTTCACTTTATAAACATCCTGGAAAAGAGAGTCTAGAAAAAAGGCAGCCAGGTCCTCTGCTTGTAAGATGTGCAGAAATGTGAGAGACACTTGAATTTGTCTTCCAACAAAGACAGGTTCCTCTTTAGCAAGATGAAGTGTTCTTTAGATAGAAGCTTCCTTTACTAAATCCTTCTCCTCTTGATCTACAGATATCTAGAGGCCCCAGGGCTCAGTCCTCAGAGCTCTTCCCTATATACATTCGCTTCCTGGAGGGATCTCATTCAGCCACATATCTCTGAACACCATCAGCCTCATATCTTTAAACCCATGCTGATAATCCCAAATTTACAGTTTGCTCTTTGACATTGCCCACATTTCCAGACCTAGATATCAAACCTGCCTATGTGGCATCTTCACTTGGTTATCTTCTAGCCATCTCAAACTTACCATGTTCTTGATCCTCATCCTCCACATGAAACCTGATTCTTCCTCAATGTAATCCCTCTCAGTAAAATGTATCACTCAGCCAGTACAATGTATCTATGCCAGACAGAAACCTCTTTCTTTCATGTTCACATCCAATCTATCAGCACAGTCCAGTTTCAAAATAGATCTTGAATCTGATCACCCCCTCCTCCTGCACCACAAACATCCTAGTCCCAGCCACGATTATCTCTGTTCTTGACAGAGACATGCATTCCTCTCTTGCCCCATTCACCTTCCAATCTTGCCGCATACATTTTCACTTCCTCAGCAGCCAGTGTGGTTCTTCTAAAATGTAAATTAAATAGTATTATTTCTCTACTTTCAACTTTCCAGTGATACACAAGGTATAGAATAAAATTCAAGGTCAAGACTACATATGATCTGACCTCTGCCCTCAAATCTGATTACCCTCTCTCTCTCCCTTCTTGTATTCCACTTGCCCTTGAAAACACCTGCCATTGGGCTGTCTCAGGCCTTCATAGTTAGCTGTGTTGTCAAAGTCATCTAGGGCTCTCTCAGATGCCAGTTGGTCAGGGAAACCCTCCCTGACTATTCTAAAGAAAATCACACACTCCCTTGCCCCTCTTTCCTTTTACCCAGACTTATGATTCATAGCCCTGGGCACTGCCTGATTTTAGAAGTCTATCTCCCTGCACTGCCCTCCAGCCTAGAATATATGCTGCATGGATCAAAAACTTGGTTGTGTTCACTGATGTAGCCTCTGCTTCAAAAATAATATTTGACAGAAAGTAAATGCCCAAGAAGTACTTGTTGAATGAATGAATAATGAATGAATAATAGTTAATACTGGATTTTTAAAATGACAATAACAGAGACACAAACAATTTGTGGCTCGATCTTTCTTCTTCAAGTTAAATCAACTAATTTTATATAAATTTTCTCTCAAAATGCATATCTTCCAATTCTTCAATAATTCTGGATTGTTACCGCAAAATTCTTGCCATGTTTTTCCAGCTTCTTGGATATGATGGAGTTCAAAATTGAACATAACATAGGCTTCTGAGAAAAGCCTAGGTAGTCTATAATTAGTTTCTCTCTTTCTTTGGTTTTTTTTTTTTAATTATTTTATTTTAGTTTTTATTTTTGTGGGTATATAGTCGGTGTATATATTTATGGGATACATGAGATGTTTTGGTACAGGCATGCAATGTGTAATAAACACCTCATGGAAAGTGGGGTATCCATCCCCTCAAGCATTTCTCCTTTGTGTTACAAACAACCCATTTATAGTCTTTTAGTTATTTTTAAATGTAGAATTAAATTATTATTGACCATAGTCCGTTTCCCTCTGTTTACAGGTTTCACATGCTTACCCAGGAATGCTCCTTGAAAAGATAATCTCCTCAGACATAAGCCTGGCCACAGAAAAGTCTCTCTAAGGTCAGCAGTTTCTAGAGTGACGAAGTGAGAATTCGATTCTTATCTGTTCACAGACTCTACAAATCTCAAAACACCTTCCTGAAGAACACCCTGGGGGAAAAATACAAAAAACCTCATGGATTTAGCCATAGATCATATATATTTTGAATTGTCACTCTTTCACTCAACAAATAAATATCTCCTATGTGCCAAATCATGAGCTAGAGGTTGGAACAGCACATTGCATAGAGAACTTGGTCCCTAGCCTGAGGGATTCAGAATCTTGGGCACCATCATTTCTGTTTTCATCATTGTTGTCATCAGTGTCTTTTGAGACATTCTTATTTTGATCTCCTTTGATTTTTATATATTATGATTATTTCCAATATAATTTTAAAATAAGAATTTTATACTTATGGAAAAATATATTTCATCTAATTTGAAAAAATAAGGAAACAGTGCTTTGCTTTCCCTAGCCTTCCTTCTCATTTACTGTAAGATAATAATTTTTCTTTTTCAGGGTTCGTTTCAATTTTTTGCAAAGGATTTAGCAATGAAACACTAAAATCTCAGGCATTTTCATTAAGCTCATTTTTTACTTTCCTCATATATAGCCTATATGCTTTATTTAATCTTTATTCTTTACATTAAATTAAAATTATTTTTAAAATGACTATATTTCTATTGCTGTTGTGACTTTTCATTGATCAATATTTCACTAAAGATATTAACTTTCTCTAGGATGCAGAGAGACTCATAGAACTTACACCAAAATTTCTACTGAATGAATTTCCCCACCTTCTTGGTGATTGTACACCTGCCTTCCTTATAAGGAGAACAAGGAAGTAAATCATGTTGAAGTTGCTTTTAAACACAGCTTTTCTGCTTTACCTGTCCAGGTAGCCTCTGTTTTCATTTCAGTCTTAATGAAAACTTTCTAACTTATATCTCAAGTTTCTTTTCAAAGCAGTGTAAGTAGTATTTAAAATGTTATACTTCAAGAAAGAAAGACTTTAACGATATTCAGCGTTGGTCTTGTAACGCTGAAGGTAATTCATTTTTTAATCGGTCTGCACAGCAAGAACTGAAACGAATGGGGATTGAACTGCTTTGCCTGTTCTTTCTATTTCTAGGAAGGAATGATCACGTACAAGGTAAGACCTGCGTTCTCTGATATATTACTTTCGTGGTATGCTTGACAAACCTGTCATTTGGTTCAGAAACTAGATCTGAAGTCATGTTTTATTTGATCTGTTCCATTGCTCTTTTGTGACTGAGTGAACACTTTAACAAATTACAGACAAACACCGGGCAGTTCCCACAGTGAATGCTCTAGGCTTAAGGTAAATAAATACAAAGGTTGCACAGGCATTTTAATGAGGAGAATTAAATAACATTACTGCCCAATGGAACTTAGTGCCAGTATGATAACCATTTTTGAAACTTTTCTATTTTATTCTACCACAAGATCTTCCACTTAGGAGTAATAATCTTGAAAGAGAAAGAGGATTTATTTCAAAAACAGAAATAACTTGTTTAAGAAAGAAGCATTTTTTAATGGTTGCAAGTAATTTTTAAAAATTAAAGTGGCACACATTGGCTAAGAATAATAAATAGGATAATCCTATATTTGTGAACTTTCACATTTTAAGAAAAAAGAGCATGATAATTTTGGCTTATAAGACATACATAATTTTTAATATACATACACATATTTTACATGTGATAGATGTAAAATACAAACTTTTATGTGAATTGCTAACATTTCGAGGACTGATTTTGGATACTAAACTAAACTTTGATGTTGTTTTGTTCAAGTAATGTAAGAGCCATCAGTCTCATAAATGGAATGACTGAAAGTGTACTTAATCCCTGCATCTTGCTGGGTCTAAACCTAGGTGGCTGTGCCCTGGGAGGTGCAGAAACCTGTGAAGACTGCCTGCTTATTGGACCTCAGTGTGCCTGGTGTGCTCAGGAGGTAAAATAAATGACCTCAATGTGTTTTTAAAACCTGTCTGCAGTTAAATTCATGTTAATTTCCTCAGTGATATTTCTGATAGTGACTTGCTTTTTTGTGGAGTTGTATAAGTAAAACAAATCAGGAAAGGAGAAGGTGAGCATTGGTAGATCAAAATGGCATTCATGTGATTACTTTCAAAAACAATTTGTAGAAGGAGTGGATGTCAAATAATTCGGAAAAAAATTTTAACTTGGGATTTTTTTATTTTACCTGGTTCCTTCTTTTATTGTAAAGCCATTTCTACAGGTTACATGTAAAATATGGAGGCTGTCTGGATAATCAGAGTTCATGGAGATGATATTTTCTAAAGTTAAACATACATTTGATGTTCATATTATAGTTGTATTCCCTCTGGGTACCAGGATCCATTCTGAACTACTGCTAGATTCTAAGGGATGTGTTTTAAGTTTGGGGCAAATATTACTGGTCAGATATTATCCAGTTCCTTTAAAAATGGCATTTTCATAAACTCAGTGACTCTGTACCACACCAGTGACAAAGTGCCAAATAGGAACTCCTTATCTGGTCAAACCGAAAACTACATGAAAGCAGTATGAAGATGATTGGGGACTATGTACCAAGCCATCCTAAGACACTAGAGAATGATGTCTAACTGATTCATGGTAAGGAAGAGAGGCATTAGCTTTCTGAATTTTAAAACAAGTCTCTATGCACTGGATCTCATAAAGATAATCTAAACATAAATCAAATCATACGAATACCAAGTGCAGCAAGAGCTGAGTAGCATGCTCAAAGAGCAACAAACCTCGACACCAAACTCAGAACTGGGTTCTACCTGTGGAAACCCAAACTCCGAGTTCAGTGTGTATCCATGAAGTGTGGCCTCACAGACAAGAGAGCACAGACACAGCTCAGTCCCTTACTACGGCCTTGACCAACGCGGCCACAAAAAAAATTCAAGAGAATTATGCTTTTTTTTAGTTCCTGTATCAAAGCAGGATTGAGAATATACAAGAAGGGAAAAAATCACATGTTTTTTGGATATTGACTTCTTGAAGAAGTATTAGTTTCATGCCAGAGAGATACAACAACAAATCAGCCTAGAATTTTCATTTAAATGCATTTTTCAGCATTTACTTAAGAGAGTTTCCTAAGTTGCTGCTGATAACTTTACTTGTGTATAATACTTGGTAGCCAAATTGTTGTCAAATTGTAAAACCAAATTATTCTAAGAGGCCACTCTAATATTAGAAGTAGTTATGAGGATGCCAGTCGAGGCAGTTGGAGCAAAAAGTAAATTAGGCTTCTGCTTAGGGCAGATAGAAAATAGGTCATGTGGTTAACACCACCTCTGATCTTCTGGCAAAGGCTATGAATAGAGGTGATAGCAATGACACTGTGTTGAGAAGGATTCTGAAGCCTTGGCCAGCCACTGTTTCCCTTGGTTACATCATGGGAAGTTACAGTTTGCCATGCCTGGCCTAGAGCTTCAGACACGCACAGGCCTACTGATAGATAACAAATTGTATTCTCAAAATCAATTTCAGAAGAAATCTAACTTTCCTAGTTGATGAAAACAGCAAGAGTGGCTTGGAGTTCTAAGAGGCAAGGAAAATAGTATGAGCATTGGTTTTGTTTTCTCTAAGCATGAAAGTCAATGGGCAACAAGTTCCCCTTTGCATAGTGTCATGCCCACTCTAAAGCAGCCACGCCTATCAGGTAAGACAGGTATTTAATCTATTAGCTCCATCTCCCTGTTTTGGGTGTTTCAGAATTTGAACGGCCACATCTCTGCTGGGAAAGACTACATCTCACTGCCCCTCTGCTATCCTTGTGGGAAACTCCTGTGTCCCACGCAGAAAAGCAGACTTTTTTTTTTTGAGACGGAGTCTTGCTCTGTCGCCCAGGCTAGAGTGCAGTGGCATGATCTGGGCTCACTGCAAGCTCTGCCTCCCGGGTTCACACCGTTCTCCTGCCTCAGCCTCCCAAGTAGCTGGGACTACAGGCACCAGCAAAAAGCAGACTTTTAACCCATCTTTTTCACTTTTCTTCCTCACTTTCAAATCTTGGAGAAAGTTATAAAGGATCTTGAACTAGGATACTTCAAGACTCTGGGTTTAAGTCCACAAGAGGTCAATTTAGGTGAAGTAATGCTGCAATATAAGGGTAACAGACCGATGCATACAACTGGCAGAGAGTGCTAGATGGGGGAGATGTTGCAATCCCTACCCTTTAGGAATCTGCAGAATCTCTCTTTATCACTAGATTTGGGGATTGACACCCTGGAGCCCTTGGACAGTGTGTCAATTCCCAAATCTAGTGATAAAGATTTGATCATGGAATCAAACCTACAGGTCACCCTGAGCAGATAAATTCATGGGATGATGTCAACTCTGTGAACCCAACAGTTTCAAGGATCTGGTCATGGCCTGGGACAAAGCTTTAAAGAACTGAGCTTAAGACACAGACACACACACACAGACACACACACACACATGCAATTGTTACGTGAATTCAATTGAACATAACTGAAAGGAGACTCCAGTTTTACTCAGAATTTTACCGGCAGAATTCTCTGGTTATTCACCTATAACTTAACTTTAGACCTATAATCAATGTTAGTCATGTAGGGATACAATATGGCAAGATGCTTAACTAGCAAATTGTGCAGAAAAACTTTCAATTGCTGGTATCTTATAAAGAAATTCAGATTTGTTTTCTTTTTCTGGTTATTGTTTTTCTTTTTCTTTTTTAGAATTTTACTCATCCATCTGGAGTTGGCGAAAGGTGTGATACCCCAGCAAACCTTTTAGCTAAAGGATGTCAATTAAACTTCATCGAAAACCCTGTCTCCCAAGTAGAAATACTTAAAAATAAGCCTCTCAGTGTAGGCAGACAGAAAAATAGTTCTGACATTGTTCAGATTGCGCCTCAAAGCTTGATCCTTAAGTTGAGACCAGGTATGTTAGGATTTGGCTCATGTAAATAGATCTAATGTCATATATGGTAATTCTGCTACCTTGCTAATGTGTCTTGTATCATATTACATATCATTGATTATTATGACTCGAATTTCCCATTCTTAAGGAAATAGAAAATTATTAGGCTCACACATTTCTCTATTCACATTGGCCCCGGCACTCCAATTGTGTTACTAAAAAAGCCTTCTCTAATAGTAACCATTTAAATTATTCAAATGTTGTTAAGGCTTACCTCACATTTCTTCAAGGGTTGTAATGTAGATTTAAACTCTCTTTTATTTGGTTCTCCTTTTCTAAAACAACACACAAAAAATTCAGCTTATCTTCTATCTAAATGGATGCTAGTTCTCCCAAGGAGAGATAAAATATCCTAACTTATCCTCCAATAGTTCTAAACTCACTGCTGAAAGAATTTCATGGGTTGGTTCTTTTAGGATCTTGACCACACAGTTAATAAAATCATATGTATTTCAGTAAGTTCTTATTGAGGTGAAATAGCCAGCTGACCCAGCGAGTGGCCAGTAGCAAATAAATCTCAGTGTGTTTTCCTGGGTTTGCTTTTCCTGTTGGGCTTTGCAGGTGGTGCGCAGACTCTGCAGGTGCATGTCCGCCAGACTGAGGACTACCCGGTGGATTTGTATTACCTCATGGACCTCTCCGCCTCCATGGATGACGACCTCAACACAATAAAGGAGCTGGGCTCCCGGCTTTCCAAAGAGATGTCTAAATTAACCAGCAACTTTAGACTGGGCTTCGGATCTTTTGTGGAAAAACCTGTATCCCCTTTTGTGAAAACAACACCAGAAGAAATTGCCAACCCTTGCAGGTAAGTAAATGATTCTCTTGGCATCTTTGTGCGCTGATTTTCTGTGGAGATACTCCCGCTCTGAGCTGCACTTGCCAGGAGCTTGCTAACTCCCTGGCATTTCTGCCTTGTCTGGTTGGATCTCAGCAGTTCTCTCAGAGGCCTAGGTTGCTTAGAGTGGAGGTGAGGTCATCTGAACTACATGGTTCTAGCCGTGGGTCCTTGAGGCCTCTGCATTTGCCTCCCAGTATAGGGCAGGATGTGGCAAACCAGAATGCGTGTTATGCAGGCGAGGGAACCAAGACTTTCACCATAGGCTCCACTGGATGGTGCCCAGCCCCAGCCTCTCAGACACTTTCTAGCCTCAGTGGCCACCACTTTCTGAGGTTATTTGAGAATAACCTTCACTTTCCCAGAGTCTTTCTCCATGACAATGACTTCTGGCAAAATAATAATTTTTGCAACTTTCTCTGACATACTTTGGGAAATATTGGTTTCTCTTATTGCTTGGAGAAGGCCAATGCAGCCTTCACTGCTGTTAAATTCAGTAGTAAATCACTCCATAGGCAATGACTCCATTCTCATATGCTATAATAAGCTATTAAAACCACACATTATGCAGGTGATGGTGGAGGACAGATTGCTTTGTGACGGCTTACCTGTGCAGTGAATGACATGTTCAGAATCAAATATTCTCCTATTGAAAATGAGCTACCATATGCTCTGTGCCAGATCTCGTGTGGAAGGTTTTACATACATGACCTCATTCAGCCTTCATAATAACAGCAGGTTAAACAGCAGGTTAAAGCTAGCTTAATAACATCAGCCCTATACTCAGAGGAAGTAAGAGGCTCTGAGAGATTAGCTATTTGCCCAGGGCCACATGACTAATCCATGATCTGTACCAAGATTTGATTTGTCCCAAAAGCAAGCCCATTACTGCTATATATCTAGTATATATGAAATAATGTTCCAAATATTTATTAATTTATAATACTTTTATACACCAAAGGCATCAATCTCTATAAAAGATAAACAGCTTTTATTATACCATTTAAAAAACATCTCAGTGTACTTCCCAACTACAATCTAACATAATAAAAAATAATTTAACCATAAAGGAAATTTATCAATGATTGTAACACTTAGAAATTTTGTTTGGTTGCAAGTATCTGAGACAGTGGCTTAAAAAGAGAGTATTTTTGTTTTTTGTGTTTTGTTTTGTTTTGTTTTGAAATGGAGTTTCACTCTGTCACCCAGGCCAGAGTGCTGTGGCATGATCTCGGCTCACTGTAACCTCTGCCTCCTGGATTCAAGCAATTCTCCTGTGTCAGCCTCCCGAGTAGCTGAGATTACAGGCACCTGCCACCATGCCTGGCTAATTTTTGTATTTTTAGTAGTGACTGGGTTTCGCTATGTTGGCCAGGCTGGTCTCAAACTCCTGACCTCAAGCGATCCACCCGCCTTGGCCTCCCAAAGTGCTGGGATTACATGCGTGAGCCACCGCGCCCAGTCAATATTTTCTTTTCTCTTCTACATGAAATACAGAGAAAGGCCATTCAGGGGTAGTATGGCAGATCCATAAACATGAGGAATCTAGGCCTTTTTCCCCCTCTCTGCTTCACCATTATTGACACTTGGATTTTATGTTCACAGTCCAAGAATGTTGCTGGGGCACTAATCATTACTTCTTCATTTCAGTCAGAAGGAAAGGAGGAAAATAGGGGCAATAAGGGCACTGTCTGCCCACTCCCTCGCAACTCCTTTTAATGTATAGTTGACATGCCTAAAATGCACAGATCAAAAATGTTCAGTTTCATGTGTTTTGATGGTTAAATATACCATTGCAATCAATATCCAAAACATGATGTAGAATATTTCCATCACCTCAGAAATTTCACGTTACAGTCAGTTCTACCACTTCAGAGGCAACCACTTTCTGTTTCTATAATTTATATTGGTTTTGCCTATTCCTGAATTTTATATAAATATATAATGTAGTATATGCCCTATGTGTTTGGCTTCTTTGGTTCAACATAATGTTTTGAAGATTTACCTATTATTTTGTATGTATCAGGAGTTTGCTGCTTTTTGTTTTAATTAATAATCCATTGTATATATTAACTACATTTTATTTACTCTTTTATTGGTGGACATTTGGGTTGTTTCTATTTTGGGGAGCTATTATGAAAAGGCTGCTATGAGCACTTGCGTAGAAGTCTTTGTATAGATGTATACTTTTACTTCTCTTTGATAGACACCTAAACTGGAGTTGCTGAACTGTATGGTACTTCTACTTTTTAAAGAAACTACCAAATTGTTTTCCAAAGTGAACATACCATTTTGCATTTCCTTCAGTAGTGTGACAGGGTTCCAGATATTGTATATCCTTACTGACACTTGATGTTGTCAGTTTTTAAAATTTTAGCCATTCTAATAGGTGTGGGGTAGCATCTCATTGTAGCTTTAATTTGCATCTCCTTAATAATGAATGATGTTGAGCTCCTTTTCCTGTGTTTATTTGCCATTCTTATTTCTTATTTTGTGGTTTCTTTTCAAATCTTTTGCCCATTTTTTTAAGATTAGACTGTCTTTCCAATATTGTGTGGTAAGAGTACTTTATATATGCTGGATACAAGTTTTTTGTCAAATATATTTTGCCAAAAAATAGATATTTTAGTCAAAAATATTCTCTCCCAGTTTATAGCTTGTGTTTTAATTTTTCTGGCGATACCTTTGGTCAAGCAAAAGTTTGTAATTTTGATGAAGTCCAGCTTATTAATTTTTAATTTTATGGTTGGTGTGTTGTATGTCCTAAGAAATTTTTGCTTACTGTAAAGATCACAAAGACTCTTCCTATATTTTCTTCTAGAAGCTTTATGCTTAACATGCTTACATTTAGGCTTCTGATCTCAGATTAGTTTTTGTATTTGGAATGAGAAGGAAGGTCTAGGTTCATCTTTTGTTTCCACAGAGATATCTAGTTGTTCAAGCACTATTTGTTACACAAGAATTTCTTTTCCACATTGAGTTATCTTAATGTCTTTGTTGACAAGCAATTGACCATATATGTGTGAGTCTAATTCTGGACACTATTCTGTTTCATTGATCCATTGCATATACCCATGTAACCACTAATGCCTCACTACCCCCCTTACAGAGCTTTATAAAAAGTCTTGAAATCAGGAGCATAAATCCTCCAACTTTGTTCTTTCATTTTGTTTATCCTAGATCCTTTGCATTTCCATATAAATTTTAGAATCAACTTGTCAATTTCTTCAAAAAATATGCTGAGATTTTTATTGAGACAACATTGAAACCATAGATCAATTTGTGGGGATATTGAACATCTTACACATATTGAATTTTCCAATCATTTTACATGACATATATCTTCATTTATTCATATCTTGTTTAATTTCTCAGAGCAATGTTTTGTCATTTTCAGGGTAGATATCTTGCACATGTTTTGTTTTATTTATTTCTAGGGACGTTTAACATTTTTATTTTCGAATTCTTTGTGGATAACATGTAGAATTGCAATTGATTTTGCGTATTCACTTTGTATCCTGCAAACTTCATAAATTTTCTCATTAGTTCTAGTGTGATTTTTATAGATTCCTTAGAATTTTCTGTGTATATGATCACATCATCTATGAATAACAACTTCTTTTTCCTCCAATATCTATGCTTCTTCTTTCTTATTTCTTACCTTATTGCACCGACTTGGGTCTCCAGTACCCTTTTAAGTTGATGTAGTAGGTGAGGACAATCTAGTCATGTTCATGATCTTAGGGAGAAAGGATCAGTGTTTTACCATTAAGTATGTTGTTAGCTAGTGGTTTTTCATTTCCTTCCATCAGATCAAAGAAATGATCTTCTATTCCTTGCTTGGTAAGTTTTTTTAAAAAAATTATAAATGGTTGTTAAATTTTATTGCCCCAACTTAAGAGGTTTTGACAGAAATACTCATCACCTTAGACTTGCATCTCATTGGCTGGCACTTAGTTACATGACCACAGTTAACTACAAAGGAAGCACATTGCTAGCTGCCCCTCCAAAATCAGCATTCTGTTATTAGGGAAGAAAGAAAGATGGATACAAGGTGGCATCTGCGAGTAGTTCCTGTGACACTGAATACATAGATTTCTATAAAGAGTTATAAAGACTTATACCCTCAAAAATTCTGTATAATAAAAAGTAAGGTATGATTATTGTTATTAATTGCTTGATTCACTTGTGAAGGGAAATAAGCTTGGTGCTAACAACCTCTTAACTATCTAACATAAAAGTATTGCTAATGCTTTTGGCCCCATTTTTAAAATCAGAGAATATTATACCTGAATAAAATTTGTATTTAGTTCTTTGGTATATTGTGTGTTTCCCCTACAATAAGCTTCCATAGAGAGATTAGTAGGGCAATTCCAACTAGAACTCCAAAGTGCCACCTCTGCCCCAGAGGGTATATTTAAAATCATTCCTCATGTCACAGATCAGGTACGATGTAGCAACATGTAGTACAATAATAACCATGGGAACCAATGAGTGTGGAATGTTACCAGAGAAAATAACTAAAATTAACAAGGTTGCATGGCTCAGCTAAACTAGTATCCCAGCATCTTGAACTAACAATGAGACCCTGTCCTTAATCGGGCTTCAAGTAAATGAAAGCAGTTTGGCTCTTTATTTACCTCTTGACTGTACTTTATTCATGCATTTATTTATTCATTCATTTGTTCAACAAAAATTTACTGAGTTCCAACTATGTACCAAGCAATGTGCCAGGCATGAGTATATTTGGAAGAAAAAGACCTGGTCCCAGTTCTCAAGTAGCTGAAATCCTTTGGGGAAGCAGGTACATAGTATCGCATGGTGATTAACCACAAGGGCTTTGGAGTCAGCCCTGGATTCAGTCTTGATTCATATATTCACTCATAATGTGAGCTTAGGTGAATCATTTCATCTCTCAAGCCTTCGGTGTTTTCGCTGTAAGTCTAGACTAACAATGCCAATCACAAAGAGTGTTTTTTTTTTAATTATACTTTAAGTTTTAGGGTACATGTGCACAACGTGCAGGTTTGTTACATATATATACATGTGCCATGTTGGTGTGCTGCACCCATTAACTCGTCATTTAGCATTAGGTATATCTCCTAATGCTAACCCTCCCCCCTCCCCCCAACCCACAACAGTCCCTGAAGTGTGATGTTCCCCTTCCTGTGTCCATGTGTTCTCATTGTTCAATTCCCATCCATGAGTGAGAACATGCAGTGTTTGGTTTTCTGTCCTTGTGATAGTTTGCTGAGAATGATGGTTTCCAGCTTCATTCATGTTCCTACAAAGGACATGAACTCATTATTTTTTATGGCTGCATAGTATTCCATGGTGTATATGTGCCACATTTTCTTAATCAAGTCTATCATTGTTGGACATTTGGGGTGGTTCCAAGTCTTTGCTATTGTGAATAGTGCCGCAATAAACATATGTGTGCATGTGTCTTTATAGCAGCATGATTTAGAATCCTTTGGGTATATACCCAGTAATGGGATGGCTGGGTCAAATGGTATTTCTAGTTCTAGATCCCTGAGGCATCGCCACACTGACTTCCACAATGGTTGAACTAGTTTACAGTCCCACCAACAGTGTAAAAGTGTTCCTATTTCTCCACATCCTCTCCAGCACCTGTTGTTTCCTGACTTTTTAATGATCGCCATTCTAACTGGTGTGAGATGGTATCTCATTGTGGTTTTGATTTGCATTTCTCTGATGGCCAGTGATGATGACCATTTTTTCATGTGTCTTTTGGCTGCATAAATGTCTTCTTTTGACAAGTGTCTGTTCATATCCTTCGCCCACTTTTTGATGGGGTTGTTTGTTTTTTTCTTGTAAATTTGTTTGAGTTCATTGTAGATTCTGGATATTAGCCCTTTGTCAGATGAGTAGGTTGCGAAAATTTTCTCCCATTCTGTAGGTTGCCTGTTCATTCCGATGGTGGTTTCTTTTGCTGTGCAGAAGTTCTTTAGTTTAATTAGATCCCATTTGTCAATTTTGGCTTTTGTTGCCATTGCTTTTGGTGTTTTAGTCATGAAGTCCTTGCCCATGCCTATGTCCTGAATGGTATTGCCTAGGTTTTCTTCTAGAGTTTTTATGGTTTTAGGTCTAACATGTAAGTCTTTAATCCATCTTGAATTAATTTTTGTATAAGGTGTAAGGAAGGGATCCAGTTTCAGCTTTTTACATATGGCTAGCCAGTTTTCCCAGCACCATTTATTAAATAGGGAATCCTTTCCCCATTTCTTATTTTTGTCAGGTTTGTCAAAGATCAGATAGTTGTAGATATGTGGCATCATTTCTGAGGGCTCTGTTCTGTTCCATTGGTCTATATCTCTGTTTTGGTACCAGTACCATGCTGTTTTGGTTACTGTAGCCTTGTAGTATAGTTTGAAGTCCGGTAGCGTGATGCCTCTAGCTAAGAATTGATGAGTTGGCCAGGTGTGATGGCTCACGCCTGCAATCCCAGCGTTTTGGGAGGCTTAGGTGGGTGAATCATGAGTTCAGGAGTTTGAGACCAGCCTGGCCAATGTGGTAAAACCCTGTCTCTACTAAAAATACAAAAAAATTAGCCAGGCATGGGGGCACATGCCTGTAATCCCAGCTACTCAGGAGGCTGAGGCAGGAGAATCACTTAAACCAGGGAGGCGGAGGTTGCAGTGAGCCAAGACTGAGCCACAGTACTCTAGCCTGGGTGACAGAGCGAGACTACATCTAACAAAAAAAAAAAAAGAATTGAATGAGTTAACGATTAAAAGCATTTGGCATTGGGCCTGACCATGATATGTTCTCAATAAATAAGAGGTACTATTAACAAAAACAGGGTGTGATTAGGGGGAGACCAGAGCACTGCAGGGGGTGCAAAAATTGGAGACCTGAAGGAGAATCATCTATTTGATCTCTTAAAAGGTTCAATATGTCCTATTTTCTGAAGATTATTATTATGGGCAAAATTTACCATTAAGGTGGTAAATAGCAAGTTCTTTTTTGTGGCAAGATTATATGTTTCCCATTTCCATTATAGCCCTAACTCTCTTAGTTTCTCTGTCCAGATAGTATACCCTTGTACACACATACATACATATACATGTCAAGATAAAAAGTCAATCCTCTGATCAAACCAAACCTTATAATTGTAGAATAAAATGTTCTTAGTAGGAAGGCAATTAGAGGTAAAAGGAAAGAGCGTAGGATTTTTCAGACCTGGGTTACAATCATAACTTTGGATAAACCATTACTCTCTTTGAGCTCAGTCTCATTACCTATAAACGGGAATAATAATATTGACCTCCTAGAGTAATTGTGAGAACCAAATGAACTCATAACAAAACAGACATTCAAAACAAATGTTAATTTTTTCTCGCTCTCATTAACACTTACTAATCTCTAGTTATTTTAATCTAGTGGTCCTCAAACTTTTAGATCTCAGGACTCCCTTAGACTCTTGAAAATTAAGAGCCCCAAGAGCTTTAGTTTATGATTATGGTTATATATACCCATAATCATCATACTAGAAAGTAAAACAGAAACATTTTAAAATAATTATCTACTGATTTATTTAATAACTATAATAATAAACCCACTGCATATTACTGTAATATGTTTTTATGAAAAATAACTGTATTTTCTGAAACAAAACAAAAATTAACAGGCCTTCTGCTCTAAAATGGAGTGGCACTGTTTTACATATTCGGAAATCTCTTTAAGCATCTGGTTTAATGGAAGACAACTGGATTCTCTATCTGCTCCTGCATTTAATCTTTTGCCTTTTTCAAAAATTGAATTCCATGAAGAAAGTCAAACCTCATGTAAACATATAGTTGGAAAGGAAGAAGCATATAATAGCTTTTTTCAATGACTGTGGACATTCTTCTTTGATATTACCTTCAAACTAGATAACAGGTGATAGTAGATAACAGGTAAAACTAGATAACAGGTGAAAGTAGTTTCAATGAGGAATCTGAAACATCAGTGAATGTTTCATGTTGTTAAAATGAAAAGCCATTGATCTCTTTTCATTTTGAATGGATTTTTTTAACCAATGTGTGATTTTGTAATATGATGCTTTGTCCTTTGTAAAATATTGATTCAGTGAGCTATGCAGACCTTCCAGATTTCATGATACAATATCAAAAAAAATCACATTTGTTAATATCATTACCATTCTCATCAGACAAATCTTAAAGTATTGAGAAGTATTGTTTTTTTCTATTTTTTATTATTATTATACTTTAAGTTCTAAGATACGTTTGCAGAACGTACAGGTTTGTTACGTAGGTATATATGTGCCATGGTTGTTTGCTGCACCCATCAACCCGTCATCTACGTTAGGTATTTCTCCTGATGCTATCCCTCCCCCTAGCCTCCCACCCCCCCGACAGGCCCTGGTGTGTGATGTTCCCCTCCCTGTGTCCATGTGTTCTCATTGTTCAACTCCCACTTACGAGTGAGAACATGCACTGTTTGGTTTTCTGTTCTTGTGTTAGTTTGCTGAGTATGATGGTTTGAGCTTCATCCAGGTCCTTGCAAAGGGCATGAACTCATCCTTTTTTATGACTGCATAGTATTCCATGGTGTATATGTGCCATATTTTCTTTATCCAGTCTATCATTGATGGACATTTGGGTTGGTTCCAAGTGTTTGCTATTTTGAACAGTGCCACAGTAAACATACATGTGCATGTGTCTTTATAGTGGAATGATTTATAATCCTTTGGGTATATACGCAGTAACGGGATTGCTGAGTCAAGTGGTATTTCTGGTTCTAGATCCTTGAGGAATGGCCACACTGTCTTCCACAATGACTGAACTAATTTACACTCCCACCAACAGTGTAAAAGCATTTCTGTTTCTCCACATCCTCTCCAGCATCTGTTGTTTCCTACTTTTTAATGATTGCCATTCTAACTGGCATGAGATGGTATCTCATTGTGGTTTTGATTTGCATTTCTCTGATGACCAGTGATGATGAGCTTTTTTTCATATGTTTCTTGGCCGTATAAATGTCTTCTTTTGAGAAGTGTCTGTTCATATCCTTTGCCGACTTTTTGATGTTTTTTTTTTTTTTGGAAATTTGTTTAAGTTCTTTGTAGATTCTGGATATTAGCCCTTTGTCAGATGGATAGATTGCAGAAATTTTCTCCCATTCTGTAGGTTGCCTGTTCACTCTGATAATAGTTTCTTTTGCTGTGCAGAAGCTCTTTAGTTTAATTAGATCCCATTTGTCAATTTTGACTTTTATTGCCATGGCTTTTGGTGTTTTAATCATGAAGTCTTTGCCCATGCCTATGTTCTGAATTGTATTGCCTAGATTTTCTTCTAGGGTTTTTATGGTTTTAGGTCTTATGTTTATGTCTTTAATCCATCTTGAGTTAATTTTTATATAAGGTGTAAGGAAGGGGTCCAGTTCAGTTTTTTGCATATGGCTAGTCAGTTTTCCCAACACCATTTATTAAGTAGGGAATCCTTTCCCCATTGCTTGTTTTTGTCAGATTTGTCAAAGATCAGATGGTTGTAGATGTGTGGCATTATTTCTGAGGCCTCTGTTCTGTTCCATTGGTCTATATATCTGTTTTGATACCAGTACCATGCTGTTTTGGTTACTGTAGCTTTGTAGTATAGTTTGAAGTCAGGTGGCATGATGCCTCCAGCTTTGTTCTTTTGCTTAGGATTGTCTTTGCTAAATGGGCTCCTTTTTGATTCCATATGAAATTTAAAGTAGTTTTTTCTAAATCTGTGAAGAAAGTCAATGGTAGCTTGATGGGGATAGCATTGAATCTATAAATTACTTTAGGCAGTATGGCTATTTTCACAATATTGATTCTTCCTATCCATGAGCATGGAATGTTTTTCCATTTGTTTTTGTCCTCTCTTATTCCTTGAGCAGTGGTTTGTAGTTCTTGAAGAGGTCCTTCACATCCCTTGTAAGTTGGATTCCTAGGTATTGTATTCTCTTTGTAGCAATTGTGAATGGGAGTTCACTCATGATTTGGCTCTCTGTCTGTTATTGGTGTATAGGAATGCTTGTGATTTTTGCACATTGATTTTGTATCCTGAGACTTTGCTGAAGTTGCTTATCAGCTTAAGGAGATTTTGGGCTAAGATGATGGGGTTTTCTAAATATACAATCTTGTCATCTGCAAACAGAGACAATTTGACTTGCTCTCTTTCTATTTGAATTTGCTTTATTTCTTTCCCTTGCCTGATTGCCCTGGCCAAAACTTCCAATACCATGTTGAATAGGAGTAGTGAGAGAGGGCATTCTTGTCTTGTGCAGGTTTTCAAAGGGAATGCTTCCAGCTTTTGCCCATTCAGTATGATATTGGCTGTGGGTTTGTCATGAACAGCTCTTATTATTTTGAGATACGTTCCATCAATACCTAGTTTATTGAGAGTTTTTAGCATGAAGGGATGTTGAGTTTTGTTGAAGTCCTTTTCTGCAACTATTGAGATAATCATGTGATTTTTGTCTTTGGTTCTGTTTATGCGATGGATTATGTTTATTGATTTATGTATGTTGAACCAGCCTTGCATCACAGGGATGAAGCCAGCTTGATCGTGGTGGATAAGCTTTTTGATGTGCTGCTGGATTCGGTTTGCCAGTATTTTCTTGAGGATTTTCGCGTCAATGTTCATCAGGGATATTGGCCTAAAATTTTCTTTTTTTGTTGTGTCTCTGCCAGGCTTGTGTATTAGGATGATGCTGGCCTCATAAAATGAGTTAGGGAGGATTCCCTCTTTTTCTATTGTTTGGAATAGTTTCAAAAGGAATGGTACCAGCTCCTCTTTGTACTTCTGGTAGAATTTGGCTGTGAATCCATCTGGTCCTGGACATTTTTTGGTTGGTAGGCTATTAATTACTATCTCAATTTCAGAACTTGTTATTAGTTGATTCAGGTATTCGACTTCTTCCTGGTTTAGTCTTGGGAGGGTGTATGTGTCCAGGAATGTATCCATTTCTTCTAGATTTTCTAGTTTATTTGCATAGAGGTGTTTATAGTATTCACTGGTGGTACTTTGTATTTCTGTGGGATCAGTGGTGATATCCTGTTTATCATTTTTTATTGTGTCTGTTTGATTCTTCCCTCTTTTCTTCTTTATTATTCTGGCTAGTGGTCATCTATTTTGTTAATCTTTTCAAAAAACCAGCTCCTGGATTCACTGATTTTTTGAAGGGTTTTTTGTGTCTCTATCTCCTTCAGTTCTGCTCTAATCTTAGTTATTTCTTGTCCCCTGCTAGCTTTGGAATTTGTTTGCTCCTGCTTCTCTAGTTCTTTTAATTGTGATGTTAGGGTGTCGATGTTAGATCTTTCCCACTTTCTCCTGTGGGCATTTAGTTCTATAAATTTCTCTCTAAACACTGCTTTAGCTGTGTCTCAGAGATTCTACTACGTTGTGTCTTTGTTCTCATTGGTTTCAAAGAACTTCTTTATTTCTGCCTTCATTTCGTTATTTACCCAGTAGCATGTTGTTCAGTTTCCATGTAGTTGTGTGGTTTTGAGTGAGTTTCTTAATCCTCAGTTCTAATTTGATTGCACTATGGTATGAGAGACTGTTTGTTATGATTTCCATTCTTTTGCGTTTGCTGAGGAGTGTTTTACTTCCAATTATGTGGTCAATTTTAGAATAAGTGCGACTTGGTGCTGAGAAGAATGTATATTCTGTCGATTTGGGGTGCAGAGTTCTGTAGATGTCTATTAGTTCTGCTTGGTCCAGAGCTGAGTTCAAGTCCTGAATATCCTTGTATATTTTCTGTCTCATTGATCTGTCTAATATTGACAGTGGAGTGTGAAAGTCTCCCACTATTATTGTGTGGGAGTCTAAGTTTCTTTGTAGGTATCTAAGGACTTGCTTTATGAATCTGGGTTCTGCTGTATTGGGTGCATATATATTTAGGATAGTTAGCTTTTCTTGTTGTGTTGATCCCTTTACCATTATGTAATGCCCTTCTTTGTCTTTTTTGATCTTTGTTGGTTTAAAGTCTGTTTTATCAGAGACCAGGATTGTAACCCCTGCTTTTTTTTGCTTTCCATTTGTTTGATAAATCTTCCTCCATCCCTTTATTTTGAGCCCATGCGTGTCTTTGTACGTGACATGTGTCTCCTGAATACACACCAATGGGTCTTGACTCTTTCTCCAATTTGCCACTATGTGTATTTTAATTGGGGCATTTAGCCCATTTACATTTAAGGTTAATATTGTTATGTGTGAATCTGATCCTACCATTGTGATTCTAGCTGGTTATTTTGCCTGTTAGTTGATGCATTTTCTTCATAGTGTCGACGGTCTTTACAATTTGGTATGTTTTTGCAGTGGCTGGTACCAGTTTTTCCCTTCCATATTTAGTGCTTCCTTCAGGAGCTCTTGTAAGGCAGGCCTGGTGGTGGCAAAATCTCTCAGCATTTGCTTGTCTGTAAAGGATTTTATTTCTCCTTCGCTTATGAAGCTCAGTTTGGCGAGATATGAAATTCTGGGTTGAAAATTCTTTTCTTTAAGAATGTTGAATATTGGCCCCTACTCTCCTCTGGCTTGTAGGGTTTCTGCAGAGAGATATGCTGTTAGTCTGATGGGCTTCTCTTCGTGGGTAACCCAACCTTTCTCTCTGGTTGCCCTTAACATTTTTCCTTCATTTCAACCTTGGTGAATCTGATGATTATATGTCTTGGAGTTGCTCTTCTTGGGGAGTATCTTTGTGGTTTTCTCTGTATTTCCTGAATTTGAATGTTGCCCTGCCTTGCTGTGTTGGGGAAGTTCTCCTGGATAATATCCTGAAGAGTGTTCTCCAACTTGGATCCATTCTCCCCATCACTTTCAGGTACACCAATCAAACATAGGTTTGGTCTTTTCACATAGTCCCATATTTCTTGGAGGCTTTGATTGTTCCTTTTCATTCTTTTTCTCTAATCTTGTCTTCATGCTTTATTTCATTAAGTTGATCTTCAATCTCTGATATCCTTTCTTCCCCTTGATTGATTCAGATATTGATGCTTGTGTATGCTTCATGAAGTTCTCGTGCTGTGTTTCTCAGCTCCATCAGGTCATTTATGTTCTTCTCTAGACTGGTTGTTCTGGTTAGCAATTCCTCTAACCTTTTTTCAAGGTTCTTAGCTTCCTTGCATTGGGTTAGAACATGCTCCTTTAGTTTAGAGGAGTTTGTTATTACTCACCTTCTGAAGCCTACTTCTGTCAATTCGTCAGACTCATTCTCTGTCCAGTTTTGATCTCTTGCTGGCGAGGAGTTGTAATCCTTTGGAGGAGAAGAGGCATTCTGGGTTTTGGAATTTTCAGTCTTTTTGCATTAGTTTTTCCTCATCTTCGTGGATTTATCTACCTTTGGTATTTTATGTTGGTAACCTTCGGATGGGGTTTTTTGTGTGGACGTCCTTTTTGTTGATATTGATGCTATTCCTTTCTGTTCATTAGTTTTCCTTCTAACAATCAGGCCCCTCTGCTGCAGGTCTGCTGAAGTTTGCTGGAGGTCCACTCCAGACCCTGTTTGCCTGGGTATCACCAGCGGAGGCTACAGAACAGCAAAGAATGCTGCCTGTTCCTTCCTCTGGAAGCTTTGGCCCAGAGGGGCACCCGCCAGATGTCAATTGGAGCTCTCTTGTATGAGGTGTCTGTTGATCCCTGCTGGGATGTGTCTCCCAGTCAGGAGGCACGAGGGTCAGGGACCCACTTGAGGAGGCAGTCTGTCCCTTAGCACAGCTCAAGCACTGTGCTGGGAGATTCACTGCTCTGTTCAGAGCTGGCAGGCAGGGACGTTTAAGTCTGCTGAAGCTGTGCCCACAGTCGCCCCTTTCCCCAGGTGCTCTGTCCCAGGGAGATGGGAGTTTCATCTAAAAGCCCCTGACTGGGGCTACTGCCTTTCTTTCAAAGATTTCCTGCCCAGAGAGGAGGAATCTAGAGAGGCAGTCTGGCTACAGAGGCTTTGCCGAGCTGCGGTGAGCTCTGCCGAATTCGAACTTCCTGGTGGCTTTGTTTACACTGTGAGGGGAAATTGCCTACTCAACCCTCAGTAATGGCAGATGCCCCTCCCCCTACCAAGCTCCAGTGTCCCAGGTCGACTTCAGACTGCTGTGCTGGCAGCGAGAATTTCAAGCCAGTGGATCTTAGCTTGCTGGGCTCCATGAGAGTGGGATCTGCTGAGCTAGACCACTTGGCTCCCTGGCTTCAGCCCCCTTTTCAGGGGAGTGAACGGTTCTGTCTCGCTGGAATTCCAAGCGCCACTGGGGTATGAAAAAAAACTCCGGCAGCTAGCTCGCTGTCTGCCCAAACAGCCACCCAGTTTTGTGCTTGAGACCCAGGGCCCTGGTGATATAGGCACCCGAGGGAATCTCCTGGTCTGGGGGTTGTGAAGACAATGGGAAAAGCGAAGTATCTGGGCTGGAATGCACCATTCCTCATGGCACAGTCCCTCACAGCTTCCCTTGGCTAGGGGAGGGAGTTCCTGACCACTTGCGCTTCCATGGTGAGGTGACGCCCCACCCTGCTTCGGCTCACCCTTTGTAGGCTGCACCCATTGTCTAACCAGTCCCAGTGAGATGAGCTGGGTACCTCAGTTGGAAATGCAGAAATCACCTGCCTTCTGCGTTGATCTCACTGGGAGCTGCATACTGGAGCTGTTCCTATTTGATCATCTTACCAGCCTTCTCACTACTGCTTTCATATCATCAGTGCAAATGTCAACACAGTGAAGAAGGCAAATGACATCTCTGAATTACTGTGAAAATAGTTTAACGTGAAGGACCTCCTGCAAGGTCTCAGGGACCCTCATGGGTCTGTGCACCACCCTTCAAAAACCACACCAAACCCCCATCACACACAATTTACCTATATAACAAACCCACACAGGTACCTCTAAACATAAAATAAAAGTTAAATACAAATAAAAATAAAAGCCACCCTTTTTCCAGGTGCAGTGGCACATGCCTGTAGTCCCAGAGCTGGAGGATTGCTTAAGCCCTGGAGTTTGAGTCCAGCCTGGGCAACATAGAGAGTGTCCAAGGCTCTATAAAAAGAAAGAAAATCCACCTCTTTAATCTAATCTTTATGTTTTCTGGAGTAGCTCATTTATTTTCAGTGGATGGAGAGACACTAAAAATTTATTTCACCCTGTTAAAAATGCTGAAGTGGTTTACATTTTTGAAAAGAATTTCTTTTGCTGTTGTCTAAGATACAGCAACATTCTGAAGGTTGTTTTTTTTGTTTGTTTTTTTTTTTTTTTGAGGTGGAGTTTCACTCTTGATGACCAGGCTAGAGTGCAATGGCATGATCTTGGCTCATTGCAACCTCTGCCTCCCAGGTTCAAGCGATTCTGCTGCCTCAGCCTCCCAAGTAGCTGGGATTACAGGCGTGTGCCACCATGCCCAGATGATTTTTTTTTTTTTTTTTTTTGTATTTTTAGTAGAGACAGGGTTTCATCATGTTGGTCTGGCTGGTCTTGAACTCCTGACCTCAAGTAATCCACCTGTCTCTGCCTCCCAAAGTGCTGGGATTACAGGCGTGAACCACCCTGCCCGGCCGAAAGATTTTTGAAACATCATTTTATGTATACTGTGGTGTTTTTTGTTTTGTTTTGAATTTACACCAACAGTGAGTTCATTGTAGTTTTGCAAAAGAGGAAACTAAGCATGAAATGCTGGAATGGGCCGGGCATGGTAGCTCACACCTGTAATCCCAGCACTTGGGAGGCCGAGGTGGGCAGATCACCTGAGGTCAAGAGTTTGAGACCAGCCTGGCCAACACGGTGAAACCCTGTCTCAACTAAAAATACCAAAAAAAAAAAAAAAATTAGCTGGACGTGGTGGTGCATGCCTGTAATCTCAGCTACTCGGGAGGCTGAGGCAGGAGAATCACTTGAGGCAGAGGTTGCAGTGAGCTGAGATGGCACCACCGCATTCCAGCCTGGGCGACAGAGTGAGAGTCCATCTCAAAAAAAAAAAAAAAAGAAAAAGAAAAAAAGAAAAGAAATGCTAGAATGGATTTCCTCTATGTTCACACACATAAACATATATGAGTATATGGTATATAGTTTCTTATTGCAAAGGTAATAAGTCCATGTGAAAATACAGACAAAAGTAAGAAGTGAAAATCATTTCTAACCTCACTCAGGAAAAGACGATATTAATACTTTAGTATATGTGATTATAGTCTTATTTTATAAATATTTATTTAAAATTTTAACAAAAAATTGAAGTAATATTTATATTGTGTTTTATCATTATTTTGCATTTTAAATGCAAATCTCTTTTTATCTAGGGACTCAAAATCAAGTAATTTGGTGAGAGGTGCCTATTTCTTTTAATTGGTAGGCTAAGAAAGTAACAACAAAATATGAACATTTGTTAGAAAATGAACTCTTGCCTGTAATCCCAGCACTTTTGGAGGCCGAGGCGAGCAGATTGCTTGAGCTCAGGAGTTCGTGACCAGCTTGGGCAACATGGTGAGACTCCATCTCTACAAAAAGTACTAACATTAGCTGGGTATGGTGGTACATACCTGTAGTCCCAGCTACTTGGGAGGCTGAGGTGGGAGAATTGCTTGACCCCGGTGGCGGAGGTTGCAGTGAGCTGAGATTGTGCCACCACAACCGCATTCCAGCCTGGGCTACAGAGGGAGACCCTGTCTCAAAAAAAAAAAAAAAAAAAAAGAGAGAGAGAGAGAGAGAAAGATAGAGAGAAAAGAAAATGAACTCTGATCAAAACATGGGCAATATGCACTCAAAATTCCCTGGCGTGAGCCATCTCTGACATTCTGTTTTGCTTTAGCTCTCCTATCACTTGAATTTCTTTAGTGAGTTAAATTAAAATTTTATTCCACTTTCCAAAGGCACAGAGTTCTAGTAAAATCTACATAGCGGATAATTCTAACCAACAAAGATGCAAATCTCTCACAAAAAATAGGACTGCTACCTCTGTGGATCTGGAAGATGCTCAAATGTCATTTCGGTATGGTATGAACCAGTAGCCCCAAATAATAGATTAAACAATTTCCAAGAATAGTTAGGTCCCAGGCACAATGGTGTACCTAACATGATTACATACTTTTTATCTCATATAATCGTCATGGCAACTTTGTGAAATAGATATTATGATCATTCCCATTTTATGGAGGAAGACACTGAGGCCAGTGGTGTTGAATAACTTGCCCAAAGATAGATAACTGGCCGGGCACAGTGGTGCACGCCTGTACTCGCAGCACTTTGGGATGCCAAGGTGGGTGCATCACTTGAGGTCAGGAGCTCGAGACCAGCCTGGCCAACATGGTAAAACCCCATCTCTACTAAAAATACAAAACTTAGCTGGGCATGGTGGCGTGAGCCTGTAATCCCAGCTACTTGGGAGGCTGAGGCAGGAGAATGGCTTGAACCTAGAGGCAGAGGTTGCAGTGAGCCGAGATCATGCCACTGCACTCCAGCCTGGGTGACAGAGTGAGACTCCATCTCCAAAAAAATAAGATAGATAACTGTTCGCTCTTTTTATTCTAAATCCAATGTATTTTCTACCACCCACAGCTACTTCAAGTGCTCTAAGGGCAATTAAGAAATATACTGCATTATTGTCATTTAACAAGTTAAATATTTTGAAAAAAATCAGGCTCCTTTCTTATATCACACTTTAAAAATGCATCTTAGATTTGAAGGTGGGAAGAAGTTTGACTGCATCAAAACTTTTAAGATATATATCCAAAAACACCATGAACAAAATTAAAAGACAAACTACAAAGAAAAAAATGTAATATTTTTAGGATGGTTCTTTTTTTTTTTTTGAGACAGAATCTTGCTCTATCGCCCAGGCTGGAGTGCAGTGGCATGATCTGGGCTCACTGCAAGCTCCGCCTCCCGGGTTCACGCCATTCTCCTGACTCAGCCTCCTGAGTAGCTGGGACTACAGGCACCCACCACCACCCCGGGCTAATTTTTTTGTATTTTTTTTCAGTAGAGATGGGGTTTCACCGTGTTAGCCAGGATGGTCTCTATCTCCTGACCTCATGATCCGCCCACCTCGGCCTCCCAAAGTGCTGGGATTACAGGCGTGAGCCACAGCGCCTGGCCAGGATGGTTCTTAAAATTAAATTAGAATAAGAAATGTAGCAAAGGATATCAGCTAGCAATTAACAAAAGAAGAAATACAAAATGTTAATAAGTAGAAACAATCACTCAATCTTAGTAATAATAAAATGAAAATTAAAACTAACAAATGCCATTTTTTGCTAATCAACTAGTATAGTTTTTTTTAAAAAAAACAATGATGCCATGCCATACACTAATACCACAGATGGCAATGGATACAAACTTTTTTGGAAGAGTTTGGTAATATGAGTCAAAAGATAACCCAGCAATTCACAATCAAAAAATTTATTTTAAGCAAGGATATGGAATAGTTTGTACATATGTATGTAGAAGGATCACTATATTATTTAATTACAAAAATGTTCAAAATAAATGCTCAGCAATAGAAAGATGATCAAATAAACTATGATTCATCTCACAACAATTACAATTTATGTTTTTGATTCTTTTCTTTACACTTTCATATAAAACCCCAATTTTCTTCAATGAACCTGCCTTATTATTTTAATCAGGAAAAAACATTATTCTAGAGATACCATTAGCCAAATCCATTATCTGTACTTAGGTCTGTTCTAGACTGTGTGAAGTGATTTATGTAAGAAATGACAATCATATTTATTATGCATTAACTCTGAAAAGCTCATCGTGCTGTATTCTTTGCCTGTTTGATCCCATTCAAGCCTCATGACAATCCTGCTAGGTAGATACAGTCTGTGGTCAGCACTTTAGAGTTTCAATGAAACCTGATGAACAATATTAAAAATAAGAGAATAAGGTTGTCTTCTGAGAGTTAAAGTTAAACATAATAATTAGGAAAGGAAATTTAAAAATTACCTGGAAGCGACAGACTGGCCCCTGGACCCAGTAGACTAGGTGTATTGATGCAGCTGAAAGGACAGAGAGACCTAGTGGGCTAGGGCAGGACAGAGAAGGGGATGTCACAGAGGCCAGTGTGGGCCACATCCATCCAAGAGCCTCGGCCAACACACTTCCAGAGCTTCCAGTCCCTTTGGTTGCGAGAGCTTTTCAAATTTGTGTTAGCTGAGGAAGTGGACCACAGATGGGGGAGGGGTCAGAAGTGACCAAGAACATCCATTCTGGGGTGGTCGTCTTGGGACATATTGGGCTATGCCATTCAGTGCTGGGTTCCTCCATTTCCCCTAGTTCTGAAGCCTGGGGACATATCCAAACCTCACCTGCTTTCAAGGAAAGTCTACTGATAGGAAGAAAATGATGATACTCACAGGCACAAGCATTCTGGTCCCGGTGAGAGCATCCTTACTCAGTGTGAAAGAGTCCATGATCATTCTGATCTATCTGTACACACAGTCAATTCTCATTATTCATGGTAGTCATGTTCTGCAAACTTGCCCCAAGCAATGAATTATGGAATATTGAATCATTGCTCCCAAGGAAAATATAGGGTTAGGTTCCTGTGAGCCTCTGGCTATCACATTTTCATTAACAAATCACTACACAAACTTATTTTATGTGTGCTTCTATTTAAAGACGCCACATGTAATAGATCTCATTGAATTATAAACATTGAACTCCAGACGAAGGCACTATAACTCATGCCTGAATGAAGCTTGTCTCACACAGCTTATTTTCTCAATGAGACACATCACAGCCTTCTTGCACTTAGGAACACTAAACAGCATTTCAGCATTATGCCTGGGGGCTATTTTAAACAGTGAAACCATCCATGAAAAGCATAAAAATGAAAGAAAGGTGGTACTATGTAGACCGTGAAAAAGACACTGGCTTAGAGTTGGAGGCCTGAAATAAGAAGGCAGAGCACCACCGTGTTTGATTCCAGTTGGGAATGTGCATATAGGGAGATGCTTTGTTTTGGGTTTTTTTGTTTTGTTGTTTTGTTTTGCCTGTCTACACATGTCCACGAATGACTCAGAAAACACGGCAAGTATTAATTAGGGAGTAACAAATAAATCTTAGCAACTAGGTGAATTCACAAATATAGAATCTGTGAATAATGAAGATCAACTGTATACCTCAGGCAGATGAACTTGATGAACTGAAGCCTAACATTGAAAAATGCACCTTCTCGTGCTGACAAAGTAAGCTACTGGACCTGTAGAGCCAAGGCCCAGGCCCCACATGTGCCCATATTAAGAATCAACCAGTTCATCCCCAGGCAGCACATCATTCCCTCACCAGGCGCTATGCCTTTTTGTCTCTTTGCGCTTCTACACCAGTGATTCTAAAACTTTAGCATGCATCCAGAAGGCTTAGTACAATGCACGCCAGTGAGCCTACCCCCAGCATAGCTAACTCAGCAGGTCTTGGGTAGGGGTTCAGATTTTGCATTTCTAACAATTTGCCGGGTGATGCTCATGATGCTGGGCCAGGGATCTCAGTTGGAGAACCTCTCCTCTATACGATTATCCGCATTTTAAAATCCAAAGCTCAGAAGTGTTGAGTAACTTGCCCAAAGTTTCATGCACAGCTAGAAACTTGCTTTCAAAATAAGATGTGGCTGAACTCATGATCAGCCCTTTGTGTTCTACTGTAATATCTTTGGTGCAGATTTCATCGTAACATTGTACCTTAAGTAGTGGTTTTATTTCTAGACTGGCCTATTCAATCACAGTAGAGTTGGACTCTCAAATCAAGAATGCTGCTACAATTGTTGGGCCCTTGGCAGGCAGACCTGGGAGTACAGGAGGGAGCAAAGGAAAAAGAAGACAGGTTCCTCTCTTGTCTTGCTACAGGGTGATTCACACTTGATGACAGCCTGAGATATCAGAATACAAAGGAATTGTCGTTGTATTAACTTAGTGGTGAATTTTGGTTGGGAGCCCATAGAAGGTAGTGATTACACACACACACACACTGGAGTCTGATCACCTGATTATCTGTTATCTGAGTTTGAGCCAGTGCAAGACACACAATAAGCTCTAAATAAGTGTCAGCGAATATGGTCAACATAGAAAGGGTTGGGGATGATGTCAACAACCTTAACAGTGAGATTCATAGCTGAGTTGCAGAGTCAGGCCCTTTAGAAAAACTAATCTTCATTTAGGAGAATGTTGCTAAGCTATTAGATCCATTAATTGTGTGTGGCATCATATTTCATCAACAGTATTTTTGCATCTTACTTTTGCAGTAGTATTCCATACTTCTGTTTACCTACATTTGGATTCAAGCACATTTTGCCATTGACAAATGATGCTGAAAGATTCAATGAAATTGTGAAGAATCAGAAAATTTCTGCTAATATTGACACACCCGAAGGTGGATTTGATGCAATTATGCAAGCTGCTGTGTGTAAGGTATGCTGAAGGGAGTGCTGTTTCACTCTGTTAACATAAAATTCATCTCTTATTAATAATTCTACTTCAAAAAGATTAGCTAATTTCCTTTCCTTTGATCTCTAAATTTCTATATTTCATATTTTTCTTAAAATACACAATTTTTACCAAATGTTTAATTAAATCATGTTGAAATGGGGACTGTCCTTTCTGCCTACTATTTGAATAATCTAAGAAAATTGTCGTGTTGGGAAAATTTAGTTGAAACAATAGCTATGCATGATTGATTTTCAAAGATCAAGATCAGATTAGTTTTTGGATTAATCATGATAAAAAAATCAAGGGTAGAACATTTATTTTAAAAAGTTAAAATGCTCTACGTCAGTATATGTTCATACATATGACTACATAGCTATTGTTTTGAACCAACAATAAGCTTCGGAAGTTTGCTGTCTCTACAACATTACAGGAACACTGCTCCTCCTTGACTGTCTGACAAGTATCCACAAGAATTATTCCCCTGTCTTTAGGCAACAGCCCTTCATGAAAAATATCAGGAAATAAACAGGGCTGAAGCTCCTAGAAGGTGGGAGGGCCAAGGAATTAGAGGAGGAAGGAAAGGGATAAGGTGGGATGGAAGAGCCAGGATGCGTTTTTACCCAATTAGTTCCTGGACTAATATTAATTAAAGGGGAGGGCTTTACTAAACACCAACAACAGACAATTTTAATTAACAGGACCTTCGGGCCATACTTTCATAAGCAATTCTTATCCTTGTATTAGGTTCATAATTTTTGGATGACATCATTGGAAAGAGAAATATGTGCCTAAATGTTGGGTGACATTTTAATGAAACAGGCTTACTCTGAGCCCCTTTAACATTGCATTTTGATGAGTTTGGCTTCAATTTGGATTTGGGACCATCTATGACCTCCTCTGCTCAATTTTTTTGGAGAATTGAAAGCTGGATAGTAAAAATAATTGAACTATGTAAAAGTCAAGATTAACTGCATACCGATTGTAGTGGAGCTATATTTTTCTGAAGCATAAATCATATGAAAATGTTATCCAGGAAAAAGCAAATGTCACAGAATTTCATGTTTTATTAAAAACATTAATATTATCAATTCACGATAGATAAAAAGGCTAAAATAGACTAGCAATATTATTTTTATAACCTAAATGTGTCCAAGCATAATTGATCCACACTCAATAAATGCCTGCCTCCCTCCAATATCACACAAATGTTTCTTTCTCACTGTAGGAAAAAATTGGCTGGCGGAATGACTCCCTCCACCTCCTGGTCTTTGTGAGTGATGCTGATTCTCATTTTGGAATGGACAGCAAACTAGCAGGCATCGTCATTCCTAATGACGGGCTCTGTCACTTGGACAGCAAGAATGAATACTCCATGTCAACTGTCTTGGTGTGTAACCTGCACTCTGTACTGTTTTCAGGGCTATAAGTAGGAGAACGAAGCAACAACTAGTGTAATACATGTGAAATAACATACACTTGGTGAAAGCAGTGCACATTTTCTAATGTGGGATTAACAAGTTGCCCCAGCTCGATTCTCACCATCCTCAGAGGTTCCCACCAGAGCATAGGTGGACGGTGGGACATGTGGGAAGTTAGATCTGCTATGAATCCCATGATCCCAGAACCTCCCCAACTTCTCAAAAATCCTGGTGCTGGTAAAGCAATACAGGCAGCTCATTCTATTCTCAGCCACAGCCTCAGAAAGGAGGGACCCAGACCAGAACAGTAGCCACATAGGATTTGCAGTGAATGATAGTCCTTGAATCAGGCCATCCTTTCATGTTCCATGGGTAACAACTAGTCAGGTATGGCTTGGTTGGTGCTTGTTAACCTTTGGCTTATTTTTTGTCATTTATAAAATGCTAGTGACATTCAAAGAAAACAGCTAACTCTTGTAAAACCAGGAAAAAATTTCAGAGCTCTTTGGACATGCATGATCTCCTCAATAGACCCCTATGTATCCAGCTGCTTTTCCTGAACAGACCATGAGGCTGCTATGCTTGTGCACATGTTATTCCCTCTGCCTGGAATATCCTTCCTTCCTAGCCTGCTGAGAAACTCTTCATTATCCTTGAAAAGCCAGTTCAGTCATTACTGCCCCCAGAGAGCCTTCTTTGACCTCTGCCAGGCTCTGAAGCAATTGTCTTTCCCTTCAGTTGCATACGCAGATGTGTTCTTGTGCATCTCTATGTAGAAATATGTTTTCTTACATCTGTCTGTCTTTCTTGCACAATCCTCAGGTCCAGACCTGGTTTATTATCTCTGTTTCCTGATAGCACAGTGCCTATAACACAGTGGGTGCCAACTAATGTATGAAATAGAGGCCGGGCACGTTGGCTCACGCCTATAATCCCAGCATTTTGGGAGGCCGAGGCGGTGGATCACGAGGTCAGGAGATGGAGACCATCCTGGCTAACACAGTGAAACCCCATCTCTACTAAAAAATACAAAAATTTAGCCGGGCGTGGTGGTGGGCGCCTGTAGTCCCAACTACTCGGGAGGCTGAGGCAGGAGAATGGTGTGAACCCAGGAGGCGCAGCTTGCAGTGAGCCAAGATCGCACCACTGCACTCTAGCCTGGGCGACAGAGCGAGACTCCGTCTCCAAAAAAAAAAAAAATAAAAAAATAAATTTGATTTCTGAAGCAGCAGTCTGAGATTGTCATATTTTCCCCATTTAACACTTGGGGAAATATGGTACAGAGAATTTAAGTGACTTCTTAGAACAATGCTGTGGAGGTGTAGGTGGGGGTGCAGGGGGAGAGAAAGAGGGAGACGGGAACCTAGAATTCTAATGTCAATTGGAAAACTATTCTCTAAAAACTCTTAACAGTTCATTACTCACTACTATTCCTTGACCTAAATTTCTAAATTTCGACATGAATGTTTTCCCCAAACATTTGATCAGTAGTATTCCCCAAATGTGTATATTCTTTAATCACATACTCTGCCTTTTCATATTACAATATCAGTGAGGATAGCCGCATGTTGTCTTTTAGTCAGTGAGGGGCAAGAAACTGGAAAATTTATCCCCTTTTCATTACCCTTTTCTTGCAACTTTTCAAAAGCACCACAAAAAGCTCCATTTTGAACGAGGCAGGTTCATAAAAGCTAACACTACTTATTGCCTAATATGAACTTCTCAGCTAATAAATGTTCAAGTTGTTCTTTCTGAATAAGTTGTAACAAATCCACAGAAGCCAGAGACCGTATCTATGCCTGCCTGCAACATAGCCCCCGGGTCCTCTGAGCACTTCCTGTGTACTCAAAACTCAGGCCAGATTCCTCAGGCCAAAAAATAATACAAGGTGGTTCCTGGCCTTGAACTTACAGTATGGTTGTGGGAATTAAACCAACAGATCTGATTCAAATAGAAAACCAGCTTCGCTCACCTTCGAAGGACTATGTGGTGTGATCCTGGCTACACACACACAGCAGCTAAGGAGTGTGGGAACACGTGGAGATAAGGAGGGACTGGCACTGGAGGGATTTAGGCATCAGCGTAAAGGATTTTTACGCAGTTGAAAAGCAGAGGAAATGGATAATATTTGGTATCTCTATTAATAAAAATCCAAATGTGATGGAAATCACATATGACATAGCCATTTGCAGTTGGGTAATTTATTGCAGTGTTTTAGGCAAAACTACACTTTTCTCTCAACTTGAACCTTGTGCCTAAAGAAGGCTTTAGATGAAAATACTCCAGTAGTACTAAGAATATGTGAATATTCCATATGAGTGTACAGGAGGGCTTATTTATCAGTGTTCCTCCCTTTGGCTGACTTCTCCCTTTGACTCCCTTAACATAATTAACATATGTTACTTATGTCATAATTAACATATTCTTAATTTAATTGTTAGCAGGCTAGTACCTCACTTGAGTTTCCTCTGTACATTATTCACATTTAGATTCATATAATGGGCAAATGCCACATAATATTTTCCAAACTTGAAAAGTAAAGTCCATATTCCAATTTAAAAATTAAGCTTCTTTTATTTTTTATACAGTACACATATCACTTGGGAACAAATATGCCAATGGAACAGAAGTACAATGTAGTTTTCAATTGTCCTGTAAAAATATTGCACGATTCCATGCAACCAACTTGTGATATTAAAATGGCAGTAAAACCAAACCCAAGGATTAGTACGGGAATGTCATAGTATGTCATACCTCAGCAACCCTCATTCCACCTCATCCAATTCCAATAGGAGTTTCAGAGCTACAAGAGTCACTTCAGTCATGTATATTATAGTCCAACAGCCCCTCCCTCGACTGAGGAATTCCTAGCCTGCTGGTAAGTGTCACTTAGAAGGAGAAGAAATGTTTGTCTACCCTTGAAAATAGGACACACTGTTAGTCTTTAAATAAATTTCAAATGGTCTTCTTAGAAGTGGCAGAGCATGATACACCACATCAACAGGAACTGACTCTTAGGACTTGACTGGATTTATAAGATTTAGAAAAAGATTATTAAACCAACTAAGTGAATAATGCTAATTGTGTATTTGTTTACTTAGAGTGATAGAGCTATAATGCCTGTGAGCATTGAAATGCCAAACTCAAAAAGGTATCTTTGAAATAAATATTCCTTTCTTTATTTACATTATTTTATTGAGATGATGCAAAATTATATATGTTAATTTTAGGAATATCCAACAATTGGACAACTCATTGATAAACTGGTACAAAACAACGTGTTATTGATCTTCGCTGTAACCCAAGAACAAGTTCATTTATATGAGGTAAGCAAAAATAACTTGGGAAATTCCTTCAAGGAGATTATGTGACATGAAACTTTAACATTAACTCTGTGAGTTTAACACATGGGAAGGCCATTAGATAATCATTAACACACACCAAATGTACTGGGCGCTTGGCTAAGTGGACTCATTTACTGCTTGCAATTTAAATTGTAAACACCTAGGTGCAGTAGGGCATGGGGAACTAATAAGGTGGGATGAGAAAGACTGAGTTAAGGAAATGAAACAGATATGCTGGAGGAGAGTATCAACAAATATAGGACAGCCTACCTAAAAGAAAATTTATTATCTGTCCCCTTGAATTATTTCATCTAATGAGGGAGTTAACAGAGAACAGAGAAAATCTTAAGAGTGGGAGCAGAATTGACTTCACATTCTTTGGCATTTGCAAATTAGATACTTAGAAAAGACACACACAGAGACACAAGCTATTGAGAATTGGAAAGTTAAAGGAAAAAACTTGTTATATGGGGCCAAAATACAATTTATCCCTTAAACCAGCTGGATTTGCAGCTCAAGTGTTTGAATGGAAGCACCAACTGCAAAAAGGGAATGGTTTCATTAGATGAAGTGCTGTCCCCAAACCACTGTGCAAACTGCAAAAAAATACGATATATGCACATACAAAAGATTTCTGTGGTTTTTTTTCCCAGCCTAGGAAAAATATGTCAAAATGCCCTGAATTGATTTACTCCTGCAGTTTTACAGAGAAGTAAGGAGTCTTTAGCAGGGGCCCTAAAAATAATGCAGAGAAATTAAATAGTCTGTGCCTTCTATGCAGAAGTGTCAAATGCTCCTAAATACAGAGTTTGATCTCTCATTCCTTTTGAAAGGACCTCTTAACTTGCTTGGTGACTTCACAGGGCTTCTGAAACTCTGAGATTATGTCACAGAAGGCTTTGATTAAATGCCACTCACTACTAAGGACGGTACAGCCCCATGAACTTGCATCAGGTTCTGTAGAAAGGATCCAGCAGGAGATGCTATCTTGCATTTTGAATGAGAGGAGGGTATTGTACTCCCAGGTGAGATTGCCTTCTGCTGCAAACCAAGGAAGTTCCTTGCAATCAAGCTCCATACTTGAAACCTGTGTTCTACGCAGAGCCCATGTGGGTTCACCTGATATGGGCATTTTCTTCAGGCTTTTTAGTATGTGATATTTGTTTCCAGTGGTTTTAAGTAGTAGAGTTGCAGTTGAGACTTTTTTAAAATACCCCCAAATACAATAGTGAGTCTATTCTGCCTTTGATCCTTAAGGCTAGTGTGAGAGGACCCTGGGGGTCACAACACCTTCTCCACAGCAAGGCTCCAGTTTAGAAGTGGGAGGAGGAGTTGCACAGAACTTTTCTTCAAAGGGGAGTCTGGGGAATGCGATTGATGATCGTGAACATAGACTACCATAACTCACTTTGGTAATAGTCTTTAAGACTCACAACTCATTTATACGTCTCCCCAAAACCGCTATTAAAAAGACAGAGGCAGATGAAAAATAACTACATGGCAAAACAGAGCCTGTCGGATTTAAGCTAGTTGCATCCATGATTCCCCCGTTGCAAGGGAAATGATCATTTCCGAGGAAAATGCCAGATTAGAGTCTGCCTCTAATGTAACAGCAGGACATCGATTTTGCCTGTCTTCTAATCTTATTATGAGGCGAATTTATGTTCTGTCATGATCTGTGGTCTTTACCATCCAGCCTTCACTAAATTCAAAGGGACATTTTCAAGGGGTCATACGACAGTCCAGGTCAGCCACCCACTCTATGACTGACCGTTTCATTGTTTTATTTTTATTTTGATGGGCTCATCATTCCATCTGCATTAGTAGGGGCAGGCAGCAGCCTGGCCTAAAGATAATAACAGCAACAATGCACATCCTTGAAGCCTTCACACAGCATGAAAATGCTGATCTTCCATTTTATTGATAATGAAAACTGAAAACGGTCCACTAATGGCTTGTGTTGCCTTTCAATTCACATCTTTTAGAAGGAGCCCTGTATGTGCAGGAGTCCTGTGCGATTTGATGTTTGGATAACTGCGATATAAGGAACGTAGCTACTGAAGAATCACTGAAAAATAAAACCAGTGATAGATAAATAAAGCAATTAAGTGGTTAGATTTCATGAAAATTCCAGAAGGAAAATTATTTGCCCGAGTTACACGTTAAGCATAGTTACTTGCCTGCACAGGCCACACAGGTTTAGGTTCAACGAAGGCCCTGTCTGCAGCAAATAAAATTTATGTTGCCCACTCATGGAATGCAGGAAAAATGACTGTTTTTTTTAGTAACTGTGGTAGAATGCTTTGGACCGCCCAGGTGTGTAGTGTGCCTGTACATTGTTGTAACAGAGATGAACAGTGAAAAGGATAAAGTAAGCAGTTTTGCTTCAGTTCAGTATGGCTGTAGTGTGCACCCCAGACTCCAGCCAACAGAATATTTTTGAACAAACTTATTATTATGAATAGTTTCCTGTTTGTCCAATTATAGGGTTCGAAAGATAATGATGATAATAGACTGAGCAGTGGGTAGTATATTACATTCTAGTGCTAACTACCATTTTGAATCAGGATTCAATTACCCAAGTTAAAAAAAAGTTTTTATATTTCCTCTGTAGTTTTAAAATGTTTACTGTTAATTTACATTAACATAGTATCAGGCCACTAAACCTCAACTGTCTTATCTGAATAGCTTCTCTTTCCTAGTAAGCTATTGAGATAAAAAGCAATTAAATCAACATTCTTTATGACATTGTCGAATCATATTATTAATCACTGTGGGCTATTTCCAAGGCTTTAAAATATCCTATAGCTATTCAAAATATCTACATCTGGCTTGAAAAGATGACTTTAGTGAAGTTAATAGCAATAATTATTATATGACCTGGTATTTGTGATGTAATGCTGAAACACAGCAATTGGAAAGTAAACAAGAAGTATACTGGTACTTCCAGTTTACTCACTAACTTCTATGACCACTGATTAATATCTCTTGGCTGTTAGCACAAAGCAATGTTTCTAAAGCATGAGAGAAGGGGAGTACAAGCAGGTTTTTATGCAGCCAAAGGGACCTTTCCTCTGGAGACAAAAAACCCTCAATCATTAACTGTTTGAGGAGAATAACAGGTCTTTCTCATCTGTTTAGGCCAATTCTCGAAACACAGTAGATTCTCAGTAGATATTTGTCAAATGATTTAAAAATTGCAATAACTGCACTTCATCTTTTCTAAAATTGGGTCAAAAGAAAGACTTGGAGTTTTGCGTGACAAGCACTTGTTAAGATTGAGGAAGCCCACAGACACAGAGCAAGTGGGGGCACCTGACCATTGCCAGAACCTTCTGCAGCCCTGGCTGTCCCTTCTTCCATCCCTCCCACATTGGATGCAGATGAACACTCTGCCATCAGTCTCAGGACCAACATGTTGGAGAAGCTCCACAGCCTTCTAGCAGGCCATAAAAGGAACACCCTGAGCAAGTACCCACCTGATGGCCATTAGATCTATAAACAAACATAAACAGCAGCCGCATATGCTATAAGCCTGATGTCCTTGTGTGGCTTGTGGAAATTATCCACCATACGTAAGTTTCCATTTTTCAGGAATCAATAACCCAGCTGTTATTTTACCTCTTCTTTCTTCTATTTGGTTCTTTTGAGCTTTTCATTGCAGCGAGGGAGGAAAAGAGGCAGAGAAAATAGAGAGAGAAAATAAAAATTGGACCCCTTTGCTATTTGTTAGCCTGTTCTATTATTGTTTTGTTTTATAATGTTCCTGTTGGAAAAGATCAAAACAATTTTGCTCCAGTGGAAATCTCTTTATCTCTCTGGCCTCAGTTTTTAGGCAATAAAAAAGACTGGGCGGGAAGATTTCAGCCTCAACAGTCAATGACCTTGATTCTGGAGGAGGGAAATTACCATGAATTCCAATGACCTCCACACAAATAACAAAGTTTAGTAAGCTGTAATGTAGCTAATTTTAGGGCATAGTCTAGATATTCTTTATCCTATCAATCTCATTCTGTAGTGGAGTATTCCAAACTTGTGATTTTAGTAAAAATAAAATCATCTAGGAGTAAAACGACCACTTCTGGATTATGAGACATCTCCATGGAGGTAATAAATTGCTCTTTATTTAAGTGTAATGGAAAGTATTTTCATTTCTCCTTAATTGATAGTATCTGGGAACAAAGACTGAGGAGGGCCAGCTGCCTACACTTTCCTTATTAATGAAAACATCCCTTAGAGAGGGAGGTTTTGGAAATAAACCTTATGTCCTCAGATTATCAGTCAGAGTTGTTGGGAGTATTTTCCAATCCTAACCATGAAAAATCATCAGTTACCCCTTAGATCACACATAGTACTTTTCTTCTAAAGAACTCAAAGCCTCATAACTGAGAAAGTAAACACAAGAAAGAAAAAGGTACAGGTTTAAAGCAGGACCTTAATGAGATGCCTGATTAGGCCAATACTTGTAGAAATATAAAATGGGATTTTTTTTTTTCTTGAGAGAGAGTCTCACTCTGTCGCCCAGGCTGGAGTGCAGTGGCATGATCTCAGCTCACTGCACCCTCCGCCTCCCAGGTTCAAGTGATTCTTGTGCCCTAGCCTCCCGAGTAGCTAGGATTACAGATGTGCGCCACCATGCCCAGCTAATTTTTGTATTTTTAGTAGAGACGGGGTTTCGCCATGTTAGTTAGCCAAACTGATCTCAAACTCCTGGCCTCATGTGAACTGCCCACCTTGGCCTCCCAAAGTGCTGGGATTACAGGTGTGAGCCACTGTGCCCAGCCTAAAATGGGATTTCAATAATGCGAGATCTAAATGCTTTGAGATTTACAGATTTACAACGCACAGGATATCTAGCATATCATTGAAACTAAGACGCTATAGACTGCATAGTCATTCATTCCTTCATTTCTCAAACATATCATGAGTACCTCCTGTGAACTATGCCAAAGTTTGTGACTATAGAGAAGAATAAGACGTAGTGCCTGCCTTAAGAAGTCTCAGAGAGCATCAGCAGACTTGTAAACTAATATTTTGCCTATAAAAACAGAATGAGGGCATTTTAGAGTTGTGTTCTGGAAAGAGACTCCAGCTGAGGGGTCAGAGTTTTCATGTCTGTCAATGTTTTTACTCTTTTCTATTCACTATCTTTCCTATAAGGAGCAGCAAATTAATCGGCAATCATAAAACTGCTTTTGATGCTAACAATATCATGGTGTTGGACCAAGCCCTTCACTTTATAGGGGTGAGGGCTGGTGATGATATGCAACTATGACTATGATAATAATAGTGTAATAGGGAACGTTTGTCAAGAGCTTATTAGGTGGCACCCTGGAGGTTCAGGATTTTGCACTCATTTTATCATTTAAACTCCTTCTTATGCAAATTGCATGTAAGAGCCAAGATTTGAACTCAGATAATCTGAATCTACAGTCTCAATCACTGAGATAACTCACAATTGAATCACTGAGATAACTCACAATTGAACCTGCTATAGTGAAAAAGCAGACCACTAGACCACCAGACACAGATTTTAAAATAATCACCTTTTTTTTTTTTTTTGAGACAAAGTCTCCCTCTGTTGCCCAGGCTAAAGTGCAGTGGCACAATCTCAGCTCACTGCAACCTTCGCCTCCTGGATTCAAGAGATTCTCCAGCCTCAGCCTCCTGAGTAGCTGGGATTACAGGCGTGTGCCACCATGCCCAGCTAATTTGCATGTTTTTAGTAGAGACGGGGTTTCACCATGTTGGCCAGACTGGTCTCGAACTCCTGATCTCAAATGATCCACCCACCTCGACTTCCCAAAATGCTGGAATTACAGGTGTGAGGCACTGCTCCTGGTCAAGCAACCAGCTTTAAAAAGCATAGAATTCAAGGGTAGAGCAGAGCTGCCTGACAGCTAAACCAATAGATGAATTCCCTGTAAATTGCACAGTGCTTTAAGATCAGGAAATACTTCATCTAGGGTTCTTCCCTATTGCTGTTAATTTGGATGAACAGAGCAATTTAAAGATGCATAGACTTGAAAAAAGACAGACACTTGGATTCTGCCCCGTGGGTTGTTTAAGCTCTGGGTGGTAAGAACAGGCCACACAGCTAGGGAACACTATGCATTGGGTCAGCACATCTAAAACAGCTACTGTCTATGGTAATCACAATCTATGGTTCCAATCAAAGTGAGAAATTGGGGGCACGTGGTCTGACCAAGACTATAGGTTTATGATGAGCATATAGTTCAAGCATATGGAAAAATGGCGTAATATAATAAACACTCGGCCGGGTGCAGTGGCTCACGCCTGTAATCCCAGCACTTTGGGGGCCGAGGTGGGTGGATCACCTGAGGTCAGGAGTTCAAGAGCAGCCTAGCCAACATGGCGAAACCCTGTCTCTACTAAAAATACAAAAAATTAGCAGGTTGTGGTGGCATGCACCTGTAATCCCAGCTACTCGGGAGGCTGAGGCAGGAGAATCGCTTGAACCTGGGAGGCGGAGGTTGCAGTGAGCCGAGATCGCACCATTGCACTCTAGCCTGGGCAACAAGAGTGAAACTCCATCTCAAAAAATAATAATAATAAATAAACACCCACATACTTATTGCCAGTTTTCTCACATTTTAACATTTTGCCACCATATTTGCTTTGGATTTTTTAAACAAATGAAACAACCCAGATCTAGTTGCATGCTGTGTAACTGCCCAACTCTGGTCTAGTTCCCCTGTCCTTCTACAGAGGTAACCAGTATCCTGAACTTAGTGTTTGTCATTCTCACATTTGTTTTTTGTGCTATTAAAAATATGTGTGTGTGTATATATATACATATATATATGTACACATATATGTACATCCATAACTAATTATGTAGTTTTGGCTTATAAGCTTAATTTCATGCTGTACACATTATTTTTACCATTTGCTTTTTGACTCAATGTTATATATTTGGGGTTTTTTATTATATTTTCTTATTATGGTAAGATACATATAACATAAACTTTACATTTTAGCCATTTTTAAGTGTTAGTTCTGTGGCATTAAGCACTTGAAGCACTCTGCCATTTATAGAGAATTTATCTATTGGTTCATCTGCCAGGTATTAAAACTTTGTTAAGCTCAATGCTCTGCTTTTGAGGCTTGTCCATGGAGATACGTATAGCTATAGTTTACTCCACCCCACTGCTATGCACGCTCCATTCACAGTATTACTGGCAATGTGTTCATTCTGCAAGTGAGGGCATCAGATCACTTCCAGTTGTGCAGCATTACAAGTGTTGCAGCCATGCACATCTTTGCACACATATGCTCTATTGAGAAGTGAAATCCTTGGGTCACAGGGGAATGGCATCTATAATTTTACTGAGTTTGTCCAAGTTGCTTTCCGAAGTAGTTGTATCAGTTACTCTCCCACCAGTAATGTAGTGTGGAAGTATGACCAAAACAAAATGAAACTTTAAGTTACTCTTTTTCTGATTATAAAACTAATATATACTATTTGCAAAAAGAAAAGTGAGGAGGAATACAGAAAACCCAAAGAAGAAAACAAAGATCACTCATAAACTCACCACTCAGACATAGCTAACATTGTTGACATTTTAGAATAAGTTTTTCTGGCCGGGCATGGTGGTTCATGCCTGTGATCCCAGCACTTTGGAAGGCAGAGGTGGGTGGTTCACTCGAGGTCAGGAGTTCGAGAACAGCCTGGCCAACATGGTGAAATCCCGTCTCTACTAAAAATACAAAAATCAGCCAAGTGTGGTGGCATGTGCCTGTAGTCCCAGCTACTTGGGAGGCTGAGGCAGGAGAATCTCTTGAACCTGGGAGGCGGAGGTTGCAGTGAGTCGACGTCATGCCTTAATCGTACAATTAAGTATGTTCAAACTTTTTGAATGTTTATACATGTATAATCTTATAAAGGCATACAAATTAAATTGCATGTAGTTATACATCAAAATTTTTATTGATGAGAGTAACTATATGAAATCAAGATCATCCTACAAAATTCTGAGCCTATAGTTGCCATACTTATAGGTGTCTACTTTAAAATAAAAGCAAACTTGTCCTTTCCCACCAGCAGCCCAAAACCTGAGCAAGTACTGCATTTTTACCTCCTGGGTTACTTTTACATATTCACATAATACTTAGTTACTTTTTTATATTAATAGGACCAACAAATTATTTCCAGTATTCATTTTCTTATGCCTGAAATTGCCCCTTTGGTGAAGACTTTGACATCTGTGAACAAAACTCCTCTCTGAGCTGCTAACTGCTCAAAGCTGTGTAATTACCCTTCTCCGCTTTCTCTGGGTCTCACAGCACAAGGGCACTCCTGCATAATTCAGTTACCCATGTATCCCCTAAAGCCTTTCCTATGGTTGCAGTTGGCCACTCTATGTGGTGTCTGTGAGGCTGGCCCGGACTGTAAGTTTGAAGGGAGCTCACCCAGCTTGTATCACTATGCAGGAGTCTAACAGCAACCAAGCATTTTCCACGTGTCATAGCCTTTGAAATAATCACATATGGCATCAAGGCACAAAAGGACAAGTGAAACTGACAACCCCCGGGACATAAGAAGAGTTTAAGAGTATTTTCTATTTTCATTTTATGTCTGATTATCCAGAAAAGCCCCAAATATCCTACCAAGGGACTAGTATTAATGATAACATAGTTTAACATTTTGTTGTCTTGGCATTATTGAATCTTCAGAAAATAAACAGAAAATTTTGGAATCATTATTTGTTGAGCTTGAACAGTTGAGGTAATTATTTATAAATTCAAGGGTTGGCACACTTTTTTCTATAGAGTTTTCAGATTCAGCACATAAAAATCCAGGAGATCCAGTTAAATTCGAATGTCAAGTAAGCAACAAATAATTATTAGTATAAATATGTCCCATGCAATATTTGGACCACATGTACACTAAAAATTTTTCATTGTTTCTCTGCTTTCCAATTTATCTGAGCATTCTGTATTTTATCTGGCCGCCTATCTACAAAGGGTCAAATAGTAAGTTAGGCATTGTGGCCACATGGTTTCTGTCATGATTATTCAACTCTCATTGTAGCATGAAAGCGGCCATGGACAATACATAAATAAATGAGCATAGTTATTTACAAAAACAAGCAACAGGCCAAATATGGCCCGTGGGACATAGCCAATCCCTGCCTTCGTTCATTCATTCTACAAATATTTATGTGTTTTCCGTGTGTCAAGCACTGGACTAGGCCCTAGGAGTATAGAGGAGAATAAAAAAAGACACTGTTTTGTCCTCATGGACTTGTAATCTAGTAGGGGGAAATAGACGAGAAACAATTAATGAAAAAACAACCAATTACAACTTTTAATAGTGTTATCGAAGAAATGGAAAAGAATAGTGTGCAGCCATGGACCATAATTAAGGGGGAGAAAGTGAGACTTTCCTTGGATAGAATTTTCATGGAAGGTGCCTTTCCAGAAGTGATAATGAGGAAGCGAGCTGAAGGCTGAGGAGTTTTCAAGAGGCAAAGGCGTGTGCAAAGGCCCTGAGGCAGCAAAGGACTCAGTTCCCAGTGTGCTTGAGAAAAGGAAAAAAGGCCAGTTGGCCTGGAGTGAGTAGGGGTAGAAGGAGATGGAGCGGGAGAGGTAGGCAGAAACCAGACCCTTCAATCTTGAAGGCAGTGGGAAGTAAGCAGGGTGCTATTCTATGGGTAGCAGGCATCCAAAAATACTTTTGTTGCTGGGTATAGATGTCACAGGTATATGACAGGCTGAAAACCCTGGATAAACTGTGGGTATATAGATTTAAAAACCTAATGCCTTTATTTTCCAAATCACTACAAGCCCTCTGATAGACTGTTCTACACCAGCAGTTCTCAAACTTAGGTGCTCATTAGAATCAGGTAGGGAGCTTTACTAACAAACCCAATGTGTAGGCTACACCCTGATCCAATTGAGTTAGTATCTCTGGGGCTGAGACCCAGACACCAGTGGTTTTTTTCTTTTTATTTTCTTTTTTAACTGGTGTATCCAATCAACCTGGGGGACAGGGACCTCTTAAAATGCAGACTGTCATTCAAGAGGTCTGGGCTGGGGCCTGAGAGTCTGCATTTCTTTTTTTTTTTTTTTGAGATGGAGTCTCACTCTATTGCCCAGGCTGGAGTGTAGTGGTGCGATCTCAGCTCACTGCAATCTCTGCCTCCTGGCTTCAAGCGAGTCTCCTGCCTCAGCCTCCTGAGTAGTGGGGACTACAGGCGCACACCACCACACCCAGTTAATTTTTGTATTTTTATTAGAGACGGGGTTTCACCATATTGGCCAGGATGGCCTCGATCTCCTGACTTCATGATCCACCCCCCTCAGCCTCCCAAAGTGCTGGGATTACAGGCATGAGCCACCGTGCCCAGCCAAGAATCTGCATTTCTAACAAGTTTCCAGATGATGTTGCTGCTGTCAGTCCACAAATCACACTTCGAATATCAAGAGCTGAAGCCTCTTTTGCAGTCCTTGCACATACACCTACTTGCTATTTTCTCGTCCCCTTCATTTTCTTCCTACTAGTCATCCTTCAAAGTTTTATTACCTGCCGTTTGGCCTGCAAAGCACATAGGCTGCTACTGAACCCCACATCACTTCCTATTTTAAAAGAGCTTTCTAAAGCTTTGGGACTTGAATTAGTCAGCAAAGGTCTGCAATTCCTCTCCAAAGGCAAGGTAATCTTATTAAGAGAAGATCTGAAGTATCCTTAGGAACAAAATACTCAATGTAGCCTCTTTGTTCTCTAAGTCTCCATTCTCCAGTGCCTCTCTGTGCATTTGTTTGTCTCAGAACAGTCATGCACGGTGGATCCATTTGTCTTCCCTTATCACTCTGTTACTGCTGCCGAGCACTCGCTCAGCTGTGTGCTCCAGCTTCTTGGCTGACAAGATAATTACATTCTGGGCAGACTGGGAGAAAGACAGGTAGTGCTCAAAAGTTCCGATGCCGACAACCTAGTCATTGCTGGGGCAGACTTCAAGATCAAGCACCTGATCTAATTAGCACACTCCCATCACTACCTGCCTGCCTATGGAATGCTGACAATCGAAAGCCTGAAGGCAAAGCAGATATCATGCAACCCAGAGACAGACATTCATGCTACCCTTGTGCCAGGAACAATTACATGTTCTTTTTGGAATCTTGGGTGTCCTAGTAACACAGTTGAGCCTGGGGGTAAACTTTTGCATAATACTGGAAGCCCTGCATTTACTGATAATGAACGTGAGAACCAGCAGAATAAAACCCCACAAGAATGAAAGACCTCACGGGAAGAAAGCCTTCTGAAGAAGGACTCATTTCAGCAAACCCAGTCCGCCCCTAGCTCTGGAAGAAGCACATGGCTCCATAAAAGCGAGGTTTTGCCAGCAAAGAGCTGTTTTTCTTTGACCAGATAAATAGCACAATACATTCCCCTAGGATTTTTTTTTTTTTTTTTTTTTTGCCTCTGTGCTTTTGCTACTTCCTACATTTCTTTCAAAATGTAGCCTTTGACTTTGAAAGTCATTACAGCCACAACGCTTTTTCTCCTTTTCTTTTTGCTCTGGGTAGAAAAGTGCTCTATAATCTCTAAATCCTTATAATAAGTGTTCTATAATCTGTAAGTTCATATATAGACATAGGCATGTGTATATATACAGCATTATTATCTTAAATTTCTAATAAGATTCCCACCCTCACTTGCTGCTGGCATTTGCACTAGTTTCTCTGGCAGAGGCCTGGTGGAGAAGAGTGAACCGTGGCTATACAGTCAACACCTATTTCTACCATGTATTACATCTGTGACTGGGCAAGGTACTTACCTGTCCAGTTAAAACTAAGGCTTTAGGTTAAAGAAATCAAAAGAACCCTAGTGCAGTGTTATGGTTTGAATCATGTCCCCCTCTTCCTTTAAAAAATATGTTAAAGATCTAATGCCCAGTACCACAGAATGTGACCTTATTTGGAAACAGGGTCATTGTGGAAATAATAAGTTAACCTAATAGGAGGTCATACTGGAGTAGGACAGACCCTTAATTGAATACCACTGGTGTCCTTATATGAAGAGACACAGAGACACCGCCACTTGAGGGAGAACATCATGTGACAATGGACGCAGAGACTGGAGAGCTGCATCTACAAGCCAAGGAGCTCCAAGGATTGCTGCCAGAAGCTATAAAGAGGTGGGCATGGAGCTCAGACTTCCAGCCTCCAGAACAGAACAATTTCTGTTGTTGCAAGCCACCCAGTTTGTGGGACTTCGGCAACCCAAGGAAATGAACATACCCAGTCAGGCTTACTCATTAACCTCCCTTGGAGGTCAAGAATGACATCACAAGTCGAAGATAGCCATTGCCAGGCACCTAACAGAAGTGATGTGGTTAAGAAATCTGGCTCTAGAAAGAGAATATAAGGAAAGAGGATATGAGTGTATGGGTTCAGCCCTACTACTTCCTGGCTGGATGACATCAGGAAAGTTAACTACACTTTCTGAGCCTCAGGATCATGGCCATAAAACAGGAATAATGATGGTACCTAAATAATAGAACTTCTGTGAACAATGAAAGGGAACAACTGTGAGGTCTAACGGTTAGCTCTAGCTATTCTTTTCCTGGTGGTGGTAGGAGGCAGGTTTTGGGTACCTTTAGCTTTGTCTGAACTGAGGGTTCCCTGAGCCCACTAACCCTGAGTAGATAAAAAGCAATGTGGTCCACTCCCCCATGCATTCCTGCCACTATCCCGAGGCTATAACAAGGTCTCTTCGAGAGCCTTGGGTTTCAGAGGATGCAGGAGGTGCTTGGGGATGTCAAGAGGCTTGTGAGGACCTCTCAATCCTGTTGTAAGGCCCCTGAGTTGGCAACTGCAGCTCCTGAGGAAGGGGAGAGGCATAGAAAGAGGCAGATGAGATTCCTGTGAGAGCCAAGGAGTCTGCTGGGTCTACACCTCCCTTGGCTTTGTCCTCGGGTAGAGGAATCCATGAGGAGCTGATGACTCCTTGTGGTCAAATACCCAACAGAACTGAGCCCCTTTCAGAATTACCTGCACTTTCTGCAATTTAAGTGGCATCTTGATTACCCGGAAGCATCCCCTTGATGACAACAATGATGAATCCTTCTCTATGCATTTGTCTTGGAATAGTCATACATTCTGTTGGCCCATTTCTATAGGAGTAGAATTGCTAGATCACAGAGTGTGCTTATGTTCAGCTTTAGTAGATACTGCTAACTAGTTTTCCAAAATAGTTGTACCAATTTACACTTCTACTACAAGTGTATGAGAGCATTGTCAGTTTTGTAATTTTAGCCATTCTAGTGAAGTGAGTGCACAGTGGCATCTCATTGTGGTTTTAATGTATATTTCTCTAGAGATTCCTGATGTTGAACACTTCACATACTTATTTGCCACTTGCATATCCATTTTGATTAAGATGTCTTCTTCTTGTTGATATGTAGAATCGTTTAGATATTCTGGCACCATGTCCTTGGTTACATGCTTGTACTACAGATATTTTCCTCCCACTGAGTGCCTCCTTCTCATACTCTTAAAGGCATCTTTTGAGAATAAAATTCTTAATTTTTAAAAACAAATTTTTCAAGCAGTTTTAGGTTCACAGCAAATTGAGTAGAGGGTATAGAGAGATTTCCCATATACCTACTCTCTCCATAAATGTATAGCCTTCCCCATTATCATCATCTCCCACCACGGTAGTACATGTGTCATAAATGATGAACCTACATTGATACATCATTATCACCCAAAGTCCAGAGTTTACATTAGGGTTCACTCTTGGTGTTGTACACTTTATGAGTTATGTACAATTATTATGTATCCACCTTTGTAGTATCGTACAGAGTAGTTTCACTGCTTTAAAACTTCTCTGTGTTCTGCCTATTCCTCCCTCTCTTACTGGCCCCCAACCTCTGGCAACCACTCATCTTTTTACTGGCTCCACAGTTTTGCCTTTTCCAGAATGCCACATGGTCAAAATACTACTGTATTAGTCTGTTCTCACATTGCTATAGAGAACTACCTGGGACTGGGTAATTTATAAAGAAAAGAGGTTTAATTGACTCAGAGTTCTGCAGGCTGTACAGGAAGCATGGCTGTGGAGGCCTTGAGAAACTTACAGTCATGGAAGAACATGAAGGAAAAGCAGGCGCGGAGAAGGAGGAAGAGAGAAGGGGTTTGTGCTACATGCTTTTAAACAACCAGATCTCATGAGACCTCACTCACTATCACGAAAACAGCAAGGGGAAACTTCACCCCATGATCCATTCACCTCCAACCAGGCCCCTTCTCCAACATTGGGGATTACAATTCAACATGAGATTTGGGCGGAGACCCAAATCCAAACCATACCAACTGCCATATGTAGCCTTTTCAGATTGGCTTCTTTCACTTAATAATATGCATTTAAACTTTCTCCGTCTTCTCATAGCTTGATAACTCATTTCTTTCTAGCTCTGAATCATGTTTCATTTGATGAATGTACCACAGCCTTTTTTTTTTTAAACTATTCACCTACTAAAGGACATCTTGGTTGCTTCTGGCTTTTGCCAATTATGAATAAAGCAGGTATAAACATCTATGTACACGTTTTTGTGTGGACATAAGTGTTCAACTCTTTCTTTTTATACTTTAAGTTCTAGGGTACATAAGCACAAAGTGCAGGTTTGATACATAGGTATACATGTGCCATGTTGGTGTGCTGCACCCATCAACTCATCATTTACATTAGGTATTTCTCCTAATGCTATCCCTCCCCCAGCCCCCCACCCCATAACAGGCCCTGCTGTGTGATGTTCCCCTTCCTGGGTCCAAGAGTTCTCATTGTTCAATTCCCACCTATGAGTGATAACATTCAGTGTTTGGTTTTCTGTCCTTGTGATAGTTTGCTGAGAATGATGGGTTCCAGCTTCATCCATGTCCCTAAAAAGGACATGAACTCATCCTTTTTTATGGCTGCATAGTATTCCATGGTGTATATGTGCCACATTTTCTTAATCCAGTCTATCATTGATGGACATTTGGCTTGGGTCCAAGTCTTTGCTATTGTGAATAGTGCCACAATAAACATACATGTGCATGTGTCTTTATAGCAGCATGATTTCTAATCCTTTGGGTATATACCCAGTAATGGGATTGCTAGGTCAAATGGCACTTCTAGTTCTAGATCCTTGGGGAATCACCACACTGTCTTCCACAATGGTTTAACTAATTTACACTCCCACCAACGGTGTAAAAGTGTTCATATTTCTCCACATCCTCTCCAGCATCTGTTGTTTCCTGATTTTTTAATGATCACCATTCTAATTAGTGTGAGATGGTATCTCATTGTGGTTTTGATTTGCATTTCTCTGATGGCCAGTGATGACGAGCGATTTTTCATGTGTCTGTTGGCTGCATAAATGTCTTCTTTTGAGAAGTGTCTGTTCATATCCTTTGTCCACTTGTTGATGGGTTTTTTTTTCTTGTAAATTTGTTTGAGTTCTTTGTAGATTCTGGATATTAGCCCTTTGTCAGATGAGTAGGTTGCAAAAATTTTCTCCCATTCTGTAGGTTGCCTGTTCACTCTGATGGTAGTTTCTTTTACTGTGCAGAAGCTCTTTAGTTTAATTAGATCCCATTTGTCAGTTTTGGCTTTTGTTGCCATTGCTTTTGGTGTTTTAGTCATGAAGTCCTTGCCCATGCCTATGTCCTGAATGGTATTGCCTAGGTTTTCTTCTAGGGTTTTTATGGTTTTAGGTTTAATATTTAAGTCTTTAATCTATCTTGAATTAATTTTTGTATAAGGTGTAAGGAAGGGATCCAATTTCAGCTTTCTACATATGGCTAGCCAGTTTTCCCATCACCATTTATTAAATAGGGAATCCTTTTCCCATTGCTTGTTTTTGTCAGGTTTGTCAAAGATCAGATGGTTGTAGATGTGTGGTGTTATTTCTGAGGCCTCTGTTCAGTTCCATTGGTCTATATCTCTGTTTTGGTACCAGTACCATGCTGCTTTGGTTACTGTAGCCTTGTAGCATAGTTTGAAGTCAGGTAGCGTGATCTCTCCAGCTTTGTTCTTTTTGCTTAAGATTGTCTTGGCAGTGCGGGCTCTTTTTTGATTCCATATCAACTTTAAAGTAGTTTTTTCCAATTCTGTGAAGAAAGTCATTGGTAGCTTAATAGGGATGGCATTGAACTTATAAATTACCTTGGGCAGTATGACCATTTTCACAATATTGATTCTTCCTATCTATGAGCATGGAATGTTCTTCCATTTGTTTGTGTCCTCTTTTATTTCATTTGTAGTTTGCCTTGAAGAGGTCCTTCACATCCCTTGTAAATTGGGTTCCTAGGTATTTTATACTCTTTGTAGCAATTGTGAATGGGAGGTCACTCATGATTTGGCCCTCTGTTTGTCTGTTAATGGTTTATAGGAATGCTTGTGATTTTTGGACATTGATTTTCTATCCTGAGACTTTGCTGAAGTTGCTTATCAGCTTAAGGAGATTTTGGGCTGAGATGATGGGGTTTTCTAGATATACAATCATGTCATCTGCAAACAGGGAAAATTTGACTTCCTCTTTTCCTAACTGAATACCCTTTATTTCTTTCTCCTGCCTGATTGCCCTAGCCAGATCTTCCAACACTATGTTGAACAGGAGTGGTGAGAGAGGGCATCCCTGTCTTGTGCCAGTTTTCAAAGGGAATGCTTCCAGTTTTTGCCCATTCAGTATGATATTGGCTGTGGGTTTGTCATAAATAGCTCTTATTATTTTGAGATACGTTCCATCAATACCTAGTTTATTGAGAGTTTTTAGCATGAAGGGTGTTGAATTTTGTCAAAGGCCTTTTCTGCATCTATTGAGATAATCATGTGGTTTTTGTCATTGATTCTGTTTATGTGATGGATTATGTTTATTGATTTGCATATGTTGAACCAGCCTTGCATCTCAGGGATGAAGCCAACTTGATCATGGTGGATAAGCTTTTTTGATGTGCTGCTGGATTTGGTTTGCCAGTATTTTATTGAGGATTTTCGCACTGATGATCATCAGAGATATTGGTCTAAAATTCTCTTTTTTTGTTGTGTCTCTGCCAGCCTTTGCTATCAGGATGATGTTGGCCTCATAAAATGAGTTAGGGAGGATTCCCTCTTTTTCTATTGATTGGAATAGTTTCAGAAGGAGTGGTACCAGCTCCTCCTTGTATCTCTGTTAGAATTCGGCTGTGAATTCGTCTGATCCTGGACTTTTTTTGGTTGATATGCTATTAATTATTGCCTCAATTTTGGAGCCTGTTATTGTTCTATTCAGAGATTCAACTTCTTCCTGGTTTAGGCTTGGGAGGGTGTATGTGTCCAGGAATTTATCCATTTCTTTTAGATTTTCTAGTTTATTTGCATTGAGGTATTTATAGTATTCTTTGATGGTAGTTTTTATTTCTGTGGGATCAGTGGTGATATCCCGTTTATCATTTTTTGTTGCATCTATTTTATTCTTCTCTCTTTTCTTCTTTATTAGTCTTGCTAGTGGTCTATCAATTTTGTTGATCTTTTCAAAAAGCCAGCTCCTAGATTCATCGACTTTTTGAAGGGTTTTTTGTGTCTCTTATCTCTTTCAGTTCTGCTCTGATCTTAGTTATTTCTTGTCTTCTTTTAGCTTTTGAATGTATTTGCTCTTGATTCTCTAGTTCTTTTAATTGTGATGTTAGGGTGTTGATTTTAGATCTTTCCTGCTTTCTCTTGAGGGCTTTTAGTGCTATAAATTTCCCTCTACACACTGCTTTGAATGTGTCCCAGAGATTCTGGTATGTTGTGTCTTTGTTCTCATTGGTTTCAAAGAACATCTTTATTTCTGCCTTCATTTTGTTATGTACCCAGTAGTCATTCAGGAGCAAGTTGTTCAGTTTCCATGTAGCTGTGCAGTTTTTAGTGAGTTTCTTAATCCTGAGTTCTAATTTTATTGCACTGTGGTATGAGAGACAGTTCATTGTGATTTCTGTTCTTTTACATTTGCTGAGGAGTGCTTTACTTCCAATTATGTGGTCAATTTTAAAAGAAGTGCAATGTGGTGCTGAGAAGAATGTATATTCTCTTGATTTGGGGTGGAGAGTTCTGTAGACATCTATTAGGTCTGCTTGTTGCAGAGCTGAGTTCAGGTCCTGGATATCCTTGTTAAGCTTCTGCCTTGTTTATCTGTCTAATGAGAGACAGTGTCTCTCATTATTATTATATGGGTGTCTAAGTCTCTTTGTAGGTTTCTAAGGACTTGCTTTATGAATCTGGGTGCTCCTGTGTTAGGTGCATATATATTTAGGATAGTTAGCTCTTCTTGTTGAATTGATCCCTTTACCATTATGTAATGGCCTTCTTTGTCTCTTTTGATCTTTGTTGGTTTAAAGTCTGTTTTATCAGAAACTAGGATTGCAACCCCTGCTTTTTTTTGCTTTCCATTTGCTTTGTAGATCTTCCTCCATCCCTTTATTTTGAGCCTATATGCATCTTTGCACGTGAAATGTGTCTCCTGAATACACACCAATGGGTCTTGACTCCTTATCCAATTTGCCAGTCTGTGTCTTTTAATTGGGACATTTAGCCCCTTTACATTTAAAGTTAATATTGTTATTTGTGAATTTCATCCTGTCATTATGATGTTCGCTGGTTATTTTGTCCGTTAATTGATGCAGTTTCTTCATAGCATCGATGTCCTTTACAATTTGGCAAGTTTTTGCAGTGGCTAGTACCGGTTGTTTCTTTCCATGTTTAGTTCTTCCTTCAGGAGCTCTTGTAAGGCAGGCCTGGTGGTGACAAAATCTCTCAGCATTTGCTTGTCTGTAAAGGATTTTATTTCTCCTTCACTTATGAAGCTTAGTTTGGCTGGATATGAAATTTTGGGTTGAAAATTCTTTTCTTTAAGGATGTTGAATATTGGCCCCCACTCTCTTCTGGCTTGTAGGGTTTCTGCCGAGAGATCTGTTGTTAATCTGATGGGCTTCCCTTTGTGGGTAAACTGACCTTTCTCTCTGGCTGTCCTTAACACTTTTTCATTCATTTCAACTTTGGTGAATCTGACAATTATGTGTCTTGGGGTTTCCCTTCTCGAGGAGTATCTTTGTAGTGTTCTCTGTATTTCCCGAATTTGAATGTTGGCCTACCTTGCTATGTTGGGGAAGTTCTCCTGGATAATATCCTGCAGAGTGTTTTCCAACTTGGTTCCGTTCTCCCCATCACTTTCAGGTACACCAATCAGACATAGATTTGGTCTTTTCACATACTTCCCTATTTCTTGGAGGCTTTGTTGGTTTCTTTTTACTCTTTTTTCTCTAACCTTGTTTTCTCACTTTATTTTATTAATTTGATCTTCAATCACTGATACCCTTTCTTCCACTTGATTGAACCTGCTATTGAAGCTTGTGCATGCATCACGAAGTTCTTGTGCCATGGTTTTCAGCTCCATCAGGTCATTTAAGGCCTTCTCTACACTGTTTATTCTGGTTAGCCATTTGTCCAATCTTTTTTCAAGGTTTTTAGCTTCCTTGCAAGGGGTTCGAACATCCTCATTTAACTTGGAGAAGTCTGCTATTACCGACCTTCTGAAGCCTACTTCTGTCAACTTGTCAAAGTGATTCTCTGTCCAGCTTTGTTCCATTGCTGGTGAGGAGCTGCAATTCTTTGGAGGAGAAGAGGCACTCTGATTTTTAGAATTTTCAGCTTTTATGCTCTGGTTTCTCCCCATCTTTGTGATTTAATCTACCTTTGGTCTTTGATGTTGGTGTCCTACAGATGGGGTTTTGGTGTAGATGTCCTTTTTGTTATGTTGATGCTATTCCTTTCTGTTTGTTAGTTTTCCTTCTAACAGTCATGTCCCTCAGCTGCAGGTGTGTTGGAGTTTGCTGGAGTTCCACTCCAGACCCTGTTTGTCTGGGTATCACCAGCAGAGGCTGCAGAACAGCAAATATCGCTGTCTCATCCTTCTTCTGGAAGCTCTGTCCCAGAGGGGCAGCCACCTATATGAGGTGTCTGTCGGCCCCTACTGGGAGGTGTCTCCCAGTTAGGCTACATGGGGATCAGGGACCCACTTGAGGAGGCAGTCTGTCTGTTCTCAGAGCTCAAACGCAGTGCTGAGAGAACCACTGCTCTCTTCAGAGCTGTCAGACAGGGACGTTTAAGTCTGCAGAAGTTGTCTGCTGCCTTTTGTTCAGCTATGCCCTGCCTACAGTGGTGGAGTCTAGAGGCAGCAGGCCCTGTTGAGCTGTGGTGGGCTCCACCCAATTTGAGCTTCCTGGCTGCTTTGTTTACCTACTAAAGCCTCAGCAATGGCAGATGCCCCTTCCCCAGCCAGGCTGCTGTCTCGCAGATCGATCTCAGACTGCTGCATTAGCAGTGAGCAAGGCTCCGTGGGTGTGGGAGCCACTTAGCCAGGTACGGGAGAGAATCACTTTGTCTGCCAGTTGCTAAGACCTTGGGAAAAGCACAGTATTTGTGTGTGAATGTCCCGTTTTTCCAGGTAGTCTGTCACGGCTTCCCTTGGCTAGGAAAGGGAAATCCCCCTGACCCTTTGCACTTCCCGGGTGAGGCAATGCCCCGCCCTGCTTCTGCTCACCCTCTGTCAGCTGCACCCTTTGTCCAGCCAGTCCCAATGAGATGAAGCAGGTACCTCAGTTGAAAATGCAGAAATCACCCATCTTCTGCGTCGATCATGCTGGGAGCTGCAGATCGGAGCTGTTCCTATTCAGCCATCTTGGAAGTGTTCAACTCTTTTTGGTAAATTCCAAAGAGTTTGATCACTGGATCATATAGTAAGTGTTTGTTTTGTTTTGCAAGAAACTACCACACTGTCTTTTGTAGTGGCTGCATCATTTTGCATTCCCACCAGCAATGAATGAGAATTCCTATTGCTCCACATCCTAGTCAGCATTTGGTGTTGTTAGTGTTCTGGATTTGGGCCATTCTAATACATGCATAAAGGTATTTCATTGTTGTTTAATTTGCCTTTACCTGCTGACATTTAATGTGGAGCATCTTTTCATATGCCTATTTGCCATCTCTGTATCTTCTTTGGTAATATGTCTGTTAGGGTCTTTGGATCATTTTTTAATTGAAATGTTTGTTTTCTTGTTAAGAGTTCTTTGTATATTTTGGTAATAGTCTTGTAGTAGATGTGTATTTTGCAAATATTTTCTTCCAGTCCATGACTTGTTTTCTTGTTCTTTTGACATCATCTTTCACGGAGTAGAAGATTTTAATTTTAAGTCCAGCTTACCAATTTTTTCTTTCATGGATTGTGCCTTTGGTGTTATATCTAAAAAGTCATCAACATACTCAAGATAATCTAGATTTTTCTACCATTATCTTTTTGGAGTTTTATGGTTTTGCATTTTACATTTAGGTCTGTGATCATTTTGAGCTAATGTTTGTGAAGGGTGTAATAATGTGTCTAGATTTTTTTTTCATGTGAATGTCCAGTTGTTCAAGCACCGTTTGTTGAAAAGACTACCCTTGCTCCATTGTGTTGCCTTTGCTCCTTTGTCAAGGATCAGTTGACTATATTTATGTAGGTCTATTTCTGGGCTCTCTATTCTGTTACATTTGTCTGACTATTCTTTTGTCAATACCACACTCTTTGGATTGCTTCAGCTTTATAGTAAGTCTTGAAGTCAGATAGTGTCAATCCTCCAACTTTGTTCATCTTCAGTGTTGAGTTGGCTATTCTGGATCATTTGCCTTTCCATAGAAACTTTAGAATCAGTTTGTTCATATCCACAAAATAATTTGATGGCATTTTGATTGGCATTGCATTAAATCTATAAATGAAATTATTAATTTTAAGTCTTATTTATTAATCTTTTCCTTTATGGGTAGTGCTTTTTCTATCCTACTTAAGATATTCTTGTTAACCATAAGGCTGTGAAGATAACTCCCCTGACTTCTACAGTGATAAAAGTCAAAATAGTTGTTGTGCTTTTGTGGGGAGGAGTAATGACTGGGAGGCAATACAAGGGAAGATACTAGGGAGCTGGTTATATTCTCTTTCTTTTCTTTCTTCTTTCTTTCTTTCATTTCTTTCTTTCTTTCTTACTTTGTTTCTCCTTCCTTCCTTCTTTCCTTTCCTTTCCTTTTCTTTCTTTTTTTTTTTTTTTTCTGAGGCAAGGTCTCACTCTGTCACCCAGGCTGGAATGCAGTGGCTGCAGCCCCAACCTCCCAGACTCAAGCAATCCTCCCACCTCAGCCTTCCAGTGGCTGGGACTGCAGGTGCACACCAACATGCCAGGCTAATTTCTGTATTTTTTGTAAGGATGGGGTCTCACTATGTTACCTGGCTGGTCTCGAACCCCTGGACTTGAGTGATATACCCACCTCAGCCTCCCAAAGTGTTGGGATTACAGGCATGAGCCACTGAGCCTACCTTATATTCTATTTCTTGATTTTTCTGGGTGATGGTATTTGCTTGTTTACTCTTTAAATATTTCTTGAACGGTATATTTATTACTGGCACACTCTGTATGTTACGCTGCCATTAAAGTTGATAAGAAAGAAAGAAAGAGAGAGAAACAGGGAGAGAGAGAGAGAGAATGCTAGCCGCTGGCTAAAGAGATACAAAGTAATGACAAAAAATACTTAGAAAGATTTGAAGAGAAATTTGTGAGCAGATTATATGACATCATATATTCTCAGTCTATGTAAGCCAATCTTTTAGTATTTACTAAAGATTTCAGTAGAATACATATAGTAAGTCTATTTCCAGATTAGAAACATTGATGTTGGTTAATAATATAATATTGAAAACAAACAGTGCTGTGAGCATAAAATAAAGTAACATTAGTGACACATTAGTGAGGCTTCATAAAGAGAGTTAAGCAAGCAGAGAGTCTAAAGAGAAGCAGCCGGCTGCTCTGAGCATTTGGTTTTACAAATTCTTTATTAAAATGTGATAGATTTGATCATTAAACATGGTATATGTGTATCAAAATATCACACTGTACCCCATAAATATGTGCAGTTTATTATGCATCCATTAAAATAATAATAAAAGCAAGAAAAAATTGCCGCTAGCTGATATGTGACCACTCGACTTGTGACTTCTCACCCTCAAATGAGGGGCATGCCTCAAATGAGGGGCATGCCTCACATGGTCTATATCAAATGAGGGCTACTGAGCTCTGAGGTAGGAGGGGTCTCTGAGACTATAGTAGAAATGTCACAAGAGTGGGCTATAAGGGCCCAGTAGAGTTACTGTCCAAAGCAGAAACCAAATCAAGGTACCCAGCAAGGATACAGTTAATACGAAACACTGACCCAGCAGACAGCCAGGTTCTGAAGAGCTAAGCACACAGGAGATACAGTCGGAGCAGGAATGGGGGTAACATCAGGAGCTGCCCCTTCTGCAGGTCAGAAAGCCAGGATATCACCAAAGCCAGAGAGGCTCTGCAAGGTCCTCAACAGGAGTCTTTTTGAAGAGAAGGCCAACCAACAGCCTGTCCACAGTTAACCAGGCAGCAGTTGTGTGACCGCATGTTCCTCTGCCCTGAGCCAAGCAGGAGTGCACACCTGACAGCTGGTTCTGGCAGCCAGACACTGAGAGGCACCAAACTGGGGGTCCCTCTCTGAGAGGAGCCCAGGATGTGCAGGTGGGAATGCAGGTGTTTCCTCTGTATCACATCTGCCTGCTAAATAGCTCTCTGTCGGTTTCTTATGCTTTCTCTTCCACAAAGAGGAGAATTCCAGGGAACAAATGCAGACTGTTGGATATATACATAATCTTTTTGGAGATGGGGCCGAGTGAAGAGATAAATAGGACTTGAAGAAGGAAGTTAAGAAAACTAAGGTAACCAGAAAGAATGAGTGAGAAAAGCAACCTCAGGAACTCCTGGGTGGTATGGTAGGGAGGACAGGGAAAATCCATAATTCGGTTAATCTGCAGATAGATAATAGAGAATTCAAGCCCAAGCATAAGAGCTTGCATTTCTAATCAGCTCATGCAACATCATGTTTGCAGTGTTCACCATTTCTAATATCCAAGCACCATCTTTTAGAGTCACAAATGCTATAATTCATCACATCCAGGCATGCAAAATCATCCTTTTTCTAACATTAAACATGTTTAATTACAACGATTTATAATAGTGCGTTAAGACTTTAATGAAAGGAAGGCATTTGACACATGATATTTACAGTAATCATAATACTACAATATTTAAAGTATAAATTTTGACAGTGTTAGAGCAGGAAGCCAAATTGTCCATATTTTTAGTTAATTATTTGAAATGTTTTTGGGGGAACTCAGCATCCAGAAATTAATTAATAGTTTTCCTCTGTGCAATTGTCAGTGTTAACCACTGGTTACTGCTACTGGCTGCCAACGCTTTTATATCGTCACTCTAGTGGAAGTCAGCGATTAATGGTAACCACTTGTCCTAATAGCCAAATGCCAAATGTCATACCACATGCAGGATTATAGTTATGTTTTAGGAAGTGGATGGGTTTGGCTTTGTTAGCCAAGAATTAACCACAAATTTGGAGGCCACTTGAACTAGTGCTTGCAGAATATATCTGTGACACCTCAGTCCTGGGGTTCTCAGGATGTTTTTCAAGGATAGCAGTTTCATAAAAAGCTAAGAGCCTTGAAATCCTTTTCCTAAGAGACCAAAACTTTTCTTTGTCAAGCGCGAAAGGTTCCCTCTGCCGTCTCTTCTGGGATCAGTCAAATTTACACACGTTCCAGCTTCACTTAAGTGGAATTCAAGTTCCTGTGTAGGTATTCGCTGTTAACCACATGTCACATGCTTCACAGCCCTTTGTGACATATGTTTATTTGAAAAGGTAAGTCCGTAAACCAGTGCCTTCCTTGTATTTTACAAGTTTCCCCTGACTCAGGGAAACAAAAGGGGGTCCTCCATCATCAGGCAGCAATGTGGGACACAAAGTAAGGTAAGGACTGTTACCTGGATTACTGCCCACAGCCCCCTCAATAATAAAACAGTGTCAAGGCAGAGCAGCATCTCACACTGTTAAGAGTTCAGATTTTACCAGGCTCAGTGGCTCACACCTGTAATCCCAACACTTTGGAAGGCTGAGGTGAGAGTGTTGCTTCAGCCTAGGAGTTTGAGCTACAGTGTGCTATGATCAGGCCACTGCACTCCAGCCTGGGCAACAGAGTGAGACCTTGTCTCTAAAAATAAAAATTAACAACAACAACAAAAATAATTAGATTTCTACTGACTTCAAACTTCAACACAATCGTGACCACTGAAATAAGAGGAACATTAGAAACCCTCAAATCAAAACCAAAACCCATTTTTCCACACAGGTGTAGAAAGCTTGGACTCACCCAGGGACCCACTTCTAGCAAGTGCCCGGGGCACCCTGCATGCATTCTGTGTTCTAACATTGCCCTAGCTTCATTTGTTCCTCTCCTTGGTTCTCTTTGTCCTAATTTATTTTCTTAGTATCACTATTATAATTAATGATAATTATCCATTCTAATATAGTTTTGTGCATTTTCTAAAACATTTAAATCTTCTTTAAATAAGATAGAATATCATTATGTTTGAACTATATGAGATGCCTTAAATCCTTTACTCAAAGCTTACTTACTCTTTTCTACATACAATTTTAATAAATTCAGCCATCTAATTTCGTAGCACACAGCAACTCAGAAGACCACAGCTGAAAGAAAGAGTGGTTGTTGACATAGTACAGTATAGAAAACCTACTTAGTAGATGTCAAATGCAATAGTAAATAGATAAATGAGTAAATTAGTAGGTGAGTAATACCTTAGAGCTCACCAAGGAGAAGGTAGAAATCATTTAAAAACACATATAAGAAGCAACAATGTAACAGTCAGAGCACACTTGGTATGGGTGTGACCTCTCCGGAGATTTCAAAAGCCTTTGATGATTACAGAACCATAGTTTATTTAATTTATTATTATGATTTTTTTTTAGACAGGGTCTCACTTTGTCACCCAGGCTGGAGTGCAGTGGCAACCTATCAGCTCACTGCAGCCTCAACCTCCTGGGCTTAAGCGATCCTCCTGCCTCAGCCTCCAAGTAGCTGGGACTACAGGCGTGCCACCACACCAAGCTACTTTTTGTATTTTTAGTAGAGACGGGGTTTCACCATGTTGGCCAGGCTGGTCTCGAACTCCTGAGCCCAAATGATCTGCCTGCCTTGACCTCTCAAAGTGCTGGGATTACAGATGTGAGCCAGCATTCCTGGCAAAACTGTAGTTAATATTGATAAGTATAACTCTATTCCTTCAAGCAAAGGCCAAAGTATTTTGGGGAATCTTTGTTTAAGAAGACAGGTATGTCTATCACACACCTTGTAAAACTTTTCATTTGAAAACAACAAAATTTAAAACATAAAACTCCAGGGTGGGGAAATGTCCAGCTGTCTGGAAAATTCCCTTCTTTGCCGTGCCTCATTCCCTGGCCATGCCCGATGCCTGGAGTGATGATGAACTCATATTGCTAGTTCTCAGGTGGGAATGATGCCTCAGGAAAAAACACTGTGGGTAAAGAATGCTTTCTGCACTAGCTTCTGACTCACTCCACGGTGATGTGGTGGGAGCAATTCCAACCAACCCCAGCACGGTGCTAGCATCCTGAAAGGGAGCTCATTACCAGGAGGAAGGGAGAGCTCAGTGCAAGCATCCAATAATTCACTCTCTTTCTCCACCAAGCGGTTACTCCTTAAGGCCTCTAAACTGAATGACTTACAGAGCGACCTGATTCCCCTCATTGCCCATGTGCACCAAACCTTGGTTTCTGCAACGTTACAAAAAGAGAAGTTCCTGGGTGTGTGCTGAGAACATTTTGGACAAAGGATGCTTCACGAATGGAAGATGTTATATAAATGCTACTATTATTTGAGACTTGACTCTTCTGGAGACAAAAATCACAGCCTTAGACCATGGCAACCACAGACCCTAGATTTCCCCAGTGCTGACTCTGTCCAGTCCATTTTCCACTTGAGCACAGGAAGCAGCACAAAGTAAAGGCTACAGTTTCAGGAGAAAAGCAGGTTTGTTATCACGAACCTGTTTTCCCTGGCCAGTTAAATAGAGGCAATCATAGCCAGCAGGCTCAAACCCACACTTTTCTCAATTACCATGAGGAAACAAAGATTGACTTACTCTTTTTCTGTTTACAGAATTACGCAAAACTTATTCCTGGAGCTACAGTAGGTCTACTTCAGAAGGACTCCGGAAACATTCTCCAGCTGATCATCTCAGCTTATGAAGTAGGATATTTTACAGCTGGCTTCTTTTTTGCATTTCTTTGGTATTCAAAAACTAAGATGTGATTTAGGCAGTTAAATGTTAGTTACTTGTTGGTAGAGAGAGTGCTTATCCAAAAAAAGTCTCTGCATGAATGCAGCCAAAATATAAATTTTGTTCATTTTGCTTGCTGATCTTCTTCCTGGAAGGTGGAGCTGAAGATAGAAAAATCATAAAACTGATCATAAAGTCGAGGTTGTTTTTATAATAATAAGCAACAGTAACATTGTTGCCGCAAAATTTTAAAGGCTCCACGAGTCATACAATTAAGCTCTCCTCCATCTGAAAAAAAATGAAGTTTAAATTGCCAGTGAGTGACAGAGTTATGTAGAGAGCTAACTCTACAGGCTTGACGATACTAGGTCATAACTCAAGCAAAAATACAAGTGTTGGCTATCCACCAAAACACCAGTACACAAGGAATGCCACTTTTTAATTTCTATACTTTGGAGAACTAGGGACATTTTCCACTGGTTTATGAGTAGGTGTGTAAATTTTTGCTTTTGACTTTGGGAATTAGTACCTGAGGACAGAATTCCTCCCTTAAAATTAGAATATATACCTACGGTGTTGTTATGTTCTCATTCTTTGTCTCCATTTCATAACTCCATTAGTCAACAATGGATGGCCCATTGTCAATTATTTTTAATTTTGGTTCCTAAATATCACCCCCCCTTTTTTTTTGCCTTTACTTACAAAGAAATACACACACAGAGAGAGAAAGAAGAAGCCCTAAATTAGGATAGGAATGAAAAAAAGTAAATTTTTTAGTAAGGAGTAAAGCTCTACTATTTACTGTAAACAGCAACTATGTAAGAACAAGTGAATAACAATTCTCCTGATTTTTGATGTTTTAAAATTACAAAAAAAAAGGCCCATCTGTAATATACGCCAACATTTAGCATGTACTGAACCAGCATTCCTTAACTAAAACGACGTATCAGAATCAACACGGAAAGTTTTTAAAAATAGGCCTATCCTCTCACAGACGTCTTTGAAGGACTTCAGGGGAAATGAGAGCTACATATTTTGGAAAGAAAAAAAATTCCCCAATAATTTTGACGTTGCCCCACCAATTTTGAAACTCCCCTGAAGGAAGAAAAGCAAGATATTCCCTCTCAAGTACTTCATTTCTTCAGAAAATAAAATACAGATGTGTCCATTAAAATTATAAGATGATGGTTTTGTTTTGTTTTGTTTGTTTTACTGATAGCCTCAGAAATTTCAGTTTTCTTAGATCACATCAAATTCATCACCACATTAGCTCATGCTTGAAATTCTTCCAGTCAGGAATGCTCATCAACAAAACGCTATAAAAACCTTCCTCCCTCTCATGCAGTAATTAAAGTTTTAATGTGTAGAATCAAATAAAATCACACAGCAATCCTTCACTGTATCAGAATGCACGCCATTTTTTCGAATCCAATACTCTCAACAGTGTTGGCCACTAACATCATCGGAGAAACTAAGCAGATTAGAAAACACTAAATTGTCAAAAATATTTCCCCCTCCAGTAAGAGCAGCCGCCATGCCTCTGCTTGCTCTGCCAGAGGTTATGGCTCACTTTAAGATCCCAAATACTTCACGCAACTTACAGGGTAGTTGAAATCAAGGCATTAAACATTTGAATTAAATCTTCTGTCCTTGTTTTACTATCTCAGAAATACTAAGAAGTGTCTATTATTCTTAAATGAAACAATCTTGCACTGGAGTTATTATTGGAGCTTTATGATTCACAGGGCAAAGTCTGTAATAGATCCTGGCACTAGTTCAAATTATTTTTCTACTGTTATTTTTAAATGTATGCTAAAAAGAATTTAAAATATGGGAACACATAGACTGAATTTCTTTCTAGTCTATAAAAAGAGAGAGAAGGAAAGAGAATATATTGAGAGAAAACATAAAATGCTTCTGACTGACCTCTAGTAGGGCAGAGGTAGACAATTTGTGTTTATAACTTTGTGGCTACAAACTTCAGCTCAGTATTTTACAGTGCCGTATTGATATTTTAAAAAAACCTTAAATACCGATGTGTACTTATCTGATCATCATTCACTAATTTTCTTTCTTCCCCGATCGTATAATAAAAGCTACCGAAATATCAGCAATCCCAAGGATAAGTTCCTCTGTTTGTGTTTAAATTCCAGGAGGGAATTGACTTGGTTTCTTTTGTTTTTCCTGGTTCATAAGAGATGCTCAAAAAATGAATGAATGAAACTATGAAAAATACAAATAAGTGTTTATGTCCTTTCCTTGGGAAATTCACACTAAAATATTCCTGGTCAAATTTGCAATATGCTGTTAAATTATAGCAATGCTGAAATTTCCTTTATTTAGGTCAGATCATGTCATCCACTAGTCCTCATAATTGCTGTCACAGTCTTCTAGCTCATATCCCTTAATTTTTATTTAGCTCCTGACTCTATCTCCAACATTGCTTCTATTTTAATCTTATTATTTCAGTATAAACAGATTTTGGAGGAAGGCAGGGTCATTTTACTATACATTTGGCAAACTTACACATAAAGTATCAAAGCATCTCATTTCTCCATAAATATATACACCTACTATATACCCACACAAATTAAAAATAAAACAAATTTTTAAAAAATTACACTTAAGGGAAATTTGAAGCCGAATATGCTTTTTAAATGCCAACAAGAAAATGGATATGTGGACTTAAAACTTTTGGATTAACTGAAGTGTAAATTAATTCATAATATTTTTAAATTGGTTTTATTCTGTTTTTCTATTTTTCATAATTTGGTTTGGTTCACCTACAATACAGACTTTCATTTTATAAGTGAACAAGGAATAGAGAAAGCAAAATGATAAACTTCTTGAGGAAAGAAAGCATTCTTATAGTATTCCCCAGACCTAACTCTACACTAAATACATTCCAATATTGATTTTAAGGCACACTTTCCCCCTACATTTTAACATCTCTAAAATTGAGCTCCATCTTACTGTTGGTGGTGAGTTACTATCACCATTGTGGTGCCAGGCAGCAGTCATGATGTAGTTTTCATGGACTATTGTGATTGTACTCACTTCAATTCATTAGAGGCATTGTTGCTACATAAATATTAAGTTTAATTGCTGTTTTAAAATATATTTTAAAATGTGTACTGTGATTTGATATTGAGATGAAAAGTTTATTATGTATGCAGAAATGTACCAAAACAGAGCAGCAGGGTGTAAATTTGTTATCAATGAAGCAAATATTCATTGGTGGAGGAATGACTTCAATTGTGGATTCTTTGCAAAGCAACAAACAGCTGATTTATGGGAGCTAAGAAATCATGATACACATAAAGGAAGCTGTTGTTTAATTTTGTTACTGAGATATAAGCAAAAGAATTGCCTTTTATATGCCAATCTATGCAACTCAGGGCAGGAGAATTTGCCAAATCCTTCAGAATGGATAAAATGATTTTCAAAGCAATGATAGATGGATAGGACTGATTCATATGGTGTGCAGAACCATCTTGAGGTATTTTGTCATAGTTTAATTGTCGTAAGATAATGGTGTATCTTATAATGTTGGCACCTTAGATTTGATAATATATAAAATGTATATATGATTGCTCACTTTCTTGCTTTTGATTGATGATATACTGAATTTCTTTAGACACCCAATTTAGTTTTATTTATTTGTAGTTCAATGAACATGATTCACGGTTTCTTCTTCTGGCTATATTTTTGGGGTTGTGACTTCACTGAACTCTTTATGTTGTAACTAAAGGAACTGCGGTCTGAGGTGGAACTGGAAGTATTAGGAGACACTGAAGGACTCAACTTGTCATTTACAGCCATCTGTAACAACGGTACCCTCTTCCAACACCAAAAGAAATGCTCTCACATGAAAGTGGGAGACACAGTAAGTAGCTGGCCAGTAGATAGTCTGAATAAATACCTGGATGGGTCAGAAATTAGCTGAGCTCACTGAAGCTGGATTTCTTTCAAGAATTTTAAAAGCAATTTTCAAAGATTTTCTAGTAAATGCTTTTGGCAAAGCTGATTTCCGTGAAGCCTTGTTTCACCTCGTGCATTTTGGTGGATGGAGGGAGATAATTAGTATTTTCTTTTCCAGGCTTCCTTCAGCGTGACTGTGAATATCCCACACTGCGAGAGAAGAAGCAGGCACATTATCATAAAGCCTGTGGGGCTGGGGGATGCCCTGGAATTACTTGTCAGCCCAGAATGCAACTGCGACTGTCAGAAAGAAGTGGAAGTGAACAGCTCCAAATGTCACCACGGGAACGGCTCTTTCCAGTGTGGGGTGTGTGCCTGCCACCCTGGCCACATGGGGCCTCGCTGTGAGTGTGGCGAGGACATGCTGAGCACAGATTCCTGCAAGGAGGCCCCAGATCATCCCTCCTGCAGCGGAAGGGGTGACTGCTACTGTGGGCAGTGTATCTGCCACTTGTCTCCCTATGGAAACATTTATGGGCCTTATTGCCAGTGTGACAATTTCTCCTGCGTGAGACACAAAGGGCTGCTCTGCGGAGGTAGGCTATGTTGAAATCCATCTTACCCTGTGGCTGCTCAAGTATCAGCAAGGGGCTTGGCATCCTCTGCACCTTCCAGTTTCCTGGGCACAGTAGGTGCTCAATAAATATTTGCTGATCAGCCTTAGACCTAGGGTAACTGAATCTTCTCTTGTAGGTTTTCTGGCTCTAACATTCACTTGGGGTGAGATTTCTGCCAACTGAACTTATGTCTATTATTGTTTCCCTAAGCGTAGATGAAAGATACAAGTGCCTTCTCTCTGGTTGACACCCAGACTCTACAAAAGTGCCTGTTATATGAACTCCATTACCTTCCAGGTTTTTCTGGACCAAGCAGCTGTGTCTGACTGACCTTTTCTTTTTTTTTTTCTTTTTTTTTTTATTTATACTTTAAGTTTTAGGGTACATGTGCACAATGTGCAGGTTTGTTACGTATATATACATGTGCCATGTTGGTGTGCTGCACCCATTAACTCATCATTTAACATTAGGTATATCTCCTAATGCTATCCCTCCCCCTTCCCCCCACCCCACAACAGGCCCCAGTGTGTGATGTTCCCCTTCCTGTGTCCATGTGTTCTCATTGTTCAATTCCAACCTATGAGTGAGAACATGTGGTGTTTGGTTTTTTGTCCTTGTGATAGTTTGCTGAGAATGATGGTTTCCAGCTTCATCCATGTCCCTACAAATGACATGAACTCATCATTTTTTAAGGCTGCATAGTATTCCATGGCGTATATGTGCCACATTTTCTTAATCCAATCTATCATTGTTGGACATTTGGGTTGGTTCCAAGTCTTTGCTATTGTGAATAGTGCCGCAATAAACATACGTGTGCATGTGTCTTTATAGCAGCATGGTTTCTAATCCTTTGGGTATATACCCAGTAATGGGATGGCTGGGTCAAATGGTATTTCTAGTTCTAGATCCCTGAGGAATTGCCACACTGACTTCCACAATGGTTGAACTAGTTTACAGTCCCACCAACAGTGTAAAAGTGTTCCTATTTCTCCACATCCTCTCCAGCACCTGTTGTTTCCTGACTTTTTAATGATCGCCATTCTAACTGGTGTAAGATGGTATCTCATTGTGGTTTTGATTTGCATTTCTCTGATGGCCAGTGATGATGAGCATTTTTTCATGTGTCTTTTGGCTGCATAAATGTCTTCTTTTGAGAAGTGTCTGTTCATATCCTTTGTCCACTTGTTGATGGGGTTGTTTTTTTCTTGTAAATTTGTTTGAGTTCTTTGTAGATTCTGGATGTTAGCCCTTTGTCAGATGAGTAGATTGCAAAAATTTTCTCCCATTCTGTAGGTTGCCTGTTCACTCTGATGGTAGTTTCTTTTACTGTGCAGAAGCTCTTTAGTTTAATTAGATCCCATTTGTCAGTTTTGGCTTTTGTTGCCATTGCTTTTGGTGTTTTAGACATGAAGTCCTTGCTCATGCCTATGTCCCGAATGGCATTGCCTAGGTTTTCTTCTAGAGTTTTTATTGTTTTAGGTCTAATATTTAAATCTTTAATCCATCTTGAATTAATTTTAGTATAAGGTGTAAGGAAGGGATCCAGTTTCAGCTTTCTACATATGGCTAGCCAGTTTTCCCATCACCATTTATTAAATAGGGAATCCTTTCCCCATTGCTTGTTTTTCTCAGGTTTGTCAAAGATCAGATAGTTGTAGATATGTGGCATTATTTCTGAGGGCTCTGTTCTGTTCCATTGGTCTATATCTCTGTTTTGGTACCAGTACCATGCTGTTTTGGTTACTGTAGCCTTGTAGTATAGTTTGAAGTCAGGTAGCATGATGCCTCCAGCTTTGTTCTTTTGGCTTAGGATTGACTTGGCAATGTGGGCTCTTTTTTGGTTCCATATGAACTATAAAGTAGTTTTTTCCAGTTCTGTGAAGAAAGTCATTGGTAGCTTGATGGGGATGGCATTGAATCTATAAATTACCTTGGGCAGTATGGCCATTTTCATGATATTGATTCTTCCTACCCATGAGCATGGAATGTTCTTCCATTTGTTTGTATCCTCTTTTATTTCATTGAGCAGTGGTTTGTAGTTCTCCTTGAAGAGGTCCTTCACATCCCTTGTAAGTTGGATTCCTAGGCATTTTATTCTCTTTGAAGCAATTGTGAATGGGAGTTCACTCGCGATTTGGCTCTGTTTGTCTGTTATTAGTGTATAAGAATGCTTGTGATTTTTGTACATTGATTTTGTATCCTGAGACTTTGCTGAAGTTGCTTATCAGCTTAAGGAGATTTTGGGCTGAGACAGTGGGGTTTTCTAGATATACAATCATGTCATCTGCAAACAGGGACAATTTGACTTCCTCTTTTCCTAATTGAATACCCTTTATTTCTTTCTCCTGCCTGATTGCCCTGACCAGAACTTCCAACACTATGTTGAACAGGAGTGGTGAGAGAGGGCATCCCTGTCTTGTGCCAGTTTTCAAAGGGAATGCTTCCAGTTTTTGCCCATTCAGTATGATATTGGCTGTGGGTTTGTCATAAATAGCTCTTATTATTTTGAGATACGTCCCATCAATACCTAATTTATTGAGAGTTTTTAGCAGGAAGTGCTGTTGAATTTTGTCAAAGGCCTTTTCTGCATCTATTGAGATAATGATGTGGTTTTGCCATTGGTTCTGTTTATATGCTAGATTACGTTTATTGATTTGTGTATGTTGAATCAGCCTTGCATCCCAGGGATGAAGCCCACTTGATCATGGTGGGTAAGCTTTTTGATGTGCAGCTGGATTCGGTTTGCCAGTATTTTATTGAGGATTTTTGCACCGATGTTCATCAGGGATATTCGTCTAAAATTCTCTTTTTTAGTTGTGTCTCTGCCAGGCTTTGGTATCAGGATGATGCTGGCCTCATAAAATGAGTTAGGGAGGATTCCCCCTTTTTCTATTGATTGGAATAGTTTCAGAAGGAATGGTACCAGCTCCTCCTTGTACCTCTGGTAGAATTTGGCTGTGAATCCATCTGGTCCTGGACTGTTTTTGGTTGGTAAGCTATTAATTATTGCCTCAATTTCAGAGCCTGTTATTGGTCTATTCAGAGATTCAACTTCTTCCTGGTTTAGTCTTGGGAGAGTGTATGTGTCGAGGAATTTATCCATTTCTTCCAGATTTTCTAGTTTATTTGCATAGAGGTGTTTATAGTATTCTCTGATGGTAGTTTTTATTTCTGTGGGATCAGTGGTGATATCCCGTTTATCATTTTTTGTTGCATCTATTTGATTCTTCTCTCTTTTCTTCTTTATTAGTCTTGCTAGTGGTCTATCAATTTTGTTGATCTTTTCAAAAAACCAGCTCCTGGATTCATTGATTTTTTGAAGGGTTTTATGTGTCTCTGTTTCCTTCAGTTCTGCTCTGATCTTAGTTATTTCTTGCCTTCTGCTAGTTTTGAGTGTGTTTGCTCATGCTTCTCTAGTTCTTTTAATTGTGATGTTAGGGTGTCAGTTTTAGATCTTTCCTGCTTTCTCTTGTGGTCATTTAGTGTGATAAATTTCCCTCTACACACTGCTTTGAATGTGTCCCAGAGATTCTGGTATGTTGTGTCTTTGTTCTCGTTGGTTTCAAAGAACACCTTTATGTCTGCCTTCATTTTGTTATGTACGCAGTAGTCATTCAGTTGCAGGTTGTTCAGGTTCCATGTAGTTGAGCAGTTTCGAGTGAGTTTCGTAATCCTGAGTTCTAGTTTGATTGCACTGTGGTCTGAGAGACAGTTTGTTATAATTTCTGTTCTTTTACATTTGCTGAGGAGTGCTTTACTTCCCACTATGTGGTCAATTTTGGAATAGGTGTGGTGTGGTGCTGAAAAGAATGTATATTCTGTTGATTTGGGGTGGAGAGTTCTGTAGATGTCTATTAGGTCTGCTTGGTGCAGAGCTGAGTTCAATTCCTGGATATCCTTGCTAACTTTCTGTCTCATCTGTCTAATGTTGACAGTGGGGTGTTAAAGTCTCCCATTATTATTGTGTGGGAGTCTAAGTCTCTTTGTAGGTCTCTAAGGACTTTCTTTATGAATCTAGGTGCTCCTGTACTGGGTGCGTATAAATTTAGGATAGTTAGCTCTTCTTGTTGAATTGATCCCTTTACCATTATGTAATGGCCTTTTCTCTTTTGATCTTTGTTTGTTTAAAGTCTGTTTTATCAGAGACTAGGATTGCAACCCCTGCCTTTTTTTGTTTTCCGTTTGCTTTGTAGATCTTCCTCCATCCCTTTATTTTGAGCCTATGTGTGTCTTTGCAGTGAGATGGGTTTCCTGAATACAGCACACTGATGGGTCTTGACTCTTTATCCAATTTGCCACTGACTGACCTTTTAAATGTATATGACTTTGGAAAAGTAAAAACTAGGTAGACTGCTAAATAAGCATGCTACCAAGGATAAGGAGCACAAAAATATATTAAATGGGCTTTCAGGGCCTTCACTCATTCCACAAATATTTATTAAACACCTACTATATGACACATACTAGGTTAGGCACTGAGCATAAGAAAGATGAGTAACTGCATGTGTGAAAAAGCCTACAGGAAAGACAAAGATGGAAAATTACTCGGAATATCTTGAGAAATTTGAGAAAAATTTAAAGTAGAAATATGTATGTTTTAATATCCTACATAGATGTAAAATCGCTATAGTTTAACGATATATTGTATATGACTATTGTAAAATCATTCTTTTATATATATATGCACACATATATAAGTGTAATCTATTCAGAAAAGAATTATAAATATGTTCATATACTCTTAAACAGTATAAATTTGTCTTATAGATTGAAATATTAACTGAATGCTGAATTTAAGCTTCAATATCTCTGTTCTTCACACTATGTAAGCAGACAGCTATTCAAATCAGAAAGCCATTATCTTTATAGAAAACTAAGCAAGTTATGTTTTTAAAAGACAGCGTTAGGAACATATAAAAAAGACTAATTTTGGGGGAAATAAAAGACCTGAAAGAAAGAAGCATCAAAGAAATCCAAGCTTTCTGAAAACCATTTGATACCCTTAGAAGTGTACCTACCTTTCATTTCTTTGCTGCTGCTGTTGCAGCCAATAAGTTCTTCTGAGAATATATGCCTTTTTTCCCTCCAGAGAGTGAAAAATTTATGGTCTGTTCTGATCGAGACACATTTCTCTCCCTTTTCATTTAAAGGTTTATTTCCTGGTTTAATAGGTGTGTTTCCAAACCCACATCAGTCCTCTTTTCACATGATGCAGATGGGGCACAATCTGAAGGTGACAAGAAGCCAGCCAAAGGCCGTCACCACATCACAGAGAGGATATATTGGGCAGAATCCCATATTGCATGTCTAATAGGAATCTTGTAATAAAATACATGTTCAAAACACTTGAAATTACCTTTCAAAAAGCCCTAAGTGTAATCTAACAAAATATAATAGAGATACTAACACGACCTATATTTCACCCTTTAAATCTTGGATCAAAGAGATCTAAGGCAGTATAAAATGCTGAACTCTGTTTAGCAACAGAGCTTTGCTTGATGGTCTTTCGCTTTATTTTTTACCATGCATGAGGAACAGAAATAAACTAAAAAAGACTTGATCTGTGGATTGTAGCTAGGAAGTTCTGACAACAGTGCGTCTCTTTTGAATCAGGTACAGTGATTGCTACAGAAATTCTATTTAGAAAATACGATTTATTTAGCTAGACTCAGAAAACTTCACCAATGCCGATTTCCTTCAACCATTACTGTTTCTCAAAAGCTATTTTGGTTTTTAGTAACATCACAAAGGATGTTGCTCTATAATTAGTAACTTTTCTTTCAAATGGTATAATGAAAGTAAATGCATTTATAACAAATGGTTAACAAATGGTCATGGAGTACCTACTATGTGCCTGGCATTGTGCTTAGTGCAGGGACAAAAATTGTGCCTGGCATTGGAATAGACACTCTGCTGCTGCTGTTGTTTTATTTGCAACAGAGGATCAAACATGCTACAGCTCACAACTTGTGTGGATCTCCAGTTTGTAACTAATATACTAAGCAATGTGCCACTTTTCTGAAGAGCTATTATCGCAATGTTCTTTTTCATACAGCTTCTTTCATCCATCTGTAAGCACTCAAAGATACAGAGCTCCATTGATTTTTTCCTTGCCCAAATTCCATTAGTCTCCTGTATTTTGATTCTAAGAGATGGAAACTATCAGGCAAATGATATTAGAGAAACACTTCCTGCCATTATGCACTTAACAGTTATTGTCAATGGCATTCCAGAAAGATCTATCCCTCTGAAATAGCATGGTAATTTTTTCTTGATCTTTGGTTATCATCTTGTCCCTCCATGAAACCAATATGACAGTTTTGTTGTTGTTGTTGTTGTTATTGTATGAACCAGTACTCTAGATAACTGGTTGTTTGAGGATATCAATTAGCAACTTTGGAAACCAGGTCAGTGGCTCTGGAAGGCCAGGAGAGAGGAGGGCTTCTAAATTCTGAGAGGAGCTCCGTGTTTTTGCCATGATGGTCCTTTTCTACTGCTCCAGGAAGGATTTTCTAAATTTCTGCCAAGTACTTCCTACATGCAATAATATACTTGAGCATTCTCAAAGCATTTGGAAATGCATCTTTCATTTAATAATATTTGTAAATCATATTAATTTTCCAGAATCAACTGTAATATGGAATTTCTTTCTATCATAAGTTTCCCCTTTTGTTGAGGAAGAAACAAAAAGATATTGTAGTTTAGAAGATCATTTACATGTAAAAATGAAATTAATGGCTTTGGCCCAAATCATTTAATTATTCTTTGCTTTGAATTAATTATGTCAATTATAAATTGTATAGGTTATGAAACACAGTTGAAATATATCTTAATATCATGAATCCAGGTAAATTTCAACTCATCTTTCATTAGACAAATAATGCACACAAACACACACTTTAAGATGGTGTGAAACTCATATAAATTTAGTGTGTTGCTCGACTTACAGTAATGTTATGTCTGGATAAATCCATTATTTTACATTTTACAATGAGTTTATCCCGACATAATCCTATCATAAGTCCAGAAGCATCTATACATACGTGTGTGTATGTGTATATATAGAGTATATAGAGAATATATATAGAGAGAGAATATATATGTATATACATATAATCATCCACCACATAATGACGATTTTGTCAACAACACAGTACATATACAACAGTTGTCCCATAATTTTATAATACTGTATTTTTACTGTACCTTTTCTATGTCTAGATACACAAATGCTCACCGTGGTGTTACAATTGCCTCCAGTACCCAGCACAGTAACATATTGTATAGGTTTGTAGCCTAGGAGCAATAGGCTATACCATATAACCTAGGTGTGCAGCAGGTTTACCATCTAAGTTTGTGTACATATACTCTATGGTGTTTACACAATGATGAAATCACCTAATGATGCATTTCTTGGTACATATTCCCATTGTTAAAAGACACATGACTGTGTGTGTGTGTATACACACATATACATATATATATACACACACACATATATATATACATATATGCACACACATACCTACAGAAATCAGAATCCAATTTCAAAATCTTTGTGTCTATCATCTTTGTTTGGTGATTTTTGACCAAAGAATTAAGCCCAGGACTCTCCTACTCCAATTTCCTTAGAGCCCAGTCATCAAGATAGAAAAGTAAGCCACTTACTAGACCAAAGTTTACAAGAGAAAGTCCAGAATTCTTCCTTCTACAGTGAACTTGGCAGTGTCTCCTGCAAGTAGAATCCTGTTTCACTTGTGATTTTTTTCTACATCTACTTTGTTTTCAGTAAAAGTATAGGAATTTTAATATTGATAGATAATTTTGTTTACAAATTCTTCCTACTGGATAGTTTTCAGAAATAATGGCAGTAACTAACACTTGTATAGTGCTTATTTATGGGCCAGGTACCGTTCTAAACACTGTTATATACTGTCTTAGGTAATCCTAAATTTTGCTGGAAGAGCAAAACTTGGGAGGCAAAATGCCTAATGCACATTTCTTTTTTTTTTTTTTTTTTGAAGAAAAGTATCAGTTACGAGAGTTTGCAAATAAATGTTATTTGTTTGAAACATCCAACACCTATGTTAGTGTCTTGCGCATGGCAGGCACCCAGAATAATATTATGGAAATGACACAGAAGCCCATTATTTTAAACACTTTTAAAATCATTTTTGAAGTATTTCATACGTCATTAAGTGGCCATATCAAAGGGGCTCTTTAGGATTAGATGGGCTACTTGTCTACAGCAAAAGTGTCCAGGTGCCTCCCTCTTTAACAGTGTCTGCCTCAGGCCTCTGCAATATCACTTCTGTTCCCTTCCTACCTCTCAGTCTCTTCTATAAGGATCCTTTTTTCTGATCACATTTTAAGTCCTGAAGCTCTCCAGAGTTTTTCTCACTCTACCTGCTTGCCCTAGATGACCTGATCCATGACAGCTTCAAGTACCACCTTTCCCTAATGGATCCCAAACCCCAAACTTCAGGCCCATATATATATTCAGCCTCCTACTAGGATGTCCCACAGGCCCCTTGAGCTCCTCAGGGCCAAAAGTGAACTCATCATCTTCCCCACCCAAAGCTGCTTCTCCTCCTCTGTTTCAATAATCAGGTCCTACTCTGTGCCAGGCATTGGTGACACGGCAGTGACCATGAGCTAGCTTCCATTCCAGTTCAGTGAAAAGCCACATCATCCATCTGGCTGCTCAGTCTAGTCACCTGGGGGAGAATTCCATCCCTCTGTCTCTTCCCTCAACCCTCCGCCTGGCACCAATCGCACCCACACCCTGAGCATTCCATTCCCGAATATATATTCTTTCCTTGCTGCTCCCATGGGCACCGCCTTGGTTCATGGTCTCATATCTTCTTGCCTCTACTCCTGATTTTTCTGTCTGTAGCTTGACCCTGTCTACTGATGCTAAAAAATGTCTAGACAAAACTTTCAGGATAGAAGCTCTTCCTTCAGCCAATAAGGCTTTTCATGGTCTGATTTCTGACTTTTTGTTATCCTTTCCATTTCCCCACCTGCCACACTCCATATGCAACTTTGGCTGTATCCATAGGAAAGTTCTATGGGTATTAAGCAGGTCACATGATTCCACATGTATTCCTGAAATGCATAGAACCTTTTTTTTTTTTTGTATTGTCTACCCGTATCTTTCAAATTTAGCTCAAGCATTACTTCCTTTGGAAACCCTCAAATCTCCAGTTTAATTTGGAAACTATTCCCCTATGTATATTTATTAGTAGTAGTATTCATTAGCCTGCCTCCTATACTAAATTATAAGTTCAATGACCTTGTCTTATTTAATTTTATATCCTCATACCTAATACAATCTTTGGCACATAGTATATGCTCAATTAAAGTGTGTTAAGTAGTGAATTTTTTGAGCACTCAGTGTATGCTTATGGGACATCTAACTGGTGAATGTAAAATTAGGAGATATATACATTATGTCATCCAGTCACAAGCATTGGAAGTAGACTTTATTCCCTCTGTTTTATAGATGAGGCTCTCATGATCACACAGCTTGAGTGATATAGAGGGGTGGGCTTTAATCCAGGTCTGTCTTGCATCATTATCATATGGCATCTTAACTAAAAGCAAAATATAAAAATAACTAAATAAATATGCACAGAGACACACATTCACATCAAATATCTTTTACGTGCTTTCTGGATTATCTCATTTGGTCTGATTACAAATTCTATTTCATATAATATGTGGATGAAAAGAGCCAAACTCTGTAAAATATTCGAAGAGATTTATTCTGAGCCAAATATGAGTGACCATGGCCCGTGACACAGCCCCAGGAGATCCTGAGAACCTGTGCCTAAGGCAGTCAGGCCACAGCTTGGTTTTATGCATTTTAGGGAGACATAAGACATCAATCAATACATGTAAGATGCACATTGGTTCTGTTCAGAAAGGTGTGACAACTCAAAGGGGATGGGCAGGACTTTCAGGTCATAGTGGTTGGTGATTGGTTGAAAGAGTCTATCTAAAGACCTGGAATCAATAGAAGGGAGTACCTGTGTTAAGATAAGGGGTTGTGGAGAACAGGGTTCTTATTATGCAGATGAAGCGTCCAGGTAGCAGGCTTCAGAGAGAACAGATTGCAAATGTTTCCTAGAAGACTTAAAAAAGGTTCCAGATTCTTAGTTAATGCTCTCTTGGATCAGGAAGAAGATCTGGAAAGAAAAGGGGATTCTCTGCAGAATGTAGATATTCCCCACAAGAGACAGCTTGGTCAAGCCATTTCAAAATATATCAAAGAAATATATTTTGGGGTAAAATACTTTACTTTCAGGACCTGCTATCTATCATGTTGGTATCTTATTGCTACAAAGAGTCTGCTTTGTCAGTCTTAAGGTTTCTGTCTTCTTGTTAATGTTGGTCAGCTGTGCCTGAATTCCAAAGGGAGAAGGGTATATAATAAGGCATGTCGGACCACCCACTCTCATCACGGCCTGGACTAGTGTTTCAGGTTTAGTTTAGAATGCCCTTGGCTGAGAGGAGGGGTCCATTCAGTTGGCTGAGAGGCTTATATTTTTATTTATGGTTTACAAACATAAAGTAAGCAAGTGGATCTTCAGTTAGGAGACCAGATCTAAGTATGCACAATTAGCAAGACACATTTGATACAATATATCTACACTCATACTGCACCCCTCACACACATACTTTTTTTCTCATTTTTTTCTTGTCTTTTGATGACGGTGCTTAAAGACAAAGAGAAAAGATGCCCCTCACCCCCTCAAATCTGCAAGTGTTTTGGGGCTGTGAGAAGCATAGAGCATTTTGTGTTACAGGTAACGGCGACTGTGACTGTGGTGAATGTGTGTGCAGGAGCGGCTGGACTGGCGAGTACTGCAACTGCACCACCAGCACGGACTCCTGCGTCTCTGAAGATGGAGTGCTCTGCAGCGGGCGCGGGGACTGTGTTTGTGGCAAGTGTGTTTGCACAAACCCTGGAGCCTCAGGACCAACCTGTGAACGATGTCCTACCTGTGGTGACCCCTGTAACTCTAAACGGTAATGTCTCTGCTTTTCTCCATTCCTTATGTGGATAGGTTTATAGTGATCAAACTTACAGTGGCATTTTGTAAACTCAGACCTCAGATTGTATTTGCTGGTTTGGTCTCCAAACATCCATCAAAACACACACAAACCCACAGGGCCTCTGTGATCTTCAGCCTGGAACATCAATCTCTCGCTTACCTCTTTCTCAGTCCTGATTATCCAGAATCACAATGTCACGTTTCTGCTAGAGACTAGTGTGGGGAAGTAGAGCTGATGTCCCACACTGATAACATCAGATCGCCTCTCCATTACAATACCAGCCACACAGAAGGAATGCCCTGGAGGTAGACGGATGACACCCACATGCAGTCAGTAGCTTTTCAGGGGAAACAGACAAGCTTCTTTCTTATCTAGAAGTTTATAGCCTGACCTTACTGATTCATTCCTATCTATAGGCTCACAGAGGCAAAAAGGCAGAAAGACGATCTTAGCTTTCAATTCTCTCCTGCTTCTTTACCACCCATGCTCTTTGGCGCCTTTCTTTGGTTGCCATTATACACAGCTATTGTGTATTGTGTTTTATATCATATGCACAATAACAACAATGAAACCTCACAATTTCTTAATGAAATTGGGGCCACATTTGTAGGTCAAGTGAAGCGAGCCTCCAAAGTGGCTCTTATGATATTGCAGTGGATAATGTATTATGCAGCAAATATGCTTCAGCATTTCAGATTTTCATGAACTCTGATGCCCAAAATGGTGACATTTGCATTTCTGACATAAACAGAGTGAGAAAAGCAATTTTTCACTCAGTGGTTACTCACCATTCAGGTGTCAAAACTTCTCTGCCACTGTCACTGGCAAACTAAGACAAGACGCATGCCAGGAGAAGCATGAGGACATGATTAGGATGATTTGAATAGGATCTAATGGAAAATGTCCCTTCAAGGTGTTTCTTCTATTACTTTTCTGTTTTATCTTCTCTATAAATATGATTCAATCTTAAATCTGAATTTCAAGATAGGAAATTAACAATCAAAGCCATTTGAATTTGGGGAATCAGGTAGTGACCTCCTTGGGATTTATGTTAGTTTTGAGATGAGTCCATTTTTCCATTTATTCATGCATGTATTCATTTATCAATGAGGTATTAAGTGCCTACTATATGCCAAGAATCATGTTATGCCATGGGCAAAGCAATGATGACTGAAACAGCTACAGCCTCTGCCTTCACAGGTGCTGGAGTCTAGTGGGAAAGATAGACATCTTTTAAAGTCATTGCAATGCTGTCTAGGCTGACAGTTTTAATAGGGGAAATAGAGAGTGCTATGGAACTCTACAGCAGGGGATAAGGCTACCAGACTAGCTAGGGCAGCCATCATTGAGATGCACAAAGACAAAGAGATATTAAGAGCTTCCACAATCACCAGACCCCTTCAAAACCACTCCAAATAAATATACAATCTAGAAAAATGCAATGTATTTGCAATGCCAAGGCAACTTCACAGTAAAACCTTCCCCACTGCCTGATAGGTTGCCCTTCCTGTGGAAAAATCCTGAGGCTTCCACTGCAAAGGAACTGATTGGTCTAAGGTTTAGTGAAGGTTTGCCTAAGGAAGTGCAGTCTCAGCTGAGATTTGCTGAGTTATGGGTGCGGGTGGGGTGTTTCAAGCACTTAGCAGAGCATACATTTCCATGGCCAGAGGAGACAGAGACAGCATGTGTGTCCACAGTAAGAAAACTTTTGCAGTTTTTGAATTACAACAAGCACAATCTATTTGTAAAGTGATTTTCAGCACAAGATTAATTCAGGGTCTAAATTTTACTTTGCTCTATAGATGTCTTTAGAGTACCTTAATTCTTGGATGATGTTCTTGGAAATGTACTTTTCTATAAATAGTGATCTTTTATTTAAAAGCCTGTATTAATGAGGATCCATGCTCTAATCCACAGCTTTTGAGATCCAGGCTCTAATCCACACCTTCATTAAGACTTAGACTTATTCAAAAGAGTTACAGAAAAGTGAATTGTGAAAATAATCATATAAGACATATACAAAGTCCACTAATCATTCTTGGAATTCTGGTTAAGGTATAGACCATTTCTGTCAAGAAATTCAAAACTTCTCCCAGTCTCTAATCATATTTTAGGAACATACGCTCTCTGTAGGAAAAAGTAAATGAAAACAGCTAAATCAATTTATTTTCTTTGATTATTTGTTTGTTTACTTAACCAATCAGGAGCAATCATTACAGGTAAATGAAAATAGTAGCTATTATCAAGACTGGCCCAGGGAACATTGATTACTGAGTGGAACTCAGAATAATTCAGTGTTCACTTGGACATTACCCTACTATCCTTTTGAAAGTAACAAAAGATAATGACATCTATGACATACTCCTATAGCACAAATTGCAACAACAGCAGTAAAGCAATATTCAAGCTGCAAATCTATTTTCCACCAGCATGAACTGATACACTGTTGGATACTGTCCACAGGAGCTGCATTGAGTGCCACCTGTCAGCAGCTGGCCAAGCCCGAGAAGAATGTGTGGACAAGTGCAAACTAGCTGGTGCGACCATCAGTGAAGAAGAAGGTTCTGCTTGTCTTAAATTGTTTTTCATTTCCTTATGTAGTTCTTGAGAGGCGTAGTTCTTGACCCTCTGTGAATCGAGGGCTATTTAGTAGCTTGACCTTATTTGTACCAGGGCATTAGCTCACTCACATTCATTTTTTAAGAGTAAATGCATCCTATAAGACTAGAAACTTGATGTCTCAGGACACTAGCATTTCAAAGTCATAGCTATTCTATTTGACTTCAGCTCTGTTGCCAAGTTCACCTCTGCTTAACAAATTCAACTGTAGAGAATTCCAGAATGCTATATTTTTCAAACTAGAAATGGAGAAAAATTGAAGAAATGGCTAAATGTTAACCCCCAAACCTGAATTCACCCTTTATCATCCAATTGCTTTATTTCAAGATAAGATAAAGCCAACTGTAAAACAGTGTTCCAGATGGTGGCTCCAAGATACTGGGTGGTTTCTGGTTAGTGGCCATTTTTCCTCTCCTCCATATACTTTTATTCCCAACCTTCCAAACATGGGCATTACAATGACCATCCTCAATTCCCTGTTGCCTCACCCCCAAAATACAAGAAAGACCTATTCTCTTTAACGGCTAAGCAAACTTCTCTTGCTTTCATCTGTCATTTTAAATTTAATTACTTAGAATCAGAGTCTAGTGGCAAAGTTTCACCTCAAATATTTAAATAGCTTGTTTTTTAACTGGCAATACCTTTTAAACAATAATTTGTGGACTTTAAAACAAAGATGATGACTGACTCTTCCAACAGAGACAACCTGGGAGAATTTAATTTGGTATCATCCTGAACTCGCTGCATTATCATGCAGCTCAGGGTAGAATTGCTACTCTGCACACATTAGAGATGTGGCCAAGATGTAGCTCAGGTGAAGTGAAATAATTAAGCCAATAATGTATGACCCTCCAGGATGTGTCTCTTGAATAGATGGAATTAGAATACGGAAATTAATCCATTTCCAGCATGGATTGAGTTAATGAACTTTATATTGTTTTGAAGACTACTTACATTGTCTGAAAATTTAGAGTTCTAACTATGCACAATTGGATTACCCTATATGGAGGGTCATGATATGTGCTCATAAAACCCCTCACCAATGCTTTTCTTGTGACCAAAGATAAACATGCCAAATAGCAGTAAATTGGACAAAATGGTGTGCGCCTTACATTACTACCAAAGGCGAGATACATGAAAGCACTGAGCAGACAGCCTCTGTGGACTTCCCACATTAGTACCTGGTGCAAAGTCCTAGCATCACCTTCTGGGCTCATTTCACAGCAAGCACTGGGGATAGTTACCAAGTGTTTCTGAGAAACGCGTAAAAATTGCAGAAAATGCTCTGCAAATTGCTAAGCCTCAATTCACTAGCAACATGGGAAATCTAATGTGTTGAGGAAAAAAAGGAGTAAACCTTACATACATGCAAATCATAATGGCATGAACAAGGTACTTACTATATTTAAGTACACAGGTTTTTTTGAGTAGATTATCATAAATGCTGAGATTGGAGAGGAAGACTAGGGCTCCAGTGGCATTTAAAATACTTACATTATTCTTTTTGTGTATTTGACTAAATTATTTCAAAATAGGGAGATACAATTATTTGTAACTCAGCAATTGAAAATAAAAATTGGATTACTAATACCATTTAAAGCACTAATCTGGATGAATTTGAGAGAAAAAAATGTTTTTAATTCAGACTGTGTTTAAAAGCCACTTTTCTAATGAGCCTTTTTATAAGCTTTATTTCAAGTTACTCATCCAGTTATGTTACTGATCATACTACCTTGAAATGATCGCATAATATTTGTCTTTTAACAACCTACCCTTCCCCCAACAAGAGGAATTTTATTTTACTCCTGGGGAGTATTTTACTCCCCAGGAGTAAAAAAAAAAAGCATAACTTTATAATCTGTATGAATTGTTCCTCAGTTATGCTGTGAGTGGGCATATCAAAAACATGTTATTAACCTTATTCATCCCATTTTACTGAGAGTCTTTTTTTTTTTCTTTTTTTTTGAGACAAGGCCTTACCCTGTCTCCCCGGCTGGAGTGTAGTGGCGTGATCAAGGCTCACTGCATTCTAGACCTTCCAGGCTCAGCCTCATGAGTACCTGGGACTACAGGCACATGCCACCCTACACAGTGTAATTTTTTGTAGTTTTTGTAGAAATGGGGTTTTGCCATGTTGGCCAGGCTGGCCTCGAACTCTGAGCTCAAGGCATCTGCCCGCCTCAGCCTCCCAAATTGCTGGGATTACAGGCATGCACCACAGTGCCCAGCTTGAGAGTCATATTTTTATTTACCTTAACATACATGTACTCAGAGAATTGTTTCTCAAAGTATATTCCATGTAACCCTAGATATGAAAACATTACATAGAAAAAGGCGCCCCTGGTAATGTAAATCTTAGAAATAGGAAACTAGGTTTCTTGTTTTCTTTGCAGGACTTCTGAGAGTTGTTATACATTTAAATTAAATGTGCATTGTGAATCATCAGGAATGGCAAGGGGAGGAATTGGAATAAATAGAGGATTCCCAAACTTATCTGACCATAAACCCCTTACTTTTTCCTTGGGAAACATTGTTGTTTGTTTGTTTTCGTTTTTGTTTTTTTGAAAACTGCTAACTAATCCTAGAGCTGAGGTCTTAAACATATGGCCATCTTGACTCAGTGGTGCAGATGCTTTGTATTTTTCTTTTTCTTTTTTTTAAATTTTATTATCATTATACTTTAAGTTTTAGGGTACATGTGCACAATGTGCAGGTTTGTTACATATGTATACATGTGCCATGTTGGTGTGCTGCACCCATTAACTCGTCATTTAGCATTAGGTATATCTCCTAATGCTATCCCTCCCCCCTCCCCCATCCCACAACGGTCCCTGAAGTGTGATGTTCCCCTTCCTGTGTCCATGTGTTCTCATTGTTCAATTCCCACCTATGAGTGAGAACATGTGGTGTTTGGTTTTCTGTCCTTGCGATAGTTTGCTGAGAATGATGGTTTCCAGTTTCATCCATGTCCCTACAAAGGACATGAACTCTTCATTTTTTACGGCTGCATAGTATTCCATGGTGTATGTGTGCCACATTTTCTTTTTTTTTTTTTTTTTTTTTTAATTATACTCTAAGTTTTAGGGTACATGTGCACATTGTGCAGGTTTGTTACATATGTATACATGTGCCATGCTGGTGCGCTGCACCCACTAACGTGTCATCTAGCATTAGGTATATCTCCCAATGCTATCCCTTCCCCCTCCCCCGACCCCACCACAGTCCCCAGAGTGTGATATTCCCCTTCCTGTGTCCAAGTGATCTCATTGTTCAATTCCCACCTATGAGTGAGAATATGCGGTGTTTGGTTTTTTGTTCTTGCGATAGTTTACTGAGAATGATGGTTTCCAATTTCATCCATGTCCCTACAAAGGACATGAACTCATCATTTTTTATGGCTGCATAGTATTCCATGGTGTATATGTGCCACATTTTCTTAATCCAGTCTATCATTGTTGGACATTTGGGTTGGTTCCAAGTCTTTGCTATTGTAAATAGTGCCACAATAAACATACGTGTGCATGTGTCTTTATAGCAACATGGTTTCTAATCCTTTGGGTATATATCCAGTAATGGGATGGCTGGGTCAAATAGTATTTCTAGTTCTAGATCCCTGAGGAATCGCCACACTGACTTCCACAATGGTTGAACTAGTTTACAGTCCCACCAACAGTGTAAAAGTGTTCCTATTTCTCCACATCCTCTCTAGCACCTGTTGTTTCCTGACTTTTTAATGATTGCCATTCTAACTGGTGTGAGATGGTATCTCATTGTGGTTTTGATTTGCATTTCTCTGATGGCCCGTGATGATGAGCATTTTTTCATGTGTCTTTTGGCTGCATAAATGTCTTCTTTTGACAAGTGTCTGTTCATATCCTTGGCCCACTTTTTGATGGGGTTGTTTGTTTTTTTCTTGTAAATTTGTTTGAGTTCATTGTAGATTCTGGATATTAGCCCTTTGTCAGATGAGTAGGTTGCGAAAATTTTCTCCCATTCTGTAGGTTGCCTGTTCATTCTGATGGTGGTTTCTTTTGCTGTGCAGAAGCCCTTTAGTTTAATTAGATCCCATTTGTTAATTTTGACTTTTGTTGCCATTGCTTTTGGTGTTTTAGACATGAAGTCCTTGCCCATGCCTATGTCCTGAATGGTATTGCCTAGGTTTTCTTCTAGGGTTTTTATGGTTTTAGGTCTAACATGTAAGTCTTTAATCCATCTTGAATTAATTTTTGTATAAGGTGTAAGGAAGGGATCCAGTTTCAGCTTTCTACATATGGCTAGCCAGTTTTCCCATCACCATTTATTAAACAGGGAATCCTTTCCCCATTGCTTGTTTTTCTCAGGTTTGTCAAAGATCAGATAGTTGTAGATATGCGGCATTATTTCTGAGGGCTCTGTTCTATCCCATTGATCTATATCTCTGTTTTGGTACCAGTACCATGCTGTTTTGGTTACTGTAGCCTTGTAGTATAGTTTGAAGTCAGGTAGCATGATGCCTCTAGCTTTGTTCTTTTGGCTTAGGATTGACTTGGTGACGCGGGCTCTTTTTTGGTTCCATATGAACTTTAAAGTAGTTTTTTCCAATTCTGTGAAGAAAGTCATTGGTAGCTTGAGGGGGATGGCACTGAATCTATAAATTACCTTGGACAGTATGGCCATTTTCACGATATTGATTCTTCCTACCCATGAGCATGGAATGTTCTTCCATTTGTTTGTATCCTCTTTTATTTCATTGAGCAGTGGTTTGTAGTTCTCCTTGAAGAGATCCTTCACATCCCTTGTAAGTTGGATTCCTAGGTATTTTATTCTCTTTGAAGCAATTGTGAATGGGAGTTCACTCATGATTTGGTTCTCTGTTTGTCTATTATTGGTGTATAAGAATGCTTGTGATTTTTGTACATTGATTTTGTATTCTGAGATTTTGCTGAAGTTGCTTATCAGCTTAAGGAGATTTTGGGCTGAGATGATGGGGTTTTCTAGATATACAATCACATCATCTGCAAACAGGGACAATTTGACTTCCTCTTTTCCTAATTGAATACCCTTTATTTCCTTCTCCTGCCTAATTGCCCTGGCCAGAACTTCCAACACTATGTTTAACAGGAGTGGTGAGACAGGGCATCCCTGTCTTGTGCCTGTTTTCAAAGGGAATGCTTCCAGTTTTTGCCCATTCAGTATGATATTGGCTGTGTGTTTGTCATAAATAGCTCTTATTATTTTGAGATACGTCCCATCAATACCTAATTTATTGAGAGTTTTTAGCATGAAGCACTGTTGAATTTTGTCAAAGGCCTTTTCTGCATCTATTGAGATAATCATGTGGTTTTTGTCTTTGGTTCCGTTTATATGCTGGATTACATTTATTGATTTGCATATGTTGAATCAGCCTTGCATCCCAGGGATGAAGCCCACTTGATCATGGTGGATAAGCTTTTTGATGTGCTGCTGGATTCGGTTTGCCAGTATTTTATTGAGGATTTTTCCATCAATGTTCGTCAAGGATATTTGTTTAAAATTCTCTTTTTTTGTTGTTTCTCTGCCAGGCTTTGGTATCAGGATGATGCTGGCCTCATAAAATGAGTTAGGGAGGATTCCCCCTTTTTCTATTGATTGGAATAGTTTCAGAAGGAGTGGTACCAGCTCCTCCTTGTACCTCTGGTAGAATTCGGCTGTGAATCCATCTGGTCCTGGACTTTTTTTGGTTGGTAAGCTATTGATTATTGCCACAATTTCAGAGCCTGTATTGGTCTATTCAGAGATTCAACTTCTTCCTGGTTTAGTCTTGGGAGGATGTATGTGTCAAGGAATTTATCCATTTCTTCTAGATTTTCCAGTTTATTTGCATAGAGGTGTTTGTAGTATTCTCTGATGGTAGTTTGTATTTCTGTGGGATCGGTGGTGATAGCCCCTTTATCATGTTTTATTGCATCTATCTGATTCTTCTCTCTTTTCTTCTTTATTAGTCTTGCTAGCGGTCTATTGATTTTGTTGATCTTTTCAAAAAACCAGCTCCTGGATTCATTAATTTTTTGAAGGGTTTTTTGTGTCTCTATTTCCTTCAGTTCTGCTCTGATTTTAGTAATTTCTTGCCTTCTGCTAGCTTTTGAATGTGTTTGCTCTTGCTTTTCTAGTTCTTTTAATTGTGATGTTAGGGTGTCAGTTTTGGATCTTTCCTGCTTTCTCTTGTGGGCATTTAGTGCTATAAATTTCACTCTGCACACTGCTTTGAATGTGTCCCAGAGATTCTGGTATGTTGTTTCTTTGTTCTCGCTGGTTTCAAAGAACATCTTTATTTCTGCCTTCATTTCGTTATGTACCCAGTAGTCATTCAGGAGCAGGTTGTTCAGTTTCCATGTAGTTGAGCAGTTTTGAGTGAGTTTCTTAATCCTGAGTCCTAGTTTGATTGCACTGTGGTCTGAGAGACAGTTTGTTATAATTTCTGTTCTTTTACATTTGCTGAGGAGTGCTTTACTTCCAACTATGTGGTTACTTTTGGAATAGGTGTGGTGTGGTGCTGAAAAAAATGTATATTCTGTTGATTTGGGGTGGAGAGTTCTGTAGATGTCTATTAGGTCCGCTTGGTGCAGAGCTGGGTTCAATTCCTGGGTATCCTTGTTAACTTTCTGTCTCGTTGATCTGTCTAATGTTGACAGTGGGGTGTTAAAGTCTCCCATTATTATTGTGTGGGAGTCTAAGTCTCTTTGTGGGTCACTAAGGACTTGCTTTATGAATCTGGGTGCTCCTGTATTGGGTGAATATATATTTAGGATAGTTAGCTCTTCTTGTTGAATTGATCCCTTTACCATTATGTAATGGCCTTCTTTGTCTCTTTTGATCTTTGTTGGTTTAAAGTCTGTTTTATCAGAGACTAGGATTGCAACCCCTGCCTTTTTTTGTTTTCCATTTGCTTGGTAGATCTTCCTCCATCCCTTTATTTTGAGCCTATGTGTGTCTCTGCCCGTGAGATGGGTTTCCTGAATACAGCACACTGATGGGTCTTGAGTCTTCATCCAATTTGCCAGTCTGTGTCTTTTAATTGGAGCATTTAGCCCATTTACATTTAAAGTTAATATTGTTATGTGTGAATTTGGTCCTGTCATTATGATGTTAGCTGGTTATTTTGCTCGTTAGTTGATGCAGTTTCTTCCTAGCCTTGATGGTCTTTACATTTTGGCATGTTTTTGCAGTGGCTGGTACCAGTTGTTCCTTTCCATGTTTAGTGCTTCCTTCAGGAGCTCTTTTAGGGTAGGCCTGGTGGTGACAAAAATCTCTCAGCATTTGCTTGTCTGTAAAGTATTTTATTTCTCCTTCACTTATGAAGCTTAGTTTGGCTGGATATGAAATTCTGGGTTGAAAATTCTTTTCTTTAAGAATGTTCAATATTGGCCCCCACTCTCTTCTGGCTTGTAGAGTTTCTGCCAAGAGATCAGCTGTTAGTCTGATGGGCTTCCCTTTGTGGGTAACCCAACCTTTCTCTCTGGCTGCCCTTAGCATTTTTTCCTTAATTTCAACTTTGGTGAATCTGATAATTGTGTGTCTTGGAGTTGCTCTTCTCGAGGAGTATCTTTGTGGCGTTCTCTGTATTTCCTGAATCTGAACGTTGGCCTGCCTTGCTAGATTGGGGAAGTTCTCCTGGATAATATCCTGCAGAGTGTTTTCCAACTTGGTTCCATTCTCCCCGTCACTTTCAGGTACACCAATCAGAAGTAGATTTGGTCTTTTCACATAGTCCCATATTTCTTGGAGGCTTTGTTCATTTCTTTTTATTCTTTTTTCTCTAAACTTCCCTTCTCACTTCATTTCATTCATTTCATCTTCCATCACTGATGCCCTTTCTTCCAGTTGATCGCATCAGTTCCTGAGGCTTCTGCATTCTTCACGTAGTTCTCGAGCCTTGGCTTTCAGCTCCATCAGCTCCTTTAAGGACTTCTCTGCGTTGATTATTCTAGTTATCCATTCGTCTAATTTTTTTTCACAGTTTTTAACTTCTTTGCCATTGATTTGAATTTCCTCCTGTAGCTCGGAGTAGTTTGATCGTCTGGAGCCTTCTTCTCTCAATTCATCAAAGTCATTCTCCCTCCAGCTTTGTTCCACTGCTGGTGAGGAGCTGCATTCCTTTGGAGGAGGAGAGGCACTCTGCTTTTTAGAGTTTCCAGTTTTTCTGCTCTGTTTTTTCCCCATCTTTGTGGTTTTATCTACTTTTGGTCTTTGATGATGCTGATGTACAGAAGGGTTTTTGGTGTGGATGTCCTTTCTGTTTGTTAGTTTTCCTTCTAACAGACAGGACCCTCAGCTGCAGGTCTGTTGGAGTTTGCTAGAGGTCCACTCCAGACCCTGTTTGCCTGGGTATCAGCAGCGGTGGCTGCAGAACAGTGGTGGCTGTAGAACAGTGGATCTTGGTGAACCGCAAATGCTGCTGCCTGATATTCCTCTGGAAGTTTTGCCTCAGAGGAGTACCCGGCTGTGTGAGGTGTCAGTCTGCCCCTACTAGGGGGTGCCTCCCAGTTAGGCTGTTCGGGGGTCAGGGACCCACTTGAGGAGGCAGTCTGCCCATTCTCAGATCTCCAGCTGTGTGCTGGGAGAACCACTACTCTCTTCAAAGCTGTCAGACAGGGACATTTAAGTCTGCAGAGGTTACTGCTGTCTTTTTGTTTGTCTGTGCCCTGCCCCCAGAGGTGGAGCCTACAGAGGCAGGCAGGCCTCCTTGAGCTGTGGTGGGCTCCACCCAGTTTGAGCTTCCCAGCTGCTTTGTTTACCTAATCAAGCCTGGGCAATGGCAGGTGCCCCTCCCCCAGCCTCGCTGCCGCCTAGCAGTGTACAAGGCGGCTGTGCTAGCAATCAGCGAGACTCCGTGGGCGTAGGACCCTCTGAGCCAAGTGCAGGATATAATCTGGTGTGCCATTTTTTAAGCCCATTGGAAAAGAGCAGTATTAGGGTGGGAGTGACCCGATTTTCCAGGTGCCGTCTGTCACCCCTTTCTTTGACTAGGAAAGGGAACTCCCTGACCCCTTGTGCTTCCCGAGTGAGGCAATGCCTCGCCCTGCTTTGGCTCGCGCACGGTGCGCGCACCCACTGACCTGCACCCACTGTCTGGCACTCCCTAGTGAGATGAACCCGGTACCTCAGATGGAAATGCAGAAATCACCCATCTTCTGCGTTGCTCACGCTGGGTGCTGTAGACTGGAGCTGTTCCTATTCGGCCATCTTGGCTCCACCCCCCTGCTTTGTATTTTTCACACCCTCCCTGGACCTTCCCAGGCCCACATCCTCACCCCTGTTTTCACATTTCTTCCTTCTCTGAGTATGGTTCCACGGACTGCCTGGCATCTTATTTTCATTGTATTATTCTAGAGCAGCACTGTAGACATTCACAAAGGAAGGGAAAAAAGAGAGATCCATTTTCTATGAACAACAGAAGAAATTATGCAGCGAATTATGCAAATCTGTCGTTGCACATTTGAGAATACTATTTCAATACCCAAACACCATGAAACAGGCTACATCTAGAGCCGTAACAGTCATGAAAAGGAGTGGTGAAGTAATTAAAGCAACATGGGAGTTGTGACTCAAAGATCATATTCTGCCATTCCATTAACACTTAAATAACCCTGACCAGGTCAAGTAAGCCTCTCTAGGCTTCAGTGCAGCTATTTGAAAGAAAATTTTTAAAAACATGGTTAATATTACTGAAAGGAGTATGATAAGCCACTCACATATTTCCTACCACAGAATAAAATGTTTCATTAAATATGTTCAAGGCGAGCAGAGTGAGCCTGGGCTGTTCCCACAGAGAGGGGGAAAGAAGCAAGAAAACAGTCCAAGAAGAAAACGCATAGTCCCCAAGACTTCATGAACCCTAGCTAATTGGAGGGGCAAGTGAACAGGAGATGTGGTAAAGGCCAAATAAAATGGCCAACGTATGAATTATATATGCAATACCATTTGCAATCAAATATATGAAATAACACACATCTCACCAAATCTCTTAATCAGAATCTCCTTTTTAAAAATACTTATTAAACAACTCACTAAGTGTACAAGCTCCTCTGCACACAACCAACTTCTCAAATCAGAATACCCAAGGTGGGTCCCCAGAATCTACATTTTCAAAACTCCCAGGTGACTTAGATGACCATAATCATTTGGCAATGACTAGACTAGGATGATTTGTAATTAGATTTCTTAATATTCCCATGTAATAGATGTTTCTAATGGGTTCAAAAACAGTTTGTACACTTAAATCTATCATCCGAAATTTTATTTACAATGCTAAATGTCTTGCTGGTTCCTGTTTTCATAGATAATACAAAGCATACTTCTCACAGACACTGTTGGGTTTTTCATCTCAAACAAAATGTAAAGACAGCAAACAGCAACTTAATATTTCTATCTATGGCTATGGCATTTTTGACCAAAAACAGACTATTATTTAATTTTTGTTAGATTCAGAAAACACATTAGATTCTGCTTTATTAATGTTTTTATTTTTAAGCTAATGGGAGAGGTTATAAGTCTAGTAGGAGTATGTCCAAGATTATCAGGGGCAGCCCCAGTTTTAATGTTCTGATCCATTGTAGCATAACACACTAATTTTGGACCTATGTCCTAAAAGTTTAGATTAGGAGAAAAACGTCTTCTACTTACAGGTTTCTGAAAAACAGTGTTTGTAACCATCATTGAAAAGTCTCCAACTTAAAAGATAGGAGAACAGTTAAGCAAATTTGTTTGGTTTTCTTAATTAGCAGAATGCCACATAATTTTGGCATACATCCTGGACTACTAAAATTTCTGGTAGATAGTACTGGCATCTCAGATTGGCCATTTTACTTTACTTTTAATTTCTGTCATGACATTCATTTTCTGCCTCTTGAATGAGCTCAATAAGGAAAAATTCCCACTTGGAAAAGATTTAAGGTAAACTGGATTTTTTTTTTTTTTCAAATTAAGAAAGGAGCTCTACTGAATGATAGACAAACTGTCACTGTGGATTTATTTACCTTTATCCTGCTGGTCCCTGAGCTACATAATGCTTCAGTCTCAGTTTCCTGATATTAATTTATGTTACTGTTACCACAATACATGGCCAGCAATCTTGACTATGTCGTTGTGAGAAAGGCCCCTTTAAAAGTATCAGTATCAGTTTGAACTGTGCAGAAATGTAATCTAGACATCCTTCATGCTCTCAGCAAAGAACCTATAGCCCCCTCATTACCATAATCAGGGCCATTCTATTCCCAAGGCAGCTGTGGGTACCTGCCTTGAAGTACGTTCAGCCTGTTGCAATCCTGCCCGTATCCGTTTGATAGGCACATTTGATGGTCAGTCCTGATTGACCACAACTGGAACTGTTCTTCTGGAACGTGAGTGAAAACGAAAACCTCACTTCATGAGAAAAAAAAAAACCTATGCCTCTCCTATTCTCATTCTGCAATATTGAAAACTCTAATTTACATATTAAAACTCAATACTACTTTGTTTTAAAAACAATCTCTTTTGGAATCTTGTTTAACCTAATGAATGACTCCTTTATCTGCAGATTTCTCAAAGGATGGTTCTGTTTCCTGCTCTCTGCAAGGAGAAAATGAATGTCTTATTACATTCCTAATAACTACAGATAATGAGGGGAAAACCATCATTCACAGCATCAATGAAAAAGGTGGGTGTTTTGCCTTCCATTGCCGATGGCAAATGATACTACACAGGAGAAGAGAAAGCAACCAGAAAATCGCTCTGGGTAGCATGCCAGGAAAGACATTTCCAAAATTTTGATGAAGTTTCTTAAAGTTTCCCAAGGATTGAAAGATGCCAGTTAGAAGGTTCAGTATGTTCCAGTGTCTCTTATTAAGACCAGATAAGGGTCGGGCACGGTGGCTCACACCTGTAATCCCAGCACTTTGGGAGGCCGAGGAGGGTGGGTCACTTGAGGTCAGGAGTTGGAGACCACCCTGGCCAACATGGTGAAACCCTGTCTCTACTAAAAATACAAAAATTAGCCGGGTATGGTGGCCTGCACCTATAATCCCAGCTACTTGGGAGGCTGAGGCAGGAGAATTGCTTGAGCCTGGGAGGTGTAGGTTGCGTTGATCCGAGATCGCGCCACTGCACAGAGTGAGACTCTGCCAAAAAAAAAAAAAAACAGCTAAGATGACTTGTAGTTGCAGCAGTCATCATCTTCCTGAAATCTGAAGATGATTGTGAACTTGGCCTTGAAGCTCAGGTATGCCGAGTGCCCCTGGAGTCTTGCTCTGGAAAAATCTCATGTAAATCAACTCCTTTGAAATGCATACATAAAATGAGTCTTGTGGCCGTTCATTAGGGAAACATAAGGAGAATCCTGCTGTATAAGGAGAAATTACTTTATAATACCAAAAAAGCCTGCCTGCTCATTATCTGTCTTACAAAATAAAATTCTCCAACTACACTCCCAACCCTCTGTGACTGTGGCAGTGACTTTAGCAAGTTATCTTGAAATCAAAGCCATCCCTTACAGTATTGATTCTATTGAAAAAAACGAGTTTCAAAAACAAAAACGAATTTCCAGAATAAGTCCTGCTTTTAATTCAGAGACTTTTGTATCTAGTTGGTGATTTTTTTTTTTTCAGTGAAACATGCCTTGGCTAAATGCCTCCTCATTACTGAGCTGTTGTCTGTTCTTTTATTCTTCCACACAATAAGAGTGGCACCACAACATGCCATTCTGCAGAGCACGCACAGATGCCCTGATGCTTTTTATTATGGCGTGTTATTATCCCCATGCTTTTGTAGTAGGGAAAAGTGAGGGGAAACATAACCTCCCGGAGGCTTAACAAGAGTCACCTGACAGCCTCCAGGCTCCCTCTTCCTCAACAAATGTCCGCATGGTTGGGTAGGCCTGGCACTTCCAGGGGCCAGCAGAGCAGAACCTGTCCCCAGAGGTCCATGGTCCCTCCTGTCTCCCGTCTCACAGCTTTCAGACTAGAAAATCCCAGGGTGGCCTGGTGGAGGCTTGGGTAGAAGAGGCAAACTGAGAAGTGAGAAAGGGGCTGATCCCCAGGGTCCTCTAAGCAAATTGAAAAAAAGAACTGAGTGAAGGGTCGCCACCAGGGTGCTTGTGGACACAGGTGGCTTCTTTCATCTTCTTTCTTTCCCCCACAGTCCGGAGGGACTTCCAGAGCATAAGAGCCACAACAGAGTCAAGGAATGATAGGCGGGAAGGCTTCCTGGCTGGAAAGTACCAGCTAGGGTAGATGCTATACCCACAGGTTCCAACTTGGAGGCTCCAGGCCCTTGAGGTGATGAGGATAGAAAAGGGGAAAGAGTGCTGTATTTGCTGTAACAATAGTAATATTAATTATTATAATAGCAGCTCTCATTTTTTGAGCCCTAATACCATTTGCCAGATGTTGTTTTATATATTTTACATGTATTAATTCGCTTAATATTCTTAACAACCATATAAAACAGGTACCACTATTATTTTCATTTTAAAGGTAAGGAAATTGAGGCATAGAGACATTAAATAATTTTCTAGGTCTGGCAGTAATTACGTGCCAGAGCTAGTTGGAGGAGCTCTGGCAGCCTGGCCTGGAGCCCCTGCTCTGAACCACTGTGCTCTACTGCCTCCTACTGGCTGTACAATCATCATAACTATCTGAATCACAAAAAGATGTTAGATCAGCATCATCCGACAGAACTGTTAGGCAAACCCTATATGTAATTTAAAATTTTCTAGTAATTACATTAAAAAGTAAAAGAAACAGGTAAAATGAATTTTATTTACGATGTTATCCAAAATATTGTCATTTCAACGTGTAATCAGTATAAAAGCTGAGATATTTTACATTTTTTTCATGCCAAGTGTTCAAAATCAGTGTGTATTTCACCCTTACAGCATAAGCTACTTGGGAAAAGTCACATTTCAAGCACTCAATATGCACATTGAGCTACCAGATTGTGCAACGCATGTAGCACAGTTAGATACTCAGGACCTTAGAAGTAGGTGCTGCACCAACCTGGACTCGATGGGCCACATTGCCCACAGTGATAGAGGTGACCCTCTTCTTCCACGTAGAAATCCATTTTCAGTCTGAGCATCTCAAGAAACATCCAAGTATGAAAAGTGATGATCTCTATTGTGTAAGACCTGCTCTGGCACTTGGGCCAACATCTTTAATTGAGAAATGTACAATTCCTGAGGACTTTCAGTTCTTAAAATAATTATCTCTGCCAGACCGCACCCATTTCTTCTTTAGTCCCTCCTGGAGAACCCTCCTAATTCATGTCTAGGTGCAGGATTGTAGCAAGCTTCATCTTGCTTTGAACAGGAACATACTATGCCCCACCCCAGGCATTTCTTAGCCAAAGATGTAGCCAGTATATATTCTCATGACACAGGCCTGCCGCTTTATTTGCAGGAATGTGCTCACCTATTAGAGGCAGCTATGGTTCATTTGCTATGCGAGAATATAGTCTTTAGATCTTCATACAGTAATAGCTATGTCATTAGCTCCTTTACTTATTTCTGCATAATCTCTTTACATGGTTTCTTGGCCAAAGAACAAAAGTGTGTGAGGCCAGGCATCATGCTGTTAGTGGGTAATTAGCCCCACTCAGATTCACATCAACTCCAGATCCTTACCTTAAAGACAGCATGACTAGTCATATGTGTATAACTCTCCTTATTAAATATCTAAAAGCAGTAAGACTTAGGATAAACTAAACATCATTCATTTCCTCCCCAGATCCCATGGATTTTGCCTCATTTCTTGCAGAGAGATGCAGATATCTAATGATAATTTTATGTGGGATTTTTTTTCCATGAAAGTAAGAGGAGAACATAATTATAATGTTTCATTAAGAAATGTATCATCTCCTAGGCATATTGCAAGGACTATTAGTCATTCTGCTGTGAATTAGGAAACGTACTGTATAATTGCAAAATTACATTAATATCTTCAATACAGTCAAAATAACATTTCATAGAATATTCAAGTTGAAAGTACCCTACAGAACATCTAATTTCCCAGACTTGCTTGAGGATAAGAATAATTTAGAATATTTAATAACACAGAATCGGTGGCTTATCCAAGACCCACTGAATCAGAATATTGGGGAAGGGGTCCAGGAAGCTGTGTTAGTAAGCAAGAACAGTTCAGCTTATTGGTATCATCAGAAAAGGTAAGGGAACACTGAACTTTGTTTTACAGAGGAAGGGCCTGGGGCTCAGAGAGGTCAAGGGACTGGATCACATTCACACAGCTACTGTACATCAGATGGGAATTGAATCTACCTCTCCTGAATCTAGTCTAGGAACTTCCCCAAAACCAGACTACTGCATTAGGGTTCAACAAAACAGAACTGAAACCCATCATTGTCTTCTGTCTATAAAGAAAGAAGGAAATAGTAATTTTTTCCAAGGGATAGGTTTTTATATAACTTTTAATATAGTCTTCTAGACTCCCCATGATTCAAGAAGGTCCATGAAAAACTGATGACATGCAGCACACACACACACACACACACACACACACACACACACACACTCCATTTCTGCTTTATCGTGAACTCAGAAGAGACCATGTTTAGTGATTAAACTAGTCTTTTTCTTAATCCTTTAAATATTCCATGTGCATTAATTATCACTCTTTTGGATTCTCTTTTAGAGTCAACCATCAAGTCTATATCCATTTACTTCAAATATCTAAATTCTTCCTTTATCTTTTGTTCTACTTTGAGGAATGCAGGGCTATTCTTCAACAAGTAACTCATTTTTAAAATTTAAGCAAGGCGAAAATGGTGTCAATATTTATCCTCTGCTGCAGAAAATGTAGATGAAAATCCAACAAGAAATGCCTTTCCGATGTCAAAATGTTGATTTTACCACCTTCTTATAATTTTCTTTATTTCTGCAGATTGTCCGAAGCCTCCAAACATTCCCATGATCATGTTAGGGGTTTCCCTGGCTATTCTTCTCATCGGGGTTGTCCTACTGTGCATCTGGAAGCTACTGGTGTCATTTCATGATCGTAAAGAAGTTGCCAAATTTGAAGCAGAACGATCAAAAGCCAAGTGGCAAACGGTATGTGGAAACTTAGGGCTACTCCTTGTCTAGGGGAGAAAGAGGCTGGTGGAAGAGATTGAGGGGCTCAGCTTTCTTCTGCTCTGGGAGTTCAAATGTCACATTTTTTCTCTCCCACTCTCGCCATGACTCCAACAGCTTTGATTTCTGTTCTGCTTCAGGGGCAAAGGTCCAGATGACCCTCATAGCTTATATTTGTCTTAGTGCGGTGGGGATTTCCACCACGATGAAGGGTCTCATGAGGCTCCTGAGACAGCTGCTTAGGGACATTGGGGAAGTATATTTTTACCCAGCGCTTCCTCACCACTAGGAGTATCCCTCAGGCCCCATTTGATAAAGCACGGGTGCTATATCTAAACATTTCCATAAATTGGTTATGTTATAATGAATGGAATAGTGTTCATAAATAGTACGATAATTCATGCCAATTTCTTTGGAAATACTTGTTTCTGATATAATAGGTTACAAAGCAAAATTGAGATGATTTTTAAAATGCCATGCAGTTATTTTTTCTGAATAACATAAATTTTAAACAGAGACCTGAAAAAAACCCCAAAAGTATTAACCTTTAAATACATAAACTCAACAGAAATAATTTAACTGCCTTCTCTTCACAAGAGGCAATCAGAAGGCAGGACTATAGTTTTCTGTGTTTCTTTTCCACAGGAGAGATAATTACATTTCTAGAGACCCATAGAAACAATTCCATAGTTTTAATTTCATCTCTCTATCTCTAATGGTGTGTCCAGGTATCTAACAGCAATTATCTTACATTGCTGATTCTAACAACAATGATATCACTGGAGAAAATACAGGTAGACGCAATGCTCCTTTGGATTTGTCCGCCCAAATAATTTGATGTTAACAATTTTTATAGCAATGCCTTCAACTCCTAAAGCAAATGGAATTTTCCATTTTTGATAAATTTATCTTGATAAGGGATGTTTCTGTTGTATGCGGTTATTCTAAATTAATGATAATACATGGTACAGGACAATGAACACTGAAAATTTTTATCTACTTTATCTTCCCATTAAAAATGCATTTAGATACAACAGCCAAATGCAATGTATGGATTTTGTTTGGATCGTGATTTGAACAGTCCACCTGTAAAAATACATTTTTAAAACAACTGGAAAAAGGCTGGGCATGGTGGCTCACACCGTAATCTTAGAACTTTGGGAGGCCAAGACAGGAGGATTGGATCACTTGAGCTCAGGAGTTCGAGTTGGGCAACATGGCAAAACCCATCCCTACAAAAAGAAATACAAAAATTAGCCAGGCATGGTGGTTCACACCTGTAGTCCCAGCTACTTGGGAGGCTAAGGCAGGAGGATCACTTGAGCCAGGAGGTCAAGGCTGCAGTGAGCCATGATCATGCCATTGCATTCCAGCCTAGGTGACAGAGTGAGCCCCAGTCTCCAAAATAAATAATAAATAAATACATAAAAAGACTGAAAAAAGATTAATACATGCTGGGTATTAGAATGATAGCAAATAAGTATGGTTAATTTGATTAGGTATGATAATGGCATGGTGACATTGCTAGAAAATATCCATATTTTTTAGAGATGCATACTGAAGGAGTGAAAGGAAATGAAAGCTGGGGTTCACTTTGAAATAATTCAGCCAAGAGAGTGGGATGGAGGGATAGTTGAAGCAGGTGTGGCAGAACTGTGATAACTGTGGAATCTGAGCGATGGGTCTTTGGAGGTTGGTTATATAGCTTTCCTCTTTTTGCGAATGTGTGTATTTTCCATAATTAAGCAAAATTCCTCAGGAGAAGATATAATTTACTCATCCCTAACAATGTAAAAGGTAAACAGGTTAGCTTGGTGACTTAGAACACAGTACTAATGAGCCCAAAGTTGTAGGACAGTTCACTTCACCTGACCCCTGGCCACAGATGTTATTTTTGACTTTCATCAACTCTCCAACAAATGCCTTGCCATGGTTAGAAGGGCAACCAGGTAAAAGAATATGGTTAAGTTGCCACAAAGGACAATAGCAGCAAGCCCCATGATATAATCCTGGTATTTCCATTTTGAAGAGCTAAACTAAGGCTCAGAGAAGTTAAGGGACTTCCCTAACTTTTGGTGCATGGTTAAGCTGAAGCCTAATTGTTCATTGTTCTTCTAAGCACAGCCTTTGGTTGACCCTCCTGGAAATAATAAGCAGGTGTTCCACAAACACGCACTTGGGCAATTATGTGATGTGTATCTACTAACCAGCACATTTCAATGTTCTCATACAGAGGCATAAATACTGACAAGTGATTAATATCTTTAAAATAACATTTTAATTAACAGTTAATTTCCCCAAAAACATGAATTGTTCTCCCTCAGGATGTAGAACATGACTGAAATTCAAATGCTGAATTTTTGCTGTTTCTTCATCTAACATGCGACCCGAACATGCATTAAACAGAAAAAAAAGCATAAATGGAAAATATTATTCCCTTATTAAATTGAGTTTCTTTGAATAACAAATGTTTGATGTTCCTGACTAGATAATGACTGGGTAGTAATTATTCACTTGGATGCAAAAAAGGTTTAACTCAAATAATTCAGTTTAAATTTCACTAACATCCTACTGGAAAAAAATGTCGCTCACTGCACACATTTAGGGGTCTTCAATTTAACTGAGTTTTTTCCCTAAAACCTATTTCTTCTTGAAGAAGTGAATTTGACTGGTCTTTGAAACCCAGTGCCCTCCAGAGACAATAGGGACAGTCAGGCCTCCTGGCCATAGGACTGCACTGGACTCATAAAGTGACAGGGCTTAAGACAGAAAGGTCTTCACTCCTACCTCCTAAAACATTTCAGAGCAGCTGTAAAGAAAGGTTATCTTTTTTATTATGCTTTAAAAAATAATGCCCACCCCCACATATTCTTTATGAAAACACAAATGAAACATATTTAAATTCATCTTTGATTAGAATTTTTTTTCTAGGATGACAAGTCATTAACTTGAGGCAAAAAAATGTTCAGCCTGACATTTCTTGCAGTCATGAATTGATTTTGTACTGTGCTAAGCAAATCAGGTCTGTGTTTGGCAGTTGGGCGATCATTAAGGAAGCTGTGGGTCATGACAGAGTTTTCCTATTACCACTTTTTCAATCTTGAAAAATGTGTCATTGCATTTGCAGAATCCACAGCCTAAATTAGCACTCCCAGACACCTGGGGGAATCAGCCTGGTAACCCCAAATGGTTAGGGGAAAACTGACCTTTTCTGAGCAGTGGATTGCACACTCACCCGAAATAGAGTAGGACTCAAGCCTGCATTTCAGCTGGAAAGTCTGTGTAGAGAGGTTACAATCAGCAGAGCACTAGAGGAGGCAGTGTGGACATTTCCACACCTCCTCCTGGAACAAAACCCAATGTGAGTGCATTATCCTGACCTCTGATCTTCAGCTGAGGCCAGGAAATACCCTATTACACACAACAGCAATATGTACTTGCTCTTCGTCCACTTTTACACTTCCACCTTACCCTCTTACTCTAGTGAAGTCTGCTTTACCCATCACTCCCTATAAGCAATGTCTTGGCCCTAAACCAGTATTGCAAGGGACTCCCAAAATATTGCAAACCTGAATGAATGAAGTTGCTTTAAAATACGGAATGAAAACTCTGCCATCAAAATTAAACATTCAACTAAATATCTACTAAATAACATTGTGTTATCTTGTCAACTGCAATTCAAGTCACCTCCTCTATAATGCATATCAGTTATATTAAGTGTGGGATATGGGTGTATTGTAGTATGTTTGACATGATATAGGGTGCACCTACAAACAAGTATCTGGTCCTACGGAGCTCTAAGCTGGCCCTGCTCACAGCCTGTGTCCTCTTTCCAAGTGTCTTTTCTGTTCACAAAGGTGGGAGCTTCCTGGAGGAAGTGGGAAATTCCTCCAGGACAGGCTTACCCTGTCATTGCTGGCCTGAACCTCTTACTTTTTTCCATCTTGTTTCTTCAATGGAGTCTCTCATTCTCCTGTAACCAACTAGATTCTAGTCTCAAATTTAATAGAATTCCATGCATGATTTTTGTTTGCAAATGAGACTCCATCTACATCTAAATTCACATCAGTCTGCCCTTTGCCTTCAAAATCTCAAATTCTTAGAGCAGCAAGACTAGATAAGATCTGGAGGTCCCTCAGAATTAACCAGGCTGCTCTCAGGAATAGAAGCAATATACCAACTTAGCTTTCACCCATCATCCACCACCAGCCAAGGAACATTTTTCTGTTTGGCTTTATTATAGAAATAGCATATCTCTTTAAAGGCACATAACAAAAGTAGCATGTCACTTAGTCAGAGGTCAGGCCACTGGCTCTGGACAACATAGAAATGGGTGCAGGTGTGATTCCCACTCACAATGAGGGCACTGAGGCCAGTGAGTGGGAAAGACCGGGGAGTGTTTCCGATTTTATTCAATTCTTTTAAGAGCTGAAAGAAATATACTGAGCAAGCAAAGACAATTAAGGTTTTTTTTCAAATCCACCCCTAGAAATTTCTACCATAGCTATAATTCATGGAATGAGGTGATCAAAGTATAAGATTTTAACTTAGAAGGTCAGAGGCGGTACCTGGATTCCATACATACTCAGTAATGGGCTTAGAAATGTTAAGTGTACCAAAGCCCTGGGGGAAAATATCTTAATAATCCTCTCTAAAACCTAAAAGAAAAGGAAATTCCAAATGTGAAGAAAAGCTATAAATAGGAACTAATGAGAAGAGGCAGCATTTATGGAGCATTTGCTATGTGCTACACACAGTGCTAAAATACTTTACCTGGACGAGGTAGGAACAGATAGGGACACCAAGGCTCAGAGTGTCTTCAGTACGGTCATGTGGTGGAGCTGGGTTTGGACCCAGACTGTTGCCATAGCCTGTGTGATCAGCCTTGGAAAGTGGGAGAGAAGAAACTGTACCTTACCCAGACACCTTCCTCCGGCCTGGAACAACTAGAGAGGCTTGATCCTTCTGGACCTTCTGGTCCTTTTGGCTACAGCACCACTGCTATTGGCACCTGGAGGCACATCTATAACCCAAACAGCACAGCTGAGCTACCCAAGAGTCCCACACCCAACCTTCCCACTGCCCCCAAGGCAAAGCCATTTTTCCTGGCCTGCCTTTGGACTGCAACTCTTTCATGACCCCAGGGTCCTCCATACCAGTCTCTTGTGGTTGTCTTACACAGTGTTGTACATAGTAAGCAAAAGACAGCTGGTTCTTTGGCTACCCAGGGCAAGTGTTAGCTGTCCAGAGGATGGTTCCTCACTCCTCCCAAGCAACTACTTTCTCCCACTTCTGAGTTTTGATTTCATCTTAGCATGATTATTTGTGCCCTTCTTTGATGCCTCTCATGAGTAACACGTTTGTTAAAGGCAGATACTGTGTCGTTCATTTTTGTATGTTCCTACTGGTTTCACTTTTCCTGTTTTTTACTTTTTTGGCTTTGATTTCACTTTTGGTTCATCTGTCACTGTTCATGCCACTCATTCCATACATACTGAGTACCTGCTTTGGGCCAGGGACTCAGTGCTGGGAAAACAGCAGTGAGCACAACAGCTGAAGCCTTGTTTTCTATCCGTAAATTTGTGCATTACCAAAAGAGGTAAGATTTTTAGAATATACATATGGGACTTGTTCTGTATATTTAACAAAATGAAAATGTATAAATTGCAAAACACTAAACATATGAAATGCCAAATTAATCAAAATTGTTCTAATGGTTTCCAAGACTGAGCTTGACTCTCCTCTTCCAATTTGCACTACGTATTAAAACAGTATAAAAACAAAATATACATACTTTCACTTGAATCTTTTTTTTTTTTCCAGGGAACCAATCCACTCTACAGAGGATCCACAAGTACTTTTAAAAATGTAACTTATAAACACAGGGAAAAACAAAAGGTAGACCTTTCCACAGATTGCTAGAACTACTTTATGCATGAAAAAAGTCTGTTTCACTGATATGAAATGTTAATGCACTATTTAATTTTTTTCTCTTTGTTGCTTCAAAATGAGGTTGGTTTAAGATAATAATAGGACATCTGCAGATAAGTCATCCTCTACATGAAGGTGACAGACTGTTGGCAGTTTCAAAATAATCAAGAAGAGAAATATCCTTAGCAAAGAGATGACTTTGGGGATCATTTGAGGAATACTAACTCTGTTGCATTAATGCTTCAAAAAATCATCAAATGATTCATGGGGGCCTGATTTGCATTTGAAAAATGTTTGAAATTAGAGTCTCATTTGTTTCAGGAATGCAGCTACCTGAGTTTTTTGTCTCGGCAAAGTCACAAAGCCCATATACTCACATTGTGTGTCTATACTTGCCAATTAATTCTAAACTTGTAGGAAATATGCCCTCTCTTAAAGGAGAATTTTTTTTAAATCTCTGAGAAATGAGATTCTGAGTTTATTTCAGCTAAAAGGTTGCAATTCTTCTGAAGATATCTCAAATATAAGGTTGAAAGTTAAGTGTTAATAATTTTTGTGAATTTATACACACCTAAACGTTAAGTACACAAATATTTTATTTGTTTTACAAATAAGGAATAAGTAATTTATAAATTAAGAAGTTACCTATAAAAATAAAAAGATAACAACCCTATCATATAGCTTATTTTTAAATTACCTGAAAAACGATATTCTACACTGTTTCCTTTTTGACTCTGAGTTTTCAAACTGTTACTTCTCCCATATTTCTCAATCCATTTCACTCAGTTGCACAGTCTTTTAAACCCTGTAATTGTCATACCAAAGTTTCTTTTTAAAAAAAAATTACTTTAAATGCTTAGTTTATTCAAAGAGCGATCCAATAATATAAAAGGAACATGTGTTAAACACAATAAAATTTTAAATGGCTCTAAATCAAGCACATCAAGAGTATACAAGTCTTAAAGGCTTTTTAATACATACTCTTTTCCCATCTATGTAACCCAACTTGCACATTTCAGCTGCATGTGGTGAATATGCATCATATATTTACTTTAAGAGGTAAGATTTTACTTGCAAAATACATGTGCAAATTAGGGATCCATCAGTTGATGGAAGAGATGGACTCTAGAATATTATTTCTTGTGGTTATTACTCCTTTACAAAGCACTTTCGTCTCACTTGATCCTCATAAGGAAACTAAGGCTCAGAATGAGTAGAGCTGGGTTCAGAATCTAGCTCTTCTAACTCCAAGCCATCTCCTCTTTCCACTGCAGGAAACTGCCTCTTTTGTCAGTGAAATAATAGAAAGATTGTGTTAGTTAAGTGATAACTGTCATTTGTTTGAAAATGTTCGAGACTGAACAAATAGCATTTAAACTGCTGGCATATAGATGAGATATTGTACTTTTGTGCAATGTTTATTACCTTTGATTAAATTGTAATGTGAAGCTTTTACTAGGTGAATAGTTCATTATGTAGTGGAGGCTTCGTGGTTGTCCATTGAATTGTCACAGCAAAATCTATAAGTTTCTTCAATTCTACAAGATAGATCCATATACCTTTGATCACTTGGAGACTCTTTTTTTGCTGGTTTCTAGATAACTCAGGTAAATCAGACCTTTACAGAGTACAGGGCTAGGTGAAAGAATTACTGAAAAATCACCTTGAAAATCCGAAGGGCTGATATACCCTTTATGTTCCTGACTGATGCGCAGAACCTGGGGGAAATCTACAGCAATATACAGGTTGCAATGCTGATAACACAACAGCAATCCTCTCCTCTACGTGGACTTACTGTTGTTTTTTTAATTATTATTGGAATGGGATTTTAGAAAATAGAAGTTACCTTTGTGTGTGTTTTAGGGAAGGTAGAGAAGAATCTGCTCTTTCTCTGAATACTGTTTTGACCCCAGGCAGGACCTTGGAAAGGCCAAAACATTAACAGTAGTACTTCTGTTCACTGAAGAGTTATGTTACATGAAGATAAAATGGTTTTGTCGTGTTTATTATTGTATTTTGTGTTGATATAAATAAACATGGTAATTTAAACAATGAACCTTAGATGGATGATAGTTTCTTTTATTTGCTTGGCACAAAACCCTCTTCTTGGATTTCTGGATTCCTCTGTGACCTGTTCTGACTGCCTTGATGGTCTTGGTCTGGGGCCAAGGAGAAGAGCAAAAGGAGGCAGCCACAGAAGGCAAGAGACAGCAGGGAGCGGGCCTGGACATCACCATTTTGTAAAGTCAAGTTCTTTAGAGTTAGTGCTATAAACTGAAATGTATCACCTTCCACCCCCAATAGCCCCTGTCCCCCCAAAATTCATGTATTGAAGTCTTAACCCCCAGTAGCTGAGACTATAACTGTGCTTAGAAATAGAGCCTTTAAAGAGATAATTAAAGGCCGGGCACGATGGCTCATGCCTGTAATCCCAACACTTTGGGAGGCTGATGCAGGCAGATCACAAGGTCAGGAGTTCGAGACCAGCATGGCCAACATAGTGAAACCCCGTCTCTACTAAAAATACAAAAATTAGACAGGTATGGTGGCAGGCGCCTATAGTCCCAGCTACTTGGGAGGCTGAGGCAGGAGAATCACTTGAACCCAGGAAGCAGAGGTTGCAGTTGGCTGAGACCACGCCATTGCACTCCAGCCTGGGTGACAGAGTGAGACTCCATCTCAAAAAAAAAAAAAAAAAAAAAAAAGAGAGATAATTAAAATAAGGCGATGGAGTTGAGCCCTGGTCCACTATGACTAGTGTCCTTATAAGAAGAGGAGATTAGGACACAGACATAAGGAAAACCATGTGAAGATACAGGGAGAGGGTGGCCAACTACAAGCCACGGAGAGAGGCCTCATAAGAAACCAACCCAGTTGCCACCTGCACCCTGGACTTCTGGCCCCCAGAACTGAGGGAAAATAAATTCCTGTTGTGGAAGCCCCCTAGTCTGTGGTGCTCTGCTCAGCAGCCTGAGCACACTCACGCGCTCAGGGAGTCTATTCTTCTGCACATCCATTTGTTCGGTGTCATGGTGCCATGCTTATCTTCTAAATCAGGAAAATGAAGCACAAAGAGACCAAATGCTGGAAAAAGGAGTCAATTTAATCTTTCTCTTAGGCCCATTTCTTACAAGAAGACAGGCAAAGTCAAATCAAGAGTACTTATATTCTGAAACACACTGTCTCTTGTAAACTAAAGGCCAAATGTCTGAAAATAGAGAAACAGCTCCCATTTTGAATAGCACCAAGAAAGTCCCTTCTCGTCTTAATTTTTCCATCTGGGAGGTGGAATTCTTGTGTCTTCTAGCAGCTATAACAATTCCTGACACAGTAGCAACTCAATAAATTCATTCAACAAATATTTATTGAATGCCTGGTATATGCCAGACACTGTTCTTATGACTGTGGATACAGTGAACAATGAGCAAAACAAGTAATCTCTATGCTTCCAAATGAGAGAGAAAATAATAAACAAGTAAATATACATTATCAGGGTCCTGGACCCAGTTTGTGCAGACCCCAGATCCACTTGGTCCCACCTGCCTTCCAGGCCTATGCCAGGAGTTACCCCAGCACCAACCTGCACAGTCTCCTTGGTAGTAAAACCCCAGCTTCTTCCTAACTCCTAACAGGTTAAGGAGCTGCTGCAATTCCTGTGCCCAAGTCCAGAATGGCTTCCCTAGCTGCTGCCCCAAGGGACCACATAAGACAACAGGGAGGTTCAGGGGAGTCAACACTCTGAAGAATGAATGTAGATCCATAAGAGACAGAGATAAGAAGGAACCAGCAGATGAACAGGAGATGAGCCACCAGCGATGTCTTCTGGGGAAGCAGTGGCCAGCTTCCAAATGCCTCACCTTGTACCTGCGTTCCCTCATTAGCTGCCTCCCTGCCCTTTTTCACTGGGCTAGCACCCCTCAATAAAACATTAGCACATAACCTTGCTCGGGTTCTTATTATATAAGAAGACTGGACTAAGACTGTCTAACCGTCCTAAGAACTATGCAGAAAATAAAGCAGGACAAAAAGCTACACAATGCCCTGTGAGAGTGCACCCTTAGAAAGAGTTGTAATTTCTTTTATTTTTATTTGTTTATTTTTTTGAGACAGAGTCTCACTCTGTCACCCAGAATGGAGTGCAGTGGCATGATCTCAGCTCACTGCAATTTCCGCCTTCTGGGAAAGTGAATCCAAAAGTGAATTGCTCTAGACAGGGCAAAGGGTGGAAAACTTGATCTTCTGTCTTTTCATTTGGTTACACAACCAGCAAGGGAGCAACATGGCACCCCAGAAGTTTTGCATCCCATGAGCTCTCCTGGAGCTAGGTCCTGGGAGAGGCCTGACAGTCAAAGACACAGATTTGACCACCATTACCCCACCCCCCACTCTTTGGTGTCATTGACTTGGCAAGACTTCACAAATCCCATGGAGGATCTAGTTCAGTTTGAAATTTTAATCTGACCTTTGCAATTTCCAGGTATGTAGTTTATGAAAGAACTGCTCAAATAGTATTTGTTTTTTTGGCCTAAAATGTATTTACATTTATGGTCTTGCATATTAATCAATCCTGTTCTAGGTCAATATCCGAAGCTCCGTATCAAGGAACTCTGTTGTTTGTCAATAACTGACCCAATGAAAAGTTTATTTTTTTAATCCAGTTGACTTTGCTATGCATAATATAGATGTGTGTGTATGTGTATATGTAAATACATACATATATATTTCTTATTTCAATAGCTATATCTTACTAGCATTAAAGAGCTTGCATTGTTAATAAAAATTAGGGTTAACTGAATGTTGTGCACATGTACTCTAGAACTTGGGGTATAATAATAATAATAAAAAAGAAAAAACAAAAATAAAATCAATCAAAAGCTCAAAAAAATTAGGGTTAAAAGAAAAACATTAGATGAATTAATTTTAACAGAGTTTAATTGAGCAATTCACAAATTGGGCAGTTCCTCAACCAGAGTAGGTTCAGAGTGACTCAGGCAGTGCTGTGTGGTCGGAGAGGATTTACGGACAGAAAAGGGAAAGCAAGGTACAGAAAACAGAATTGACATGCAGAAACAGATTGGTTACAGTTCTGCATTTGCCCTATTTGAACACGATTTGATCAGTTGGCCACCTACACGTGGTTGAAGTATGGCTTCTGTGATGGGCTGAGACTTGGTTACTCATTACAAAAGTAGGTTACAGTCTGTTTCCACACCCAGTTAGGTTACATCATTATATATGGAGAAACCTTTAGGCCAAATTTACCAAGAGGCAGATTTAAGCTAAACCTAATTTGACTTAAGGTAACACCTACTGTTCTAAATACATTATACATGTTAACTCATTCAGAGCTCACAACAACCCTATGGGGGGGGTATTATTTTTATCTCCTATTTTACAAGTGAGGAAACTGAGGCACAGAGATGTTAAGTAAATTCCCCAGGTCATACAGCTTAACAGACTTCGAAGTGTCAAAGATAAACAAAGCCAGACACTAGTTAAGGTGGAAACAACAGACTTTAATCAGTAATACGCTATTGCAATAGGGAAGAGTCCAGCTTGAAGTGAACTCAACTTCAGTTTATATGAAGTTTACTGAGCATTTTATTTTATTTTACTTTATTTTTATAATTTTAAGTTTTTGTGGGTACATAGTAGGTGTATATATTTAGGGTGCACAGGAGATATTTTGATACAGGCATACAGTGAGTAATAATCATATCAGGGTAAATGGGGTACCCATCACCTCAAGCATTTAGCCTTTCTTTGTGTTACAAACAATCCAATTATACTCTTTTAGTTATTTTGAAATGTGCAATAAATTATTGTTCACTGTAGTCACCCTGTGGTGCTATCAAATACTATATCTTATTCATTCTATCTGACTATATTTTTTGTACCCATTAACCGTCACTCCTTCCTCTCCCTGCCCCCCTACTACCCTTCCCAGCCTCTGGTAACCATCCTTTTACTCTATCTCTGTGAATTCATTTGTTTTACTTTTTAGCTCCCATAAATAAATGAGAACATGTGAAGTTTGTGTTTCTGTGCCTGGGTTATTTAACATAATGACCTTCAGTTTCATCCATGTTGTTACAAATGACAGGATCTCATTCTTTTTATGGCTGAATATAGTACTCCATTATGTGTATGTACCACATCTTCCTTAGCCATTCATCTGTTGATGGACACAGGTTGCTTCCGAATCTTGGCTATTGTGAACAATGCTACAATAAACATGGGAGTGCAAATATCTCTTTGATATACTCATTTCCTTTCTTTTGGGTATATACCTAAGAGTGGGATTGCTAGATCGTATGTAGTTCTACTTTTAGTTTTTTGAGGAACCTTCAAACTGTTCTCCATAGTGGTTGTACTAATTTACATTCCCACCAATAGTGTATGAGGGTTCCCTTTTCTCCACATCCTTGCCAGCATGTGTTGCCTGTCTTTTAGATAAAAGCCATTTTAACTGGGGTGAAATGATATCTCATTGTAGTTTTGATCTGCATTTCTCTGATGATCAGTGATGTTGAGCACATTTTCATATACCTGTTTGCCATTTGCATGTCTTCTTTTGAGAAATGTTTATTCAGATCTTTTGCCCAATCTAAAATCAGATTATTGGTTTTTTTCCCATTGAGTTGTTTGAGCTCCTTATATAATCAGGTTATGAATCCCTTGTCAGATGGAGAGTTTGCATTTTCTTCCATATTGTAGCTTGTCTCTTCACTTTGTTGATTGTTTCCTTTGTTGTGCAGAAGCTTTTTTTTTTTTTTTTTTTTGACAGAGAGTCTTGCTCTGTAGCCCAGGCTGGAGTGCAGTGGCACAAACTCGGCTCACTGCAACCTCTGCCTCCCAGGTTCAAACAATTCTCCTGCCTCAGCCTCCTAAGTAGCTGTGATTACAGGGGCATGCTACCATGCCCGGTTAATTTTTGTATTTTAGTAGAGACGGGGTTTCACCATGTTGGCCAGGTTGGTCTTAAACTCCTGACCTCAGGTGATCTGCCCACCTCGGCCTCCCAAAGTACTGGGATTACAGGCGTGAGCCACTGTGCCTTTTAACTTGATGTGCTCCCCATTTGTCCATTTTTGCTTTAGGTGCCCATGTTTGTGGAGTATTATTCAAGAAATCTTTCCCCACTCAAATGTCTTGGAGAGTTTCCCCAACGTTTTCTTGTGGTATTTTCATAGTCTGAGGTCTTAGATGTAAGTCTTTAAATCCATTTTGACTTGATTTTTGTACATGGCAAGAGATAGGGGTCTAGTTTCATTCTTCTGCATTTGGATGTCCAATTTTCCCAGCACCATTTATTTTTGAAGAGAATGTTCTTTTGTCGACAATGTTCTTGGCAGCTTTGTTGAAAATGATTTCACTGTAGATGTATGGATTTGTTTCTGGGTTCATGTATCAGTTCTTTCTCACATTTCTGTAAAGAAATACCTGAGACTGGGTAATTTATAAAGAAAAGAAGTTAAATTGCCTCACAGTTACGCAGCCTGTACAGGAAGCATGGGCACCTCTGCTTCTGGGGAGGCCTGAGGGAGCTCTTAACTCATGGCAGAAAGCAAAGCAGACATCTTACATGGCAGGGGAGGGGGAGGTGTCACACACTTTTAAAACAACCAGCTGTCATGATTACTCACTCATTCACTATCATGAGAACAGCATGGAGGGGATGGTGCGAAACCATTCATAAGAACTCTGCCCCCATGAGCCAATCACCTGCCATCAGGCTTCACCTCCAACACTGAGGATTACAGTTTGATGTGAGATTTGGGAGGGGGCACAAATCCAAATCATATCAGTTCTTTATTCTCTTCCATTGGTTTATGTATCTATTTTTATGCCAGTAGCATGCTGTTTTGGTTACTATAGCTCTGTAGTATAATTTGAACCAGATAATGTGATTTCTCCAGTTTCGTTCATTTTACTCAGGATAGCTTTGGCTATTCTGGGTCTTTTGTGATTCCATATAAATATAAAACTGTTTTCTTTTTCCATTTCTGTGAAGAATGTCAATGGTATTTTGACAGGGATTGCATTGAATCTGTAGATTGTTTGGGGTAGTATGAACATTTTAACAATATTGAGTCTTCCAATCCATGAATATGGAATATCTTTCCATTTTGTTGTTTCCTCTTCAATTTCTTGTGTCAATGTTTTATAGTTTTCATTGCAGAGTTCTTTCACTTCTTTGGTTAATTCCTTGGTAGTTAATTTTATTTGTAGCTATTGCAAATGGGATTTTTTTAAATTTCTTTTTCAGATTGCTTGCTGTTGGCATATAGAAATGCTACTGATTTTTGTATGCTGACTTTGTATGCTGACACTTTACTGAATGTATCAGTTCTAATAGGTTTTTGCACTCCTTATGAGAATCTAATGCCTGATGATCTGTCACTGTCTCCCATCACTGCCAGATGGGACCATCTAGTTGCAGGAAAACAAGCTCTGGTATCCCACTGATTCTACAGTATGGTGAGCTGTATAATTATATATTACAATGTAATAATAGTAGAAATAAAGTGCGCAATAGATGTAATGTGCTTGAATCATCCTGAAACCATCCCCTTGGCCAGTCTGTGGAAAAACTGTCTTCCATGAAACTGGTCCCTGGTGCCAAAAATGTTGAGGACCTCAGAGTTAGATAACTCAGAACAAGGGTCATATTGCAAGAGGAGAATGCTGGTTCTGGGTAAATATGGTGGCAGTTCCTTAAACTAGACCTTAAAAGAACTATATATAAACTAAAATCTGACCTACTGAACTTTTGGGGCCCAAGCAATACTAATGTGGGGCCCTTTTGAGACAAGTAGAGTACAGAAGAGGAGACCTGCTTCCAAATCTAAAAATAAGATAGGTCTGTCAGCTCAGAAGGCAGAGCATCATGCTGTCGACTGGAGGTGAGTGGCTTCAGTGGAGCAGGGACCTGCTAATGCTGCAGACTGAGCAGAAGCCTAGAGACAGGCAAGCACAGGGAACACAGTGGGCCACTGGAACCTTGAGGGGGCCTAGAGGCAGGTGCTCAGCACATGCAATGGAAGGTGGGGCAGCGTTCTGGGCCTGGGCATGGAGCTGTGGAGGCTGCTAAGGAAGTAGCTGCCTAAAGGAGCACTGGCAAGCTGCCATGAGGGCTTGTGAGGTGCCCCCTGAGTATCCCCAGATACTAGAGGTGAGTGTGAGCACTGGAAGGGGCCCCTCAAATCTTCCAGGGACTGCGGTAAGTAACACAGGCCACAAAATTCAGGTCTGAATGTTAAAAAGACTGTTAATTCCGACTAGGCACTGACACTTGGAAAGGTTTGGGACTCAAAGACAGAAATAAGCCAGGTGCGGTGGCTCACGCCTGTAATCCCAGCACTTTGGGAGGCTGAGATGGGAGGATCACAAGGTCAGGAGATCGAGACCATCCTGGCTAACACGGTGAAACCCCATCTCTACTAAAAATACAAAAAATTAGCCGGGCGTGTTGGCAGGCACCTGTAGTCCCAGCTTCTCGGGAGGCTGAGGCAGGAGAATGGCATGAACCCAGGAGGCAGAGCTTGCAGTGAGCTGAGATCGCACCACTACACTCCAGCCTGGGGGATACAGGGAGACTCTGTCTCAAAAAAAAAAAAAAAGGGCAGAAATATTTGATATGAAGGTAGCCAAAGGAAAACCAATTTAAAGTAACACTTCTCAAATTAATATTTGTAGACCCTTAGAGGTCATTGCTCATTTCTAAGAGTAAGCTTATTCAGTCCTTTCCCTAGCCAGTCCTCCCAGAGGGACAGTCCACCAAACAAATCTCAGGTTTTTCTGGGAAGTAGGATGGCAGTGGGAAAATAAGGAGGAAGGAGTGGAGGAATGATGTAGGTCGTGAGGACCTACAGCCAAAAATAAGAGTACTGATGGAAATAACAAAGCCACAACTATTATGATAAATAACAAGCACAAATGACAGATTCCAGATTTCATTTTTTAAGAAACTCAAACAAGCTAGGACCAGTTCAGATTTGGGTTTAGCCTTTCTGAAAATAACTGCTCTTACTAACAAACAGGAATTTACCTGACTAGAATGCACAAGTCAAAACAGAAATTTACTAAAAAGAGATGCATAGATTTTCTCTAGCTCATACAGATGAGTCACACAACCTCTCTGGGAATATAATTAAGGACAAAGGAGCAGGGAAAATTCCAGAAGGCAGAGTATTTCATCACACTGAGGGAGTGGAATGTTTTAGAAAGTACTGCTATGCCACCTGTGATTTAGTTTAAGCCTTTATCCAGCCCATAAAGTAGAAGTGTACCACCCTGATTTGGAAATTAAAGTACTTTGAAAGCAAAATCACTCAGAGAGTGAAGTCAGCTCAAATGGAGGTCACTAACCATTTTTAGAAACAACCCAAGAGACCATCTTTGAATAAGAGATTTAGGGAGATTTGGAAACCCACAAATAGAATTAAGGCAACAAGAATGGGGTTGAGATGTGATTTCCACAAGAAAGCTCCAAGACAAATGATGATATTTTCTACTGTACGGTCTGAAGAAAGACAGTGTCAGTGGAAAGCAAAGGCCTTCATGGAGCTTAGAAAAGGAAAGGTAAAAGTAGGCCTGGACTAAATGGAGTTTATTCCAGAAATGTAGGGTTTGTTTAACATACAAAATCAGTAAGATAACTTGCCATATTAACAAACTGAAAAGAAAAATCATATGATCATCTCATAGGTGCAGAAGCATTATTTGACAAAATCCAACATCCATTCCTGATAAAACTTCTCATCAAACTAGGAACAGAAAGGACCCTCCTTAAGCTGATAAAGGACAGCTACAAAACTTTAGAGTTAACCTACTAACTATCCTAGCTACTACTGGAGGTTCTAGCTGGTACAATCAGGCAATAAATAAAATAGATTAGAAAGAAAGACATGAAGCTGTCTTTATTCATAGATGACACGGTCATATATGCAGAAACTCCAACAGAATCTACAAAACTACTATAACTAATAAATGAGGATAGCAAGATTTCAGGATAGAAGATTAATCTACAAAATCAATTGTATTTCTATATATTCACAGCAAGCAATTGGAAAATTTAAAAAAGAATGCTACTTATAAGAGCATCAAAAATATGAAATATTTTGGAATAAAAATGACAAAAATATAAAAGATCTATAAATTATAAACTACTAAACATTGCTGAGAAAAGTTGGAGACTAAATAAATGGATAGATACTTCTTGTTCATTGAGTCAAAAGACTCAATATTGTTAAGATGTCAATTTTCCCCAAATTGATCTTTAATTCCATGCAATCCCAATCAAAATCCCAGTAACACTTTTGTAGAAATCGGCAAACTGGTTGTGAAGCTCAAATCAGAATCCAAAGGATCTTCAACAGCCAAAACAATTTTGAAAAAGAAGAACAAAATTAGAAGGCTAACATTACCTGACTTTAAGACTTATGATAACACTACCATAATCAAAACAATGTGGTACTGATGTAAAGATAAATAATTTAGTGGAACAGAAAAGAGAGCCCAGAAATAGACATATATGGATAACTCATTTTTCATCAAGGTGCAAAGCAATTTAATGGAAAAACTGATACAGGAGCTAGAAAGAAATTGTTTAGGCAGATAGTAAGGGCAAGAGTCCTCAGCAGAATTTCCCTTTTAACAAAAAAAGTAGCCACAAATCATTCCTTTTCTAGCAAAGAGTAGCTTGAAAAAGCTACTCTTTTGAGTACAGACATAGATAAGCAAGCTGGAAGCTTGCACAGGTGAATGCCAGCAGCTGTGCCAATGGAAAAGGGTATGTTCAACATGGAGGCTTTTCTAGCAAAGAGTAGCTTGAAAAAGCTACTCTTTTGAGTACAGACATAGATAAGCAAGCTGGAAGCTTGCACAGGTGAATGCCAGCAGCTGTGCCAATGGAAAAGGGTATGTTCAACATGGAGGCTTTTCTAGCAAAGAGTAGCTTGAAAAAAGCTACTCTTTTGAGTACAGACATAGATAAGCAAGCTGGAAGCTTGCACAGGTGAATGCCGGCAGCTGTGCCAATGGAAAAGGGTATGTTCAACATGGAGGCTCCATCTTCCCTTTTCTTTGTCACCATGTGTACAGTAAAGAGGCAGGCAACATGGTGCCAACCCAGCAAAGAACTCATCTGCATAAGAAAAAGTTAGGATGGGGACAGCCAGATTTTCACATGCTATGCAAATGGCACACCTGCTCCGACTAATCTTTCATGTTCTATGTAAATCAGACACCACCTCCTCAAGCTCATCTATAAAACCCCTTGCATTTTGCCGTGGACCAGAAAATGTGCTCTGGACCCGTCTCTCTGCAGGAGAGAGCTTTTCTCTTTCTTTTACCGATTAAACTTCTGCTCTCTTCCTCACTCTTTGTGTGTCTGTGTCCTAGTTTTCCATGGCCATAAGACAACGAATCTCAGGTATTTACCCCAGACAATGGCACTGCTTCATTTTGGGGGCCCATCCAGGATCCAAGGTAGATTCATCAGAAGGGTGAGTATAGCAGCAGACCCCAACCCTTTGTTTTCATTTTGAGGCCTCCATCCTCCATTTTAAAATCAAACCAAACACTGCGCCCCCTTCAGTCATTTAAAAACAGTTAGTGTGGCTGCAAGCCTAACAAGACTTGGGGAACAGGCTTGCCAGGAGAACTTAGCAAATCCCTCTGCCCTCAGGGTGCTGGGAATGTTGGCTTTGTTTTGAACCAGTTTCTTTTCACAGAAAGCCTAGCTGTCACATGAGGCTGGAAGAGGTTCAGAGGTAACTGAGGGTTCCTGGCCAGGGCCACACCCTGGTGTTATCTGAAGCCTTCTGGACTAACCCCAGCCTCTGACAGCCTGATGGGAATTGGAAACAGGATCTCCAAGCTTTTCATATCACAATTTTCCTCCTTTTCTGTCTGCGACCACCATGTCTCCTATCCACTCTCTGTATGCAATACTGTGGGAATTTTTACAATTCAGAGAAGTAATCCTGTTAGTCAAGATCAGGAAATGCCACAGTAACCAGGAATATAGCTCAAGGGATTGCTGTTTTTGTGATTTCCTAGAAACATGGGGTCTTCTCTCCCCCGCCATCATCCCCCACCCCACCCTAGTGAGTGTCTCTCTCTTTACCCTTGGTCTGGAGAGCACATGGTATTTTAAGGCCAACAGCACCACCTAGTGGAATAAGAATCCTCCCTTTGATGAAACACTCTAGTTCCCTAATTCTCCTCCTTTTTGGCACCCCTCTACTAAAGACCAGGCTTTATGTCCCTTCTGTGAACAGGAAAACTCAACAATGGTGAGGAAAATGTTCTCCAAAACAAAATTCTAGTCTTGATACTGTCCCATCACCAGGAAGACTGCCATTCAGTCCCTGTGTTTCTTTAAGGCACCTATTCTGCCTCCAATTAGAATGGTACTTAAATAGTAAGGGGATTTTATGTCTGCAACTTAACCAGAGCCACTGCCTAAAAATAAATGTTTTAGTCCAGGACTCCCTCCATTAAGGGGCCTTGCCAAATGCAACTGTTACATAGTCTTACCTGAGATCCATTTATTGGGGAGCCACACAGGTAACACAGGTCTAGGAAGTCAAAGGGAAACCACCAGTGGAGGAGTAGAGTCACACGGGTGGGGTGAGCGTGACTACTCCCAATCACTCAGTTCCTCCATTTCCATGGCTAAGGGTCATGCCTGCATCCATGGGCGGCACTTTTAATGGATGCTGGGGAAGGGAACCAAGGAGGGAAAACAGTTGAGGGGATGCCCCCTCTATTTTCCCCTCCACTTTGGGCCATTCCAAAGGAAAGGAAAGAGACTAAAGGGACACCTTTTTTCTCACTTTGCTTTCTACATGGGTAACAGACCATCTTCAGCCTGCACTCCTCTGAAACTCTGCTTTTGCAGAAGGATATAGCCTTCTTACTAGACTTTTGCAAGCATGACACAATCTACCCAGCTCTTTTAGCAGTCATAGTAGGCAGGCCCATAGGGAATGATTCCACAAAATTAGAGAAGCAACTTCTGGGGGAACTATCTGAGGCAGCTATTGAGTGTCCAGGCCCTTCTTGTCCCCCTTATTTGGGCCCCCTCCAACTGTGCCATCAGCTCCTCCAGTTCCACCATCTCCAAAACTCTCCACCCTCCCAGCTTCGCTCTTAAACCTACAGGAAATGCCCAATGGAGGTGATGCCACTAGGATTCATGTTCCCTTCTCATCACAAATAAATGAAATACGCAAATAAAGGGAGACTTAAGCTGATTTTCTGACAACCCTGATAGGTATATAGAAGCTTTCTAAAATTTAACTCAGGTGTTTGACCTCTCATGGATGGATGTTATGCTGCTCCTAAGCCAAACCCTAACTGCAGCTGAAAAACAGCCAGCTCTGTAGGCAGCAGAGAAGTTTGGAGAGAAGCAATATGTCTCCTATAGTAAGCCAAAAAGGAAGAGAGAACATAGTCAAGGTGAAGAAATAGGGAAACCATTAATCCCAATAGGAAGAGAGGCAGTACCTCTTGACAACCCTGAATGGAACCCCAGTGACTTCACAGATGAATGGAAAAGGAAACACTTTTTTAAAAATTATTATACTTCAAGTTCTAGGGTATATGTGCACAACACACAGGTTTGATACATTGGTATACATGTGCCATGTTGGTTTGTTGCACCCATCAACTCGTCATTTACATTAGGTATTTCTCCTAATGCTATCCGTCCCCCAGCCCCCCACCCCCTAACAGGCCCCAGTGTGTGATGTTCCCCACTCTGTGTCCAAGTGATCTCATTGTTCAATTCCCACCTATGAGTGAGAACACGCGGTGTTTGGTTTTCTGTCCTTGTGATAGTTTGCTAAGAATGATGGTTTCTAGCTTCATCCATGTCCCTGCAAAGGACCTGAACTCATCCGGAAAAGGAAACAGTTTTTAATGTGCATATTAGAGACCTATGAAGAACTAGGGCCAAACCTCTTAATTACCCTAAACTATCTGTGATAGACCAAAAGCCAGATGTGAATTCCACATCCTTTATGGAAAGGCTGAGAGAGGCACTAATAAAAATACCTCCTTATCCCCGATTCAGTCAAGAAACAGCTAATTGTAAAGGAAAAGTTTATTGCACAGGCAGCTCCCAATATTAGGAGGAAACTGCAGAAGCAGGCTATAGGGCCAGATAGCACCTTGGAAAACCTCCTAAGGGTAGCCACCTCAGTCTTTCATAAGAGAGACCAGGAGGAGGCCCAAGAGAAAGATAGAAAACACAAGAGAAGGATTGAGGCTCTAGTAACTGCTTTGTAGGCTTGCAAAGTCCAGGATCCCTGAGGTGCGTCCACTAGTTGCTACCAGTGTGGCAAGTCAGGGCACTTTAAGAAGGAGTGCCCAGGCAGCAAGAGGAAGCCACCTCAACTCTGTCCAGCCTGTGGCAGGACCACTGGAGATCAGACTGCCCCCAGAGATGGAGGTCACTGGGTTCAAAACCAGTCTCACAGATGGTCCAACAGGACTGATGCTCTCAGGGCTCAAACCCTTAGCTCCAGCACCTCAAACTGCTGTCACTGCACAGGACCCCTGGGTAATTCTGGAAATTGAAGGAAGGAGGGTGGACTTCCTTCTGGACACTGGAGCCAGCCTCTCTCTTCTCTCTGATCCAGACCTCCCCTCTTCCCATAGCACAACCATAATGCACATCTCGGGAAAGGTTCTAACCTGAAATTTTTCTTAACCCCTTAGTTGTAGTTGGGGGGGACCCATTATTTACACATGCCTTCTTAATCATGCCAGAAAATCTCACTCCTTTATTAGGTAGAGATATTTTAGCTCGCATGGGGGCCAGCATCCTGCTAGCCCCAAGACACTCTTTGTCTCCCCCTGGTGGAAGTTAATATTAATCCAGAAGTATGGGCAACTCAAGGAAGAATAGGTTGAGCTGTAACCGCTAGGCCAGTCCAGATCCATCTTAAGGATCCCACTTCTTTTCCTAACCAGTCAATATCCCCTAAAGCCAGAGGCTAGGAAAGGGCTAGAAGCCATTATTAATAAGCTGAAGATGCAGGGCCTCCTCAACCCTGTAACAGCTTCTGCAACACCCCAATATTAGGAGTGCAAAAACCCAATGGGGAATGAAGACTAGTTCAGGACCTCCATCTCATTAATGAGTCCATAGTCTCAATTCATCTGGCGGTCTCTAATCCCTATACCTTGCTAACTCAAATACCTGAGGGAGCTAAATGGTTCACAGTCCTAGATCTAAAGGTTGCCTTTTTCTGTATACTGTTACATCCTGACTCTCAATACTTGTTTTCCTTCAAATATCCCTCCAGCCAAACCACCCAGTTAACATGGATGGTGCTGCCTCAGGGATTTTGAGACAGTCCTCACTTGTTTGGACAGGCAGTGTCAAAGGACCTTTCCAAGTTTTCCCATCCTCAGGTCAGGGTCTTGCAATATATAGATGATATATTGGTCTGTGCCTCAGTTGAGGAAGCCTCTCAGGAAGGCACTGAAGCTCTTCTTAATTTCTTAGCCAACAGAGGATGTAAGGTTTCAAAATCTAAGGCCCAGTTTGGCCAAACCTCAGTGAAGTACCTGGGTTTAGTGTTGACAGAAGGGACCAGAAGACTAGGGGAAGAAAGGATTATTTCCTCCTTTCCCCTCCCTAAAACCCTCAAGCAACTAAGAGGATTTTGGGACATTATGGGATTTTGCAGACTATGGATACCTGGGTACGGCGAGATAGCACTTCCCTTATGTCACCTCATAACAGAAACTCAAGCAGCTAAAACTTATTTCTTAACCTGGGAACCTGAAGCTCAAAAGGCCTTTAACCAGTTAAAACAAGCCTTACTTAAGGCACCAGCCCTCAGCCTTCCCATAGGGAGGGCCTTCAATCTTTATGTATCAGAAAGGAAGGAAATGGCCTTGGGAGTTTTAACGCAGGCCCAAGGACCAGCTCAACAGCCACTGAACTACCTGAGTAAGGAACTTATTTTGGTGGCTAAAGGATGGCCAGCATGCCTCCGAGCAGTTGCCACAGTGACCTGACTCGTACCAGAGGCCGCCAAATTGACCCTGGGAAATGGCTTAACTATTTAGGCCCCACATAATATAGCAAGATTGCTGTCTTCCAGGGAAAGCCTTTGGCTAACAGCCAGCCAGCTCCTTAAATATCAGGATTTGCTGTTAGAAGTGTCTACAATCCAATTGAAAACTTGTTCTTGCCTAAATCTGGCCACTTTCCTCCCTGAGAAAACTGAACATAACTGTGAACAAGTTATGGTACAGACCTATGAAGCCAGGGAGGATATCAGGCAAACTCCCCTAGAAAATCCAGACTGGACCCTCTTTATGGATGGAAGTAACTTTGTAGAGCAAGGAGTTCATATGGCAGGGTATGCAGTAGTCGCTCTGAATACCACCAGGAAATTAACAGCTTGTTATCCTCAGTTTTTCTTCCACAAGAGATAGCAGTGATGCATTGTAAGGGACATCAGAAGGGAACAGCCAAAGGAAACAATCTAGCTGATCAGGCAGCCAAGTCAGCAGCAATGAAGCCTCAGGGTATCAACACACTTGAAGCCCCTCTAATCTGGGAAGGCTCCATAAGGGAAATTAAGCCTCAGCACTCCCCTGTAGAGATAGAATGGGCCATCTCTCGAGGGTACACTTTCCAGCCCTTAGGATGGCTACAGTCAGAGGAGGATAAACTCCACTTGCCAGCCTCCAGCCTGTGGAAAGTCCTTAAAATCCTTCCCCAAGCTTTTCACTTGATAAAGGATAAGTTTATCAGTGTGCCCAGAGATTGTTTTCAGGAGAGAACTTATTAAAAACAGTCAAATAGGTTGTTAATGCTTGTGAAGTCTGTCTTAAAAATAATCCCCTCAATAGGTGGCTCCTTCCTCCTCAAACCCAAAGTATGGGAAGCTATCCAGGGGAGGACTGGCAGGTAGACTTTACCCATATGCCAAAGATGAAGGGCATCCAATACCTCCAGGTATGGGTAGATGCTTTCACTAACTGGGTAGAAGCATTTCTATGCTGTACAGAAAAGGCCTCTGAGGTAATAAAAGTGTTAGTTAATGAAATAACTCCCCACTTTGTCCTACCCAAATACCTCAAAAGTGACAAAGGCCCCTCATTTAAGGCAGCCATCACACAGGGGGTTTCAAAGGCACTAGACGTACAATATCTTCTCCATTGTGCTTGGAGAACCCAGTCCTCAGGAAAGGTAGAGAAAACAAATGATGTTATCAAAAGACATCTCAGAAAACTATCCCAAGAAACTCACCTTCCTTGGGTCACTCTTCTTCACATGGCTTTACTGTAGGTGAGAAATACCCTTTTAAAGTTAGGTCTAAGCCCTTTCAAAATGGTGTATGGACAGCTTTTCCTTACCAATGACTTTCTATTAGACCAGGAAACCTCTCAAATGGTTAAGCATGTAACCTCTCTGGCTCACTTCCAGTAGGAATTAATACAACTAGCAGAAGCCCAACCCCAAGAAATAAGACCACGTTTATTTAACCCAGGAGATCCAGTATTGGTGAAAGCTCTCCCTTCTTGCTCTCCTTTCCTAAGCCCAAGCTGGGAAGGACTCTACACTGTTCTTTCAACCTCCTCGACAGTAAAAGCTACAGGTATGGATTCCTGGATAAATTACACTTGAGTCAAAGCTGAAAAGCTGGGACAGCTGGAAAGCCCCAGACAGCCCAGAGGAATGTCCTGGATGTCAATGCGAAGAAATAGGAGATCTTAAGCTGAAAATCATAAAAGATAAGTAAATGAGTAAGGGCTACTCATCCTACTCAGTCCCACTCCTACCTTCTCTATTTTTAGTCATTTCTACTTTTCCTCTCAAGATTTGCTGTCAGATATTAGAACTCCTTTTTGACCCTTAAAGGGAAATTCTATATCTTGGTGAGTAAAATTTTAAATGGAAATTATTTATTTTGCCACACTCGTAGGATTACTATACTCACTGTACTATTTGCATTAGGACTATTGCACAGGTGCCACTGTGGCACCTGCAAAGTGGAATTCTGGATGGAAAATTATAATTGCTGTAATATTCTGCCTAGTTATCATCTTTATAACAGGATTGATAATTACAGGAAAGATTTAGCCAAAGTTAACACTAAAATTACTCTGGCCACCCAATCCAATGCCACTTTTCCTGAAAGAAAAGATGTTGCTTCTATATTAATGCTTCTGGTAAAGTACAGTGAAATCTGGTGGAGTCAAACCAGTATTACAACCCATCAAAATGACTAAGAGGTATCAAACAAACTCTACTATCATGGTTATGGCCTGTAATACCCGCACTAATAGTGGTAATCTTTTTTTTTTTTTTTGAGACAAAGTCTCACTCTGTCGTGCAGTGGCGTGATCTCAACTCACTGCAACCTCCACCTTATGGGTTCAAGTGATTCTCCTGCCTCAGCCTCCTGAGTAGCTGGGATTACAGGCGCCTGCCACGATGCCTGGCTAATTTTTGTATTGTTAGTAGAGACAGGGTTTTGCCATGTTAGCAGGCTGATCTTGAACTCCTGACCCCAGGTGATCTGCCCACCATGGTCTCCAAAAGTGCTGGGATTATGGGTGTGAGCCACCACGACTGGCCAAATAGTGGTAATTGTAATACTCATATTAAAACCCTATATTGAACATATATATATATATATATATATATATATATACACATATATATATACTATACCTAATACTCATGTTCTTAATATGAGTATTACACCTAATACTCATATTCCTAATATGAGTATTATACCTAATACTCATATGAAAACCCTATATTGAACATATATATATACTATACCTAATACTCATATTCTTAATGTGAGTATTACACCTAATACTCATATTCAAACCCTATATTGAACATATATTTACAACAAGCCTTCTTGTAAAATTTATCTCTTCTCACCTAGAAGCTATTAAACTTCAAACAGTGCTGTGATGAAACCATGCATGGACACACCATTCTTCTGAGGGTCCTTAGATTGACCCCAGGAGGAGCCTTAACAGCTGTTCCCCACACGATGCCCCTTTTCAGCAGGAAGTAGCCAGAAAGAGTCATCGTCCAACACCCCCTAATAGCAGTTAGGGTTACCACTCCTGAGGGGGGATTATGATACAGGATCTAGAAAGAAATTATTTAGGCAGATAGTAAGGACGACAGAGTCCTCAGCAGAATTTTCCTTTTAACAAAAAAAGCAGCCTCAAAACCATTCCTTTTCTAACAAAGAGCAGCCTGAAAAATCAAGCTGCTGACATAGATAAGCAAGCTATTTATAATCTAAGACAAGCTGATAATCTAAGACATAGATTATCAAACTGGAAGCTTGCATAGGGGAATGCTGGCAGCTGTGCCAATAGAAGAGGGCTACCTGGGGGCCAGGTATACTCAACATGGAGGCTCCATCTTCCCTTTTCTTTGTCACCATGTGTACAGTAAAGAGGCAGGCAACGTGGTGCCGGCCAGGCAGAGAATCCATCTGCATAATAAAAGATTAGGGTGGGGATGGCCAGATTTTTGCACTTAATGCAAATGGCACACCTAGCCCTAACCAGATTTTTACACCTTATGCAAATGGCACACCTGGTCCAACCAATATTTTTTGCCCTATGTAAATCAGACACCACCTCCTCAAGCTCATCTATAAAACCCTTTGCATTTCGCTGTGGACCGGAAAACCCACTCGGGACCCCTCTCTGCAGGAGAGAGCTCTTCTCTTTCTTTCACCTATTAAAATTCTGCTCTGAACTTCACCTTTTGTGTATCTCTGTCCTAGTTTTCTGTGGCCATGAGACAACAAATCTTAGGTATTTACCCCAGACAATGATGCTGCTTTGAAAGGATGGTCTATCCAATAAATATGTTGGAACAATTGAATATTCATATTTTTTTAAAAAACTTCACAGCATGCATAAACATCAACACCAAATGAACCACAGACCTAAAAGTAAAATCTAAAAGTATAATGGCATTTAGAAGAAAACATAGAATATCTTTGTGACCTTGGGTTAGTCAAAGATTCCTTAGATTCAAGGATCCATAAAAGAACATATTGATAAGGTGAACCACCAAAATCTAAAACTTACATTCTTCAAAAAACCAATATTAATGGGCACAGTGGCTCATGCCTGTAATCCCAGCACTTTGGTGCCAAAGTGGGCAGATCACCTTAGGTCAGGAGTTTGAGACCAGCCTGGCCAACATGGCAAATCTCTCTCTCTACTAAAAATACAAAAACTAGCCAGGTGTGGTGGTGTGCACCTGTAGTCCCAGCTACTGGGGAGGCTGAGGCAGGAGAATCACTTGAACCCAGGAGGTGGAGGTTACAGCAAGCCAAGATTGTGCCACTGCACTCCAGCCTGAGTGAAAAAGTGAGACTCTGTCTAAAAAAAACCCACAATATTAAGACAACAAAAATATAAGCCACAGACTGGGAGAAAATATTAATAAATTATATATCTAATAAGGAACTTGTATCTAGAATATATAAAAATTTCTCAAAACTCAATAAGAAGAAAACAACACAATGAAGAAAAAAAAGAGACAAAGAATTTGAACGTATTCCACCACTATTTGACATGCGGATACCAAATAAGCACAAGAAATGATTTTCAAAATCATTAGTTATTAGATAAACAGAAATTTAAACCACAATGAAATGCCACTATCCTCCTATCGGAATGGTTAAAATTTAAAAGATCAACCATACTAAGTGTTGTTAAGTATACTCATATCATAGGGCTCCCCTAACAAATTTCCACAAACTAGGTGGCTTGAACAATGTAAATGTATAGTCTCACAGTACTGGAGGCCACACATTTGAGATCAAGATGTTGACAGGGTGGGTTCCTTCTGGGAGCCGTGAGGGAGAATCTGCGCCAGGCCCGTCTCCTAGCTTCTGGTGTTTTGCTGGCAGTCTTTGGCTCTCCTAGGCTTGTAGATGCATACCCCAACCTCTGTCTTCATATTCACATGGTGTTCTCTTCAGCTGTATGTCTGTGCCTATGTCCAAATCTCCTCTTTTTATAAGGACACCAGGCATATTGGATTATGGCTCACCCTAATGACCTCATCTTAACTTGATCATCTGCAAAGACCGTATTTCTAAATAAGGTCACATTTACAGGTACTGGGGGTTAGGACTTCAGCATCTTTTGAGGGGACACAGTTCAGTCCATAACAGCAAGGATGTGGAGGAACTAGAACTCACACACTACAGGTGAGAATGTAAAATGTTAAAGTATAACTTCTGTATGATCCACTCATTCCACTTGCAGGTATTTACACAAGAAAAATAAAACGTCATGTCCATACAGGGATTTATACATGAATGTTCGTATCGGCTGTATATGTAATAGGCCCAAATTGGAAACAACCCAAATATCCATCAACAGATGATGGGTAAACAAATTTTGGTACATTCATACCATGAACTACAACTCAGCAATAAAAAAGATTGAACTACTGATGAGTGTAACATGGGTGTAACTCAAAATATGCTGAGTGAAAGAAGTCAGACAAAAAAAAAAGGGAGTACGCACCGTATGATTTCACTTATATAAAATTCTGGAAATTGCAAACGAATCTATAGTGACAGAAAGCAGCTCAATAATTGACTGGGAGCTGGGGTGGGAAAGGGTACAACAGATGACTTACCAAAGAACACAGGAAGCTTGCAGGAATGGTAGGTATGACCACTACCTCGATTATGGTAATGCTTTCATGGGTGTAAAAGTATGTCAAAAACTCTCAGACTGTATATTTTAAATGTGTACAGTCCATTATTTGTCATTTATACCCCATTAAAGCTATAACAATGGGCTTATATAATTTTATAATTCACTGGATTCACTAGGAATATTAAAATTTTATGTAATCTATCAATTCTAGTATCAAAAGCTGAGGTTTCTGACCCTATATTAATAACTTGCTTTTTTATAGCATCAAATGTAAATGAAGCCATTTTGCAGGAACAAAACTATATATTAATTGATAGACATAATGCACGAAAAGAATTAAGTTATAGTCATGGATTCCTGGTCACTTGTCCATCCACATCTTCCTCTTTTAAAAAATTTGCATGTGGCAACATTGTAATTCCTGTTTTAACCCAGAAAAAATGTTAAGCTAAGGAAAAACTATACAGCATGCCTCAAATGATTCTTAAGAGAGCTAAGCAATATAAAACAGGCTTGCCAATTTCTTAGTGCTCAATTCACTTAGCTTTGTAAATCTTCTTCTCAGAAAGCCACAATGAACTTTAATAGTTAACCAGTTTTACTAGGAAAGTTAGGTGAAGACCTTTGTCCACAAGTTTCTTTTCACAGTCCCGTGATCATCTCATGCCAAATCCCTATTATCTCCACTACCCTGAGCTTTAGCATTTTGAATTGCCTAGAAATAAAGCTTGACAAAGTATCCAACCCTCCAAGCAAGCAAGGTAAGTATGACCATGCAGGCTCACTGTCCCTGATCCTTTAGGACCAGGCTCCTTCCCTCAGAGTGGCTGTGGCTGTACTTCTGGGGGACCTGCTTGTGCCAGGTGTTTGGCTCGCTTCATTTCTCATCTTACAATAACCTTGCAAGACAGGTTTTCATTGTCCTGCATATAGAGGAAGAAACAGCAAGATTATGTAATCTGACCCAGGTAACATAGCTAAGAAATAATGGAAGAAGGCGTTTTCATCCACCTATTCCAACCTGCTCTCTGTCTGACTCCTTTTTCTCCCCTTACCTCTTCCTTCCAGATGTGAATACATTCACAGACTCTGCTTCCATTTATTGGTGGGTACTTTGGATGAAACCAAAAGATGCCAGACCTTATATTTTGTTATTTTTATTTATAAGGAACATTGGTAATTATAAAAGCTTTTATACACTTTCCTGAATCTTGACTGATATAGAATATTTAAATTCCTAGGAAATGATTAATAGATGTTAAATAAATATTAGTTTAACTCTCCAGCCTTTCCCCTTAAGTTCTAGGAAGGTTATAGAGTCCAAAGGATGTTAACTAGAGATGCAATGCCTGGGAAGACGCTTCAGTAGCTTTGGTTCCCAAACTGGGGTTCCCAGAGTCAGGCAGCAACATACTCCCACAACAGCCATATGTCTGCTGTGGCTTCCTGTGCCTTGCTCCCCATTCTGTTTGTAATTACAACACAGCCAGTTGGAAATTGTATTCTAAAACCAGCCTTCTCTCCCCCAACTGAGCAGCTTATTGTTGATTTCCCTTTCTTTCCATGTCCTGAGCATTACCTCCTGCCCTTTTCTATTCAGAACCCAGCATGGGCTCTGTGCACAGACCCAGCCCTTCTCCACTCTAGCTGCATATTAGAATCAATCACTTTAGGAGCTTTTCAAAAAATACTGTTGCCTAGTCCTACCCCAGACCAACTGAAGCAGAATCTCTGAGGGGCTGAGAGCCTGAGTAATGGCTGATTTTTAAAGCTCCCAGGTGACTCTGGCCACAGTGAGGGCTGAGCACTACTGGGCCTGCGTAGGTTTCAGAAACATATGCTGCAGGTGCACATTCTCTCCAGGGGGTTTGCCTCTTTCTTTTAACAATGCGTGCCCCTTTGCCTGCTTCCTCTGCATAGCCTCAACAAGGTTATATACAGGAAGCAGAAGGGAAGGCGTGAGCATGCAGAAATTAGGCTTAGCTCACTGACAGGGGAAGAAAGAGACCCTGTGCAAGCCCAATCAAGACAGAAGCTCAAACGGAACTTCAGAGTAAGTGAAACTTTCTTTCTGGCTAAGAACCACACACTGGGAAAGCCATTAATTGAATTAAATTGATATAAATTGCTGCTTACACTAAGGTGAACAGCTAGTTCATTAATTCACTACTGAAATTGGCCCATAGCCCAGTAAATTTTCACTTCTTTTCACCTCTTGGTACTCAAGCCTCTGTGGATGTTATTAGTTAAAATATCCTGGTTCTGCAAAATCGCAACATAAAACAATATTTTGAACACATCCAGAAGTGTTTAATAAGTAGCTGGGAGATAGCTGCTAAATATACATATTAAATAGGTTAGAAAACTCTTGTCTTATATAAACCAATGTTCTCTTTTATCTGTAGTACAGTTGCCTCTTAATGAAATAGCTTATTACATGTGGTTAATGAATAGCTCAGGATAGGGATTTAACAATGTGTCACTTAACTTCTTGCCTTGTCCTTATCAGTATCTAATGATTTTAAAAATACAAACTTCCTGGTGCAGCTGTTGTTGTATTATCTAACAACCCTAGCTACATTTCGCGAGCACTCATTATTTGCCAGGTTATGAGTGCTGTCCATGTATTATGTTATGGAGTGGATACTCTACTACCCTAATTTACACAAAAGAAACTGAGGCTGGGCAAAGTGCCATGACTTAGCATAGGTCCCAGAGAAGATTCCAATCTAGGCAGTATGACCTTTTAACCACTGCACTGTGAGCACAATGCATAAAGCCTGGCACATACCAACCTCTCAATAAATGGCAGCTATTAGGAAGGAAAAAGGACAATGTCATATGGCTTTTCTCTCCCCCTGGCAAGAAGACAAATAACTACTTATTCTTTATTTGCCTGCAGGATATTTTTATTTGTTTTAAGTAATAACAATTAATAATAAAAGCTACCTTTGTTGAGTATTTACTATGTGTCACTGTTCTAAGCACTTCTCAAGTATTAATTCATTTATTCTCCAAAACAAGCTAATGAAATAGGCACTATTGTTGTTACTATTATTATTATTATTATTATTTTGAGACTGAGTTTCACTCTTGTTGCCCAAGCTGGAGTGCAATGGTGCAATCTCGGCTCACTGCAACCTCCGCCTCCCAGGTTCAAGTGATTCTCCTGCCTCAGCCTCCTGAGTAGCTGGGATTATAGGCACCCACCACCACACCCAGCTAAATACTGTATTTTTAGTAGAGACAGGATTTCACCATGTTGGCCAGGCTGGTTTCAAACTCCTGACCTCAGGTGATCCACCTGCCTCGGCCTTCCAAAGTCCTGGGATTGTAGGTGTGAGCCACCGCGCCTAGCCAGCACTATCATTATTATTCCAATTTTGCAGATGAGGTAACTAAGGCACATGAAGGTCAAGCCCAAGTCACGCAACTGATGAGTGACAAAACCAGGATCTGAACCTGGCAGTCTGGCCCCAGAGCCCTCTCTGCCTGCTACCACCTGTCCATCTGTGGTCATGGAGCTGAGTCTAGTGAGATTCCCACCAAGAACAACAACCTTTCCCTTGCCAATATCCTCAACTCTTTTGCATATAACATCCTGATTAGGCAACATCAGCACGGAAGAAGCCCAGTGTCCACCTTCTTCCTGCCAACGCCTGCGCTGCTGAATATTATTAAGAAAACACGTGAGTCATCATACATTTGTTGGTCCTGGACCGCATTTGGGCCCCTGGTGATTTCCAGATGTCCAATCTCCCCAGCAGCTCTCTCTGCTGTTTTTATTGAAGCCAGCCTCACCCACTCTCTCCAACTCCACCTCTCCCTTCATTCTCAGCTGATGAACTCCTCTGCCACTTCTCAGGGAAATTAGAAGCTAGCAGATGATAGAACCCTCAACTCTACCCACAGCTTACAGTCTTACCTCAGTCTACACTATTATTTCCTGCATTTCAACTATATGAGAGGTTCCACCTTCCTTTCTAAAGTGAATCCACTTAGTTTTGGTTCTGGAAACTTCAGTCTTCTCAAGGGTCTTACTCTATAAATTCTCTCAGAGTAAGCATTTTTGACTTCTCCCTCCCTAGTACAGTCTTTCCATCAGGGTTCAGACATGTTAAATCTCTCATCTAACAATGTAATAATGACAACAATAACAACAACATTCTATGCTCCCAGACAGTTTCTGACTTTGATACCCATATATGCAACTGCCCTGGGACTTTCTCCTTCTTTCCCAATCATATACCCACAGACTATATAGCCATTTCTTCTTCTCCCTGCAACTACAAACTGCTTGAAAGAGCTGTCTATCCTTGTCTCTGCTCCTAGTCATTCTCAAACCACCAATGTGTCTCCTGTCTCCAACCCTTAAGAGCACTCTTCCAAAAGTCAGCATTTACCTCCCTCTCCCAAAATTCAGCACGTGTCTATCCTTAAATCCTTTGACCTCACCAGAGCATATGAAGCTGTTTTCGTTATCTCCTTGAAATACTCTCCCCAGCTTCCAGAACACCACACTTTCTACCTACCCTCTCCTGCCTCTCTAACTCCATCTCAGTGTGCTTCCCTAGCTGTCCTTATATGTTGTTATTCCCTATGATTCTTTCAGGTCTCTCCTCTTCCTTCTCAACCTATACTCCCTAGGCAATTGCACATGCTCCCATGGCTTTAATTATTAACCACAGATAACCCCCAAATCTATGCTTCCAGACTGTTTCTGACTTTGATACCCATAATATGCAACTGCCCTCTGGATATCTCCACCTGGATGTCCCATCAGCCTTTCAGCATATCCCAAAGTGAAATCCTCCACCTTCTCCAAACCTGTTTCTCAGTGTATGAAGCAATTAGGTTGGCCATAAAATGGGAAATCATTCTTGACAACTTCCCCTCTTACTCCCCAACACACTCAGTCAAAACTACGTCTTGATGATCCTTCCTCTTAAATACCTCAAAATATATGTTCGGATTTCTTTACCTTCCACTGTCTCCTTCCTAGTCAAGACAACTGCCCTCTCTCTAGGTGCCTGCAGCAGCCTCCTAAGCCTTATGAATTACTCAACCCCATCCATTCTCTATGCTACAGCAGAAACATTCTTTCTAAAATGTAAAACATAAATCTGGTCGCAATGAAACCACTTAATGACTTCTTCTTGGCTTTAGCATAAAGTTCTTAAAGCGATCTTGGACCTAGCACCAGCTTTTCTATTTAGTCTCAATGCTCCTAGAACCTCCCAACACAGTCCTCAACCTGTCTGCTACAAGAGTCTCTGAAGCACATTTTATGTGCACTCTCACCTCTATTCAGTCTGTCTGGAGTATTTGTGCGTTCCTTCTTGACTCAGCTAAGTCTCTGTCCATGCTAGCCCTTCATTCCCATTCCCAGGCAACCACTGATCTGTTTTTCTGTCACTACATATCAGTTTACATTTTCCAGAATTTTCTATAAATGCAGTCATAAAGCATATACTCTTATTTGTCTAGCTTCTTTCACTCAGCAGAATTATTTGGAGATACAGTCATGTTGCATGCATCAATAGTTCATTCCTTTGATGTACTTGACTTTGGACTCCTGGTCTATAAAACAGAGAGAATGAATTCCCATTGTTTTAAGCCACCCAGTTTGTGGTACTTTGTTATGGCAGCCCTAGAAAACAAATATAGTAGTTGTATGTTTATTGCTTTTTAAAATTTATTTTTATTGTATGTGTTTAAGGTATACAACATAATGTTTTGACATATATATACACATAGTGAAATGATTAAAAGCCAAAAAATTAACACTTCCATCACCTTCCATAGTTGCCTTTATGTATGTGTACTAGTATCACCTAAAATCTACTCTTTTTGCAACTTTTCAGTATACAATACAATATCATTAGCTAGAATCCTCATGATATACATTAGATCTCCAGACTTACTCATCCTACATAACTGCAAATTTGTATCCTTGACTTTCTTCCATTTCCTCCCCCTGGTAACCACTGTTCTACTCTGTTCCTATTTATTCAACTTTATTTTTTAAGATTCTGCAAATAAATGAGATCATACAATATTTTTCTTTCTATCATCCTCCACTCTGCTCTGTACTCTGGGAAGCTGGCTTCTGTGGACTTCTTTGCCCACTGAATTCCAGCTGGGTTCTGCCAACGGGAAGAGGTCAGAAAGCAGGAGAAGACAGACAGGGTATTTACTGTCTTAGCTTCCTCCCCACCAGGCTTCAGTTGGTAGTAGTTGCTGTTCTCTTGTCCTAGCAGATGTCCTCTGTCCCAAGGGCACAGCTTTCATTAGGCCCCTGTAACTGCTCCCTGCCCCTGTGTTCCTTCAGGTCTACCTGTGGTAAAGACAGCTTCATTCTTGCCAGAAGCTGGGTGCTTCATCATCCTGTTTTGGTTCCCTTCATTCTGCCCATACATTTGTAAATAGTCCTGTGAAAGGGAAATATCTTGGGCCCCCAAAATCACTAAGCTAAAGGGAAAAGTCCCACTGGGAACTGCTTAGAGGAAACCTACCTCCCATTCTATTCAAAGTCACCGCTCTGCTCACTGAGATAAATGTATATCTAATTGTCTCCTTTGGAGAGACTAATCAGAAACTCAAAAGAATGCACTCATTTGTCTCTTATCTACCTATGACCTGGAAGCCCCCTCCTCCACTTCGAGTTGTCCTGTCTTTACAGACCAAACGAATGTTCATCGTACATATGTTGATTGATGTCTCATGTCTCCCTAAAATGTATAAAACCAAACTGTGCTCTGAGCACTTTGGGCACATGTCACCAGGACATCCTGAGTCTGTGTCATGGGCATGCATCCTCAACCTTGGCAAAATAAACTTTCTAAATTAACTGAGACCTGTCATAAATTTTCAGTGTTCATATTTTGGTAACCATGAAGGGATTCTGAGTGGAGGTGTCCCTAACCTTTGACAAATCTCCTTTCAGTGCTTGGTACCAGCATGAGCTAACTTTATGGCTCAAACCAATAGGACAATTTGTGGAAGTCTGGGAGCACCCCCTCCAGAGAATCCCTGATCTCCCAAAATTTGGTCAAGATCTAAAGTTTATTTTGCTGCAACTCCCTTTTTTTTTTTTTTTTTTTCTGGAGTTTTACTTGCTTCCAACAAGGAAGGCAAGTTTTTCTGCTTCCATGACAATGGAAGGCAGGTAACCCCTTCATGGAGTTTGAGCTCATTTCCAACAGGGAAGATAAGTTATTATTTTTTTTCCTGCTTCTAGGATGGTGGAGATACATTTTCAGCATGAGACACACCCTTAGGTAAGTAAACTGGGGTTTTGTCTTGGCAAAAGTTAACAACCAACTGGTCTTAATTTCTCTTTACTGTTAGAGCACTCAGTAATCACATAAGTTGTACAATGGTTTGTTTTGCTTAACTGTTTTTTTTTGGGGGGTGGGTTGTTTGGTTCTGTTTTCATTGTTGGGTCTTTTTCCCACTGGGTTTGATCAACTCTGACTTGATCAAATCCAATGAAAGTTCTAAATTATGGGGAACAAGGCTTCTGAAGTGGCTAAATTCCCACAAATATAAAAAAAGGTGGTGTGGTAGAGGGGAGAAAAATGATCAGCAAAGGGAAAAAAAGAGGAAAGATTTTCGATTTTGACTACTAAGTGGCTTTACTTACATAACAAGACCACTTATTTGCTAGCCAGGCCAAACTGAAACAGCAATAGCGATACTTCTGAAATTGCAGCAATTTGTTCTAGCTGAAATATGGTAATGGAACTTAAAAAGATTTTTTTTAAAGAAGCTCAATGGTTAAAAGTCAGCTTAATTGAAAGCTAACATCCAAGGTGTGTGTGTGTGTGTGTGTGTGTGTGTGTGTATGTGTGCATATGTGTGTGTTTGTATTTAAAATGCCTTCATGTTTTTCTTCTTGTTTTTCTCCTAGGACTTTGTCTGTTTTTGAGCAAAAGTTTTTTCTTCTCAGTTGCCTGAATTCTGTTTTCTTCATTTACTTCTGTTGTCTCTCCTTTCTTTTGCACTCTCTGCTGTATGGGGTACCTAAAACAGTTTATAGCAGTGTGGGGCTCCATAAAGAAAATAGAGAAGGTAGCAGGCTCCCTTTAGGGGAGAAACCTGTTTTGCCTTATGGAATCACAAGAATGAAAACAGACAAGTTTGTCTCAGCTCTTAAACTGCTTACTTTTGTATTGTGTTTCCTGTTTGTTTGTTTGTTTGTTTGGGTTGTTTTGTGTGTGTGTGTGTGTTTTGCCTAAAATAGTTGTTGCAGCAGAGGTTACTCTTGGTTTTTTAAGGAAGAGTGTGGTTTGTTCAGACACTTGGAAATGTCTTTATTTAAAAAAAAATTTTTTTAAGTGCACTGTAAAAGCATCACATGGTCTAAACTCATAATAATTCTTCCTTTTTGGAGACCCAGGATTCAGTGTGAGCTTTGCCCAGAGCTCAGAGATCCTGTTAAAAGATAGGTAGTCCCTATGTAGACAAAATTGGTCCTCTTATACAATCCTGTGATAGATTTCTATAATTTTTTGTCTGATTTGGCATCCATCTTTAATATCCCTCTAGGACCACCAGATATTTTCTCTCTGTACCTTATGACATAAATTTTGCTATTTGGTTTTCACCTGGGTTGTTTCCTTTAAATGCAAATTTAAGGCTATTTAGCTGACAACTGCCTAGGGCTGTGAAACAGTTTATCTAGAATCTGAAAGTGTAAGATAGAAAAAAAAAGGTTTTTATGAATCTATAAGATGTATTTCTATCAGCATGCCTAATATGTCTTTGTATTTATTTGTTGTGTACACAATGTTTCACTACTGAAAATATATAAAAAACCTCTAATTAATTGGGTTAAGAAAATAAAAGCACTTGAATCAAATACTTTATCAGGATAAAAGAAAAGACTAGTCAAATGCTTTTTCAAGCTTATGTAACTTAAGTAAAATCTTTAATAAGTTAGCTTTACAATTATTGGTAAAGTATTGTTAGAAATGTCTTAAGAATTGCCAGCATACGTTTTTGTTTGCATTTATAAATCAGGCAATTTCATATTTTTCCCTGCCAAATACTATAAGTTGTCAAAAATTGGCATAGGGGTTATAAAACTATACACCCAGCCCAAATCAGAAAGACCTTTGCTTGAGTAATCTTTAATAAGATATTGATATTGGTTTAATAAAAAATTCTACATCTTGAATTTAGTACGATTACCATATCTTCTAATCTTGTGGCTTTAGGTGGTCCATTCTACAGGCAGTAAGGTTTGTTTTGGGAAAGGACTGTCACAGTCTTTGTTTTAAAGCTAAACTATCAACTAAGTTCCTCCCAAAGTTAGTTTGACCTATGCCCAGGAATGAACAGAACAGTTTGGAGGTTAGAAGTAAGATGGAGTCAGTCAGGTCAAATCTTTTCCACTCTCTCAGTTACAATTTCGCAATGGTGGTTCTGTAACTTTAAATAATGACAATCACGGTTTTTGTAAATACTCTAAGTAAATGACAAAAAAATTATTAGGTAAATATAATAGGATAAATACTTGTAGACAAGCTCATCATAATTTAGAATCTAAAGTTATATCAAATTAAATCACATATATTTTATTATTTGGGTATTTTCCAATAAAAATATATTTGTAGGAAAACATTCAAAACAAATGTGTCCTTTAAAAAAAAAGGTGAACAATTTTTATCTAATTCAAAGCTTATTTAAAGGTCATGTATAAAACAAGGTAAAAGGAACCAGGAAATAAAAGAGATGTACAGAAAGTTATTAAAATAAAGAGGGGTTTTTTTGTGAGAAAGCGTAAAGGGAAATAATTTCATATGAGAAAGAATCTCGTATGGTAAATTTAGTCCTAGAGTAAAATGACTAGTTGCTTAAGAAAGAGGGATGTTCAAAACAAACCAGAAAGTACAAGCATGTCATGAATGGTCTATGTAAGTCACAATAAGAGGATTTATTTTTTTAAAAACCAAAAACTTTTATATGATCAAGTTGTCATATTATTATTTAAGTTTTGGGTTGCTTAGGAAAAAAACTGAGATTAAAATTTTTTAATTAAGGTTATTACATCCATCTATCTTTCATCTCTCCATATGCACTTTTAAAATACTTGTGACACTGAGTTACAGGGCTTTGACTCCTGGGTCTAAAAAGGACAACAACTCCTACTACATTTTAAACACTGACAGCAATTAAAGCCCCATTTTCAGGCCCTGTAGGAGATGCCAATCAAAATAAACTGCATTCCTAAGACACAGGACCAGAAATTAAAGCTATTTCAACTCAAGGCCCAGGAACTATCATGGAAAAGGTGGGCATGTGAGATTCTAAGGGCTGATTTTGAAAGATAAAATAAGTTCAGTTTCTCTAAAAAGTAATAATTAATGTTAAAGGCGCAGTGATGCAAGACTAGCATATTGGCCCCTTTGTCAAATTAACAAGGTTTTCTTGAAGCATTAACTGACTCCTCAATAAAGGTTATAAAAGGCTTATGGAAGTTGTATCTTACGGTCAAGATTAAAATTTTATAGATCATTTATAAAATTTCAAAAAACAAATTTAATTGGCTTCATGCTGTTTTTATTAGAGCTTATTGTTTGGAATGTCAAGTCTCCTTTCTCAAAGAATGAAGGTTTTTGCCTTTTTAAATCCTTGAGTTATCACTTTGGTTAAATGAATGATCTTATTTTGTGATATCAAGGGCTTTAAACCTTTGATATTTGATGAACTTTCCAAAATCAAATTATAAATTATGTCTTTTTCTAACCTAATCAATCCTTTAAGATATTAAGTTCCTTAAAGTTCAAAGATGACATAGTTTGGTTTGTCTGGTATAAATATTATACAGGAAACATTGTCAAAGATGAAATGGTGTTTGGTTTTCTTTAGGCTGTATTTATATAAATATATGGTATCTGTTCCAAAATCATGGGAACTCCTATAATTCTGATATGACTTACTGTATATTATCAGTAATACTTATAATTGTTATGTTAAATTATTGTGTGCCACAGATGTAACAAATTTCCTTGTCAATTGTGTCTTTGACCATGGCTGCCCTAAAATTTTTTGTCATCCACAGACAATTGTTGTCTTGTTTTGGTCCTCTTTAGGAGGTGGTTTTCTAATCTGCTATAAAAGTCTAACAGGTGTTCTTAAATGCCGGTTTCTGATAACTTTGGAGATTGTGACATTAGAATAGAGGAAAAACTTTCAGGACTCTCATGGAGAGCTAAAATGTTCATGAATATCAAGCAGAACAGGAGTTAACTATGTAAACTGAACTGATAGAAGACTAATTTTTTGATTTTTGCTTTAAATGTTGCTGATCCTTTGTTCTGCTTTTTTCAGAGTCAAGGAAACTTTTCTTTTGAGCTATTGACAGCTTTAACAATTTAGTATACTCCTATGAACACAATTTGGAGCATATCTGTTTCCCTCTACCTGATTTCTCCAGAATTTGGAAACTATCTGTGAGTATTCTTAACTTATGGCAATACAGTTATTTGCATAACTGCAATAAGAATCTGTTTTCATTTTGCAACAGGACGCAATTGGAGACATTGGTTATTTTACCAAGGCTTTAATGGTGTGCTTTCCTTTAAGGAATCAAACTTGACTTATGGAGTCAATAAAAGCCCTTGGGGAAACTGGTCTCATACCTTCCCTGTACAGGGTTCCTGACCTGTGGTAAGTAAAGAATGTTACTTTCTGACAGGCCCAGGAGCTCCAAGTTTATCTTGGAACCTCAAGAGGAAAGGATCACCCAATTCACAGGTATTAGGTGGCACAAATTCACGGCTGGGCTCGGCTTTAAAAAAGTCTTATCTGAGATTCCTTCTATGGAATAAAGTCCCACCAAAGACAATTTAAAAGCCTATGTAAAAAAATAATTATTCTTGCTGCACAGTATGCAAATAATTAGGATAAGTATAATAAAGCAAATCAGTCCTACCATGATTTGTCTTTAAAAATGGGAAACTGGAGAGAGAAAAATTATGTTTCAAAAACTGTAGTACACCTGTTGTTAGATTCTAGTCTTGTCTGATGTTTTTCAGTTTTATTATTTTCTACAGTTTGGACTGAATTCTAATTTTTTTTGGCTATAAGTTTTCAAAATAATGTTTTTAATTTTTTTTCCTTTTCCCCCCATTTTTCCTAATTTGGAGTCACTGAAAACAAAGCTGTGCTTTTGTAAAGCTCTGCAAACTGAAACTAGACAACTTGAACTTCAGAAGAAAATAACAGCAAAACCTATTTACATACATAAGCCACTTTCATACCTGCCTACTGATGTATGGACTTCAGAGTAATGTGGTCTACATTGATTTTCCAAAATATTTCTTTTGTTTATTGTTGTTGTTCTCCCTTCCTCCCCCTATTTTCTCTTCATAGGACATGAGACTTTACAACTTTCTAAAAATGAGCTTTCCTAATAACTCAGGACCTACCTGTCTAGGAATAAATCATCCTAGCCATGAGATATCAGATAAAAGACTAAACCTGGAACCAGAGACTAATTTGCTCCAAACGATTTATTTTTTTGAGACAGAGAATGCACCTATCATGCAGGCTGGAGTGCAGTGGCATGATCTCAGCTCACTGCAATCTCTGCCTCTCAGGTTCAAGCGATTCTCTTGCCTCGGCCTCCTGAGTAGCTAGGATTACAGGCGTGCACCACCACACCCAGCTAATTTTTGTATCTTTAGTAGAGACGAGGTTTCACCATGTTAGCTAGGCTGGTCTTGAACTCCTGACCTCAGGTGATCCACGTGCCTCAGGCTCCCTTAATGCTGTGATTACAGGTGTGAGCCACCATGCTCGGCCTTCAAAAGATTTTTCAAAAGAAAAGGGGGGAAATGCGAAAGAAAAATATCTTGGGCCCCCCAAATCATTAAGCTAAAGGGAAAAGTCAAACTGGGAACTGCTTATAGCAAACCTGCCTCCCATTCTATTCAAAGACTTCTCACCAAGATAAACGCATATCTGATTGCCTGCTTTGGAGAGGCTAATCAGAAACTTGAAAGAATGCAACCACTTGTCACTTATCTACCTATGACCTGGAAGCCCCGCTCTCCACTTCAAGTTGTCCCGCCTTTCCAGACCAAACCAATGTTCATCATACATACATTGATTGATGTCTCATGTCTCCCTAAAATGTATAAAACCAAACTGTGCTCTGAACACCTTAGGCACAGGTCATCAGGACCTCCTGAGGCTGTGTCACGGGTGTGTGTCCTCAACCTTGGCAAAATAAACTTTCTAAATTAACTGAGGCCCATCTCAAATTTTGGGGGTTCACAGTCCCTTGGGTAAACATTCAACAAACCAGGACCTCACCCTTTCTTGCTGATACCCTGATTCATACAGTGCTCAAAAAGTTTTGTTAATTTTGACAAACCGCAACCTATACATTGAGTTTTAAATCCCATTTTCTTTACTGTCAATACCATTCAAAGTTTTAATATTTTTCTCAAGTTTCAAATCACTCCACACACTGTACAGTAAGTCTTCACTTAACACCATGGACAGGTTCTTGGAAACTGCAATTTTAAGTGAAATGACATACAGCAGGTCCTCAAACAACATTATTTCCTTCACTGTGATTTCATTATGACATTGATGAGAAAAAGAAAATTGGTTTCATTATATGCCATTTTGCTTAAAATCATAGTCTCTAAGAACCTATAGATGACGTTAAGTGAAGACTGACTTCATTTCTTTCAACCTCTTTCTTTTCCTCCCTCATTCCTTCGCTCATTCAGCAGAGACTGAGAGATGACTAAGTGCCAGGAAGTGTGCTGCCCTGGAACTCACATTCAGGTGAGAGATATAAATAATGAATTCCAACTCCAAAGGAGAAGGGAAGCAATGGGAAGCTGTACAAAGGCCAGCAGGCACTGAGCCCTCCCTGCTGTGTTCCCCAGCTGAAGTCCAGAGCCATAATTACCACTAGCACAGTGCTCTGTAGCATGGCTTCTGAGCTCTCCTTTGCTCTTGCTCTCTGCTCCTCACTCCCTCCCCACACACCCACAGCTCCCAGAGGTGAACTTTACAGTGTGTTAGCACTGTGCTAGCACTCTGCATACATTAGCTCATTTAATGCAACCACACAATGAAGCAAACATTATTATCTCCATTTTACACAGAAGGAAACTGAGGCTGGGGCAAACTAAGTGGTGTGCTGGTAAGTGGCAGAGCTGCCTCATTTAACCATGACCCTACACTGCCTCATGAACCTGAAACACACGTGAGCCCAGGATATGGGTGCTGGTCATTTTCTTGAAGGTTAAAAAGCCCTTTACCACAGATTTCCATTTCAAAGCTGCAGTGTTTCAGGAAGAGATTTTTTTTAAAAAAAGAAAAAGTAGCTCTTTTCTGAGTGTTCTAATGGTTGAATAGAAAATACGGGGTTGGTAGGCCAGGAAGCTGTCAACACCTCTCTTCATTATACTAATTGCTCTGAAGATGAAATAAGGTTTGTTTCTCCCTTCTTATCCTACTCACAGACCTAGCTCTGCTACTTCAGAATAGCATCTGCTATGGGTCAAGGGAGGCATTTTCCCCCCTCATTATACAGAGACTAAAACAGGACCATAGCACGTGAATAACTCACCCTGGTCCACAGCCAGTGAGAGGTAGCCCAATGTCCCAGCAACTGTCCTCATTCGTCAGGGTGCCCCAGTGGCTGCCTTTATTTCAGCCAGGCATGCCTCACTCTCTCCCATACAAGCAGTTCTCACTCCAACCTTTGTATAATTTTTTTTTTCACAATTTCTTCCCATCCTAGAACAGCCTCTTCCTCCCAATACCCACCATACTATCTGAGCATAGTTAGGCCTCTATGCCCACTCCAGCCTAGTCTCTCTCCCCTTTACTCTCACTGCCCTGGACCTCACCAGAGATTAGCATCAGTGTCCTGTTTTATGACCTAATTATGTCATGTGCATTGCACTTGCCTGCTGCAATACATGCCAGCCTGCTCGGGCAGGGCCAAATCTTCTATCATAATACTACGGGGATATTCCCATAGCAATGTAGTTCTGAGGCCATAGGAGAGATGGATACATAGTTTGTGGCTGAAGTCTGTGTAATCTACTAGGCTTAAAGCATCTCTTTTCTGCATGTTTTCAAGCAAGGATGCTGAATTCTACATGTAATGATATGTTATAAACTCTACACACATTGGAACCTCTCACATCCTCTCAACCCACCTCTTATTCCAGCCCCCTCTGCAGCCTGTTTCCCCCGGCTGTCCCCCACCCCCCAACCCTCTGAGAAACAACCTGACAGCGCCTCACCTTTTGCCATGCTATGCACCCAGGGCTTCTAAGAGACAAGGTATGGGACCATGACTGAAACTCACCACTGCTGTAGAACAGTGCAGAGGAGTTAATAACCCTAGGATCTCCCTTACCAACAGGGAAGGATAAAGTCCATGGATAAACGCTTGCCCCTTTTGTCCTCGACAGACAGTTCTGAGGCTCTCTGAGGTTCCTGCAGGACTGAGCACCTTTTGTTAAGGCCATGGCCAAGGCAACCACTTTCCCTTCTTCCCCATTTGGCTCTGACCTTCAATCTTGCTCCCTGCTAGGCATTTCCTTCCAGGCTCTGCTTTCTGCCCCTCCCCTCCCCCTCTCTTATGTTTTAATGACTAATGTCAAGGTCCCGCTGAGGAAAGGTCTTATATGAGCCTGTTCTCAGAATATTAAACGCTTCCAGTGTTCTGCTGGTTATTTGAAGGAGGACAGTTAGAACGACTACATTCTAGCCAGGGCTGTCCTACTTGCTAGAGAGTAACTTTTGCTGGATTAGGAAGTAACCTAGAGCAAAGCACTTCGACTTTCTGGGCAGGGTTTCTCAGCTGTAAAAATGGGATAATAGGGACCCCGGCTACTTTGCGGGGCTTGGGGGATCAAAGGAGTTGGAAAGAGGAGGTTATTTCAAAACCGAAGGAGCTGAATAGAAGAATCTCCGGGTTACTCTGGGGCAAGGAAGGTGGAGACCACGGCGTGGCCCCTCAGGTGTCTCCAGTGCTCCACAAGTCAAAGGAGTCCAGGACCCTCCCAAAGCGCCTGCGTCGCGGAGCAGCTGGGTTCACTCTAGGCTGCCCGCTGCAAATCCGCGGTGTTTACCAGAATCCAGGTGGTTTGCAAACCCGGATGTCAGGCTCCTTGTCCCGGAGATTCTCAAATCGCTCACCCACAACTCCTCTTCGGCCTCCCCCAGAAAGGAGAGAGCAGGGCTGCAAGCTAGAGGAGCGGAGAGTGTGACCCGAGCAGCCTCACTCCGCCTGTCCCCACCCCAAAGGCAGGAATTTCTGGGATGGGCAGATGGCCCACCCCTCCTCCTCCTCCTTCCCCAAGCCGCAGTGGGTGGGGCGAGGAAAACCTCCGCGACTTTCCCGCATCCCAGCCCAGAGCCCCGAGTGTCGGTTCACTGTGGAGACAGCGGTGGCGGAGTGGGTCTCCAGGGCTCTGGGCTGGCAAGGCCCCCGGAGGGGGTGGGGCGCGGAGGAGGCTACGGATCCGCTTCCGCGCGGCGGGGCCGGGTGCTTGGGACGCGGCTCTGGGCTCCCGGGATAAGGGGCTCCCGGGACAAGGGGCTCCCGGAGAGCCCAGTGGTTAGCGATGCTGCTGTCGCCGTCGCTGCTGCTGCTGCTGCTGCTGGGGGCGCCGCGGGGCTGCGCCGAGGGTGTGGCGGCGGCGCTTACCCCCGAGCGGCTCCTGGAGTGGCAGGGTGAGTCTCCCAGGGTCGGGGACTGGATCGGTACGTTGGGGAGGGGGGTCGGGGTGGTCGAAGGAGAGGAAGAAGGGGCGAAGCTAGGGGCCAAGCTGGCGGGCAAGGGCGGCCGCGTTTGTAGGGGTTCGTGTGTCAGCAGTCCTGAGCATGGGGGGAGCGGGTGGTGTCCTGCAGCCTCTTGTCTAGGCCCAGCACCCCACTTGCGCGGCCCGGCACCCTCCTGGCTCCTGCGGGGGTCGGGCGGCGGGGGCGGGGGGGCTTGGTCTCGCAGGTAACTCCTCTCGGCTCTGGCGCCCGGAGCCAGCCCGGGATAGGAGTGTCGGAGAAGTTTCAAAACGGAAACTTTCTGAGAGCTGCTTATTTGGGACGGATAAATGATAGCAAAAAGATGGCTCAGTTCGTCCCCTTGCAAAGCAAGCGCTCAGGGTCTGCGTCGCCACCTAGGAGTGACCCCCAAGCCAGGCCTCCCCAGTCCATCCCTTCCTTAAGGAAAACTTTTTTTGTTTGTTTGTTTTTTGAGACAGGGTCTTGCTCTGTCGCCCAGGCTGTAGTGTAATGGCGGGATCTCGGCTCACTGCAGCCTCCGCCTCCCGGGGTCAAGCGATCCTCCCACCTCAGCCTCCCGAGTAGCTGGGACCACAGGTGTGCGCCCGCACGCCCAGCAAAATTTTTGTATTTTTGGTGGAGACGGAGTTTCACCATGTTGCCCAGGCTGGTCTCCAACTCCTGGGCCCAAGTGATCCGCCCACCTCGTCCTCCCAAAGTTCTGGGATTACAGGCCTGACCCACCGCACCCCGCCTGAAAACATCAGGCCAGGTGAGGGAGAGAAGCCCCAGTGGCTCCATGAACTGCGTGATCTGAAGCCTTTATGCCTTAGTCTCTCTCAGTGGAAAAACGGGGTTCAATTCAGCAAACACTTATTGAGCACCTACTACACATGAGACTCAGAAGGTTGTGTAAAGAGAGGGAGGAGAGATTTCTGGCCTGCAGGGGCCCGCATTTGAGAATGGGCCACCTCAGGCAGAGAAGCCTGCGCCTAAGTGCAGAAGTCCATATATGCAAGTAGGAGGGGGACAGGAGGGAGTTAAATATGCCAGGAGGAGCCTCCAGACAGCCTCCATCCTCTCTGCCTTTGGAGATAAGTTTGGAGAGAAGGGGTAACACAAGATGTGATCAATATCTGCGTTCACATTTTTTCCTCCACAGTAGAATATGTCTACATTTTTGAGGTAGTCTTTTCTAGACTGTGTTTCCTAAGCTCCCTGGAGGCTTAATCAGGGGCAGGTAGAACAAGACCATTCTTATTCTAAAGTGACCAAAGTCAGAGATGCTCTTACCTTCTTGGTCAATTCAGAAAATTGCTCCTGTGGATGCACATCTGATCCTGTAGTATGTATGATTCCTTCCCACTAAGTTTACCATGCAGTGGTTATTCCTTTGCATTTTAAAATGTGGGTTTTGCCTGGGCACTAGGTGGTAGAACAGGGCAGCAGCCCACAGGACAGAAGTTGGACTGGGCCACACAGAGAGTATGTGCTGGTGATCCTCCGAGTGAAGGGCTAATCCCTTCTATATGTAGCAGAACCAAATACTGGCCTGAGACAAATTCTCATCAGTGCCTTCTTTTTAGTAGTCAAGGGCACTCTGAAATTAGAGCCATCTGCTAGCCCTTGTACCTACTAGGTGCAATTTGCACATCTGAAAAGGTTGACATAGTTGGCATAGAGATTCTTCAGATATGAAAATGCTGCTGCTGATTTTCCAAGGAGCACGGAGGTTATGTACCATTCCTCGCACAGGCACAGGCTCTCTCCCTGACTCCAGTCACCTGCATGAGTAGAATTTCAAGTGTAAGCTGGACAGGTTTGAAGTCAAGTTTTTACTGTCAATACAAAATGGAAAAACAAAATCTTAACATTGAAAAGAACCTGAGACATTGTCTACTCTAGCCCTCTATTCTTCAGATGTGGAAGTTGAGGTATGGCTACCATGTAGTTAGCCATGCTTTGGGGTGCCTCAGTTTACCGCTGTGTTCACTGTACCACATTGACTCACTTTAGCCACGATTGACATCCACAGAGCAACTGAGAGAAAAATGCACACTCATTTTCATTTCCAATCCACTAATAATGGCTATGTAATAATGCACAGCAGATTATACATACAGCATTTTTTATCTGAATTGTTTGATATGTATTATTTGTAGATCTGATATGTATTACAAGCATGCCAGCCTTGGGAGGCAGATGATGGATTGTACTGTGATGATTTTCCAATGATTTATCAATAATTCTTGATATGGTTTGGCTATGCCCCCACCCAAATCTCAACTTGAATTGTATCTCCCAGAATTCCCACGTGTTGTGGGAGGGACCCAGGGGGAGGTAATTGAATTATGGGAGCCAATCTTTCCCATGCTATTCTCGTGATAGTGAATAAGTCTCACAACCTCTGATGGGTTTATTAAGGGTTTCTGCTTTTGCTTCTTCCTTATCTTTCTCTTGCCGCTGCCACGTAAGAAGTGCCTTTCGCCTCCCACCATGATTCTGAGGACTCCCCAGCCATGTTGAACTGTGAGTCCAACTAAACCTCTTTTTCTTCCCAGTCTTGGGTATGTCTTTTTCAGCAGTGTGAAAATGGAGTAATACAATTCTGTATTCAAAAGTCAGTAGATACAGTATTATATAGTAGTTAAGTTCTCGGGCTTCAGAGCTAGACGATCTGAGTTCAAATCCTGACTATGCCATTTACCATCCGTGTGACCCTGGACAGGTATTTTGCCAGTCAGTAGCTCAGTTTCCTCATCTGTAAAATGGAGCTAGTAATAGTACACATCTAAGTGTTGTCCTTTTGCTGCTCTCTCACCATGGCACCCTCTTCCTCTGGCCAATCCAGACATTTTGACAGGTTGACAGCCCCATAACAATTACTTACTACGGTGCACAGCACTGTACTTGGCAGGTCTGAAACTCATCTCCTCCTACCTCTAGCTCAGGCATCCCCAACCTCCAGGCCACCTACCAGTTTGTGGCCTGTTAGGAACTGGGCCACACAACAGAAGGTGAGCAACAGTGAACAAAAGAGGCTTCATCTGTATTTACAGCTGCTCCCCTTCCCTCACATTACTGTCTGAGCTCCACCTCCTGTCAGACCAGTGGTGGCATTAGATTCTCAAAGGAGCATAAACCCTATTGTGAACTGTGCATGTGAGAGATCTAGGTTGCGAGCTCCTTATGATAATCTAATGCCTGATGATCTGTCACTGTCTCCCGTCACCCCAGATGGGACCGTCTAGTTGCAGGAAAACAGACTCAGGGCTCCCACTGATTCTACATTATGGTGAGCTGTATAATTACTTCATTATATATTACAATGTAATAATAATAGAAGTAAAGTGCACAATAAATGTAATGCACTTGAGTCATCCCAAAACCATCCCCCACCCCACCACCCCATTGGCCTGTGGAAAATTTGTCTTCTGTGAAACCAGTGCCTGGGGCAGAAAAGGTGGGGGACCTTTGCTCTAGCTGGTTATTCCAAGGAGCCTGATTTTAGTTTGTTTTCCCTGATCAGAATCTGAGCCCTTCTTCTAGCAAGTGCTAAGACACACTAACTTCACTCACTCAAGTACTCCAGATACAAAGTGGACAGCGGGGAGAAAGAAGAAGGGGATGGAGCATCCTGGTGAAAACTGGGCATAGTCATTGCTAAAGGAAATGATCAGGGGGCAAGTAAAAGGGTTTTGAAGCTTTGTTGAGGGTTGAAAAATGATAAATGTGAAATGGTCCCCCACTAATATATCGTAGGAGAGTTTCCTTCTGTAGTGCTCAGCTTCCCAGAGCAGGAGTGGAAAGAACCTAAGTCTGTGTCAGTGCCTGGGGACACTCAGGGGAGGCTCTTCTAAATGACCAGTGATCAAAGGAGGTGAGGGTGCAGATGAGTGTGTGGTCAGTGTGCTTGCCATCAGGTCCTATCTGGGGAGAAGAAAGTGAAACAGGGTTGGGTGTACGGGGTGTCTCTCGACATGCTGCGCCGACGGAAAGAGGGGTAGGGGCTGATGGCCTCAGTTGTTCATTATCTGTCAGGCAATATGTGCTTTATCTACCTGTTTTAGTTGGGTTCATCCAAAAGCAATTCCTGAGACATGTTTTCCTTAGGGTGCAAGTAGTTTTTTTTTTTGGAGGTGATTCTAGAAAGCATGGTAAGGGAGTGAGGACATGAGACCAGAGAGGGAAGAAAGCCACCACAGACCACTGGGGCTCAGTTTCACAAAGGACCCTTTGAGGAACTGTATAGAACTCAGTGGACCCACCAACGGGCAGGAAGCTGAAGTATTTATCCACCAACTCCCGCCTCTTATTGACTAAGGTCACTCCTGGGGCATTCACCCCCTGGTGCTCCTGGTCTCTCCCAGGCAGAGAGCCACAGAAAGTCAGTGGGAGTGCACGAGGACTGTCTGCAGGTGAGTGAGCTCCAGGTTAGAGGGTGTGAGAAGGAAACCAACAGAATCTGCTACCCACCTCCAGATTGGGGAGGTAAAAACATGAGTAGGATATGACACTGGCCCCAAGAGGCTGAGAGTCCAGGGACAGATACAGAAACATAAACAATTACAAAACAGTGAGAGAGGTCTTATGATAACCAGGGATGAGCAAAGTGCTGAAGGCATGCAGAGGAGGCACTGGCCTGGGGAGCTGGAGGCTCATAAAAAGACATTTGTTTTCCTAAAGGATAAGTAGGCAGTTACCATATAGGAAAAAGGAGACTGAGCATTCCTGGGAACATGTATTTCATGTGCAAAGGCCCAGGATCACGTGTCAGGCAACAGTAAAAGTTCAGTGAGCTGAAAGTTCCCTTCTGAGCTCTTTTGGATTCAAGGAAAGAGGCCCACTGAAGGTCACTCAGGCAAACGTGGAGTTGGTTGTAATGGTCCCAGGATCTCAAGGGGGACCCAGGACAGGTTCTTCAGGGCAGCCAGGCCTCCTGGGAAACAGGCACTGGCCACTGACATGAAGCATTACTTTATCTGTTTCTCTCTGTCTCTGGGGCTCTATGGTGGTTCCTGCTTGGTTGTTCTTTCTGTTGACTGTTTCTTTGGCTTTGACTAGTAGGACTTTCCTCTGTAGCTCCCTTAGCTTCCTGGGAAGAGTCCCTTAATTTCCTAGGAGAGGGGTCTGGTTACATTCTTCACAGCATGCTAGCTAGTTCCTGTGCTCTGCCCTCAAGTCGAAGGCCTTCCCCTGGCTAATTGGCCATGGTAGAGGCAGGAGGTGGACACAGGGATGGATGCTGCTTCATCCAGGGCTGTGGATGGTATAGACCACCAGAGTAGGGTCCCAGGCAAAACAAGAAGCAGTGACATGTCTATAGTTGGAAGCATGAGAGAGATGAGGAAGAGTTTGGTTGGAGGCACCCTGCTTCTGGAAAAAGTCTGGCTGAGTGAATTGGGTACTGCTGAGAAGGGCCCTGTGGGTTTGCACAAAGGGGAACCAGATTGCATGTTTAAGTTTAGAAGTGCCATGTTCAGTCTGGGACTTGAAGAGGGTCTCCTATCACCTTGAAGAGGGTAATTCTGGAAGGCAGCAAAGAAACCGTCTGGATAGTTAAAGCTGAGCTAAGTCAGTCCCAATAGGAAGATTGAGGAGCAGAAAGTTTGGGTTCAAGAAACAGGGTTTAAAAAGAGGAAAATATATATTTAAAAACAACAACAAAAGAAAACAGTTAGTGAAAGTTAGATGAGGGAAGATTGCAGAATAGGAGAGGTAGTGGTTATAGAGTGCAAAATCCAAGTTTTGGAGATGGACCTATTCTTGGTAGTGACCAGATCCAAGCTGTGTTTGTGGGAGTGGTCACCAAAGTGAAGAAGAGGCAAAAGAAGGTCCTCACAGCAGAGGAGGTCAGGGAGCCCAATGTCCAGAGCAAAGCTAAAGTCGAGTAGAGTTTGGGACTCTTTTGTCAGCAAACCACAATAAGAAATACATTTTACATCACAACCCACAGCATATAGGTCTACATATGTATAACTGAAACAATGTTTCATTTTTTAAAAAATACCCTTACCTAATATGACATGCTGCTACATTTCCCCCTGTTCCATTCTGTTTCGTTTTGTCTCGCTGGTCATAACACATTCAGTTGATTTCAAGACCATAAATGGGCCACAACCTGCAGTGGGGAAAGCATCGAGTCAGAGTGTTGGGTCATCTGTATGGAAGCTAAAGTGGCTTTGGGGTGTGGAGAATAGCGGGGAGTCTGCTGGTATCAAAGCCATGGTGAATGGGGGGAAGAATGGTTCAGGGCAGAGGGCCCCAGTGGCGAGGAAGGGGGGTAGCTGCCACCTTCTGAAAGAGGGCGATGAGAGCCACTACCTGGAGGCGGCAGTGGGGAGAAGCTGTAGCCCTGAGATTTCCTGCATAGCTTCTGTTTCTAATACAAAGGTAAAAATGCCCCTCTACTGCTTCTAGTATTTTCTAACAGCTGGGGAGTCGTTACTCTTTGTTGTTTTATTTACATCGACACATTGTCTCCTCACCAAAACAGGTAGGCAACATTAATACATACCCTTCTTTTACAGATGAAGAAGGGTTAAGTAACTTGTGCCCACAGGAGCTTGCAGCATGGGGATTCGAACCAAGCACTCTGCACTAATGCAAAGGATCCCTGAATAGCCTTGTGACCCCATGGTGTGGTTCATTCTGTATCCTGCTGCATGACAGAAGCATGCGATTTGGTTTCACAGCAGGAAGAATAGGAGGCCAGCCTCTTGTTCTCTGCAACTCCTCCTTTTCCAAACCCCTCCTTCCACATGTGGGAGTGATATTTTCCTAAAGCAGAAATGTGCAAAGCTACTGATTTATGTATTGTTCTAGGCAATTCTGATGTCCCTAGGCAATGAGCCATTCTACTAATCTGGAAACGGAATTTCAGTAAAAGCGTGATCGGATAGTGGTTTAGCTGCCCTTCCTGGCCCTGAATCATGCCAGCCTTCTTGACTCCGTTTCTCCCATTTCTGTTTGTCATCCCTCGCATTTCTTCCCCTTCATACTTTTCTCATCCTACCTTCTCTGCCTGGCTCCTTTCCTGGCAAGCCTTTGTGAGTCAGCATAGATGTCCAGTTTTTCTGGTCCTATTTACTCTTTCTTGTTAAGCCTCTAACTCTTTTCCTATTGTTGGTTGTCACAGTAACTGATGCCACACAATGCAGGTTCCAAGCCCATCACAGGAAAGATGGGGCCACACAGATAGCTTAGTTGTCCCTGCAGCTCCCCTTCTTTGACCTAACAATCTGCTTATTTATATCAAGTTTTCTGAAGAAACGGTCCCCTTGTGTTGCCTCTTCTGAACTCAATCCTAATGCTGCAAATCCTCATGTAATCTATCAAAGTAATTGATTTAAGACATTTATAAACCCTTCCCTCCATTTTTTTTTAGAAATTATCCTTGAGAGCCTTTTGGAGATGTTCCAACACATAGCTAGGAGCATAAATTATATTTTGAATTGATCAAAGCAAAAAGAAATATTATTGTTCATAAAATAAACAAAAGAACACCATATAAACACTATATTAAGTCATTTAGGGAAAAACATTTTATAAAGCCACTCAAGAAAATTAGAAAATTATGATTAGAATATCTGTAACTTGGGTTCTGTGACACAGAGCTAAACAAGACAGAAAAGTCATAGCCACTTGGCTTTTTAATTTATGATACTTTTTAGACAACTACAGTTCCAAAGAAATATGGAAATAAAATAGTGTTACCACTTCTAGCTTTTGGTATTCTGCTCTTGAGAACTTTTCAATCATGAAAATATAAACAGGAAACTCAAAGTAATTATTTAACTATACACATTTTTTCATTTTGCTGCTCTTTGGCACCATTCATATTCAAAGTTAAGATTGGCTTTTATTTTTATTAATATTTATAAAGTGATCATCATGACTGAGATAATCCCTATCAAGGCCTTGTGAGGCCAGCACTATTATTTTTTTCTTTTTATTATAAAATTTAAACTTTTTGTAAAGAAGGGGTCTTGCTATGTTGCTCAGGCTGGTCTCAAACTCCTGGTCTCAAGCTGTCCTCCAGCCCCGGCCTCCCAAAGTGCTGGGATTACAGGTGTGAACTACACACCCAGCCCCAGCATTACTATTAAACCCATTGTGCAGATGGGAAAACCAAGGCAGATACTCTTCTGGTTTTAAGCAGTTCTGCCCTGAAAGAAGTGCTCGGTAGTTTGCCAAGGTCTTTTTTACATAATGTTAATCTTGTTCAAATGCAAACAAGGAGAGCTTCATGGGGATGTAACCAGTGCAGTTGCACAGGGCCCTATACTCAGAAGGGCCTTCCTTCCACTTAGGGTTTAAAGCTCCATGGTTTGGGGTCTTGGGATTCATAATCATTTCTATCTTTGAATTTGTGTGCTGCGCATGATGTCCAATGGAACAATGGAACTTGAGCCAGAGGTTTGGAGCCTCTGTTCAATTCTGCCTGGTGTCCCCTGTCTACCTCCCGGGACGGGTTCTCAGCTGCCTCCTCCCAACTCCTGCCCTACAATTGATGCTGCCTGCTGCACACAGTGGCAACCAGGTTGCATTGAAGTTGGGGGACTGGAGGCCTGGGCCCTGGGAGTGGATGCCTTGTAGCATTTCGGGGCAGTGCAAGGCAGTATTTGTCACCACTGTACTGATATCACTTCTGTGGGTTCTGCGAGGGCTGAGTGGGAACCTCTCACATATCCTCAATCCAGGTACTGTATTCTAAGCACGTTATAGCTCAGAGGTTGCAATCTCCTGTGGGCCTGAGGGAAAGGGACATTGACTTGACTTCCCCATGTCCAGCCAAAACCACGTATTTTCATTGCACCCTGGACCCTGCAAATGATGTAGACAGCCTGAATAAGAATGATAGGGATGGTTATGATCTGAATTGTTCCCCCCCCCCCCACCAAATTCGTATAAAAATGAGACTTTACTTGGAGATAGGGTCTTCACAGAGGTAAACAAGTTAAAATGAGGCAGTTAGGGTAGCCCTAGTCTATTATGACTGGTATACTCATAAGAAGGGGAAACTTGGACACAGAAATATGCATAGAGAGATGATGTGAAGAGACACAGGGAGAAGATGGTCCTCTAGGGGCCAAGGAGAGAATCCAGGAATCCATCCTTCCCTCATAGCCCTTGGAAGGAACCATCCCTGCCACACTGTAATCTCACGCTTCCAGCCTCCAGAATTATGAGAAAAGAAATTTCTGTCATTGAAGCCACTCAGTTTGTGGTATTTTGTTATGGCAACCCTAGTAGCAAACCGATACAGGGACTAACACTCTATCTACCACTAAAAGTTGTTTGTTTGTTTGTTTTTTTGTTTGTTTTTTAACATTTCTACCTTGCACTTTAGTAAATGATTTTTCTTTTAATGGGCATACTCCCAAGGCGGCTAAGATGGATAGCTCATTGTAAGCACTTTTGTTTTCAGTAATGCCATATCATTTCCGGAGTTGTTTTGGTTGATGATGGAGTTGTTTTCTGGTTTTGTTGGTTTTTGTGACCCAGTCTTTGAATCATTTCCCCCTGGGCTTTAATATGCAGGCATTTGTGAGGGCATCTTAACAGTGTTCTGTCTTTTTGTCCTTGCCCTAACTTGCACTTTGTAATGAGGCACCCTTTTGACTGAGATGGTATATTTTCAACAGAGTCAATAAGATAATCACAGAGCTGTTGTGAATAATGATTTTTATACCAGCAATGTTTGTTAAGTACTTTCCAGTTAAATAAAGGCAAAACAATGGGAGAATAGACTAAAAGCTAAAAGGAAGAAAAATGTTTTCAACTCAGTTTAAAAATTCATTGGTAAGATACAGAGGTCTAGCAAAGAATCACGGAAGAGAGATTTTCTGCCAGGGTCAGCAACTGCTAAATGAGGACAGAGCAGGAGGACAGAGGAGGGAACGGGAATGGCCAGGGAGTGGCAAGGACAGTCTGAAAGGGTTAACCCCTCCTGGCACAGGGGTTGGTAACAGACAATTTGAAGCCTCACAGAACTGCAGTCCGGTGGCACTGATTATGCTGGGTTTCATTTTTCCCTCATGTGAGAAAGACTATTGTGTGCCTCATGAAACTTGGAGAGGCAATTAGGTGAGATTAGAGAGAAAATGGAAGAGAACATGTAAAAAGATTTAGCAAGAGCGGTCCACGGCCCTGTGGAGATGGTGATTATCTAGGTTCAGAAGCTGTAGGAGAATAAAGAAGGCTAAGAGTTAAGGACAATGCTAGGACAGGGAAAGAGAAGAAAGTTCTGAGACAGGACAAAGAGGTTTTTTAAAAAATGTACTTGGGTAACTTTTTAGTTGATTAATAGAAGGCAACTGACAGGAACTCAAAAGTTTCAGAATAAGAGACACATGAAAACTCAGATGATTTCAGATAAAATGCACATTTCCATGCAGAGAGAGAGGTAGGAAGGGCTGGCCCACTTTTCACTTTCTTCCGTGGATCTCTTCTTTGAAGAACCATGCACATGCTGCTTGCTGCAAGCATGAGAAATTCCTCACTTATTGGTTTGAAAGGTCATATTAAGAATACAGATTTTCTGCATCACTCGGCCATGAATAGGACTTGATTCAGCAGCTTACAGTATTCCTTCCTGCTACAGAGTAATCTTAGGAACGTAATCAGCTCTGAATCCATTGTTCACTAGATGGAACAGATAAAGACAAACCCAAATTTGTGAAGCTGGAAAAGGTCAGTACATCTCAAGAGAGAAGCTGCTCACCTCCAGATTGGTTACAGAGGAGAGATGCCCTCCCCATTTCCTTCTGGACTGCATCCCTGCTGAAACCTAATAATGTCAGAACAGCAAGGAAATGGACAGAGTCAAGACAGGCTGCCGGGCAGGAAGGGCTTGAGCCCAGCACTAGCTCTGTGGGTAGATGGAATAGAAGCAATTTCAAACCTATGGACTGGGGTAGGAGATTGAAATTGGGTTGCAGCCTGCATGCTGTGGCTTTCTAATAGCTTGTCTTAAGCATTGCACTTGATGTGAACCATGCACTGGAACTTTTCCTTCCAGTTCCCTTAATGGAGCAGCACAGAGACTGACTTTATGTGTATAGTTGGATTAGGTGAACACCTTCATGGTGTAATTTATTGAATACCAGAAAGTCCTTTGTTTGCCTAAAATGCCACCATTAAAATTGTTGTTTTATTGTTTCTTTAAAGTGTTTTTTGTTAAAAATGCGGAAACTTCACAAAGGCTTAACAGTACAAATCTTATCTTACTCACTTTAACACTTCAAACCTTCACTCAGCTAGTTCTAAGAGAAGAGCTGTCTAAAGCTAAAGGGAACACTAAAGGCAAGTAGAGGTGATCAGAAGGGGTGCAGATGGTCAAGTGCAGAGGCCTCAGGAGAAACTTCCTCTAGGTACCTCCAGTCTGCTGTTCACACAGACAGATCAAACTGTAATAATGGCCCCAGGCTTTAGACTCCAACCTCATGGCACCCCCTTTTGCTTATATCTCCTATGTCAAAATATATTTTGGCATTAGGGTATAATTTCTTTCTGTGCATTTCAGGGATTCCCAGGGAGAATGTGACTTCCTTGCAGGCAAACACTATGACATATATATCCTTCTGTCTGCAGGGTTCCTAAACCATGCCACATCAAGCAGTTGATAGATCTTTGTTGTCTGAAATTTCAAGTCACCTACTTCAAAATGTTTGGCAACAATCTATAGCAGTTTATTTTCTTCTAAGTTATAAATGAATGCATGTAAATAAAGCTACACCTGGACTGAATATAGTAGATAGATATAAAACTTCTAAGACAAAAATGGATTTGGAAAAAAAAAAGTGAAAGAGTGGTTCAGTTAAATAATCTTTACAGTTCCATCCAGCTCTGAAGTTCACGGTTCAGGGTTTATGGGTGAAGTGAGTCTCCTCTGCCACACCCGTCTTCCTTCCAGCACTGCCCTGCTTTGTCCTCCCTAGAAAGTGGGCAAGTACATGTGTGTGCACACTCCCCGCTCAGAGTCTGGTGACACTGAGGGGTCTTGTCCACCTCACATGTGACATCAGTTGAAGAGCCAGTTCAGGGTCTTAAATTTGGGTTTATTTTCTTTCTCTTATTTGTTATCACTTGGTTTTTTAAATCTTTTAAAATAATTGTTTATTTTATTTTGTTTTAAGTTCTGGGATGCACGTGCAGGATGTGCAGGTTTGTTGCATAGGGAAATGTGTGCCATGGTGGTTTCCTGCACCTGTCATCCCATCATCTAGGTATTAAGCCCACATGCATTAGCTCTTTATCCTGATGCTTTCCCTTCCCCTGCCCCTGCCACAGGCCTCAGTGTGTGTTGTTTCCCTCCCTGTGTCCATGTGCTCTCATTGTTCATCTCCCACTTGTAAGTGTTATCACTTGTTTTTAAGAACTTATTTTATTTATTTGTTGTTTTTTGTTTGTTTGTTTTGAGACACAATCTCGCTCTGTCCCCCAGGCTGGAGTGCAGTGGCATGATCTTGGCTCACTGCAGCCTCCACCTCCTGGGTTCAAGTGATTCTTGTGCCTCAGCTTCCCGAGTAGCTGGGAATACAGGCACGCACCACCACGCCCAGCTAATTTTTGTATCCTTAGTAGAGACCTCAAGTGATTCGCCTGCCTTAGCCTCCCAAAGTGCTGGGATTACAGGTGTGAGCCACCACGCCCCACCATTAAGGGCTTATTTTAAATGCAATTATAATGTTTTCTTTGGAACTGATGGAACTCCCTTCTTTTCATTAGCTAGGCAAATTCCCATGATTCCAGAACAAATATATACAGTTTCAAAGAACAGATATTTAGGCAAATAATTTCTCTCTATCTCTAGCATCTTACCCAGTGTCTATGAAGTAGCTGGCATCCAATGAAAGCTAGTTGAATGAATGAATGTTCCATATGCAGTCATAAAGGTAATAACCTAAACTTCGGTTTAAAAGTTGATCAATGAAACATTCTCCTCCCGCTCCTTAGAAGAGTACACGTTATCTTATGGGGCCAAAGAGTGGATCTGAAATGGTCTCCTCCTAAAGGAACTCAGAAGTAGAAAGTAGAACCACTGTCTTCCATGGATTTTATTTAAAAAAAAAAGGATAGAAATTAGCTTATAAGTTTCTTCTGGCCGGGCGCGGTGGCTCACGCCTGTAATCCCAGCACTTTGGGAGGCCGAGGCGGGCGGATCACGAGGTCAGGAGATCGAGACCATCCCGGCTAGAACGGTGAAACCCCGTCTCTACTAAAAATACAAAAAAATTAGCCGGGCGTAGTGGCGGGCGCCTGTAGTCCCAGCTACTTGGGAGGCTGAGGCAGGAGAATGGCGTGAACCCGGGAGGCGGAGCTTGCAGTGAGCCGAGATCCCGCCACTGCACTCCAGCCTGGGTGACAGAGCGAGACTCTGTCTCAAAAAAAAAAAAAAAAAAAATGTTTCTTCTAATAAATGAATCCTTTTTCTCCTCCTAAACTTATAATTATGAAGGGAAGTATAATAACATTTTCCTGCAAAGAGATTTAGTAATTCTGGCAGTACTTCATTAATCACTTAATCAGTGTTCAAGCAGAACTGATGTCCTTGACATGTATAATCAATCTTGATTCCTCCCACATTTGATTTTCATCTTTTAAAAAATCCAACAACTATGCACACTAAGGATTGGTGGCTTATTTTCACATTATAGTTTTGTTAGAGACATTATGTGCATATAATAACAATCAGAATATTGATACCTATATTAAGTCTCCTCACAGTCTATTTGAAAGTAATTCTTTTCAGTGAATTTATGGAGATTAACAGTGCTAGGATCATATTCTATTATAACTTAATGGAAAAATGGGCTCAAGTCATTTTTTAACTTAGTATATTTGGAGGCAGCATGTTGATTATTATTGGTGAACCAGAGCTACTTGCCTATGGCACATTCTGAAGAACTTTTCTAAAGCTATTTCCTAAAGGCAGCTGGTGTGGAAATATAAGTAGCACCCCAAAATTAAGCAGCAATGGATTAGGTGTGTCTAATATGTTCTGCTTTGGAAAGGTATTTTTATGATTGCTGGTGTGACTACAGAAGTTCCAATTTCTGCCACTCTTTTTCTCTTAACATTTATTAATTTGGAAGTTTAAAAGCATTATTGGCCAGGCATGGTGGCTCACACCTGTAGTCCCAGCACTTTGGGAGGCCAAGGTGGGAGGATTGCTTGAGCCCAGGAGTTTGAGACCATCCTGGGCAATATATTGAGATCCTGTCTCTACCAAAAACAAACAAACAAACAATTAGCCAGGCATGGTGGTACACACCTGTAATCCCAGCTACTCAGGAGGCTGAGATGGGAGGATCAGTTGAGCCTGGGAGGCCGAGGCCTCAGTGAGCCATGACAGTGCCACTGCACTCCAGCCTGGGTGACAGAGCAAGACCTTGTTTCAAACTCACCGCCCCACAGAATATTTATTCACCCCAAATGTTAGGTTTGTAATTTTCATGTCTATTTATTCACAGACCAGCCATTCCCGCATCTACACACTGCTTGTCAACACCATGTATTTTTCTCTTTCGTATTAAAAAACCTACAGTGTAGACTTTACAGGTGGGTAATGCAGAAAATCAACAGATGAAGGCTCTTAATTCATCATTGCACACATATTTGAACAAAGGAGGCAAATATTTTGTTATCTGGTTGTTTGGAGAGTATTTTTCCTCCATAAAAGATGATAGCGTGGTGTCTCAGGATTGTTTAAAACTAAAATGTCTGCACCCACTGTGTGCTGCAGAAACTGCAGTAAAAATAAGCTTTTGTGCTAACAGTGTAAGAAGAGAAGCCTTTGAGGGATGATGAGATTAGCACTCTGTAGGTTCAACCAGGTCTGCAGCTGGATCTATAGACCAAGAATCAGGAAGTCAGAGGAATAAAGTAATAATGATAGCTCCCATTTCCTAAGGCTTTTCATGGTAGTATGTGGTGTGCTTTTCATGGGTTACTCAATGGAATATCCTTAACATCCCTAAGAGGTCAGTACCATACATATTCCCAGTTCAAGGAGGAAAGATGAGGCTCACTGAGATGGAGCAATCTGCCCAAAGTTACACAGCAGGTCTGTGACAGCTCCACGTGACTCCAGAGCTCTCAACCACTAGCCAGGTCGTCTACACACCTATCTGAGGTGTATAAACTGAGGCACAGTCAGTACGTTGCAGAGCTTATAATACATTTGAACATATATATTAGGTAGAAGCTGAACTACAAAACCATTATAGTAAAATAATTATCCTTTAATGAAAAATTAATGAACTCTAGGTTAGCTAGAAAGTGATTAGTAGGTTACAACAGAAATTAAGGTAAACATTCTACCCAGGCATGAAAAAGTGAAAAGGAGAGTTGGACAGAAGGTTAATTATCGGACTCCATATCACATTGACGAGAGGTGGATTTGATTTTGAATCACTATTACTAATAACCATGCAGACAAGGCCCTCATTAGGAAAACAAATTTCCTGATCTAAATGAAATCTCCCTAAAACCATTCATTTTCCCCACCCCACCCCCTCTCTTTTGCTCTTATGTATGGTGATCAAAGCAATTCTCTGACAACTAATTCAACTCCTCAAATCTATGGCTATAGGTAAGGTCATCAACTATTAGATGAGGTATACCATTTATTAATACATTGACAATCTTTTTGAAACAGTATCTTAAGTGATTTTGGTTACTGTAAATCAGTTCTCCTCAGGCTGATTAACTTTGGAGAAACCAAAAGAACGTTTACCAGAATGAAGCATTGTTCCCTCGTGGATCCATGAGGAGGCCCGTCCTGCACTGTCCCAAACCTCTCCAAAGCCTCTGCCTGTACCTGTTCTGCCCTCCATTACATGACCCGCCCTAAACCCCAGACATTGGAGGGAACCCTATCTTGTCCCTTCAGAGTTTTGAAGAATAGACAGGAAGTAAAATAGAAGAGGGGAACCTAGCTACTGGGAGAACAAAAGAGCGCCTGGGCCTCACCAGACATGAACTGAGGTGACTTAAGCAGCCAAAGGCTGAAGCAGCAGCAGCCGGTGTGTTTCATCAACAGCAAGCACTGACTGAATTTCCACCATGTGCCCAGCACACTCCATACTTAGACCAAAGAAATGAGACTTTGTTTCCATCTTCAAAAAGCCTGTGAGAAAACAAGTTCATAACTGTTGAGTACTAGGTGCCTTCCAGGCCCGCAACTTGGGTTAAGTCAGGTAGCAGGCTGGCAGCTAACATGTATTCCCCAGCTGGGTCCCACAGCTTTTCCACGGGAAACTCACCCAAATCCCTTCTTCCAGCTCCGGGGAGGAGAGCTTAGGGGCATATCACAAAACACCTGCTTTCTCCGCCTGTCCATGTGGCCTCTGGTTTCTGCCACCGTAATGGTGGTCCGTCACCTCTCGTGTTTCAAGGTGTGGTGCCATAGCTAGTGGCCTGGGCATCTACCTGCTTCTGCCTGCCCCACCCAGCAAGCCATCTCCTACTAAGAGTCTATCCCCATATAGCAAGAGGTCCCCACCTCCACCCTTGTACTCCTGAGAAACATTGTATTCTGACCAGTATTGAATCCCGTATCAGATCACAAAGCAGCATTTCACTGATAGCCTTTCGGTTTTCTATAGGAACTTGATGGTAGAGAGTTTCATTCAGTGGCTCTTGATTCAGCAGCTGTGTTCCTAACATTCAGGCACTTGTCTGAGAAAGACAGTGTTGTCATATCCATTGGCACCCAGTGTCCCTCCCCGGGAGCCCTGAGTATTATTACCAATCCCTCTCTCTAACCAATTGTGTGAGCACACCTTCTCTGTCAGTAACAGACCTGAGTGGATTGGCAGGTAACCCTTGTTCCCATATGGCCAATTAGGTCTTAGATCAGAGCTCTCCCATTAGCTCCAGTAAGACCTTTTATGCTTCCCAAGAAACTCCTCTGTTTTATGCAAATACAGCCCTTCAGGTGGACCCTGCCCAACAACTCCAGATCTGTGGGAAATGGCTGGCAACTGTCGCATATCGCACTTAGATATGCACACTGAGATCCTCATGACGCTAGTTAATTATATATGAAAATTTCATGCCACATCTTTGATTTTTGTTTCAGATAAAGGAATATTTGTTATCCAAAGTGAGAGTCTCAAGAAATGCATTCAAGCAGGTAAATCGGTTCTGACCCTGGAGAACTGCAAGCAAGCAAACAAGCACATGCTGTGGAAATGGGTTTCAAACCATGGCCTCTTTAACATAGGAGGCAGTGGTTGCCTGGGCCTGAATTTCTCCGCCCCAGAGCAGCCATTAAGCTTATATGAATGTGACTCCACCCTCGTTTCCTTACGGTGGCGCTGTAACAGGAAGATGATCACAGGCCCGCTGCAGTACTCTGTCCAGGTGGCGCATGACAACACAGTGGTGGCCTCACGGAAGTATATTCATAAGTGGATTTCTTATGGGTCAGGTGGTGGAGACATTTGTGAATATCTACACAAAGGTAAAAATAATTTAAAGAAGCACTCAGGGAATGGTGTTTTTTTAAGGTTTGCCTATAAGTAAAGATTTGTAAAGCATTACGTGAAAGAAGTACACGAAGCCTGGACCCTCAAGGGACTTCTGCTAAATACATTTTAGTTGCTTCCTTGCTTATGGTAAAAGGGTTATGAGAGTCTCAGAATGGACATACTACATTCTGCTAAAGAAGCAGAACTTCTCAGAATTTAAAGGTATTGGGAGGAAAAACATTTAACTGACTCTGGGAATCAATGGAAGGGAGCAGAAAGAATAAGCAGACAGGAGGGAGAGAGAAAAGGACGGTGGAAGGAAAAGATCTTTGAAGACTTTTGTCATGACAAATATAATAATCTCTCCTCCCCTGCCGCCATTTCTCTTATTGTAAAAACTCATCCCCACCTATGGAGGTATGTGTCCAGGACACCTCCAATGCCTCCTGATGCTGGCTGGCATTCATGTGATTAATCATGTTACAAGTCACTTGAAGAGAAATGACAGACTATTGTCGGGGGTTATTTGGTGTGTGCCAAGCATGGTTGGTGGGGAAGCATGGTTTAGAGGGGAATTTCATTTTCTATGGTTATTTTTGTCATTTCTAAACAGAAAAAAAAAGAAAGTTACATAGTTAAATTCAAATCTCAAACCTGTCCCTCAGCGTTTTGTTTGGTAGCTCACTCTATCCATCCATCCATCTATCTATCCATCCATCCATCCATCCATTCATCCCGCATTTTTGTATAGCACTGCTAACAAATCCACCCCACATTCATCAGGCACTGGACTAGGCACCTGGTTTACAAAGGTCCACAGGACAGGTGGAGCCCCTACCCTCGTGCTGCTCTGTAGAATTATGCTTTCACAAGAGCATATGCTCCTAAGAATTCTGTACGGTCCTGGGAAGCAGAGCAAGGAACTCCTAAAGAAGAAATGATTAAAAAGAGACAGAGCCAAGGGCCAGGCATTTTCAGGACTCACTAAAATAAAGCAAGTGCTGCAAACCAGCACTCTGAATAATCTACAGTTCTGAAGAGGAACTTGATATTTTGCTTTATGTTAACTTTTTAGCCACATACCCACACTCATGGTGCATGCAGGGGAAGATTCTGGGGAACATATGCTTTGGAGTAGAAGGAAGGGGACTGAAAGAAAAGGGCATGTCCTGAAATACCTACGGTTCCTAAATAGCCCTAACTGCTAAGGCTGGTGACTGGTGACATGTCATGAGCTCAGGTCAGCCCCTGCCAATTGTGGGAAAGAGGTGGGGCTCTCCACTGCTGGTCCTTTTGCCCCAGGACATACCATTGGCAGCCCCAGTTGAGTCATGAAAAGTTTTTGTTGATTCCTGATTAAGGCCAAGAATGGCCGAGTATTGCAATACCCTGAGAAGGCAGCCAGCAGGCCACGTCTGCATGGTCGACTTGCTCTAGACCACTGAGAAGCCACCCAGCCAGCTGTCTCGCTTCACCCTCTCCCTATGTCAGCTGTTTGCCCCTTTGCAAACAGGGCATCAGTGGTTCTTTAAAAATGTAAATCTGATCCTGTCACTTTCCCATTCAAAACCCGCAAGAGACTTGCCCCCACCCTCAGGGTAGAGGCCAAAGCCCGCAGTATGGCGGGGAGACAGCTCTATGTGCACTGACACTCTAGTACGTCCCTGGCTCCCTACCCAGAGGGCCTCCTTCCTCTTCTTCATTCACCCCCTCACTTGTTCTTGTCTCAGGTTCTTTTTACTTGCTGTTCCTTCTGCTGGATCACCTCTTTTCTAAAGACCTGCACTCTCAGGTCACCCAGTTCCTATTCAGAGAGGTCTTTCACTGCCCATCCTGTCCAAAGTAGTGCCCTGTGCCCCTCCACCCCATCTCTCCCTCTCTCTCACTTTCTCTCTCTCTCTCTCTCTCCCTCTGTCTCACACATACACACACACACACACACACACACACACACACACACACACACGCACACACACACCCCACTCTGTCTTCTCATCCTATTTATTTTTCATCATGGCACCGCTACCTGCAATGATACTGTATGTTTACTTGTATATTTGCTTTCTCTTTCTCTCTCCTTGATAGAAGTTCCACATAAAGGAACTTTTGCTGGTTTGTTCACTGTTGTATCCCCAGTACTGAGTACATTAAATGTTCAATAAATATTTATTGAATGAATAAATTAATAAATGCCTATGAATCTATTGAGCTTTAGATGCTAATGGCTGATGTGTTTGGCGACTGGAAGGTATTATGAAGTTAAATCTCCATTAAAGTTTCTTTCTCATCCATCCACAAATATGAATGTTACTGTGACAGCTCACCATAGTAAGTAAACAAGTAGATAAATGCATAAGCAAACCATGTATCAGCACTTCCTCTGAGCCCAGCACTCAGTCTCACACCTCTACTGACAGGAGACAGTGAGGACCTGAGGGCTCACTCTGCTGTAGTGAGTATCTGCCCCAAGAGGGTTTCAGTCCATAAAAAATGCTTTCGATATATAGCAGTTTCCAAAGATAAAGCTGACATCATACTTATCTGACTTTGTACATTTCTTTCTCCTAGATTTGCATACAATCAAAGGGAACACCCACGGGATGCCGTGTATGTTTCCCTTCCAGTATAACCATCAGTGGCATCATGAATGTACCCGTGAAGGTCGGGAAGATGACTTACTGTGGTGTGCCACGACAAGCCGTTATGAAAGAGATGAAAAGTGGGGATTTTGCCCTGATCCCAGTAAGAATAAATTTTGTCTTCTCTATATGTCATGAATGAATCAAAGATGATTAGAAAGTTATCTGTATCTAAACAAAAGCACTGGGATTGATATATTGAAGTCTGAATAAGAACCCTGATGCTATTAACACAGATTTTGATTTGGGGTTTGTTTTTGCCTTGAAAAGACAATTCTAATATATATTCTTTTTGCCGTACATTCAAGAGATGTTAATTAGCCATTCTTCATTAAGCTCAGTGCATAATGATGTTTTAACCAGAATCAAATTATAAATACTCTGCGATCTCATTGATCCCAGCTTCTTGGCTGGATACTTCAAAACAAACCTGATTGCATATAAAGCCCAGTTAGCCTTTCAATCCACTATCTCTTATGAGCTGCTTTAATTTCTCCACATCCAGGCTGCTGCTTGTCTCGCCCATTGTCAAGCCCAGGCACCAGCTGGCCCCTTGATGATCTTTCTAAAATCGCAATTGCCCTCATTATTTCTTGACAGTGGATTCTCGTCTTGACTCCCTTTCCTACTATTTACCTTCTGGCTATAACCTCATTTTTTTTCTTTTCTTAACTTGATTTTCAAAGTTCAATGGCAGTGGCAATGTTCTAACTTCTTTTTTTCAGTTAGTGCCTTATTATTTCATTTTATTTTTATTTAGCTAAAAAGTTTCCAATTGTTACCAAGTATTAGAGAATGTTTATATATGCCTCCTACTTTCTATATTCAATTTCCTTTCCCTTGGTTTCTGTGAGTCAGAGTACAGCTTTTACAGTCTTCATCTCCCATGCCTGCCTCCCCTCCACATATATAAAATGCAACAAATAAATTTGAAGCAAAAGCAAGTTGAAGAGATTAACCCCAAAGAATCTGACTTATAAAGTATCTGTAGAATTGTTTTCTAATCCAAGAGCTAGTATGGCTTAGCAAATAAGAAAGAGTATAAGCTTTGAAATAATCACACAGGCCAAGATTGGAGTCCTGCTTCCTCCCAACAATGAAATTTTGGGAAGCTCTCTCCATCTATCTGAGTCTCAGTTTCCTCAGACATAAAATGTAGGTAATAGCAGTACCTATTAGGATTATTGTGCAATTCAATTAGATGAGGCATTCAAGGCACTTTTCATAATATCTGGCACACAGTAAGTACTCACAAGGGTTAACCATTGCAGCCAGAAGCAGCAGCAACAATAGCAGCAGCAGCATCAAACCCAATTTATATTTTCAGCATACACTTCTGAATCCATGATTTCTCCTCTCTGCTGTAAGTCAACAAGCACTAAGCTATGCATAGTGGTGAATGCCAAGAGTTTTAGGACTTAGGATCCTCCCTTTAAGGAACTTGGCATCTAGAGAGAAGACAGGTTTGCTGTATGCCAGAAAATGCAGGCTGTATTTGACACAATGCCCTAGAATCACCTGGGAGATAGTTTAAATGCATATCCTGGCCCATCTTCCAGAGATGCAGTGGGTGCAGTATGTAAAACTCAACCATCTGCATTTTTGAAAAGTGCCCCAGGTGACCCCGGTGCAGATAATTCATCATCAAGCAATAATATGGAGATAATTCTATGCAATATACATCTATATACAGGGATAATATCAACACATTTAACAGCCAATATGGTATGGGCTATTGGTCAATCGCAATGGAGACCTTAGTGTGGGGGTTGGGAATTCCAGAGGCTCTCTGCTGATATTAACCCCTTAGCTGCTACAATGTGGGGGTGGGGTGCAGGGAAGCCTGGGTAGTGGGGGTAATAGAGAAGCTCAGAACAGTGGCTATTCACCAACCAGAATGAAAGCATTTTATTATTTTATAACTGTCAGATCACCAGCCTTCTCTATTTGAATCTAAATGTATGCATGTAGGTGTGTATGCATGTGATCTCTACACCCCTTGACTCCTGAAACAGATGTCATATTATTTTTATTATTGTCATATTATTTGCATCATCTCTTCTTTTTCCTTTTCCATCCCCAATAGAGGTCATTATTAAAACCAAATAAATGAACCAATACTAATAAAGTTAACACGTACTTCACATGGCTCTAATACTAGGGACTTCAAAAAAAAAACTACAATATTCTTCTTAAGGTTCTGAAACCTTAAGAAGTTTCCACTGGGAAACTTCCAATGACAGTTTCCCAGTGGAAGCCTGGGTTCAGTGGTGCTCCAGGCTTTTCATTCCCCAGACCATCTATTTGTTCAGCCTTGTACAGCTCAGAAGCTTCCTCTGCTTGACAGCCTGCCAGATTCCAGCCCTCCTGCCCTTTACCACAACCAGCAGAGAGCATGTTTATTTGTTCAGTGCCAGTTTTCTTCCTTTCTTGTTACTTTTGGCTCCCGGTAGCCAATATAACTCAAAATGACGTGTCGGAGATTGAAACCTGAGCAAGCTGATAGCTCTTTCCATGGGGTCAACAAGTGGATAGGACAGAGAAGAGTGAGTGGAATAAAGTAAAGGTCTGTACTGCTGTATCTCATCCTTCTTATGTGGGAAATTTTTTTAAATATCTCAATGTAAAATGATGCTACATTTAAAAAAAAAGTTGATTGTAAATGAGCAAAATTTAAATGTAGTATTCATAAACACATATACAAATATACTAGCGGTGAAGGATGTAATAAAACATCTTCAGCAAAAAGGATGACACACAGGAATCTCTCTGGGTTTGTTTAGAGGCAATTATGGGCCATTCTGGACTCTCTTGGTTGTGTGCCTTACAGAGCTGCAGAATCACACTTAGTTAATTTGAGATATTTTTACGATACCAACCTGTGAAATGATATGATTGCCCTTGAACCTTATTTTTATATAATTCTGATCAGTTGCTCGAGTGATATAATAAAGCAGATTTAGGCTGGGCACAGTGGCTCACACCTGTAATCCCAGCACTTTGGGAGGCTGAAGCGGGCAGATCACTTGAGGTCAGGAGTTTGAGATCAGCATGGCCAACATGGTGAAATCCCATCTCTACTAAAAATACAAAATTAGCTGGGTGTGGTGGTAGGCACCTGTAATCCCAGCTACTTAGGAGGCTAAGGCAGAAGAATCGCTTGAACCCAGGAGATGGAGGTTGCAGTGAGCCAAGATCGCGCCACTGCACTACAGCCTGGTGACAGAGCAAGACTCTGTCGCCGCCCGCCTGCCCCCGCTCCCGCCCTCCACAAAAAAGACAAACAAGCAGATTGATACAACAAAGGTATGGCTGCTCTCTCCTGAGCCCTCAACATGGCTCAGCAATGCTATATGTTTCTGTCATGCAGTTCTCACACCCCACAATGACCCTGCCAACCTCTCTATTCTCCTCTAACTTCTAACCCTACCTTCCAATCTCCTTTCTGATTCTCATTATTTGACCTCAGTTCCTACCTCATAATGGCAAAAAGATCCATCAGACAGACAGTTTGGCAACTTCCTGCTCTCTCACCTTTAAGCCTACCTGCATCTGTGCCCATCTTTATTTCCTCCCTTCTATGCGCGAGGATGATGTTCCTCCTCCTACATGGGCCAAGTCTCCCCACCTGGGCTCTGGAGCGCCCCATCCAACCTTCTCCAACCTGTATCTCAGTTGTTCTCAATGTGTGGTCCCCGTTCCAGCAGCGTTGGAATTCCCTGGGAGCTTGCTAGAAACGCAAAGTAGCAGTCACACCCTAGACCATCATATCAGAAATTCTAGAAGTGCAGCCCAGCAATCTGTGTTTTAACAAACTTCTAGGTGATTCCAGTGCACACCCCTGGGTGCTTCTTTGCTGGGCCCTTTTCCTTAGCAGTTAGACCTGTGCGAGTCTTGAAATAACATCTTAAAAATACTGCAATTCTTTCATCCCTATTTCTGCCTCCTGAAAACACCTCTCTCTCTCATCCTCTAAATAGAGAGAATTCGCAAAAGAATTGTCTATACCTTCTTCAGGGCACTGTCTCCTCTTGACTTCTACAACAATGCATGCCTGACCTTGACCTCCATTTCCACAGACCATTCATCCATTTATTCATTTAACAAATATGTATTGAACACCTACTATGTGCCAGGGACTTCTCTGGCTCCTGGGGTTATAACCGTGAATGTGAAATGTGAAAGTCATAGTGCCTGCCCTGATGAAATTCACATTCAAGTATAATACCCAAATTAATACATAATTACAGTTTGTCATAAGTTCTACCTTAAGAAAATACAGTATTACAAGTGAGAAACCGAAGTTAAAATTGGGAGTCATGGAAGGTTTTCCTGAGGAAGTTGTATTTGAACTGTAGCCCAAGAGATGAGTAGAAGTTGTCAAAATGGAAAGTGGGGAAATGAGATATTCACACGGAGATGCATGATACAGACATGTGCAAAGGAAGGGGAGAGGGAGTGGTCAGCATGGGATGCAGGCAATAAAGAGGGTATATGGTTTAAATAGAACTAAAAAATAATAATAAAACCAAGTAAAAGACAGCATGCTTTTGAGTCACCAGGCACATGCTCTAACCATTCCAAACAATGTCAGTGATAAAATACGCCCACCTGTCCAGGCTGACTGCTCCTCCACCCCCAGCCCTCAGCATGTCACTGGCCAGATATCTGAAGGTTTTGAGGGGGGAAAGAGGTTATTGCCATCTAAGAAAGACAATGTGGCAAGAGTACAGTGAATGAAGAAGAGAGAAACAAGACACTCTGAAAGGGCAGACAGAGTCCATGAGTGTCATAAAGGTAAGGACTTACCTAATTCTAAGTGCAAAAGAAAGCTATCAAAAGAGTTTTAAGCAGGGGAGTGATGATTTTAAAAATATATATTTAAGGATTACTCTGGCTCTATTATACTGAATGGCTTGGAAGGGAGCAATAGGCAAATCCTGGAGACCAGGTAGAAGGCTAGAGCAATAGTCTGGGCCAGGAGTAGTGGTGGCTTCAGTTAGGTGGCAGCAAGGGGATTGGAAAAATGTGGATTTATTGAAGATCTAACTTGTAGATAAACTGAACAGGACCTGGTTGTCAGGAGCTTAGCTGGGCTGGAGACAGCAGAGCTGTCAGGTGTTGGAGTAGCTGATTAAAGCAACAAGCCAAAAATGAAGGTGTTAAGCTGTTGATCACTCACTACAATGGTATAACAAAGAGACTAAAAGAAGAATTCGCCACCTCCCCCGTTCCATTTTTCCCCAGGGAACAGCACAGCCATCGAGGGTCAGTGGATCAGCACAGATGTGGAGTTCAGCTCAGCTCACTATTGAGAGAACACTAAACAACAACAAAGGCTTTTCAGTTGTATAGATTCTGGGTTGGGGTAAGGTGAGGGGAAGAGCTAGGAGTTGAAAAGTACTGAGCACTGAGTCAGGGTGGGGAAAAAGTGTCTTCAAGATTCCCCTCCTTCCCACTCCATCCCAGCCTCAGCAGAGGCACCTGAAGAGGACCTTGGCCCAAGGCCTCACATAGAAAGAGACCTAGGAATGGAAGGCACCTGCACCAGAAATGCAAATAACACAGAGCACGATGGGCTTGAGGGGCCTGAACCGTTAACTATGACTCTCTTTAGAAACTGCAGTGTGCCAGCTCAGCACCAAGTCTGGGGTAGGGGCAGCTTTCCCCCATGAGGCCTACCAGGTAAAGCCTTTGTAACTGCCTGTGGTCAGACCTCAAGAATCACATATAGGTTTTTAACCAGGAGTAGGACTTCTCACTCCTAAGAACTTGGAGGCTAGGAGAAAAAGTGAGACATTAATTCAGACTCCATGTTTCTGACATGCATAGCTAAGTTTATGGAGATATACATTTGGAAAAGAAAATTAAATACTATTCAGGTTTGCACATGTTACATGTGAGTCAGTTATGTAGAGATGTGGACTAGGTAGGTAGATGTAATGGTCTCTATGTATTTGGAAGTTATAGGAAATGGACCCATGAGAACAGGTTAGATAGCCATGTGTAGAAAGAATGTATAGAATAGAAAGGAAGGGGGCTCAGGGCCAAGTCTTAAGGCCTCCAACATTTAATTTGAGTAGAGAAGAATAAATCAGCAAGGGAGACTGAAAGGGGGCAGCCAGGGAGGAATAAGGGTAGCCAGGCATGGGAAGTCAAGAAAAGAGAGTAAATCAGCACGGAGAGGGAACTCAGCCTGCCAAGTGCTGATGAAGGGGCTTGTTTGATAAAGTCTCAAACTAACAGTTGCTGAATTTGGCAACACAGGGGTCATTGATGGCCTTAAACAAGGTATACATTAATGGCTAGATTCAGTGGATGAGACTAAGTGGGAAATTAGAAGAGGATGAAACACTTCCCAAGTCATTCTACGTATGCACTTCACTTCATTAAAAAGGAGGTGTAGTTTAGGAAGGAAAAATCACCTATTTATAACACCATGAAAAAGATTCTGGTAATCTCTCATCACATAATAGGAGACTCAAAGTTATATATGACACAATTGCTTCCCTGGAGCCCATAATTTAGCAATAGAAGAGATGATATAAACACAATCAAAGATGTAAAGAATATAACAATAGGATTTTAGCCCTTAGATTAGAATTTTTCAAGAATAATAAACATACCTGAGACACCAGCCTTTGATTTTCAGAGTTCTCAAGCTGGGGTGACCCTTCAGAGTTGCCCCTTGTTGGGATACAGGGGCTAAGTATACCACTACATTGACCAGTCATGGTGTCAGCTGCCCTTGGGAAGGGAGAGTGAAAGGGCAAAGAGACTCTTCTGCCAAAGCAGTCCTTAGAGAGCAGCACATCACAGTGTCTATGACAACATTTTCATTCCATTTGTTACTTAAAACTTACAAATGAGATTCCTGGAGGGACATGCAGCCTATCCTAGAGAAGCAGAGAAAGGACTTGTGTCTGCCAGTACAGAAGTACAAATTCTTATACAGGCTGAGTATCGCTTATCCAAAATTCTTGGGCCCAAAAGTGTTTTAGATTTCTGATTTTAGGATATTTGCATATACATAATAAGGTTTCTTGGGCACAGGACCCAAGTGTAAACACAGACTTCATTTATGTTTCATATATACATTATACCCATAGCCTGAAGGTAATTTTATACAATATTTAAAATAATTTTGTGCATGAAACAAAGTATTGACCAAAACCCATCACGAGGTCAGGTGTCGAATTTTCTACTTGTGGCGTCATGTCAGCACTAAAAAAATTTTCACCATGTTGCCCAGGCTGGTCTTGAACTCCTGGGCTCAAGCAATCCACCCGCCTCAGCTTCCCAAAGGGCTGGGATTACAGGCATGAGACACCATACCCGGCATCTTTCTTTCTCTTTTTGTAGTGATAGGGTCTTGCTTTGTTGACCAGGCTGGTCTCGAACTCCTGACTTCAAGTGATCCTCCCGCTTCAGCCTCCCAAAGTGCTAGAATTACAGGCATGAGCCACTGTGACTGTCCTAAATGATTCTTATGCATGCCAAAACTATGAACACACCCCCGCTCCCCCATCATGGTCTCAGCTGTCATGGTGGATGAGTATGGCTGAACTAGTGTCTCGTAACACGTAGTAGTATATTGTCCTTCTCAGGGAAGGCCTAGGATTTTAACTGAAAACAATCTTTAAGGATTCCATCTCAATGGGGAAATTTCAGCCACCTGGGCAAAATGGTTACTGAAAATTTCCCTTCTCTTTTTCCTTTCTTTCTTTTCCTTCCCTTCAGTGTTACTTGGTGATAGCCTTGTCTTCTGCCTTCCTTTAATCTTGGATCCTTCTATAAACACATGTATCAGTCAGGAAACTCTATAGACAACCTTAGATTTATATGTGATTTAAAACCTCTGGAATGTGTGTTGCAACCAGACATGAAAATAAACTTTCCACATTTCCCAAGGGGACCATCTAACTGTTATGAGGGAGGAAAAAAAACCAAACAAAAAAGATTTTATTGTCAAATAAGTTTGAAGTACACTAAATTAACAGTAAGCATGTTTCTTTACTACAGAACTTCTCAGAGCCTTGAATATGCTAATGTTCATTGTGAATTTCCCAGAGAACGCTATGTATGCATTGTGTCCAGATTTTCTTGGGGAGCCTCTTAAAGTTGTCTTACTTTGGGAATCACACTTTGGGAAAGGCCATCCTAGACTTCAGCTGGTTGCCTGTCAGTCATTTTCAGTCATGCTGCAGTATGGCTCACATTCTCTGTATTCTGACATTCTCTGTCTGAGTTTGGTTTCCGGTCATTATTGTGGCTACTTAGTTCACCTTGGAGTTTGATTTTAAATGTTAGCAAAAGCACCCAAACTCAGTCTTAATTTTCTGTTATTTCAAAAAAAACTTCAGACTTCAGCTCCACATTTCATACTTTATTACATTTCCTTTTGAGCACACTATGCAATCTTCGGCCAGTGTCTTACAAGTGGATCTTGCTTCTATTCCTCTTGGCTGAAAGAACTTTCTTAAACTATATGTCAGTGTTCCTGTGCTTGATGTTTATTTGAAAACTTGTGTTTACTATTGACTCATATTCCTACTGTATCCTTTTATTTTAGCATTTTGTATTTAGGGAGAAATGCCTTTGAAATAACATTTGTATCTACTAAAATGAACATTTAAAGTTACAAGTTTTCAATATAAAGTTCTAAATGACAAAAGAACTTAGATCTTATTTTCACAAATACTTCGCTTCTACTTCCTTCTCTTAAAACTGGTTCCTATTATTACTCTGGAAAGGATCATAGCTTCTTCATTGGTGATTTCTTATATTTCTTTAGGTAAATCATGAAAGAGTTTAACCATATCTTAGCAATGGAATAACAATGCAGATTTTATCATAAAGACCTAATCAAGAATAGATAAGGCCCTGAAGTTTTAGAGATTGCAAGATGGAATAATTCCATTCAGACTTACCTTAGAAATATGTTGCTGTATAGATAAAATAAGACCTGGTTGTTTTTAATGGCCATTGTTTCCAGCCTCTGCAGAAGTAGGTTGTGATACTATTTGGGAGAAGGACCTCAATTCACACATTTGCTACCAGTTCAACCTGCTTTCATCTCTCTCTTGGAGTGAGGCACATTCTTCATGCCAGATGCAAGGAGGTACGCTGTTAAGTATTACAGATGAAACTGAAGAAAATTTCATAAGGGGTAAGTAGGTGGATGACGCACATTGATATTGATACAATAAAAGATGGTTGTTAACTGTTTTCACATATACAAAAATATATTCTGACAAAAAGTTCTTAAAAAATATTTTTCTTTCCATAATATGGCCCAAAACTCTCACCCAAAATTTTTCCATGAACCTTGAGTGATTCCATTTGGCATCCAGTGATGTCTTTCTTATTTTCTCCTCCTTGGAGAAGAGAATTTGAGGCCACAGCAAGGGACCCAGGAGAGTTGCAGTTCTAACAAGTGGATCAGGAAGATTTCTAAATTTAAGGGCTATTTGCTTGCTCTTCTGGAGATCTTAGCCATTCCATTTCCATTAATAAATCATTAAGCATTTTATTAATTAAACAAAATCTTACATATCATTCACCATGTGCAGGTACATCATAGGCCTTCTGGTGGGTCCCAAAAACAAAACCTTAAAATTTAGTGGGAAAAGCAAAAGCACATATATGTTAACTAACAGTATAGACAATAATATGTTAAAAGAATTGTGCCGATAAACTAAGACTTATGTTTCGCTTATTGCCTAAACTCTCCTCTTACTTCTTCTTTATAGATTAAATGTATTTGTATGTGTGTACATTCACCTCTTTAAAAACTTGTGGAAACATTAGAAAATATCACAAAATTAGTCACTTTCATTAACAGTTTTTGATGCCAATGTTTTTCAAATTTTATTGCATATGTAGTCCATGTTTATTTTAGAATAATTTGTAAAATTCAGGTATATAGAAAGAAAAACCAATAAAAAGGTTCCCATAGTTCTGTAATCCAGAGACAACTGTGTTTCTCTGCAAAAACATATAAATGCATGTGTACATACACAGTATATATAAAAAATGGTATTATATAAAAACGTGGCAGCAGCCAGGTGCAGTGGCTCACGCCAGTAATCCCAGCACTTTGGGAGGCCAAGGCAGGTGGATCAGTTGAGGCCAAGAGTTCAAGACCAGCCTGGCCAACATGGCGAAATCCTCTCTCTACTAAAAATACAAAAATTTGCCGGACGTGGTGGCATGCACCCGTAGTCCCAGCTACTAAGGAGACTGAGGCAGGAGAATCACTTGAACCTGGGAGGTGGAGGATGCGGTGAGCCAAGATCATGCCATTGCACTCCAGCCTGGGTGGCAGAACGAGCCTTCATATCAAAATACATAAATACATAAATAAAAAATAAAAATAAATAAAAACATGGCAGCTATTGCACAGTGATACAAGCAAGTGATTTAACCACCTGCTCAGGTTAGGAGCAGGGAGCCACCTGCCTGGGTTTGAATCCTGCCTCTACCACTTAAGTAGCAGGGTTACTCAAGCAAGTGATTTAACCGCTCTGTGCCTCAATTTCCCCTTCTACCAAGTGGAAATAATAACAATGCAAATTCCTGGTGTGGCTTACATATTTTAATACAGGTGAAATCATAGAAAAGTGCCTGGCACACATAACAAACACTCAGTGTGTGTTAACCATTTAACAACAACTACGTACACAGTTTGGTAATCTGGTTATTTTATTTACCTGCATTTAATGAACATTTGCCCGTATCTGTAAATATAGATCTACATCATAATTTTTAATGGTTACATAGTAGTATAAGTTAGTGGTAATATATTAGAGATATTGATAAAACTATTTGTTTTGTTATGTATTTATTAGTTGGTATTATAAACCATCCCTGCACAAACCTTTGTGCATACATCCCCAATTATTTCTCTATAAGTTTGCAGAAGTGGGTTCACTGGATGGAAAAGTAAGCACACTTAAAAGCTTTTGTAAGTTGTTAATATCTTCCAGAAGGATTGTAAGAAATGAATGAGCAATGTGTGCCCACCCTAAAAGTCAGAAATTATTATTGAATTTGATTTGAGTAAGTCATAGTGCAGGAAAACATCAATTTTCAAAATCATTTTAAGCCTGAAATGGTTTTTATATAAAAGTTTACATGCCATTTATGAATTACAATTATCTATCTTAACTGCCAGGATTTCTCATGAGAAGGTCTGGACTTATTCATCAAATTTGAATAACCATTTAAAAAAATAAGACATGTCAGGGACTTTGATTTAACTACCTCAGTTCTATAATTAGTCTTTGGGAATTGTTTGGAAAAACAGAAGTCTGTTCATAAAGACAGAAACCTGTTCCAACCAAGGTATTTTTTAATGATGAAAATAGTCTAATGTTTCTTGCTAATTCTGGTGAACATATACTATGGTACAAGGAATTATCTAAGCTGTCATGAATGCCGAGAAATATCCAAAGGAATTTAAATTCGAGTTTCTTATTACAGTATCGTGGGCCAGCTTAGTCCTAAAGGTAAATAGATGGTTTTTTGTGCCTTCAGACACAGGTTATAAATTGCACAATTATTTTTTATCTGCATTATTAAAACAATTGCACAATGGGTATTCAAAAAAATTCTAAGATAAGAATAATTAACGTTTTAATATTTTAACTAGATTTTAAAATATCACTTGGCACTTGCCTGGATGTGAAACGTGAAAATTTCTCCCTGCCCTGTCAATCCATTTCACTTCTTATCATCATAAGACCTGCTAAACGATTCAATCGAATGGTGCTATTGAAAGGAATAATCAAATAGACATTAGAAAGAGATTCCATATGAATGCCACAGAAACTTGGAAGGGTGAAACCCGTGTATAGTATGCTGTTTCTGTTTATTGATTTCTGGGAGTCTCAAAATTATAAAGCACCTTTTTCTCTTTTCTTAAATGGGTTAGTTTCTTTGAGTTTTTCACAATTGTATTGAAATATCTAGTCACTGAGGATGCTGCAGCCTTGTTATATGACTACAATGACCTTCACAACCTGGGTAATCATACAGTCTATCATCCAAACTGAGATTCTTTTGATAGTAAAAGGGACTGTGATTAATAATTATTCTGGAAATACCAGCATGAACCATGAGTTTTCCAGGAAAATGGGGGCATACGGTCACCCTGTTTATAACCCTTATCCGTCAGGGTCTTAATCTTAGGCAGGACCCCTGCGTCTGACTAAAAATAAATTGGGCTCTGAATCAGGTGAATTGTAAGCGAACAATGCTCTCCTTTATAGATTAAACGAGTAAATGGCAACATTTCAAAGCATCACAAAATTGCCACTTTCATTATGTTTCTGACACTAGGTTTTGGTTTTTTTCCCCCCGAAATTTTGCTGCATAAGTAGTACCTATTTATTCTGGAATAATGTTTAAAATTTAGGTGCACAAAAAGAAAAACTGAGGAAAAATTCCCATAATTCTTTAATTTTGATAACTATGTCTTTCTGCATGTCAATGCATGTTTTTATTCATAGTATCTATAACAAAAATGGTATTGCATTAAACTGCAAGTTGTAGTGGACTGGTTAAGAGGAGGGGCCACAGAGCCAGCCTGCCATTAAACTTCTCCCACCTCAAGCTGTGGAAGCAGCCTCCAGTTTGCACTGCACACAGCCTTAGGTCCCAACCTGCTAGGGATCCCCCGAGACACTCTGGTCCCTCCTGTTGAGCAGACATCTCCTGGTGGCTGTCACACTGTACACCCCTCCCTGATCTACTTCAGCACACCGTTTTACCTTTGAAGATGTGCCTCTGTTCACTTTCTGGGACTGACCCTGCACACCTCTTCCTCCACCCTATTAAACCTTTAAGTTCATGAGCTCACTCAAGTAAGATGGCCTCAAGTATGCAACCATGCACCCTTGTCTAGATTGACAACCCTGAAAGGCAACCTTTCTGGGTACTTGCATGAAGCATTCACAGTTGAAAAACAGCTGTCAGTGAGCCTGCTCTGTTTCTCAAGATGGTGGGAGCCTGCTTTATCACTCAGAAGCACCACGTGCATTCTGTGCACCTTTCCCGTCATTGACTGGAATTAGTTTCTGACTCCATGATCCAGGAATAGGAGAACAAGAAAGATGTGTAACACTGGATTTTTTTTTTGAAGCTCCATAATTTTCATTTCAGAGCACATGAGCAGTAAAACAGTGGAGGTGTGGATGGGCCTCAATCAGCTGGATGAACACGCTGGCTGGCAGTGGTCTGATGGAACGCCGCTCAACTATCTGAATTGGAGCCCAGGTACCCGCAGTGTTTTCTTTGCCTTCGTCACGTGGCATCATCTTGCACCCTTACACAGCAGCATTTCCCATGCACATAGGACATGCTTTTTTGAGAGTAGTGTATAAACATTTTTTAGCCTGACTGAATTCCTTTAAGGCAAGCTTTTCCAAACAAGAAAATAGGGACCAGGAAGATAAGCTTTTTAGCCAAAGTTGCAGGAGGATTTGGGTGTAAGCCAAGATTCCAGTCTGCTGTTTTAAAAATAGCTACAAATTGCAAAATATCTCTCTACTTTAAGATAATAAAAGTGGGTCTTTTGGAATCTTTGGGAAATCATTTAATTGACATGCCTGGACTGTAACTGCAAAATCATAGATAACATCTTATAGGATTTACTATATATGACAAATAGAAACGCTGTCCCCCGATGCTGAAAACCACATTTCAATATATATTAAACTAACTGCTTTTGCTTCTAATATTAAAGACACTCATTGTATTTTCAGAGGTAAATTTTGAGCCATTTGTTGAAGATCACTGTGGAACATTTAGTTCATTTATGCCAAGTGCCTGGAGGAGTCGGGATTGTGAGTCCACCTTGCCATATATATGTAAAAAATATCTAAACCACATTGATCATGAAATAGTTGGTAAGCGTTTTTATTTTAAGTTGTTCTTAGGTGTTGTTGACTTGTCCTCTCAATATATGTAAATTTCTCTATTTTTTGCTAATAATTCATAATGTAAACTTAGCTAAATCTAGTTTATATTTATATGAAAAGATGTGTAACTAGACAATATCTGTTATGTCAAAGGGACTGTGATTTTAACAAATGCATTTAGGTTTATACTAAAAACTGAAATAATCTGAGCATAGCAAACATTTTCTTCTCTTTTAAAAAATTTGCACTGTTAGTCATTCTGTATTAGAGAAATAAGATACATTTCTTTTTCTATTCTAGTTTTGAGTTTATTGTTCCCCTAGAAATTAAACATAATTTAGAAAACAATTTTATATAATTATTTACTTCATTGATTTTCTGCCACACTCTGAATCTCTTATTAGTAACACACCTTCCTCCCTGAAATTACATGCAGAACTTTTAGATGGAGTTAATACTTAAATAATATCTAATCACAGTCTAGTACCAGAAGTCCAATTATTTCTGTTTTTCAGGTCTATAACCTCTTTTTAGTTTCTCTGAGAATTAATGTCTTAGCTCCAAATGTAGAGATAAAAGTATAACCATTTTTTAAAGAATCATTACAAAAATAATTAGAAAAAACTCTAGATTTAAAATAATAAGCTGAATTGTCATTTTTAAATATTGTCTCTTAGAATTGGGTTTTAACTTTCATTTTCCTTTAAATAGCTAAGCCTAGAAGTTTTGTAGAATATGGGGTACAAGCTGGGGAAAGAAGAAGCAACTTGTCATTTTTTTATGTAGAGATTTTTCCATTATTTCAGGAATTTGCTGAAATTGCTACCACCTGTTATTGTCCTTTTCCCTCCCTCTCTTCCTTCTTTCATATTCCTTTCTCCGTTCCTTCTCTTTTCATTTTTTCTTTCTTTCCTTCTTATGCCATCTTGCATTCCCTCCTGCCACCCTTCTTTCCTTCTGTTATATTTATCCTTCTATCTGCTAATTGAGGTCAGAAGACCAGAAATGGGAGTAGTTAAGTTAGCTTGTTTGGATTATTTGCTTTGCTTCAAGTTCAACACATTCTTCTGTGGATTGATTGAAGTCTTGCTTTTGTGGCCCAGGCTGGAGTGCAATGGCACGATCTTGGCTCACTGCAACCTCCGCCTCCTGGGTTCAAGCAATTCTGCCTCAGCCTCTCGAGTAGCTGGGATTACAGGCACCTGCCACCACGCCCGGCTAATTTTTGTATTTTTATAGAGACGGGGTTTCACCATGTTGGCCAGGCTGGTCTCGAACTCCTGACCTGAGGCAGTCCGCCCACCTCAGCCTCCCAAAGTGCTGGGATTACGGCGTGAGCCACCACGCGCAGCCTAAAATTCCAAGTTCAAAAAGGATTTCATGAGTGCTTTTTTAGGCTGAAAACCATTGGGGTCAATGATATACAAAGTTCTAACACTCTTTGGCCATGATTCTAATTGCTGCCAGAGTCCTAGAAACAATTTTAAAAGAATGTTTTGTTTCCCAAATAGCAGTGAAATCATATTTAGTTTAACTAGATTCGTTCTTAATGGAGGCACCTCGTTGTGGTTAATAAAATAAGGTAAAAATGCCATCATCAGATTGGGGACAGTCTCGTGAGAAAGGAAAGCCAAAATAAGCATGTGCATCACCACTGCCCTCCAATGTCCAAAACATCATGGCACTGTGTTCCTGAAAGCCCCACCTGGAGTCCATATCAGCCCAGAGCAACATCGTGGACACTCAAGACTTATTTTCAAAGTGAAACCTATTTGTCATCCCCATTTTAAAGGAAGTCATCAGAGTTTTAGGCTCTTTTCAGCTGGGGATAAATATCTACCTTACCCACATACTATGTATAAAATCCTTGGAATACCATTTAAATTGTATTCCATAATACTTCTTTTAAATATAAAAAGGTTTCAAAAATGAGCAGCTCTGTTAAATTTTATATCTAGCCCCAACACTCTGCTTTCATTGTATGTCCTCTGTCAAGTCTCTTTACTTCTTTGGTTTTGTTGTTGTTGTTTTACTTTTTTACTATTTTTTAAAATAAAATTGACTGTGTATGTTCAAAGTATTCAACATGATGTCATAGGATACATATATAGATAGTAAAATGGTTATCTTAGTGAAACAAATTAACACATCCATCATCTCACTTAGTTACCCATTTCCCCCACTGTGACAAGAGCAACTATAGTCTGCTCATTTATCAAAAATCCTGAATACACTACATTAACTATAGTCCTCATGCTGTACAGTAGACCTTCAGACTTGTTCATCCTACATATCTGCTACTTGTATCCTTTTTCCTACCTCTGCTCATTTTCTCTCGTTGACTCCTATAACATTTTATCCATTCAGCCATTCTGTGTTTTGATTAGATAATTTAATCCATTTGCATTCAGAGTAATTATTCCGATAGGTAAAGACTTACTACTGCCATTTTTTTCATTGTTTTCTGCTTGTTTTATAGATTCTTTGTTTCTTCCTTCCTCTCTTATTGTTTACCTTTGTGATTTGGTGATTTGTGTGTGTGTGTGGTGCTAAATTTCAATTCCTTTCTCTTTATCAGTTGTGTATCTGCTATAGTTTTTTTTTTTTTTTTTTTTTTGCTTTATGGTTACCATGTGGCTTACATAAAACATAGTTATAATGGACTGTTTTATACTGATAACTGCTTAACTTTAGTTGCATACAATCACTCTAGATTTTTACCCTACCCCCAATAGTTAAAATTTTGATGTCGCTATTTACATCTTTTAATATCGTGCATTTCTTAATTTATTGTAGCTATAGTTATGTTTTACCATCTTGGTTATTTATTTATTTACTTATTTATTTATGCTTTAGAGACGGTGTCTTGCACTGTTGCCCAGGCTGGAATATGGTGGCATGATCATAGCTTGACCTCCTGGGTTCAAGTCATCCTCCCACCTCAGCCTCCCAAAGTGCTGGGATTACAGCCATGAGCCACTGTGCCCAATCTATTTTTGACAATTTTGACTTTAATCTTCATAGTAGAGATATAAATGATTTACAGACCACCATTACGGTATTTGAACATTCTGAATTTGACTATATATTTACCTCCAAGGAAGAAGGGGTACTCTGGAGGTTTGGCTCCAGGGAACAGGGCACGGCTGTAACTTGGGAAGCAGAACCAGTATGGCACAGTGGCAACTCAAGCTCTAGGGGATGAAGCACCAGGCAGTGGTGACTCCGGACCCTGGGGTGGTGGGACACAGCAGTATCTCAGGCTCTGTGAGGTCAGGTTCAGTAGCAGCAAGGACCCAGGAATGGTGGCATATACCTGTGGTTTGTTTCCTGGGGGTCAAGGAGCAGCAAAATGATGACTCCTCTCCCTGGGAAGGTGGGGTGCCTCAGCAGTTCAGGCTTTGTGGGACTAGTCCAGTTCCAGGAAGGCAAGGTGCTACAGCTGTTTGTGTTGGAGGGCAGGATGTCCCAGCCTTGCCAATGCTGTTTCCCTTGGATGCAGGGTACCACATCAGCCAAGCCCTACAAGGCACAGCTGCTCTGCTCAGCTCAGCCAAGGCACCCATTCCCCCATGAGATGGGGCTGCTTCAGCTTAGGTGCTGGGGGGTATGACTGCTTTGGGCAGCTAAAGCACTGTTTCCCCTGGATTTGAGAGCCACTTCAGCTCAGGTGCCTGGGGTGTGACTGTTTTGGGCAGCCAGGGTAGGGATTCCCTGGGAGGCAGGGTGCCACTTCAGCACACACACTGGGGAACATGACTACTCTGGGAGGCCAAGGCACCATTTCTTTGGAGGCAGGGTGATAAGCCAGCTCAGGCTCTGAGGGGCACAGCACAGCAACAACCAGGAAGGGTAGATGGAGCAGCTCGTGGCAACTTGGCCACACCAGGTAGAGTGAGAGCCCCACAGCAGCTTGGCATGGGGATGGTGGGCCACGAGGTAGAAGTGGTGCAGTGGTTACAAAGCCTCAAGGATGGAGGGGTGCTGTGGCTACTCACTACTGGAGCAGAACATGACATTCTAGCAGTGGTTCTTTTTTCAACATTGTGCAGCGCAATAGACCCATAGTCCACAGAGAGACAGGGTGCAGCATCAGAACTTTCTCTGAGGCAAGCATAGTCCTGTAGACTCCAGGCAGCTCCCTCAAATGGGCTTAGTGCCTGTGGGGGCTGCAGGGGTCCTCAGTGGCAAGAACTGTAGGTGACCCTGGTGGTGTTGGAGGCTGCTAGGGTCCCCTTGCTCTTCCTTTCCTTACAGAGAGAAGTCTCTCCTGGCTCTGAGCTGCTTATAACGGGGGTTGGGGGAGATGGTGGGGGTGGGGGCAGCAAGGGTTTCTGTGCTCCGTGTTGTTTCTGCTACTCCCTTGATGTGCTCCAGCACTCTCCTTCAGCTGCCTTCGTGAAAATGTAGTCATTTATTCATTGCTTTGGCTGTTCCTGTGGCAGGGATGAGATCCCAGGTGTTACCAGAAAGGGGTCCTGATCCAAACCCCAAGAAAGAATTGGAGGCGAATCCATAAAAGGAAAGCAAGTTTATTAGGAAAGTAAAGGAATAAAGAATGGCTACTCCATAGGCAGAGCAGCAGCTTGGGCTGCTCAGCTGATTACACTTACAGTTCTTTCTCGATTATATGCTAAACAAGGGGTAGATTATTCATGAGTTTTCTGGGAACGGGGTATACAATTTTCGGAACTGAGGGTTCCTCCCCCTTTTAGACCATGTAGGGTAACTTCCTGATGTTGCCACAGCTTGTAAACTGTCATGGCACTGGTGGGAGTGTCTTTTAGCATGCTAATACATTATAATTAGCATATAATGAGCAGCGAGGATGACCAGAGGTCACCTTCCTCACCGTCTTGGTTTTGATGGGTTTTGGCCAGCTTCTTTACTGCAGCTTGTTTTATTAGCAAGCTTTCTTGATGAGACTTTCTGTCTCATCCTGTAACTTAGAATGCCTGACCTCCTGGAAATGCAGCTCAGTAGGTCTCAGCCTTATTTTACCCAGCTCCTAAACAAGATGGAGTTGCTGTTGTTCAAAGGCCTCTGACACAGGTGTCTCTATCGGCCATCTTGCTGCCATCCCTCCTCTCCTTACTTCTTTGTACCTTCACTAGCTCATCCGGAAAATGAAATACTGAGGTTCATTTGATCCTAGATCTAAATCTAGATCATAGATTAGACCCTTCTCAACTCTGAAGATCTAGAATTCCATGATATATGTCATTTTGTATATTTCTGTTTTTCACATTTTTAAAGTAATCATATTAATGGCAATTTACATAAGCTGTAATAAGTAATGTTAAAATAATTGTGGAAAATGACATTGTTTTTTGTTGGTTTAAAAAGAAAAAGATGCGTGGAAATATTATGCTACCCACTGTGAGCCTGGCTGGAATCCCTACAATCGTAATTGCTACAAACTTCAGAAAGAAGAAAAGACCTGGCATGAGGCTCTGCGTTCTTGTCAGGCTGATAACAGTGCATTAATAGACATAACCTCATTAGCAGAGGTGGAGTTTCTTGTAACCCTCCTTGGAGATGGTGAGTCCCAGCTGCCTTTGGTTTAAAAGGCATAAAATATAATGTAGTAACTACTTTTATTAGTGGAGTTGAAAAGAAATTTAAGCTATTTAAAAGTGGTTATTCATTGCACATATATTTAAAGTTTCTAAATGTTATTCAGGAGTTCAAATTTATTGGATTTTTACAAAATACATGTTCAGAAACTTTGTAACATCTTCATATATGCCACATATATTAGATGATTTTTAAATTTTTGGAAAGTAGGAAAGTTCATTTCCTAAAACTTCTAATGAAAAACCTAAACCTGTAATTTAGCTTTATGGCCACTAGATAGCAGTAGTGTATTGTTAACATGTAATCCACATAATAAAGGGAACCCCTTAGGCAAATAATTAGATGTAAACAATTTTAGCCAGTGAACATGGGTAATTTATTTGGTGAGGTGATGTTCAGACTGTTCCCCATGTATAGGAATTTTAGGCTCCTGGCTTCCGCACAGCCTGAGTCCCTCAGAGTTGGCCTGCTCTTCACTGTGTCATGTATTTGACATAGACTTATGCTGAAAAATACTGAAATTATTTATTTCATTTTTCAGTTTTTTAAAAATACAAAAAAATGTCCAGGATCTCCTTTGATGACCTTTTCAATTGTTACATTTTAGTTTGGAGTAAAAACATGCATCCTTCTCTGTTATTTTTCCTAATCATTTGCATTTGGGATTAAAGAACCCTGTGGGCTGCTTATCTCAACAAGGGCACTTACACATCTCTTTCAGCCACATAGGGTCCTTTCCTACCTAGGCTGTCAAGTTTTAATTACTTTTGCAGCAACTCCATTTCAATGCCTTTAAGAGGTTTTGCTCCTTTTTTCCTATGGCAGAAAAAAGAAAAAGGAAAAAAATACTTTAAAAAATAGGTTTAAGAGGTACAAGTGAGTATTTCTTACATGCATATATTGCAGTGGTGAAGTCTGGCCTCTTAGTGGCCCCATCACCTGGATGGTGAACATTGTACCCAACAGGTGATTTTTCAACCCTCAGCCTCACCTCTGCTACCTTTTGGAATCTCCAGTGTTTTTTATCCTGCTCTGTATCTCCATGTGTCCCCATTGTTTAGCTCCCACTTATAAGTAAGAACACGCAGTATTTGACATTCTGAGTTATTTCACTTAGCAGAATCGCCTCAAGTGCTACCTGTGTGCGAAAGATATGATTTCATTCTTTTCTATGGCTGAGTAGTATTCCATGGTATGTGTATGTGTATATATATATACCATATTTTCTTTATCCAACCCTCCTCTGATGGATACTTACATGATTCCATCTTTGCTATTGTGAATAATGCTGTGATAAACATATGAGTACAGGTGTCTTTTTGATATAATGATTTTTTTCCCTTTGGGTATATACCCAGTAGTGGGATTGCTGGATTGAAAGGTAGTTCTATTTTTAGTTCTTTGAGTAATCCCAGTACTGTTTTCCATAAATGTTGTACTAATTTACATTCCCACCAATAGTGTATAAGTGTTCCTTTTTTTGCATCCTCACCAACATCTGTTGGGGAAAAAAAAACTCCTATCTTTAAGCTAGACTATCATTAAAAGTTTGTTTGTTTCATGCCCTTTTCATAATCCAGTGGGCCTTCCTATTTTTCCTTTCTCTAGGCAGAAGCAAAACCAGATTTTTCAGATCTGCTTAACATACATACATGGTTCTAGCAGAAACCAGAGCCCCAGGAATCCAACTTGCTTAGGCTTTGTTGTTGCATTGGCTTTAGCTCACATTCTGCCTCACTTATAAGGCCTATATCAAGCAGATCTGGATATTATGGGGATGTCTTAGTCCATTTTCTATTGATTATAGTAGAATACAAAGAAACTGAGTAATTTATAAATAAAAGAAATTTATTTCCTACAGTTATGGAGGCTGGGAAGTTCAAGGTCAAAGGACCACATCTGGAGAGGATCTCCTTGCTGGTGGGGATTCTCTGCAGAGTCCCATGGTGGCACAGGGCATCACATGGAGAGGGGGCTGAGTGTGCTATCTCAGGTCTCTCTTCCTCCTCTTATAAAGCCACCAGTACCATTCCCATGAGAACTAGTTAATCCATTAGCCCATTAATCCATTCATCAGGGCAGAGCCTTCATGACCCATTCACCCCTTAGAGGCCTCCTTCTCAATACTACCACACTGGGGATTAAGTTTCAACCTGAATTTTGGAGGGGACAAACATTCAAACCATAGCAGGGAAGGGAAAATGTTTAAACAGACATTTTATACCAAGACTTAAACAGATTTCATCATGCAAAGAAATAAAGAAGAAATCACATGTGAAGTGGTATATTTTAGTAATAACTCCAGGGTGTTATCTCCTTTGCAAATAATAGGATCCCATAAGTAATTTACATTTATCTCTTACAGAAAATGCATCAGAAACATGGATTGGTTTGAGCAGCAATAAAATTCCAGTTTCCTTTGAATGGTCTAATGACTCTTCAGTCATCTTTACTAATTGGCACACACTTGAGCCCCACATTTTTCCAAATAGAAGCCAGCTGTGTGTCTCAGCAGAGCAGTCTGTAAGTTGATTCATTTGTTCAGTGCTCACTTTGCTGGTCTTGTACTGAAGGCCACCTGTGTTGGAGCTTTGGGCTGTGGCAGAGACCAAGACAGGTGCAGTCCCTGTTCCTCATGGGCCTTCCATGTTAGAGAGCAAACAAGTACACACAGAAAAAACATGGTAATTATAGTTGTAATGATTGCTCCAAGGAACTATGTGACATGATAGTGAAAAGCTTGGGTTGGGGCAGGACAGGACAGCCACAGAAAGCATTTCTGAAAAGTTAATATTTAAGCTTGGACTTAAAAAAAAACTCTCAGAGAGAAGGGGGAAGAATATTCTAAGCAGAACATGCAGAGGGTAGCAAGTGCAAAGGCCCAAAGGCAGACCAAGACTTGCCATGTTGAATGATCAAAAAGGAGACCAGTGGTGAGGAGGTCGTAAGAGATGGGCAGTAGGAATTCTAAAATGCCAGGTTTCTAGACTGTGGTATAGGAACCAATAAAGTACTTCAAGGAAACAAAGGGCATGACCTGATTTACATTTTACAATTAACTGTGGCTGCTACACAGAGAATGGTTAGGAGAGGAATAAAATGGAAGCAGAAAAGCCAGTTTGGAGGCTACACCAGAGTTGACTTAGGGTAGTGACTGTGAAGAGAAGTGGACAGATCCAAGTGTGCTTTGGAGAACAGAAGGTGTTGCTAAGTTAGATGTGGGGGTGAGAGAGAGGTCGGCTTTTGGCTTGAGCAACCATGGTTTTGGTGTATGGTGGTGCCATTGACTGCTGTGATGAAGATGAGGGGAAGAACTGAGGGATGGAAGATTACTCTGGAGAGTGATGGTTTTTAAGCTCCATTATGTTATTCACATAAAAGGATTTAAACAGTATGTGTAACCTCTTTGAAAATTGTGGATCAGTGGCAAATCTTGCTTTTTTTCCTCATGTGGATGGAGTGGTCCCAGTAGCCTGAACATCACATTCATCCCTATGTTCTAGTCTCTCATTTATCTAAAGCATCTGATTATACAGAATTAGCTTAATCCCAAGCCATTTGAACAGTTTATTATGCCTAAAACAGACTTAATCTCTTTGATCAAGATAGCTGCTGAATACACTGGCTGAGTTTTAGGGGGTTGTTGGGATTTGGTAGATGTCCATGTTCTTCTAACCACCAGGATACTCTGTCAGGTTCTCCGAAGAGGCAGTTTATTAAATGTTACTGATGTGGCTTGACAAAGTAATTATGCCAGCAAAACAGGAAGCATTTCTAAGCACTTAACTTTTGTGACATGTTTCATGGTTCCATCTTTTAATGCTAGCACAGACAATTACAATTGTACAGTGCAGTAACAATTATACATGCTAAGGCAGTGTCTCTCAGCCCCATATAAAGGAGAAACAATACCTCTAAATGTCTGTCCTGGGTCTAGCTCTGCTGAAATCCACCACAATGTTTGTTTGTTTGTTTGTTTGTTTGTTTGTTTGTTTTTGAGACAGAGTCTCACTCTGTCACCCAGGCTGGAGTGCAGTGGTGCAATCTCAGCTTACTGCAACCTCTGCCTCCTGGATTCAAGAGATTCTCATGCCTCAGCCTCCCAAGTAGCTGGGATTACAGGCTTGCACCAGCATGCCTGGCTAATTTTTGTATTTTTAGTAGACATGGGGTTTCATGTTGCCCATGCTGGTCTCAGACTCCTGGACTTTACCATCCTTGGCCTCCCAAAGTGTTGTGATTACTGGCATGGGCAACCGCGCCTGGCCCACCACAGTTTATTCTACAGTATCTGCTGATTTATTGGTTCATTAGTTTTGATATAATTTAGGTGATCATTTCTTATTGACAGGCATGGGTATGTTGCTCTGCAAGTTTACAGAACAGGAGCCAATATTTGGACAGAGATTTTTTTTTAAGAGATTGATGATAGGTATTAATAGTATTGGATATGTCAGGACAATGCTGCCGTAAGTGTAATATTTTATGGCCCCTTTTCTGGAAGCTCAGAAGCTCCTTAAATAGTAGATGTGTAAAAATTAACATTTATTTCCATGGAGTAGAACTTAGTATGAATATAATTATTATAATTAACAAGTTCCCCAATCACAGTTGACACAAATTTGAATATGAGAGCCTAGGAAACAATTCATTTGTTCTTCCATTCATCTAACAGTTCTTAACTATAGTATGCCTGACACTATCCTGTAACTGGATTGTTTGCTGGAAGACTCCATGGGGGAGCGATGCAGGGCTCCTCTTACAGATGAAGGTATCAGCCCTGGACGTTGTATTTTTCTAAGGGTCATGGAAGGGCTCCACATTCCCCTAAAATTCTAGATGTGTGAAATACCACCTGGAATTTGAATTGTGTAACTTTAGCCTAAGGTTCTGATTTGTGTTATTAAAAAATCCTATGGGAGGATAAAATTTTAATATGTTAGCAGTTATTATATCATTATTAATGAAAGATCTGAGAGTAGCCTTCAATAGGATTAGAGAAAGACATGAAGGTATCTGCCTAGCATATAAAGAGGAGATGGGGTGGTGCTGTTCGAATTCCTGATGGAGGGATCATTGAAGGGTGAACATGAGTTTCAGCTATGCCAATATTACCTAGGGTGTTTCATGGTAGCTTCCAGGAATTTCCCCAGCATCAGGTAGAGACATGAAAGCAGCAAAGCATTTAATGTAACACTTAGAAGTGGTTGAAGAGAGGCGTCAGCACTCTCACTTGGTCAGGAGGATGGCTTCATCCCAGTGGTTCTCACAGTGTGACCCCCAGACCAGCAGCATTAACATCACCTGAAAACTTGTTAGGAATGCCAATTCTCAAGTCCCACCAGACCTACCAAATGAGACACTGGTCATGCAGCCCAATCATCTAGGTTTCAGTTAGCCCTCCAGGTGCTTCTGGAGCACACTCGAGATTGAGAACCATGGCTCTATCCCATCTTTTCATAGAAAAATTGAGAACAGCTTAATGGAAAGCCAGGCTGACCTTGGTATCAATCCTAGCTCCAATTTTTACTGACTCTAGGACCATGTAAAATGCTAACTCTAACCTTTAAAATGGGAATTATAATCCCTACCTCACTGGAACATTGAGATAATATATGAAAATCGCCCTGCATTAAGCCTAGCACATGGCAGCTATCAAGAAGCACCAGTTGTTAATAGTTGCTCCCTCTCTCCTGCCCACCCAGTTACAGATTGCACACCTTGGAACTCATGCTGGAGAGAAGGGCCTTTCCCTAGACAAAGTGTCAACCCTTTCCGTGACAAAGCAGAGTGCCGCCTGAAACATTATCCCACGCGGGAGCACATTATTCATCATATTTTTTTTATAAGAATTGCTATTGCCCATCGGTATCAGCACAGAGTGTATTCATTCTCTTGTAACATTTTTCTCCGTAGGAGGGACACTGGAAAGTCAAAAATTGTGAAGAAAGACTTTTTTACATTTGTAAAAAAGCAGGCCATGTCCTCTCTGATGCTGAATCAGGATGTCAAGAGGTAAGTGCTGTTAACATTGCAATTTAGGTACAGGGACTTCATAGCTAGAATATCAATTCCACCATCAATTTGAAGTGAATTTCTCTTTCTCCTCTCTCTCTCTCCTCTCTTTCATCTCTCTCTCTCTCCTCGCACCCCCCCCTTCTTTCCTTTCCTCTTTTTTTTCCTGTCCTGAGAAATGTTGTCTTGCTATCTTCTACACAGGATTACTTTTCTTTTGAGATTAAAAATGTAAATGGTCCTGATACAGCATCTGTACAGTGACTATCCTGTGATGTGTGATGCCCTGTCTCACACTTGGTTTTCCTAGTCTTTCTTTCTTTTCTTTTTCTTTTTCTTTTTTTTTTTTTGAGACAGAGTCTTGCTTTGTCACCCAGGCTGGAGTGCAGTGGCACAGTCTCAGCTCACTGCAACCTCCACCTCCCAGGCTCAAGCAATTCGCATGCCTCAGCCTCCCGAGTAGCTGGGATTACAGGCGTGCGCCACTACGCCTGGCTAATTTTTGTATTTTTAGTAGAGACGGGATTTTGCCATGTTGGCCAGACTTGTCTCGAACTCCTGACCTCAAGTGATCTACTGCCTCAGCCTCCCAAAGTACCGGGATTACAGGCTTCAGCCACTGTGCCTGACTTATGGTTTTCCTAGTTTTCAAGTGAGATGTCATAAAACAATTGTGTTCCTCTGAGTCAGAGTGAACTATGCTTTATCAGTCTCAACAGTTTTCCAGACCTGGTCTTTATGCAACTATGCTTTAATTATTTTCTCTTCTAATCCAGTTATTTGTATTGCAATTGAACAATGACCCATCCCCTTAGAATCTTCATTTTATTCATTAATCAATGTGTAAACATGTGAACTTCATACTCTAGTTGGATAGTAGATATGCCGTAGCTGACATGTCACCATTTTATCTAATGATTATAATCTCTGAATTAGTTATAGCTGATCTCTGATTAATCTCTACCTGATATGAAATATTGAAGACGGGGCAGGGGCGAGGGTGGGGGGATTTGTCTTACTGTGGCTTTCTGGGAAACTCAGCGTGTTTTATTTTTGTTGAAAGGACAATTAACTTTTTACACTGCAAATACAGAACTGATGTTCTATTCAAACTTTTGTTCATGGCTTCCCTTTTCCAGCCAGCATTACCAGTATTTAAAGTTTCTGAGTTCATAGCCAATTCTCTAGCTTTGTGAGGAAATTTCCAGTAATTTTATTATGCATCAGTCTATGAATATGGTTTTGAAAGTTTTCTCTTTTTTAGAAAGTTGCTTCAATGCAATTCTCTAAACAGTCTGCACTTGAAAAATCAATTTGTAAAATCAATCTTGATAATTTCAAAGCAAAAGAAGTGATTTGTTTTTCCTTCTGAGTCACTTTTTTGGGATTGGACAATATGAGCAATTCCTTCAGTTTTGTCACCACCATCCTTTCATTTAAAAATGAAATGGCACCTAGTGTACAAAGGGTTAACTGATATAATCAGTTATCCTTCCCGTATTCATTGTGTGGACAAAGTCTTGAAGTAACAAGTCTGTGTTTCTGATTATTCTATGCCAGATCTTTTTTTCCCTCCCTTTTCTTGAGCTGGTTCAGTTATTGGATTTTTTTGTTTGTTTGTTTTGCTAAGCAGCCTATGATCTAAAAACTGCTAATGAAGAAGAATACATTATCGGAAAGGTCAAATTGCCAGCCTCCCTCTCCCTGTCCTTCCAAGTACAGGAGCAGTCTAATATCCCTGCTCCTACCCTGGAGGGATGCATGAAGGAGCTGTATGGAGCTGTCAGTTACTCACAGAGAGAAGATTGGGAATAGAAGTGAAGGGGAGTGAGTTCAGAGCAGATCCTAGATGGCTGGATGTGGGAGCTCCTGTGCTTCCTACCTCAGTTAATGATATGTTTGAACTAACACAGCTGATCTCTAAATTAAGGTTTTCTTTAATTTACTGCAAGACCAACATCTTTTCCAAGAAATTTATGAGAAATCATTTTATAACTGATCAAAAGCTGGCAAGAATTGGCATAGCATAAAATGAAGAGTGTTTTAAAACTGGTGAATAAATTAAAATAGATAAAAATGATGTGATTTAATAATATTGGGGAAAAAAGAACTAAAATAGCTCAGTTTAAATATAGAGGACTAATGAATGTATGTCTTACCATACTGTGTGATTTCAGATGAGATCGGGCACATTCAGGGTGGTGTGGCCATAGACTGTACTGCATGATTTCAAAGGAAGAGCCACCCTTCGTTGTTCCCAGGGCTAAAACATAGACCTACATGTTTGTCATTTTTGTCTGAGTGCCAAAGCTTACTTTCTTCCCCTCCAAAAGGCCAGCCAGTTAATTTAGGAATAATCTTTACAAAAAAAAAAAAAAAGAAAGAAAAAGAAAAAATACATATATTGGCCATTCTCTATTTGGAAGCATTATGCTCCAAACAAGACCATCCTGGACTGTTCCAGAATTGGGTTTCAGGCCCAACTGATCCACTAGTTTGACTTTATCCAAGTCCCTAATCTCAATGAATCTCAGAGGGATAACATGAAATAATCAATATGAAAGTTGAAAAAAATCTCTAATATTATCTAGATACATATATTCTCTTTGTTCATGTTCTCTTTCCCCTCTGTTCAATTCTAAAATCTCTATCTGTATTGTCCTTCTCTGATTCTCAGAACAACCCCATAAATACTATTATTATCCTCATCGTATAGATGAAAAAACTATGATATTAAACAAGGTTGCACAGTAGTGGAGCCAGAATTCAAACCCATGCATCCTGACCCTAGAGCCAACACTTAATTTCTACCCTCCTGTCGGGACCATTTATATGAAATTCTGTAAGTCAGAGAGAGAGAGACACACACACACACACACACACACACACACAGAGAGAGAGAGAGAGAGACAGAGAGAGAGAGAGAGAGAGAGAGAGAAAGAGAGAGGTAGAGATCTTGAATGAATGCCCTTTATTTTCATTTACTTTTAAGGTTTTACGTTTTAAGTTAATTAAAAATTTTAGGTTTTAAGATAATAAATTAAATAAATGTAGAAGTGGGTGTAGTTAATGGCATTACTGGATAGAATAAATATAAAAATATCAAGACAAAAATTCAAGGAGTTTTAAAGGAGTAAGAGAAGAAAGTTATGTAGGTGGTAAAAGAGTATGCAAAAATATCTCTTGGTATTTAACTAAATGAGATTGTGTCCTTAATTTCCCTTTTATTCTTTTTAAGGGATGGGAGAGACATGGTGGATTCTGTTACAAAATTGACACAGTCCTTCGAAGCTTTGACCAAGCTTCCAGCGGTTATTACTGTCCTCCTGCACTTGTAACCATTACAAACAGGTAAATTAAACTTTTTTTAACAGAAACAAGACGGCTTTCACATGAGGACTCTTGGAATGATAAAATCTAGCTACAATCATAACTGTTCAAAATCTAAATTGTGCTATACATCAAAGTACTAAATTATTTAAGTTATTTATTGAGATGAATTTAAATTATACTATGTTATTCCAGAATTGATTTTTGAGTAATAAATAATAAAATTTAAGGTGACCTTTACTATCTGTAAAGATTTATTAATTATCCAGCTTTTCTAATATATTCAGATGTTTTTAGATTTTATCTTCTAACTGCTTATATGGGAAATGAAACCCGTTATTTATTTTTTATTTTATTTTTTTTCATTTTTTTGAGACAGAATCTTGCTCTGTTGCCCAGGCTGGAGTGCAGTGGTGCAGTCTCAGCTCACTGCAACCTCCACCTCCCAGGTTCAAGCAATTATCTTGCCTCAGCCCCATGAGTAGCTGGGATTACAGGCACCTGCCACCACGCCCTGGTAATTTTTGTATTTTTAGTAGAGACGGGGTTTCACCATGTTGGCCAGGCTGGTCTGAACTCCTGACCTCAAGTGATCCACCTGCCTCAGCCTCCCAAAGTGCCGGGATTACAGGTATGAGCCACCGCGCCCAGCCAAAACACATTATTTAACAAGTATTTTTTTGATGTAATGTATGTGAGTTGTATGGGGGTGTTTTTAGCAGAAAAGCTATAAAATGTGGAGGATATTCAAATCCTTCACCATCACTTCTTCCATCTATTTTATTTAGATTGAGACTTCTCTGTGCACATATGCCTTCCTGATGCTGGCACAGAGACTGTGCCCTTTTTACACTCCATACAATCTGCCCCATGGTACCGATGCATAATACCTGTAGGGGATAAAAATACCAAGAGTAAAGGTGACCTCATATTAGTATCGATGCCAGGAGGACAGTGGGGGCTGGAACACCTGGGAGACCCACTCCTCCTGGGGAAGACAGAAGCGGGGTAGAACTCCAGTGGTGCCACAGGAAACTACACCTGCAAAGCAAGTCACTTGCATATTTACCTGGGCCATTGCCTTTAAAAATATTCACTGAATACCAGCAAATAGGACAACTGGTTTTACCTAGAGACCCTTCCCATATAAGCCTAATTTGTAGAGGAATTCCTGTATGATTTCTCTGCTCCTCCCACATTGGAAGTCAACATCCAAAGCTGCCAGTATGTCCTTCCTCCTCTTACCCTCTTTCTTGCCTTCTTACCCAGCTTCTGTTCCAAACAATGCACAGGAATGCATACACACACACACAAACAGACACACGCACACACACACACACTCAAATGGATTGATAGCATTTGGCAGACTAAGTCACCTGGTGAAACATTTTACTTTCAGGAGATCCTCCCGTTGAAATATAGCACTACCTTTGATGTATCTCAGCATTGTTTTTAGTTCTACCTTTCTCCTCCCAGGTTTGGCTAACAGGCAGAAGAAAGCCTTTATCAATTTGTTAACTCACCCAAAAGGTTCCAAGAACACCTTGGGTTGGAAGTCCCCCAGTCAGTGAGTCAACACTGGACTTCACAGGAGGCTGACCAATGAAGCTATACGCTCTTTTGTTAATTACAATTTAATTATGTTTTTTACCAAAGAAAATAAGTCCAATTGTTTCACCTGTTTTTTATGTCTTATTCTTTATTTTTTTGTTTAATGTTCATTGAGTGCCTGTCACATACCTGGCACTGTGTTAATTATTTTTCATATGTTATCTGACCACACAAAAAATTAATAGCCAAGAGTTTATTAGAAAATTTTTTTTGAATACCTGTTTTGTGAGAGTCCCCATATTAAACACTGACATGCTATCCACAAGAAATAAAAGGCATGCTATTATTGTCCAGTGCTTTCTGAAACCCAGCAGCTGAAGAGATCGAACATAGACACAAGAAATAAGTGAAGAAGGTAGAATAGCACAATAAATGGATAAACTCACAGTGACATTACAGATAACCCATAGTGCCACAGTGACCCAAGCTAAGGCAGAAATCTGTTAGAACAAATGCTTCATATTCCATGAACCCTTTGGGGACCTCATACAAATGACAGAAAGTATCTGGGAAAAAAATCTGTTTCATTTTCCCCAAAACTGGATACAAGACTATGTTGTGAATACTTTAAATGTTTTCTCTGGTAAACTGTATTCAGTAGCCAGCGCTCATGCCTGGTCCATCTGTAAAGCAGAACTATGGCATAGAGAAGTTTGTTTTTATCCCAGTCTTGGCCTCCTACGCCTGTCCAGATTGCCCTGTGCTGGTGTGCTGCCTGGTCACCCGCCAAGCCCTGAGGGAGTACAGATGAGCAGGATGTGTCATCTGTCCAAGTCAGTTAACATATACTTATGCTACCCCCAAAACATGTCTACATTCAAAGCAGCAACTCCAACACAGGACTCATGAGTTGAAGAAAGAAAGGGCCAATGCTCTTGGTTTTTAATCATTCAGAGTCCATCAGGGAAGAAACAAGGGTCCACACTGTACTGCTTTTGATTCACCATACACGTTGGAATTTTTGCAAACAGCATCTTTTGTCTGAGAAGGTTGGGCAGTAGATGGAAAGTGTCTCAGATCCAGGAGTGTCCACTAGTGGCCATGGTAATCATTTTCTTCCATTACTGATTTCCTGTTTAAGACACTCCTGTCACTCTTCAGTACCCAAGCTTGTAGTTGCTAATCGATTTTCCACTCTTCTGCACAATGGAATGACAGGTTTGATGGGCACAATTAGAACCACCTGCTACAAATTACTTATTTCTTTTGTGATCAGGCAACTGCTCCTGGTCTAAGACTTTTAACACTTTGTGGAATAGAGAGGGGAAGAAAAACAGATCCTTATTGTTGAGTAACAAATTTTTGTTTGCTTGCTGATTGTTACAAAATTTTTTCAGGCCTGGCCACTTTGCTTCCAGACAAAGCATGAATGCAAAAGTTGAGTTCCAAAATTATAATGGATAATTGGCTAAATCCATGTATGTCTAAATTTTGAATCAATCAGCCATAGAATATTGGTACAAAATAATCCAAATGGCATTCAATTTTGTGAATTTTGCCAAAAGTGAGAAATTCTGCAATATCTCATTTTCTCCTAAGTTTATTTTACTTTCATTTATTTTTGAGACAGTGTCTTACTCTGTTGCCCAGGCTGGAGTGTAGTGGTGCCTTCATGACTCACTGCAGCTTTGACCTCCTGGGCTCAAGTAATCCTCCTGCCTCAGCCCCCCAAGTAGTTGGGACTACAGGCATGTACCACCATGCCTGGCTAATTTTTTAAAATTTTTTACAGAGACAGGTTCTTGCCATGTTGCCATGGCTGGTCTTGAACTCCTGGGCTCAAGCAATCCTCCTGCCTCGGCCTCTCAAAGTGCTGGGATTATAGGTGTGAGCCACTATACCCCTCCTAAGCTTAAATGTGCATTATTTTAAAGCATTTTTACAGCTCTACCGTTTTCCTGCAACTGTCATATCTCCCCAAAACACTTTTGCAGTTAATATTTTTTTTATTGTGGTAAAATATACGTAAAACACACATAAACGTAAAATTCACCATGTTAGTCATTTTTCAGTGTGCAGTTCAGTGTCATTAACTGCATTCAGATTGTTGTTCACCCACTACCATCATCCATCTCCAGAACTTTTTTCATCTTCCCAAACTGAAACTCTGTACCCATTAAACAATAGCTGCCTATTCTCCCCTCCTCCCAGACCCTGGCAACTACTATTCTATTTTCTGTCTCTGTGAGTTTAACTACTCTACATGTCTCATATAAGTGGAATTATGTTTTTCTGTGTCTGGTTTATTTCATTTAGCATGTTGTAGTGTCAGAATTTCGTTTCTGGAAATTCTGTTTTAAGGCTAATTCATATTCCATTGTATGTATATACACATATTGTTTATCCATTCATCCATTAATGGACATTTGGGTTGCTCCCACCATTTGGCTATTGTGACTAATGCTACCATGAACATGAATGTACAAATACCCTTCGAGTCCCTGCTTTCAATTCTTTGGCATGTATGCCTATAAGTGAAATTGCTGGATCATATGATAATTTGATTTTAAATTTTTTAAGGAACCACTGTACTCTTTTCCATAATGGCTACACCATTTTCCATTCCCACCAGTAGTGCATAAAGGTTCCAGTTTCTCCACATCCTAGCCAATGCTTACTATTATCTGGTTGTTTTGTTTTGATAATAGCCATCCTATTGGGTGTGCAGTGGTATTTCACTGTGGTTTTGATCTGCATTCCACTGGTGATTGATGATGTTGAACATCTTTTCACGTGCTTATTGGCTATCTGTGTATCTTCTTTGGAGAAATGTCTATTCAAGTCCTTTGTCCATTTTTTAATTGGGATGTTTGTCTTTTCTATTGTTTAGTTATAGGAATTTTTAATATATTCTGGATATTAATCCCTTATCTGATGTACAACTTGCAAATACTTTCTCCCATTTTGTGGGTTGCCTTTTCATTCTGTTGATAGTGTCCTTTGATGTGCAAAGTTTTTAATTTTTATAAAGTCCAATTTATTAATTTCTTATTCCGTTGCCTGTGCTTTTGGTATCATATACAAGAAATCATTGCCAAATACAATGTTATGAAGTCTTTTTCCTGTGTTTCCTTGTAAGAGTTTTATAGTTTTAGCTCTCATGTTTAGGTCTTTAATCTACTTTGAGTTCATTTTTGTGCATAGTATAAGGTAAGGGTCTAACTTCATTCTGTTGCAAGTGGTTGTCTAGTTTTCCCTGCACAGTTTATTGAGAAGACTGTCCTTTCTGCACTGAACAGTCTTGGCACCATTCTTGATAATCATTTGACATATATGCAAGGGTTTATTCCTAGTCTATTCCACTGGCCTATGCGTTAGTGTTTATGCTAGTACCACACTGGTTTTTTGTTTTGTTTTTGTTGTTTTTGAGACAGGGTCTCACTCTATCACCCAGGCTGGAGTACAGTGGTTCAGTCATAGCTCACTGCAGCCTTGACCTCCTGGGCTCAAGCCATCCTCCCGCCTCGACCTCCCGAGTAGCTGGGACTACAGGCATCTAACACCACCACCCACAGCAAATGTTTTTTATGTTTTGTAGTGACAGGATCTCACTATGTTTCCCAGGCTGGTGTTGAGCTCCTGGGCTCAAGCAGGCTGCCTGCCTCAGTCTCCCAAAGTGCTGAGATTACAGGCATGAGCCAATATGCCCAGCCCACACTGTCTTGATTACTGTAGCTTTGTAGTAAGTTTGGAAATCAAAAAGTGTCAGACCTCTAACTTGGTTTCTTTTCACGATTATATTGGCTATTCAGGGTTCCTTGAATTTCCATATGGATTTTAGGATGAACTTTTCTATTTTTGAAAAAGATATCATTGGGATTTTGATAGGGATTGCATTGAATGTATACATCACTTTAGGTAGTATGAGCATCTTAACAATATTAAGTCTTCCAAGGCATGAACACGGGATTTATTTCCATTTCTCTGTGGCTTCTTTAATTTCCTTCAGCACCATTTTGCAGTTTTCAGTATACAAGTCTTTCACCTTTCAGTATACAAGTTTTCAGTATACAAGTCTTTGTGTAGTTTATTCCCATGTATTTTGGGGGCACTATTGTAAGTGGAGTTATTTTCTTAACTTTCTTCTGGCCAAACTCCACATCGTTCTTCCTGTCGACGGCCTGCCGGCATCTGCCAGTGCCTGTCGGTGTGCTCTTCCACCGGTGTGTTCCTCTGGATGTCCAGCCGCTTGTCTGTCTTCCAGCTAAGGCCTCGGGGGATTTTACAAGCACAGGATGGGGGTGTGGCAAGCCAGGGTGGTCTTGGGAAATGCAACATTTGGGCATGAAAACAGAAATGCTTGTCCTCACCTAGGTCTGGGGGCAGAGGCTGGGGGTGGAGCCCTAACCAGGGACCCCGCCCTTCTCCTCCCAGCACTTCCCTGACCCGGTATTACTACTCTGCCTCAGAGGAGATAGAGAAAAGCAGATCGTATATTATTGAGAGCATGAACCAACAGAAGTGTAAGGAAAATTACAACAGCATGTAGGCAATATTTAGTCTTCTATATGTTCCTTTTGAAGCACATTTATATAAGGTTCTGCCAGTATGATCTGGATTAAAAAAAGAACTTTTCTTGTTTCAAATGTGTGCTATTTAGGTTATTAATAGAGTATCTGCAGAAAATATTTACTAAAGTATGACGAAAATCCATATCCCCTGCAAAGATGAGTACCATAAATACCTAAGATCTCTAAATGTTGCTAATAATATCTGTAAGGCACTTAAAATTTTTACTTCTTTTTATTCTTTTCTCTTTTTATCTCCTATTTCCTTTGAGACTCTTCTATTCATAAATGACCTCATTGCTTTTGCTTCCCTTAGCAAGTTAAGGATGCACAGTAACGAAAAAAGCCACCAAAATTGAATGAAAAGATCTAATTTGCTTTCTCCTTAGGTTTCCTGGGTAATGGCTTCAGCCTTTCCTTTTCCATTGACTCAGCAGGTCTGCCCAGAAGTCGCCACTGTTTCAAATGTGCTTCTTCTAACTTTGTATGTTCTAAAAATAGCTTTCTCAAGATAGTTTCAACTTAGCTGAAAGGTTCAATGCTAGTTAAATTTTAATAGTCATGTTTTTCTTAGTAGGTGTGCATGTGGAAGCATGTATGTGAGTCTTCTATATTCTGCTTTTGATGCATTCATACTGGAAAGGGGGCACTGCCACCAATCATTGAACAGTAATTCATTCAGCTGTTTGGGAAGTATATTAGTGGATGTACGGCCTTAGATTAGTTCCTAGGCTTTCACATTTTTCTTCAGTGAACATGCAGATTTAAACACATTTGAATAAGCTGAGACCTACCTCTGCCTATGAACACACTGATTTGGGAGACATAAAATTGCTACTTTAATTTCTGTTTCTTTCTCACCAGGCAAGTGAGGTAGGTGGGTGTGTGTGAACTCTGTATTAGTAAATGCTCATTCAGAAAAGCATAATATCTTTCCTCCTCCCTCCTGCCCACCTTTACCCCGTGCATATTGTGGCATGGTGTGTGTGGTGTGTGGCCTAATTACAAAATAGGCCACATCGTACTCCAAGAAATGCATTGCTGGCCATGTGAACTTTACCACCTATGCTTTGAAACTGGAGCTGGACTCTCTATTCTGTGCAAGAATTAAGCCCCATATGCAAGAGTCAGATTCTGCTCACTCATATAGTTCTGGGAATTGCACTGACATTCGGCATTTATTAGTAATGTTCAGGGTCTTTGGGTGTTTTCCTGTTCCATGTTCTAAAGAATTGATGAGAAATGCTTACTCTGGGGCCATTCTGTGCACTTCATTATGCTTTAATGACATTTTTTTATTGCCCAGAAACTTAATGTAACCACTTCTTTTTTCCCCTTTTAAGGTTTGAACAGGCTTTTATTACCAGTTTGATCAGTAGTGTGGTAAAAATGAAGGACAGTTATTTTTGGATAGCTCTTCAGGACCAAAATGATACGGGAGAATACACTTGGAAGCCAGTAGGGCAGAAACCCGAGCCGGTGCAGTACACACACTGGAACACACACCAGCCGCGTGAGTAGAGTGTGCTGCATCACCAACCCTCCCTGTTTTCTTTACTCCAAATTCCTTCCACCCCTTGGCCCACCTCCTTTGATTCTTTCTTAATGTTTTCTTAATGCCTAAATCAATTACAAGGATCAACACAGGTTAACAGGGGGTGACATATGGCTGATCTTTGTTTTTATTTATTTTATTTGTTTGTTTGTTTGTTTGTTTGTTTGTTTGTTTTGAGACGAGGTCTCGCTCTGTCACCCAGCCTGGAGTGCAGTGGTGCAATCTCGGTTCACTGCAGCCTTGACCTCCTGGGCTCAAGTGATTCTCCCACCTCAGCCTCCCCAGTAGCTGGGACCACAGGCATGCGCCACCACACCCAGCTAATTTTTGTATTTTCTGTAGAGACAGACTGATATTGAACTCCTGGGCTCAAGCAATCCTCCCACCTTGGCCTCCCAAAGTGCTGGGATTATAGACATGAGCCAAATTGCCTGGCCCAATGGTCATTTTTAAAAGTATAATCCGTATGAGTCATTTGACATGTTAAAGGTATAAATTCATCGCTCAGGACCACCACTGCCTTTATTAGCAGCAAGTCCAGCTTCTCCCTCCTAATGTCTTTCTCCCCACCTGCACCCCCCACTGTCTAAGAATCTCAAGTGCTTACTCAGTTCAGAATGGTCAGTTAAACTTCAAAGTACGGTGGATGGGCACATATGGGTACATCCAATCAGTTCACAGTCACTGCCTGGGGTACCTTAGCCAGGATTCCAGCGTTAACAGCTCTACTAGTTCATCCTCAGGTGTTCAGCTCTGAATCCCAAGGCATGAAACTGTGCCAGGTTGGTCAGTACCAGAGAAGCTGATGTCTTCCGCCACAGCCTACACTAGAACCAGTCTCTGTGGAACAAGCTTCAGGCCCTTGTATTAAGCTGAGGTTGACAGCCTAGACCCAACAGCCCTTCTACTTCAGGGTGAGTTCTTGCTTGCCTGTATCTCCATCAGGGCTGTGCCAGAGACAACAGCAAAGAGTTACTAAGTTTGTATCTAGAGGAAATGGCTTAGGGGCCCCAGGCTCTTCCCTCCCTGAAGGCCCGGAGCTCTTTATACAAATTGGTCTATTCCATCCTCAGAGCTCTATATACCAAGGTAAGGAAAGTGTTTGCTAAGCCACAGGGGGAGGTATATCTCCCCTTTAGTGTGGCCTCACACTAAAATATAAAAGTGGCCACACAAGCCTTGTTTCTCATAATTACAAAAGTCCAGTCCAAGGTGGTTTGCTAATCCCAACTCTAGACAGTGGTTGGCAAAGCTCCACCGATTTTTAAAATTCAACGATGAAATCATGAATATATTCTTACTATAGATAATGTGACCATATACCTCATTTGCCCAGAACAGTTCTAATTTATGTCTGGTGTCCCAGAGCAATTAACAGCAGGTATTTTTACTCCAAATTTTTCTGGCTTGGATGGTAAATTATGTAGATGCTCTAATTATAGAGAAGTGTGCTAAGTAAAATGTGGAAGTACTCCGTTACATCTTTCTCTTCACCTTCCCAACATCAATACATTTCCCTTTTCAGAAACAACCACTGTTAACTGTTTGGTATGATCCTGCTGGTGTTTGTCTATGCATTGCATTTAAATACATTTATGCATATGTACTTTTTAAATGGATATAAGGATTGCATGTTTCTGTTATTTGATTTTTTTCACTTAGCAATCTGTCTTAGAGAACTTTCCACATCAATATTTATTAGTCGACATTTGAAACAGCTACATAGAATTTCATAGTATGTAGGACTCATAATTTGCTTTGCCATGACCCTGTTGAAGGACATTGGGTGAAATTCATTTTCATTTCTGCTACAAAAGTGTTACAACAAATATCTCTATGTTGATGTCGCTGTGCATAACTATGAGCATGTTGGCCTAAAAGTGTACATCTTACTGAGGCATTATCAGTTTACAAGTTCATCTAACAAAATTTGAGAGTGGCAGCTTTCCCACATTTTTGTCAATACTGAATGTAACAACCTTTTACATTTTTGCCAATTTGATAGAATAAAAAAAGTTTTACTATTCTTTTAATGTCTACCTTTTCATTTAGTTATTTGAGCAATTTTTCATATTTGTTCTATACATTTTGTTTTGTTTTTCAACTACATGGTCACATAATTTGATCACTTTCTATTTTTATTTTGGACACTTTCTATTTTCTCATTACTTAGTGGAAATTTCATTATATTCTAAATATAAACTCTACATGTTTGCTATTTGCCTTTTAATTTTTCTATGGTATGTTTTGTCACACATAAATGTTAAACTTTTTGTAGTAAAAAAGTTTATATTTTTCATTTTAGCTTTGTAGATTTTTATATTTTCTAAAGGCTTTGCTCAACCAAAGATTATAAAAATATAACCTTATATTTTTATAGTTTGGCTTTTTAAATGTATAATTTTGATTGATCTGAGATTTTAAAAGTATGTTCTAGGAGATAGCTCATTTTAATTTTTCTAAATAGTAACCAATTTCAACACTATATAGTAAGTTCACCCTTTCGTCTACTGATTCGAAATACCATAATAAACATAACCTACATTCTCATTTTCTGTTTCCCTGCCAATATGGCACTAACATAATTCAAGCAGTGTGGTATTGAAAAAGAAATAGAAAAAATAGAATCAATGTAGCTGAAAAGAGAGCAGTAATACAAGAATATAATTTCTATTATTCTTAGTTTTCTTGGAGCTCTTTTTTAAAATTATTAACAGATTTTAAATTTTACTCAACACTCTGAATCTACTAAGACAATCCTAAGGTTTTCTCCTTTACTCTCTTAATATGACAAATTGCTTTACAGTAGTAAACCAGCTTTGTACTGTTGGGTAAACTTAACTTAGTGATATGTATTTTAATACATCTCTGGGTTTAGTTTGCTAGTACAAAGCTTCACCTACTATAATGTACATAAGAATATCCTGTAGATTTTGATGAAGTTAAAATTCTGATTCAGTAGATCTGGGGTAAAGTCCAAGAATCCGCATTTTTTAAAAAGCTCCTAGGTGCTGCCTATGTTGCAGGTACACAAACTAACCTTTGAGTGGTAGGTTTATGATTTTAGCAACCTTTTTTCATAGGGAAAACTAGTCCACATTTCTTCATTTGTATACAGCTTTGGTTTCATGATTATGCTAAGTTTCATAGAATGAATTGGAGAGTGTTCACTTTTATTCTCTACAGAACTATATATACAGTAAACATTTATTAGAATTTGCCTTATGTTTTATATAGGAAATTTAAAAACCACTAATTCAATTTCTGTAATGCTTATAAGACTACTGAGGCTTCCTACTTCCTTCCAAGTGCTGCTTGAGTTGTATTTCACAAGATTTAGTAGAGTTTTATAATTTTTCAATTTAGAATACATTCCAATTTCCAATATGAATATGATTTCAACCCATAAATTATTTAGAAGATTTTTTTTAATTTCCCAAAATGCAGGTGTTTCTAGTTCCTTTTGTTGTCAATACCTTATTTAATTGCACTGTGGTCAAGAAATACGGTTTGTTTGGTGCCTGTCCTTTCAAATACAAAGTTGGTATTATGGCCTTGCATGTGTTCTTTTTATATATATATATCCCATATGTACTTGAAAAGATTGTATATTCTGCTTTTGCTACCTGAAATGCTTCATCTATGTCAACAGATTATGTTAAATGTGTTGTTCAGATCATCTATAGCCTCAATATTTTTTGCCCACGTGATCAATCAATTATTGAGAGTGTTTGATACCTCCCACTATGATGGTAGATGTGTAAACTTCTCCCTGTAGTTCTGTCGAATTTTTGTATTACATACTTTTTAGGCTGTTTTATTAGGAACATACAAGTTTAGAATTGTGATATCCCACCTGTGGTGTCAAAATCGGTATAGTAGTATCCCAAGTGATCCTCTTGTTCTTTCAAAATTATTTTCTCCTTAGAGTTAATTTGTCCATGAATGTAGCTACAGTAACTTTTTAAAAATTAGTATTGGCCTAGTACATTTTTTAAATTTTTTTCTAACTTTGAATGTTTTTGTGTTCTTAGAGTTAATGTATCACTTATAAACAGCATATAACTAAATTTTTAAAACTCTATTCACACATTCTTTGTCCTTAACTGTATAGTTTGGTTTACTTATATTTTTTGTGATTATGTATAGAATTGGATTTATTTCTTCCATTTTATTATGTCCTTTCCATTTATCCTGCATTTTTTAGTCATGTTTTCTCTTCTTTCTTGCCATCTTTTGAATGTATCTTTTTCTTCTTTTCTCATTTCATTCTTTCCCCTTTACTTATCTGAAAATTGTATTATCTAAATCTATTTTTTTATTTGTTACACTAGCTATTCAACATGCATTCTTAACAAAATCAACAATATCAAAGTTATTCATCTTTAAAAGGATTATAATTTGCTGTTGCTGTCTAGTTTTGAAAATTCTGAACTGCTTCATTTCTGTTAGCCATGATTTTGTTGTTGTTATCTTTGCAATGAATATTTGTTTAGATGTATTCATATACTAGTGTACCATTCCTTCTGTGATCTGGAACACCTTCAGTTTCATATCCTTTTCATTAGACTCCCGCAACCTGAAGATGGTTGGTTTTACACAACTCTGGAAATTTTTCAAGCATTATCTCTTCAAATACTGCCTCTCCCCATTCATTCTAATATTTCCTTTTATCATTCCAATTACTCAGCCTCTCCTCCATGTTTGTTAATATTTTTAAAATATTTTCTACCTCTGTGTCTCTCAAGGATGCATTTTAAATAAAGTCATGAATTATTTCAATTCATTGATTCTCTCTTCAGCCAGATCTAATTAAATTTTATTTTTTAGTTTTCAGTGTTAGATACTATATTTATTTCATTTCTAGAAAGTCTATTTCTGTTTTAAATTTGGTTTGTGGTTCTTTGTAGTCACTTGTTTCCTACTCATATTTTAAAGATTCTCTTTCATTTCCTTAAATGTATCCGAGTTATTTTGTATTTGGTTTCTAATAATCTCATACCTGAAGTTGTATGGGTCTGTTTCTGGATCTCATCTCTTTCATTTTGTGGGTTTTGCCTAGAACTACTGATTTTTCTTTGTACTTTATTTATGGGAGTTCTCTCACCCCCAGGGTGAAGTTGGGCTCCTCCAGTGAAAATTAGCATTTGTTTCCACCACTCAGTTTGAGGCACTACCAACTAAGGACTGCTTTAAAAGCTCTGACTGAGGTTTTCTTGAACACATAGGTAGCATGAATTCGATGACTAACGACTAACCTGCATGAAGTTTGGGTTGTGGTTATAAATTCTTTAGAAAGTTATTTCTTTTCTTATTATTCACTCCCAAGATTGACAGAGACAAGTTTCCTTACAAACAGCTGAGTGAATATATTCTCATGTACGCTTACCAAAAGTGGCCATTTGGGATTCTATTTTATGCAGGTTTCTTCTGTTAGACTTTTCATTTTGTATATCTCTTAGGCTTCATCTCCTTTCCCTTAAAATCTCCATGCAACTATCAAAGCAGATGCTCAAGGTCTCCAGAATTGGAAAGAAACCTTTAGGGTAAATCCCACTAGGAAGGTAGTTTGGCTACCATGGTTCATACTTTTACTTCATTTGCAAGCTCTATAGATTTGTTTATTTTGTGCCAGCTCAGCCATACATTTATAAAGATGTTTTCAAAATGTTTTATCCAGCATTTCAACTAGTTTGACCAAAAGAATCTTTCAGGGTACCTAATCTGCTGGTTATTTCTCATAGCACCATTTATTTTAACACATGAGATTTTAGGATAGAGAAGAGATAAGCACATGTATTCAGTCTACTGCTCAATCTTTGAGATGTCTCTCTCTGTGTTTTTAAAAATTTTTTCTTTCTATAACCCTATTGCATAATTAAAGCCATTCATTTAATGAACTTTTACAAGGCATTTGTATGACAAGGGACATTTAAAAATTACGTAGGCCGGGCGTGGTGGCTCACGCCTGTAATCCCAGCACTTTGGGAGGCCGAGGCGGGCGGATCACGAGGTCAGGAGATCGAGACCATCCCGGCTAGAACGGTGAAACCCCGTCTCTACTAAAAATACAAAAAATTAGCCGGGCGTAGTGGCGGGCGCCTGTAGTCCCAGCTACTTGGGAGGCTGAGGCAGGAGAATGGCGTGAACCCGGGAGGCGGAGCTTGCAGTGAGCCGAGATCCCGCCACTGCACTCCAGCCTGGGCGACAGAGCGAGACTCCGTCTCAAAAAAAAAAAAAAAAAAAAAAAAAAAAAAAAAAATTACGTAATGTGCATGCCTTCATGTTGCTATAATCTGGGAGTGGTGACAGCAAATACAATAAATAACTCATATATAGATTCTTAGTCATTCCTGTTACTATAACAAAATATCACATATTGGGTAATTTATAAATAACAGAAATTTATTTCTCACAGTTCTAGAGGCTGGGAAGTCCAAGATTAAGGTGCTAGCAGATTCAGTGTCTGCTGAAGGCCTTCTTGCAGCGCCCTCACATGGTGGAAAGGCAAAAGAGCAAAACAAGACTAGGACACTCCCTCAGCCTCTTTTATAAAAGCACCAATCCCATTCATGAGGATGGAGCACTCATGACTTTATTACTTCCCAGAAGGCCCTGCCTCTTAATACTATCACATATGCGTTTTGGAGGGATATATTACATTCAAACCATGGCAACAGGAAAATGTGTGGTGAGTGTTGTAAGAAGTATAAAATAAAGAACTCTAACAGTTAAATGAAGGGAGGATTAATTCCCATTGAAGTTATCATAAAAGTTCAAGAGGAAGTGGCCTTTCACCTGGGATTGAAAATGTCTGAAATATAGTAGGATTTAGTGGTTAAAGAAGTAAAAAGAATTTTCTCAGCAGGAGGAAATATATGGGGCAACTTTGAGAAATTTTAGGAGCACTGTGTAATTAGAGATTAAGATACATGCAAAAGAGTTGTAAAAGATAAGGCCAGAGTAGGACATTGAAACTACAGCTTAATATTACAAGCTAAAGAGTTTTCACTTCTTCTCTAGGTATAGGAAGTCACTAGAGGTTTTGGATCGAAAAATATTAGGATCGGAAGTGTTCTTCATTGAGGTTATTATGTAGGGTGATACAAACAGATATAAGAGACTGCACTGCAGGATAACATATGCATAAAGAGTACCTACCCACTACTGAGTTGAACTAAAGTTCAAATTCCAGCTCTATGATCTCAGGGAAGTTATTTAATCTCTTCATATCTCAGTTTTCTCTTCTTTAAAATAAGGACAGTAATTGTATCTACCTCACAGGATTGTTGTGAGGATTAAAAGAAATATTACATAGTTGCTACTGCATTGTAAATACTTAATAAATATTAGACTTTCTTATTGCAGAGAAATAATTTGCAGGATTTTACCTAAAGCTACAGATAGTGACATTGCTAACCTATTAGGGTTCCTCACCCATACATTCTAAGATGCAGGACCTATTCTGTGCTGGACCAGCCACCAATGTGAGCACCCTGGGAAACCACAGAGTTTTAAAGGAAGGTATGATTGTGGCCTATACACATACATTTCCCCAACACTTAGGAGCTAGTGTTAAATGTTTTTAAAAAAAATTCCTTTAGACCTCCTGATATTAGAAAAAGAAAAAAGAGAGAGATCAAAGAAAGTCAGTTTACATTCTCTCTGTTAAATACATGGTTTAAAACCCTGTACTTTTGAAGACTTCCAGTTCCCAGACGAGCATATAAGAAGTTTAGAAGTTACACCATCCTAATGAGTAAAGAGCTGAACAAACTGAAAAATCAACAACTCTTCTTAGATCCATCGCAAGGCAAACCACTGCTGCCCCAAACTGGAGAAATAAAAAGATACAGAGAATCACAGCTTCCTGGATCAGAAACCCATGAGCAGAAATCTCCAGAGGAACCAGTGCTGGGAGAGGAACATCTGAACTGTCATTGATAAAACTGCTGGAGGCTCAACACAGACAACTCTAAGGGTTAAAAACTGTAGGGGACTCAGTCATAAGGGACCCCCACACTTTTGTGAGTTCTAGCTCCAGGTGATCTATCAGGTTATCACAGTGAAATATCAGAGAAAAATTGCCTAATGCTTCCAGCAGAGGGAGAGGAAAAATAACCATTTTGAAATATAGCAAAGCATTCTGTTCTTAACAAGGCCCCACCTCAGGAAAGGCTATTTTACCAGAGACTGCTACTGGAGTTTTATCAGAGCCTAACTTATCTGGAGGAAGGGAAATCTGCAACTCCAGCCAGCTCTATCCTTTCACGTGATGGAAAGGAAATACCCCGCTCCAGCTCTCTAGCCATCCTGTCCCACCAAGCAGGGAAAAATAACTGAGAAGCATTCACTGGTCAAGGGTGCAGTCCAGGAACACAGGCTCACCAAAAGGCTGAGACCTAATGGTAAAATTGTAGAACGCTTCCCCTCCTCTCACACCTTACCATTCCATCACAAAGGCCTGTTTACTGCAGTTTCTTTTACCCAATATATTACATCCACTTTTCAACAAAAATATTACAAGACATGCTAAAAGGCAAGAAACACAGTTTGAAGAGACAGAACAAGCATCAGAGCCAGTCAGCTATGACAGGAATGTTGAAATTACCAGACAAGCAATTCTTTTAAACTATGATTAATATGCTAAGGGCTTTAATGGAAAAAGTAGACAACATGCAAGAACAGCTGGATCCTGTAAGCAAAGAGGTGGAGAGTCTAAGAAAAAAAACAAAAAGAAATGCTACAGATCAAAAACACCATAACAGAAATGAAGAATGCTTTTGCTGACCTTATAGTAGACTGGGCACAGATGAGAAAAGAATCTCTGAGCTTGAGTATATGATGATACAAACTTCCAAAACTGAAAAACAAAGAGGAAAAAGACTGAAACAGAACAGAATATTCAAGAACTGTGGGACAACTTCAAACTGTGTAATGGGAATATCAGAAGGAAAAGAAAGAAATAAAAGAAAAGAAGCAATATTTGAAGCAATAATAACTGAGAATTTCCCCCAAGTTAATATCAGACACCAAACCACAGATCCAGGAAACTCTGAGAACACCAACCAAGATGAACGCACGAAAAACTACACGTAGACATATTGTATCCGAACTTCAGAAAATAAAAGATAAAGACAAAATCTTGAAAGAAGCCAGAGGGGAAAAACACCTTATCTTTAGAGGAGCAAAGATTAGAATTATATCTGACTGCTCTTCAGAAGTCATCCAAGCAAGAAGAAAGTAGCATGAAATATTTAAAGTGTTAAGAGAAAAAAGCCCTCCAACCTAGGATTCTATACTCTGTGAAAGTATCCTTTAAAAATGAAGGAGAATTTTTATCAGATTTTATCTGATTTTTATCAAACAAAAATTCAGGAAATTTGTTGCTAGTAGACCTACCTTGCACGAAATATTCAAAGAAGTTCTTCAGAGAGAAGGAAAATGATATAGAAGCTCAGATCTATATAAAGAAAGAAGGAGCATCAGAGAATAAATGAAGGTAAAATAAAAACTTCTATTTTTCTTAGTCTTAATTGATCCAACAAATAACAGTATGTTTAAAATAATAGCAGCAATATATTCAGACATAGGTGAGATAGATAGATAGATGACAGATAGATGATAGATTTGCTTTTATACAAGTGAAATGAGTGACAGGGATGATGCAAGGGATAAGAGGGACTTTGGGTGACTGTGATGTGTCCTTGTAGGTTCATCAGTGGTAATAAATGTACCACTGTGGTGTAGGATGTCTATAGTGAAGGAGATTGGAGGGCAGTGGTGTTAGAGGGGAACTCTCTGTATTTTGCGCTCAATTTTGCTGTCAACCTAAAACTCTCTGTTACTAAATTTTAAAATTATACTTTTGAAAGATGCATGCAAAGTGAAATGAAGACAAATTAGATTTTTTTGTATATAAACATCAGCTTAGGAAATTTGTATGGAAACTGGTGACTTTCCATAGCTCCAAACAAGTAACATCACAATTTGCTCAACAGAACGACCTTGTTCTACAAATCTATGAATATTATTAAAATAAAGAGAGTAATAAACTTCCATGTCACACTATACTGCAAAAAAATAAAAGTTTAGGTATCATTTCTATATACTTTGGAATTTTGTTAGGAATGTCTATAACTGTCAAAATAAATTAATACATTTTGAGTAGAGAAAATCTTTGGTTTTTAATATTAAGTTTCTTGGGGCATATTTAGATGTCGAAAATCTGGAATTGAAGCAGAGTTCCTTGTCATTCATAAGTTTCTGCTGTAATTTATTTGAGTGACACTGCTCTTTTTCTCTTTTCCCTAAAGCAAAAATAATGCCATGATGTTCAGTTTGGCTGCTCAAGCTGATTGACGCTGAGTAAATTGTCTCTGAATAAGATGAAAATGTAAATCTTTTTGAAGAAAATAGCAATATAAAAGCTCCTGTGTTTCCCTTTTTCTTTTAAATTGCAGCTTGCAGAGACACTACCTAAATCACATTTCTTTCCTGCCTGTCACAAAAGAATCCATTAGCTTGGTCCCCACATCAGAATCTTAATCCAGCAAAGACTAACTACATGAATTGACCACTGAACAGGAAGCCTACAGCTTTTTATAAACTCAGCCAGGACTCTGTCTTCATGTCATACCAGCAAAATATTCACCCACCCCACATCCCACACCACAGTCGTACATTTGCTACAATTGACGAACCTACATGAACACTCAGAACCACCCAAAGTCCCTCTCATCCCTCCTATCATTCCTGTCACGCATTTCACTAGCATAAAAGCAAATCAGAAGGGAATCACCTTTCCGCCATTTTTTTTTCAACTTAGTATTAAGTTTATCAAATAGTATTACCACCAGATGGTATCTACCAGTAGTAGAACCACTGTGGTACATCACCAAGCATCAGCAATTATCATTTCATGACCAATCTTCTTTCATCTGTATCCTCACCCCTTTCCCATATTTTTTCATAACAAATCCTCAACATCATATTGTTTCATCCATAAACATTTCAGCATTATTTCCAAAAAATAAAGACTCCTTTTTAAAAGACATAATAATACAATTATCACCCCTTAAAGTAATTAACTATAATTGCCTATCATTATAAATCTTCAGTTAATGCTCAAATTTCTAAATGGCTCATAAATATTACATAATGTATTTTACAGTTAGTTTGAATCAAGATCCAAAGAAGGTTCACACATTGTAATTGGTTGATAGATCTCCTAAAGTCTGTTTTCATCTCTGTGTTTCCTGCCCCTCCCCAATTTCCACCCCTGCCTTTATTTGTTAATGCAAATGTGTTTTGTCTTATAAATTTTCCTACAGTCTGGGCTTTGTTGATTGTATTCACATCACATTGTTTAATGTGTTACTCTATTTTCTTTTTCATAAAATACGCATTTTTATTTTTAAAAAGAATGAAAGGATTGATCAAATTCAGATTTTATTTTTTTTTTTGAAAGATCACTTCCTAGGTAGTTGTGTGCTCTGTCTAGAGGCACATAATGTCCCATTTTTTTTTCTCTTTTTGTGACATTAGCAGCCTTTGATGGTCAATTCTTAGATCCATTGACTCATTAGGGGTTTCTTCACTTATAGCTGGGATAGTCCTATAAAAAGCTAATTCCTTTTAATCAATTTTTGTTACCCCGTGGTACAATTTTTATAGGAAACACAGAACAAATGCTTAGTTCTTTCCCTTTACTAGCTTTCAAAATGATTATTTTTGCATTAGCATCCTTCATCTGTGACCCATTAGTGGTGTTTTTCTTTTTTTAGCATTACTATGGAGTAAGGGTTTTAAACATATTTGATATGTTTTAGTCCATTGCAATTATCCTTTTTAATGCTCAAATTGCCCCATCCTTGTGATGGGAATCTCTTCAAGGAATATCTTCTGAATCCTTCTGATGTGATCCTAGTAGTCTTTGATAGTGTCCTTGCTATCTGGTATGACAAGATATAAATTTCTGCTGCAGACCTAGAAGCATCCATTGCATCAAGGAACCCTGGTTTCTTCTGATGGGAAATGATATTATTTCAGCATCACAGTCTGGGCTTAAGGGTGCTCGTCGTTTGTGGTTTGTTATTGTTTCTAGGCCATTTCAATGGACAGATCTAGGAAGTGTGTGTGTGTGTGTGTGTGTGTAAATTAAACACTTTTTGAGTTCAAATTCATATTTACAATTTGAATTCAGGACTACAAGGTTAATTAACCTATATTTTAACTGGATTTCCTTTCTTTCATGCCAAATTTCCCATTCTCAAAACACCAGAAAATCCTGTTATTTTTAGTAAAAAGCAACAACAAAGGGACTCTCTGACACTTGGTATTTCAAGAGAAATGAAATATTCAGGTGAAACAGGAAAAATGGTTTTCATCCATACTAATTATTGCCACTGATTAAATGGAAAGATGATAAATTAGCTTCTCATTCAAGGAGAAGCTAATGCTTAGAAACTAAAATGTACTTTGTACCCCTAGATTAAAGATTCAATATAAGTGGAGGTTGCTCTATGGTGAAAGAGAATAGATGAGTCTATACTTGTTAAGACATTCGAAAACACTTTTCCAAGTTATATTAGAGGCTCATAGGTGTCTGTATTGAGAAAAATAAACACTTTCAATCACTCCTTTGCAGCCCTCCATAACTCAGGCTCTGTGAAAAATGTTTTGTTTCTAGACCTAGATACCCCTGGCGTGTTTCATTCATATGGGATGACTCCGGGGCATGTTCAACCCAATTGTTCCAAACCCATGGAAATCTGCAAGTGACAAAGAAAATAAGATCCCAGTAGAGTAAGTCAGGTTTATTTTCTTGAAAGTGCCCTGTAGTATAGTTTGAAGTCAGGTAGTGTGATGCCTCCAGCTTTGTTCTTTTGGCTTAGGATTGACTTGGCGATGCGGGCTCTTTTTTGGTTCCATATGAACTTCAAAGTAGTTTTTTCCAATTCTGTGAAGAAAGGCATTGGTAGCTTGATGGGGATGGCATTGAATCTGTAAATTACCTTGGGCAGTATGGCCATTTTCACGATATTGATTCTTCCTACCCATGAGCATGGAATGTTCTTCCATTTGTTTGTATCCTCTTTTATTTCCTTGAGCAGTGGTTTGTAGTTCTCCTTGAAGAGGTCCTTCACATCCCTTGTAAGTTGGATTCCTAGGTATTTTATTCTCTTTGAAGCAATTGTGAATGGGAGTTCACTCATGATTTGGCTCTCTGTTTGTCTGTTGTTGGTGTATAAGAATGCTTGTGATTTTTGTACATTGATTTTGTATCCTGAGACTTTGCTGAAGTTGCTTAGTGGGTGAAGGACATGAACAGACACTTCTCAAAAGAAGACATTTATGCAGCCAAAAAACACATGAAAAAATGCTCATCATCACTGGCCATCAGAGAAATGCAAATCAAAACCACAATGAGATACCCATCTCACACCAGTTAGAATGGCAATCATTAAAAAGTCAGGAAACAACAGGTGCTGGAGAGGATGTGGAGAAATAGGAACACTTTTACACTGTTGGTGGGACTGTAAACTAGTTCAACCATTGTGGAAGTCAGTGTGGCGATTCCTCAGGGATCTAGAACTAGAAATACCATTTGACCCAGCCATCCCATTACTGGGTATATACCCAAAGGACTATAAATCATGCTGCTATAAAGACACATGCACACGTATGTTTATTGTGGCATTATTCACAATAGCAAAGACTTGGAACCAACCCAAATGTCCAACGATGATAGACTGGATTAAGAAAATGTGGCACATATACACCATGGAATACTATGCAGCCATAAAAAATGATGAGTTCATGTCCTTTGTAGGGACATGGATGAAATTGGAAATCATCATTCTCAGTAAACTATCGCAAGAACAAAAAACCAAACACCGAATATTCTCACTCATAGGTGGGAATTGAACAGTGAGATCACATGGACACAGGAAGGGGAACATCACACTCTGGGGACTGTTGTGGGGTGGGGGGAGGGGGGAGGGATAGCATTGGGAGATATATCTAATGCTGGATGACAAGTTAGTGGGTGCAGCGCACCAGCATGGCACATGTATACATATGTAACTAACCTGTACAATGTGCACAGGTACCCTAAAACTTAAAGTATAATAATAAAAGAAAGAAAAACTTAAAAAAAAAAAAAAAAGAAAGAAAGTGCCCTGCACTTTCAGCCTGTCCCATCAGTAGACACTAGAGAGGCCAATCCATTTTAAGGCTCATCAGAGCTCTGAAATGAGCCACCATATAAATAAGGATAAACCCAGTCTCATTTCTGAGAGCCCTTAGAACATTTCCATATCTCCTCATAATCATATAAGTAACTGTCATGCAAAGTGAAAATGTGACAGTAGATCTTCAAGGAAATGCTGTGGCCACACACAGGAGAGAAACAGGATCAGAGGGATGCAAGAGAGCTCCATGGGACAGGAGCATAATTTTAGGGGAACTCATTCATTCATTTATTCAACTGCTTATTGAATGCCCACCCACTCACTCTGTACCTTGATACTGTCTCACAGACCCAAATACATCTGGTTTCAAATCCTGGAGCAAGCCTACTACGTTTGTGGCCTTTGGCAAGTTACTAAGCCTCTGTGCCCTAATTTTTCCATCTGCACAATCAGGCACTAATGCCTGTCTCAAAGAGTTTCTGAAGTTAAATAGGGAAAAGACCATATAAATTGCCTAGCACAGTGCCTGTCTCACAGTAGACCCAAATAAATCTGGTTTCAAATCCTGGAGCAAGCCCACTACGTTTGTGGCCTTTGGCAAGTTACTAAGCCTCTGTGCCCTAATTTTTCCAACTGCATAATCAGGCACTAATGCCTGTCTCGAAGAGTTTCTGGAGTTAAATAGGGAAAAGACCATATAAATTGCCTAGCACAGTGCCTGGCAGATACACAGCATTGCAGGAAACTTGCCTTGCCTACCCAAAGAGCTTCACTTTTCTCTGTTAGAGGAGAGAAGAAGGAGAGAGAGAGGGAAGGTGAGAGGGTAGAGGACTTGAGAGATGAGGATGTAAAGGGTTGTTGCAGGGAACCAGAAAATAAGCAGGCAGACTCAAGTGAAATAATTGTCTAGAGGCACTGAAAAGCCAGCACAAAAAGTTTTGGTCAATGGGTTTGTTTTTAGGTATTTGAACAGGGAGGTGGACAGTGGAGGTTTTCCCAGCTCACTTAATTTTGCATAGATAACTTGGTGAATCAGAATTTCTTAATTGACAGAAAGTCTCCCCATTCGTGTTTGCAGGAGAGAGTGAGTGGGGTGGGGGTAAGGCAGGTAAGGAGAATCTGTTAAAATGTGAGATTCACCTCTGAGAATAATCATTTTTCTTCTCCAGTGGGAAGTGAGTTATCAAATTTAAGAACAACTTCTCTGAAAGAAAATTCGCCTCTGCTCTTTCCCACACCCTTACCCTTATTATTTGGCTTTGCAAGCATCCCCACGATATAGGCTTATAAATTTAGTTTATCTCTCCCTTAGCCTGGTCTCCCTTTATTATACCACTTTACTGCTTCTTTGGGGCTGAGACTCTTAAAATTTGGGTCAAATGTTCCATTAAGTTAACCACTTTAGAATACCAATAACACTTCTGCAGCACTTTTCATCTTCATAGTGGTTCACAAACATCTCCTTCTTCACTAATGAAGATGAGTCGAATATCTTATAGCATCTAAAACCAAAGCTATTTAATCATTGTCTGGTGTGGGAAAGTGAGACAAAATGCAAGACCAACAAAAAAGTATATTACATTTCAAACTTGCTGATTCAAACTTTTGAAAAATTCTTTGAATATGCAGGCAGAACTTATGCCACAAAACCCTAGTTTTTGTAATGAAAATGGCCATAAGCATAATAGCAACATTGCAGGGGTATTTTTAGCTCTTCATATTTTATAGAGTGCTTTTCAGTTCATTATTTCATTTGATCTTCATGAAAACCCATGAGAAGAAAAGGAATTATTATT